>NC_000011.10:26310000-27560000 GCF_000001405.40 Homo sapiens
ATTTACCTTCCAAAATAACTGTGCAATCTCAGTAAGCATTAATAAATTAATCAGCAAAAGGCCCTACACAAATCATTTGATATACACATACTTACATTACATACTTTTAAAAAAGGTAATGTAGATTTTATATGATAATCATTTATATATGTGCAAAGATAGCTACATATATAAAATAGCAAACAGCCATAAAATCCCTGAATAGTTAGCAATAAACCAACCTATAATAGATGAAATCAGATAAATGCAAAATGTACTTAGCAGTCAACTTCTTTTTGAGGCCCGCTTTTCAAGAGAGAGAGCAATTCTATTGGTTAACCAATTGATTGGTTATTGGTTAACTGAGTTAATCAATTACATTATCAAGGTTAGACGGAGAATAGATCATTCAGAAGGTAGCTATTCACATGAGAAAACATAAAATAGAGAGTTAAACATTGGCCATACTTGCAGGAGAATTTTTTCATAGAAGAGTTTACTTTAGTCCAAGAGTTCCTTCTGCCTGAATACCAAACTGAGAGGTGTACATTGGACTACCATAGCCTAATGCTATTAACTTTTTAAATCATATGACTGACTCGCCTTGCCTTGATTCTGGCATAAATCTCTGGTTTCACTGTTTTCTAGTCTGCACCCATGTGTGTGTTGTGTGAATATGTGTGTTTTGGAAATGTATGTGCTACATAGACACTATAACTGCCAGTCCCCACAGCAGTACTATTTTTCATGACATAAGAATAATTTTATTAGTATTATATTGGTATTATAGTATATTCTGTGAACTTGTTTACCATGAGTCTACCTTAGGAAAAGCTTCTGCTTCCTTCTGCCAAAGTCAGATTTCGGAGACGGTAACTGAAGATCAATCTCTCACCATACACACAGTAAAAGCCACTTGGGATGCCTAGAAGCAACTGGTAAACCAGATTTTCTCTGGCATAAACTTTGCTATTATTTTTTTTCTTTACTATTTTATCCCTCATTGCTTTGCCTCTAAATGGCTTTCTCATATTAAATAATACATACAGGTCATTATCAGAAGTTTCTTCATACTCAAAGAAAGGTGGTTTACGGAATGGAAATTAGAAAGGAGAAATGGGGAATCAATGAAGTGAGTAAAAACAGATTCTGGGATAACATTAAGGACAATGAGAATATTCAAAGAAATTGGTATTTATGAAATTATTCTTATGTGTCAGGTACTGTATTTGGTTCATTGACTAAGTCTATTGTGTGGATTTATTGACTCTTCCCAACAACTCTATGAGGCCAGTGCTACTACTAGGATTAGATGAATGAGGACTAGACATGTGAAGTAACGAGTAACTAGTGTTCTAGCTGCTTCTGCCCTCACGAAGGCCTGACCGGGACTTGAACCCACATCTGTCTCCTGAAGAGACAGAGCTCTTCATGATTCACAGATATTGGCATAAGCCTTGAAACTAGTGAAATATAAAATTCCCATTGACTATGAAATTTAGGATTAGAATTGTTAGAAAGCAGTATTTTTACGTTGTCTCCAGACCTGTCCTAGAAAACATATACTCACATGATAGGTCACCCAACTTCTGTGTGTAGGTGAAGATATTACTAAAGAGGAGAAGGATAAGTTGCTAGGCAGCTCTAAGTTGACTTTTCAAAAACAATTCACAGTTTTACAGAGGTCCTTAGTTTTATTGAAAGCCCATGACTGCTGTGTACAGTAGAGCACCAATTATCTCCTGTACTCTGATATGTCTTTCTGTCTTAATTTAAGCCAAATTTTTAACTGTGGGGAGATTCATGTGAGTTTTCTAGGGAATTGATCCATATTTCCCTCTTAACTGATTAAAAGCCTTCTCTTGTTTTTTAAAAAACTTTTTATTATACTTTAAGTTCTAGGGTACATGTGCACAATGTGCAGGTTTGTTAAATACGTATACATGTGCCACGTTGGTGTGCTGCACCCATTAACTGGTCATTTACATTAGGTATATCTCCTAATTCTATCCCTCCGCTCTCCCCCAACCCCACAACAGGCCCCGGTGTGTGATGTTCCCCACCCGGTGTCCAAGTATTCTCACAATTCCCACCTATGAGTGAGAGCATGCAGTGTTTGGTTTTCTGTCCTTGCGATAGTTTGCTCAGAATGATGGTTTCCAGTTTCATCCATGTTCCTACAAAGGACATGAACTCATCCTTTTTTATGGCTGCATAGTATTCCATGGTGTATATGTGCCACATTTTCTTAATCCAGTCTATCATTGATGGACATTTGGGTTGGTTCCAAGTCTTTGCTATTGTGAATAGTGCTGAAATAAACATGCGTTTGCATGTGTCTTTATAGCAGCATGATTTGTAATCCTTTGGGCATATACCCAGTAATGGGATGGCTGGGTCAAATGATATTTCTAGTTCTGGATCCTTGAGGAATTGCCACATTGTCTTCCACAATGGTTGAACTAGTTTACAGTCCCACCAACAGTGTAAAAGTGTTCCTATTTCTCCACATCCTCTCCAGCACCTGTTGTTTCTTGACTTTTTAATGATCACCATTCTAACTGGTGTGAGATGGTATCTCATTATGGTTTTGATTTGCATTTCTCTGATGGTCAGTGATGATGAGAATTTTTTCATGTGTCTGTTGGCTGCATAAATGTCTTGTTTTGAGAAGTGTCTGTTCATATCATTCACCCACTTTTTGATGGGGTTGAATTTTCTTGTAAATTTGTTTAAGTTATTTGTAGATTCTGGATATTAGCCCTTTGTCAGATAGGTAGATTGTAAAAATTTTCTCCCATTCTGTAGTTTGCCTGTTCACTCTGATGGTAGTTTCTTTTGCTGTGCAGAGGCTCTTTAGTTTAATTAGATCTCATTTGTCAATTTCGAAAGGCTTCTCTTCTTTTAGCACAGATCTTATTTTCATGAACATGGTAAATAATTAAATATCATGTAAATATACTATTCCATCATTTGCTTTGGAAATTCTGTTTAAATGAATTCCAAATTCTTCAGAGAGAGTGTACTTTAATCTTTATTGTTTCAAATCAGTTGTTCCTATTGCTGTTTTGTTCTTATAATGCAACCTAGAAAGATCCAATCTTTGCACAAGTCATTTTATTCGTTGGATAAAAGGTGAGTACCTAGCATATCGATGCAAAATATATTTTGTACCTAGCATATCAGTACAAAATATGTTCAATAGAGTGTCTTCTTTTCTTAGGACATGTGTCCATTCATTTATTCATTTATTGCACCATTGCTGTGAATCTTTTTTGTAACAGACACTGAGCAAAGTGTGAGAGTACATGAAAAGGCTCTGAAAAGAACATTGGATTCAAAATTAGAAGAATCAATATTAAATTAGGTGCAGTAACGTAATTTCTTAGAGTCTCTTAATTTTTATTAGAAAAATACAGGTGATAGGCCAGGCATGGTGGCTCACGCCTCTAATCCCAGCACTTTGGGAGGCTGAGGCAGGTGGATCATGAGGTCAAGAGCTCGAGACCATCCTGGCCAACATGGTGAAACCCTGTCTCTACTAAAAATACAAAAAAATTAGCTGGGCGTGGTGGTGCGTGCCTATAGTCCCTGCTACTTGGGAGGCGGAGGCAGGAAAATTGCTTGAATCCAGGAGGCAGAGGTTGCAGTGAGCTGAGATCATGCCATTGCACTCCAGCCTGGTGATGAAGCAAGACTGTGTCTCAAAAAAAAATAAAAAAAGAAAGAAAGAAAATTACAGGTGATAATACATAGTTCACAAATGTAGATTATGTGTAAGTACTGGAAGAGTTACTGAATTAGAAAACAATTTGTTAAATGCTATGTAAATGTATGCTTTTTGTGATTACATTATAACAAAAAGTCTTAATATTTAAATGAAATTAAATATTATAATATAATATAATATAATATAATAAAAAGAGAGTACCTAAAAAAGAAAGAGATAGAGACAGAAGTGAGCATGACTGCCAGGGTTTTTCTCAACATGAAAAGTTCAGTAGAAGAAAAATGCATAAGTGCTTATAATAAAAGGCAATACATGTTTGTCCCTAGAGAGGAATACAGTGTTGTGGGCCCACAATGGAGAGAGAGTTTAATTTCAATGTGGCAAATTCAGTAAGGCCTTATCAAGAGAGTAGCCTTTATACCAGGCCTTGAAATGGAAATTGCTCGCCAGCATGCCATGTTTTCCGTCTTATAAGACAGCTGAGAAGAGGGGTTATAGAGCTATTACTGCACGGCAATCATCTTCCTGGACTTTTGAGTCCGATTATCTGCATACAAATCTTAGTTATGCATTTTCCAGCTGCATGATTTTACATATGTTACTTAATTCAACTGTTTCCCAATTTCCTCATTTATAAATTTGTGAAAACATTACTGATCTTATAAAGATAGTATTAGGATTGAGATAAGTGCTTAGCATACTAAAAATCTCATTAAATATTAGTTGCTGTTATTCTACTCATTACTGCTTTTTCATTGTAAATGGGGTAATATACAAAATTCCTGTGGCCAAAAATGGATTGGCGAGGATGCTGTGGAGAGATGTGAGGCAGTGCCCTATGATTATAAGTGAGAAAGGCAAGTCAGCCAACCTTCCCCTCCTTCTTTTTCTTTCTTTGTCTTCTTCTGTATATTAGTTTCTAGAACCAGGTTTGTCTGGAGCCTCTTGCTGTCATCCCACTCTGTTGGGCAAAGATGTTGGTCCTTCCTCTCTTTGAGACCCCAGGGTCTCAGGGCTCAGGAAACATAATAAATATGTGAAATAATGATAAATTGATCCAAGTCAGATTAGTAATGACTTAATAGGTTTTTCTCTTATCTCTATTTTCAACAAGAGGTGTTCAGTAAATGTGAGTCAAAGAAGCAAGATATAAAGACTTTATCTGGGTAATCTAATCAACCTCCCAAACTGAGAAGCATGCTCCATTAATATAGACCCTTCTCCATCATCATCAAGCCATTCAGCATTGCATAGTTATGTGTAGTTGATAAGTTATATTGTTATTGCTGGGTTTAATCCCAATAGTTTTATGAGTAAATATTATTGTTTTTATTTTACATCTAATATTTTCTTTCCATAAATCCTAGGTAGGTCTATATTATGTATATTCTCAGAAAAAAAAACAGCTGTAGATGATTACATCTATGTATGGCATTCAGATGAAGAGCAATTCATCTTGTTTTCTATCAGTCCAAAAATATCTGTGTATTACCTATTATTTCCTATCTAATTATCAGTCCATAAAAATCCACTTCGGGTGAGCAGCTCAGAGTCCATCCTCTTTTTCTAGACTCCAGTGATTTCCCCTCAATTCTCCTCAGTTTTTCTAATCTTCTGCTCTCCATCTTGTTTCTGGCAGCACTCTGAAAGTCTCTGCTGCAAGTTGCTGGGAGGAGATTTACCTGAAGCTTAGAATATCTAATGCTTTCAGGGTCTAGGCAGAACATGTGGGTGAATTAGGCAGGCAGTCCATGCTATCCCTTGGGGAAGAATAAATATAATTAACCCTCAAATTTAGGAGAAGTATAATGAACTAGAGATAAAATTAGAAAGAATTGACTGTTCAGTTCTACTTGATCGTTGACAAGTGGGAATAAAGTTTCACTTTTAAGAGATATTCTCTTTTTTTTTTCAAGAGAAATTGCAAATCTGGACCTATCTATCTGTCTGTCTATCTATCTATCTATCTATCTATCCATCTATCTATCTATCTATCTATCTACCTACCTACCTATCTACCTACCTACCTAGCTATCTCACTTTAGAATATTGGAGATGCTTTTGAATCATTTAAATAAATATTCTGTAGACCAAATAAGACAACCCAAAAGCCAGATTTGTCTCATGTTCATCAACTTAAAACCACTGCCTTATAACCTTAAAATGTTTGATAGAGGGAAAGATAAACAAAACATAGCCCTATTAATATTGACTCTACCTCATAGAGTAATTAATTAATTATGCCAATTATGTCTCCACTCTTTTACTAAAGACCTATCCTCTCCACTGGGGTTGAGGGTGAGAACAGAAGGGGTAAATAGGAAATAGAATTATCTCCTACTACACACAAATGAGGTATGTGTTTGTGGCTGCATATTTACCCTAGATGTGGTCTGCATAGTTCCCAGTTATTGCGGGATCTGGCCAGCAGCCCTTAATGCAATGGGGCTCTTTCTTTGTTCCCAGGCAGATCTGCAGGTCGAGAAATAAAAGACACACACAAGATAGTGAAAGCTGGGTCCAGGGGTGTCACCGCCTTCTGGTCCTGCGATGCCACCAATGCACTGGATATACCAGCATTTATTCAGTTTAGTGAGGGCAGGGGTAGGTTAGTGAGGGATTTAGGGTCATTTGATTATGAGGTGAGATGGTCCCATGGGATGAAGTAATTCTTTAACATATCATCGGTATGCATAAGTACAGTATACAGAGATAAGAATTTACAATATAGTGTGTGCATCAGCAATTTCTAACAGAGCCTTAAAACAGAAACACAGTCTATCCATAAGCTATTTTTAGTAAGACACTAATCAGTAGTAATAATTGCAGCAAAAGCTGGTTGCAAACAATCAATAGAAGCAGGAAGTGAAACTAGACAACCGGTTAGACCACAAATTCTCAGAAGGGAGTATGTCTTAACCCTAAAGAGACCTACAAGAGCCGTGGCAAGGTAAGTGTGTTTATAGCCCTATCTTATCCATATGAACAGGTGCCCCCTCATGTGTCCGTTTATAGACTCTCCACAAGGGTCGCATTCCATCCCCAGAGCTATGAACATCTGCTTTTCTGGGATAGGAATCTTGGTGATGTGAAACCTCACTGACTGCATGTCCGTTCATAGGCTCTCTGCAGGGGGAAGCACATCACGCAGTGTTGGCTCATTCTGGCAGCCCAACCTTGCATTGTCTTTACACAATCCTACATGCAACTTTGTATTTACAATAATCAGGAGCATTTCATCTTTTATTCCATAGCAATAGTTTCAGGGGGTCCCCCTACACCTAGTTGGCCAGAGACAATCCTTATTTATGCCTGTGGTCGCATTCAGTGTAATAACTAATAGCAATCCCTTTCATGTTCAAAGGTATGCCTGTTAGGAAAATAAATTATAAGGTAACACTAGTTCTGGGTAGCACACTGTCGTAGCTAGTCTCAGTGTGAAATAACATGGATGCAGAGGGACAGGTAAAAAATTGCTAGGTGCTATACGAGATAAGTTGTTACAGAGTTCAGACTCAAGGTCAGGTTCACCTATTCAGAATGCTTCCTACAATCCAGGCTGTTTTGAAATGTATATTAAGAGCTGGCAGAAACTATCATCAGAGTGAGCAGGCAACCTACAGAATGGGAGAAAATTTTTGCAATCTATCCATCTGACAAAGGGCTAATATCCAGGATCTACAAGGAACTTAAATAAATTTACAAGAAAAAAAAAACAACCCCATCAAAAAGTCGGCAAAGGATATGAACAGACACTTCTCAAAAGAAGACATTTATGCGGCCAACAAACATGAAAAAAGCTCATCATCACTGGTCATTACAGAAACGCAAATCAAAACCACAATGAGGTACCATCTCATGCCAGTCAGAATGGTGATCATTAAACAGTCAGGAAACAACAGATGCTGGAGAGGATGTGAAGAAATAGGAACGCTTTTACACTGTTGGTAGGGGTGTAAATTAGTTCAACCATTGTGGAAGACAGTGTGGAGATTCCTCAAGGATCTAGAACCAGAAATACCATTTGACCCAGCAATCCCATTACTGGGTATATACCCAAAGGATTATAAATCATGTGACTATAAAGACACATGCATACGTATGTTTATTGCAGCACTGTTCACAATAGCAAAGACTTGGAACCAACCCAAATGCCCATCAATGATAGACTGCATAAAGAAAATGTGGCAGATATACACCATTGAATACTATGCATCCATAAAAAAGGATGAGTTCATGTCCTTTGCAGGCACATGGATGAAGCTGGAAACCATCATTCTCAGCAAACTAACACAAGAACAGAAAACCAAACACCACATGTTCTCACTCATAAGTGGGAGTTGAACAATGAGAACACATGGACACAGGGAGGGGAACATCACACACCAGGGCCTGTCAGGGAGTTGGGGGCTAGGGGAGGGATAGCATTAGGAGAAATACCTAATGTAGATGACAGGTTGATGGGTGCCGCAAACCACCGCAGCACGTGTATAACTATGTAACAAACCTGCATGTTCTGCACATGTACCCCAGAACTTAAAGTATAATTAAAAATGTATATTAAGCCTCAGAGTCCTATTTTACAGATATTAGAACCAAGGCTGAGAGAAATACAATGTACTCAGGCACATTCCATAGCAATTAACAGAATGCAATTTTAACTAAGGTCTTCTGAGGTCATGGCTGCATACTTTCTCAGCTGCATCCATGTTTGGAAACCAGACTAAGCATTATGCTGTATAGAACAATCACCATCCAAAAGGTACAATTTGGTGATGCATCTGTTAAAAGAAATAGAAACTTAGAATAGGACTAATCGGTAGGGAGACACGACTGACAGCATAAAAGAATCAGAGAACAATTCGTGGTTCTATATAATTAAGTGCTAAATTATTTAGTAAGGATAAAGAAGTTTGGAAGAGACTTTGTGTGGGCTGGTGTATTCAGAGGAGAGATGACACATCAACTGGTCCTTGGAGAACTTGTATGATGTGCATCAGGTGGAGAACATTCCAAAAAGAGGAAACAAAAGGAGGTATTTTGGATTATTTTTATGAGGCACATCTAGGAATATATTTTGACCCAAGTTGAGGGTTCCTACTGAGGAATATGGATAAATCTGGTGGATAAATTATGTTGGGCTAAATATATAAGAATTTGTTTTAATGTTTAGTTTTGTTTTACCCATACATATACATAATTTTACACAAGTGTGTATATGTGGCAATACATCTTCTTTTGAATATATAGTTGTTTTCTTCCCCTAGCCCTTTGTATTTTTTTCTGAGACAGGGTCTTACTCTGTTGCCCAGGCTGGAGTGGAATGTCAGGGCCACGGCTCACTGTAGCCTCAAGCTCCCAGGCTCACATGACCCTCCCACCTCAGCCTCCAACGTAGCTGGAACTACAGGTGTGTGCCACTACTTCCAGATAACATTATTATTATTATTATTATCGTTATTATTATTTTGTAGAGACAGGGTCTTTCTATGATGCCAGGGATAGTCTGGAACTTCTGGACTCAAGTGATCCTCCCACCTCGGCCTCCCAAAGTGCTAGGATTACAGGCATGAGCCACTGTGCCTGGCTTTTTCCCTTTTTTGACTCCCCTTTTTCCCTCTCTTCTTCCATCCTCCCATCTTAACCTGCCCACCCAAGTTAATAACCTAGTATGTAACTTTCTATATGTTTTCTACCTCCTCAAATAATTGGACAGACTTCATGGTAGGATAAACCATCATTAACTATATCGTTGGGTATTAATTTTGTCTCCATTGTTTTGCTGCCAAGAAAAATGACTCAGTAAACACCTTGACATACGGGTCATCACTTATGGCTGCTTTGTTTGTATGGCATAGACATCCAGGAGATGGATTATTGGTTAACATTGTCTCTAACACTTTATAGTGCCAAATCAATGTATGATAAAATGCCTTTGTTAACATATCCTATAAAAATAGGTATCATGGCTCCTTTTCATTTTTGCTAATGAGAAAAGCTTTTAAAGATACCTTGTTATTTTAACTTATATTTCTATGACTTCCAGAGAAAAACATTTTACCACCTTATTTATTTATTTTTTATTAGAATTTGACAATGTTTTTAAAACACTTTATTTTTTTAAAAATATTTCTTTCTATTTTATTTTTATCAATGTACAATCAAGGCAGCAGAATAATAACTATTTTAAGTATTGTAGAAGAAGGTCTTTATTTTAGGACTAAGAACTTACCCAGTTGTAAGATTTGTGAGACAATGAGAATCCAAAAGAGAAAGCAGGAGGATCAGAGAAATGTCACGAACCAGCCCTTCTGAAACACTGGTGTGGCAGACAAATCAGAGCTTCCAGTGAATCTGGAGTGAGTGAGATTATGATGCAATGCTGATGGGGCAGCCTATGGACAAGCTATTGCCTCTCTACCTCCTGCTGGGCTGGAGTTCCTGTAGAGAAAAAGAGCTGGACACAGTGCTGGGAAGAACAAGTTCTAACTAGAATCTATCTTCCTCTCTCATGTTGTTAGTATTATTCTCTAATTACTCCTAAACAAAATGACCTTCAGAGTATAACGTCTGCTGCATCCCTTCAGCTTCCCAAGTCTTGCGCAAATTCTCTTTTGATTAGCTTTAACCTGAAACCACAAAGGGAAGGAGATTCTGGAGAACATAGTTAGAGTTTAGCAAAGTTGACACAGAGCAGATATGACAAAACACACAACCAATTTTCATAAATGTCCACAAACTACAAAGATGTTGTATGCTCTTAAAAACTTCTGTTAAATGAACAGAATGTAGAAAGTAATCTAGATCTTCGTTTACTTTTTACTATACTCTATTTAAAAATTTAGATGTATATATTGTTTCCTATTGTATTTGCAATTTATTAATTTCTTGGTTGTCTAATAGTTTACTTTTATATTAAATGCTGTATGGTTTAGTGCATAAAATATATGATGTTATATCTTATTTATAAATTACACTCCTACCTTTACATAATGTTTCTGTTTAACATTTTAGTTCTTCTAATGTGAAATTTTACCTTGATTAATATTAATATTACCATTTCTGATTACTGTTTTGTTTGCATTTACCTGGAATCACTTTGACCACTGCTTTATTATCTTGCCTTAAATATTTTTATTTCTACCAATGTACATATCTTGATTTAATCTAATTTAGCTCTCTGTATTTTAGTAGAAAACAATGCATCTGTTTATATTTTGAGTAGTGGCTGATATGCTTGGCTGGATTCATTCCATCTTGCTTTGCACTTTTTACTTCTTTCTCATTGATGACCACATGTTTTCCTTTTCCTTATTGTTCCTGGCCTGGTTTAATCAAGATGCAATATATTTCATTTGTTTTCTCCTTGGACAATGTACTGTTTTCTCATTTATTACATATTACTTTTATTTTCTTTGTTCTCATAATCAAATAATTTAAATAAAACTATTTTGTCATCAAGATGCATGCTTCTATTTCCCTCCTACTTGATCCCTCCCCAATAAAAGGAAATCTTGAGTATTTTAACTTTTTACTTTTTCTTTCTTATCCCTCATCCCCTTGATAGACTTCCGTAACATTTTTACATCCCCTACTCCCAACCACCTGGATTTGCTGAGAGAATTGACAACAAACTAGAATTTATTTAACAGTGTTCCTTTTCTTTTCAGTATCTTTTTTGGCTCTTATATTAAGTTCCCCTGGAAAGTGTATTATTATTCCCTTGCACTTAGATAAATAAATAGATACAATTTTGATATTAGTATATTTTACTCATAAATCTTGGAGTCTGTCTTCTGATTTGTTTTTTGACTAGATTTTTTTCTAATCTATTTTAATAAAACAAGTTCTATAAGCTATATATTCCTCAAATTATTACAAATTCTCAAATGTCTTCCTACACTCAAGAATAAATTATGTCTCATCTGGCCATGTGATTCTGGGATGTAGTCATCTTTTATCAGCAATCTGAAGAAGCTATTCTAGCTTCCAGCATGGCAAATAAGAAGTCTGATGTCAATCTCCTTCCTGTTTCCCTTCAATTATATTTTATTAGTTTCACTTGCAGTCCTATAAAATTCCTTAGTGGTCAGGAATTTTACAAGATATGTCAGGATAAGTGTCTTTTCTTAACCTAGTCTATGTTCAAGGAAGCTTTATCTTTATTTGTGAGAAATTTTCTTCTATCATTGTTTAATTATTGCTATACTTTCAGTGTTTATTCTTCTTGCTTTTCACAGCATTTTCATTACTCCAACAACAGTGTTCATGGTTCCATTCCTCAAGCTTTTTTATATTTCATCCTATCATGTCTTCTTATAATGTTATTTGTCTGTGTGATGATTCTTACTTTTGATCCTCTAGATCACTCATTTGGTTCTAACTATGAATCTTTCCTTCAGTTTATGTACCGCATTTTTTTAGCTGCAAAACCATGGTATTTAGCTCCAGAAAATCTTCTTATTACTTGTACTTGAATATAATTGAAGACCTGATTTTTTACTAATATACTCATTTTTAAGAACAGTTTTAAACTTATAAAAACATTGAGTGAATAATACAGAGAATTTCCATATACCTCTCTCCCTGCACAATTTCCTTTATTATTAACATCTTAATATTTGTATGTTTGTTACAGCTGATGAACCAGTATTCATACATTATTATCAACTAAAGCCTATAGTTTATTCATATTTTCTTTATTATCACCTCATCTCTTTTCTGTTCCAGGATCTCATATTGGTTAGTCCATTACATGCAGTTGTCATGTCTCTTTAGGCTCCTCTTGACTTGACAGTTTCTCAGACTTTCCTGCTTTTTGATGACATTGACAGTTTTAAGGATTATTGGTCAGGTATATTATAGCATACTCCTCTAATAGTATTTCTTATGGTTAGAAAGGAATTATCAGTTTTGGGGAGGTACACAGAAAGAATGTGCCATTTTCACCACATCATATGAAAGGTACATATGATCAATTAGATTTATGGCTGTTGATGTTGACCTTAGTCACCTGGCTGAAGTAATGTTTATCAGGTTTCTCTACTGTAAAGGTAGTGTTCTTCCCCTTTCCCATACTGTACTCATAAGAGGGAAGTCACTGTATTTAGCTCATACTAAGGAATAGGGAGTTATGCTTCTCCTCTTTTAGGGTAGAGTGGTTACGTCATTTATTTGGAATTGTTCTGCATGGGACATTTGTCTTTTCTTCCCCATTTATTTAGTCAATTACTTATGTCATCATGGACTCATGGATATATATTTTACACTTTAGGTTATAATACAATATTACTTCATTTATTTTGGTGCCAAAATTTTCTCATCTGTGACCACTGAGACCTCTTTCCATTGGTTTCTGTGACCCCTTTGACTGCTTTCATCAATTTTGTGTGTGTGTTTTTTAACCACTTTCTTACTTTCTGGGACTTCAAGATGCTCAAGGCTCAACTGGTATATCCCCTGCCCTAGACCTGAAATCATCTATTTATCCAAAGAACCCTGGGTCCTTTTACTGGAGAAAGGTATCAGAAACTAAAATATGGGGTGCTAGGTGCTATTAGGGTCTTGTTTATTTTAGCTTCTCTTGAGTACATTTTTAAAAACTATTTAAGGCTGAATATCTGCTTTGGCAGTTTTGTTTTACTGTGTATGCATTTTGATCTGTCTGATTTCCCTATTTCTGACCACTGGAATCCTTTGGATGGATTCTCCCCCCAGACTTACTGGGATTGTGGGCTTACTGTGGTTGAATATTAAATGGCTGGATAAATTGCTTGGGGTTTTGAATGGGAAGGAGCATCTTTTCTTATGGGTCTGTGATTCAAGAGACGTTGGTCCTTGTTTAAGAATTTATATTAGCCATTTCAAAACACGTGGGCTTCCTGTGCTCTCCTAGCCTCAGAGGAAGTACAGACTCAATGTGCCTGCAGAACCAACACTTGAACACAAGAGAATCAAGAATAGAAGAAAATAACTTCCAGAATTATGGAGTAAGGACCTAAAACGATTTCTCTTCCATTAAAGCAAAGAAAATACTGGCAAAAATTGACAAATTAATTCTTAGAATTCTGGAAATCAATCCAAAGCTTTCAACAATTCAATGTGTTTATTTAGAAAAAAAAGCTGAATTGTGATAATAATACCCTTTGTGACATTTTAATTTCCCATATTCCCATCTCCATCTTACCAGCTCTGTGATACTCTTGAAAACCAGTAGACTTAGAAACACAGTAGCTGTGAAAACCAGCTGCCTAGCAGCACATGCTCCATCTCCAGAGAAATGTCATTATTTGACCTATCTGTTAAAGCCACATTCACAAGGTTTATGTTTATCTGATCTGACTCAGAGCTTGGTAGATAAGAAAAGCCCTACCTTAAGAGTATTTCTCAAAAACAATTGGAGGCAATATTTAACATCACAGCTGACTGAGGTGGCAATAGCAATTGAGGTAAATAAGAGGCTAACTGAAAAATGTAAAAGAAAAATCTGGCAATGAGCTGTTCATAGGTAACTTTGAAAAGTTTTGACATATTTTTGGATATCTAAATAACCACATGTTTGTGGAGCTGGGCATATGCCCAGAAAAGACCCTATCTCTCACTTCAGCTGACCTTGAGACTGTGCAAGCCGGAAGTGAAGGTGTAGGCAAAGTTGTACATTGCCTGCCAGATGTACCCCAAAATACACACTGAGACCCTCAGCAAGAAGTGGAAGATTTAATTGTATCACAACATTTAAGGAAATGTCTATCAAATTAGCTGACTACTAAGAAATTGAAAGACACGCCAATGACTGGACAACACAAAGAATATACACTTTTAAAAATGAGCCCAAGCCAAAATTAGTTATTAAATAAACACTCATCAACAAAGGCAACAACCAAAATCTGTATTAGCCAATGTTTTCTAGAGAAACTGAACCAATCAGATGTATATATAGTGAACACTTTATTTTAAGGGATTGGCTCACGTGGGGGCTGGTAAGCCAAAATTTTGCAGTGCCAGCCAGTAGGCTGGGAACCCAAGGAAGAGCTGATGTTTCAATCTTGAGTCCAAAGGCAGTCTGGAAACATGTAACAACGAAAATACACAAAATACTAATATTACCGTTAGGTACTCCTAATCAAATATTTATATGAGGCAAGTTTCTGGGTGATCACGTATTAAATACCTTAAAAAATATTTTAGTGAAATGAATAGGTATAATTAAATTGATTGGTTGCTCCTGATTGCACTGAACCCATGGGAAAGGAAAAGGATGAGCTCAAGGATTCAATTTCCTGGTAACAAAATCTGATTTGGGAACTGGAAAATGCAGTCACTAGAGTTAACATGCAAACTTTCCTGAAAGGGACCATATACAAACCCTTGTTTTTATTGTGCAAAATGTAATGCTATAAATTTTTTTCCAAATGTTCCACCATTGTTTTACAATAAAACCACGAATATGGAAGACTTGACGCTTCAAACACTTAGGGCTTATGTCACCAGTTGCTATCTTTTCCTAACGTAATTACAAAGATGCGCAGGGTATTTTTTTGGCATAAAGCTTGCAATAACTAAAAATATATATCCTAGCTGAATTTTGCACATAGATTCCAGTGTATATTTGTTAACTATACTGAAAAGAAAATACACAGCTTTCTCCTGTTACTTAGAGGAATTATAGTAAGGAAGTAAGAATAATTTTATTTGATATAAAATATGTTTTACTGAATATTTTCCAAGGCAACATTATATGATTAACTATTCAGTGATATTAAATATGGATTTATTTAGATTTACTTTAATGAATCTAAAGACTGTAGTTGGAAGATTAATTATTGATACATAAATGGTTTCAAGTCATCAATATTTATTTTCATAAGTAAATTAAATACTTCAAAAATCTTTTCATCCTAAGACTTGTTTTGTCAAGCTATTTGTCCCTTCATTATATCACAATGTTTGATTTCAAATCCCATTCAAGTTCAGATTGCTACAAAGCTTCTAACTGTATATTTGGATCAGTGAGGATTTCCTTTACTATTTTCACTATTTTCCTTTAGAGGGGAAAAAGGAATAACCCCTGGTCAAACCAGCCATAAAGATTATATTTCTGAAGCCAGAGTGCGTGAAATTCTCTTCCAGCAAAGCTTAGAATATGAGGAGATGGAACGACCGTTAGAGAACATCTAAGTCATCAGTCTTATTACAGGTTAGAGACCTAGATCCAAGGAGGCAAACTTATTTTCCCACAGTTAGACAGCATGCTAGGACACAGAGTCTATGATCTAGAATCCCAAAGCAATGCACTCTTTCCACATATCTCTGCTAAGTCAAGAAGAGGCCCTCCATGACCAAGTGCTGATTTTTTTCAGTTTCAAATCTGTGTTATTATTGGATTAAAATGGCATATAAAACCATTTCCTATCAAGTAATTTAAACATAGTTATCATTTTTCCCTTTTTACATTTATTTTTATAACATAAATAATGCATATTTGATGGTTAGAATGACCACATAACTTACTGTCCAAACCAGCACACTTTTTAAAAGTTTGAGGCTATTAATAATTACACTGAGATAAAAGGCAACCCAGAACATAAAGCCACTCTATGAATGAATGGACAATAAAATTAAGGTATCAGTAAGCAAAATGAAAAAATAAACCTTTTCGCCCCATCTCCTCCATCTAGACTTAGCTATATTTTGAATTTTATCATTATGGATGTATCTATGCACGTACTTTTTTGCCAAAAGGATCAATATTTTTTGCAGTCTGCTTTTATCAACGAATAATGTATTAGAATCATTTTTCTCAGTAAATAAATATTCATGCACACTCAACGTTTGAATGATTGCTTAGCATTGTGTTGTTACTCTTATAACCGGCCTGGTCATGTTCAAATAGAGACCACACTGTTCACTCAATTAGTCACCCTAACTTCTGGGGGTCAAGTATATATTATCTCTGGAAAGTAAATATATAACTACAAAGGTTACCTCCATTTCCATCTTTCTACAAACACCTAAACAACCAAAAATACACAGGCCTAGACCAGTCAGGCAGAGGCCAAGCTATCAGAAGAGACATTAGCAACAAGTAACTAGTACAATCACACCCAGGATACTTGCTGAGTATCAGCTTTGATCAAAAGCATGGCAATTCACCAAAATAAGGTAAAGTTGTTGATATTACCAGAGTATCAGTTTAAGAGCTTATAAAGTTGGGCAGAGCCTGGCTAATAAATCAACAATTATTACATTCTTATGTTGTCAAACCAGTACAGCAAGATGAGTCTTTATGAAATTATCTGCCTAGAAGAAATAAAGTCATGAAGCTATGCAAATCTACAGACTTGTACGTAAATTTCAAAGTGCAATTAGCACACTGAAATTTGTTTGAATGTCTTATTACTAGATTACTTTCACAAATAATAAAGAGTAGTTGAGGATTATGGAAAGCCATTCATTCAGCAAATATTTATTTGCTCAGCTTTTATGTGTCAATCATCTTTTCGGCACCATGACAAATAGAAAAGTGAGTCAACCTGAAGTCTATTTTAAAGGATTTCTTCTTGACTGGTAGAAAAGTATGCGCCTACTTTCAAAAGCATACATGTATAATGCATGGTAGAAACATTATGAAAATGCCATTAAGTGATGTTATTCATGCTCGATGGAAATTGGAGAAGGCTAAATCTACATCTAACTGGCTTTGTACTCAGTAGATGTAGATGTGGATAAAATATATCTTCATACAAGAAATGTCATTGCTCCCTGAAGGAGTTTTAGGACAATCATTCCCAGTGGAGAAAACAGCAGCAGCAGCAGCAAAAGCAGACCAATAAGGAAGAAAGCAATATAGGATTAAAAGAGTTTGTAAAAGGGTCTTTGAAACAATATTGGAAAGTGCTGCAAGAAAATATGGAGCCCCTTGAATGGTAAAGCAGTGAACATGGACTTGATGATTTTTGTTTAAATAAATTAAATTGTCTATTTTTAATAACATTATTGAAGTATGATTGATATACAAAGAACTGCACATACTTAATGTACGATGAGTTTGAACATATGCAAACACCTGTCATGCAATCACTACAATCAAGGCAACAAACATATCCACAGGATGTATGGGACAAGGTAGCTGATGACAGATTAAACAACATGGATTTAATCCTATAGGCAACTTGAAATAATTATTCAGATTTTCAGCAGGGTTCTAAGATATGAACTGCTGTTTAACCCATCATCACCTCCTTTGTCCCACACATCTCCCTTCTCTTGATGCTGTCTTCTTACACAAATCATTTTGTGTTCCTGTCTCTTCAAAATGCCATGTGCTCCAAGCACTTGAGAATTAATTTTTTTAAAATTCTGTTTTGTAAGACTTCTTAAGGCTGGACTCAGAGAAGGTTGAGGCTGCTGATTTTCCTCCATGACTTTATCTTAGACACACCCATCAGTAGTACTACTTCTGAATGCTACTCGGAGCATATAGCCTGGATATCATCAGGATGAATCTACTTAATTCTGCTGTTATACTGTCACATGTGGCCAGAAACCATAGGCTTTTAGGGAGAAAATTGTTAAATTTCACTCCATTTTTCCTTTTATGATAGTATATGACTTTTTTACAGAGCTGGTTTTTGTCTTTAATATACGGAGAGAAACTAGAAGCAGGAAAGTACTGCTTTTCCATTTCTGTTACCATTTAGGCAATGAGAAGTATCATTCACAATTCCAATTTTAATTAAGGCAGTGATTCATGACCCAAAGAGGCAGAAACAGGACTCTCTCAGTCCCTTTGACAGAGCACAATACAGAGAAACTCACAACTGGCTGAGCTGAGGGACCTATTTCGAAATTCAAAGGAATAAAAAGTCTCCCAGTGATGTAAACATCAGAGTTTCTTACCTCTCTGGGGAGCAAATGTTAGCAGGGGGGCTGCAAAGTTAATTACTTAAGGAGGACAGGAGACAGGTTGTGAGTTGTGGGGAGCAAGAGCAGCAGAAACATGAAGGGGAACGAAACCCTAGGTCCAAAGAGAAAAAAGAGAAAAATTGAAGTTGTA
This sequence comes from Homo sapiens, assembly GCF_000001405.40. Classification (NCBI taxonomy): domain Eukaryota; kingdom Metazoa; phylum Chordata; class Mammalia; order Primates; family Hominidae; genus Homo; species Homo sapiens. The sequence goes on from NC_000011.10 coordinate 26,328,765, forward strand.
GCAAGACAGGTATATGGGTAGGGGGGTTGAAGATCTATGCATGTAATAAGGATAAAATCAACACATATCATTGATAAAGTATGAAAATGATAAAAATATATGAAAGTATAAAAAATATTACCCTTTACTCAACTTGCAAGCATGATTACTCCAGACATTTTCGCATGTTTATTTCTAGGCTTTTTTTTTCTACTTTGGAAAACAGAGTCAAGACTGTACTGTGTATTATACATTAATCATGCCCCCTCACTAAACATTATATAAAATACACATTTTGCATGTCATTAAAATTTGGAGAAAAATGTTTGAAGCTAAAAATAGTAGGAAAAAGCAACCCAACATAGTTCATAGTTAGCTTAGCTTTCCTTAATGAGGCTACTTGCTATCCATTCTTAAACTGTCCACAATGGAAATGTCAGTCCATCAAAATGCTTCCTTTTACCCCAACACAGAATTTTTATTTTGAGTTAAAAAAGAGGGCTTTTGCTCAAACTCTTCTTTCTACACTTCCAAAACGTACTTTCTTTCTTTACACACACACACACACACACACACACACACACAGAGAGAGAGAGAGAGAGAGGAATCTTTTTCTCTTTGCACTGCCTTTCTATAAAGCAGATGGTGCTTCAAATTTCCTCGGCCCCTCACAAAGCTGTTCCTCTAGCAACCTCCCCTAAAAGACTGATTTTAAAACAAGCAAAGATGTTCTTTGAATCCCCTGCTAGTCAATCTGGCAGTCCAACCTAAAATGTTTCTAATTTTAAGAAAAGTAATTAACTTTATGACAAGATAGTTTAATCATAGCTGCACCAAGGAGGTTAGGGTGCAAGGGTGTTAGAAATAATAACAAACATTCTTTCCTTGGAAAAAAATCCAATGAGGTTCAAAATCTCAACTCATTTCTAGTTCTGGCAGATACATATTTGCCTCCTGCTGGGTTTTGGATCAGGGAGTAGGTTGGAGAAAATCAGGGATCAACAGAAAAAGATCTTAGGAAGGTAAAGGTGATACCTGTGCCTAGAAATGTGGAATAGAGGGACTTAAATTTTTTTTTTTTTTTTTTGAGACGGAGTCTCGCTCTGTTTCCCAGGCTGGAGTGCGGTGGTGCGATCTAGGCTCACCGCAAGCTCCGCCTCCCGGGTTCAAGCCATTCTCCTGCCTCAGCCTCCTGAGTAGCTGGGACTACAGGCGCCCGCCACCGCCCGGCGAGGGGACTTTAATTCTTTTAACTAGTCCTGCTGACCAGGGATTGAATTAAAGTTTAAATTTCAAAAATATTTCTGATTCTAAAACCGGTGATTTAAAAGGGGGTTTTAAACATTTAAATGAGATCTACAGGGGTCATAACTGACTAGTAAGTATTGGGTGTTAGTTTTCTGCCATTCTTAAATTCATTGTCTAATCCTCACGTAGGAGAATTGGGTTGCATTAGAATCAATGAGTTGGTTCACATCAGAATGATCTGTAAGCTGAGTTCTATCAGAATTTTAACTCTGGATGAACAAAATTTAAAAAAAACATCCTCGAGCAAGTCATTTATTCTTCTCGGTTTCAATGCCCTCATCTATACAATATCTGTATTAAAAGCCCTTACGGAGACAGTCTCTGAACTGTGTTTTAGATCTTCATTTGGAGGTGAACTCACACTGAGTTCATTGTCTGTAACCAAGTATTTCTTCAATGCCTGCATACTGAGCTCTTATTGAATGCTCAGCATTTCTTTCTGGAAAGACCATTATGATACATTAAAGAAGGTAGCACATTGTTTGCTCTTCCTCCCACTGAGAGTAGAATCCAATTTCGCTTTTTGCTTCAGATGACTTTAAGACCAGTTACTGAACAATCAAGAGAGACTCTGAGAGATAACTGCCTGTCTGAATCTAGCCCACCTGCAAAATCCATAAGTAATAATAATAAATTTTAGTTTACAGCTTAGTTTCAGGGTAGTTTGTTATGCATCCATAAATAATTGGAGCATCTGTTTGTTCAAAGCTATATTCCCCTCATTCTTTTGTATCATGCACCACAGATGAATCAAACAGCATACAATAATAACTCAATATTTTTGAGGTATCGAAAGTTTGGAAATTTCTGCATATTTTTTATCTGCTTTTATTTGGATTATTCACCTGATTCTGAGTTGATTCCATAAAACTTCAAAACTGAGGAAGCAACGGACTCTCACGATGTGTCTGTTCAATAACATCTTACATCTTCCAGGAAGAACTTAGGGCTTTGAATCAGGGAGCAGAGATAGATGGAGGAAAGGAGATCCTACTGAAAAATGTGTTCAGCTAGCTTCTGGTCCTATTTTGGCCACTGCAGTTTGGTCTTTCAAAAGTTACTTCAAAGTGGGAGCTGAATGATGAGAACACACGGACACAATGGGGGAACAACACACACTGGGGCCTGTTGGAGGGGGAGGGAGAGCATTAGGAACAATAGCTAATGGCTGCTGGGCTCAATACCCGGGTGATGGGGTGATCTGTGCAGCAAACCACCATGGCATACGTTTACCTATGTAACAAACCTGCGCATCCTGCACATGTACCACGAACTTAAAATACATGGTGAAGATATAAATAAATAATAAAATAAAACTTCTCAAACTAAACAAAAAGAGTTACTTCACTTCTTTGGGTATCGGGTGCCTTCTCTTTCAAATAAGGTGTTGATTTATGTGGTCTTGAGAAATCTTTGTTGCTCTGATCTTAAGTTTCTTTTTATAATATTAGAATCATAGTTTACCTACATTACAGGGCTTTTATGAAGATTAAATCGAGCATCGTGGGTAGTGTTTTTTCAGCCCCTGTGACTAAGTAGGTTATAAATGGTCCTCAGTCATCATCATCATAAATGATTCAAGGCCTGAATGGCAGAAGAAGAAGAGGAAAACTCAAGTGAAAAGTGCTAGACATAGAACACAGCTTACCTAATAAAACATGCTACTGGCTAACTAAGCTGGGGTGGCTTTCTGCCCCCTCTACTTAAATTTAAGAAAGAAAAACAGAAACGTCTCTGCATCTGCCACTGCATACCCTCTCAGAGCACAGACCAACTTTGCCCTTCCTTAAAAGTCCCAGGGTTTACCTACCAACTTTTAGGAAATAAATAACCAGCCTCAAAGCTTGGCAAAGAGGGCATCAGTATCAGCTCTAGAGGTTTGCTCCGATTTATATCTCCTCCTCCAGTAAAGTCTTCTGCTCCCACTCCCAGCCAACCCCGCTCAACGCCCACCCCTCACTGTGGCACTGGACGCGCGGGGGATGCGGGGTTGTTCCCAGAGTAGCCGCTAAGGGGAGCCGGACGCTAGACCGCCCTCCCGCGTTCCCATGACAACGACACCGGCGGGCGCGTAGCCTGGAGAGCGAAGTGCCGGCTACAGCAGGTGTCGGATTGCAGTGCGCTCGCTGAGGCTCCGGACCTTGGAGCGTCTAGAGTCTGGCTACTGTTCCTCCGCCTCCCTCTCGGGCAGCTCCCTAAGCCGGCTGGGACGCGCAGAGTGAAAATGGTCCACCATTCAGGCTCCATTCAGTCCTTTAAACAGCAAAAAGGTCAGTTGGAATCTTGCTCCCCTCTCCCTGCGGGCGTCACTTCCCCCCTGCATGCCCTTGCAGTTGTGTAGGAGCATCCTTTGCAGGCTTATGCGACACAGAGGTGGGGAACTCTGTGAAGTTAAAAAAAAAAAAAAAATTAAATTCCTCTTCACTCTGCATCCTAGATGAGTGATTTTCTGAGCCTCCGCACAGTGCCTGGGAGTATCGGAATTCGTCATTTCAGGACTTGACTTAATGTATATCTCTGTGAAGACTGTTTCAATGCACTGCAGTAAACCCGCTTAGTAGGGATTGTCCGAATAGCTCAGTAGAGCTCTGAGGGGTGAGGACAGAAATGTTCAACAATATCTGCCGTCTTCTGTGGTTCAAATGTTGAGTAATCTTCACAAAAGTGTGTCTACTCCTTGAGACGCATTTACACAATCATAAGATAAATGAATTCTTGGGGGAGTTCCAGAGTTGGCCTGTTGCAGTTAAAGGGGCTCTGTCACTTCCTTGGGAAAATTTATTGTTTGCCCATGTCCCATGCTTGATTCTGGGTTTCAAGTTCTTGAGGTTAGGTTTCTCTTCTAGGGGCTTCGTATTATGTCTTTTAGTTTCTCCCTCAAGTTTCTTGCTGGGCATAGTGACAAGAATCTGTATGTTCAAGTTATCCTCACTCTTTGATCTTTGTTTCTTATTTGGTTTAAAAGGCTTTTTACAGAGCATTTTTATTTTGAGGCACATTCACAGTTTTTGGAGTTTTATTATCCAGAAGCATTAATTAACACAATTGCCACTTTGCTGAATTAATAATGGTAATTATGATACAGTTAACCATAGAGTGCCTTAGATGTGTGAATTCTGGAATGCTGAATTTGTTCATTCAAAGTAAATATTTACTTAAATATTCTCATCCCCACCCTCCAGATATTATTTGTATTTCTTTCATCAACAGTTGTTTTTATGTAGCTCTTTGACTTTTTTTTTTTTTTTGAGGTGGAGTCTCGCTCTGTTGCCCAGGCTGGAGTGCAGTGGCGCGATCTCGGCTCACTGCAAGCTCTGCATCCCAGGTTCATGCCATTATCCTGCCTCAGCCTCCTGAGTAGCTGGGACTACAGGCGCCCGCCACCAAGCCCAGCTAATTTTTTTGTGTTTTTAGTAGAGACGGGGTTTCACCGTATTAGCCAGGATGGCCTCCATCTCCTGACCTCGTGATCCGCCCGCCTTAGCCTCCCAAAGTGCTGGGATTACAGGTGTGAGCCACTGTACCCGGCCCTTGACTTTTTTGTTTGTTTTTAACAAAAACTAGATTAACACACAAGAAACAATTTCGAAGGGATTCCTGCGTAAGACAGAATATGGGACTGACTGAGTTTCCAGTTCCATAATTCTGTACTCAGTTCAAGCCCAAGTTCTCTAGGATGTTTCAAATATATGTTGAAATTGGGAGTGATGTGTGAGACTGTAGGGGTAGACAAAAATTTCACCTAGTATGCACTTCTACTTCAACTCTAAACATTTCAAATAAAGTTAAACTGCTTCAAGAAGTTGTGTTCTCTTTAATCATGGTTTTAAACATACATAAACTTTCAGAATGAAGACAAAGATGATAGGAACTTTGCAACAGCCTCACAGAATAAATACCTCCACTGATGCATTGGCTATGGGTGACTCATTTCTGGGATCTGGAAGCTTCAAATGGCCCCCACAACAATGTATTATGTATGGATACATGTTGTGTTTTTAAGAAGGAAATAATTGACAACTGTAGGTCCGACCGTCATTGCTCAAAGAGAGTGATAAGAAATTGTGCAATTGCTGGCATTTCACATTGTTTCCTTTATGATGCATTATGAGCCATTTAATTTCAAGTCTTCCTTTACTCTTTGGCACAAAAGGCAACTTCAGCAAAAGGATACAAATCTAGAGGAGGAGTACTCCGGTAGGAAGGAAGCAAGATTCATTTTAGCTAAGTGGTTCTGGTTAATGGCTTCTTAATCCTGCATGGGCATTAGGAAAAAAACAGACCAAATTGAGGATTAGCTATTTTTATTCTTCAAATAGGAAGAAGCAAAATAATTCTCTAGATGTGATCTGTCCTAGGAGGTATGCAACAACAACAACAAAACATTCAGATGTGCTTTTCACCATAAAATTAACCTGAAAATTGCACATTAAAATGGAGAAAATTCTGTAGTGGAACTCTGTACTCCTAGGTTCTAAGCTTGCGTTTGTTACTAGCTGAGAAATCTTCAACAAAGTGGTTAATTTCTTTGGACTTTGCTTCATACATAACATGAACAGAATACATTCCTAATCCCTTTGGCCTTTTCTGTCTCTCTTCCTCTGTTTAATGGGAGGGACGGTTTGCATATGAAGGCAGAGATGATTTCTTCTGTGACCAGATAAAGAGGAGAGCCTTGCTTTTAGTTTACTTTTACGAATTAATTTAGCTGAAAAATCCAGTTGATGGAATTTACTTTTGTTTTATTCAAGTGAGCTCAATGTCTCTTTTAAAAATTTTGATTTCAACTTGAAAATATCTAGAAATAGCCTGATATAACTAGAAATCACCCTTGTTATATTATTTTTAAAGTTTCCACCCTTAATTGAAAAACAGACACACTCAATATTTAAACTCTACACAAGGCATAGGGATTCTCCTTTATATATGAGAACTATGTATTAACCAATCCCCGATCAAAATTGGTTTTGATAGGTAAGTATAAGTATAGTATAGATAAGTATAGATGCCAGACTGGTTATCTGGGAAATGAAATACTGTATGTAAGCCCTAATTTATTAATTTAATCTCTGGTCTTTATTTTGAGCCCTGGATATTAATCCAATATATTCTACTTACAGGTTATGTCATTTAATATCACTAAGCCACAGTAACTGCTTATGTGAAATGAAGATAATTATGTCTATCTTGCAGAGTTATAAGGTGTTTAGCAGTTTGTCTGACACACAGTTGGGGCTCAAAAAATTTAGTGATTTTCCTTACTAAAATTCATCTAGGCTCATTCACCTTTGGTTGGCTCTTTAGTAGTATATTGGACTCTTAGCAGTTCCCTTATAATTTCTTGCCTTTTTTTTTCTTTTGCATCACGCAGCTTTATTACTTTGGGATTCATCTTAAGGAAAACAGTGGACTCCAGACCATCTATGGATGGTTTTTTAAAATAGTCTGGAGTTAACTATCACAAACTCTCCTCAATTCATATGTCCATCCCTCAGGAAAACTTCCAAAAAATTCCCATAGAAATTTTTAGGTTTGTAATTAACTTTATAATCTAAAATGTTTTTGCAAGAAATGGTATTTATTTACTGTCCACTCTTAAGTACCATGCTTTTGCTGCGTGTATGCCAGGGACTGTGCTTAATAATAGCATTATTCAGTCCTCTTTTGTTGCTGAATCTGTTGCTGCAAAACCCTCCTCCTTAAAGGACTTGCTACTATAGGAAGTTTGAGAGATTTGCTAAACACCTTTACGAGAATTGCAGACAACTCTGCACTTCTGTAGGAAAATGTTGACGTTTTGTTTTTTGGCAGTGCCAGTTGTGTTTATGAAGAAGATATACACAAATAGTTTTGAATTTTACTCCACTGTAAATTTTAGATTATCTTATTAGGAGGCTTAATAGGAAGTAAAAAGTGAGACATCTGTGCAGTGGTGGGGAGGGGGAGGCAGTCTGCTTATTTTTGATGTCCCAAGGGTAAATTGGAGTGTATTATGGTTATAGACAACTGGGAGCATATGTTTGCTTTTGTCTTAGCACATCTTGTAAAAACACATTAGCTGACACATCAGCAGTGATTTCTGGGGAAAGTCCAACTTTCTTCCTAGCCTGGCTTTCCATGTTTTGCTTGATTTATGATGAGCTCATGTGTCATACAAGGGTGGGCAAGAGAAAGACAATGATAGTTTTGGCTTCTGGTGGCTGCTCTTTACCAATACAGCTACCAAGACTTTTCATAGAACCATAGATCAAATCAAACACAGCCTGTCCCAAAAGACTTTGGCTTAATGGGATCAGCTAAGGCTGTTAAGTGATTCATCATTATCCTAAAGGACATTTGGTTAAAACAGAGAGTGTTTTTAGTAATTCCATAGAAATAAGCATTTACTACTCACATAACTCATTTAATAATAAGAATGTTTTACACTTATATGGAGACTTACAGTCTAAAGTATTTTCTTTCTCTTTTTCTTTAAATAAATTTGTTGCTATTGCAAGTGCACACCCGTAAAGCCACTTGGCACAACTATCCTGCTTTGTGTCAAGTTCTGAATTCAAATTACCTAGAAGGACAATCCTGGGAAAAATATCTAGTTTCAGAATCTCTGATATCCACTGTTTTCATCTCCTTTTCCCCTAACTGACATCCTTACAATCTAGAACCTCCCTATACCCTTATCTTAGAGAAATAAGAAAAAAAAACTGGAGCCATTTATACAGTGACAAAATTTCATTAACTCATTGTGCTAACTCTTCCTGGTATTTTCACAGTCTATTCTTTTATTTATGACTAAAGCTCAGAAGGCATTGTCTCTCATTAAAATAATTCTAAGTTGTATAGGAAAAATCACTGGGGGAGATATTTTAAGGTAAGGAGTTATACTTTTCTTAGGCTGGTACTGAATATCAACCTGAATATTAGAAAGAATTGGGAGTCTAATCTAATTTAGAGCCCATCTGGTCTTCTACTCTGTCCTTTAATTTTCACCCTTCTCTTTCTTTCCTTACACAGAAGGTTTCCTAGATATTTGGAACTCTAGTTCTCCATTAACAATCCCCCAGTAAGAGTGAGCCAAACTATAAAAAGAATATAGAGATATTTCAACCCGAAAAAAAACACAAGTGTCTGGGACTGTAACTTAAAAAATCTTGCATATATACCTCAGATGGCTCAGAGGAATTACTGTGTTAATTCAAAGTAAGAACATTGCTGTTTAAAATGATGGCTTTGAATTAGCAAGAATAGTAGTATATGTTATGTGATAAATATATATCCTCTACTTAGTAAGGGAGAGAAGTGATGGAGTTTAAAATGAATTCTATCTGAAGTAACTATAATTTTAAAATGTGAGTGTTTCAAAGCTATCTAGAATTTTAATTATCTAAAATAGCACATTCCTTGATGATTCTAGAGAGCTGAAGTTTTCATTTGAATCTGGGATTTACATTATATTCTGCACATGGATGTTTCTGAAAGTAATATATTTGGAGTTGATGATTATATAAACCAATTTATCAAAAGATAATTTAAACTCAAACCCTTAAAAAATCCAAGAAAAATTCAACCTTCTCTTCATTATTTTAATGTCTTATAAGTCTGCAGATGTTTATTAAATGTTAGCGTAAAAATTATGGCTCACTTTGGGAGGCGGAGGTGGTGGATCACTTGAGGACAGTAGTTTGAGACCAGCCTGGCCAACATGGTAAAACCCTGTCTCTACTAAAAATACAAAAATTATCTGGGTGTGGTGACGGGCACCTGTAATCCCAGCTACTCAGGAGGCTGAGGCAGGAGAATCACTTGAACCAGGGAGGCAGATGTTGCAGTGAGCCGAGATTGCACCACTGCACTTCAGCCTGAGTGATAGAGCAAAACTCAGTCTCAAAAGAAAAAAAAAATTATGGCTTAATGTAATGTAGTCGTACCTTGTTGAAAAGAGCACTGACTCAGAGTTCCCTGAGATTGACCCCTGTCACCACCTCTGTGCCTTTGAACATTTACCTTTTCTGAGCAAAGTTTCAGGACAGTAACATCTACCTCTCAGGATTGTTGTGAATGATAATTAAAAAAAAAAAAAACAGCAAAAACAACAGTAGAAGCTAATATTGTGTGGACACTATTACCCATTGAGAGGTGAAGCCAGCTGGACTTCCTGGGTTGAGTGGGAACTTGGAGAACTTTTCTGTCTAGCTAGAGGATTGTAAATGCACCAGTCAGCACTCTGTAAAAATGCACCAATTAGCACTCTGTGTCTAGCTAAAGGTTTGTAAACGCACCAATCGGCATTCTGTAAAAATGCACTAATCAGTGCTCTGTGTCTAGCTAAAGGATTATAAACGCAGCAATCAGCACTCTGTAAAAATGCACCTATCAGTGCTCTGTAAAATGGACCAATCAGCACTCTGTAAAATGGACCAATCAGCAGAATGTGGGAGGGGCCAAATAAGGGAACAAAAGCTGGCCACCCCAGCCAGCAGCAGCAACCCACTGGGGTCCCCTTCCATGGTGTGGAAGCTTTGTTCTTTCGCTTTTTATAATAAATCTTGCTGCTGCTCAGTCTTTGGGTCCGCACTACCTTTATGAACTGTAGCACTCACCGCGAGGGTCTCCAGCTTCATTCCTGAAGTCAACGAGACCATGAACCCCCCCACTGGGAGAAACAACTCCAGACGTGCCACCTTTAAGAGCTGTAACACTTGCTGTGAGGGTCTGGGGCTTCACTCCTGAAGTCAGTGAGACCACGAACCCACCGGAAGGAAGAAACTCTGGACACATCTGAACATCTGAAGGAACAAACTCCCGACACACCATCTTTAAGAGCTGTAACACTCACCGCGAGGGTCCGCGGCTTCATTCTTGAAGTCAGCGAGACCAAGAACCCACTGGAAGGAATAAATTCCGGACACACCATTGTTCCCAAAGTTCAAAGATGCACTAACTGCATTATTTTATACTCCCTAAGGCTTTAATAATTATATTATTGTTCTTATTTTCAAGGTAAGGGATTTGAGGTTAAGATAACTTACATGCATTGCAAGTTAACGCTTAATGAGTGAAAGATCTAGGGTTTGAACGCAGCCCTCCCTGACTCCAAAGTCCACTTTTTTTTTTTTTCTTTTTTTGATGGAGTCTGGCTCTTGTTGCCCAGGCTGGAGTGCAGTGGCACGATCTCGGCTCACTGAAACCTCTGCCTCCCGAGTTCAAGCTATTCTCCTGCCTCAGCCTCCTGAGTAGCTGGGATTACAGGCCCCCGCCACCATGCCCGCATAATTTTTGTATTTTTAGTAGAGATGGGATTTCACCATGTTGGCCAGGCTGGTCTCAAACTCCTGACCCAGGCGATCCGCCTGCCTGGGCTTCCCAAAGTGCTGGGAATTACAGGCGTGAACCACCGCGCCTGGCCCAAAGTCCACATTTGTAAACATTGTGCATGCCACAAAGAAGCCTAATTGTTGCAGGTTCTTTGGAGAATGAAACACTTAAACAGCTGAAAAGCATTTCACTCCTGTCTAATTTTCACCACAGCTGTCTATAGCTAGTTTCCTTGCTCTACACCTTTTCCACAAAAATAATATCAGAGTTCAGGGCAGATTTTTATTATTTCTGAACTTGATCATGGGTAGTTCCCTGTCCCTTCTGTGACTTCATTCACCGTATATCTGAAATGAAAACATCTGGCAGAATGACCTCCATGTTTCCTCCTGACTCTGCAGTTCATCAAAAGTTACAGAAGCGTGAAATAATATTCTTAACCTGTAGCGTATTAGTACAACCATCCTGGCTGTCCGTTTGGTTATTCTTTCCTCTTAAACTGCACTGCAAGTAGCAATTACTTTAAATTCCGACTGGTTTCAGTGCAACAGCTATGTAGGAAGCCTGCAGCAGCTGCAGGATACAGGTTCACCAAAGCATGAATCTCCCATATTCACCTCCTCACTATAACCAAGATGCGGTTGGCCTGCTGAGGAGAGAGGTTCCTTGAGGGTAAAACTGGATTGCCTGAAAGTTACGTTACTGGAAGTATTTTGCAAATGCATTGTATTGGTTGTGGTACATTTCTTATCATCGTACTCTTAGACAGTTACTAGGCTGACCAAAGGCATTTCCTAAAAATAACTCCTAAAGTTGTGTATTTTGTTGGTGCACAAGTAAAATGTCAAATGCTATTACTTTCAGTGGCAAAATCCTCCATAACTTTTGCACCAACCTAATATATTTTATATTTGGCTTTGGAACACTAACTAACAGCAATTTGGGAGGGTGGTGGTGGCTACTTTCTAAATGTATGCACAAGAGCTGGCTTTAAACACACACTCCATCACTACCTGATATCTGGAGCAATTTATTTCATTTACTGCAGCTCATTTTCTTACATCTATATGATCTAGGTCTCCCAGTTTGTGAGATCTGAAGAATCACCTAACATTCTTGTTAAAATGCAAATTCTTCAGTCCCTCTAGACCTACCGAATCTAAACTCCAGAGGAGGAGACTAGAAATCTGTATTTTTTACAAAGATGCACCCTAGGAGAGTCTGACAATTGAGTCAATTTCAAAAACAATTTGCTAATACAATATTATAACTATGTGCACATTAGAGAATGAATTTAAATGAGTGAACTATAGTAAATTGCCAATTGATGCTACAGTTATTAGTAAAGGCAAGCTATATAGATTCTAGATATACTTAGTTGTATACATGCATTTCATACAATGGAAATGTAACTTTAGTGTTTTCCTAACGCTATCTTCCTTTTTAAGGTTTTGTTAAGGTTCCTAAATGGCATTGGCTGTCTTGTCTTGTTTATTCTATGCTCTTTAACTTCTCAACTGATTCATGTCAAACTGGACACTTTAATTAATGAGTTATTAGACTTGTAGGGGAGAATTTTTAGACTTTGTTTTCAGTTGTTCAATCGTGTCCCTTGTGAATACCCCAAATGCTGTCAATTCTTTATCTTTGTTCTAGGCCCTGAACAAAGTTAGTTTCCTTCTCTTCTCTTTTCTTTTCTTTTCTCTCCCTTACCTCCCCTCCCCTCCCCGCTTCTCTTCCCCTTTCCTTCCTCTCTCTTTCTTTCTTTTCTTTCTTCTTTCTTTTTGCTATGTAACATTTTGCAAAACAGCGGGCTTTGCTGTATAGCCTCACATAAAGATCTCAGAATGACTTGAAAAAAATGTATAGTGAAAGGTTTATAATTCTCCTTGATTTATATATAGCGAAAATGTGTATTAGGTTTGTGTTTCCTTATAAATTCACTGTAATAATGTAAAGTCATTGTAGGAAAGGCAATGTGTGAAATAAAAGATATTATGTCATAAAAATTGTGTTTGAATCTTAAGATTGTTACACAGTAAGTAATCATGGGCAAGGTAATTAATTTCAGTTTCTTTAGTTATGAAAACAGAAATAAGTGCTGTTATTTAATTCTTACTCTTTGCCAGACATTTTTTAAAGTATTTTGCTTATAAACCATTTAATAAAAAGGAGAAATTTCTATTACTTCATTTCGCAGATGTATTAGGATTCTTCAGAGGGGCAGAACTAATAGGATAGATGTGTATATGAAAAGGGGTTTATTAAGGAGAATTGACTCACAGGATCACAAGGTAAAGTCCCATGATAGGCCGTCTGCAAGTTGCAGAGCAAGGAAGCCAGTGGTGGATCAGTCCGAGTCCCAAAACCTCAAAAGTATGGAAGCCAACAGTGCAGCCTTCAGCTAAAGGCCCGGGAATCCCTGGCAAACCACTGGTGTAAGTCCAAGAGTCCAAAGCTGAAGAACCTGGAGTCTGATGTTCCAGGACAGGAAGCATCCAGCAAGGGAGAAAGATGAGGCTGGATGCTCTTCCATCTTCTCCTACCTGCTTTATTCTAGCTTGGCTGGCAGCTGATTAGATGGTGCCCACTCAGATTAAGGGTGGGTCTGACTCTCCCAGTCCACTGACTCAAATGTTATTCTCCTTTGGCAACACCCTCAGAGACACACCCAGGAACAATACTTTGCATCCTTTAACCCAGTCAAGTTGACACATAATATTAACCATCAAAACAGATGAGGAAATTGAAGGGCAGAGAAGTTAAATCAGAGTTCAGGGTGACACAACCGGGAGTGGTGGAGCTAAGGTACCTATCTTGTTGGCAGAAATATGAGGATTAGCAACTCTGTATGAATATTACCTCCTATAGGGACTGCTATATAGTAGGCTAAATGCATGTGCTATGGTCTCATGTTTGTGTCGCCTCCAAAATTCGTGTTGAAACTTAACAAAAATGTAATGATATTAAGAGATGTGACCTTTAGGAGGTGATTAACCCATGAGGGTAGATTCATATAGGATGAGTGCCTTCTGAAGGGGCTAAAGAGAACTAGTTTGACCGCTTTTTGTTTTGCTCATCTGCCCTTTTCCTATGCAAGGCCATACCATTTGTCCCTTCCAAAGGATGTAGAATTCAAGATGCCATCTTGGAAGCAGACCAGACCTTATTAGACACTGAGCCTACTGGCACCTTGATCTTACTTCTCAGCCTTCAGAATCTTGAGAAATAAATTTCTATAACTTATACACTACCCAATTTGTGGTATTTTGCTATAGCTGCACAAATAGACTAAGACAACTTTGTAACTAATATATTTATAAAATGCCAGTAGTTCCCGTACTCACTCCAAATAAATTAGATTAAAGATGATCCATTCCATGGAAAAAGGCTTTTGCTGTTTATCTGAATAATATCCACTAACTGGTTGGTTTCACCATTTCACACTTTTATCACTTTATTTTTTTTATTTTTTTGTTTTCTAGTTTTATTGAGGTATAATTGGCAAATAAGGATTGTATATATATTTAGGGTGTTTTATATGTTTTGACATACACATACTTTGTAAAATTATTACCACAATCAAGCAATTAAAATATCTGTCACCTCACATAATTTGCAATGAGAATATTTAATATCCACCCTCTTAGCAAATTTCAAGTATATAGTACAGTAATATTAACTACAGTCACCATGTTGATATTAGATTTTCATAACTTACTCATCTTACATAACTGAAACTGTACCCTTTGACCAATAGCTCCACATGCCCCCCAATCCTACCCTTTGATAACTTCCATTGTACTCTCTGCTTCTATAAGTTCAACTTTCTTAGATTCCACATAAAATGAGATCATGCAATATTTGTCTTCCTGTACCTGGCTAATCTCATGTATATATTTATACATCACATTTCTTTATGCATTCATCTTTCAGTGAACATACATGTTGATTCCATATCTTGGCTATTCTAAATAATGCTGCAGTGAACATGGGAATGCTGATATCAAGATTCAGATTTCATTTTCTCTTTTGAATGTACGTGCAGAAATGGGAATGCTGGATCACATGGAAGTTCTATTTTTATTTTGGGGGGTCCTCCATAATGCTTTTATAATGGCTGTGCCAATTTACATTTCCACCAAGAGTATGTAAGGATTCCCCTTTCTTCACATCCTTGCCACTCACGACTCCGTGGTACACTTGCAGCTGGTCGTGCATTTACATTCTACTTGCCTGAAGTTACTTTTAGTACAGACTGAACATATCAACATAAGATGGTGTCAAACTTATAATAGGAGATAGATTGTAGTTGATAACTGGAGTGTAGAGTTCAAGTAGCTTAGATTCAAATGTTGTTTCTGTATAATTTCTGTATACGAGTGTATGACCTTTGCCATCATTTTCTTCTCCAAGTTTCACTTCTTCTCCTATATAAATTGGGACTGATAAGGTTGTTTGAGAATGGTTTGTAGTAGTACATACTAAAACAATAAGATGTTTACAAATCTACCTCCCTCCCACTTTTTCTGATACTTTTTCTGATCTTAAATCATCTTAACACATTCTAACATGATTCCTACAAAAGCTCAATTAAGTAAAATTCAAATTTAACACACTTTCCTTATTGTTCAGTTCTTAGGCCGATTTTTAAAAAATCATAACGTACCTTTAAGTTTCAGAATAATAGGATTTAAATTCAGAAATCAAAATTATCTCTGAATTTGCATTTATTTCTTATATAGCAGTAGTAATTTCTGATTATGACCTGTTATGCTGATAAATAATAGAGAGCAATATTATTCATGGAGTGAAAGTATGGAAAATGGCATCTAAAAAGAATTGTATTAAAATAGAGTTGAAATTACATCTTTACTTTCACCATTTTTTATGCATCTTATAATACGAAACAAAAAGAAAATTTATGATGTCAATCCCTAAGAATAGACAAGAAATTGTGAGTGAAACAGTACATTCAAATTTCCTTACTGAGAAAAATATTGTCTTTTTTTTTTTTTTTGAGATGGAGTCTCACTCTGTCGCCCAGGCTGGAGTGCAGTGGCACGATCTCGGCTCACTGCAACCTCTGCCTCCCGGGTTCACGTCATTCTCCTGCCTCAGCCTCCCGAGTAGCTGGGACTACAGGCGCCTGCCACCATGCCGGCTGATTTTTTTGTGTTTTTAGTAGAGACGGGGTTTCATCATGTTAGCCAGGATGGTCTTGATCTCCTGACCTTGTGATCCGCCCGCCTCGGTCTCCCAAAGTGCTGGGATTACAGACGTGAGCCACCCCGCCCCACCAAAATATTGTCTTTTTAAAGACTGTCTTTGGTGTAATTTCTCCTTTGGGCCACTAATATTTTGAATGGTGCTTCTCTATTTCTCCCACAGTACTCCAAGATAACTGAGTTGGTGGTAAGCACCACAGTGAACAGCTTGCAATTAGTCATAGCTCTTACCAGATGTGAAGAAAGCACCCACTCAGACGTACTTATGCCTATTTAGACAGCATTACTCTAGAGTTTAAATCATGGATAGAAGTTACTTTTGTATATATATTCCATATTAATTCATGTTTTATAAAACTTACTTTTACATGCTCTAAAGAAACACTATAATGATAAAACTAAACAATGAATACATAGACAAGGATATTCTGTTAAATATAATGTTTAAGATATCATTCTTAAAATTTTCCTCATGTAATCTGAGACTGGTATGGAAATTACCATATTGTCTATAAAATGAAATGATGTTATGTAAAAAAGTAAAGTGGGGTAGGGCAATCTCTCTCTTCTTCAGACCTAGTATTGACCAATTAGAAGAAAAATTGGAATTGTGACAATCAAAGCATTAAGGCTTTGAAATTATCAGATATCCCTTCCTTCAACCAAGATAAAAAAAATCCTTGCTGGACACGGTGGCTTATGCCTGTAATCCCAGCACTTTGAGAGGCTGAAGCGGGCAGATCACCTGAGGTCAGGAGTTCAAGACCAGCCTGGCCAACATGGTGAAACACCATCTCTACTAAAAATAAAAAATTTTAGGGTATCGTGGCATGTGCCTGTAGTCCCAGCTACCTGGGAGGCTGAGGCAGGAGAATGGCTTGAATCCAGAGGCAGCAGTTGCAGTGAGCTGAGATCATGCCATTGAACTCCAGCCTGGGCAACAGAGTGAGACTCCATCTCAAACGAACAAACAAACAAACAAAAAATATCCTTGATGTGAATTGTACTTAGCAGGAAATAAAAGCTTAATATATCTGAAGTTTACTTCTACCAAGAATATTTTGTAAGATCTAAATATATTCTTCAATTTCTCAGTATATGAAAATATGTTACTGAATGTTTATTAAACACTTGAAAGAATTGCTTGTCTTAAAGCCATGGGAGAATTTGTAATTTAACTTACTGTGTGCCAATCATCACTGTGTGCTCGATGTGCATTAACTTATGTAATTGTTTCAAAAATATGCCAAAATAGGTACTATTAGCTCTGTTTTGCCGAAGGAAACAAAGTCACAGAGTGATAAATACTCAGTAATATAAATATATAGAAAAGCTGGAATTTGAATGAGCAATATGGCTGTATAACTTGTTTTCATAAACACTATAAAAGTTTTACCAAGGTGGAGGAAAGGAACTGATAACAGTTTGGGGCCTACTGTGCATCTGTCAATGTGCTGGCTATTGTGCACATGTTATGTTACATAGATCTTATATTTACACTTTGAGGCAAATCCCTATTTTATAAATAAGGAAACATACCCTGAGATGTTAAGTAAGTTGCACATGGCCACATAGCTAATACATGGAAAACATGGGATAAAATCCCATGGACCTGCTAGTACACTGTGAGATATATTATGTTTAAGCTTGTTTCTGCCTTAAGTCACCCTGAAAAAAAGTGGTTTAAGAAAAACAGTTAAATGAGGAATAATTTTAGCAAAGTGTGGAGATTATAGGGCCTTATGAAATTTAGTAATTTACAGGGCACAATAGGGCTATTGACAAGAGATTCTGAGAATTTCTGTTTCAGGCTATATCTCACTTTTTATAGGATGTTCACAATCTCTACTTGTTTTACCATCTCAAAAAGACTCTCATTGCATGCTATTCTAAACCACCTTCCTTCAGAATACCTAATCTTTAGTGACATGTAATATACCTTTTAAATCTGGACTTAATATTTATGTTATTTCACCTGGATGTGCCTAGACTTGTATGTTATGTTCATTGGGATTGGAAATGACAAGGAACCAGAGATCATGAAGTGACTTACCCAAAGCCCAGTGCTTTTGGGTTTCTGCAAATACTTATCGAATGCCTACCAAGTGCCAGGTACTGCACTAAATGGAAAATATAACATTTAACAAGATTTGACATCTGCTGAGGAAGATCCGCTTACATTTTCGTCAATACTCATGGTGCTCCAACATACAGCTCTCTGTTTGCCAATCATTTTTATTGAAGAAATAACTGGCTGTCATCATTTTAGACACCGGCTTTAGTCAAAAAAAGTGCTCTAGTGGTCAAGGAGACACTTACAAATTTGAAAGCAAGCAAAACAGTTTTATACACAGCCATTGCCATTCTTATCTTTGGAATAAACTCCTGGGAGCTGATCCAGCACTGAAATCCAAAATGTGCTGCCCATATTTATGTTTTGGAAGTATTTTAATAAAATTTCAGAGTATCTAATTCTTGTTAGGAGGTAATGTAAGATGGTAGTTGCATACAAAGCTTCAAATTCTCGCTCCATCACTTAATAGCTGTGTCATTTTGACTGCTTCAAACATTATCTAAAACTGGACTCTTACATGTGTAAAATAACACGTGCTTCATATGGTTGCCATGGGGATTAAATATGGTGATATATTTGAATCAATCGGCACAATTCCTAGGACCAGTGAAGTGCCTGCCACAGAGCTGGCAGCTAATAACTATTTAACAATGTTGAAGTTAACGTTTCTTGATTATCAAAACTATTAATCCAATTATGACAAACAACAGATATTTATTGGATATCTAGCAAGTAGTACTGATGCTGTAAAGCAGGGAAGGTGACTATCTGTGTTCCAGCTGATCATGCCCCCTTTTCTCTGAGACAAGACCAGACTTCAAAATACTTCACATGGTAATCTCAGGAAGGAGTTCATGTGAAAATGAAATCGTTCTGTCAAATTAATTATAGAATCAGGAATATATCTCTGCTTGTTCCCATGGTGAAAATTAGTCAACATCACTTCTTTCCTTTACACTCTACTATGGGCACATGGCCCGTCCTTATTAATTCTTTAAGGACAGGGTGGTAAATTTTTCTGATTTTTATTAGCACTTGAGAGAGAGAGAAGGCATAGACAAAAGAAAATGAAAGAGCAATTACAGGAAGGCAAAAAAGTTTGGAATAGCATCTTATGATGTAGTTACAAAACTAATCAGTAATCCAGGTATTGCTTACTTTATATTTTAAAACTCTAGGTATTATTTGCTTTACTTGAAAACCTTGTACAACATCATGTGTTTTACAGAGAGCAAGAAAAGGGTCCTGGCCCAAGAGGCCCTGGTTATGATTGATCAGTAATCCTCCTTGGCTTGCCCATTGGGTACTCTTTGCAAAGGTGAAGAAAAAAGGTATAAATGTTTTCCCAGCTCGAAAATATCCACCTCAAAAAATTTCACTCATTTTGTCTTTAATATCATGTCTTCCCTATTTCTTCTAACATATGGCTTATTTTTCAATAATACTTTCCCTCTTTTCTTTCCTCCTCTTACTTTATTCCTGATCCTGATTTTGAAAGAAGCATACATCTGAAATTATCACCACTTAAATATATTATGCCTTAAATTCTTTACGAAGTTAGATATGTTTTGAACAAATAATTAAGCATAACTTATAACCACAACAGTACTGATACTTTTTGTCAAATAGAAAGTAATCTTCTCATGTGTATTTAAAGTTCATGTTATATACATTAAACCTCTAATACCATGAAAGGCATATGACCTTCCTTCAAGAATCTCTGAGACATTAATGCCATGCTTATGGAGTTCTGGCCTGGGTATCGATAATGGGCTTCTTTTACCAAATATTGATGGAACTCTTACCATATTTTACATTCTAAAATTTAGAATCTATAAGCTAAGTTAAGCTTAATATTATAAAGATGGCCAATAAATTCCTGTCCTTAAGAGGATCACAGCAATGATTATAACAGACATTAAATAAACCTTTTAACCTAACTTTTACTTATCACATGTTTATGGTTAACCCCTCAGACTTCTTGAAGATCAGGTTTTGGATGAATCTTGAAACATAGCAAAAGCACTCATTTATTTTATTTACTCATTCAACAAATTTTACAAGGCACTGTGGAAGGTACAAGGGTTGTGGTAAAAAACATCAGAAATGTTATTTGCTCTCCCAAGACGTCACATTCTTATGGTGAAACTGTTGGGGAAACATACATTAACAGTGGAGTGTAATAAGGACACTGACGGGGTGTACACCAGGTAATACAGTCATGTGGGAAAGAAGAACCCTTGCCTAAGATGAGGAAATGGTTTTTTGGGAAAAGGTTGTGGTTGATGTTGTGAAATTGTTGAGTTTTTGCTTGTTTGGCTTCATTTCGAAACTTGTTACCAGGGAGGACTTATGATTGTTCACGTAAGCACAGAGGTTTATGAGACTCTTTGAAAGAAAATGTCATGGGCTTCTTATTACTACATGGATGATTTTTGTGTTAATGAAAAATATTATTTACTGATTGACTTACACACTAGTAATTGATCGCAACTCAGTTAAAATAATTTCTTTTAATTTGTAGCAGGCACCTTAATCCTTACATAGCTTACAGTTTGACCTTTAAGGCTGAGCTTTAAAATAACATTCAAATGTAAAATCTAAGTTTAGATATTACTTCTGAAACTTAACCATTGAAATTAAAGTAAAAACAGGTAATTTAAAGTTGTTCTAATAATGCCTTAAACTTGTGCAAATGTTTACAGTGCATAACATCAAAAATATATAAAAATCATTCACACATGTCTCAAGTATATAGAATTATTATTATCAATATCAGCATTTTCACATGTGCCCTAATAAATGATGCCACTATTTGGCAGAAACTGCTACATACTATTATAAGTCACTTGAGAAATGAGAATTGTTATTGTTTGTTTGTTTTTGTTTTTTTGTTTTTTTGAGACAGAGTCTTGCTCTGTTGCCCAGGCTGGAGTGCAGTGGCGCGATCTCAGCTCACTGCAAGCTCCGCCTCCCGGGTTCACGCCATTCTCCTGCCTCAGCCTCCGGAGTAGCTGGGACCTCAGGCGCCCGCCACCGAGCCCGGCTAATTTTTTGTATTTTTAGTAGAGACGGGGTTTCACTGTGTTAGCCAGGATGGTCTCGATCTCCTGACCTCGTGATCCGCCCGCCTCGGCCTCCCAAAGTGCTGGGATTACAGGCGTGAGCTACCACGCCCGGCCGAGAATTGTTTTAAAGGAGCTAATGAGCCAGAGAAGAAGGAATCTTCCATAGTGTTAGGAAGAGCCTTGACAGTAGCAGAAACTGAAGGCTGAGTACAGTGACCTCCTTGCATGGAGGAGCAGATGTCCCCTGGCATTTCCCCCTTCCCCTTAGAAATCATTAATCTGAAAGAGACGGGAAAGGAGAGTTGGGGAGGAGACAGGAACGGAAGGGGGAGGAGACA
This sequence comes from Homo sapiens, assembly GCF_000001405.40. Taxonomy (NCBI): domain Eukaryota; kingdom Metazoa; phylum Chordata; class Mammalia; order Primates; family Hominidae; genus Homo; species Homo sapiens. The sequence continues at coordinate 26,350,072 of NC_000011.10, forward strand.
GGAACGGAAGGGGGAGAAGAAAGAAACAGATCTATGTGGAGAAACCGACAAATGCAACCCAAATTTTAGAAGCCAATTCAACTATTGATACCAGGAACTCAATTTCCGAATTTCTTTAGGAGGACTGTGGGTAAAAGTCATGTCCATTCTCCTTTGGGAGGCATGAGTGAAACTAGTCAGGAAACACCCATCAGCACGAGTAGTGTGGTGGGCCCCGCACAAGTATGGGCTTGCTGGGCTGGGACCTATTAGAGACTCTAGCTATTCACCAAGTCTAAAGAGGCTGCTTAGGGGGAAATATATTTGTGCAATTATATTTGCACATGATCTATATTTTTGTTTTCTAGTTTTCAAATAACACATGATTATTGTAGAAAAGTTGAAAAACTTTGAAATTGTTTCTTTTTAAAACTGTACCTGCAACAATTTGTTTAAAACCTTCAACAATTTGTATTTAGATTCTGACTTTAATCTATTTAATCTATTTCCAGTTTACTTAGGCTTAATTCTGTGTTTAAGTGAATCAGTGTTCAATCTTTTTTAAAGTTTCCATATTTTAGTTATATATATTTTGATATAATGACTCAGTTGCAAAGAGTACAACGTTGTGATTTTTTTTCAGAAAATACACAAATATACCTAATTGAATACATTTTTGTTACCTTCATATGTGAATGAAAAATTTTAACTCTACTAAAGTTAGGAATAATTTTTTTCTCAACATAACTTTTCCATAATCTTCTGAAATTCAATACTGTGAAAGGTAAGTCTAAATTTAGCCTTATATTTCTTTATTAGGGGTAAGGTGCTCTTTTCTGCCCAAATTCTTGTAGGTTTTCTCATTAGCAATGAAATCTAATTTCCAGCAATTATATATGAGTACTGAATCTATCATTTTTGCCTGATATGTAGGGAGAACTTTTGAGCTGTACAGTGTTGTCAGTCCAGCAAATTTATCCTAGTAATGCTTTAATTATTATTTCTGATACCTTCAGATACCTCTTTGTTCAACCATCACAATTAATTGTATAAATTCAGAGATATACACATTCTAAATCAATAATGTTTATTTGTTGTCTTAATTTTTGCCTTTTTTCTCTACATACTGATAATGCTGCTTAAGATGGTCTTCTATATCAATAATTCAGTTTTTCCATGGGTACATTCTATTTTTTTCTTCAACAGTTTGAATATCTGCCAAGTTATATGTGACCCTAAATCACGTTTTTAACTTACCCTGCTCTGTTTTTATCTTAATGTGGTGTTACTTAATTTTTTGAGAATGTTATTTTTATTTAAGAGAACCTTGAAGATCCTGTCTATATTTTATTTTTTCATTTTTAAAATATATTTTATTGTTTAATTGTAATGTGTTCTGTTAAAAGTTTTACTCTTCTGCAACTTTCCAAACATACTATTTCTGTTTATTTAAAAAAGAAGCATTTTCCTTGCTCCTATAACTTAATTTCTGATTATCATCCTTGAGGGAAAGATTCTGTGCGTCATGGTCATAGAGAATTTATAGACAGAAAAAGGAAAATGGCTTCCAGAAAACACAAGTGAGGTACAGAAGCAGCTGAATTGGTTATAGCATGGTGTTTGCCTTATTTAAACACAATTTGAACGGTTTGCCACCTTTCATTGGTTGAAACTTGGTGATTGGTAAAAGAGTAGTTTACAGTCTGTTTACACATCCAGTTAGGTTACAGTTCACTATGTATGGGGAAATGTTTAGGCTGAACTTACAAGGAAACAGTGTTAGGCTAAATTTAATTTAACAGGATCCTAGTTTGACCGCACTAATATCCCTTGATTGAAAATGCAAAGACAGGTAGAGAGGGCTGACAAAGGGACTGTTTGGCATCCTTTCATCCCTATGTATTAACAGCCAAGTAGCAATAGCCCAGGGCAACTGTGTCCATACGAAATAGAAATCCAGCTGGAGTTGGGATTTTTCATTGATCCTACTGGGCTTACCTCGATGCAGTAGGAAAGAGAAACAGGAATAAATTAGATAAAAACATACAATATGTGTAAAGTAGAAGCTAGACAAAAATAAATTTTCATTAGTAACTGGGTCTAGAGGCATAGCAGACTGAACAAACCAAGTACTGACTAAAAAACAAGTCTTTACTACCCAAGAACTCATTTCTTCCTCAAGTTACCTCACGACCCTGTCGCTGAACTGGCAGGTAAACTTAGAGCAAATAGTCATCCACCTTGAGATCTAGCTGGAGGCTGGGAACTGAAGGCAGTGAGTTTTTATTTAAGAGAACATTGAAGATCCTGTCTATATTTTATTTTTTTATTTTTAAAATATATTTTATTTTGTAGGGTCTAGATTCTGGGCTGGCCTCGTATGTAACTCTTTCCTAGCTTCCAGCACTGAGGTAGAAATGAAGATTCACTCATTTACTCCCTCTCTTCCCCTGGATCTTTTTGACAATTTTCCTTCAGAATTTCAGATGGGGGAATTAGATGCTTGTCCTTAAGAAGCAGTTTCCTAGAATATTCTTATAGATTGAAGATCTTTGCCAGTACATAAATATTTATCAAAATGAATGTGACTTTTCCTTCTTTCATTTTGTTTTTATGCTACGTAGATTGTATGTTTCTTTACCATTCTCTTTGCTTTCTTTGTTTGCCCTATCACTAGTTTGTTGACTTACAACTTCTTCAGTTATTTTGTAGGTATGTATTCTGGTTGTAATTCTACTAATGGCCTTGCCTATGCCTGATGGTTCAATACATATTAGATCATTGACACCTTTCTTTATTATTACCTTGATTACATTTGTCAGTCCAAGAAGTTTTCAATAAGCTTACCATATCAGTGGGCTAGGGGAGGTCACCAAACACTGATATGAACTCGACCCCCTCTTGACACCATCACAAGAAATAACTCAAAAATGAGTCATAAAATAGTGAAAGTACAGAGATTTATTGCAAAGTAAAAGTACACACTCAAGAAAGGGGAGTACAAGTGTATGCAGGACAGAGGATCATGCCCAACGGGGTTTGGAGCGTCTGTCTTTATGGGTTTCTTTAATCACGAGGTGGAATATTCATGAAGACTCCTGGGAAAAGATGATTTCTTAGAACTGTGGTGCCACCCATTTTTACACCAAATATAGGTGTTCCTGGACTGTTAATGGTGCTGGTGGGTGTGGGATTTGGTATGTTGATGAGTGTATAATGACATCCTAGGTGAAACCTAGGTCAAATCCAGTGATACGTTTGGTCCAGTTGGTCTTAGCCAGCTTAGCCCACATTCTGTTTTTCAGGGTCTTATCGTCCCCTACCTTATGCAGCTATTTCAATAGTTTCCTTTTTGTTAGTCATGTGGAACTGCTGCCTGGAGTTTTTATTCTCCTGTGACCACACTGTATTATTTCTGTCTTACTTGGAATCTATCCAATTTTTCAAATTTCTTCAAGGCTAATCTCAGCCACGTTCCTCACTTCAATTCCTTCCTCCCTTCAATTCCTTTCTTCCCTTCGTTCCTTCCTTTCTTTCTTTGGATGGAATCTCGCTGTCGCCAGGCTGGAGTGCAGTGGCGCGATCTTGGCTCACTGCAAATTCCGACTGCCTGGTACAACTGCTTCTCCTGCCTCAGCCCCCCGAGTAGCTGGGATTACAGACATGCGCCACCGCGTCAGGCTAATTTTTACATTTTTTAGTAGAGACAGCGTTTCATCATGTTGGCCAGGATGATCTCGATCTCCTGACCTCGTGATCCGCCTGCCTCAGCCTCCCACAGGGCTGGGATTACAGGCATGAGCCACCGCGCCGGGCCTCAATTCCTTTTTACTTGTCTGTCACTACCAATTTTAACAAGTTGAAGAACACATTCTCATTTATCTTTATATCACCAAAATTGAAATCATTGCCTGACACACAGTTGATATTTAATTTTTATATTACTTTTGAAAAGTTGAAATGCAAGGGTGATGAAATCTAGACCTCTATTAAAATATTTTATTTAGTTCCTTTTTCTTTTGGCCATAAAAGATATTTTGCTGAAAATAAGTGATTCAGCAGGTGATTAGAGGCTTATGCAGATTGGTACTAATTAGGAGGTATTGCTAAGACAACAGTTGCTGATTTCTCATTAAACACTTAACAAATTAATGTAACGTACAGAATTGAAAAAATCTGGATATCTACTATGACATATAGAGCCTAAGATTAACAATACTGTATTGTAGACTTAAAAATTTGCTCTTCTTTCCATAAAAGTGAAAAACAAAAGGGAGAGAAGGAAAACTTTTGGAGGTGATGAATAAATTCAGGACACTGGATAGTGATGATGGCTTGATAGTTTCACAGGTGCATTCTTTTCTCCAAGCACATCAATTTGTATGCATTAAATATATCTTCTTAAATGTCAATCATACCTCAATAAAGCCATCACAAAATAATGACATAATGACAAAGACAAAAAACAAATAAACAAAAACCTTCCAGTATATCCTGTCCCACCACTTTGCACTTCCCAGGCCCTGTCCCCAGAAGCAGCCTCTTTAGCTCTATTTTTTTTCTGGTACATTCTTCCATATTTCTAAATTGTATACTTATGTTGCAATTTATTTGTTAAATTTAGTTATCATTAATTTCCTGTTGAATTATTTGAAATTTAACTTTTCATATTACCTCCACAATTCCTCTTTCCTTGTTTCCTCAGTAAATAAGTATCAACTTTGTTTAGTCAATGTTTATATTATTTTCATATTAAAATTGTTTAATGTATAGTCAAATAGAAGTCAGGTGGTATCCTAAGATTGATTTCTCCTCAGGTAAGATTTTTTTTTTTAAATTTCTTAAAAATGTATTTTATATTCCTTGTAATTCTTCCATAATTTGTTTTAGTGTTCAAAAGCAATTTACTAAAGGCCTAGCAATAATGTTTTCTTGTACTCAAGCTCATGAAATTGTAACTCTTTTTTTTTTTCTCCCTCTGAAGATGCCCCTTCATCTTATCTGTCTCATTCTGCTCCAGTGAAGAGTTTTTAGCTTTCTGAACTAGTGCCAATGTGTCATATTGGGACTTCACTGTCTGATTTTCTTGTATTAGGGCTCTTTTCTTGATCCCGTGTCTTTCAGTTTCTTTGCTCCCTGTTTTACTGAGACATGTTCTCCAGCAGCTTATTGAAAAACAGTGAAGAGTTGATTTTTTGAGCCTTTGCATATCATAAAATGTCTTTTTTTACATTTATGTAAGTTGAATGATAATTTGACTGGATAAAGAATTCTAAGATGGATTTTTTTTCCTTTCATCACTTTTATAGCATTATTCTGCTGCTGACTTCCAGCAGAAAAATTTATGTTTAAAGAGTCTAATATCATTCTGGATCATACTTTCTTTTGTAACTGTTTATTTCATTTCACTTTCTTTTGTTTTTTCTCTGAAAGAACTCATTCATCCACAACCGTTCTACACTGTTGGGGTCTTGTCTTTAATTTGGTATCCTGAAATTTCTTTCTTTCTTTCTTTCTTTTTTTTTTGAGATGAAGTTTCACTCTCTTTGCCCAGGATGGAGTGCAATAGCATGATCTCAGCTCACTGCAACCTCCGCCTCCCAGATACAAGCGATTCTTCTGCCTCAGCCTCCCGAGTAGCTGGGATTACAGGCGCCCCCCACCACGCCTGGCTAATTTTTGTATATTTAGTAGAGACGGGGTTTCACCATGTTGACCAGCCTGGTCTCGAACTTCTGACCTCAGGTGATCCGTCCGCCTTGGCCTCCCAAAGTGCTGGGATTACAGGCGTGAGCCACCGTGCCAAGCCCCCGCCGAAAATTCATAATGCTGATTCTTGGCATGGTTCTCCTAGTTGTTCATTATGTTGACCACTTTGTGAGCAACTTCTTTCCAATCTATAAATGGATATCCTTTGGTTGTAGGAGGTTTTCTTTGTATTATTTTTATAACAATTCTCAAATTTTTAATTTTATCCATTTCCTTTCTCATGCTACTATAAAGTAAATGTTAGAATTCATGGTTTGTGTTTTGATTTTTTATGATATTCTCTCATTTTTCACCTATTTGTCTTTTTTCTTTTTATTCCACTCATCTATATATTCCAAATGAAATAAATATATATGTATCTACACACATATGTGTGTATGCTCTATATACAACCTCCTAGATACATATGTAAGTAATTTAGATTATTGAGCACAAATTGTAAACTACACGTACTTAAAAGTATATATCTGGTAAGATTCGACATATGTATGCACCCATGAAACCACAATCACAATCAAGATAATGAAATTATAGCTCATCCCTAAAAGTTTCTTTATGTACCTTTATGCCTCTGTTCTGTCCCTCCCTCTCTCTTATATCTGCTAGGTGTCCACTAGTATGCTTCTGTCACTATAGATTGCTTTGCATTTTCTAGAATTTTACATAAGTGACATAATACAGTATATATTGTTTTTTATCCTTTTATTTCACTCAATATAATGCTTTTTACATTTATGTTGTATATATGAATTGCTCATTATTTTTCATTGTTGATTATTCTATTATATTGTGTATTCAATTTCTTTTGCTACTGCAAGAAACTACCACAAATTAGTGAATTAAACAGTACATTTATTCTCTTACATTTCTGGAGATTGAAGTCCAAAATGAATTTCACTTGGTTAAAGTCAAATTGTTGCTACAGCTGGTTCTTTCTGGAGGCTCTAAGGGGAGAATCCATTTTCCTGCCTTTTTCAACTTCTAGTGGCTGCCTGTATTTTTAACTTGTGGCTGCTTCCTTATATTTTCAAGGTGTATCACTCCAATTCCTGCTTCTGTTACCAAATGGCCTTCTGATTTGTAGTCAAATTTCTCTTCTGCTCCAGCTTATAAGGACATTGGAAATTATATTAATGGCCTACTCATATATCTAGGACAGTCTCCCCATCTCAAGAGCCTTAACTTAAATCACATCTACAAAGTCCCTTTTGCTATATAAGGTTAATTCACAGGTTTTGGGAGTTAGGACTTGGATTATTCAGCCTACAAATATGGATATACAAAATATTGCTTATCCATTCACCTTTGATGGTCATTTCCGTTGTTTCCAGTTTGGCAGCTATTACAAGTAAAGCTGCTGTGAACATTGAGTACAAATCTTAGTATGGACATATGATTTCCTTTATCTTGGTTAAATACTTGGGCATGGAATGACTGGATTATATTCTAGGTGTATGATTAACTTTTTAAGAAAGTGTCAGACTTATTTTCAACATGGTTTTCTCAATTTTCATTCTAACAGTAAATATGAGACTTCTAGTTTCTTTATAAACTCACTCACTACATACAAATGTTAGTATTCTAATAAGTGCACAGTGGTGGTATCCTATTGTGGTTTTTATTTGAATTTTCCTAATGACTCATTATGTTGCATTTATTTGACATCCATACATCATCCTTCATAATGTATCTTTTCAATTTTTTCTGTTTTTTTTTTAAATCAGGTCATCAGTGTTGAGTTTTGAATGTTCATTTTATATTATTGCTACAAGTTGTTCACCAGGTATAAGATTTGCAAATCCTTTCTCCCAGTCTGTAGCTTGTCTTTTCATCCTATTAACAGGGTATTTTATAGAGAAAATGTTTCTAATTTTGATGAAGTAGAATTTTTTCTTTTCTTTTATGGATCATTGATTTGTATTAAAATATATTTTTATAACTGAGTGTCACAAATGTTTCCCTTTATGTTTCTTTCTAGAAGTTTTTTCATCATTTTATGTAGGTATTGCATTCATAACTGTTATTCATTTTGCATAAATATCTTAAGTAATATATGGATCAGAATGTTTTTTGTCATATGACTGTGCAAATGTTTTGACATGTTTTGAACAGAATGTCCTTTTCTCCTGAATTGCCTTTGCAATTTGTCAAAAATCAATTGTCCCTGTGTATGTGGATCTGTTACTGGGCTGTTTCTGTTTCATTAGTCTACTTGTCAATCTTTATAACAACTTCATACGGTAGCTTTATAGAAAATATTGAAATCATTTAGCAATACTTCAAATTTGTTATTTTAATGTCTTTTTAGCTATTCTGTGTTTTTTACATGAAGCTTAGAATACAATTTCAACTTTTTTTTTTTTTTTTTTTTGAGATGGAGTCTCACTCTGTCGTCAGGCTGGAGTGCAGCGGCGCCATCTCAGCTCACTGCAACCTCCGCCTCCTGGGTTCAAGCGATTCTCCTGCCTCAGCGTCCTGAGTAGCTGGGACTAAAGGCACACGCCACCACGCACGGCTAATTTTTGTATTTTTAGTAGAGACGGGGTTTCACCATGTTGGCCAGAATGGCCTTGATCTCTTGACCTCGTGATCCACCTGCGTCGGCCTCCCAACGTGCTGGGATGACAGGCATAAGCCACCGCGCCCGGCCACAATTTTAACTCTTAAAATCCTGTTGGGATTTTTATTGGGATTGTATTGCCTATACAGATTAATTTGGGAGAATTGACCATCATAATTTTTTTTTACTTACAATTATATTTTTTACTTTTATAATTTTTATGTGTATTGTGTTTGGAGTTTCTTAGCCTTCTTAAATATGTGGGTGTACAGTTTTCATTACATTTTTGAAATGCTTTCGGCCACTAGTTTTTTAATATCCCCCTTCCCTTTTGTGGTCTCTGGTTACACATGTATTAAGCTATATGAAGTTTTCCTTCAGTCCACTCATGCTCTTTTTAAAATTTTTCATCTTTAATTTTGGATTGTTTTTCTTGCTATATGTTCAAATTCACCAACGTTTTCTTTCTTCCACAATTGTCATTAATCCTATCCAGTGTATGGTTTTTCTCATAAAATTTTGTTTTCACTTCTAGAAGTAAAAATTTGGGTCTCTTAAAAAATGTCTTCCATGTTTCTTCTTAACTTCATGAACATATGGTGGAGTACAGTTATAACTATTTTAATGTCTTTATGTGTTCATGTTACCATATCTGTTAGTTCTGGTTCAACTTTGATTAATTATCTTGTCATTAGATTTCAAATTTTTCTGGTGCTTTGAATGTCTAAAAATTTTATATTGGAAACCAGGCACTAGCAGTTTTACCTTGTAGAATGCTGGAAATTTTTATATTGCTATGAATATCCTCAAGCACTGTTCTAGAAGGCAGTCAAATTAGCTTGGCAACAGATGATGCTTTTATTTCTTGCTTTTAAGTTCTGTGAGGTGGGACCAGGATAGTGCTCAATCTGGTTATTTCTCACTATGGAGACAAGGCTTTTTTGGGGTCTCATGAATCTTCAGTGCTCCTAGTTTGCCTAATTGGAAAAGGCAGTATTCCCTGAAGTGTGAGCACCATGTACAGTACAGCAATCTCTAATTTTTTGGTGGATGGTTCTTTCTCTGGGCTCAAGAAGTTTCACATGTATGTACTGATCATACACGTATGTACATGTATATACTGATCAATGCTATTCTGACAACTTAAGGGGACCTTGCAGATCTCTAGAGTTCTCCCTCTATGCAGCTGTCTCCTTTCTGGTAACTCTATCCTGCAAACACTGTGCACCTTGGTCTCCTTAGAGTCTCTTCTCTGTCTCCTCTACCCAGGGAGTCTGCTGAACCCCATTTGGATTTCCTCTCAGTGCACAATGTCCTGGAAACTAAAGGCAATAAACTGACAGAATCATAGGGATGGCCTCATTTGTTACCCATCTCTCACAGATTATTATCTGTTAGCGGCTAATCTCTATTTTCTTGCAAACCATTACTTCAGATGGGAAGGTATATCTAGTTCCCAGTTTTACATCTTGGTCAGAGTGGAACTATGTCAGACTAGTGTGTGTGTGTGTGTGTGTGTGTAAATTTTTATTTATATATAAATGTATGCATATATTGGAACTTACATATAAATTATGTAAATCAACATAAATTTTATATTTATATGTAAATTACAAACTATATTAATATATGAATAATATAAGTTCTAATATCTACTTATTCTCTATTTGTTATTCCCATTATCCTATTTTGATTTATGAATACAAAATCTTCTAGTGTTTTTTAAATTTCTGTAAGAATTTTCATTGACATTTTTTCCTTTTTATAAGTTTTTTTTTCTTCACTGCTTCCCCCAACCCCCCCGCCCTTTTTTTTTCCACTTACTGCATTGCTTTTGTTGCCTCCTGGTTCTTTTTAACTATATATGGTTTTCCCTCTGTCTTTCACTTTGCAGTCTTTCTTAAATATTCATGGATCCATGGCTGAACTGAGGTTCTAAAATGCTACCCAGAATGTCTGTGGGCTGGGTCTGGTTCCTGATGTACTTCCCTGCAGCGTGATCAGATAGAGATTTTTAAAAATTCCCTTGCTAAGATGGTGGGGAAGTAGAAAATACAAAGGGGTGTTGGCATTCTACTGAGAACAGTGAGAAAAGACTGAGACTATAATTTATATTAGGTAGGGCCTCATTTAATCCGACTTAGTTTATTCCTGTGCCTCACATCATCCCTTTGTGGCAGGAGAGGGACCTGGTGGATCAACCTCTCTGTAGACAGAATGCCTGTCTACTTTTAGGTCTAGTTGTCACCCAGCTTTCTATGGTGAATTATATCATCTGTATGCTGAACCGCTTAGTAAAGGTCTCATGGAATCCTCTCTGCATGTTTTTATTCGAAGCTTTCTCTGCTCTACTTTGTCAATTTTCTTTGTTACCTTATGTGTTCTAAAAGTTTATTCATATCTCTCAACATTATCAAATCATGTTTTAACTTCATGGATTAAAACTATTTGTATACTTACTCATTTTAGTGGAGTTTGGAGGATAGATGGACAAGTGATAAGAATGTTTGTGACATACCTACTGTTATTACGTGGATAACCTGACGTCTTTGTAGAAATGAGCATTTTGAATTGGTTCTAGTTGCATATTCAGAGAAGTTCGTGCATTAGGTGTGTAAGTCCGTCACCTCTAAATTTTATTCTATTTAACTTTATACTCAGCATGTGACAACATTTTATACTTGGTTTCCAGGAGTCAGGAAAAGCCAGTTTAACTTCATTTCAATACTAATTTAACTATATCGGAGGTTAGTGCTTAAAGCCTGGATAATGAATAGCTATTCTTGGAAATGAAAGGTACACAGATTCTTAATAAGTATTTGTTAAGAATTCCGGTGCCTTGAGGAAAGATAGATTTGTGAGTGCTTTTGCAAGGTTCTATATTTACAGCAATTTGGGGAATGTTAGGTTAATTTTTCATTTCAAAAATCTGATGTCATTTTATTTTTCCAGGCTTTGTCCTATATGGTAGCAGAACAAAAGCAAACAGCATTTGGAAGAGACCTATTCTTTTTTGTAATATTTTTAATAAAACATAATTGCATTCAACACAGAAATGTGATTTAATTGCCTTCTGTAATATAATTGATGATGTAATTATCAGGATTTAGTCGAACTTCTGTTTATGCTTCCCTCTTATGAGTCTCAGGCAAAAAGAGTAGAGAACATTTGCAATAAATATACTTATTGTGAAGAAGAAGCAAAAAGATGTAATTAGGCTTCTTGTGTCAGCTGCCAACTTTGGTGCTTATTGCCCTTATGATTTAGAAGCTAATATTTTTGAAAATATTGTTCCAATTACTATGAACCTGTCCCAAGGAAGAAAGGAGGCGCCCTTTACAAAACCACCAATAAATTTTCATCTTTAGTTTTTTGACACTCTGGTTTCTTTTTGCAACAAACTCTTTATTTAAGATTGTTACCTTCACTCTTTACAATTAATTATATTCTGCCTCTGCCTGTGGGTGGTAAACCCTGTTCTAGACTTCTAAAAATGCTTTTTGTTCTTTTCTCTCCTTCAGAGATTTCTGATATTTATGTCATAATGACTGCACAGTTTCCAGTTCTTTAGACTTAGTGTATGGATTCATGGATTCAGGGGAATTAATGGAGTTGTACAGTACTCCCTCCATTTCCCATTTCCTCTTTTGATTAAGAGTTTTAAATATGAGGATGGCAGTTAAATAGGACTCAGGTTGCAGCTTCTTTCCCTGATGCCTACGCCATAAATTCCTTATTTACTATGGTGATGGCTCTTGATGAGTGAAATCGCACACTCATAATTGTTCTCAAGATAGTACACCAGGAAGCCACAATTAATCATTAAAAATAATTTTGCCAATTTTGCTTTGACACAAAATTATAATAATAAAAACTTTATGTGTCTACTCAATGTTATTTTGCTTGGAGTTTTTGTGTATATTATCTGTAATTCTCATAACAGTACAAGGTAGATTGGAAACTGAAGCTCTAGAATTTTATGTAACTTAAGTAAGTTCGGATTGTTCTTTATGGACTCTAAAACAGATATACATGACCCTGAAATCCCTTTTGTTCCACTGAGCAAGTCAATTTATCTTAAAGGATGACCTATGGCAAGTAAAGCCTGCAGATTTTTGAGCAGATGGCCTTATAGCAATTATTGAATCATGGTGGCTAGGGCTGACCCCAACCAGAGGAATCTCACCACTGATTTTCAATACATGAACAAATTGTGCTCCTGGTGTATGCCTTAGATTATCAGTTCATCTTCTAAATTAGTTCATCTTCTAAACTGGAGGAAGGAAAGACCTTCCTGTGAACTCTAGCATAAAATGCACTTCTTTTTCAAATGTCCACTAAACAAATATTATGTTTTTATATTTTGTTAGTTGCTATTTTTTTAATTAACTTGTATAATTTTGCTGGTGAGTCTATACCATGAGGGAAGGTGTCATATATACCTTCTTTATAATTTTATTGTCAACATCAACAGTACCTCATATAAATGTTTAATAAATATTTCTTAAATGACTACCTAAATGCATAAATTGGAATCTTCCCCTAAGACTCTTATAGGTCAATTGGTGAAATCCAAATATACATGTGTCAGTCAAGAACAAACCATATAACTGGATATTTATCCTGTAGTGAGTGATGAGATCTGTTAAATGCATGTACCAAGAAAGTAGAAAACCTCAGTTGGTTGGCATAATTGGGAATGTCTTTATTACCATTACATTTAAACTTGTGTCTATTTTACAGATTTTTTTAGTTCTTTTTTCATCCTTCATCAAAGGTCAGGAAAATATGACCCATAGAGATTAAATACCTTCCCATAAATCACTCTGGTAATTAATGGCAGAACAAAAACTCATCATATAATCCATATACAAATCTTAATTTGTTGATGCCCATTATTAGGGTCTGCATTAGTCAGGGTTCTGGTTAGAGATGCCATAACAAAATACTAAATACTGGGTGGCTTAAGAAACAGAAATGTATTTCTCACAGTTTTGAAGTTTAATTTCAGGAGGGTGTTGGCAGGTGTGGTTTCTCTGGGGGCCTCTCTCCTTGACGTGCAGATGCCTCTTGTCTTGTCATGTCTTCACATGTCCTTTTCCTCTGTGTATGCACATCCCTTGGTGTCTGTTCCTCTTATCAGGACACCAGTCATGCTGGATTAGGGCCTCACCTGTACAACCTCATTTAACCAAAAATGCCTCTTTAAAGGGCATATCTCCAAGTAGAGTCACATTGGGAGTTAGGCTTCAACATAAAGTTCGGGGAGGACACAACTCAGTCAATAACAGAGTCCACGCCTATGCTTTATGAGGATATATTCTTGGGTTGTTTTTATATTGTTGAGGCAAACTGCACTGCTTCCTACATTTCTTTTATTCAAGCCTATCATCAGCTTCAGCTGTTAGTGATAACTGCAGATTTTCTTCATGTTCCCTAATACATACTGCAAAAAAAAAAAGAGATTAAACCAATTGACCTAACTCATATAGCAAAATAAGAAGGAACCATAGACTTTTGAGAACATAAAAGATTGTCTTTTCAAAGTTTTTCAAAGTTCAAGTGCCTACTTGGTCCATTAAGCCATGACCAGGACAGTCCTTATAGGACTGGCTTTATAGTAGGGGTGAGGGTACATTAATTTGTGATATTACTTAGAAGAATAGGTTGACTGGCAGAAACTGTAATTAATATTTGCATCAAAGATGTTTTAACTACAGCATTCGCAGTTTCTATATCATAGTAGATGCCACTGACTTATGTGGGTCCATGTAACTCTAAGGTCCTGGGTGCCGTTCCAAATCAAATAAGAAATTTTTTTTAGTTCCATATAGAATGGGCCTGTTGACAAATTTAGCCCCATCTCTGCATATCTCGTCTCTGTTTGCCCTGAAGATCATCCAGAAACATGGGGATCAGACCTACTCCTTGGATTTAATAACATCACTGGTTCAACCAGGATTTTCAAAAATTTTGGCAGTAATTCTAAAATATCATTTCCATTAATCCAGCAAGGCCCATCCCTCTAAATCTCCCCGGGTTAGGCCACTCTTGTGTTGCTGTAAAGAAATACTTGAGAGAAAGTAATTTATAAAGAAAAGAGTTTTAATTGGTTTGCCATCTGCAGGCTTTACAGGAAGCATGGCTTTGGAATCTGTTCTGCTTCTGGTGAGGCCTAAGGGAGCTTTCAATCATAACAGAAGGCAAAGGGGGATAGTCTCATTACATGGTGAAAGCAAGACCAAGAGAGAGAGTGGGGGTGGAGGTGCCACACTTTACAAAAACTAGATCTGATGAAAACTCACTCACATCATGAAAATAGCACCAAGGGGATGGTGCTAAATCATTCATGAGAAATCCACCCCCGTGATCAAATCATCTCCTACCAGGTCCCACCTCTAGTACTTGGGATTGCAATTCAACATGAGATTTGGGCAGGGACAAGTATTCAAACTATATCATTCTGCACCTGCCCCACCCCAAATCTCATATCCCTCTCCCATTGCGAAATACAATCATGCCTTCCCAATTGTCACCCAAAGTCTTAATTTATTCCAGAATTAACTCAAAAGTCCCAAGTCCAAAGTCTCACCTGGAAATTACTTAATTTCACCCATGAACATATAAATTCAAAGGCAGGTTATTTACTTCCAAGATACAATGGGGGTATTGGCATTGGTAAACATACCCATTCCAAAAAGAAGAAATCAACCAAAACAAAGGGGCTGCAGGCCACACACAAGTTTGAAACACAGCAGGGCACTCATTAAATCTTAAAGCTCCAAAAGAATATCCTTTGACTCCATGTGTCACATCTAAGGCATGCTGATGCAGGGGCTGGGCCCACAAGAACATGGGCAGCTCCACTCCTGCAGCTTTGTGGAGTTCAGCTGCAAAGACTGCTCTCATAGGTTGTTGAGTGCCTGCAGCTTTTCCAGGTGTAGGTTGCAAGCTGCCAGTGAATCTACCATTCTGGGGTCTGGGGGACACTGGCCCCCTTCCCATATCTTCACTAGGCAGTGCCCTAGTGGGGATTCTCTGGGGCTTCCAACCCAAAATTTCCCATTTGTTCTTCCCTAGTAGAGGTTCTCTGTGAGGGCTCCACCCCTGCAGCAGGCTTCTGCCTGGATATCCATCCTTTCTCATAAATCTTCTAAAATCCAAGTGGAGGATGCTAAGCCTGCTTCACTCTTATACTCTGCATGCCTACAGACTTAAAACCATGGGGAAGCCACCACAGCTAATGGCTTGTACCCCTGGAGTAGTGACTAAAGCTGTACCTGGACGCCTTTGAGCTGAGGCTGAAGCCAGAGCAGCTGGGATATGAGTAGCAGTGTCCCAAGGCTGTGCAGGTCAGTAGGCCTTAACCTGGCTCCTAAACTCATTCTTTTTTCCTAGTCCTCTGGGCTGGCCTGTGAGGTGAGAGGTTGCTGTGAAGTTCTCTGAAATAACTTTGAGGCCTTTTCCTCATTGTTTGGATATTAGCGCTTGGCTCCTTTTTAATTATACAAATATCTCTAGTGAGTACTTAATCCACAGCCTGCTTGAATTCCTCTCCCCAAACCATTTTTTCTTTATATATATATATATATATATATATATATATATATATATATATATATATTTTAATTATACTTTAAGTTCTAGGGTACATGCACATAACGTGCAGGTTTGTTACATATGTATACATGTGCCTTGTTGGTGTGCTGCACCCAGTAACTCATCATTTACATTAGGTATATCTCCTAATGCTATCCCTCCCACCTCCCCTCACCCCACAACAGGCTCCGGTGTGTGATGTTCCCCCTCCTATGTCCAAGTGTTCTCATTGTTCAATTCTCACCTATGAATGAGAACATGCGGTGTTTGGTTTTTTGTCCTTGCGATAGTTGGCTGAGAATGATGGTTTCTGGCTTCATCCATGTCCCTACAAAGGACATGAACTCATCATTTTTTATGGCTGCATAGTATTCCATGGTGTATATGTGCCACATTTTCTTAATCTAGTCTATTTGGACATTTGGGTTGGTTCCAAGTCTTTGCTATTGTGAGTAGTGCTGCAATAAACATACATGTGCATGTGTCTTTATAGCAGCATATACTGGGTATATACCTAGTAATGGGATGGCTGGGTCAAATGGTCTTTCTAGTTCTAGATCCCTGAGGAATCGCCACAGTCTTCCACAATGGTTGAACTAGTTTACAGTCCCACCAACAGTGTAAAAGTGTTCCTACTTCTCCACATCGTCTCCAGCACCTGTTGTTTCCTGACTTTTTAATGATTGCCATTCTAACTGGTGTGAGATGGTATCTCATTGTGGTTTTGATTTGCATTTCTCTGATGGCCAGTGATGATGAGCATTTTTTCATGTGTCTGTTGGCTGCATAAATGTCTTCTTTTGAGAAATGTCTGTTCATATCCTTTGCCCACTTTTTGATGGGGTTGTTTGTTTTTTTCTTGTAAATTTGTTTGAGTTCTTTGTAGATTCTGGATATTAGCCCTTTGTCAGATGAGTAGGTTGCAAAAATTTATAGACCAATGGAACAGAACAGAGCCCTCAGAAATAATACCAAACATCTACAACTATCTGATCTTTGACAAACCTGACAAAAACAAGAAATGGGGAAAGGATTCTCTATTTAACAAATGGTGCTGGCAAAACTGGCTAGCCATATGTAGAAAGCTGAAACTGGATCCCTTCCTTACACCTTATACAAAAATTAATTCAAGATGGATTAAAGACTTAAATGTTAGACCTAAAACCATACAAACCCTAGAAGAAAACCTAGGCAATACCATTCAGGACATAGGCATGGGCAAGCACTTTTTCTTTCTTTGCCACATGGCAAGGCTGCAAATTTTCCAAACTTTTATGGGCTCTTCTTCCACCAGATGCCCTAGGTTGTCACTCTGATGTTCAAACTTCCACAGATCCCTAGGACATGAACAGAATGCACCAAGCTTTTTGCTAGGACATAACATATGTGACTATTGCTCCAGGTTCCAGTAAGTTCCTCTTTCCATCTGAGACCTCCTCAACCCAGCCTTCACTGTCCATATTACTGTCACCATTTTGATCACAACTATTTAATCACCCTCCGAGAAGTTCCAAACTTTCCCTCATCTGTCTTCTTCTGAGCCCCCAAACTTTTCCAACATCTGTCTGTTACCCAGTTCCAAAGGCTCTTCTACATGTTCAGCTATCTTTATATTAATGCCCAACTCCTCAGTACCAAATTTCTGTGTCAGGTTGTTCCTGTATTTCTACATAGAAATACTTGAGGCTGGGTAATTTTTAAAGAAAAGAGGTTTAATTGGCTTGTAGTTCTGCAGGCTTTACTGCATGGAAGCATACAGTAAAGGAAGCATGGTGCTGACATCTCTTTGGCTTCTAGTGAAGCATCAAGGAGCTTTCAATAGTGGCACAAGGGGAAGGGGAAACAGATATGCCACAGGGAGAAAGCAGGAGCAAAATAAAGTGGGGCAGGTGGAAGCACCACACTTTACAACAACCAGGTCTCATTAGAAATTACAATCATGAGGACAGCACCAAGGGGATAGTGCTAAACCATTCATGAGAAATCCACCCCCATGATTCAAATCTCCTCCCACTAGGTCCCACCTCCTGTACTGGGGATTACAATTCAACATGAGATATGGATGAGGACAAACATTCAAACTGTATCACTCCCCTATGCATACCTGAAAGGTAATGCTGTGTTTCTAAAAGATAGCATAGTCTCTATATTTTTCTCTCTCCAGATGAAATCCTGAAATATATAAGCATTAAATTCCACCTGAGTGAGCAACAAGTCCTGGTGACAGAGAATTATTGTCCAAAAGTGCTGAGAGAGCTCTCTGCTTCATCACTGTGAATACAAATACATAATGATAGATGGCTCTTCAGTTTTTTACAGAGTAAGCTTGAAGAAACTATGAGCTGTAGATTTCGTATAGTAATTATAAGCCAAATCTAACAGAATTTTATAAATTATATTTGTATCAAAGTTTACATCAACAACCTCAATATGAATGTAACTAATTTCAAAAATAAAATCATCCATTTCCTGAAAATAATAGAATTGGCAAAATTAGTTTTTGATTTTTACCTAGTTTTATATGGAATAATAGTACCTTTGACCAGTGCCATATGTGTAAGGAAAGGAAGGAAGATGGAAAGAGAAAAAAGAAAGGGTGGGGGAGAAGAAGGGATAGAGAGAGACAGATTGAGAGATAGAGACAGAGAGACAGAGGAAGAGAGACAAAGAGGAGGGAAGGGAAAAGTGTGTGTCTGTGTGTGTGCGTGTGTGTATGCATGCATTCATTGGTATGTATAAATCTTTAGGCCTAGAAAATTAGCTAGAAGGAAATACATCAATCGCTAAAAGTTGTAATTTCTATATAGTGATTTATGATATTATCCTTTATGTTTTTTGTTTTTTTCAAGTACTCTATAATAAAAATGCACTGCTTTATTTCCATGAAACAACCTATTTTAAAATATAATGTTTATAATATGAATATAAATATTCAAGGTGAACTGGTTAATCCATATAAAATTTTTATCAACTATTCATTATACTTTATGGTTCAAAAAAGCATAAAGATCTACAGTCATGTCATAGGCAATTTCATTCCCCCCCAGCAGTTGACAAGGTCTATATTCATAAGAACAAATAAGG
The DNA here is from genome assembly GCF_000001405.40 of Homo sapiens. Taxonomy (NCBI): domain Eukaryota; kingdom Metazoa; phylum Chordata; class Mammalia; order Primates; family Hominidae; genus Homo; species Homo sapiens. The sequence continues at coordinate 26,369,063 of NC_000011.10, forward strand.
TTTCATTTTTTAAAATTATAAGTCAGCTAAATTTAACTCTAAAGCAATAGAAATATTTTCCAGCCATGTAAGTCTGTGTGGGTATGTGTGTGCATGCATGCCTATGTGTGTGTTGGAAGTGTGGAGGTGAGTAGTGAGACTAAAAGTGGCAAAAAGAAAGAAAACAGAAACTGCATTTCTGAAATTCTTATCAGATTTCAAAAGGGCATTTAGGAACTCTTTCAAAATCAATGCCATCTGGAAACATTAAAATGTCAAAGAAACTATATCATTTCTCTTTGATATTTTCTAATTTTCAGTGTTTTCCTCCTCCTCTTTCTCACCTCCTCCTCCTTCTCCTCCTTCCCCTACTCATTCTCCTCATCCTTTTCCTACCATTTCTCCTTTTCAAAATTTGTTTCAATATGAGAGATCTGAGGCTAAGAGGTATTATATAAAGCTAATTTTTAAATATTTTCTGATTTCTTAAATAGGAAAACATTCAGTCAATTATCAAGTTTTTCCCTTTTCTTCTTTACCTTTATTCAATGCCCTTGATACTTCTCCAGTTTAAGCTTTTTTTCAACATGGTCTGATTTTGTTAACAATACCAACAAATTAAATACTCAACCTAATTAATCCCTTTAACTGTATCCTTATTTTATCTGTTCTATCTCTGTTTAAAGAAAGTATCTCCTTACAGTTTTTTTTCTTCAAACACTATTGAATACTCTATTGTTTACTGTTACTTTCTAAATTGGAATCTTCCCAGTTTGGTGTAACACTGAATCATCATGTGGGAGTTATCCTCGGATACTCAAAGATGTTCAATTTGTTACCATCAGTGGTTCAATTTCCTGAACCCTGCTGAGTATACAAAAAGGAAATGAAATCAAGCAGGTGAACATTCTTTTCCTCTTCATAGTCAGACTACTCTTGATGTGAGGATTAAACCTTGTTCTTGGATGTTAATTAAATTACCCTATTTAGAACAGCATATGTACTAGGAATGACTAAAAACCTTAAGAATCAATTGATAGCTGATATGAGTTGGCTGTGTTCTCACCCATATCTAGTCTTGAATTGTAGTTCCCATAATCTCCACATGTTGTGAGAGGGACCCAGTGAGAGGTAATGGAATCATGGGTGTGGTTTTCCCCATGCTATTCTCCTGATAGTAAGTTTTAATGAGATCTGATGGTTTTATATGGGGCTTTCGCCTTCGCTCAGCTCTCATTAATCTTTTTCCTGCTGCCATGAAAAGAAGGACGTGTTTGCTTCCCCTTCCACAATGATTATAAGCTTCCTGAGGCCTCCCCAGCCATGCTGAGTCAATTAAACCTCTTTTCTTTACAAATCACCCAGTCTCAGGTATGTCTTCACCAGCAACATGAGAATGAATACAGTAAATTGGTACCACAGAGAGTAGGGCACTGCTGCAAAAATACCCAAAAATGTGGAGGTGACTTTGGAACTGGGTAACAGGTAGAGGTTGCAACAGTTTGGAGGGCTCAGAAGAAAACAGGAAAATGTGAGAAAGTTTGAAACTTCTTAAAACTTGGAGGGCTCAAAGGACAGGAAGATGTGGGAACGTTTGGAACTTCCTAGAGACTTTTTGAATGGCTTTGGCCAAAAGTCTGTTAGTAATATGGACAATAAAGTCCAGGCTGAGGTGGTCTCAGATGGAGATAAGGCACTTGTTGGAAACTGGAGTAAAGGTCACTCTTGTTATGCAAAGAGACTGGCAGCATTTTGCCCCTGCCTAGAGATCTGTGAAACTTTTAACTTGAGAGAGATGATTTAGGATGTCTGGAAGAGAAATTTCTAAGCAGCAAATCATTCAAGAAGAAGCAGAGCATAAAAGTTTGGAAAATTTGCAGCCTAATGATGCAATAGAAAAGAAAAACCCATTTTTGGGGAGAAATTCAAGCCTGCTTCAGCAATTTGTGTAAGTAATGAGGAGTCGAATGTGAATCACCAAGACAATGGGGAAAATGTCTTCAGGGTCTGTCAGAGTCCTTCACAGCAGCCCCTCCCATCGCAGGCCTGGAGGCCTAGATAGGAAAACTCCTTTAGTGGACCAGGCCAAGGGGCATCCAGCTCTGTGCAGTCTCAGGACATGGTGCCCTGTATCCTAGCTGCTTCAGCTCCAGCCATGGGTAAAAGGGGCCAAGGTACATCTTGAGCCATTGCTTCAGAGTGTGCAAGCCCCAAGCCTTGGCAGCTGCCACATGGGGTTGGTCCAGTGGGTGCACAAAAGACAATATTTGCATTTTGGGAACCTCCATGAAGATTTCAGAAGATGCTTGGACATGCCTGGATGTCCAGGCAGAAGTTTGCTGCAAGGATGGAGCCTTCATGGAGAACCTCTGCAGTGTGGAAAAGAAATGTAGGCTTGAAGCCCCCACACAGAGTCCCACTGGGGAAAGCCTAGTGGAGCTGTAAGAAGAGGACCATCATCATCATCCTTTAGACCCAGAATGGTAGATCCACCAACAGCTTGCACCATGCACCTGGAAGAGCCGCAGGCACTCAACGCCAGCCCATGAGGGCAGCCAGGAGGGGGATTATATCCTGCAAAGCCACAAGGGAGCAACTGCCCAAGACTGTGGGAGCCCACCTCTTGCATTAGCATGATGTGGATATGAGCCATGGAGTCAAAGGAGACTATTTTGGAACTTTAAGATTTAATGACTGCCCTATTTGATTTCAGACTTGTATGAGGCCTATGGCCTTTTTGTTTTGGCCAATTTCTCTCATTTGGAGCTGGTGTATTTGCCCAATGCCTCTACCCCTGTTGTATCTAGGCAGGAACTAATGTGTTATTTATTGTGCAGACTCATAGGTGGAAGGGGCTTGCCTTGTATCAGATGATACTTTGGACTCTGACTTTTCAGTTAATGCTGGAATAAGTTCAGACTTTGTGGTACTATTAGGAGGGCATTATTGTGTTTTGAAATGTAGGAACATGAGATTTGGGAGGGACCAGGGATGGAATGATATGGTTTGGCTGTGTCCCCACCCAAATCTCATCTTGAATTGTAGTTCCTATAATCCCCACATGTTGTGAGAGGGACTAGGTGGGAGGTAATTGAATCATGAGGGTGGTTTTCCCCATGCTCTTCTTGTGATAGTCAATTATCATGGGATCGGATGGTTTTATAAGGAGCTTCCCCCTTTGCTCAGCTCTCATTATTCTCCTTCCTGCTGCTATGTGAAGAAGGACAGGTTTGCTTCCCCTTCTGCCATGAGTGTAAGTTTCCTGAGGCCTCCCCAGCTATGCTGAACTGTGAGTCAATTAAACCTCTTTGCTTTATGACATATCCAGTCTCAGGTATGTCTTTATTACCAGCAGAGAATGGACTAATACAATAACCTTTCTGTCCATTTCATAATGAAAAGTCAGACCTATGTAAATTAACCTAAACGAAGAATTGTTCTTTTTATAGAAGAGGATACTCTTTTGTAAAGCATCTTCACTGGATAAATTTTCCTATTAATTCATGCCTGAATAATTAAGTAACAGTGCTTTTTATACTATCTCAATTATTTTCTTTATCAAAGAAATATTTATTGATTTGCTAGGATGCACCAGGTGCTGTTCCAAGTAGAGCAGTACACCAAACATACAAAAAATTTTGATACTCAGGAAGTTAGTATTCTGGTGGCAGAGAAAGACTAAGTAAAGGACGTGCATAACATATTGAACGAATGGTGATTGGTGCCAAAGACATAACATTAAACAAGGAAAGGGGTCATATAAAGTGGCAGAGTGAATAGTTGAAATATTAGATAGTTTGGCCATTTCACTTTGAACATTTATATTCATATTATAAACATCAGATTTTTCAAACATGTTGTGTGGAAGTAAAAGCAGTATGTTTGTTATAGATTATTTGAAAAAAAAATCCCAAAAATATAAAGGATAACATAAAATTGATAATAAACTAATTTTTACTACCTAGAAATTACAACTTTTGTCACATTGGTTTATTCTGTTCATTATTCCAAGTGAAGAGATTTATACATATGAATGCATGGCAATTATGTATATACGGGCAGACACACACACACATATAAATGTAAATGATGCTTTTTAACAATCACAACTCTTTATTATTGGTGGTTATAGAGTAGCAGGTGATATGGTTTGGATATGTATCTCCACCTAAATTTCATCTCAAATTGTAATCCCTATAATCCCTACATGTCGAGGGAGGAACCCTGTGGGAGGTGAATGGATCATGGGGACGGTTCCCCCATGCTGTTTTCATAATAGCAAATGAGTTCTTATGAGATCTGATGGTTTTATAAGTGGCTCTTCCTTCTTCGCTCTTCACACTTCTCCCTCCTGCCACCTTGTGAAGAATGTGCCTGCTTCTGTTTTGCCTTCCGCCATGATTGTAATTTTCTGATGCCTCCCCAGCCATGTGAAACTGTGTGTCAATTAAACTGCTTTTCTTTATAAATTACCCCGTTTTAGGTATTTCTTTATATCAGTGTGAAAACAGATGAATACATCAGGTAATAACTTAGATTCTAGGACTAAATAGTTCTGGTTCTAATTTAGTCCTGATACTTCTTACTTTTGTGATCCTCAACAAGTTGCAGATATATGTATCAGTTTAATCAAATCTAGAAAATGAAACATAATCACACCTGGCTCACAGTCCCACACACAAAGACACAAACACGTTGGCATGCATGCATCGTACATAGTAAGTTTTTAAATATAAATTAATATAAAAGTAATTAACAGTTTGGTAAGTCTTTTGCAGATAAGAACATGGAAGAACAGGCATTCTATTTTAACAAATCTTAACAATTAAGGAGCAAGCAACAAGTAAGTTTCCAAAAAAGATGATTGAATATAACAAATCTGAAGTTTATAGTTTTTATACTTTGTTTTCAGGACTTATTGCTATTTTAATTTTTATATAGATTTAAATCATATTGATAGGTAGTGCTTCCATGCCCACCCCAGCAAAGTATATAAATGGTATCAGCCTTTGTTGATCCTAAGAGACATTACATGCTTCCAGGTTCACAATGTCATAGGTACTTGTGTTTTCCAGGTCATATAAACATGAGTAAAGTAGAAATGAATTAGCATATATGGTAGACTGTCTTAATATCTATATTCCTTTTATGGTATTCTCAGTTTCTTTCTCATTTCTATTGTTATTTGAGTGGCAAAGAAATCATTTATGCATCAAATATTATTTGAGGTAATAAACATCATGTTTAGCAGCTGAAACGTAATACACATTCAGGATTTGACATGGTCAGGGCAAAGAGAGCTGCTTTGTAGTCCTGTATAGGTCTTAGAAGTGAAGTGACCCACAACTAGAATTACTGAAGATTACTGAACACGTGTTTTCTTTTAGGCTCTTGTCTACTACTGGAATCATTTTTTTAATATTGGTATCTTAAAGATCACAGAACTTGGACATTAGGAGGGAACAAATAAGTTTCTGATAAAGGGAAACAAAAATTAGTAATAATCATTTGCCATTTTAATTATATACTTTTTTCAGTATGGCTTTTGAAATTGAGATGTTGGCCATGATAAATTGATGGACTCCTATTCTATAAGAGTATAAGGCAGCTATCTCCAGCCTTGTTGACAATTTTTCCACAGACAGGGAAAGTGGAGGTGGTTTCAGGATGATTCAAGTGCATTACATTTATTGTGCACTTTCTTTTTGTTTTGTTTTGTTTTGAGACAGTCTTGCTCTGTCACCCAGGCTGGAGTGCAGTGGCACAATGTTGGCTCGTTGCAACCTCCGCCTTCCAGGCTAGAGCAATTCTCCTGACTAAGCCTCCTGAGTAACTGGGATTACAGGTGCACACCACCATGCCTGGTTAATTTTTGTATTTTTAGTAGAGACAGGGTTTCACCATGTTGGCCAGGCTGGTCTTTAACTTCTGAACTCAAGTGATTTGCCTGCCTTGGCCTCCCAAAGTGCTGGGATTACAGGCGTGAGCCACCATGCCTGGCCGTGTGCACTTTATTTCTATTATTATTACATACTCATCATAATGTAGAATCAGTGGGAGCCTTGAGTTTATTTTCCTGCAACTAAACAGTCTCATCTGGGGATGATGGGTGACAGTGACAGATCATCAGACATTAGATTCTCATAAGGAGTACACAATCCACATCACTCACATGTGCAGTTCACAATAGGGTTTGTGCCCCTATGAGAATCCAGTGCTGCCACTGATCTGACAGGAGGTGGAGCTCAGTTTTGCTCACTTGCCTGCCACTCACCTCCTCCTCTGCTGCCCGGTTCCTAACAGACCATGGACCAGTACCAGTCTGTTTTCTCAGAGTTAAGGACCTTGGTATAAGGAACTCTTTCCACTGGTAGATTATATAGTTATACAAATGTCCAGAAATTTATTCATCTACAAATAATAAGTTCTCAATAAATATTTGGCATTTGGTGGCGAAATGGAATGTTTACAAGCCAGAATGAATCGGTGAGTTATTGTTGGCTACAACACTTAAAATCTTCAAACAATGGGAGATTCAGCAGAATTTTCTCCCGATCTTCTGTAAACTCATGTGCTGATAGAAAATTTAGAGGGCAAAAAACATGGCATGTTTTTATGCCCAAGTAGTTTACAGCTTAGCTTTTGAATGAAGAAAAGGAGAGCCAAGATATATATGCATGAGGCAATAAGAGAAAAAATCCAACAGCAATATAATTGCAAAGCTGTCACAGACTAGCAGAAGTATAGATTATTTTTGGCTAGAGAAGATAATATCATTCCCAAGACCCCATGAAAAGAAACAAGCAGCAGCAGCAGCAACAACAACAAAACAATGAGTATAGACTGAGAGATTCAGAAGTTAATTTTTGCATTGCTTTTACTCTGTGAGGATGACAGGAGAATGAAGTTTTTCTGGAGAGAAAAAAAGTGTGCATTCCAAAATATACACAATCATATTCCCACAATTCAAAGAATAGCATGATGTTAAAAATGGTAAAGGGAATAACCTACAGTCTAGAAGAAAAGGCATTTTACTTGACACTGGACTTTAAGATACGTTCAATTCACATTTCATCTTGAATGTCAAAGAGCATGTATTTGATTACCAAATGATAAGAAATCATTGTACGTGGGTGAAAAAGAGTGAAATAATTATACACATCCATAAACCTTTCAACAACAGCCTTCACTCACTCCCCACTTCAACCTTTATGAAGTTGCTTTTAGTTTTTAGTAACAGTCACCTTAACAGACCCAATTTTGAAACCCATTAATACAAAATTGATTAAACACTTAAAAAAAAGACAGGGAAAATACTCACATCACAGGTAAATAAATAAAGGAACTTTACATTTCACATTATATATATCTCTGTTCTTTCCATTCAAACACCTCTTAATTTTTCACCCTTGTTCTGAAAAATTCATTTACCTCAGTTCATAAAAATAAAACTCAGCAGCTTGGTAAAGGGAACTTATGCATTTTCTTGAAACATGTCCTTCGAAGGCATCACTGCCTGCAACCAAAGATGTTTCTCAAAGTTTATTCGCACCCCTACCCGCTCCAAAAATATAGATCTCTCCTTAGGGAAAGAATCTACTGCTAAAAGTTGAGTAAAAAAAAAAAAGAATAACAGTTTTGAAAGAAGTCATGTGATTGGTCATGGATCCTGATGCGCAACTGTTATTTTGGTAGTAATTTGTGGAGTAAACGGCTAGCAATGAATTTTGTACTTTATTTAACTCCAAATAGTTAATAGATAATGATAGGGAAATTTTAACTGTGTTGTTGGGGAACTGGTATTATTTAATTAAATTGGGGTAACTGAAATTTGTCCTTATAGGAGCCATGCAAAGCAGAATTATTTGTATCATGGCTGAGAGAATGGGCTAGAGGAAACATGTTCTGCAGTGAAGGCAAGAGAATTTGTTTGTCTTGGCTGTGGCTCAGTGAGGAGAAAAAAGTCTACATGAAAAATTCTTAGATTCATCCTAGAAAGTCTCAAAGGAAGAATGCATTTATAGTAGCCATTGGTTGGTACTGTCCCTGTGCACTTGAAAGAAAACAAAAATATCCTGGAGAAAAACACACTTGATGCAGACCTTCTTGAATTTCCATTAATAAAATAACTTGAATATTCAAAAGTTCCTCATTTCCACAAATAACAATACACACAATGTATGGAATGAACTACAATGAACATGCATTGGCAAAACTAAAAGTTGCCAAAAGACTTCAGATATTGAATTATCAAATGTAAAATATTATAATGTGATTTATGTCAAGAAATCTGTTTGAAAATATGAGCATAAAGATAATAAAAAGAAGGAATTTGAAAAGGAACCACATGAGCATATTCATATATAATAATGAAATCATTAGCATAAAAAGTTCACTGTTAAACCAGAGAATCAACATAGATGAAGAGACCAATGAGCTGGAATATAAATCTGAATAAAAACGCAAAATATAACAGAAAACAATAAATTAAAAACTCTGAAGACTAGGCTAACATATAAAGGATGTAATGAGAAATTTTAACATGTCTAATTGGAAATCTGGAAAAAGAAAAATGGAGACAATGGTGGAAGCTTACTGAACTGTTGAAAGACATAAATCTTCAATTTCAGGAAGCTCGATGAATATCAAACACATAAATGAAAACAAACACATATCTAGACCCATTGTAGTAAAACTGCAGAATTTAAGACAAGAAAAACTCTGAAAAGCATCAAGAAAGAGAAATGATTACCTACAAATAAACAGTAATTAGACAGCTGACTTCTCAAGAGTAACAATGGAAGCTATCAGACAGTGGTACAAATATCTCCAAATTATAGAGAAGAAATCACTGTCCATGCAGAATTGCATACTTTGTGAAACAGCCATCTTTAATGTGAAAGGAAGACATTTGCAGAGAATAAAAAACTGAGTTTTTTAATATGTACCAGGAAACACTAACTAGATGACATTATAAAAAATAAAATTTGAGGACAGTATAAAGCATTATATTTTCATACTTATACAGTGTAAATATGGAAAACACTTAGACTGAAGGCCTGATATGCAAAATAGAATGCAGAATAAGGAAATGAAATGTGAGTAAATATAAACAATAATGTATAATATCTTGGGCTGGTAAATAAATATAAATCTCAACTAATGGGCAATAATACCATAAAACATTATAATTGATGTTTTAGGGCCTCACAGTACTGAGGAAGTGGGTAGAGTTACTGATTTAGACTCTCATGAGGTATACTATATATATAGATAGATAGATCTATATTAACTATAGATTATATATATCTATAAATATCTATATATTATCTATATATCTATATATAATCTATATATTATCTATCTATATATATTATTTATCTATCTATCTATCATCTATCTATCTATCTATATAGACTAGTTACCACTAAAATACTACAGTGGGTAATTTCCATAGCAGTGGATCTGGGAAACACACTTTTAAAAATTAAAAAGTAAAAGGAGAAAATTTAAAAAATTAAAATGAGAAAACAAAATGGTAAATGTAATAGAAATAAACCCAAATGTATAAAAAATGCATTGTTGTTAGCTCTGAGCGGTTTCAATTAAAATAAAATGATGACTGTATCAACAGAGGGGCAAATTGAGGTGAAATATTACCTGCATTACCAGTAAAGGCTGATGATATGAGTACATTGTTTTGGATGAGAGTCAATGGGTCTGTTAACTGTACCCAGAAGGACACAGACAAATGCTCTGGTCCAAGATAAGCTTTCCTGATTTTCTATCATGCAGCATATGATGTAAGGTGCTTGGCAAAGTTTGTATCATTATAAGTCTTTAGGAGGCTAAGTTTTTTTTTAAGATTCTGAGATTTAAAGAACAGTCTCATTGGATATACTTTGAACAAAACAAAAAACAACTTCTCCAAAAAAAAAAAGCCTCAAAACATAATGATAGGCAACACAGAGAAGGAAACAGTATAGCATTATGAAACAGTGAGTAGGAGACTTTAGAATGTCCATACAGAAAGCATCCCTGAAGAAGTAACATGTCAGCAAATAAATATCAATTAGGAGCCACCCTGGAAAGACATGGGGAAAGAACTGCTACGAAGATTCTAAGGCAAGATGAGACTATCAGGTTTTTACAATGAGAAGATGGCCTGGTTAACAGTGGAAAGAGAAAAGATCAAAGATGTAGGTGGACCATACAGAATCTCATAACCCTGGTTTTAAAGTTTGGATTTTTTTCTGAGTTTGATACAAGTCATCAGATTGTTTAAACAGTAGTGTGATGTGATCTATTTTCCATTTGTAAATCACTCAAACTGCTCTGTGAAGGATAGAGTGTAAGTTAGTAAAAGTACAAGAAAAAAGTCCAGTTAGGAGTCATGGCTTTGATCTATGTGAGAGATGACTGTGGCTTGGTGTAACATTGGAAATAAGAATGGTGAAAGGCTGGGCACAGTGGCTCATGCCTGTAATCTCAGCACTTTAGGAGGCTGAGGTGGGTGGATTGCTTGAGCACAGGAGTTCAAGACCAGCTTGGGCAACATGATGAAACTCTGTCTCTACCAAAAATGCAAAAAAGAAAAAAAAATGAACTGGGTATCATGGCATGCACCTGTGGTATCAGCCACTCAGGAGGCTGAGATGGGAGGATCACTTGAGCCTGGGAGGTGGAGGTTTCATTGAGCAGAGATCATGCCACTGCACTCCAGCCTGTGTGACAGTAAAACCCCGTTTCAAAAAAAGAATGGTGAAAATTGGAAAGATCTGGCATTTATTGGTAGTAGAGTTGAAAGAACTAGGTGGTGAATTGTTTTTAAGAGTGAGGGGAGAAAAGGAGTCAAGCAAAAGTGGGAATAACACCTTGAGCATTTAGATGCATTGGAGAGTTCCCATTACTTTAAGTTTTTCAGTTAATCCTGTTTATGTCCCAATCCATGTAGTTTACTTAGGGGTTTTTAGTGTCTACAACTTCTGAGTTGTTCTTGGTTCTGTGGACTGATAAGCATCATTCTTGTTGGCTTTTCTATGCATCCTCAGCTTTTCTCCTATCTCAGTTCTAGTCAGGTACCAGTCGCTTATCTGCCATTTTAGGATTTCAGAATTGTGGGTACATCTATTATTGGTTGTTATTATAGGTAAAGCAATTAAAATAATGCCTGGAACAAAGTATGTGCTACATAAGTGCTAGTTATTATTCTTATTTTGATATTTTGTATTACTTGTTCTTGTGGGTTATCTTTTCAAATTCCCTACTGTCATTTCTTTGCCAGTTTTAAAGGGATTAGAATTAAGAAAGCATGAATCAGTGTAAATGCATTGATCTATTCTGGCTGCTATAACAAAATACCTTTGGGTAATTTATAAAAAACAGAAATGTATTGCTCACAGTTCTGGAGGCTGGGAAGTCCAAGATCAAGGCATCAGCACATTAGGTGTCTGGTGAGCACTCATTCCTCAGAGATGATGCCTTCTTTATGTTCTCACATGGTGGAAGGGATAAATAGGCTCCCTGAAACCTCTTTTACATGGCATTAATGAAATCACCTTCTAGAGGCCCTACATCTTAATACCATTGCCTTTGGGATTAGGTTTTAACATATGAATTTTCAGAGAGACACAAGCATTCATACCATAGCAGCACATATTTAATATAAGAAGTCTCACGCCTGTAATCCCAGCACTTTGGGAGGCTGAAGCGGGTGGATAACCTGAGGTCAGGAGTTTAAGACCAGCCTGACCAACATGGTGAAACCCCGTCTCTACTAAAAATACAAAAATTAGCCGGTTGTGGTGGTGTGTGCCTGTAATCCCAGCTACTCGGGAGGCTGAGACAGGAGAATCACTTGAACCCAGGAGGTGTAGGTTGTAGTGAGCCAAGATCGCACCATTGCACTCCAGCCTGGGTGACAGAGCGAGACTTCAACTCAAAAACAAAACAAAACAAAAAAGAAAAAGAAAAACACAATCTAAATTCTGTATCTTTTGTTCCTCCTAGTTCAGACTGAATCGAGGCCCCTGATGCCTTTTTCAAGGTAGTTTTTCTCTAAAGGTAACCTGAGATTATTGTGAAAACCAAAGCCTAATATGTTACAGATCAGAATGTAATAGACTAAACTGATTTAGAATGGGGTAACGTATTAGGTAAATTGCCACCATTTCCTGAGACAGTCAACCCATTATTCTAACTTCAGTTTAATTATCAGGAGCTTTCTAGCATGTGATCATGGAAGATTTGTAAGGCATCACACAAGAGTTATAGTTTTTTGTTTGTTTAGTTTTGTTTTACTGTAGCACTCGCTATTTCCCTTTCCTAGAATGTTCTCCAGGAGCCAGCTACTCATCATCAGTTAGGCCTCAGTTCAATATCACTACTTTCAATAGGCTTTTTCCTACTACGCCTACACTTTCTAAACAGCATTTACATTATATCCCATCCCATTATCAAGTTTTATTTATGCAAAATTATTCATGTAGTTATTGACTTTGTCTGAATTGTCTCATCCCATTTGAATGTAAATACCAGTCTTGTTTACTAGCATATAGTACAATACCTATCTCATAAAAGGCATATAATGTTTGTTGACTGAAAGAATGATTTCATTGGCTGTCATATACACAGCTGGTAAATCCTCATTCTTGCCATATCTCTACCTTCAACTCTCCATTCTTGTGTGTCTAATGTAAAATATTGCCAACAATGTCTGGAGAATGACTTGTCCAGAGCTTTCCTAATCAGGGGACTGTAGGCATGGCCATTTCCCAAGGGCAATGATTGTCAGATGACTTCCCAGTAGAGCAAAGAATTGGTATTTTATTTTTAGAAGTAAACATGAAATGAATTTATGGCAAAACAATTTTTTTTATCTCTTGAAAATATACCTTTGATGTCAAAAAAAGATTATATTCTTTCTCAAACTGTATTTTGAATATAGGATTATTCTGAATTTTTATTAATACATTCACTCTCTATTTCATAATCTCCCTACATTCTAGCAAATTTTGGGTTAATAATTTATTATGCATATGTATATGAAATCTATCTATTAATAAATAGATATATTTCAATTTGTGCAAAGAGCTTTCTGGGCTTACCAGTTTTATCAAAAGTCAAATGGGTTGCTTAAGCAATGGTAAAATCATGAAACATGTCAGTTAGGATTTTCCAAATTAGAAGTTCCAAGACAGTAACACTGGCTCTGCTGATATTATAATAACAACAGTAGTATCTATACAATGAATATGCAACCTGATAGTTTTCAAAGCAATGCTAGCTTCAGAATTGGTGGCTAGCCTGATATACTTCCCAGTTTGCTGGGGTTTCTGGAGATTAAAATTTAATCAGCAAGAGCATTCTCTAACACATTATACCTGGCTCGTCTGCTCTTAATCCTCCTCCCTCATCCACCCACTCTGATAATATCTCAGATAAAAAGAATTGCAGAACTTATACCTTAAGAAAATTTTATAAAAATTAGTCTTATTTTTTAAAGCTTGGTACCTAAGAAGCATCAGTCATAGAAGCAGGCTGTTGTCCCCAAATGTTCCTCTACTGTGGAGTTAGTCATCATGTCTCACAAATTACATATTCTTTCAAAGCCCACTTCTGTCTGTTCGCAAGCTTACAACAGTGATGAACTAGCCTTGTAAACTCTAGTTTCTTCCTCCTTTAGGATGTTCCAAGGCTATGAAAAATATTGTACTGCTTATATAATTAGAAGTATGTGTTACCCAAGCTGGGAGAGTGCCTTCTGTAGTTGTGAAAACATTGGCATTAATTGGAGAGATGTCAAAGAGTTGTAGCCCCTGAGGATAACTATTTTTGAGTCATAATTGTTTTCCTACAGTTACAAATCCTTATAGGGCAATTACAATTATTCTAACCTGTGATGTCTCTGACTCTGAGTGGAATATACTTGACTTGAGATTTGTGTAAATTCTATTAACATTGTGATCTTCAGTCCAGACTAGGAAACAGGTATCCACTCATGGTTATACTGCAGTGCCACTAGATGAAGTTAAGTCTGTATCCATGTTTTTCATAGTGTAGTATCCTATTAAATATGCAAAGAAATAAAGGATTTTAGTGATCAAATGAGGTAGGAATTTTTAAAATAATATTTGCCATCCCATAATCACTTCTGAGATAGATATTAATAATAAAAATTAGCAGATTAAACACTCAAATTAATTTTACAAGCTCTGGCCAAACCTTTTTTTTTAAACAATGAAGCTTAATTTTTTTAACCAATATCTACTAATATCCTGTAAAAGTATTCCCAAAGACCACTCTGAGAAATGTTAACCAGAGTAAGGCATTAAAACTCCATTTTCTGTCATGTTTAGCTGTGCATTTAGTTGTGAGAATCTTGACTTTTTTCCACATTTGACGCTATGGTTCAACAATCATGTTAGATTGTTCCTAATAATTAAACTCACAGTAGTAGATTGACTGTCCTAGGAGATGACAGCAATATATATAATGGCTTACCCTATCCTAAATGACTTTAGACTATTACATACTTACATGTAAAAAGTCAGATATTGTCTTTACAATAACCTCAGTTTACCTTAGGAGAACTACATTGAAAAATAAAACAATCTTCAAGGAAGTGCCAAGATTTGGCCTGAACTGCGAGGGGTAAAAATACAACATTCAGACTTCTGATTAAATATGTTCATTATGCAATATTTGCTTATTTCTTGTTCCACTAAAACCGGCAAATAAATGACAGTTAATAATTAGAAGTAATAAAAAATACAAAAAATAATGATAGGAAACTTTCATATAGCACATACTTTGTGCCACGCATTGTTCTTGTGCCATGCATTGTTCTTTTTTTTTTTTTTTTTTTTTTTTTTTGAGACGGAATCTCTCTCTGTTGCCCAGGCTGGAGTGCAGTGGTGCGATCTTGGCTCACTGCAACCTCCGCTTCTCGGGTGCAAGTGATTCTTCTGCCTCAGCCTCCTGAGTAGCTGGGATTACAGGCGCGTGCCACCATAACCCGGCTAATTTTTGAATTTTTAGTAAAGACTAAAAATGTTCACCACGTTGGTCAGGCTGGTCTCAAACTCTTAAACTCGTGATCCGCCCGCCTTGGCCTCCCAAAGTGCTGGGATTACAGGCGTGAGCCACCGTGCCCAGCCCCACACATTGTTCTTTACAAAGAACAATTGTTTTATATAATTTATATATATGTGTATATGTACAAATTATAAATTTAACAATTGTTAAATCGGCAATAGATGCTCTCCCAATTTTAGACCCTGGAAAATGCAAACAGACAAGTAGTAGTTAACTTTAGACATAAGACAGACAAAAAGCTGACAGTACATGGAGAAGTCTGCAAGAATCATACCTATTAGCTCCGAGATGAGCTCAAAAATTGTAGGTACTGAGAACCTCTGAATGGATTATATGAGGTAGGGCTTAAAGAGGAGTAAATGAAAATCTTTCAAAGTTAAGATAATCCCCCAGTGCATCTAAGTGCTCAAGGCCCAATTCTCATGTTTCCTTGATTCCTTCTTTTTCCTTATTTCTAAACCTCATTCATCACCTAGTCCTTTTAGTTCTACTCCAAACATATGCCACATCTTTCCAGTTTTCCCCATTGTTCCTGTAATATAATGATATTGTAGGCCAAGCCACCACAATTTTCACCTAGACTAATGCAGTAGCCTTCTCACTGGCCTTTGTGCTTATATTCTTACTCCCTAGACACTATCTTTTCTAAATTTAGTAGCATTTACTGTTCCTTTCACAAAAGTACCATAACTGGTAAAACTGGACAAGCCTAATTCTGTGAACGTCTCTCTTTGATTTGGTATCTCAATCTTTCTGTGAACATTTACCTTGGCAATTCTACCTTGTCTAAGAATTTGATTTTGCCTATTCAGGCTCTTCCTCTCTGGGTGCCAAAATCCTCTACCCTCTAGTATGTTTATCCCTTTTCTCAAGTTATTTTATATAGCTTGGCTAAATCCTATCTGTTCTTCAAAATTTTTCTCACATGGTATTAATATTCTTAGTGTAAAGTTATATAACATTTGATACTTGGAAATTACATGAAAAGATCAATTAAGATAAGACTCATAATGAATAAATGAATTGATTCACTAGATGGAAAAATAGATTGAATAAGTAAACAGATAAAATAAGCATATTAGGAGCTATGTTTCTCACTGTTGGAAAAAGTGTTTACAAACATATAAAAGGGGAAAACTAGAAATAACTGTGAGATCCTTTGGTAGGCATTGATATATTCGCTTTATATTGCTGCTACAAAAAATTACCACAAATGTAGTCAATTAAAATGATATAAATTATCTTACAGTTCTGGAGGTTAAAAATTCAAAATTAGACTCACTGGACTAAAGTCAAGATATCAGTATGGCTGATTTCTTCTGCAGGTTGTAGGGGAAAAAAATCTTTTTTCTTGCATTTTCTAGCTTCTAGAGGCTGCTTGCATTCCTGGCTCCTGGCCCATTTCTCTTTCAACGCAGTGTAGCATCCTCAAATCTCTTTAAATGTCTAACCTCTGCTTCCATCACCACATCTTAGGTGACAATGACTGTGACTCTGCCTATTAATGGGACCCCTGTGATTACACTGGGCCTATCGGGGTAATCCATATTCCTCTTCACATCTCAAGATCCTATATCACAGGTTTCAGGGATTAGGATGTGCACATACTTGAGAAGGGGGAATATTAAACTGCCTAATAGGAACTGGAAACATCAATTTGAGTGTGATGTCCAAGTTTCACACACATACACACACACACACACACACACACACATATATATGTGGTGATAGATTTGTGTGAAGTTCTTTGTGTGTGTATATATATTTATATACATATTTACATGTATAAGCATACATATGCATGTATGTATGTAATTTCTTTGCTTTTTTGTTGAGAGAACCTAGAAACAAGATCACCCAGTAGCGACAAGCACACCAAGAGCAGAGATACTAGTTTTAAATATCTTCCAGTAAAAAGAACCAGGACTTCTTTAGAAATGATTAATGGGGTAGGAAAAATGTATGATGAGTTTGGGATAACTCTTTGTGCTACGAAGTGAGAATATATTCAGAGAATGTGGTGACATATAAAACGGACACAGGCCAAATCCAGAAGATTTTAGCATCAAAATAAATAATGCTAATAATGGAACACAACCCAGTGAATAAGTAGGAATATATCATATGACTCCATATTTATAGAAATAAGTATATAAATGGAGGATGTGTGGGCTCCTCCTTACGTTACAATGCTAAATGGTGATGAAAGATCACATTTTGGCATCCATCATAGTGCTTGTTAGTTAATGTGGAAGTTTCAATGGAGGCTAAGGCTGGAGGGAGGAAGTTTAATGAGGAACAGAATTTTCATAATTCATATTATCTCTCGACAAAAGACTAGTCAATTACCAAATGAAAAGATGGTGGTTTGTGATAAAACATTTCAGATACTAACATGACCAGGTAATGTATATTCGCATCACCATGTTGCAATGGGTTGACGTCCTGAGCCCACTGATCCAACGTACTGAGAAGAATACAACATTATTTCTGTAGTATTTGTGCCAAGAATGTAGGAGAAAACATCATATTAACTTAGGTTAAGCTTTATCCTATAGAATGTAAGGACTATGTAATCTTTAAAATTGCAAAGACTTGAGAAGCATTCCATATTGGAGGTTACCTACAAGAGAAAACAACTAAATACATATTCCTGGATAGTATCCTGACCCAAAATTTTCTTAAAAAAGAACACTGTGGATATAATTAGTAAAATTTAAATCATGTATGTAAATTGTATGTAACGTGTTGATTTTTTGACCTGGCATGTTGAATGTGTTTACGTAGGTAAGTGGTAGAAGTTTTTATTTTTGTTTGTATTTTGTTTCTGGGGAGAGGGAGACACACTTAAGTATTTAGAGGTGATGGGGCACCATGTCAGCAGCTCTGAAAAGACTCGGAAAAAGTCTTATAATAATTAGAATGGAGAAGAGGGTAAGAGACAGAGAGAAAGAGAGAGAGAGAGAATATAGTTATTTGATGCAAATGTAGTATTTTTTTTTTTTTTTTTTTTTTTAGTAGAGACAGGGTTTCACCATGTTGGCCAGGCTGGTCTGGAACACCTGACCTTATGAGCCGTCCACCTCAGCCTCCTAAAGTGCTGGGATTACAGACATGAGCCACCACCCACGGCCTTTCAAGTGCAGTATTGATGAAGGTGATAAAAGTACGATCTTAGACTTTCTAATTCCATGTCCTTTAATTTTTATGTCATTTATTGTGTCACCTTTTCTTTTCATCTTGCCTTCTATGTAATCTGTTTAAATCCAGTACTCTACTTATCTCTTTAGCTGTATGTAATCTACTATATGACCCTATTAAATTTTACATTTTAATGATTCTATTTTTAATTTCTAAAGTTACTTCGTGAATTTCTCAAATACAATTTAATGAATTTTTGTTGCCTGTTCATCTTTCTGATTCTATATTTTTCTTTTAAAACTTTTATTCTTAGTTGCTCTATGTCCTGTATGTTATTTTTCCAATATCTAAAATTTTTGAAGATCTAAACCTGTGGTTTTTCCCCTCAATTCTCATTAGTAGAGGCCTCTTTCCTTGTGTCTTTGGGTTATCTTTTTATGCACATGTATTTTGGTGGATGTGATCTGTGGGAATGCCATGTGCTTAAATCAGGGATGTTTCTCTCCAGAGAGAGTTTGCATTTTCTTTTGATGGGCACCAGGGGTCAATATGTCCGGAACCACTCCCACCTCAGCCCCTCCCCAGCTTTAGTTGTCCAAGCTTAGTGTTGAAATTACAATTTCAGCTCCTTACTTGGGAATAGGCCAAAGGTCAAGTATCCTGGTACAGGTTTTCATTTGCTTACCACTCACTATCTCTCTTCTAGTTCCAGATTATGGTCATTTATTTTATTCTTCTTTAATTTTTTTATGGCTATATTTATATTTTTGACCCCAAATTGTACTTTTATAATTTTTATATTTTAAAAATTTTATATATTTTTATATTTTTTAACTTTTAGATTCTTTATAATTTTTATTTTTTATCAACTTTGTATTTTATATTTTTGTCCCCAAAATTATATTTATGGTCTATTATGTCCTATAAACCCAGAAATACATTAAAATATATTTTAACCAGAATCTAGTAATACTTTAGTAGATGAACCCTTTAAAATAACTAGCGTTTTATTAGGCAAAAAAGAAATATTTTATATTTAAAATTTCATTATTCTTCCTAAAGTGACTGTAAGTCCTTTATGGATAACAAAAATGTTGTGTATGCTTACTGTCTTGGCTTTAGATTAGCTCCACACAAAATAGTTGGTATCAAATACACAACAAATGAATTAATACAACTTTATTAGAAATCTTTTATCTTTATAATACCCCTTAAATATCTAATAATAGCTAAAATGTACTAAGCATTTAAATATAACAGGCAATAATCTAAGTATGTTGCAAGAAAAGTCTAATTTAAGCCTTTACAATATACGTATGACTAGCAACTAATTGTTTTCTCATTCTACTCCTAAGGAAACCGAGGCAGAGAGAAGTAAATGAATTGTTTAAAATTAAACCTTAGAAGTGATCCCATCATGACTGATTTTTTATATTCACTGGTCACAGAGCCACTTGAAGGCACTATTGATGGCTCAGTGTCCCCTCATTGTGAGAATGGCAGCATCTATGGAACGGGGAATTAAGCATGTATAAATAAACATATACATGTTTAGCTGTGTATACACACACGCACATACACACACCCTAAATCCCTGTACACACGTTTACTACACAGCCTTCTTTGTTAGATTTTTCAAGTAGGAGTCTGCCATGATTCAAATAGAGTCCCTAGATTCTGTATTATGTTTGAACATTTTATATCTGAGAAAAGCCAAATACTCAAGGCAAACCTAGAAGCGTTCTTGTCTTTGATATGCAAAATTCAATGTTTAGAAGTAAGTCACACAGAATTTCTTTCCAGGCAATGAGTCCTTAGGATAATTGTGTTTGATGTGTTAACCTATAAACTCACACATTTTTTCTTCTATCTCCATAGCAACAAGATAAAATCAATTTTGTCAGAGAGATATTTTCTCTTAGGAAAAAAATGTGGAAACAAAACAGTATAGCAAGAAACTTAGGAACATTTACTGAGAGTGTCCGGGGTCAAATGCCAGCTCCACTACTGTCTCTCTGATCTTGGACTGACTTAATCTCTCAGTGTCTCAATTTCTTCATCAATACAATGGGGATATTAATCATAGGTACCTACCTTATAAGAATTTTGTAAAGCTCTAGGCTGAGTGACTATAACTAAGTAACTAACTGAATGAATGAAAGAATGAATAAATAAATGAATAATTCCCAGATATGACACATATTTAGCACAATATAAATATATATATATGCCGTTTTAGTCAATGTGATCTGCTCATTTTCAAATAATAAAGATCTCTTTTCAAATGGATGATTATAGATACCATTCTTTAGAGACTTTATGAACTATATAACATTTGAAAAGAATTTTTTGATTCCTATGAAAAGTCTTACATTATAATCATGAATATGTATTAAGTACCACATGTTTGCTAATTTTGTCTAAAAGTTGAATATCTCAAGTTACATTTTATGGTGCTTCATTATTCATTGTGCAGTTTTTGAAAAGGTATTATTTTCTTTTTGAATAAAAGATTCTAAGGAATATTGAAATTTTAATTTCATGCATACTCTCTAGAATTCTAGAATTTAAAAGAAGTTTACAATAAACCTGATGTATTTTTAATATATAATTAAAAGGCACTGTACACCTCTACTACGTGCCTCCAGAAGCATATACTGAGCTGCCTTAGGATGTTAAGTATGTATGTAACGGTCTGAATTGTTAGGTGACAGTTGATAGCAGATGTAAAAGTTAAATAAGAAGGGAAAAAAGAAGACAATAAATCATCAATAATCCATTCAACCATTTCCTGACTTAACATGGTTCTCTCTTTTATTAAGTGTCTTCGAACTGTTAGAGTTTTTAGAAAGTGATTTTGTGGCTAGAAGAAAATAGTGTGTGAAGCTCTTGGAGTATTAATAGAAATGCCTTTTAAGCTCCTTTTAGTGAAGCTTTACAAAACTATACACTCAAATTATGCCTCAAATATTTCTTTTGTATTGGATAGATATTAAGCTCTAAGTAATTGAAAACAGATTTTTCCCCCTCCTCCTTTTAGAGGGAAAATTGTTCCTGGTTTACTCTTCAGTGTTAATTTATTCTATTTTATTGGTCCAAGTACCTGTGCCCTTCTTCTCTTCTCCTCCATCTGACCCCCTCCCAAAAAACTTGATGTGGCTAGACAATTTCATCATCACTTCTTAAAACAACATCTTCAATATCCACCAGTGTATTTGGTAAGATAAGGAAGTTGGCATTTATGGAAAAATCTTATATGCATAGAACACTAGAGCATCAGAGTACCATCCCAGTTTATCTGAGAGATGAAGCCATTCATAATCATTAATAAGGATATGAACTTCATAATGTAAGCACAAGAATGCTCACAGCTACATAGTTTAAATAGAAAAAAGGAAATAAATGTATATTTATAAGACACTGGCTGAATAAATTATATTACATAAATATATAGTGAACCATTACACAGTTACTGAAGTTGATGATATTGAACAAGCAAGACTTGTGGGAAGTACAATAAAGGCAACATTATTTTTGTATGTGACATGCATAAATTCTTTGCAAGTGACTAGTTCTTTTCTTGTCCCTAGATAAAAATTAGGGCAAGTTCCATAACCATCTTTATGACCTCCTCCAAGTTTGTTGGCCAAGAGCTAATATGTACATTTTAGGGTAATGATAAAAATATTAAATCCTTCTTATCTTGGATCATATTAGGATAGCCACTTAAGAGCAAGAAATGTCCTTTTTCTCTTCCACCACAACTTTGCCAACTGTCTTAGTTCATTTTCTCTTTCTAAAACTGAATACTTGAGACTGGGACATTTACGAATTAAAAAAAAATATTTCTTACAGTTCTGAAGACTAGGAAGTCCAAGGTCAAGAAGCTACATCTAATGAGGGCCTTCTTGTAGGAACTCTCTGCAGAGGCTTAAGGTGACACAGGGCATCACATGACGAAGGGGCTCACCAGAGACAGACAGCCTGGCTTTTATAACAGACCCACTCTCATGATGATTAACCTGTTCCCTGGGTAACTCATTAACTCATTAACCCACTAATCCATTAATCCATAAATGAATTAATCCATTCATGAAGGCAGAGCCCTCATGACCCTCTTAAAGTTCCTATTTCTTAATACTGTTAATATTGGTTATTAAATTTCAACATGGCTTTTCCAGGGAATTTAAATAGTAGCACAAACATTGATTTCTGATCCTTTAAGAGTCAAGGGAAGGGGTAGGGCATATTTTACTTCACTATTACTTTTATATGATAGCATACACTTTCTAGTTTTGGCAATGGTTTGATACCAACCCTTTCTCTGTGGGAAGTGTTTTCACTGTTTTTTAAGAAACCCCTCTCTTCTGCAATCTCTGTGGATCTCTTATTTGCAGATGGTAATACATTCTTGTTCGTTGTTTAGAACTTTTTCTTTTGGCTCCTGGCTACTTGTGGTCCATCTTTGAGAGACCCTATCTCTATTTAAGACACTCATGATAGCTCTTTTATGTGTAGCCAACATCTAACCCAATGGAAACACTCATACATTCTCTGTCCTGAGAAACTCAGGATCACAGGCTGATTCTAATACAGAAATATTTCCATTTTATTCCATCGTTAAAGCTTTTAGCCAGTCAATCACTCACCATTTTGATGTCTCAGTCATAAGTCAGACATCTTTCTGCTGTGTCCAAAAAATGTCGGAAAACAACAGCTCTCCATTTTGTTTCCTAATGAATCCTCTTTCTTGAACATAAATGAAGATGGAGTGCATTCTTTACCCTTCCTCTCTGAGGGGAGAGAGACACACAGCATGCCCAAAACTCTCCAGATTTTTATTCCTAATCTTTATCTTTCAGCTCTTTTCATAATAACCTCACTGGGATTGTGGAGATTGAGTCACAAGACTGGTTTTCTGAACGCTCCTTTGTCTGTGTCGTACATGGTGAATTCCTGCCTTTTTTTTTTTTTTTTTAAGAATATGGCATCTAATGTGTTGGGCTTCAGCCAAAATTGAGAGTAACATTTTTACACTGTATTTAGAGTATATTTGATAACTTAAAAAGGATGACAATTGTCTACTAAGTGACAATATATGTAGAGAAAATTATATATGATTTACCTTTTGATATACTCTGTGGTATAAATTGTGGAAGGCTTTGAATTAATATGACCTGTACCTTTTTTTAGATCTGAGGGAACCACTATTTTTAATAGGGGTGAGATATTATGTTTTCAAAGGGCTTTACTAATTTTATAGTTGTCTGCAGGGTGAATTATAGTTGGAAAAGAATAGACACAGAGACCTGACAGACACATTTAGGAGGCTGGTACAGTAAGGTACAAAAGTACAGTAAAAGTGATAATGAGAAAAGAAACTCTAAGTACTACTATAAAATGACCTTTATCTTGAATTTTTGTAGGAATTGGCATTACGTTTTTGAGAGAGAATGAAAGAGAGAGAATAACGGGATTAATTGAAAAGATTATGTGGCTTGTAACCACTCTGTAAACTTTGAGATTATTAAATTATTTGGCCTTGGTTCAAGCCATACCTCTGTTATTCACTAGCTGAGTAACCTTGTATAACATAATGACTGTCCTTCATCCTTAAAATAGGAATAATGGTACTTGGGTAAATGGATGGTTCTGTAATTTAAAAGCACGTGAAAATGCTTTGTAAATTCTATAACTACATAACTAAATCCAGTATCCATATCTCTTGAGAATCATAATAGGCAGTGATACTAGTTCTGCTGTTAATATGCAGAAAGGCAAAGGTTGGACTAAATGCTTTTGAAAGCATCTTCTAATTCTAAAAAGCCATGGCTGATTGAAGCAACTGGATACACGTGTCCTTTCAAGATTATTCCAGGCCTCTTTGCTCCTAGCTGTCTTTGGCACTGATCATACTTTGCCACATTTTATGCCTTTGTGAATCTCTGTCTGTTACTCCTTATACCCTATACAGTCCTCATCTTGACCTGCTTCTGAGTATATACTACAGTACCAAGCACATTCCTATGTACCTTGTAATGCTCAGTAAATGCAGGTTGAATCCTTTACTTGCCATTTTGTTCTCAAAGAAGCATGAACACAACAACACTGCAGCATGCCCTCTATTGGAAAGGAAGAGAAAAAGGGAATGAAAGAGGGGAAAGAAATGAATATCTATAGGCATATGGAAGAGACCAAGAAGTCAGTATTAAAGGTTGCTTCCCATATAATACAATGAAGAGCTCTATGCTGCACTCCATGTGGAAGGGGATTCCTGAACTCATCTAGATTCAATTTTTGATCAGTTCTAATTGATACATATTGGCTGAAATTAAATTTATGTAATCATACTAATGGTTAACATTTGCTGCTTTAGTTTTCAGAAGGTATTCAGTACTTTTACAAAATGTATAAACATAAGACTTCTGAATTTCATGAAATGATAGCAAATATATTAGTCTCATTTTTTCTTTTGATGTCACACAATAATATACTTTGGGAGTTGTTATTGGCATAAAAAGTTGTTTTGAAAACTTCACATAAATAGTTGATGCACATACTGCTAAATATTTTAATGCTTTCATTGAAATATAAGGGATTATTTTGACATTTCCCTGAAACTTTCTGACCTAGAGGTATTAAAATAAATTTACATTCAAGTCAATCTACGGACATATTCGGTTGGTTTGCAAATGCATTTTAACATTTATTGAAATGGCCTTTCTAAATAATGGAATGTTTTAGCCAACTTGAGAAAGATACTTGGTTTAAATTTTAGGATACCAAAATCTAATTTAACTGCCAAAATTTCACAACTTCATTGTAAAGGAACTTCCATAAGCCACTTGGTTTTATTTTCCCAAACTGCTTTCATAGTCTACCACTTTCAATATCTAAGTAAAATTCTAATCATATTTTCTAATTTGCAGTAAAATATTTTCTATATTGTTTGCTAGACATACTCACAGGAGATGATTTGAAAAACCTCAGATGAATGAGAACTGAAAACAATTTAAAAAATCAGAGAAATTTTGGGATTATCTGGTTCTTTCATTATTATAGTTATTAATATGTAGTTATTAAACATTTTATATATTACAAATGGGTTTAGAAAGTCAGAAAATCCACAAAACTCTAATGCGGCTAGGATGCTATTAATGATAACTTTGGCCAAATAGCAAAACTGGTCAAAACTCCAAATCTCTCTAGGCAAACAGTATTAAACAGTATTGACCAATGTCTTCAATAATAGGAGATAGATGGAAAACATTAAAAAAATTGATTTCATTTTCTTTTTTTTTTTTTTTTTTTGTTTGGAGATGGAGTTTCACTCTTTTTGCCCAGACCGGAATACAGTGGCGTGATCACAGCTCACTGCAACCTCCGCCTCCCAGGTTCAAGCAATTCTCCTGCCTCAGCCTACCAAGTAGCTGGGATTAGAGGCACACACCACCATGCCCAGCTAATTTTGTATTTTAGTAGAGACAGGGTTTCACCATGTTGGCCAGGCTGGTCTTGAACTCCTGACCTAAGGTGATCCGCCCACCTCAGCCACACAAAGTGCTGGGATTACAGGCTTGAGCCATAGCGACTGGCCCTGAATGCACACAAAAAATTGATTTCTATAGATTTTCAAACTTTCTACATGGTTGTTGATCTCAGAATTAGTAATCAATAAATAAACAAAAATACAGCAGATATTTATCTTTTCAGAGACCTCTGGGAACAACATCATATTATGGGACCTGACCCCTGTGGAATTTTGGGGGTTAAATCTGCAATCTTAAATAAACTCAATATTTAAAGTTAGTGTTCAGCCAACAATTTCTAAACAGAGGAGATTCCATTGGTCTATTTATCTGTTTTCGTACCAGTACCATGCTATTTTGGTTACTGTAGCCTTGTAGTATAGTTTGAAGTCAGGTAGTCTGATGTCTCCAGCTCTGTTCTTTTTACTTAGGATTGTCTTGGCTATATGGGTTCTTTTATGGTTCCATATGAAATTTCAAGTAGCTTTTTTTCTAATTCTGTGACGAAAGTCAGTGGTAATTTGATGGTGATAGCATTGAATCTCTAAATTACTTTGGGCAGTATGGCCATTTTCACAATATTGATTCTTCCTCTCCTTGAGCAAAGCATGTTTTTCCATTTGTTTGTGTTCTCTCTTATTTCCTTGAGCAGTGGTTTGTAGTTCTCCTTGAAGAGGTCCTTCACATCCTTTGTAAGTTATATTCCTAGATATCTTATTGTCTTTGTAGCAAGTGTGAATGGGAGTTCACTCAGGATTTGGCTCTCTGTTTGTCTATTATTGGTGTATAGGAATGCTTGTGATTTTTGCACATTGGCCTCAGAAATAATCCCACACATCTACAACCATCTGATCTTTGACAAACCTGACAAAAACAAGCAATGGGGAAAGGATACCCTATTTAATAAATGGTGTTGGGAAAACTGGCTAGCCATATACAGAAAACTGAAACTGGACCCCTTCCTTACACCTTATACAAAAATTAACGCAAGATAGATTAAAGACTTAAACGTAAGACCTAAAACCATAAAAACCCTAAGAATACCTAGGCAGTACCATTCAGGACATAGGCATGGGCAAAGACTTCATGACTAAAACACCAAAAGCAAGGGCAACAAAAGCCAAAATTGACAAATGGGATCTAATTAAACTAAAGAGCTTCTGCACAGCAAAAGAAGCTATCATCAGAATGAACAGGCAACTTACAGGATGGGAGAAAATTTTTGCAATCTATCCATCTGATGCAGGGCTAATATCCAGAACTACAAAGAACTTAAACAAATTTACAAGAAAAAAACAACCCCCTCAAAAAGTAGGCGAAGGATATGAACAGACACTTCTCAAAAGAAGACATTTATGCAGCCAACAAACATATGAAAGAAAGCTCACAATCACTGGTCATTAGAGAAATGCAAATCAAAACCACAATGAAATACCATCTCATGCCAGTTAGAGTGGTGATCATTAAAAAGTCAGGAAACAACAGATGCTGGAGGGGATGTGGAGAAATAGGAACACTTTTACACTGTTGGTAGGGGTGTAAATTACTTCAACCATTTACACTTAGAAGACAGTGTGGCGATCCCTCAAGGATCTAGAACCAGAAATAACATTTGACCCAGCAGTCCCATTACTGGGTATATACATAAAGGGTTATAAATCATTTTACTATAAAGACACGTGCACACATATGTTTATTGCAGCACTGTTCACAATAGCAAAGACTTGGAACCAACCCAAATGCCCATCAATGATTAACTGGATAAAGAAAATGTGGCACATACACACCAAGGAATACTATGCATCCATAAAAAGATGAGTTCATGTCCTTTGCAGGTACATGAATGAAGCTGGAAACCATCATTCTCAGCAAACTAACACAGGAACAGAAAACCAAATACCACATGTTGTCACTTATAAGTGGAAGTTGAACAATGAGAACACATGGACACAGGGAGGGGAACATCACACGTCGGGGGCCTGTCAGGTGGTGGGGGACTAGGGGAGGGATAACATTAGGAGAAATATCTAATGTAGATGATGGGTTGATGAGTGTGGCAAACCACTATGGCACATGTATACCTATGTAACAAACCTGCACGTTCTGCACATGTATCCCAGGACTTAAGGTATAATAATAAAAAAATGCTTCAGATAAATAAGACTGAGCTAACTAACCTCTCACAGAAAAAAAACAAAAACAAAAAAATAAAGTAAAATGGATTATTCCCTGCAGCCAGAAGGCTGTGAAACAGAACCTTTAGTTTCTTATTCTCCTCAGTTCATAGGACATTTAGGTGCAGCTATTGTCATCAGTTACACATGAAGAAACTTGTATTAGCTGCTTCAAGCTAATCGCAAGGACTGAGGACATTTTAGTACTCAGTACTTAGTACTTCAGTTCTCAGTACTTAAGTACTTTGAACCTCAGTGTTCTCAGTAGTAAAAATGATGTTTTTATATGTACATGTATTTTTTTTCTAAGAGTTGTAATGAGTAAGATCTAACCTCATAGCCTAGGCTTTAGAAGTTTTCAACTGGTATTATAATGTTTTATTTTTAGCTTGCTTTCCTCTTATACAAATGAAAATTATCTGGCATTAAAAAGAAATAAATCAAAACACTGGAATAACAGAATTTCAAGACTGCTCTGAGAAAGTTGTTTGTTTCATAAAAATGGGAATGAAGTTCTCTATATAAAAAGGAAACATCTTTGAAAGAATGTCACAATATTTTGTATAATTTTTGTCTTAATTTTATTTAATTGACACATAATAATTGTAAATATTATTAGGGTGCACAATGATGTTTCAAGACATATAATGTACAGTGATCAGATCAGGGTGATTGGCGTATTCATCTTCTCAAACGTTTATCATTTCTTTGTGTTGGGAACATTCAGTATCCTCCTTCTAGATATTTAAAACTGCAAAATATAAAAATGCCCACTGTAGTGATCCTGCAGTGGTATAGAACACAAGAACTGATTCTACCTAACTAGCTGTAATTTTGTATCCTTTAACAAATCTCTCCATATATTCTTGAGAAGAGATGAAGACACAGTAAGAATTTTTTTTGTCCAATCTCTTGTGGAGTGTGACACATTTAGCCTGTCTTTTATGTTATTCATTCCTTGGATTTAGCTCCCAAATGGTGAAGAAAACCTGCTCCCTTCAGCTTTTCTCAATCACTATAAGGATGGGCGAAAAAAAAAAATCCTTGGAAATAAAAGTGCTATATAGCAGGACTGTATTGCATATGAAATGTATGTTTAAAATCTGCAAAGATCACTATATATTTAGGAGAAAACACTCTAAAAATATACAGGTACAATGCCAGGTGGCAGCTCAGATTTATAATCCATCAAAGGAGAGTGTACCTAAACTCATGGTCCATTTGATTTTCTGGTCACCCTAAACTTTTGGGAAGCTAAATGTCATAAGTGATTTTGAAAGCAACCTATAGTGAGTTTTTGCAGGTAATAATGAACTCACAGCCAGCATATAATCAAGGAGAATGAGTTCTACAAATTTTCAAAAGGCTCCTGTGAGTATAGGTTACCTTTGGAAATGAATGGAGAGAATGAGGTTGGAAAGGGATAAAAAATGTATTTCACATATATGTGCAATGTTTTATGACTAAAAAAGCATGAACCAAAGCAATTTTAACCAAATATTAATATTTGTTAAATATGATTATTTACTACATGAATGTTCATTGAATTATATTTCTTCCGTATATCTGAGATATTTTATAATTTTAAAATTTATTTTCAAATAGGATCTCATAATGTAACATGGATGGATGCCTATTTTAGGACTAAGTGAGAGTAACTGTGTAAAGCATTTTGGAAGACATAAAGGTAAATGAAATGTAAGCAGTACTTTCACTGACTAGCAGAGACAGAACTTCCTCGTGGAGGCAGGCAGAAAGTGTTCCGTAAAAATCCGGGATGGTATTCATGTGGGTTATCATAGATCTTGTGCCCCCTGGAATGTTCCATGAAGCAGCCCAGGGAAGGAAAAATGAGAGAAAAGAACACAAATAACCAGAGTGCCATTTACAAATTGAAGTGAACAAAGCAGACAGGACCAGTTTCCTGAATGCAGTAACTTTTGAAGTCAGTCTAGAAAGATGAGTATAATTTGGGCAGGTGATGGGGTAATGACAGACAGGCCACTGCAAGTGGATGGAACAGTTAATGTCATTAAAGGAGGGAGTCTGAGGTATTTGTACACCTCTTCAGCTTGGAATTTCACTCCTATTTACCACAGATACTCTGTTACC
Source organism: Homo sapiens (assembly GCF_000001405.40). Taxonomy (NCBI): domain Eukaryota; kingdom Metazoa; phylum Chordata; class Mammalia; order Primates; family Hominidae; genus Homo; species Homo sapiens. Next base: position 26,399,094 of record NC_000011.10, read on the forward strand.
TGGCAAAACTCAAACTGGCTCGAAATCTGGTGAGATAAAATTCTGCCCAACCTCACCTTTTTTTCGCTGTCTCATAGCCCCATGTTACTTTCCTTCATCTATCATTCTTTTTCTGTGATTTTTGCAAGGCACCCTTTTGCACTAAAGTCTTTAAACTGTAGGTCACCTCTCTTAGGGGCATTTTCATTCCAAAACAGGACCACGGGGAAGGATGGGGCTTTCAATGATAAAGTACCTTTGCCAGAATCTTTCTTAAAGAATGCTACCCTCCATTTAAGAGGCTTCAGTTGCCTTTCAAATACACACACAAAGTCCATTAAATATGAACTTTTCAGCATGACTTTAAAGACCCTAATGATCTGTCCTTGTGCACCATTTCAAGTTTCCTCACTACATTCTATGTACTACAGCACTCAACATCTGGACTTCGTTCTGTCTCTGTGGGAGGCCCATATCTGGGAGTGGCAGGGAGCTCAGGCTTCAGAAACAGATGGAGTTCAATTATATTATTTACCAGCAGTTTTACTTTGGGTAAATTATTTTCTCAGAGAATGTTGGTTCACTTTTTCTCATTCATCTTTGAATGGCCTCCTTTGCTTTTGTTGATGGTTGAAGGTATAAGTCCCTCCCCTGCCCCTGCCCCCTTTCCTGCACCTCCAACCACACATTTTAAATGAGTTTAACCTGACACATTTTATATTCCTCTTACCACGCTAGAAAGTAAGTCTTTCTCCCTGCCCTTTGTTTGTTTGTTTCTTTGCTTCACGGTATAGACTGCCTTCCTCAAATCTGAGATACATTATATTGGCTTTTGGACTTAAACTACCCATATTCTACAGTCTACAAAGTCTGACTACCATAATAAAACACACAGCATTTAGGAAGACTTAAGAAATACATATAATTCTGCTAACCACATGTAGATGAAATCACTTCCTTAGGTAAAGATGTGACACCATTGTGGTAAGGTCTAGGTACCCAAGTGTAATAATTGTACAAAGCAAAGTTTTTTTTGTTTTTGTTTTTGTTGTTTTGTTTTGTTTTGCCTTCGTGCTGTTGATCTGGAGCATTAACCAAAACCATGTGAGGAAACTTCAATATGTGAGGTCATCAGGAGAAAGGTTTCTGATTATTATGGGTTATGAGCTTAAAGTGGATTGCTGGTACATTTTCATAATCAAATCTTAATCCTAGGAAGCACTCAATTGGTCATGTAAGCTAGCACTGACATAAGGCAGGTCCCTGTGTATGGGGCATAAAAGAATGTATACCATACAAAAGGAAGTGATCATCTAGAACAATTCCCAAATTGTGTTTGTTTTTTTATTGCAAATATAATATAAAACAACACTGAAAACCATTTTAAAATAAAAATCACTTATAACAAGTTCTAGTGCCTTTCTTTTGCATATTACCTTCTGGTCCTTGAACATAATTATACATATTTGACATATTTTCAAACATTAACATAATGTATCTGTATTTAACATGATGCTCTTTATTCCATAATTTGTCTTTAATATTTTTTCTTTCATTAATATGTTTGCATTCTGTTAAAAAGTGTGCTAAGTGTTGAAGATAAAGTGAACAAAACTTGCACATTACAACATATGCATACATATACATATATATATGTATATATTAAACAATTAAAGAAAATGGGATTTCCATTAGTAAGGAGGAAGTTGGGAATACATTTTTCAATAAGTAATTAATAGTGTTTACCATAGCCTATTTGCTGCCTAGATGAATATATATATATATAGACACACACACACACAAACATATATATATAAATTTCAATAATGCACACACATTATACTTCAAAAAAAAGAAAATACCAAGTTGCTTCCATGAACTACTTCATCCTAAAGTTAAGTATTTCTGGGTAAGCTTGCTATTCTCTTTAGAACATTTTGATACGTTTCTATGGCTAAAAACCAAATTATCTACCTTTGGATATGCATCGTGTGATGACATAAAAGGAACAGGACATCTGTATAAAAGGTTCCTTTCTAAAAGGGAGATTGAAAAATTAAAAACACAGTAGTCACTGGAACTTAACATATAGCATACCCCCATGGACAGGAATAGTTTGGATTCTCAGTCATGGAAGTGGAGTGAGTTGGGAGATCAGTCAGTCATTGGGCATCCCCTGATTCTGTTCTCTAAAAGAATTCCCTCCATTTATTATCCTTCATTGTCTTGCTTCTGCCTTCTGAGAGAATCTCCCTTGTCATTCTCTGTCATGACCTTACATGAGATGAGCAACTGTGAGAATGCTCCTGCTAGAGAAAGCACATCCATAGTATCCGCTTTCCTGGTAGTTTAAAATCGGGGATCTAAAGGTAACCTTAATAGCTGAACAATTTGCTTTTACAGCTCTATGGTCACTGTTGCATAGTGTCCAAGCGAGAAGTTGGACATTGTGGCATGACAGATAGGTAGATAATATATAAACATATAGGTGTGGCTGCCTTGCAATGAAAACTATTTACAGGACAGACCCTGTGGCTCATGCCTGTAATCCCAGTACTTTGGGAGAGGCCGAGGCAAGCAAATCACTTGAGGTCAGGAGTTCGAGACCAGCCTGGCCAAAATGGTAAAACTCCAGCTCTATTAAAAATACAAAAATTAGCCGGACATGGTGGCACATGTCTACAGTCCCAGCCACTTAGGTGGCTGAGTCAGGAGACTCACTTGAACCCAGGAGACGGAGCTTTCATTGAGCCAAAATTGTGCCATAGTCTACCTCGTTAACCCAGACGATTCCACATTGTAGAATCTGGTACTTTCAATTTCTTGCTGTTCTGAAATAAATTATGATCCGACAGTAACAGAAAATCTAATGCAAAACAGCTTAAACAGTGAGGAACATGATCTCATTCTTTTTATGGTTACATAGTATCCCATGGTGTATATGTAATGCATTTTCATTATCTAGTCTTTTATAGATGAGCATTTAGGATGATTCCATATCTTTGCTATTGTGAAGAGTGCTGTAATGAACATACACATGCGTATGTCTTTATATTAGAAAGATTTGTATTTCTTTGGGTATATACCCAGTAATGGGATTGCTGGGTCCAATGGGATTTGTCTTTTCTTTGAGGAATTACCACATCGTCTTCCACAGTGGCTGAACTAATTTATACTCCACCAACCGTCCATAAGCATTCCTTTTTCTCCACAACTTCGCCAGTGTCTGTTATTTTTTGACTTTTTAATAATAACTATTCTCACTGGTGTGAGATGTTATCTCATTGTGGTTTTGATTTGCATTTCTCTAATGATTAATGATGTTCAGCTTTTGTTATATATATGATTGTTAACCCCATGTATGTCTGCTTTTGAAAAGTGTCTGTTCGGGTCCTTTGCACACTTGAAATTTTTTTTTCTTGTACATTTAAGTTCCTTATAGATACTGGATGTTAGACTTTTGTTGGAAGCATAGATTGCAAAAATTTTCTCCCATTCTGTAGATTGCCATTATCCTTAGCAAGCTAACCCAGGAACAGAAAACTGAATACCACATCTTCTCACTTATAAGTAGGATCTAAATGATCAGAACTCATGGACACATAGAGGGGAACAATACACACTGGGGACTTTTGGAGGGTGGAGGTTGAAAGGAGGGAGAGGATCAAGACAAATAACTAATGGATACTAGCTTAATACCAGGTGATGAAATAAGCTGTGCAACAAACCCCCATGACACAAGTTTACATATGTAACAAACCTGTACTTGTAAAGCTGAATTTAAAATAAAAATTAAAAAACAGTGAGGAACGTTTCTTTTCTTGCAACTCTTAATTAGGGTTCCTTCAGAATTGTTTAATGCATCAATTCGCCAGCTCACCCATCATAATTGTTTGATATGTCTCTCAGATCCCTTTTATGTACCTGTTTTTCTCACATTTCGTCTCTTACAACTTATTCGATGGACCACTTAAATGTGTTTTGTTTCGTTTTGTTTTTGTATACTTACCTACATTCCAGACTTTGCTGACTGCATTCTCTTGGTGTGGTTTATCCTGTTACTTGTTTCCCTGTATTTTCTGTAACTTGAAAGTTAGTTTTAAAAACATGATCAGATCCAGATTCAATTTTTATCAAGAGTATCTCATGGTGGGTATTTTATATTTCCCTAAGACAGCACATAATGCCTGGCTCTCTCTCTTTTATTGCAATAATAGCAGTCATTGCTGATCATTGTATGGATTCATTACTTCATTAGGATAATTCATTATTTCACTAGGATAGGACCTCTTAAGATACAGAAATTGAGACTCAATTAGGTTCAAGTATATATACAAAGCCAAATAAAATGTGTGGCAAAATTCATCAGCAAATCCTTTTGGCTCTAATTTCAAATTGCAGCTTGAATAGGACCTTTTTACTGCACCTCCTTCACTACCATATTAGTTCACCTCTGATTTCCTCTAGCCCGGACTACTTCGGTAGCACCTTAGTTATCCCCGCTTTACTTCCTCTAGACTGTTTTCCACATAGTAGCAGAGTGAGTCTTCAAAAACTACCATTTGACTGAATGCCTGTTTTAACCTTCTAATGACTTATCATCTCAGAAAGAATATAAGACAAATTCCTTATCAAGGTCTACAAGCTCCTACACTATGTAGCCCTTAGCTTTCTCTTTTACTTTATTTTCTGCCACTCTCCTCCTGCTCACTGTTCTGTAGACATAGAGGCCTCCTTATTCCTCCTTGAACATTTCAAGCATTTTAAAATTCAAGACCTTTACACTTGTTTTGCATTCTGCCTGGGATGATCATTTCCCAGATATTTGTGTGCTTTGCTTCCCATTTCATTCAGATTTTTGCTCATCCTTCACCTCCTCAGAATGAAATTTTGTGATCTCACCTTTCAAAATTGTACCATTCATTATTCTTTGGTCGCATGCCATGCTTTTTGTCTTTTTTTCCGAATGCTTTTAAATGCCTTACATTGCATGCATTTATTGACAGTTTTTTTCCATTTGTATGTGAACTACATGAAGGAGGGATTGTGACTGTATTGCTCATCCTCTTGATACGATAGGATGAGCACAGTGTCTATCACATAGTAAGTGCTCATTAATGCAAATATTTTAATGAAAGAAAGAATGAATTAGAACATGAAACTACATTAAGTAACTCAGTCTTCATAAAACTCTATTTAGGTCACACAGTGTGATAAGTTTTACCTTCTATTTTGCTAGACTCCATATTGATCTAAGAATTCTGGGCTTACATAGTTTATGAGGCCAGTTTAATGTTCTATTCACAAAGTCTAATCACTTTGGAAAACTACTGCTTCCTGAGACAAATTTACTCCTTATCTGGTTCACAGAAAACCTCTACCTCCTTTCTTTATATTTGATTCCATTTAAAGAGGAAAAAATATTCTAGTGAGTAAGAGTATTGAAAAGATTAGAATTAATGCATGCAACGTTCCCGAAATATTGTTGATACTCAATAAAACCTAACAGTGCTAGTAGCAGTAATCACAGGAGCAGTTGCTATTATTATTCAGCTATATTGTATTTGTTTTGTTTGTATTTCCATAAGATAATCACAGTATAGTAAGGAGTCGAAGGGAGGGTCACTTAAGAAAATTATTATTTATACTTACATAAACATTATTAATCTTGAGATAAAAATCTATGTGGAGAAATACAATAGCAGTTTTACAGAAAAGGCTTCATAAAATATGAACTACTTAAAGGAAAACCATAAAATCCATGGCTTGTACAGTGGAATTAAGTTTTCAAGATTACATTACTAAATCTTGGAAGATTTGCTAATAACCAGTGGCTAATTTCAGCAAGGAATTTATATATATGTGTGTGTGTGTGTGTGTGTGTGTGTGTGTGTGTGTGTGTGTGTGTCTATATATCTATATCTCTATATTTATATTTCCTTGTTATTTAAGGAAGTCATTATATGGTAGCCATTATATGGTACTGCCTAATAAATAGTGTTTGCCTCACAATAGCCATTTAAAAAATGTTACTTTTTTCTCCTCTTCACACTCTATGGGATTTTTATTCCTTTCATGGGAAAGAATAATAAATCTTCAGCATCAAAAATAGAAGAATAATTTCATTAGGTAAAATATAATTTGCTTTAAGTGATATCATGAAGTTCCTGATGCTTGAAATAACCCATTTCTAGAATTCTCCTCAGTCACCTTTGGATATCATAGTATTTCCTAAATTTCTTGTGAGCTTCCATTCTTCATCTCACAAATTTCATTCTTGGAGTTATTTTCTTCAAAGAAAGTAGAAGATATGTCCTAAATGTGTGTGCTTTAATTATTTCTTTAGTTCTTTATTAGATGTTGTTACTTTTCCTGACAAAACCCAGTAGCAGGATATGACTGAAAACCATTGAGACAACATTGAATCTCAGAATATTAATAGCCAATCTGCCATTATTCCGTGTAGGCTAACCTATTAGGTGATTAAGATAGTGCATGGCTACCCTCTATAAATGTCATGCATAACTGATTATAAAGAACAAATCATTGTGACCCAGAACTTATAAAACAAGACCTAACACTGGCAAAATTACATATGCAACTTTGAGAAAATAATTTACTTTCTCTTACTATCATTTTCTTTATGAATTGAATGTGCAGGTTATATCAGTAGTTTTCAAATTTAGAGAGCATGAGTGTGTGTATTACAAATTCAGATTCTCGGACCCTTCCCTGAGAGAAGTAGTTTTCCTGAGAAAGACTGAGGAATCTGCCTTGTAATACATACTACAGGTGGCCTTGGATCTCACTCTGAAATTTCATAAGGTGTCCTCTAGCTCCACAATTTCTAAAAGCTTTTTTTTCATTCTCTAAGCATTGTGTTTCCAGTGGTATTTTTACATTTTAAGCCCTAATGGCACAATCACTGAAGTGGATCAAACTGAGAATGCTTTTAGGCACCATGTTTCATCACTCAGAACTGTTGCTAAAAGACTATTGTCACAGTCCATTTGTGGTGCTATAACAGAATATCACAGAATGAGTAATTTGTAAACAGTAGAAATGTATTTCTTATGGGCTTGGAGGCTTAGAATTCCAAGAGCAAGTTTCTGTCATATTGTATGTCTGGTATGGTCCTGTTTGCTATGCCCTCACTTAGCAGAAGAGCAGAGAGCAAGACAGTGCTGTCATCCACCTTGAGCCCTTTGATAATGGTGCTTTTCCCATTCATGATACATAGCCCTCATGACTTAATCAACTTCCAAAGGTCACACTCCTTAATACTGGTGCCTTGGAGATTAAGTTTCAACATGAATTTTGGAGGGGACACCATCATTCAAACCATAGCAACCACTGAATACAACTTTTAACAATTTCACTGGGAACTCCATTTTATATTTCTATAGAATTTTTATCAGAGAATCAAAAGGTCCTTGGAAAACCAGTTTGGCATAGTTAGAAAGTTTGCAGTTCATATGGATCTACCTCTCACATAGGCAAAATAGGACTGCACATAAGACATATCATTAACTTTCAGGTAGTAATTTTTGCAGGAGATAAACCATTAAGGCAGCCCAGTGAAAGGGGTCCAATAATCTATGGCAGTGTGTGTGTGTGTGTGTGTGTGTGTGTGTGTGTGTGTGTGTGTGTGTGGATTGGTGGCATTACCAATGATTTCTAGCATGATGATCTGTATTGCCAATTTTCTTGTTCTGATTCACACAAAATATCTTACTCCTTCCTGTCAAGTTTGTGATGATTGTTTATATCTTAGCAAAATCAAGGCTTTATTTAATTTTCTTAAATGCTGGGAAATAGAAAACTGAAATATACATATATATACACACCTGTATATATATAAATACATCTGTGTATATATACATATATATATACACACACGTATATATATATATTTATAGGTGTGTATATATATAGGTGTGTATATATATATAGGTGTGTGTGTATATATATATGGGTGTGTGTGTGTGTGTGTGTGTGTGTGTGTATATATATATATATATGTATATATATGCCAGAGTTAGAAAACAATTATGTCATACAGTCCAAAATTCAACATTGCACATTGATTGGAAAACACAAAACAATCATTTCTAAAATCAAGTGTTCCAGTTAGTCTTCTGAATATGTAATGAACTTGTTTATCTCTGTGCCTTTCTTCATTTGTTCTATTACTTTGAGTGCTCAGCTCTACCCTTTGAAAATCATATGCATTCTTAAAGAGCCAACTCAAATGACTTTCGTTTCCTTCTACTACTCCTGCTATCCCCACTTGGAACAAATGGGTGCCGTCTCTCTGCTTCTATATCATTGGAACATATTCTAGTACTGACAGCATGTTCTTCTATATTTAGTATTAAATGAATATTTTCAATCAAATCTCATGGCTTGTGAATTCTAACTTTATAAACTTTTATTGAATCTGTCTTCTTTTTTCTAGTCCCATAGCCACAGCCACAGTTTCAGGCCATCATCTGCCCTCCTATAGATTACTGAAGCATCCTATTTATGTCTTGTCATGATTTTACTCATATCCTTTACATATATATTCTCCACACTGAGAGCAGAGCGATACCCTTAAATACGAATTAAACCATGTCACTCTGTAGCTTAAAATCTTGCAATGGCTCTCCGTTTCTCTTAAGATAAAGTTTAAATTCCTCAATATACCATACCAGGCCATTTGAGAGCTGCTCCATGCTTTCCTCCATAGCCCCATCTTTGTCCCCTACCCCACTCCCCTTTGCCTTCTGCTCTACTTTCCAGGAAATTATACCAAACTTTTCTCTCACATACAGATGTTACTACATGTTATAACTTATCTGTAGAAGACTCATCTCCCCCATTTTATCTGGTTAATTCCTGTTTATTCTTTAATTAATTCAAGATGGATTAAAGACTTACATGTTAGACCTAAACCCATAAAAACCCTAGAAGAAAACCTAGGCAGTACCATTCAGGACATAGACATGGGCAAGGACTTCATGTCTAAAACACCAAAAGCAATGGCAACAAAAGCCAAAATTGACAAATGGGATCTAATTAAACTAAAGAGCTTCTGCACAGCAAAAGAAACTACCATCAGAGTGAACAGGCAACCTACAAAATGGGACAAAATTTTTGCAACCTACTCATCTGACAAAGGGCTAATATCCAGAATCTACAATGAACTCAAACAAATTTACAAGAAAAAAACAAACAACCCCATCAAAAAGTGGGCGAAGGATATGAACAGACACTTCTCAAAAGAAGACATTTATGCAGCCAAAAAACACATGAAAAAATGCTCATCATCACTGGCCATCAGAGAAATACAAATAAAAACCACAATGAGATACCATCTCACACCAGTTAGAATGGCAATCATTAAAAAGTCAGGAAACAACAGGTGCTGGAGAGGATGTGGAGAAATAGGAACACTTTTACACTGTTGGTGGGACTGTAAACTAGTTCAACCATTGTGGAAGTCGGTGTGGCGTTTCCTCAGGGATCTAGAACTAGAAATGCCATTTGACCCAGCCATCCCATTACTGGGTATATGCCCAAAGGATTATAAATCATGCTGCTATAAAGACACATGCACACGTATGTTTATTGTGGCACTATTCACAATAGCAAAGACTTGGAACCAACCCAAATGTCCAACAATGATAGACTGGATTAAGAAAATGTGGCGCATATACACCATGGAATACTATGCAGCCATAAAAAATGAAGAGTTCATGTCCTTTGTAGGGACATGGATGAAACTGGAAACCATCATTCTCAGCAAACTATCGCAAGGACAAAAAACCAAACACCACATGTTCTCACTCATAGGTGGGAATTGAACAATGAGAACACATGGACACAGGAAGGGGAACATCACACTCCGGGGACTGTTGTGGGGTGGGGGGAGTGGGGAGGGCTAGCATTAGGAGATATACCTAATGCTAAATGACGAGTTAATGGGTGCAGCACACCAACATGGCACATGTATATACATATGTAACAAACCTGCACATTGTACACATGTACCCTAAAACTTTAAGTACAATAAAAAAAAAAAAAGAACCAGCTTAGATATCCCTTCCTCTGGATGGCTTCTCTGGACCTCCCCACTCCCAAACCCACCCCAAGAATACTTCTTACACTCTAGCAGGTATACTTACACACTCCAGGGCTCCCCTTTTTACCTATCTTGTCATTTATTCCTAGAGCTGACACTATATCTGGCACATAGTAAGAGCTCAACAAACATAGACATATTAGAATAAATGTAGTATGTTCATGTTTTTGTACATGTAGTATTTACATGTTTTCATGTAAATGAAAAAAGATGCTTTAGGGCTGGTGTCAGCTGACATGGCCCTGAAGAATGCACATGAAATTGTTTTTTTCTACCTCCAGTATATAACACTGGACATTGATACCTCACGTCTGCCTTATACAGTTTCGTGACCTGAAATTGAAGGGACAACAATTACATGAATCATGTCAGTACACTAAATTTACTTTATAAGTGTGAACTTAAGTATGGAGATACATGTGATGAAATAATGTGGACATCTGTCATATTCATCAAAATAGAAATTACGATGAAAGAAATGAGTATCATCTACTTTTTTCTTATCAGATTATTTCCATCTAATTGTCTTGTTTCTGTTTGTGCCTTGGCAGGAATATTAAATTGCGTGTGAGTAGGATGGCAATTTAAGTGATGTGACATCCTCCTTTTGCTTCTAGCAAAATGATGTAGTAATAAAGATGATGCTAAGATACCCTTTACAGACAAGGCAGCCATTTGGCTGACTGTTAATGTGACTGAATAATTAAATTCCTATATCTCATTGATAGTGATCAATGCAGTAGTAATTTTCTACACGATTGTAAGCTGATTGGAAGCCTGATCCAGAATTATTTTTCTCCACCCTGCCACATTCAATACTTTCATGAATACCTGAGATAAATTATAAAGAAAATGCTGTTTACATTCATAAATGTAAACAGAGCTGAAGAGGTAGTATTCAGTATTCAGGTATTTCTCAACAGTCACTCGATAAGTATGCATTCAGTGTCTATACAGTATATATATCGAGTGCCTACTAGGTTCCAAGTATCGTAGTGGCTTCTCTGGTAGTTTTACAACATAGTTGTGAACAAGCCATATATCCTTATTTATAAGGCCTTACAATATAACAGCTAAGTAGACACAAATCAAAAAATTACAGAGAATTACTTAATTAAAATTGGGATGCATGCCTGTATTTGAAGAGGACAGAAGCAAGGAAGTCTAATTTAACTGAGGTTATATCAGAAAGTATACACTGAGTAGTTGAAAGTAATATACTTCCTTTGTAATATAAAGAACTGGAGTAATGAGCAGATTATACTATAATGAAATTGAACACAAGTTGATTCTAAACTGAATTCCAAATCATTACCTTCAGAGGAATTGAAGGGAGATGATGTGGCTTGGCAACATCCCCCAAAACAATTGTAGAAACATCTTTAGTTTAATGAGGAAAGGATTGGAAGGAGAAATGAGAATTGTCTGCAAATATTTGAAGAGCTGTCACATGGAAGAAAGACAAAGTATTTTACAATTATCTGGAGGGCAGAACAAAGACTAGTGTGGGGAACCTTAAGAAGGCAGATTTCTGCTCTACGAAAAGAAGGTTAACAGCTGGAACTGTCTGAATGTAGAATAGGCTACACCGAGGGAGCCATTGACAATTTTGAAGCAGAGGAATGACATGCCATCCAGAACCAGAGTCTAATGTTAGAGGAGTATCAGTCATAATTTCCATTGTTGGGAGGATAGGCTGCCTGTGCGCTCAAGATATTGCCAGCTGTCAGAAGCCGCTTTGTCTTTATGCCCTGGGCTATGGGATTTCCGGATCTTCAACAGGGGGCTTATCTGGCTCTAGGATAAATCTATTGGCTAAAATTTCAGTGATTTACTAGAGTGGAGAAAAGAGAAACATTTCCTAACTTCAATGGGAAAAGAAGCATCCATTTGTAACATGTCACATAGAAAACCTACTCAGATGTAGCTGAGGATTGAAATCTTTCATTATTTTATCTAGTCATTTGCTTACTCTGCAAAATTTGCAGAGTATGGCATTTCATGATTTGAAAGATATAAAGCTGAATTGGTTGTGGCTCTTGACTGTATGTAGTTTAGGGTCTAATGGAGAAGATGGATGTAAATGTAAAGCTATAGTCAAGAGAAGGAGACATTTATTATAACAAAATTGTTAAGAATAATTAGATTATTTAAATATCAAACATTTTGCCAACATGGGAAAGTGTTTGCTATTTTCACTATTTTCAATAATTACCAGTAATTAATTTTCTGAAGGCATGCCAGTCATAATGCAAATATTAGATAGTATAGAAGTAAACCATATAGAAAAGAAGTTAGATTATTAAATAAATTCACCATGCTAAGAAAATTTTACATTCTGAGAAGTCTTGTCTTTTACTGAATCAAATCAAAACACTTAGGAATATGCTCACAAAATTTAGCCAGTATCATCTCCAAGTGACATGCTAGCACATTTTTCTGCATGCACTTATCTGATACTGCGATACTCACCACACTTTCCGTGAGATAAGTATGGCAATATTAGATGAGTGTATGCAGAATCCATCCATTTTTTTTTTTGCCTTTCTCGTGTTCTTCATCATTTGTAACTTTATGTATTCTGTACTTAAAGGTACAATTAATTAGTTGCATGACTGCTTTGACACTTTCTATTTGAAGATTGCAGTTGACTTATCTTCCTCCCCCACAGACTCTAAATGTTATAACTCCATATCTTCCATTTTTCTTGTAAGGTTTCAAGACAGGGCCAGTAAAGTGGGCACCTCCAAATGTACATGGTTGATTCTGAAAATTGAAGGAGCTGGAGGCTGTAGTAGACATCAAATCAATCATTACACATGTTAATTTTAATGTGATTTCCAACAAGTATTTACAAGTTATATACTGATCATTTCTTAAAGGGGTAATTTAAAAATTCAAAATGTTTATAGAGAAATAAGAGAGTTTTTATGAATATTCCATAGGATTTGGAGAAATACAAGGCTAGCTTTTAATATGAATTCAACTATTTATATGAATTCAGGCAATTTCATTAGGCTATCTGAACCTGTGATTACAGCCACCTGTTAGATGGGGAGAAAAATAGATTTTATGTGATCAGCATTATATATGTAAATGGTTGAGCACAATGTGTGGCATTAAAAAAGCTCTTAATGAATGTAATTGTCATTATAATAATATTTGACTAGACAAAAATAGGGAGGTCAAATAATTTGTTTAATAATCAAAATAATGAAAATGAGACCTGAGTAATATTTCAGTGTACACACATTTTAAAGATAATATATTCAAATAACATCGTAACTGTAGTAATGTAACAATATTAGGATTTTTAGTGTGTGAAGGTATATTTTGAGGAGCATGGCTGGCACCTGGTATACTCAAATCTACACGATGCTTCAAGTTGTCCCCATGAATGTAAAGCACTGACCAAACCACTGTGGAGGAAATGAGAAATCATCTGTCTTTCTTGACCTCAAGAGGCGGAGTACAGTGGTAAAGATACAGCTTACACACAATAATTGTAAGGCAAATAGAAATTACCAGTATTAGTTAAGCATATTAGGTGCTATTCAGGTTCAAAAGAAAGCCACTTTTAAGGGCAGAGAAAGGAAAGTGTGTGTGTGTGTGTGTGTGTGTGTGTGTGTGTATGTATGCATTATTGGGTAAAGTAAAGATAGTAACTCAGAACTGTATTTCTCATATTCCTTTTTACTGTGAATTGAATACCTGGTTTCATTTTGCTCCCCATTAATCTCTGAAGTCATCAGTGTAGCCAGGGAAATCTCCATGTGTTTCTGTAAATGAATTTTTAGGGGATAACTATTGTTCCAGAAGCCAGAGGTCCTTTTTAAAGAGACTCATGAGAGCTGGAACATATTTTTTGTGCCTCAGAATGGGAATGGCAAGAATATTCTTACCTCATCCTGTAATCCCACAGCAGCCATGTACTATATTTACCAGTAGTACTGTGTTTTGGCTTGGCACTATGTTGCCCATGGTGATCATAAAAGCAGGCAGAGGAAATGAAGGAAACGCTGCCTGGTTCAATCACACCCTTTTGCAAATTGTTATTCTATCCTCCCTGAATGCTTTTCATATAGGTGCTTCACTAAAGACATTACTTCTTTTTTTTTTACTGCAGATAATAATTAGAGTGTTTGTATGATGTATTTTCATTTCTACACAAGAATATTTGAAGGTAAGGATGCCATGCATTTTTTTGGACAAACTCTTATATGAAGATAACTTAAATGCATTTCCTTAGAATTGTCTAATTTTTCAACTGCAGTGTAATTACTCTCTATTTTTTAGGGAAATCTTGTTATTTCAACCCATATGTAGAAATAATTTTTGTCTATTTTAATATGCTGGCAATCTAATTTAAAATTTTCTAAAAATAAATTTAGTGTGAAACTGACTCCTTAATTTGGGAGGAAGGTTGCACACCCAAGGCATTAATGTCATAAACTTTATTTATGTAATTCTTTAAGAACTTTAATCCTTGCGTTTTCTTATTTCTAATTATTAATAAGGATTTCTTATTAATCATTGAGTGTTATTATTAAAAACAGAACAAAGGGATTCATTTGAGAGAATTCATGCACAATGGCTATGTTCAGGTCTGTGAGAATATGTTATCTGAATTTATAACCTCCTTGCATTTATTGGCAGCTTTACACTGGCAGACATAAAGAAATTGAATGAAGGTTAAATTAAGTACAGTCAACATAGTAACTATAATAAATTCTGAAAGAAAGACCTTGAAACTTCTCTTAGACACAGAGTGACAGAATTTAATCACTGAAAACTATAAAATATTACAATCTTGGAATTGGAATCGCCCATAACTTTGTGAGATACCATCTCATGCCAGTCAGAATTGCGATTATTAAAAAGTCAAAAAACAATAGATGCTGGCAAGGCTGTGAAGAAATAGGAATGCTTTTACACTGTTGGTGGGAATGTAAATTAGTTAAACCATTGTGGACGATGGTGTGGCGATTTCTCAAGGATCTAGAACCAGAAATGCCATTTGACCCAGCAATCCCATTACTGGGTATATACCCAAAGGAAGATAAATCATTCTACTATAAAGACACATGCACACGTATGTTTATTGCAGCACTATTTTCAATAGCAAAGACATGCAACCAACCTAAATGCCTATCAACAATAGACTGGATAAAGAAAATGTGGTACATGTACACCATGGAATACTATGAAGCTATAAAAAAGAATGAGATCGTGTCCTTTGCAGGGACGCAGATGAAGCCAGAAGCCATCATCCTCAGCAGACAATCACAGGAACAGAAAACCAAGCACCGCATGTTCTCACTTATAAGTGGGAGTTGAACAATGAGAACTCATGGACACAGGGAGGGAAACATCACACACTGGGGCCTGTCGAGGGGTGGGGGCCAAGGGGAGGGATAGCATTAGGACAAATACCTAATGCTTGCAGGGCTTAAATCCTAGATGACGGGTTGATAGGTGCAGCCAGCCACCATGGTACATGTATACATATGTAAGAAACCTGCATGTTCTGCACATGTATACAGGAACTTACAGTAAAGTTAAAAAAAAAAAAAAAAAGAAAGAAAGTTAATTCATATCCGGTGCTAGAGCAATCCCTTGATTTGAGATTTTTTTTGTTTTCAATGATAAGAAGTGTTTTTTATCAGGATTGTCAATGATCATTATAATCTGGCCAATTTGTTTGTTTTAATTCCGAAAAATTGTTCATGATTTAGTGGATGACTTCTTTCGTCCTGAGCCACTCACCTCTCTCCCTACCACCACTATACTTGTGACAATGTAGAAGTATCCATGGGTACCATAGCGGAGCCAGATTGTATAAAAGTTATTGGTGTGTATGTGTGTGTGTGTGTGTGTGTGTGTGTGTGTGTTTGGGAGTGAGTGTGAGACAGTTCAATACCTTGATATTAGTAGGCCTACCTAGAATCTCTTTAGAAGCTCCTCAATATTCCCAGACTTGTCCTAAGGCCACTGTGTTGTTGGCATATGAAAAAATGCCATATATTAGACCTGCTAGGAATTTCAGAAGACAGTGTGTTCTTCTAAAAACGAGAGTGCTATTGAAACCTATCCATTCACCTAATAGTGTACTTAGAAAGGTGTTGTCAAGCCTTACTGAGGATGCTAACATTCAGAATTTCCATGTTATACCCTGATCTGTACTGATTCTAGTGCCATTC
Source organism: Homo sapiens (assembly GCF_000001405.40). Classification (NCBI taxonomy): domain Eukaryota; kingdom Metazoa; phylum Chordata; class Mammalia; order Primates; family Hominidae; genus Homo; species Homo sapiens. The sequence goes on from NC_000011.10 coordinate 26,415,399, forward strand.
TTTTTCACTGCAAAGGGCCTATAATTTATACAGTCAGTAAAAAGCAAAAAAGTAATGTCAATGAAAATGCATATTTGAATCATAAATTATGGTTTCAGTTTCTGCTAATAGAGACAAAACAGCTAGTAGGACAGTCTTTTGAATCTAGGCTTGATTTTGCATTTTTTTTGTTTCATCTTTCCTATTGCAAAAAGAGCTTACATGTCCTTATTTATTGTTCCATTTTCCTTTTTAAAGAATAGGAAATAAAAATTCTGAAACATCTCTGTTGTTTTGTGTAGCACACTGAAAGAAAACCTATCAAGGAGCAGTGACTTCTTGAAAACCAAGGGAAATACAGCCAGGCACATGTTCTCTTTTCCTCTGTCATTGAACCGGGTATTAAATCTCTGCACAATGTGAATGATTTTGAAAGCATTATTTTCTATAATGTCAGTCTGTCAATGTTAAATAGATCATTATTCTATAGTCACAAAATTAGAACAATTGTATTCAGACAGCTTTTAAAAGAAAATTTTGAGGTGATGGACTCCCTTGAGGTTTTTGACATTAGACTTTGAATTGAATCGATTATTCTTAAATTTCTTATTGTTTTCAGTTTGATATAATGATTATACTTTTATGCATTGATTTTTTTAGTCATTAGCAATTGTTTTCTTATTGAATTCCATTTTACATAACAAGAGGCCTTGCTTTAGAAAACCCAAACATAGTCTCCATAAGAGCATCTAAACTTTATTCTCCTTCTCTACCCTAAGTAAAATAGTATGCATTTTAGGCAGTTTTTTTGTTGTCCCTCAGATTTATTTGAGAGTTGATATTTCTGATAAATTTTAATAATGGACAAATAATGCTAGCATAGAATTCCTGAAGATTTGTATTTGTTGTGTTAAGAAAAAGATTTAGTTGACACCCAGGGTAATTATTTTCAAGGCTTAATATGGATTAATGAGAAAGATATGCAGAGAAGACACAAGATACACTCAGGAAAAGCTTCAGTGTTTTCCTGTTTTAGTTTTTTTTTTCTTTCTTTCTTTCTTTTTTTTTGAGACAGAGTCTGGGTCTGTGTCCAGACTGGAGTGCAGTGGCAAGATCTTGGCTCACTGCAACCTCCTCCTCCCAGGTTCAAACGATTCCCCTGCATCAACCTCCCGAGTAGCTGGGACTACAGGTGTGCTCCACCATGCCCAGCTAGTTTTTTGTATTTTAGTAGAGATGGGGTTTCACCATGTTGGCCAGGATGGTCTCGATCTCCTGACCTGGTGATCCACCCACCTCGGCCTCCCAATAGTTTTAGTTTTTTCTGAGTAGGGTCTTAGCCTCAAAATTTTCAGTGAAATTATTGGCTCTGCTGAAACTGAACTCTACTTAAGATATAAAATAACAGCAAATCTAGTGGCCTCCTACATCTGTTTCTTCTAGGCCTACACCTAATTTTGAATATTGATATCACATACTTTCAAAGCCTGGGTAAACACAAGGAAATGTTGAAGGAAAATTATTTATCTCTAAGGTGTGGTCTAAATTGGCTAAACTATCCTCTAATAGTTTTACTGTTTTCAGCTTCAACTTCACAAGTCCCAGTGCATAGGAAACAAATGTAGCAAAGAGGCAAGACCAAGAAAAAATATACTAGAGTTTATAATCTCTTTAGTTAACATACTATTGGATTCATTCTCTAGAACCATGGCACAAGAGCAAGATTATAAGGATACTCTTGTTCCCATGATTCTAGAAAATGAATCCAATGATATGTTATCTAAAGAAATTACAGCAAAAGCTTAGACAACTAAAGCAAAAATAAGTAAATGGTACTACATCTATAACCTCTATAAGTGTGTTTTCAGTAACATTATTCATAATCGCAAAAAGACTGGACACAACCCAAATATCTTTCAGGAGGTGAATGGATAAACTGCGAGACATCTACAAAATGGAATTTCTACTTAGTAATAAAAACGAACAAATTCCTGATACTCACAAAAAATATGGATAATTCTCAAATGCCTTTTGTTGAGTAAAAGTGACACAGGCAAGCTCCAAAATTGGGGCTTGGCCTGGGAGGATTCTTCGCTTTGCACAGGAAATAATTCAAGAGTGAACAAACAGGATAAAGGGAAAGCAAGGCAAGTTTATTAGAGCAACAGAGTATAGGAAAATGGCTGCTCCATAGACAGAACAGAGGCACATCATAGGAAGAGTGGTACCTGTAGGTTACTGGTTAGCTATTATAAAGAATATTAAAGTATACATATTTTTTAAAATATTATAATCTAATATTATAATCTGCCTGGTGAATGTAAAGTATTATGTTTAAAATATGATTTTTAAAAATGAAGGCCCAAACAATATGAAATTAAAACTCAAGTTCTGACTTTCTCTAAAATAAATATTACTGAAAAGAGTAGGTGGCTAATAATAGGTGGTAAATTAACTATTAGTAAAACAAAAATAATAAAGTTAATAGGGACAACATTATATTCTACCTTTACTACATATTTTTAGTCTTTAAAAAATGGCTTTTCAAAATACCAAAGTAACAACTACAATTTTCTCACCCTGAACTGGTTGAAAAAAGTATGGAGAATCAATAGTATGTTCTGTTTTCTTCTAGCATTAGTAAAATAAATTTTCCCATTCTTAGGGTTTTGAAATTAGTATTCAATGATAAAATATCAAACTATGTTCAAAAAAGATGTATAAATTTTCAGCCTTTGGCACAGCATGGAGAAACCCACAAGTAAGAACAGCAGCAGGTGGCAAGAAGTGGGAAGTTCTATGGTTACAAATGTTAATAATAGGCTAAAAATATAAAACAGGTTGTGCCCTGATGCAGTACTGCTTAGACTAGTCAGGGTATGTTTGGGTTCACATTCTACACATCAACAAAATTGCTTTTAGTTGAGTTACTGATTTTACCAATAACAGAGTGTGGCTGGAAGAGACTGGAACGTATTTTTAGTTTTTTAAAATGCCATCATAAACCCGTGAGATATCATGGGGGACTTCAGAACCTCCCCATTCTGAAACAGGGTGTAATAATGGGTTTGCTTCCTGGGTCCATGTAACTCCACCAAAATCCAAATGCCATTTTGAGATCTTTGCTGTGGAGCAGGCTATATGGCTCTTCCCCATTCCCCTTAGCAACAGTGTAAACATTAAAAAACTTTGCTGCTTGCCAGAAATACTGTAAGACTTTACATGTTACTTCCTAATCTAAACCACATTTGTTCTCATTGGGAATCTCCTTCCATGAAGCAGGCAGGGATGATCAGGAGTCCCATTTTACTGCTACAAACAAACAAGCGCGCGCGCGCACACACACACACTGTCTCTCTCTCTCTCTGCACGTTGTGTCCTTCAAGCTTATATATAAAATACTTGGGGGTACCTTCACAAAATAGGAGTAAATGAAGAGGCATAGATTACAGGCACATGTTATAGGATGAAGAACTGTCAATTGCCAGAATTCCTCCAGTGATCTACACTTGGACTAATACAGAAAACTGGTACCAAGGGGTGGGGCTCTAACCCATGGGGACACAAAATTTTCTGTATTAGTCTATTCTCACACTGCTATAAAGAAATACCTAAAATTCGGTAATTTATGAAGAAAGATGTGTAATTGGCTCATTGTTCTGCAGGCTGTACAGAAAGCATGATGCTGGCATCTACTTGTCTTCTGGGGAAGCCTCAGGAAACTTACAATCATGGCAGAAGGCAAAGAGGAAGCCAGCACTTCCCATGGCCAGAGCGGGAGGAAGAGAGAGAAAGGGGAGGTGCTACACACTTTTAAGCAACCAGATCTTATGAGAACTCTATCATGAGAACAGCACTAGGGAGATGGTGTTAAATCATGAGGAATTGCCCCCATCATCTAATAACCTCTCATCAGGTGGAGATTTGGGTAGGACGCAGATCCAAACCACACCATGTGTGGAATTATGCTCTCAGATAAGCCACTTTTTCTTATTCTGTTTCTGATTTTCACGTCTATTGGGTCAGAGTTTTATCTGTTTTGTTCACTGCTATTTCTCTATTGTCTAAAAAGAATGCCTACCATGTATTGCAATAAACAGCACATTTCTGAACAAATTAGTAAAGTAATTAATTAATAGGATTTTTTTCAGTCTTTAATTTAGTAATTATTCATTTGGATACTGTCTATGTATGCAGACCCAGTGCAAAGTACTGAAGCTGTGTGTCTGAACAAGACAAACATGAATTTTGCCCTCATGGAATGGACTTATAAACTGGAGAGGCCATATGTGGAATACTAAGCTAATAAATGAATGGAAACATAATAAGTTCTATTAAAGCAAAGTACGTATTGTTAAGAGAACATATAGCAAGGAAAATGAGCTTATTTGGGGTAGGGTATGTGACTTTGAATGGGATGTTTTTATGGTGAGGAAGGTTTTAACTATGAAACAATATGTGTGATTTAGTTGAAGAGGAAAGAAACAAAACATTCAAAGCAAAAAGGTTAGGATGTAGAAAATTCTGTTTAGTGGTTGCAAATTAGAGAATAGTGCACAAAGATGAAGGTAAAAATGAGGACACTCGTTGCACCTCCCGGAGTCTTAAAACATAATTTCATTAGTTTATACAGCCCTTCATGACTTTCTTTCTTTTGGTATTTTGTCTTGTATTAAAATTTTTAGAGAGCTTTCTTCATGTACCTTGATATATTGTAATCGAATTAGATACATTTTGATTTTGCTAGTTACTCTTAAGGGCTGAATGTATATTGTTGACCTTTGTGTCCTGCTAGCAAGCAAACTCAAAAGTAAATCAAACTCAATAGTTACCTTCTCCATGTTTACTTCTAAACATCTTAGAGTACTTACAGTATATGGAAAAAAAATTAAATTTTAGTCTCTGGTGGTAGAAGTGCATATGTTGCTTTCTACTCCCAAAAGTTATGCTGAAAGTTTCTCTGAAGTTATATACCTGTATATTTGTAATAGGTAATCTCCATTTGTGCCTCCAGATTCATCCTGCCCCTCTTACCAGTTTACCATGTGCCCCAGGAAGCAGATATCTAAGGACTGCAACAATCCAGTGTTCTCATGAACTGTAGCTACTGTTTAGGTTTGACCAGTGGGAGACACCAGCAGCAGATTTAGATGTAGATAAGAGAGAGGTTGGGCTATTTGTTCCTCTGGCTCTGTCTGTGCCGGTCTATTGTTTGGCAGTGGCTGTAATCCTCAATCTAAGCACATGGATTCTTCCAGATTTCCTCTCCCTTAGCTATAATTGTCTCTAGGTTCTTATATCTTGTTCCTTCAGGCCTCAGAATGATAAAGGTTTCTGGCCCTTGTTAGTTGTAGGAAGCTTCATCAACTCTTTATTGGTTTCTTTTCATCCTGGCCACAATCTTGTAAATATTCCCTTCATTAAATTTATTTCAGATGCTCTGAATTAACCATCTGTATTCTACCAGGACTCTCTTACAATGGGCATTATTTTTTTCTTTTTAAAAATGAGAGTAGATATGAAAATAAGTGAAAAACAAAGTATTACAAAGGAAGTTTCTGAGTAAACAAAGAAGTAGTGTGTTATATTGCAAAGAGCAGAGGCTTTGAAATCAGATGGACCTGGTTTGTTTCAGGTTCTAACACTTCCTAGATGTGGGACTTGACACAAGTTTCTAAGTCCTTTGTGAGGATTTTCACACATAAAATGGGGATGACAGATCCTAACGGGACTCTTAAGATAATAATTTTTTTCCCTATGATCAGGAGACAGAGGATGTTATGGAAATTAATATCACCTACAGGATAAACTTGGTAATTTGTAGGCACGAAATACATAATTATTTTTATCACTAGCAATAATGTCCACTAAAATGGCTACATAGCTCAAGTAATCACTCAGAAATACTCTTTTCAAGAGGACAGAGCTATAATGATTTTGACAAGGAAGACAAATTAGAAAATTCTGTGTCCATTTATGCTTTTTTCTTCAGTGATTATTATATGAATGAATATGCTTTGACTACACCCAATAGTATAGAAAAGTGTATTCAGATTTTATAAAATTACATAGCATCCCCAAGACACCACCCACTCTAAGCCCATCAGTTTTAATATAGGTATGAAGACTTACTAAGCCCCACAGGCAGACAAATATACTTGTTATTTTTAAAATTTTTCTTTTATAGACATGATGTAAAAATCTGTTAGGTAATAATATCAAGGTATCTTGCTATATTCTAAAGTTATTCTAACAGTTTACTTGGTAGGCTTTATCAAGCACATGTATGTTCATTGCAGCCCTATTCACAATTGCAAAGACATAGAATCAGTGATAGACTGGATAAAGAGAATGTGGTACATATATACCATGGAATACCATGCAACTATAAAAAAGAATGAAATCATGTACTTTGCAGAGAAATGGATGGACCTTGAGGCCATTATCCTTAGCAAACTAACACAGGAACAGAAAACCAAATATCGCATGTTCTCACTTTTATAAGTGCAAGCTAAATGATGAGAACACATCAACACATAGAGGGGAACAACACACACTGGGGCCTTTCAGAGGGTGGAGGGTCGGAGGAGGGAAAGGATCACAAAAATTAACTAATGGGTACTAGGCTTAATAGCTGGGTGATGAAGTAATCTCTGCAACAAATGCCCACGACACAAGTTTACCTATGTAACAAACCTGAACTTGTACCCCTGAACTTAAAAGTTGAAAGAAAGGAAAACTATTATGTAAAATAACATATGAGCTTTTCTTCATGTTTCCTTAGGATGAGTTAATTTTCTTGATGAGAAATTTTACTAAGAGGGGACATCTTTTGAAAAATTGTACTTTACACTGAGAACAATCAACCAGTTATTATTTACTTTTCAATTTTCTCTTTGAAGTTTTCTAAGGATCTATTTTTCCAGTTAAGAACTCCGTATCAGCAGAAAGCCCATTGAATTAAATGATATCTGAATAGCAGCTTCTCCTCCTTGGAGCAATGTCAGTTGTGAATTATATGAATGCCTTTTTAAAAGATATCTGTAATTACATGTCTTGGACCTTCATGTATACCCAAGTAAAGCTATTATCTCATGAGATACTTCTAAATATGGGAACACTTATGAAGTGTACTTAGAACTGTCGAAAGTTGCATTAAATGTTACTTTAGGAAAATCTGTTCTGCATGTAAGAAAGGACACATTTCCTATGGGTTTACAGGTTATTCTTGAACTTCAGAGCTACACATGCTTACCAAAACTGATCTGTCCTCTATTTTTAGCTTTAGATGGGTTGTAATCTGATACTAGTCAAGAATACCAGGTTAAACTATAGAAGAAAAGAAATGGAACTTTGGAACAGAGAAGGAAAAAAACTGAATATGCTGTGGGGGTAATTTTAGTCATTCCAAGCAAAGAACACATACTGCTAGTAATGCCAAGCAAGGATGTGATGGCATTTGATGAGAAATGTTGAAAAGAAACTTTGTACTCTGAGAACATTAGGATATCAGATTTTCAGTTTAGATTGTGTCAGTTTCTAGCAAAGATAATCCTTATAATAGCTTTGGAAACACTTGATAGTTCAGAAAATGAAAAAGCACCGCATTAAAGATATATGGGCAGGAAAACATAGGGCAGTAGGAAGGCTGTTTGTTTCATCTTTAATGTTATTTTCTCTATTTCTTTAAGTGTTACATTTGACTACTATTTTCAGCCATAACGTATGTATGGAGAGTCTTCTCTGGACTTTCTTATGTGCCTAATCCTATGAAGAAAAATGTTAAACCCAAGAACTACAAATCAATAGAAACATAGAAGAAGGAATATGTGAAAAGAAGAATCAGTGTTTTTGAAGTCTTCACAGATACTACTACCTGGATTAGGGGTTCCTTGTGGGTGGTTTTATAATACCCTGTATATACCTTTATACTTTTTTTTTTTTTTTTTTAACAATTTGTGCATCTACTTCCCCTGTGAATAAGCACTATTTTACAACCAATACTGAATTAATGCCTGGCATAGGGAAATAACTCAAAAATTGTTTAGAATTATTGAATAAGTGATTGAATATCTGAATGAATAAACATTAGTCTTGAAAAAATAATTGATAATTATTTTGTGTAACTTGGTTACACAAGTTAATTTACACCAAATTTCATTATTCATATCAATTTTTTTTAAAAAAAAGATCAACGTAAGAAATACAGTTTGGTGATGGTAGGTAGACATTTCCTATTCATATGTGCCAAGCACAACGTGTTCATTTTTTATCAAAATATATTTTCGAGTTTGCCAAGATCGTGGATATAGAATTATACTTTCTGAGCTTTGCTTTAGCTCCATGGTTTCTATATTCAGAGCTTCCTGCTTAAAATTTGTGTGTTATTTATACCACGGGAAGTCATGGTAATGCACCATCCAGGATAGGGTACGTGAGGAACTGTGGAGCATACTGAAAAGGTTATGGGCTTTGGAATCTAATAGCTATAACTTTACAATTCAGTTCTGCCAGTTGCTAGATTTGTGACTGTAAGTAAGTAAATTTCTTAACCTCTCCTAGTTTCATTTCCCATCTATGACGTAGGCATTGTTTAAAAATGTTTTTTTTTTAATTTTGGCAAATGCAGTTATTTAAGAATAGTGCATAAGACATATGAATTTGTGGAAATTAAAGGATAAATAAGTGAATTAAGTAATTAACCTCCCAAAGAACAAAAGAATATTTATCTCCAACTCGGATTGCAGCAATAACTACCTCTTTCTCTCACTTACTACACTGCAAATAGATTTTTTTTACTCTTATAAATACATTGCAATCTATCCTACGTTATGGCTTTTATACATGTTATTATCTTTGACTAAAATCTCCCCCCCCACACACACACACATACACATAAACACATTTCTATATGTCAGTTTTTTTTTCATTTTTCACTTAACATGTCACTTCTTCTGAGAAAATTTCTCAAAGTAGGTTCCCTTTATTACTCTCTATTATATAACACTGCCTGTGTTTTCACAGCATTTCAGACAATTTATATGTATGCACATATTTATCTGTTTGGTAAATGTCTGACTCTGTTTTTCAGTGGCCTTCAGCCTAGGGCCCAGGGTATGCTAAGAGCATTTTACTCTCAGTCCAACATTTTTACTATCAGCTAACACCATTTTCTATCTGTGTACCTCCCCTTGTTCCCCCCAAAACTCCATATATTTTTACTTGTCTGTTCTGCTAGAGTAACAGGCTATTCTCAACCAGGGCTCGGAAATAGAAAGCTGATCACTTAATATTCTACATCAGTATTTCTTAAACAAGAGAAAGTATTAGACCACCTTACAAATGATTAATTGACATAAAAACTTACTAGGAGAGGTAGATCCTATGCTATTTCTTGGACCTACTATAGAAAACATCAGTCAGTCTTCAACTAAGGGGAACTGTATGGTGTTTTAGTAGTATTTCATTGAATCTTGGGGGAATTCCTCTTCAAAATAGTATTTTATACATATATATATATATTTGTATACTTTAAGTTCTAGGGTACATGTGCACAACGTGCAGGTTTTTTACATATGTATACATGTGCCATGTTGATGTGCTGCACCCATTAACTCGTCATTTACATTAGGTATATCTCCTAATGCTATCCCTCCCCCCCACCCCACAAGAGGCCCCGGGGTGTGATGTTCCCCTTCCTGTGTCCAAGTGTTCTTGCTTGTCATAATAGAGTTACAGAAAGCTAAGAGACTGAGTACTTTTCTTCCAGTCAATTCTTCCTTTCCCCTGTTTCTAGTTCACGTTTTATTTTCACACTGACAATTAATATAAAAATAAACAAATAAATAAATATTTCTATAAAGCAGAAAGATAAAATCCCCACTCCTAGGGTTATCTGATTTTCATCTGTTCAACCATGTCTTATTTCAGTAGAAATTATTTCAAACATTCCCCTATCACTTCCTTTTCAGGATTCCCATTTGCCTCAAAGGGCTTGCACTTCGGTATCTCTGCTTGTGTTTCTTTAAATTAATACATTTGAAGAGTTCTTTAGAAATTTCAGTTTACTCATAAAGTGACCACAAAATTATATAGGTAAAACAATTGAAACAAACAATATGAGTGAAATATAGTTTTTTTTATCTTAAGGTAAATATAACTACTGAAATTGTATTCTATTTCATTTTTATTCCTGCTCACACTTATTATGACCCTGATTATATTCTGTCTGAAAAGTGAAATTAAGTAACTGCAAAACAAAAGTTTCATTAATTGAAAATGTATTTGCAGTATCTTTTTCACCTTTCAACTATTTCATTCAAAATTTGCTTTAATATAGAGAATCAGCACACAAGGTGGGTGAATAGGGAGGGTGGTGGAAGTAAATGTATCTCAGTTATGTTCACTCTGTGTTTTATCCACAATTGCTATGGTCTTTTCTAAGTGTCTTATTTATTTCAGCGTCTGTGTACTTTGGAGTAAATGGATGGTGTTTTAGGAGTTTTCAATTGGTTAATGGATACATAATTTGGTGGCTTTAGAATTAGAAAAAGCTTGGAATATATATTCCCTCTGTGCCTACTTATCTGTGTGATATGTTACTTTTCCCGTGTAGTCTTAGTTTCTCCACAACTATTACAAGTTCCAAAGTCTGTCTTTTATTATTGATGTAAAATTAAATGAAACACACACTTATTACATATAATACATAGTATATAAAATACTGTGTGTGTGTCTGTAAATGGGTGCACTCAGTACTCGCAAATCAATAAGAAAAGTCTAACAATACAGCTATAACATAACTTAGTCACTTAAACATTATAACTAGCTAGGAAATACATGAAAACATGCTCACATGCTGGAAAATGAAATTTAAGACAATGAAGCTTTTGTTGTTGACTTTTTATTTTGTCTGTAATTAAAAGTTATAGTATCTGGAGTTGGCCAAGGCATAAGGAAATGGACCCCATCTTGTGCTATTCACGTAAGTGTGAAAAGATAAAACTTTAGGGAGGGTAGTTTGGCATGTCTAGTCCAAATGATAAATATTTATGTCCTCCAACTCAGTATTTGTACATTGAAGTATTTCCTTTTAGAGAAACACTCAAGATTTGAAAAAAAAAGCACATATATGAATGCTCATAAGCAGTATTATTTTAAAGGTAATTCTTGAAAAATACCTAAATATCCACTGACAGGCAAATGATCAAATAAAGTATGGTTTGCCCATACTTCGTATTATTTTGAAAAGTCTAGAATAGCTGTCTCCTTGAACTAGTGAAACATGGTGGTGGGAAAGGAGTGAGCTGCCTTGTGCCACAACTGCCACCACACATGTAGTAATAGACTAGAATGATGTTAGAAAACAAAAATATGGTCACCTATCAGAGTCTGCAGCCCAATATCAAGAAGCTGCTAACATGCTGCAGCAACGGTTGTGAAGATTCCATGAACTGTTAGACGTAGAAACATCTTAAAAACTGTCAAACACTTTAAACTTTGGAAGATTATTGTGATTTTCGTTCTGTCCAGTGGCTACACTCACACTTTAAATCAAATCTTCTAACATTCCTTGAAGTAAAGCAGTCTGTGTATGTGAACTGAAGAAATAATTGAAGTGAAATAATGGAGCATTTAGTGCTTTTTGTATGGCCCAAAGGAGCCCTGTGCTGACTTTGCTATAGTGTTTTAGCTTGTGAAAGTCTCTGGAACCTTCCCTGCTTCATCAAGGGAGTCACCTCTATGTCATTTTACTAAGGACAAATACCTAAAACAAACATGTTTAGACCCAGTGCCTGTCCATTGCTGCAAGCAGTCCTGCACATCTCCAAACAACAAGTTCAAGATCAGCATGAAATTGGAAATCCAGGATCCTAGGAACACCCCATCCACCTGTATTTATAGGCGCCTCCCTCCACCTGCACCTTGATGGCAGTGTTAACAAGAATGACTCTGTTAGCTGTCTGAATCAGCTGAACTACAGCCTAGTGGGAACTGTGAGAAGATTGGGGATATGCTGCAGACCCCTCTGGGCCCATGTTAGAGACTACATTTCATCATGCCAAATCATGGCCCAAGTTTCCCGCCAAAATGGAACCTCTTGCTTTTGCTGGTCTGGGAAAATATAAGACATTTCAAAATCAATGGGAAATAGTGATCAGTATCCATAAAAATATTCTATATGAAGAAAAACAGATGAGCATAAAACCATTTTTACTACTGAAAATTATACTGCCAAAACCAGTGACTAATCAGCAAACAGCTGTTGCACAACAACTCGAGTTAACTTGAATACAACTAGTAATACTAGTTGTATTAGACCATTCTCACACTGCTAATAAAGACATACCCGAGACTTGGTAATCAATGAAGAAAAGAGGTTTAATTGACTCACAGTTCAGCATGGTTGGGGAGGCCTCAGGAAACTTTCAATAGTGGCAGAAGGGGAAGCAAACACATCCTTCTTCTCATGGCGGCAGCAAGAAGAAATGCAGACTGAAGCAGTGAGGAAAGCTCCTAATAAAATCATAAGATCTCATGAGAACTTACTGTCATGAGAACAGCATGGAGGTAACCACCCCCATGATTCTATTACCTCCCACTGGGTCCCTCCCATGACACGTGGGGAATATGTGAACTACAATTCAAGAAGAGATTTGGGTGGGGACACAAGCCATATCATAGATGTGGATCATAGATATGAAAAAAGTTCCTTGAATCCTATAAAAGTTACAAAAATCAGAAAGTAATTGTTAGGTATTGAACATAATCAACAAACATTCAACATGTATATGTATATATGTGTCTGCATTCATAACTGGAGGCCCTGAAGAATATAAACAAGACAATATAACAGAATTAACACTTAACAAGATTAACACTTCCCAAAAATTAAAGAAAAGACAAACCTATATATTGAAAAGGGCCTAAATTATTTCCGGGAAAATTGATTTAGATTGGTCAACTCCGAAACATATTGTAATAAAACTATTAAACTCTAAGGAAAAAATCCTCTAAGCTTCTGACAAAAAAGCAATTGTTTACAAAGGGAAGAAAGTCAGGTTTGCATCAGATTTCTCAATAGCAAAGTACAAAACAAGAACAAGTAGAGCAATATTTTCAGGAAATTCAAGGAAAGAAAATGGGAGCAAGGATTTTATATCTCATCAAACTGTTTGTTCTTCAGGTATTGATATCATATGAAAATAGTTTTCATCATGTTAGAACTCAGAGGATATTGCAACCTTAAGCCCTTCCCGAGGAGTCAGTTAGGGAAGCAGCTTCATCCAACCAAAGATGATCAATCTAAGACAAAATCAGATGAAGAAACAATTTGTTCCTTGTAGAATTTGTGTGTGTGTGTGTGTGTGTGTGTGTATGTGTTTATCAGTCTGGGTTCAATGAAAAGTGAGAAACAACATAGTAATTTGAAACCAGAAAGTTTAATATAATTGTTAACTGTAAAAGAAGATAGGAATAATGAGGGATTGGCTATTAAAAATGAACGAGAACTCTAAAGAATATAGGAACAGCAGACATAAAGAGAAGCCACTACATTAGGACACAGATAGATTGCCTTAGGAAGAACATCCTCTCCCCCATTATCAGAGCTGAGTCGTAGACCTTGCTAGAAGGGCACAGCCGTGGCTCACTGGGTCACTGAGAAGTCACGGTAGTGCCATGTTGGTGAAGCTTGCTAGAAACATTTCCTCTCTGGTGCTGGTAAGCGCAATTCATTGAGAAGTGTTTTTCTGGAGGAACTCTACTACCTAACTACCCCAGGTGGGGGTAGGGGTGCTACTGCTGCTGACCACTGATACTACTGGCTGCCATGCACTGTGGGAAACCAACAATGGAGAAGATGAGAGTGCTGCAGGAACCTGTCCAGCAAACACACTGGAACCAGAAAGCAAACCCGTTTCTTCCTATGGTGTCTTTAGATGAGATCAAGGGATATCACTTAAGCTAATACCAAACAGTAGAATTCTAAGTAAGGAAAGGGGGAGATAAGGACATTATAAAATATATTCATATAAAGATAACCCCTAAAACAAAAATCCAAAATTTCCTAAATTCCAAAAGTTCAAAAAAAAAAAACATATCATGTAGAGAATGAAGTAAATATGAAAACCTCAGAAAATAAAACCTAATGTGACAGATTTGAGACCAAATGTGTAATTTATATTAATAAATGTAAATGGATTTAACCTACCTGTTAAAAGAATAAAACATTTAGATTGTATTCAAAGTAAAACCCACTCTGTGCTGTATACAGGAGTCATACATAAAAAAGTGAATTAGAAAGAAAGGTTGCAGTTCTGATACTGGACAAGGCAAAATTCAGGCTAAGATTCATTAAACAAGACAAAGAAGCCACCTGATTCTTAAAGATGACAATGCTTAAAATTCACAATGAAAATGTAATAGTTATAAATAAATCAGTATCATTTAGAAAGTACCTGTCTTCATAAAATAGAATTATAGGAAATGCAAAGAGATAGATACTAACACACTAATAGAAAGTTAACACCCTTATTTCAAGGCAGGACACACCAAGAGGACAAAAAGTAAAAGTACTGGCCAGGCACGGGGGCTCACGTCTGTAATCTCAGCCCTTCGGGAGGCCAAAGCGGGGAGATCTCCTGAGGCCAGGAGTTTGAGATCGAGAACATCCTGGCCAACATGGTGAAACCCAGTCTCTACCAAAAATACAAAACAATAAAAAATAAAAAGATTAACCAGGCATGATGATACATAACTGTAATCCCAGCTACTCGAGAGGGTGAGGTAGGAAGATCACCTGAACCCAGGAAGCAGAGTTTGCAATGAACCGAGATTGCACCACTGCACTCCAGCCCAAGCAACTGTCTAAAAAAAAAAAAAAGTAAGTCTTAAAGGTTTAATGGATAAGGTAGATCATATATATATGTATGTGTCTACGTATGTGTTTGTGTGTATACATATCAAATCTTATATCCTTGCAAATGATCTTCTACCTTGAAATAAAAAACCTAAACAACTCTTATTTGAAAAAAGAAAACATAACTAAAATTGCACAATTCTAAAACATAATGATGAACACATCATGTATCAGAATTTTGACATACAATTAAAGTGCTGTCAGGAAGATTATTTATAGCTTTAAATACTTGACATCAATAAAAATGGAAGGATGAACATTAAAAATTTTAATTCCTAACGCAAGAGGTTAGAAAAATAATTACAAAACAAATACCAAGAAAGAAGAAAAAAAGAAGTTAATGAAATAGAAGACAGAAAAGCAATACATAAAGTACTGCTCCTTTGGGGAAAAAAATCAATGAAATAGACAAACCATTATTTAGCATAATATAAAATGAGTAATCACAGATATACAAAATAAGAAATGACAAAGGAGAAATAGCTCTATGCAAATCAATTTGAAAGCTAAAATGGGGAAATACTTTTTGTCCAAATTGACTCCAGTGGCATTACAATGTTTAAACAGATGTATAGAAAACAAAAATTTTCAAGGAATTGCACCCACAATCAAGACCATGTGCAGATTTGTTCATAGGAGAATCTACCAAACTTTAAGGATCGGATAGTTTCAATGCTAATTGACTTGTATGTTGGTGATATCCAGATCTCTCTGTGGCAGTAGAAATATTTTACATCTGTGATGTTCAGTATGGTTGTCATCAGCCACATATGGCTATTGAATGAGCACTTGAAATGTGGCTACGATGACTGAGGAACTGAATTTTTAACTTCATTTAATCATAATTTAAAGTTAAAAGACCTTATGTGACTGATTGTTATTGTACTGGGCAGTATAGTGCTAGCTCCTAAAAATGTAGGAAAATGTCTAAATTCTTTTTATGAACCATGTAGAACTTTGAAGCCTAAACCAGATTTATTTAATTTCAACCTTTATAATGGATAACAGGAGTACATGTGCAGGTTTGTTACATGGTTATATTACATGATGCTGAGATTTGGGGTATGGCCCCCATAACTCAGGTAGTGAGCAACACCCAATAGGTAGCTTTTCTTTAACTTTTATTTTAGGTACAGGGATACATGTGTAGGTTTGTTACAGAGATAAACTCGTGCCACAGGTTTGTTGTACAGATTATTTTGCCACCTGGGTACTAAGCCTAGTACCCAATAGTTATTTTTGTTTGTCTCCCTCCTGCCACCCTCCACCCTCAAATAGACCGCAGCGTCTGTTCCCTTCTATATGTCCATGTGTTCTCATTGTTCAGCTCCCACTTATGAGGACAAGTGATGTTTGGTTTTCTGTTCCTGTGTTAGACTGCTAAAAATGAGGGCCTCCAGCTCCATCCATGTTCCTGCAAAGGACATGATCTTGTTCTTTTTATGGCTGTGTAGTATTCCATAGTGTATATGTACCACATTTTACATTTTATTTATCCAGTCTAGCAATGATGAACATTTAATTTGATTCATTGTCTTTGTTATTGTGAGCAGTGCTGCAAAGAACATTCACGTGCATGTGTCTTTATGGTAAAATGATTTATATTCTTTTGGGTATATACCCAATAATGAGATCGCTGGTTTGAATAGTAATTCTTTTTTTTAGCTCTTTGAGGAATCACCAAACTGCTTTTCACAGTGGTTGAACTAATTTACTCTCCCACCAACGGTGTAGAAGTGTTTCTTTTTCTCCACAACCTTTCCAGCATCTGTTATTTTTTGACATTTTTAATAATAATTATTCTGACAGATGTGAGATGGTATCTCATTGTGGTTTTGATTTGTATTACTCTAATGATCAGTGGTATTGAGCTTTTTTTTCCCATAATTGGTGGCCACATGTATATCTTCTCTTGAAGAGTGTCTGTTGATGTCATTTGCCCAGTTTTTAATGGGGGTATTTGAGTTTTTCTTGTAAAATAGTTTAAGTTCGCTATAGATGCTGGATATTAGATCTCTGTCAGATGTATAGTTTGTAAATATATTCTTCCCCTATGTAGGCTGTCTGTTTACTCTCTTGATAGTTTCTTTCCCTGCGAAGAAGTTTAATTACATCCCATTTTCCAATTTTTTGCTTTTAGTGTGATTGCTTTTGGCATCTTCATCATAGAACTTTGCCAGTTCCTATGTACATAATGGTATTGGCTAGGTCGTCTTTCAGGGTTTTTATAGTTTTGGATTTTGTGTTTAAGTTTTTAATCCATCTTGAGTTGATTTTTGTTTATGGTATAAGGAAGGGGTCCAGTTTCAATTTTCTGCTTATGGCTAGCCAGTTATCACAGCACCATTTATTGAATAGGGAGTCATTTCCCCATTGTGTGTTTTTGTCAGCTTTGTTGAAGATCAGATGGTTGTAGGTTTGTGCCCTAATTTCACATTCTCTATGCTGCTCCTTTGGTCTGTAAGTCTGTTTTTGTACTGGTATCATGCTACCTTGTTTACTGTAGTCCTGTAGTATAGTTTGAAGTCGGGTAACATGATGCCTCGAGGTTTATTCTTTTTGCTTAGGATTGCCTTGGCTATTTGGGCTCTTTTTTGGTACCATATGAATTTTAAAATAGTTTTTTTCTAATTATGTGAAGAATATCATTGGTAGTTTGATAGAATAGCACTGAGTCTGTAAATTTTTTTGTGAAGTATGGCCATTTCAATGATAATGATTCTTTCTATCCCTGAGCATGGAATGTTCTTGCATTTGTTTGTATTGTCTCTGATTTTGAGCAGTGTTTGGTAATTCTCGATGTAGAGATCTTTCACCTCTCTGGTTAGCTGTATTCCTAGGTATTTTTTGTGTGGCAATTGTGAAAGGGATTGTGTTCCTGATGGCTCTCGGCTTAGCTGGTGTTGGTGTATAGGAATGCTAGTGATTTTTGTATGTTGATTTTTTTATCCTGAAACTTTGCTAAAATTGTTTATCAGCTCTAAGAGCTTTGGGTCTGAGACTATGGAGTTTTCTACGTATACAATCATGTCATCAGCAGACAGGGAAAATATGACTTCCTCTCTTCTATTTCAGTTCCCTTTCTTTCTTTCTCTCTTGCCTGATTGTTTTGGCCAGGACTTCCAATACTATGTTGAGTAGGAGTGGTGAGAGAGGGCATCCTTGCCTTGTGCTTGTTTTCAAGGGGGAATACTTTCAGCTTTTGCCAATTCAGTATGGTGTTGGCTGTGGGTTTGTCATAGATGGCTCTTGTTATTTTAAAGTATATTTCTTCAGTGCCTAGTTTATTGAGAGTTTTTAACATGAAGGAATATTGAATTTTATTGAAAGCCTTTCTGCATCTATTGAGATAATTTAAAAAAATGTGATTTTTGTCTTTAGCTCTGTTTATGTGATGAGTCTTATTTATTGATTTGCATGTTGAACCAACCTTGAATCCCAGGTATAAAGCCTACTTAATCATGGTAGATTAGCTTTCTGATGTGCTGCTGCATTCAGTTTGCATGGACTTTGTTGAGGATTTTTGCATCAATGTTCATCAAGGATATTGGCCTGAAGTTATCCTTTTTGTTATGCCTCTACCAGATTTTGGTATCAGAATGATGCTGATCTCACAGAATGAGTTGGAGAGGAGTCCTTCCTCCTCAATTTTTTGATAGTTTCAGTAGGAATGCTATCAGCTCTTCTTTATCCATCTGGTACAATGTGGTTGTGAATCCATCTGATTCTGGGGTTTTTTTGGTTGTTAGGTGATTATTGATTCAATTTTGTAGTATTGGTCTGTTCAGGAAATCAGTCGTTCTGTTGATGCAGGTCTGTTCAGGGAATCAATTTTTTCTTGATTCAGTCTTGGGAGGGTGTATGTGTCCCCTCTTATTCATCTCTTCTAGGTTTTCCAGTTTGTGTGCCTAGAGGTGTTCATTAATACTCTCTGATGGTTACTTTTATTCCTGTGGGGTCGGTATTTCTGTGTAACATTCCCTTTCTCATTTCTGATTGTGTTTACATGAATCATCTCTCTTTTCTTCTTTATTAGTCTAGCTATTGGCCTATGTACATCATTAATTTTTTCAAAAAACAAACTCCTGGATTCGTTGATCTTTTGAATGATTTGTTATCTCTCGTTCTTCAGTTTACCTCTGGTTTTGGTTATTTCTTGTCTTCTGCTAGCTTTGGGGTTGGTTTACTCTTGCTTCTCTAGTTCTTTTAGTTGTGATGTTAGGTTGTTAATTTGGGATCTTTCTAACTTATTGATGTGGGCATTTAGTGCTATAAATTTCCCTTCTAACACTGCCTGAGCTGTGTCCCAGATATTCTGACATGTTGTATCTTTGTTCTCAGTAGTTTCAAAGAACTTCCTGATATCTGCCTTAATTTCACTTACCTAAAAGTCACTCAGGAAAATGGTTGTTTAATTTTCATGTAATTGCATGGTTTTGAGCAATTTTTTAAGTCTTCATTTTTATTTTTATTGTGCTGTGACCCAAGAGTGTGTTTGGTATCATTTTGGTTCTTATGCATTTGCTGAGGGTTGTTATGTCAGTGGGGTGGTCGATTTTAAAGTATGTGCCATATAGTGATGAGAAGAATGTACATTCTGTTGTTTTGGGGTGGAGAGTTCTGTAAAGATCTGTCAGATCCATTTGGTCCAATGTTGAGTTCAGGTCCTGAATATCTTTGTTAATTTTCTGCCTTAATGATCTAATACTGTCAGGGTAGTGTTAAAGACTCCCACTATTATTGTATGGGAGTTGAAGTCTCTTTGTAGGTCTCTAAGAACTTGCTTTATGAATCTGGGCGCTCCTATTTTGGGTGCATAAATATTTAGGATATTTAGGTCTTGTGGAATTGAATTCTTTACCATTATGTAATGCACTTCTTTGTCTTTTTTGATCCGGATATGAAATGCTTGGTTGAAGATATTTTTCTTTAAGAATGTGAATACAGGCCCCAATCTCTTCTGGCTTGCAGGGTTTCTTCTGAAAGGTTCACTGTTGGCCTGATGGAGTTCCCTTTGTAGGTGACCTGCCCTTTCTCCCTAGCTGCCTTTAACATTCTTTCATTTCAACCTTGGAAAATCTGATGATTATGTTTCTTGGAGATGGTCTTGTGTAGAATCTTTCAGGTGTTCTCAGTATTTCCTGCATTTGACTATTGGTCTCTCTAGCAAGGTTGGGGAGATTTTCATGGACAATACCCTGAAATATGTTTTCCTCATCCCTTTTAGGGATTCCAGTGATTCATAGATTTGGTCTCTTGACATAATCCCACATTTATCAGAGGTTTTGTTCACTCTTTTTTATTCTTTGTTCTTTACTTTTGTCTGACTGTCTTCTTTAAGTCTTCAGGTTCTGACATCCTTTTCTCAGCTTGGTCTGTTCTACTGTTAATACTTGCTGCTGCATTGTGAAATTATTGCAGTGTTTTTTTCAGCTCTATTAGATCAGTTAGGTTCTTTTTTACACCAGCTCTTTCACCTGTTAACTTCTGTATCATTTTATTATGATTCTTAGTTTCCTGGATTGGGTTTTGCCATTCTCCTAAATCTTGATGATCTTTGTTCTTGTTCATATTCTAAATTCTATTTCTGTCATTTCAGTCAACTCAACCTGGTTAACAACCCTTGTTGGAGAACTAGTTTAGTTGTTTGAGAGGTAAAACACCCTGACCACTTGAGTTGCTAGAGTTCTTGCATTGGTTCTTTCTTATGTGTGTGTGTGATTTTTCCTTTAACTGCTAGGCTGCCTCTGATTGCAATGGTCATGTGGGGGCAGGGAGGTTGTGCTGAAGTCCCAGGTCAGGCAGTCCTGTTCAGTGAGGAGAAGCGAGGACTGGGATCTGCGTTGAGAACAGTCTGACCACTTTTCCAGTAGATGGGTGCTCTGTGCTGAGGGACCAGACCAGCCACTGTTCCCGTGGATTCTCCAGAACTGGAGACAGCAAGGGCTAGTGCTGTGAGAGAGCAAAGATGGTAACCTGCCCCTCACACCAGGAGCTTTGTCCCAGGGAGTTACAGAGCTGCTACTGGCTCAAAAGTCCCAGCAGGGGGTGGACCCAGTGAGGAGATACTGGATCAGGGACCCACATAACCAACAGTCTGGCCATTTTTCCATAAGTCTGCTCCAATATGTTTGAGGGTCTGCTCCAGTCTCTAATCACCTCCAATTTTCCAGTACCTGAAGGTATCAACAGTGAAGCCTGCAAAACAGTAAAGATGGTGGCCTGCCCCTCCCTCTGGCAGCTCCATCCTAGGGAGGTATGGACCTGCTGCCAGCCCCAACACACTGGCAGGGGTGGCTGGGGACCTTGGTCAGGAGGTCCTACCCAGTGAGGAGGAGTAGGATTGGGGACCTGCATAACAAAGCAGTCTGGCCACTTCTTCATAGTGCTGGGTTGGGGGTCCACTCCAGCCTCTTGTTGCCTTGCACTCTCCAAAACTCGAAGGCAACAATAGCTAAGACTGTGAAAGAACAAAGATGGCAGTCCTCCCCTCTCTCTGGGAGTTCTGTCTCAGGGAGCTTTGGAACAGTTGCTGACTGGAAAACACTGGCAGGGGTGGTTATAGACCTCAGTTAGGAGATTCGTCCGGTGGTGGAAAAAGCAGTCTGGTTGCTTCTTTGTAGAACTGCTCCAGTATTCCGGGGGACAGCTTCAGTCCCTAATCACCTTGGATTCCCCAGAGCCAGAGGGCATCAACAGCTAAGTCTGCCAAACAGCAAAGATAGCAGCCTACCCCTCCCTCTGGGAGCTCCGTCTCAGGGAGGTGTAACAGTGATACCTGTGGCAGGCTGGGGTTCCAAGCCAGTGGGTCTTATCCTGCGAGGTGCTGTGAAAGAAGGGCCTGCAGACCATCACTGCTCAGCCCCCTGGACTCAGCTTCTTTCCTAGGGGTATGTACAAGGGTCTAACCTCCCACTTTGCTGGAGTTGCAGCCACTTTTGCCAGGAAGCCTGGGCATCAAAAGTTCCTGGGGCTCCACGTGTGCCCAAGTGGCTGCTCTGCCGAGACTCCACATAGCTCTGCCTGTCAGAATGAAGGCCCTGTTGGAGTGGGTTCACAAGGGGATCTTCTAACCTGAGGGTTGCAAATATCCATGAGAGAAGAGTGGGTCCCCAAGGTCACACATTCACTCACTGCTTCCCTGAGAGTAGGAGGCTCCCCTGGCTCTGTGTCACTCAGGGGTGGGTAGTCAGATAGTCATCCTGTCTTGATTTTCTCCATTCTCCATTGGTCAGCTTGTTTTCTTGATGAATCTCAATGCACGTACCTGGGTACTTCAGTTGTAGGTGCTGTATTTATTACCCCTTCTATTTCTTTCCACGAGAGTGGGCACACTAGCTAATTGGCTGTCTTGGCCAGCCCCTCCATAGGTAGTTTTTCAACCCACATCTTTCTCCACCCCTTTAGTAGTCTGCAGTGTCTATTCTTCCCATGTTTATGTTCATGTATGCTCAGTGTTTAGCTCCCACTTATAAGTGAGAACATACATAAGTCTGATTTAAACACATACACACACGTAACTCATGTATGAGTATTATCACAAAAATCCTAATAAAAATATTGGGAATTAGAATTTAACATATTTAAAACAATTAATCAAGACAAAGTATGTTTTGTTTTTGATTTCTGGGAATGAAAAGAGGATTTAATTTTAGAAAATCCATTAATGGAATTCAACATATTAAGATAGCTAAGGAATAAAATTATATAAACTTTGAAAAAATTCAACACACTACTGAACAAAAAAATAATAAACTGGAAAGTGAGTAGTACATTCTTAACTTGAAAAAATATTTATACCTCAGTGCTAAAGCCAGTATTTTACTCAATTGTTTAAAATAATCCAATTGATTATTTATAATTTCAATACAGTGGGAAAGAAACTCGCATTTACAATAGCCAAAAGAGAGCGGGAGCTAACCAATATGCAAAACTTATATAAAGGAAAGTTTTTAAAACACCTGACCAAAAGCATGAACTATAAAACAATCACAGGATAGATTTTGTCAAAATTAAGAACTTCTGCTTTTTAGAAGACACTAGTAAGATAATGAAAATATAGGCTACAGACTAAGAGAAAATATTTACAGGTCACCTAGCTGACAGCAGTACTTACCCCCAAAGTGATTATAGATTCAATGGAATCCCTATCATAATCACAGCTGCCGGCCGGGTGCAGTGGCTCATGCCTATAATCCCAGCACTTTAGGAGGCTGAGGCAGGTGGATCACCTGAGGTCAGGAGTTCAAGACCAGCCTGGCCAACATGGTGAAATCCCATCTCTACTAAAAATACAAAAAAAAAAAAAAAAGAAAAAAAAAAAAAAAGAAAATAGCCAGGCATGGTGGCGGGCACCTGCAATCCCAGCTACTCGGGGGGCTGGGGCAGGAAAGTGGCTTGAATCCAAGGGGCAGAGGTTGCAGTGAGCTGAGATCGCACCACTGCACTCCAAGCTGAGGAACAAGAGCAAAACTCTGTCTCAAAAAAAAAAAAAAAATCAATCATAGCTGCCTTTTTTGCATGAATTGACAAGTTGATCCTTAAATTTATATAGAAATACAAAAGACTAAGAATAGCCAAAGCAATCTTGAAAAGAGAGAACAAAAGTAAAGAACTCAGATTTTCTGGTTTTAAAACTTACTGCGAAGCTACAATGCTAAAGACGTTGTGGTTTTGGCATAGGAATGGACATATAGATTGGTGGGTTAGAATTGAGAGTTCAGAAATGAACCCATAAATTTGTGGATAATTGATTGTAGACAAGGGTGCCAAGACAAGTCGATGGCATTTTCAACAACTTGTATGGGAACAACTGGATATCCACATGGAAAAGAATAAAGTTGGAGCCTACCTTCACACCATGTACAAATTAGCTACAACTGGATTATAACCTAAACTTAAGAGCTAAAAGTATAAAACTCTTAGAAGAAAACATAGGAGTAAATCTTCATGACCTTGAATTAGATAATGGTTTCATAGATACAGCACCTAAAGCACAAACAACTAAAGAAAAAAAATAGATAAATTGAACTTTATCAAAATTAAAAGCATTGTGTTTCCAAGAACACAATCATTAAAGTGCAAAGACAACTCATGCAGTGGGAGAAAATAGGCAAATGCATGGAGGCAAGAAATTAGGTTAGTAGTTTCCAGAGACTGAGC
Source organism: Homo sapiens (assembly GCF_000001405.40). Taxonomy (NCBI): domain Eukaryota; kingdom Metazoa; phylum Chordata; class Mammalia; order Primates; family Hominidae; genus Homo; species Homo sapiens. The sequence continues at coordinate 26,439,460 of NC_000011.10, forward strand.
TGAAGAGGAAATGGGGATCGGCTGCGAATAGGTATGATGTTTCTTTTTGGAGGAATAATAAAAGCGTTTTAAAGCCACATAGAGTGATGTTTGCACGACTCTGTGCATATACTAAAAAGAGCTAAACTGTATACTTAAAGGAATCGATTTTATGGTATATGATTATATATCAATAAAGCCTTTAAAAACTTTTAACTCCGAAAAGTCTGGGATAGATCTGTATGTGTTGAGATGGAAAAAATACCTAAGACATAATATATAATGTGACAAACTATAATTTCATTTTTGTAAGAAAACTATTTTTATACATAGTTACATATATGAATACATAGACAAAGACCAATAAACTGATAACATTCATTTCATTTAGAGAAGAGACTGGAATTTAAGAATCAGAGTAAAACAAATTTTAATTTTTAATTTTATTTACTTCTATAATTTAAAACCTTTTAAAATGAGAACATTTTATGTAATTTGCTTGTATAAAATACTTAAATATCCTCAAAGTGAATAAATAAAGGCACCAACCACAAAACCTGACATGTAATAGGCACGCCACAATAAAAAGTCCCTTTGCCTCATGTGGTGTGAAGTCCAAACACAACACTGGGTGTGGGCGGAGGGCGGGGGTGGTTCATGGTTTTATTCACATTATACAGACAGCATACATAGCCAACATCTCAACTCAGGTGTCAATAAGAAACTTTTTAGGGAGTGATTCACGATCAAGCAGCTTTGTACAATTTACCATATGTATTCGTCTGTTTTCACATTGATAAGGTATTTCTTTATAAATTATTCAGTCTCAGGTAATAATGAACTACCTGAGACTGGATAATTTATAAAGAAAAGTATTTATTTGGCTCATGTGTCATAGAGCTTGCATTCTAGGGAGGTATACAGAAATAAAACAAAATATATAATATGAATGACAGGGGGTGTTTAGGAAAAAATAAGCAAAAGAGTAGTGTTAAAAGCTAAATTCTTTTTAAATGATGGGAAATGACCTGGAACTGGTAAACGAAAATGACAGTAATAAAGAAGACTAGAAGAATAGTTTAATGACAGGAATTTGAATACTGATTTTTAGAGAGGAAACATGAAGAATGAACTGAGACAGGCAATTAGGTACAATAAGGATATCTACTCCACCTCAAGTAAAGTTGATAAGAAGTTGTGGAAGAGAAAAGAGCCTCCACTGGAGGCGGCTGCAAGAGAAGCAGTGTCACTGTGGGGATATGGTGCAGTGCCAGGTTTGGGTAAAATTATGGAGGGAAATGGGTGATCCACAGAAAAATCTAAGGAGGATATTAAGTGGATTTTCTGATGTTTTATGTGAGTTCCCAGGGACATAGTGAGAGAGTCTGAGTGGGAGATGTTGGAAATGAGAGTGTCCAGAGACACTGAGGTTTAGAGTGCCAAGGGAGAGGAGTGACCTGGGATTGACATTATGGGATGAAGAGGAATGGAGACAGGGAAGTGGAGCCATTCTTTCCTGGTTCACACAGTGTAGGGGGACTTCTGCTTTTGGAGGACTAGTTTGGTTGAAGGGCATTCTGACTTCTGGCAGATGAGACTCTGTGCATGAGGGAAGTAGCTCTAACACTAAGCACAGGGTTGGTGTCTTGATCCCTGCTTGCTGCCCAGTTTTTTTTTTTTTTTTTTTTTTTTTTTTTGAGACGGAGTCTCGCTCTGTCGCCCAGGCTGGAGTGCAGTGGCGGGATCTCGGCTCACTGCAAGCTCCGCCTCCCGGGTTCACGCCATTCTCCTGCCTCAGCCTCCCAAGTAGCTGGGACTACAGGCGCCCGCCACTACGCCCGGCTAATTTTTTGTATTTTTAGTAGAGACGGGGTTTCACCGTTTTAGCCGGGATGGTCTCGATCTCCTGACCTTGTGATCCGCCCGCCTCGGCCTCCCAAAGTGCTGGGATTACAGGCGTGAGCCACTGCGCCCGGCCTGCTGCCCAGTTTTTATACTATGTTATGCTATCTCTTTCCAGCCTCTAAGTCACTGTTAGGACATTATGTATGTGTTTAAGGGAGAGGAGGGCGTAGAAAGAAGGGCCCCATTTAGTAATTTCAATGGTTATATATTAGGTTTTATGTATTTTGCTATTTGAAAGCCTAAATCATAAGGTTTATTCAAAGAGTATCCAAATAATTGTTGTCATAATTCCCCAAATGAACTTAAACATCAGTTTCTTTTTTCACAGAACTTTTAAAGGAGTGGTGAAAGCTCAAACAGGAAACAGAGATGTTTATGTCTCAAAACTATTTAACAAAAATCTCAAACACTCTTCTTGACAAAACATAAACAAGACTAACTCAATTATTTCTAATATCTAAGTGGCACTTTTCAATAGTTCATTCCTGAAACAGGTATCACAAGAATTAAAACTTTTTATTGACCTCTACTGATTGATTTTTTATTGCTAAAACTCAACATTTTGGATTTGCAGGTATGAATATAAGCAAGAGTGAGATAACAAAAGAAACTTCGTTAAAACCGTCTCGGAGATCCCTGCCTTGCCTCGCCCAGAGCTACGCTTACTCAAAGAGCTTGAGCCAGTCTACTTCCCTCTTCCAGTCAACCGAGAGTGAATCTCAGGCTCCCACATCTATAACCTTAATCTCCACTGACAAAGCAGAGCAAGGTGAGCAGCAATTCCTATTTTCTTGTTCAATTTATAAAAACTACGTGTTTTCCAAACACTCCTTTCCTTCCTTTTTCCATTGGACCAGTTTTATAGAGCTCTTCAGGAAGGAGGCTGGCATAGAAAGGAGACCAGTACACCATGCCATTTGTTGGCCAGATGTGTTTTATCTCTTCCTTGCCTTGAAGGTGGCCAATCCCATGGAGTCTGGACCTAATATTTGTTTGCAGTGGAAGTCCCAGCTACATGAATCACTGGTACATTTGGCCACTGTTTGCATCCCTCTTGTTGATGAGTAACATTCCTGGCGAGAACTTATAACCAGTATTCAAATAGAAAATGTCATCAGTAATAAACTGTTTTCTAAAAATAAAGGCTGAAGACTTTACAACTGACAATAAAGCATTGAAGATTTGGTGGCATAAAGATTTAGTTGGACAAGTGTTGGCAACCCAAGGCTGGTGTGCAAGGGCTGAATTTTAGAGACATACCAGCAAGGTGCCACACAAAGAAACGCTGTGGCTACCCTTAGGCACTCTTCTACACACATTTGCCCACTAAGACACACACTATCCCTTTAGACAACTCCCTTTTATAAGAGTTAAGAATTTAAATACAACCAAGCTCCCTGTTGTGCAGTGGATAGGGTATGTTTTTCTTGTTCTTTTTTTAGAGATGGAGTCTTGCTCTGTCGCCCAGGCTGGAGTGCAGTGGGACGATGTCGGCTCACTGTAACGTCTGCCTCCCGGGTTCAAGTGATTCTCTTGCCTCAGCCTCCTGAGTACTGGGATTACAGGCACACACCACCATGCCTGGCTAATTTTTGTATTTTTAGTAGAGACTGGGTTTCATCATGTTTGTCAGGTTGGTCTCAAACTCCTGACCTTGTGATCCACCTGCCTCGGCCTCCCAAAGTCCTGGGATTACAGGTGTGAGCCACTGCACCCAGCCATGTTTTTATTTTTCAATCCTTTTGTTGCTTTTTCTTATAAGAATGCAGTCCCTTATGATTCCATATGGTTGCTTCTTTTTCTGGATAACTAAAAAATATCAAAATTATTGTTTCAATACTATTGTGAAATCACTACATATTGTAGTTAGCTTACAAATATGTCTACTATGTAAAGTGGCAAACTGTTCAAGAAGATGAAGATATTAAAACATAATATAGGTGTTTCTTTTTTCCCTTATTGAAAGTGAAATTTTAGGCCAGGCATGATGGCTCACGACTGTAATCCCAGCACTTTGGGAGGCCAAAGTGGGCAGATCACTTGAGGCCAGGAGTTCGAGACCAGCCTGGCCAAGATGGTGAAACCCTGTCTCTACTAAAAATACAAAAGTTAGCCAGGCATGATGGTGCACACCTATAGTCCCAGCAACTCAGGAGGCTGAGGCACGAGAATCGCTTGAACCCGGGAGGCGGAGGTTGCAGTGAGCCGAGATCATGCCATTGCACTCCAGCCTGAGTGACAGCGAGACTCCGTTTCTTAAAAAACGGAAAAAACAGTGACATTTTAAATAACTAATTTTAATTCATTAAGTTAAGAAATTTCATCATGTTTGGCCATCATTTGTCCATCTATAACCATGGTTATTTTTCTGTTGTTATGCTTTTATTTCCCAAAACTACAAAGTATCTTATTTTATTTCAGTTAATACTGAGGAGAATAAAAACGACTCTGTGCTGAGATGTTCATTTGCTGACCTCAGCGATTTTTGTTTGGGTAAGTTGATAATCAGTATTTACCTACTCCTTTCCCTCTCTCCAAAGGTAAGCTGTGTTCTTCTAAAAAAAACTAGCATTTTTTTTTTAAGAAAAAGTTCATGTTTGGTTTTTAACGTAATAGGTGAGTATAATATTCTGAGGTTAAGAAATTAAGAAATGTATAGTTTGGAATTCAAATATATAGGAGGATTTATGATGAGCAACAGTCTCATAATAACAAATAACAATTTTTGCCATTATTCTGAAAATTTCAATTTTTTAAGAACATATAGTCTACTATTTCAAGATCTATAACATTTTGACACTCAGAATTTAGAATGTTAGTAACACTCAGAGATTCTATCCTGGCCCATCATTAGTGGATACTATAAATTTTATTTATTTTTCCTATAACAGTGACAAGTTTACTCAATCTCCTTTTTTGCCTTTTGATGTTGTCACATAAGATTTGCTTCAGTTGAGCAAGCTTTGCATTCAAATCTGTAGCTTGCCCATAAACAATTCTTTTGAATTGGGTTTTCATTTTCATGAATTAAATAGAAATAAAATAAAGCCAGAATTAATCAAAAAGTGATACTAATGTGTCAACACTTATTTTGCAACCTCAGTGCCTTAACACATAACCTGAAGAAATGAAGCCCTGAGTTTTCAGTAGTAGATACATCGGTGGCCAGGCCTCAGTGCCTACATAAGGAGTTCTCAACTCTGGTTACACATTCAGATCACTGGAGGGCTTTTCAAAACTCCTGGATCACAGTTCCAGAAAATCAGTTTTAATTGGTCTGAGGAGTGAAATTAGTATACGTACTTTTAACAAACTGCCCAGTAAACATTTAATATGGCCAGGATAAAGAATTTCTGGCCTAAAAACTGTATCTTGGTTTTTCTCTACAGGCATTGTTAAATCACTCGTCATAACTTTTAAAACTATGAATTTTGGTATTTATAATAGCATTCTGAATGACTGCAAATTAGTCACATTTCTTATAATAATTTTTGTTTTATGTGTGGCACAGAAACAGTGCTGGCTTATTAAGTTTTTTAATTAAAGCCAGCAACCAGCAGGTTCATTTCATATACAGAATCAAAAAGAGCATCTCATCAGAAAAAAATTCACTCAGAATACAAAGGCCTTTCCTGTAGTAATTAATTCTGAAGATTACTACAAGCTGAGAAATTTTATCCAAAATTCTTGAGACCAGAAGTATTTCAGATTTCAATTTTTTTGATTTTAGAATATTTGTATTATATACTTACTCGCTGAGCATCCCAAATCTGAAAATCTGAAATCTGAAGTGCTCCAGTGAGCATTTCCATTGAGCATCATTTCAACACTCAAAAAGTTTCAGATTTTGGAGCATTTTGGATTTGGGAAGCTGAAACTATATTATCAGTTATTTTCTAATTTAAAAAATAAGAACAAAAAACAAACCTGAAGTTTTTCTTGTCCAAAATATCCATACAGGTGGGAAAGTTTGCAAAGCACCCTTTACTAACCTGTCCTCCAAATTAGAACCAATGTATAGTTTAACAATCACCCTATTAAAAAACCTTCCATTTAATTCCTTGCATTTTATTTTTGATGGCTTGCCATTCCAAATATTAAAAAGCACTTTCTCTGAATGCTTAACATAATTGGATGCTCGTAACTTTATGATTCTTTTCTCATCACTTTTGTGTGTCTCGGTTATTTGTTCCAGCTGACCTGTGTTTATATCTCTCCAGGCACTGTATCTCGTATTCACTATTTTAGCATCCCCCAGCATCAATCTGTCATTTATTCAAGTTAGAAAGACATCACAGCTTCTGCAGTTAAAATACATACAAATGATGAGGTGTTTGCCTTTATAATGAAGGTGAGGTACAGTCTCCAGCTAACTGTGTAGTATCACTAAGCATTTCAGGAATCCAACTGGATGTAACACCTGGCTGGGAAATACTCTTTTAGAGTTAGATGCATATCTATGAGTGTTTTTTATTATTTTATTTTATTATTATTATTATTATTTTTGAGACAGAGTGTTTCTCTCTTGCGCAGGCTGGAGTGCAGTGGTGCGATCTCAGCTCACTGCAACCTCTGCCTGCCAGGTTCAAGCGATTCTCCTGCCTCAGCCTCCCGAGTAGCTGGGACTACAGGCACTCACCACCACACCCAGCTAATTTTTGTATTTTTAGTAGAGATGGGGTTTCACCATGTTGGCCAGGCTGGTCTCAAACTCCCAACCTCAGGCAATCCACCCACCTTGGCCTACCAAAGTGCTGGGATTACGGGCATGAGCCACATAATATAAGTGTTTTAATTGCCTTTGAAAAGAAGACGCCCGGCCTAATATGACTGTTTTAATCATCTTTGAAAAGAAATCAAGTAAAATAATGTCAAATATACCAAGAGTACAGTTAAATAAAGCATGAGTAAACATTTTGGCAATACATGTTCTCTTTTAAATACAAAGCAGTTACATTCTCTAAGTTTGCCTTTAGCGTGCAGAGTACCAGGTTCCTGCATTGGGCTGATTATTGCATGGGAATTTCCTGACTAATGCATCTTATTAATGGCTTTTTTACAGTTAACCACTTTGAGCTGCCCCATGAGAATATTAATGCTGAGGCAGACTTAACTGCATGTGGTCAGTGTTTCATTGAGGATTGATATTTCTCATTGTTCCAAAGGAGAACCATGAAGGAAAAAATATTAATGGCTTTGTTGATTCAGAGAAGGACATTTCTACTAAGGCTCCCTAACAGGATGGGTACATATCATGAAAAAAATGTTATTTTTCCAGCCAGCCATTGGTCAAATCTTTATTCTTACATCCACTAGCTGTGTAACTGTAGTATATTATTTAACCTCTCTGAGCTTTAGTGATTTCACTAGTAAATTGGGATCAATGAGCCATTCTTAGTAGGACTTGAAGTAAATAAAAAGGTATAACTTCATCATAGCTCCTAGCACATCATGGGGGTTCAACAAATATTTGTTCATTGCTTTATTCAGTCACTCACTAAGCTTATCTTTCACTCCAAATTCTGCTGGGCCCAGAGAGATCTACAATAAACAGCTGTTTCTGTGATCATCAAAAGTGATTTTAGGCTGGGTGTGGTGGCTCCCACCTGTAATACCAGCGCTTTGGGAGGCTGAGGCAGGAGGACTGCTTAAGCCCAGGAGTTTAAGACCAGCATTAGCAAAGTGGTGAGACCCTGTTTCTACAAAAAGAAAATAATTAGTCAAGCACGGTGGCACGACTGTAGTCCCAGCTACGCAGGAGGCTGAGATGGGAGTATCACTTGAGCCCAGGAGTTGGAGGCTACAGTGAGCTATGATCACACCCCTGCACTGCAGCCTGGGCAACAGAGTGGGACTCTGCCTCAAAAAAAAAAAAAAAAAAAAAAGGTGGGGGGGGGTACTTTTATGGCATAATGATGGCACGATGGATAAACAATAATTTACTGGACTCCTTATTATTATACACTTTACCTGTCTTATCTCACTTAATTTTCATAACAACCCTTTTAGTTAGGTAGCACTTTTTTACAGATGAGGAAGCTTATTCACCAAGAGAGAAAATAATTTGCCAAATGTCACATAGCTAGCCAATGGAGAGCTGAGATTTCAACCAAGGAAGGCTTGATCTCTAACCTTCTCTTTTAATCACCACACTAGCCACAAAGGCCTTAAGGTAAAAAGTGGTTAGTGATTTCCAAAGACACTAGTTCTGTAAGATGTTAGTAAGTTTCAGGCAGAAAGTACAAGGTGAAGATAAAGCTGCATGTTAAAATATATTTGGGTAATGATTAGTTAGAAAGCTAATTGAGTCCAAAATGAGTTTGATTTTTTTTTTGTTTTCTTCTTCATTTTTTTATTGACATCACATAACCTTTAATTCTGTTTTACATAAAGCAGCTCACAAAGCCAGAGCAGCATCCCATATATCCCCACACACTCACAGAATTATTCTCAAAAGTGCTGACCCTTGTAGCAGTGAATTTGAAATCCTGGTGTGGCAATAATTTTCTTTATTAATCTTGGAAGCCCCACTACCATTGCCTACGTTTTTTTCTTCTCAGTATGCTGGAAAATGACAAGGACACAGTAATCCACGTTAACAAGTGCCTGATGCTTGATTCTTCCCATGCCCATGTGGCTATAAACTCAGGTAACTTAGAAATGAAATATTTTAGGGCCGGGTGCAGTGGCTCATGCCTGTAATCCCAGCACTTTGGGAGGCTGAGGCAGGTGGATCACCTGAGGTCGGGAGTTCGAGACCAGCCTGACCAACATGGAGAAACCCCATCTTTACTAAAAATACAAAATTAGCCGGGTGTGGTGGCACATGCCTGTAATCCCAGCTACTAGGGAGGCTGAGGCAGGAGAATCGCTTGAACCCAGGAGGCGGAGGTTGCGGTGAGCCGAGATCGTGCCACTGCACTCCAGCCTGGGCAACAAAAGCGTAACTCCGTCTCAAAAAAAAAAAAAAAAGAAAGAAATATTTAGGGCTCACTAAGACCAGCATAATTTGAGTCCAACCAACCCAAACACACATCTGTCTAATCTTGTTATGAAATCAACATTTTGCTAATGTTATAAAATGACTTCCTCAGGAATGGGTTCATATTAGAGTTCTGAAACATTTATTTGCTTTCTACAAACATAATAGTTTAGCTCAGTGGAATACTCATTGGTCTATTTCTTTAAATAGTTATGGTCAAAGGAGTACATGGTGATTTTGCTTTCATTCTATAACTTTCATTCTATAGATAATATCCACTAATTCCCATTATTTTTTCCTAGAAGCATTTTATATGAAGATGGCATAAGAAATAACTTTCTTCTAATATTCCTAAGCTACTTAAGATTACAGAAATGAGGGAATTACACTGAAGGAACATATTTTTCAGTTATGACAGTCTCACAGTCACTGTAAATCTTGTCAATTGTTTATTGAACACATAAGGTCCTCTTGCCTCAATTTTCAAAATATATTCAGAATCTGACTACTGCTTACCACATTCACTGCTGCTCCTGGGTCCGTCTGCTACCTTCTGTTGGTACGCTGGTACAATAACTTCCGAACAGATCTCCCTGCTCAAAATCTTGCCTCCTTATAGATGATTTTCCACACAGGACTCACAGAAAGCTTTAATAAAAGGAAGATTAAATCCCATCATTTCTGTGCTCCTGTCTCTCCAGGTTTCCCATTACATTTAAAACACAAACTCACTCTGGTATTCAGAGACCTCACAGAATCTGGGTCTGGTCTCTCTAGGCCATTTCCTGATGCTTCCCTTTTCTCACGAGCTGCAGACAGCTCAACCATCTTGTGTTCCTTGTTCACAATAAATATGTGCTTATCCTAGGGCTCTACACTGAAATAAGCTAGGTTCACATCAGACTTACTTTCTGTCTCCTAATCTTGATGGATTTTTCTTCATAATACTTATTACCTAAAGTTATTTATTTAGGTTATTCACCCCAATTCTGTGTTTCCAGAAGACAGAAACTGTCAATCTTGCTGCCACCTTTAGCACCAGAATCAGGAATAGTACCTGACCCATAGTAGGTGCTTAAAGAATACTTTTAGGATTAGGACAGACAAATGGATGAAAGAGCATTCCCTCTCTCTCTCTGTCTGTCTGTCTCTCTCTCTCTCTCACACACACACACACACACACACACACACACACGCACGCACATCTCTTTGGAGAGTCTGCTATAGAATACACCCTGTTTTTGCTCTCTGTGATGTCATTTATCACTGTGAGTTTTCTCACTAGTTATGAGTTAGTGCTTTGTTAATTTTCTCACTGAGGACCTGATCTAAATATTATTCTCTTTTGTATTTAAATTGTGATGATAGACCTCTATATAGAGTATTTAAAGGCTTAAAACAAAACTCTTCTTAAGTAGTAGAATTGCCTTTTTTTTTTTTCTTTTGAGATGGTATTTTGCTGTTGTTGCCCAGGCTGGAGGAGTGCAGTGGCACGATCTCGGCTCACTGCAACCTCTGCCTCGGGTTCAAGCAATTCTCCTGCCTCAGCCTCCCGAGTAGCTGGGATTACAGGTGCCTACCACCACATCCGGCTAATTTTTGGTATTTTTAGTAGAGATGGGGTTTTACCATGTTGGGCAGGCTGGTCTCAAACTCCTGACCTCAGGCAATCCGCCCAGCTCAGCCTCCCAAAGCGCTGGGATTTCAGGGGTGAGCCACTGTGCCCAGCTGTAGAATTGCCTTTCTAACATCAATCTTACTGAAGTCCTCCCTAATACATAGTTGTTTAGATGCTACTTCCTTTCTATTATAGCACTTTGGATGACTGTTCACTAGATGATAGTAACTGTGACTTATGTTTGCCTTACTCATATTGCTTGGTGCAAGCTATCTACTCACTGACTTGGGTGGATGGGTGAGGATTGGAAGAGTGCAGGGAAAGATGGTGAGTAGAAAACACTAGCACACTGACACAATGGAAAGCAGTGTATCTGCAGGATTTGCTTCCCTGTGTTGTTCATTGAGCACAGCTCTGTCAGTACCCTCATTGCTACTGGCTAGTGGTAGTACTTTAGAACAATAGGGCTAGGGAGAAGCAGGCTAACAAAGGAACCCCAAAGAATTAATAAGTCTGGGTCCTTGTTGTTACTGTGTCCTAACCACAGAGCAAGCCATGTATGGACCATTCATGAATTTATTCTTCACAGAAAGCTTCTGTAGGATAATTTTTAAAATCATGATATTTATTGGTGGTCAAAAGGTCCAGTTTCAGGTACCAACCCTGTCACTTACTACTTGGGTACACACCATCTTTGCCTGAGTTTTCCGATTTGAGAAATGGAGATATCAATATTAATTTCTTCTTATAAACAGAGATTGAGCAGAATTGTAGTGAAAGCTGTTGTGAGACTCAAATTAGACAATATTTGTCAGAGATCTACTCACACATTTAAAATTCTCCAGGAAGTATAGCATCGATTTTCAAATGCTGAAACAATGCAATGTAACGGAGTAACAAAATAAAATGACATTATAGTAAAGAAGAATGACTGAGCTGGAATAATTTAGCTATTAAAATTTTACTCCCAGAGATAGCTGTAAGGTTTATGTTGTGATCATAATAGTCTGCTATATTATATTGGTCAGTTCCTTTAAGTTTTGAACTGATGCTTACATGCAAACAAAATTTATAAGACAGTGCATTCCCACTTGAGTCAGCATAAGTTTTCAACATAAAGCATACAATTGATGATTAGAAAACAGACTTATAGGGGAGGAGCCAAGATGGCCGAATAGGAACCACTCCGGTCTACAGATCCCAGCCTGAGCGACGCAGAAGACAGGTGATTTCTGCATTTCCATCTGAGGTACCGGGTTCATCTCACTAGGGAGTGCCAGACAGTGGGCGCAGGTCAGTGGGTGCAGTGCACCCTGCATGAGCCGAAGCAGGGCAAGGCATTGCCTCACTCGGGAAGCGCAAGGGGTCAGGGAGTTCCCTTTCCTAGTCAAAGAAAGGGGTGATGGGCGGCACCTGGAAAATCGGGTCACTCCCACCCGAATACTGCGCTTTTCCGACGGGCTTAAAAAACGGCACACCAGGAGATTAAATCCTGCACCTGGCTCGGAGGGTCCTACGCCCACGGAGTCTCGCTGATTGCTAGCACAGCAGTCTGAGATCAAACTGCAAGGCGGCAGCAAGGCTGGGGGAGGAGCGCCCGCCATTACTCAGGCTTGCTTAGGTAAACAAAGCAGGCAGGAAGCTCCAACTGAGTGGAACCCACCACAGCTCAAGGAGGCCTGCCTGCCTCTGTAGGCTCTACCTCTGGGGCAGGGCACAGACAAACAAAAAGACAGCAGTAACCTCTGCAGACTTAAATGTTCCTGTCTGACAGATTTGAAGAGAGCAGTGGTTCTCCCAGCATGCAGCTGGAGATCTGAGAACAGGCAGACTGCCTCCTCAAGTGGGTCCCTGACCCCTGACCCCTGAGCAGCCTAACTGGGAGACACCCCCTAGTAGGGGCAGACTGACACCTCACATGGCCGGGTACTCCTCTGAGACAAAACTTCCAGAGGAACAATCAGACAGCAGCATTCGCGGTTCACGAAAAACCACTGTTCTGCAGACACCGCTGCTGATACCCAGGCAAACAGGGTCTGGAGTGGACCTCTAGCAAACTCCAACAGACCTGCAGCTGAGGGTCCTGTCTGTTAGAAGGAAAACTAACAAAAAGGACATCCACACCAAAAGCCCATCTGTACATCACCATCATCAAAGACCAAAAGTAGATAAAACCACAAAGATGGGGAAAAAACAGAGCAGAAAAACTGGAAACTCTAAAAAGCAGAGCACCTCTCCTGCTCCAAAGGAATGCAGTTCCTCACCAGCAATGGAACAAAGCTGGACGGAGAATGACTTTGACGAGCTGAGAGAAGAAGGCTTCAGATGATCAAACTACGAGCTACAGGAGGAAATTCAAACCAAAGGCAAAGAAGTTGAAAACTTTGAAAAACATTTAGACGAATGTATAACTAGAATAACCAATACAGAGAAGTGCTTAAAGGAGCTGATGGAGCTGAAAGCCAAGGCTCGAGAACTACGTGAAGAATGCAGAAGCCTCAGGAGCCGATGCGATCAACTGGAAGAAAGGGTATCAGTGATAGAAGATGAAACGAATGAAATGAAGCGAGAAGGGAAGTTTAGAGAAAAAAGAATAAAAAGAAACGAACAAAGCCTCCAAGAAATATGGGACTATGTGAAAAGACCAAATCTACATCTGATTGGTATACCTGAAAGTGACGGGGAGAATGGAACCAAGTTGGAAAACACTCTGCAGGATATTATCCAGGAGAACTTCCCCAATCTAGCAAGGCAGGCCAAAATTCAGATTCAGGAAATACAGAGAACACCACAAAGATACTCCTCGAGAAGAGCAACCCCAAGACACATAATTGTCAGATTCACCAAAGTTAAATGAAGGAAAAAATGTTAAGGGCAGTCAGAGAGAAAGGATGGGTTACCTACAAAGGGAAGCCCATCAGACTGACAGCAGATCTCTCGGCAGAAACTCTACAAGCCAGAAGAGAGTGGGGCCCAATATTCAACATTCTTAAAGAAAACAATTTTCAACCCAGAATTTCATATCCAGCTAAACTAAGCTTCATAAGTGAAGGAGAAATAAAATACTTTACAGACAAGCAAATGCTGAGAGATTTTGTCACCACCAGGCCTGCCCTAAAAGAGCTCCTGAAGGAAGCACTAAACATGGAAAGGAACAACCGGTACCAGCCGCTGCAAAATCATGCCAAAATGTAAAGACCATTGAGACTAGGAAGACACTGCATCAACTAATGAGCAAAATAACCAGCTAACATCATAATGACAGGATCAAATTCACACATAACAATATTAACTTTAAATGTAAATGGACTAAATGCTCCAATTAAAAGACACAGACTGGCAAATTGGATAAACAGTCAAGACCCATCAGTGTGCTGTATTCAGGAAACCCATCTCACGTGCAGAGACACACATAGGCTCAAAATAAAAGGATGGAGGAAGATCTACCAAGCCAATGGAAAACGAAAAAAGGCAGGGGTTGCAATCCTAGTCTCTGATAAAACAGGCTTTAAACCAACAAAGATCAAAAGAGACAAAGAAGGCCATTACATAATGGTAAAGAGATCAATTCAACAAGAAGAGCTAACTATCCTAAATATATATGCACCCAATACAGGAGCACCCAGATTCATAAAGCAAGTCCTGAGTGACCTACAAAGAGACTTAGACTCCCACACATTAATAATGGGAGACTTTAACACCCCACTGTCAACATTAGACAGATCAACGAGAAAGAAAGTTAACAAGGATACCCACAAATTGAACTCACCTCTGCACCAAGCAGACCTAATAGACATCTACAGAACTCTCCACCCCAAATCAACAAAATTTACATTTTTTTCAGCACCACACCACACCTATTCCAAAATTGACCACATGGTTGGAAGTAAAGCACCCCTCAGCAAATATAAAAGAACAGAAATTATAACAAACTCCCGGACCACAGTACAATCAAACTAGAACTCAGGATTAAGAAACTCACTCAAAACCGCTCAACTACATGGAAACTGAGCAACCTGCTCCTGAATGACTACTGGGTATATAACGAAATGAAGGCAGAAATAAAGATGTTCTTTGAAACCAACGAGAACAAAGACACAACATACCAGAATCTCTGGGACACATTCAAAGCAGTGTGTAGAGGAAAATTTATAGCACTAAATGCCCACAAGAGAAAGCAGGAAAGATCCAAAATTGACACCCTAACATCACAATTAAAAGAACTAGAAAAGCAAGAGCAAACACATTCAAAAGCTAGCAGAAGGCAAGGAATAACTAAAATCAGAGCAGAACTGAAGGAAATAGAGACACAAAAAGACCTTCAAAAAATTAATGAATCCAGGAGCTGGTTTTTTGAAAGGATCAACAAAATTGATAGACCACTAGCAAGACTAATAAAGAAGAAAAGAGAGAAGAATCAAATAGACGCAATAAAAAATGATAAAGGGGATATCACCACTGATCCCACAGAAATACAAACTACCATCAGAGAATACTACAAACACCTCTACTCAAATAAACTAGAAAATCTAGAAGAAATGGATAAATTCCTCAACATATATGCTCTCCCAAGACTAAACAAGGAAGAAGTTGAATCTCTGAATAGACCAATAACAGGAGCTGAAATTGTGGCAATAATCAATAGCTTACCAACCAAAAAGAGTCCAGGACCAGATGGATTCACAGCCAAATTCTACCAGAGGTACAAGGAGGAACTGGTACCATTCCTTCTGAAACTATTCCAATCGATAGAAAAAGAGGGAATCCTCCCTCATTTTATGAGGCCAGCATCTTCCTGATACCAAAGCCAGGCAGAGACACAACAAAAAAAGAGAATTTTAGACCAATATCCTTGATGAACATTGATGCAAAAATCCTCAATAAAGTACTGGCAAACTGAATCCAGCAGCACATCAAAAAGCTTATCCACCATGATCAAGTGGGCTTCATCCCTGGGATGCAAGGCTGGTTCAATATACGTAAATCAATAAATGTAATCCAGCATATAAACAGAGCCAAAGACAAAAACCACATGATTATCTCAATAGATGCAGAAAAGGCCTTTGACAAAATTCAACAACACTTCATGCTAAAAACTCTCAATAAATTAGGTATTGATGGGACATATCTCAAAATAATAAGAGCTATTTATGACAGACCCACAGCCAATATCATACTGAATGGGCAAAAACTGGAAGCATTCCCTTTGAAAACTGGCACAAGACAGGGATGCCCTCTCTCACCACTCCTATTCAACATAGTGTTGGAAGTTCTGGCCAGGGCAATTAGGCAGGAGAAGGAAATAAATGGTATTCAATTAGGAAAAGAGGAAGTCAAATTGTCCCTGTTTGCAGACGACATGATTGTATATCTAGAAAACCCCATTGTCTCAGCCCAAAATCTCCTTAAGCTGATAAGCAACTTCAGCAAAGTCTCAGGATACAAAATCAATGTACAAAAATCACAAGCATTCTTATACACCAATAACAGACAAACAGAGCCAAATCATGAGTGAACTCCCATTCACAATTGCTTCAAAGAGAATAAAATACCTAGGAATCCACCTTACAAGGGACGTGAAGTACATCTTCAAGGAGAACTACAAACCACTGCTCAATGAAATAAAAGAGGACACAAACAAATGGAAGAACCTTCCATGCTCATGGATAGGAAGAATCAATATTGTGAAAATGGCCATACTGCCCAAGGTAATTTATAGATTCAATGCCATCCCCGTCAAGCTACCAATGACTTTCTTCACAGAATTGGAAAAAAACTACTTTAAAGTTCATATTGAACCAAAAAAGAGCCCGCATCGCCAAGTCAATCCTAAGCCAAAAGAACAAAGCTGGAGGCATCACACTACCTGACTTCAAACTATGCTACAAGGCTACAGTAACCAAAACAGCATGGTACTGGCACCAAAACAGAGATATAGATCAATGGAACAGAACAGAGCCCTCAGAAATAATGCCATATATCTACAACTATCTGATCTTTGACAAACCTGAGAAAAACAAGCAATGGGGAAAGGATTCCCTATTTAATAAATGGTGCTGGGAAAACTGGCTAGCCATATGTAGAAAGCTGAAACTGGATCCCTTCCTTACACCTTATACAAAAATCAATTCAAGATGGATTAAAGACCTAAACATTAGACCTAAAACCATAAAAACCCTAGAAGAAAACCTAGGCATTACCATTCAGGACATAGGCATGGGCAAGGACTTCATGTCTAAAACACCAAAAGTAATGGCAACAGAAGCCAAAATTGACAAATGGGATCTAATTAAACTAAAGAGCTTCTGCACAGCAAAAGAAACTACCATCAGAGTGAACAGGCAACCTACAAAATGGGACAAAATTTTCACAACCTCCTCATCTGACAAAGGGCTAATATCCAGAATCTACAATGAACTCAAACAAATTTAGAAGAGAAAAACAAACAACCCCATCAAAATGTGGGCGAAGGACATGAACAGACACTTCTCAAAAGAAGACATTTACGCAGCCAAAAAACACATGAAAAAATTCTCATCATCACTGGCCATCAGAGAAATGCAAATCAAAACCACAATGAGATATCATCTCACACCAATTAGAATGACAATCATTAAAAAGTCAGGAAACAACAGGTGCTGGAGAGGATGTGGAGAAATAGGAACACTTTTACACTGTTGGTGGGACTGTAAACTAGTTCAACCATTGTGGAAGTCGGTGTGGCGATTCCTCAGGGATCTAGAACTAGAAATACCATTTGACCCAGCCATCCCATTACTGGGTATATACCCAAAGGACTATAAATCATGCTGCTATAAAGACACATGCACACGTATGTTTATTGCGGCACTATTCACAATAGCAAAGACTTGGAACCAACCCAAATGTCCAACAACGATAGACTGGATTAAGAAAATGTGGCACATATACACCATGGAATACTATGCAGCCATAAAAAATGATGAGTTCATGTCCTTTGTAGGGACATGGATGAAATTGGAAATCATCATTCTCAGTAAACTATCGCAACAACAAAAATCCAAACACCACATATTCTCACTCATAGGTGGGAATTGAACTATGAGAACACATGGACACAGGAAGGGGAACATCACACTCTGGGGACTGTTGTGGGGTGGGGGGAGGGGGGAGGGATAGCATTGGGAGATATACCTAATGCTAGATGACGAGTTAGTGGGTGCAGCGCACCAGCATGGCACAGGTATACATGTGTAACTTACCTGCACATTGTGCACACGTACCCTAAAACTTAAGGTATAATTAAAAAAAGAAATAAAAAAAAAACCTGCACGTTTTTGCACATGTACCCTAGAACTTATAGTATAATAAAAGAAAAAAGAAAGAAAACAAATAAAAATGTTTTGACTCTGAAAAAAAAAAAGAAAACAGATTTATAGATTAAATTTAAAATTTTCCACTGGCATACTCGAGGTAATTACATTGTTTCCTATCTACTTAGGCTTTAAAATTAAAGATAGGACTTTTTTGGTAGCCCTAAATTACTTATTTTTTTGTAGTTGTCTCAGTACTCAAATTGTGAATTGAATGCAAACAAAAGGAAGAAAATATATATTTATGTGTTTGAGTAACTGTGTATAGATTCTTGCATTTAATCCTTGGAAATATTCTATGGGAATATTTTATTCTAAAGTCTAACGTTAAAAAACTGTAACGGACTCACTGCCACCCAGCTAACAAATGATAAAACAAAGATTTTAAGTTGGATTTGTTGAAACCAATATTGATTCCCTTGCCACTATGTCAGCCTTTGTTCTTCAACATATGAAGTGATTTTATTGAGCTTTGAGACTGCATTTTTATGGATGTATGCCTTCCTATTATTCTGCTACTAGAGAACAGCAAGAGTTCTATTTGTCATAATCAGATTTACTGTAACTGTTACCACCTGTTCCAGAAAGCTGTTGTCTTTTTTTTGTGAAAATCTGTTTTTCTTAACTCTTTGATCTTTTTAGATTTTAAAACACTATCAATTTTAGGAAGCATCATCAAATTAATAAGAGCTTTTGGGAAAAATAGGTTACTGCCATGATTTCAGAAATGTTACAATATGGGAGAAAGTCATCTTAAAAATAGGAAATATAATATTTGGTATTGTAATTTAGTGCTATTGCTTAAACATTTTTCTAATTTGAAATTTAATTGATGTTCTGGGCATATGTGCAATAAATGTCTCATCACCACATGAGGAGGATTTCATAAAAATAAGGATCTGTGCCCTTGAGAACAACCAAAACACATTAGTAGGTTTCATTTGTGTTTCAGAAGATCTCACTGATGGCAGAATAATTAGCTTCATTAACCAAAATGCAATATGACTGTCTCCATTGTTGCTCTCAGATGTTGACTGACGCTAATACTAACTCTAAAAAGCTTTGTAAATTCTGCCGTTATGATACAAATAACTCCTAGCAAGAAAAAAAATATCTGTGAGGGAGAGAGGACTACCACTACCTAGTTAAAATAGGTAACACAATTTACATTTCCTTCATACTATAGTTTTTCACTGTTTGTCCTTACATTTATATTGTTTTACAAAGTTACATTCAGAAGGAAAATTATATTTCAAATGAAATGTGTGAGAATAGCCTAAAACAGCTTTTTAACTTAAGATTATAGTTTAAGCATTTCTGTACATTGCCAGTCTGCAAAGCAATTTAATGGATGCAAAATATTCCCATATATAAGCATACCATTCATTTATTAGTTAATTTAACAATTACTAAGAGATTACAATGCAATTAACAATGAACTAAATATCTGGATATAGCGATGAACAAAACAGTCACTGCACTTATAGCACTTACAGTTAGGAGGAGATAGATATAACATTTATACATATAAATGTATACATTCAATGCCCGATGTTGATGTATATGTACATATATAGCATATATGTTTTATATGAGTGTGTGTTTTATCATTTGATGTCAGGTGCTGATAAAAATAATAAAAAATAATAAAGCATTGCGAGCAGAGGGAGAACTATGGAGACTGTATTTTAGAAATAATGGTCAAACAGTGATTCTCTGATGAGGTGACAAGTGAACAGAACCCTGGCTAAAACAGATATTGAGCATTATCTGCAGAGAGACAAGCAAGTGCAAAAACCCCACAGTGAGAACATACTTTACATCAAATAACCTGGTGCAGCTGGATTGGAGGGCATGAGGGTAGAGCTGTAGGAGCTGGACAGGGAATGATAGTAAGGAGCTAGATGATGCATATGCCCAGTGGGCTGTTGTATGGACTATGGCTTTACCTGGAGATGCAGAATTATTAGAAGGTTTGAATAGAGATTTAATATCATTTATCTTGGGTTTTTAAAAGGGCCACCCTGGCTATCATGTGGTAGGAGGAAAAGATGGATACAGGAAGATCATTTTGGAGAATCGAATGGACTTCTGTTCATTTAATTAACTATAATCAGATGTTGATAAATGATCAGCTTTGAGCTATAATTTAAAGACAGTTTAGACAGGATTTGGGCATTTAAATCCAGTTAGTCATTCAATAAACATTTATTGAATGAACTATGTGTCAGACCCTATTCTAGATGTTAAGGAGAAAGCAGTCAACAAACAAGACAACAAAAGTGGGAAAAAATGTACACACACACACACATACATATATATATATATAGGCCAGGCCAGGCTCACAAAAAATACCTTAGTGAGGGGAACAAATAATGAAAAAGACAAATAAGTAAAAACACATTACATATTAGTGGTATGTGCTGAAGAGTGAAATGTACTAAAGAGTTAATGCTTCATGTTAAGTTAAAAGAATTTGGTGAAGGATTTGATGTAGGGTACAAGAGAAAATGAGGAGTCAAGATCACTCCTAGGGTTTTAGCCTGTGTAACTAGAATAAACTTGTTTATTAAGATGGCAATAGTTTCTACGTTTTATTATTCATAGGCTTAAAGGAACATTCCTGCTAACACAGATTTTCTTTCTTTTAGATTATAATTTTAGAATGCATTTCCAGTTGTGCTGTTTTGCTCTTAAAACATGTTGATGGATGCGCCTCCATGATCCAAACACTTCCCACCAGTCTTCATTTTCAACATTAGAGATCAGATTTCAACATGAGACCTGGACCAAACAAACCATATCCAAGTCATAGCAATATCTTTGCATATCATTCATCAGGACAGTGATTTAAAACTATCTGCATACTCTAATATTATTTGTTTTCTTAGTTAATTTACTTCAATTTTTCTACTTCTGTTATATATTTTTTCATTTTTATTCTGTTAATAAGCATTTATTGAAAAATTTTCTTTGCTTTCCAACTTTTAGGTTCAAGAGGTATATGTGCACGTTTGTTACATGGGTAAATTGCATGTCATAGAGGTTTGGCGTACAGATAGTTTTTTCACCCAGATATTATGCTGACTTCTCCAGTATACCAAGAAAGAAAAAGAAGAAGAAAGGGGGGGGGGCGGGCGGGTGGAAGGAAAGAAGGAAAGAAGGAAGGAAGGAAGGGAGGAAGGAAGGGAGGGCAGTAAAAAAGAAAAGAAAACAAATGTGAAGGAATTTAGAAAATAAAATGATTAGCTCTAGTCAGCGCTGTAGGGTAGGGGAAAAAAAGATCTGAAAAGACTTCATAAATGTGGTGGTATTTGGCAAATGTTCAAAATTGATTTAGCTTTCCTCCAGCAAGATGATGCTGTGTATTTCTTTTCCAGAAATAGATGAGTTATAGGAATTAAAGAAAAAAGTAAACAGAAAAATCTCTGCCTAGAAAACTAAATTGTGAGTGGAATAGGAGCAGGAAATGAGTAATGAACTTCTATAGGTTTAATTTCTTGTGTTCCATGGAAAATAAAATAATTAATGTAAATTGTCATTTTATCTTTTATAAGCATTAAATTCATATTTAGATAATTTTAGAGTTTAGAGGACCCTTAGAGACTTGGGAAAAGGAAATTGCATGCTAAGGAAGTGGCAGATTTAGAATGAGAAATGACATCTTGTGATCCACAAGCCAGTGCCTGCTCCCCAACAGCACATGCCATTTGCCGATTGCTGTTTAACCAAACCAGGATTTCTTGCTTCTCTAATAACCAATGGTGAAAATGATGGAGAGACAGAGAGAAAGACAGGGACAGAGAGAGAGCGAGAGCAAGCGAGCGAGCGCGAGAGTGCCTACCGGGGGAAAGGAAGGAAAGGGGGAGAAAGGATTGGCAAGGAAATAAAAACACAAAACACTCTATGCCTTACAAACTGGCAGTCAATGGTAGGGTTTTGGTAGCTGCTCCAAGAATATAACTCCAAAATTTCAGTTTCTTTCACGCTTAGGTAACAGTTCAATGCAAATCCAGATTGTGCATTTTAAAGTTTTCTGTGTTGATCATTCTTCCTCCAGTTTACCTGTGTGTCTAACTGCCTCACTCTTTATATCTTTGTGCAAATATTACTATGTTCTTTACTAAAATGACACCCCCCACTCCTTTCACACCTTCATCCTTCCTATCTACGTATTTTTCTCAAATTCACTGACCACAAGACATACTTAATATTTTACTTATTTTAAAATTGCATTTCTTCTCTTACTTCAATGTTCTATGAAGGCAGAATTGTGTTTGCCACTCTAATGTCAACTTGTAAAAGAGTATCTTGCATATCAGGGTTGTTTAATAAACAAAAGTTGAATGAATACAATGTAACTTACCTAAATATGGGGGAAACATATTATATTCACAAGCATGCGCTTTGGAATCAGATCAGAATTTGTTTCAGTTTTAGATGTACCTCTTACTAGTTTAGTGACTTTGGCATGTTCCATGTTCCTTTTTTGCTTATTATTAAATGTAGGAAGAAATTATACCCACTTTATAAAGTTGTCATCAGAATGAAAGAAAATAATACAGGTAAAGTTTCTAGCTTATTGCATGCACTTAGCAAATGTTAACCATCAATGAGTTAGGTATGGTTAATAGGTCTAAGTGTAACCACTAAAAGCTTAGAGCTTCTTAACATATCTGGCCATTAACTGCATCCTAAGACATAATATGACCTATATAATTTTAGTTTATACCACTAAAAACCTGATACTATTAGCTGCCCATGATGTAACATATTATGTTTTAATAGTTTTTAACCATTATTTATAAAGGAATGGATATACTATAAACAAAATTGTTTTTCCTCTGTACAATAAGTTGACTGAAATCTTGAAAGCACTAGAGTTTTCCATGTCAAAATTCACGTTTAGTAGATATCAACTGATCTAATCAAATAACTCTAAGATGTTTTGATATCTTTGAAAGGGCTAAATATATAGCAATCTGTTTTTTAATTTGCAGAGATATTTATATCACATGGAATATAAATTTAGTGAAGTGTGTCAAGAATTCTTGGTCATATAGACACCATAGAGATTTCCTATTTTATATTATTTTACATTAATTACAGCTTATTCATTGTTCATGTACATCCTTATGTGTAACTGATATTATAGCATTTTAGTTTTTGGCTATTCTGCTAGTAACCATCATTTTTCAGTGTTCTCTGTTCTTTCCTGACAGTTGTTTCAATCCCCTGATTTTATGTTTCTTGTAATGTTTATTAAGATATTTTCTACTATTTCTCAGACTTTTTGCACCCTTCAAATTTTTCCAGCTTTTAAGAAAACAGACTCTCAAGATCAATGCAGTTTTTAATTAAGCAAATAAATGCTTGTACAGTTCTTACAAATGTCACTATCTTCAAGTTCAAAACATGATGATTTTTTTCATGGTTCCAATTTTATTTTCAAAAATTTGAAGTACATTGAATAGCATAGATGAATTTAATTCTTCTGAAAGTCACTATCAGTGTCAGCATTAGTAAATAATAGGCAGGCTTTCACATTACTTTTATGTGCTTATTTATTGAATGTATGGATTATTTGAAAATTATGCCACACAAATTTTATGTATTTTCTAGTATATATATAGGCTAAACTCTGGGAAAACATGAAAGAGGAGAGATTAGTATGTTTAATGAAAAAAGAGAAAAACTATAGAAATGGATATAACTTTCTCTTTCTCTTTTATAGCCCTAGGAAAAGATAAGGATTACACGGATGAATCAGAACACGCTACTTATGACCGATCTCGTCTCATTAATGACTTTGTTATCAAAGATAAATCTGAATTCAAGACAAAATTATCTAAGGTAATGAGAACTAAATTATCAATAAGTCATTTTTAGAGCATCATTTTTAAAACCTTACAATATTCATCTACATATTTGGTTTTCTGCTGGAGAATATAAAAGAATATACATGTTAATATGTACTATTAAGAACTCAGAAGCAAAAAGTTGTATATAGAGTTGATATTCATATTTGTTATATTGATTCATCATATATCTCAAACAGAATGTTTAAAATACTTAATCTGAAATGTAAAATTATTCATTAATAGTCCCTTTAAGGCTTTATTTCTTCATCTTTCTTAGCATGACTTAATGAGAACATGGATTTTAGTATCACATCAACCAAGATTTAAATTCCATTTCTACTACCCAGTTGTAATAACTTGATAAGGCTAATTAAACTCACTGAGAATTGTTTTTCTCATTTGAAATATGCTTCTGGTTGTCTGCTTGACAAGATTATTGGAAGACAAAATGAGAAAACCATGTAAGTGTCTGGTGCATAGCAAAAGATTGAGAATACCTTATTGAAATTATAGTTCACCAATACAAAAATGAGGTAGAGTTCAATTTTAGAAACTCCTGGCTCCAACAATCCTGCCATCCCTCAAACAAAATGCTTTCATGGACTCTTCAAAGCATGGGAGTGTTCCCATCAGATACCAAAGACAAAATGGATGCTGCTTCTTTTCATCATTGCAAATGTAACTGATCCATATTTCCCTTTTGATGATTTTCACGACAAATCCTAGCTCAGGATAAGCTCACTTTTTTTTTTTCATTTTTTGTGTTGATGAAAAAGGAAATGCCTTTGTAAAAAAGATAGTTGGATATTAAGTGCAGTTTAACACAAGGAATGACTTAGGTTTCAATTTTCACTGCATGGCTAATAATCACATTCTTGAATACAATTTTCTTGGTGATATTTGATTTTGTATTTCTTGGATTAATTTTGCAAATATCTTTATTAGTCACCCACCAGTGTGTTAGTAAATAAATATGGCAGAGACTAAATATTACTATCATGAGACCAAACTAATACATAGATGCAGGGATAATTGTGCCAGATTTCTTTATTACTGTTTGTTTGGTTTTATTAAATTGCATCAGTATTATGGGCTAATAATTAAGTTATCTTTGCAAATCAGGTGTTTATCTTTCTATGGTTACTAAATCTGCCTCCCTGTGTCTGTCTGATAAATATAAAGGCTGTTTAGAGTCTCTACTATCTGTAAAGCACTGTTCCAAATGAACTGAGAGGAGGAGTTATAAGAGAAATTAAGATGTTGTTTCTTAATGTGCATATAGCACTGACTGGAAGACAAACACAATATGCTGAAATAATTAGAAAATGAACTACGATTAAATAGTTTGTATTATCTGCTTTTCTAGAATTACCACATGCCATCAATGATATCCACCATTTTATTTCTTCTCAACAGTAGCAATTTCCCAAGTTCCACTTTGACTAGACTAGAACTTTAGGATATCAAAGTTTTAAAAAAGTTGGACCTGCATGCATATTATGATTGTAACATTAATGATAAGAGAATGGTGTATGACTATGGTAACAGACCACAATAGGTCAATCCAATATATCTTATTCTAATGCCCTACTAAATCTACCTGATTACATACCCTTCTCCTATTATACTTCCACTCAAACTGTAGAACATCATGACACACCGGAGTGACTTGTTCTTCTAGCTTCTATTAAAATGTGTCCACTTTTATCCATTTTATAGTTTTGAGTGCAGCATAAATTCCATTTGAGCAATAACCAGAATGTTTAAATGCCATTTTGGTAGTCTACTTTTAAAGTTTATCTACAAGTGAAGAGCAAAATTACCTACTTAGACAATTTCCTTTGTGTACATTTGTCACAGGAAACCTCAAAAAAGCAATAATCTAAATTTTCATTGTTTGGGTGTCTGTATACCCTGTGTGCTTTATAAATTTGTTGGCCTTTCTCTTATTATACCCCATCATTAAATTGTGTGTGTGTGTGTGTGTGTGTGTGTGTGTGTGTGTCTGTGTGTGAATTAAAGCATATATATTTTCAGTTAGATCTTATGACATTGACAATTTTTATTCATTTGTGTCCTACAAATAGAAACTTCCTATGGTTCAAATGAACCTATTTAGATAGATAGATAGATAGATAGATAGATAGATAGATAGATAGATAGTTAAATTATATGGCTGAAGATGTGTGCCTTATAGCATCATATGTGACAATTGTGCTTGTTGTAATCTACATTGTGCATATTATGCAATGTAACCAATATTTTATTTCTACACAAAAGTTACTCATTTGCAAAGAGATCATTTTAGTGATGACAAAGCAAATTTATGAGGAGTCAACAGAAAGGGGGCACAGACTTGAAGGGGGGAAAGTAACTCCTAATACAAACTACATAGTGAGTAATAACAAGTATTAAATTACAGAAAACAAAGCTTTCTAACAAGCTTGCCATCAGCCAAACACTAAAATAATAGGAAATAACCCCAAGTCCTGCAACCTGATGTCTTATATTGAATTTATGAGGAAGCACTGTTGAGTTATGAAACGTAAAAACAAAGAAATACAGAAAAACATCTGACTAATTTACTAGGAGTTGTGTAAATAGACTGTATATGTGTTTAAACATTTGGTTTATCAATCATTGTGCAAACATTTTCTGAGTTGAGTTGGGGTAGTGAATTTTAATTTTTGTCAGGTACATATGCACTGTTTGTAATAATTTTGTAAGCTAATGTATTTATGAGTAACTATAGTTTGCTGTAGAATTAATCTTCAGAACAATGCATTGTATCTTTAGAATATCTTGCTTCAAATCATAAGTTTTTAGCATGTTATTTATACTGAAATTATTCAAAATTTTACAGATCAAAAGGATCTATAATTTTGATATCTACTATGATGAAGGGACATTGATAAATAAGATACTTTATTTATTGTGAAATTATAATGCACAAAGCTTGGTATGGTACTTTAGGACCAATATGGCAAACAGTAAATAGCTTTTGCTATCCAAGTACTAACTGGGATGCAGTTTAGGAATTCAGACATGCATATCAATTGGGAAATCCATGAGATTCTAGAAATTAGAGGCAGCACTAAACATGGTTTAAATCTGTATTTAGTTAGCCTCAAGCTTTACAATAGGAGTTATATTTAAATATTTCAGAGGCATTGTGGTAGATATAAAATTGGCCACAATCTTTTCTTTCCTGTATCCACTCTATTTTCAATGAGATTTTGCAGCTTTTCCCATCAAGAGATAGAGTCTATTGAACAGGCCTTGGTCCTCATGTTTGTCAGTAGACTGTTGCAGGAGTAACATTATGCCAGCACTGAGCCTTGAACTCAAAAGGTCTTCAACTCCCATTCTTTCTCTTGGGATTCTCCCTTTACCATGTGAATAAGTCAGAGCTAGTCTTGAGGAGGAGAAGAGACCACAGGGACCAGAGGCTCATAAGCACAGTTGCCCCAAATGAGGCAGAGAGAGATGAGAGAATCCAACAGCAAAGGCCAGGAAAATCAGACCTATGAAAAATCGCAACTGAGACCAGAAGAGCTACCCCGCTGAGTCCAGCCTGTGCACAGAATCATGAGCCAAAGAGTTGTTTGGGGATGGTTTGTCTCTCTGCAAGAGATAATGGAGACAACCACAAATGTTAAAGAATAACACATTGGCTAATACCAATGATTGTTAATATGAAGTTAATTCTTCCTCAGTGTCTAGGAAGATTTGCAAAATTGTCGCAGAGTTTGACACAGCATATTCACAGCATGCATTTAATTCTATGGAGCCCAAGTATATTTTAAATAGCATAACTGAAATCACATGGTATTTAAGCAACCTATCTAAAACTTTCTAAAATTGTTTTTTTTAAAAACTCTATTTACAAAAGTGCCTTCCTTGTGAAAACATTAAATCAAGGTAAAATTCCAAGATTACTATTAATCAAAATGTGTTTATAGTTAACAGCAGTCACAAACATGCAATGTTTTAAACAGTTTAATTTTTCTGGGTACAGAGTAAATGTATATATTTATGAGGTATATGGGATATATTGATACAGGCATACAAAATATAATAATTACATTGGGATAAATGAGGTATCCATCACCTCACGCATTTATCCTTTGTGTTACAAGCAATCCAATTATACTCTTTAAAATGTACAAGTAAATCAGTATTGACTATAGTCACCCTATTGTGCTATCAGATAATAGATCTTATTCCTTCTTTCAAAATATTTTTTGTGCCCATTTAATCATCCCCTCTCCCCTTGCCCTACATTTCCCAAACCCTGGTAATCATCATTCTACTTTCTATCTCTGAGTTAATTGTTTTAATTTTTAGCTCTCACAAATAAGTGAGAAGATGAAAAGTCTGTCTTTCTGTGCCTGACTGATTTCCTTTAGCATAATGACCTCCAGTTCCATCCATAGTGTTGCAAATGACAGGGTCTCATTCTTTTATGGCTGAATAGTACTCCATTGTGTATATGTTCCACTTTTTTTTTTTTTATCCATTCGCCTGTTGATGGACACTTGGGTTGCTTCCAAGTCTTGGCTGTTGTGAATACTGTTGCAATAAATATGGGAGTGCAGATATTTCTTTTATAAAACTTTTCTTTAAGACCAATTTACTTTCTGTCTTACCTCTTGACAAAAGGCTTTTTCATCCCTATGTGGCTAAGCAATTTAAGGAAGCATTTTGTAATGAAAGGAAAGGAACATTCCCAAAAATCCATAGACTGAAGGACCTGGCCTGACTGCAAGCAAAGTTCTAGAGCAAATGAGGGGGATTCTTTTTAAGATGGTTTGGGTAAATATCGTCTTTTCTTGTTTCATGAATATGGAGAACACTGAGAACAACATTTGAAGATAATGAGGTCCTACCACCAAACTGTGTGATCCTCAAAACTAGAATCCCTCTCTCCACCAAGGAGCCACATCCCACATACCAGCTGAGGCCTCTAGATGTGGTCAATTTACAGGGATTATCTATAGTTAATCTAGGTTAGCAGGAATAAGCCTACGGTAAAGAATCCATGGCATCCGTAGTGGGCATTAGTGAAGCTCAGCTGCGTAGCTCTTTCGGTCTCAGCTGGGATATTTCACGGGTCCACCACTGTCACTTACGATGCCCAAATTAACTACAGATATTGCCATTAATGAGTCTGAGAATATTAATCTATTTTTCAGTTACAGTGACTTCACCTTTGAAAGGATATTGGGTATCAAATCAAACAGGAAGAAGGTTATAGACAAGGAAAATCTGGACATGAATATTTTAGCAGTTCATTAAAATTAGATCACAAGGCCATTCACTTTGTGTCAACTGGCATTGGCAGATGGTACTCATCTTTATCTCAATGAGTATTAGAAATAATTTTCTCTAGGACTGGAGACACTGGTCATATGATGGAGAAGGTGAGAAAGAGATAGCTTTTGTAGTCTTCTACAGCATACCTTTTATGTGGATGTCAGGAACTATTTCATTTGCCTAAATGGCTCTTTGCCTCAAATTGTGTATAGGACTTAGTATTCTGAATGTGCTACTTCCTATTTTTGTCCAGATATTGTGAGATGGTGATGACAAACTACAAGATGAATGACTAACTTGGCTCTATATGGCTGCTTTAATGGACAAGATTATACATGAAATACTAAGAGAATAAATTTTACTTCTTTTTGGGATAGTCAGTTTCTAAAGAAAATATTAATATTCATTTAACTTTAGTACCTGAAGTAACCTTTTATTTATATTATTAAGTGGTATCCTAAATATTTAATTTTCATATAAAACATGGGTTACACAGAAAATCACCTTGGCTTATTAATCTTTTTGTCCATGTTTTTAAATGTCTCTTCTTACCTAACATTAAGAAGTCTCCTTTTCAATCAGTCCAAAGTAATCTCGTCCTGTTTTCAGAGTCTTTGTATTCTCTGAAATACTGAAAAGGCATTATCCTCCCTGCAACCCTAAAAGGAATCTCCCTTCCTTGTGCCATTTAAGTACTTAGTTTGACCCTCGGAAACCTCTCTAAGTAAATGGTGAAGACTTGTTCTACATTAGCTGATTGCTAGTGTAAATTTTCCAAAAGATTTAGTACAAGAGTTTTCAGAGTTGCTTCAAATTTTCTGTAGACTGCTTAAACCTGGGTGTGTGCATGTATGTGTGTGTGCAGGCGCATGTGAGGGAGTGGTGTATATGTTATGATAAAGGTAGCATTTCACATCAGGAAATAAATATTAATCATTTAAAAACATTCAAATGTTCTCACAACAACTAGTCAATTATTTGGAAAGAGTTAAAATATTCTTAGACGACATCTCACATAACAAATGAATTACTGAAGAGCTAAAGAGGTATACTCAAACTGAATATATTGAAAACAAAGCAAAACAAAAATAAACAATTTTTCTAATGACAGAATAGAAAAATGGCCTTTTTAAGTGGACTTTTAAAATCAGTGATAAAATTAAGCATGGATAGACTTACTATTTAGATACTAAATATATCAGTGTCAAAATTCTGATAAAATCAAAAAGAGACAAGCTTAAGATGTGGTGATCAGCTCACATACTGGAAAATATATATATGCCAGAAGAATGGCTAATATTCTTAATTCACACAGATATTATAATGTAATTTATAATGTAAGAATGAAATAAATTGAAAAGCAATGTAATTTTAACATATATAACGATCAGCTGTACTATTAATTACAGAAATACAAATGTAAGCAATGTTTTTTGAAATTAGAAATTGTTTATATCAGTATTAGGTTTTGTTGTACTTTTAAACTATAAGCTATCATTTTTATTCCTTGCTGGCCAATATGTACATTGAGCCAAATTTTCTGGAAAACAATTTCACAAGGAAGGTTCAGTACCTAAAGGTAATTTTGCCCTTTGATTAGTTCTAGGAATTTATGCAGAGAATGCAATTAGAAGTTAGCCAAATTTCTGGGTGTGGTAGCTCATGCCTATAATCCCAGCACTTTGGGAGGCTGAGGAGGGCAGATAAGTAATCTGGAGTGTGAGCCCAGGAGTTTGAGAACAGGCTGAGATACACAGTGAAACCCTGTTTCTACAGAAAAAATACAAAAATGATCCGGGTATGGTGGCACATACCTGTAGTCCCAACTACTCGGGAGACTGAGGCAGGAGGATCACTTGAGCCTGAGAGGTGGAGGCTACAGTGAGCCATGGTTATACAACTGCATTCCAACCTGAGAGAGAGAGAGAGAGGGAGACCCTCTCAAAAAAAAAACAGAAAAAAAAAAAAGCAAGAAGTTAGCCCAAATAATTCTGTTTAAGAATGTTTCTCACATTGTAATTTGTGGTGGGGGAGGACCACTTCCAGAGTCAAGAGTAAATGATAACATTTAAAATAGTAATTCGTAATGCCCTCAGACAAGGCAGTACTATGTTGAAAATCTCTAAACTATTTAAGGATAATAGGACATGATCACAGTGTATAATTATATAATAAAGTGGCTGTAAAAAAATGTGCAGTATAATGCCAATTCTATAAAAATATCTAGCTGGTTTTCATGGGGAAAATATTTAGAATGATATACAAGAGATGTTTATAGTTTTTAACACCGGGTGGTAAAATTCAAAGGACATAAAACTTAAGTATTCATAGATTTAAGCCATAAATATTATAATATCATTACCTTTTTACAATCTCATACAGCTAATAAATGACTGAGCCAGGATTTAAAATAAGATAGTCTTGTTTTCCAAACAGTTTTTCCATTTTGTTACACTGGCATGACAATAGCCATTCAGGACTTCACCTTTTTTAGCCCAATAACCATGGTAAGAAGCATTTCAGTTTCTTTGTCCTAATATGCACTGATCACTTTTGCACCAGAAGCTGTGGTAAGCACTTTATATACATTATCTAATTTAAGTTTCACAATAATTCAATGACATTAGGTAGTAATACTCTCATTTTGACAAACAAGAAAATAAGGAATTAACAGAAACGTTTATTGCCCAAGTCTGTAAGCTAGGTGGAACCAGAGCTGCACTGTGGTGTGTCTCTTTAACTGTAGACTCGGCTTTTCTGTGTCCAGTTCAATCTCTGAGATATACTCTCAGATTTATCTCTTTCCAAAACCCTGAAACATTACTCTGAAGTAAGGCAGCTCTAAATTGTGTGGCTAATTTACAACCTCCTGTAACTAGATTGACCTGTTTGTAATTTATTCTTGTATCAACAAACCCCTAAGTAAAAATAGATAATTTGTTACAAATATAATATCACTAAACCTCAACAAAAGTAGTCAAATAATAGAAAGTTTCTATTCCTTAGGATCAAATAATAATAAGTAGACTAAATATTTTCAACTGAATCTATTACAGTATGGGAACTCCCCTTACCAATCAAAATATGAAATAAGCAGCAACACCACCACCATCACAAAACAAATAAAACTGCACAAAAGCTCCTACAGCTGCCAACAGTTGTGTGTAGAGCTGCAATATGTCTATAGCAGAGGGCTAGGAAGTCATGACATGAGACGATTTACCTGAGAGAATGAAATTAGGTGAGAGATGGATTTGTTGGGGTAGATGCCTTTAGTTCCCAGAAAGACTATAAGGGGAAAAAAATGTGCCTATTTAGGAAGTCGTATTTCATATATGATACAAAGAAACAAAAAATAAGTCAAAGGTGTTTTCTCTCCCCTGACACTAATGTCTCAGTAATTAAACACATAGAGGTTTCTCGAATCACCAATTTGTTTTTCCCATGAGTACTTAAGAATTTATTTTGGAAGATATATCTCCTAAGCCTCCCTGAAGGATGTTAGCTCTAAAATGAGAGCTGCAATAACTTCTCTGCAAAAAAAGTATACATAGTTTGATGGGATGTGAAAGTAAATTCAATAAATTAATGTATGGGCATTCCAGTTAAATGGTGCAGATAATGGTTCTACTTGATATTTAAACATTCAATCAATCACAGGCTCAAATCAAATAGTTCTCTAGTTGTTCAGACATGAAAGCAGCCAGAGAAGACAGATCAGAAACCGTGTTATTTGAGCATACTGAAAGTCAAATCTACCTCCTTAATCTGTCACCTCCAAGCCCTCCAGGCTGTGAACACTGGATTGGAAGTTTCAATATTAATAATAATAATGTTAAATGATTACAACAGCTAACATTTACCAGGGATCTTAACAGGGATTTTAATGACTTCTACTTTTCTATCATCACAACTCTAAAATGTAAGGTCTATTTTTACCCCCATTTCATAGGTGAGGAAATGAAGGCTTAGATGGCTACGTAACTTTCCTGTTATCACACAGCTGGTAAGGAGGAGGCAGGAATTATATACAGGGACCATGCTGTCAAGCACTGTGCTACACTGCACGTAATGGAGGTGTGTGCAAGGGACTATAGAAACCATGAGACAAGTGAATTGGGTAGTTAGGGGTCATGTTCACATTACTGGAAAATTATGTTTATTAGGCAGCATGAATATTGTGGGTTTTTTCAATGTTTTATACTTAAGAAAATATAATAAAATTGAGGCTCCTGTGCTTAGTTAGATCCTGATAAATTTTAAAACACTTGTCCCTAGCTTGCGGCTTATAGCCCTTCATCTCCCCATGTCATCTTTCTCCATGTATTTCCGCACACAGCCTTCTTAACCTCACCAGTCAATCAAAATATGAATATTTTGAGGAATTATCACTGTAGAGAAGAAAATACCTACAGAATAAAGCACTGTTGTGTTTACTGAATAGTTTCTGACACTTCTGTTTTAAAAAACTAATTCTTGTTTTGTTTGTGGTGGTTGACTTCTTGCATGATGCAAACCAGGATTCCAGATGAGGGTTTCAGTCACGGAAACCCATTTGCTTTCATTAATCCCTTCATGCCACAGACAATTTAAACCTACATATTAGAGTAATATACCATTTGTTCTTTAACTGTTTCAAACATTGTGTGAAGTTATTTTTTCTATTTCTTGAACCTGCTAGAAAATCAATTTTAAAGCATGCTTATTAACTCAAGACCATATACATTAAGTGGTTACTTCTTAGGTTCAGTGTCTTGTCAGTTCCAATTACAAGCTGCCCTACAGAGGCATTTTTAAAACAGAAATAAATGTAATCCTCTGTTGCATCTCTTATGTGGATGTTAAGTAAATGAGGACAAAAGCATTCAATTTTATTTGCTTGTTTACCTTTAGGTGACAGTTAATTCCTGTGCTCTCAGATTACAATCATATCATTATGTGCAGCTCAGAGACAATACAATGCAATGTCAAGTTGAACACAGGCAGGATTTTTCAGAAACCACAAAGCTTTCCATTATACCTTTCTCCAGTGAACAAGAAAATGAGGCAATTTCCTTTAAAACCAGAAAAAAAAATTACAGGAATTCCTGGTGAACTCCACTCCGCTATCAAAAAAGTGTTACCTAGTTCACCGTTTAAAAAGTTAGTATTTTCCAGACCACTATTATCAAACTGAAACACACCTCCCACCTCCCATGTTAATCTGCCCAGCTCAAATGGCACATACAATAGATTATTAATAATTGACAGTAAAATCATAAAAATGTCACTGACGTTATATGATTAAATGTCACTTAGGTGACTCATGCATAGACATTAACCAATGACACATGAAAGCAGCCCCCTATTCCACCCTATAACCAACTCCTAAAATGAAATTAATAAAAAATACAGATGTTCTTATAAAGAGATGAGTTATCTTTAAAAAAAAATGATTATTCAAACTCTGGCATTTAGAGAGTAGGCTAAAAACCCTCCAGTCAAATGCTTTGTGTAGCACTCAGTATGTAACATTCTAGTTAATGGAAAAAGCAGGCGGTGAAAGGGAGAACTTTCAGTTGTCACACTGAAGAGTGCTTTAAAGAAGATTGTCATTTGAGACTGTTGTCAGCAATGAAGGATTCCAAATGCAGCTGAACTCAGAATTCTGACTGTGGTATGTTTAAAAGTGCATCAATCTAGGAATTCTATACTATTTTTCTATTTTCTTAAACATATGTAGAGAAGCCAATTGAGAGAAATTAATATTGATTTCAGAATTGGAATTGAGTGTATCTGTTATTTCAAAATACTAGATATATATTTTAAAGTAAAGTATGATCTAAATGTGTTATTTTTAAAATATCTGTGTTTATCTTGCATGTAAACCAAATATCACCTCTGAAGTTTTGTCTTTTTGAATGTATTTATTGATTTCATTGAAATAATTACAGCATCTACTCTAAAATGGTTTTTTATTCAAAAACATAAAATATATTTACCTTTAAAATATTTTCAATTTTTCTTAATAATTTTATACAATATTTTTAACTGGTTTTCATCAAAATAGAAAGTCAGAAAAACATCTGAACTTAAAGGAGCATATCTCATAGTGTTAAATGTTAAAATAAATAAATCACATCAGGTACGAAGTTCACTATGATGTAAGCTAGGGAACAAAATGTTTTCAACCTGCTGTCTTTATTTTCTCACAGTTTTAAAGGTAATAAGAAACTTAATTTTGATTCAGTTCTTGTTTTGGTTTAAAAATGTCAGATGCTTCCATCGGGAAAATTTCCATTTCTACATCTATGTTAAAGATAAGATCATGTAGCATAGATAATCACTGATATGGAAATAAGTGTTCTTTATGAAAAATAAGTACTTAAATGATTTCTTATATAATATTAGAAATATAAAAATCAGTGATGAGAAAAGTTCTACTCAAATGTATTCTCTGTAAATTACTTCCACTAAGGGAATATTTAAAGTTCACATATAAAATTTAAAAATGTTTATTGTATTGAAAAACCAATAGAAAATCATAGTGTATGCTTCATCACAGACTATTCTTTTAAGAATTGGCTTTGTGTCTTCATTAGATAAACTAGAGAACCTATGATTTAAATAAAAAGTAAAAATTGGTGGAAAGAGAATAATATAAGATGGTCTAAGAAACAGCACTTAGTATAATACCATTACATAATGAAAATTCAATTAATATTTTCTTTCCTTCTTAGTTTTTTTTATTTTTTAAGTTTTGTAGAGTATTTACATTTGCTTCATGATTTTTATTCTTCCCGTGGATACATGTCTTACCATATGGTATTCAGCATCACACTTTATCCGGTTAACTAAGGTCAGATAGCTCAGGTGTTTTGGATCCAATCTGAAGTCCAATTTGAAAAAAATTAATCTAGCTTTTTTTGTAACTCTATGATGGTACATTGCTCATTGAGCCAGATTTCATAAGACACTTCATAGGAAACTATTGCTTCCCCCTTAATAACACAAAATCAATATGGGCAAAATTAATCACAGAGAAATAGAGTCTGTTAAATTACCTAGACCAATTCATTGCTTGAACCATCTTGAGAGAAATACAAACTGCAATTTTCCATACTTACACCTAATTTTAGCTAAATTAATACATACTCAGCTATCAGTATAAAAGGAGCTTCATATTTGAAAACTTTTCAAAAGTATGTGCTGCATAATTATACTTAATATTCATAAGAAATATGTATGTCTATCATAAAAGTAAATTGATAAGCAGAATTATCACTAATTATTAAATTAAAATATAAAATAAAATTATCCTTGGACTTTTCTTTCAGTAAAATGAGAGACTAAATTCAGTGATATTTAAGGTTCAAATCTCACATTCTAAGAAATTCTGGCTACATCATCTTTAAACAAAATGTGTGTGTTCCCTTCCTAAACAGATACAACAGTGGTTGCACAGCTACTGAATGTCAGGATTACCTAGAGGGCTGGTTAAAAAAATAGATAACTGGACTCCTCCCCCCAGAGCTTCTGATAACAGTAGCTTCAGTTGAGGCCTGAGAATTTGCATTTTTAAGTTTCCAGGTGATTCTGATGCTATTGGTGCAGATAGCACATTTGAGAACCATTGTCTTAATTCTCCCCTTAATATCTTCAGTGCACACTATTTTGAGAATTCACCATGTGCCAGACTCTATACTAATCTGGGTATGCATTGATGAATAAAATAGGCAAAATCCCTA
Organism: Homo sapiens; assembly: GCF_000001405.40. Lineage (NCBI taxonomy): Eukaryota > Metazoa > Chordata > Mammalia > Primates > Hominidae > Homo > Homo sapiens. The sequence goes on from NC_000011.10 coordinate 26,476,200, forward strand.
AGTGTGCAAAGCTTGTAGTCTAGTGGAGGAATAAGAAAATAAGCCTACATATAATTATCTATTTGAAGTTGTCCTAAGTGGGTGCAGGGTAGAAGGGGAGTTACTTGAGTGATCAGGAAAACAGCTTCTCAGAAGGTATTAAGAGCAAGAAATGAAAGATGAGAAGTCAACAGAGGGAAAAGTGGAAGAACGTGGCATTCAAGGCAGAAGAGTGACCTATGTGAGGGCCCTGGTGTGGAAAGTATCCAGATGTGTTTGAGAAGCTATGTGCTTATATGGCAAAAACACAGAAACTGAGCACAAGGATGGCCAAGAGGAGAGGTGAGAGAGAGGTGAGCAGACACAATGCTGCAGGGGTCTATGAGGAGGAGTTTGAATTTGATTCTAAGTTTAAAGGTTTTTGGACGATCTCTGTTTTTATAAGATCACTCTGCCCCTTTGGGTGGGGAAACAATGTCGGAGGTGGGGACGACACTACAGTAATACAACTCAACAAAGGTGAAGGTGCCTGGCCAAGACTGGTTAAAGGTAAGGTGAATATATCAGACAGTTTCCCATATCAGAATGGGGAAACCATTTAGATGTCTATCTACAGAGGTGAAAGTTAGAAAAATCACACTGGAATTGATTACTTAATGACAGGGAGATGAGTCAAAGTCAAAAAAGCAGGCTAGAAAGCTGTTATAATTTTGTGTGTGTGTGTATGTGTGTGTGTGTGTGTGTGTGTGTGTGTGAGAGAGAGAGAGAGAGAGACTTTTAATACTGCTGAGGATATAGGTGATTTTTAAATTTTGTTTTGTTTCCTGCAATAAAAAATACACATTATTATAAGATTTCCAAATTCATATATTTTATTGAGTAAAACTGGCTTTACTCAATCACAAGTTGAATTTTCAATTGATTCATTTGCACATTTGTGTGTGCACAGATGCGTGCATTCCAGGTACCATATGAGAAACAGTGGATATGAAATGAATAAGACATGGTTTCCATCGTCAAAAAGTTTGCAGTTTACTGAGGACAGTAAACATAGGAGCTTCAGAAGAATGGTCCTCAGATTTTAGAATGCATAAGAATTATGCTTTATATCATTTGACAGGACTTCCAGATACCAGTGACTCCTATCATACTCCCACAGGTCTTGAATATACTGACCCTTTTCCATGCCCAGATGTATTTGTGTATGGAGTTTTCTCGACCTGGAAAGGCTGACCACCTTTCTCCATTCATGTTTTTAGGATTTAAGTCACATATCACTTCTGAATGAAGGCTTTTTCTCTTTCTCAAGACAGTTACTTCATCTTTGCTCTCATAGCACTTGCACCTCCGCCCCCTCATAGCACAAATCACACAAATTGCAATTACATGTCCTCTTATCTGTCTCCTTAACTAAATTACTCTCTTAACGGAGGGGGACAATGGATTATTTTTTCTTTGTAATTACCTTTGCATTGTGCATAGAGGCTGACTCATAACAGGAACTCAGGATAAACTTGTCAAATAAGTGAACTAATGAAAGAGAATATTAGGGAAACATTGGAATATGTAGAATAGAGTTATTAGTGTGGCCTTCAAGAGTAAAAGCACAATTCATGGAAGGGAAGGAAATCAATCTTGTCTTTAAAAATGGGCAAAATTTTTTGAGTAATTTTACTTATAAGGATTTGTGTTAATAAAACAATTGAGAGATTAACAGATATATGAACAGGGATACTCATTGCATCGTTATGAATCATAGCAAAGAATAATTTGGCAAAACAAGCTAAAATATCATTTGGTTGGAGGTAAGTAACAATACAATCATAAAACTGAATACTGTTTAGCTATTTAAAAGTGCAGTGAAACAAGGCCAATCTGCACCACTAATTCTCAAGTGTGCCATCACACAACAAGAATAAATAGGGGAATATAAAATTGTATTTCTCGCCCCAGGGAAACACTATATTGAGAGTAACGAGATCTGGTTCTGTGATTCCCTGGGCCAGCAGATCTATTCTATATGCTCTGGAGACCACCAAGCCTCAGGATCTCTTTTCTGAAAAGCAAGAAAAAGTTTGGAGAGCCCCAGTATCTCATAACCTTGATCACATGTCTATTCTTTGCACTAAAACAAGATGAAAACAACAAATCACTCTAACCTAGAATAGCCTTTGTTTTCTGGCCCACTTTAGGTCAAAGAGATAAGAGACTTTACATATTGATGTAGAGATATATGGTGGATTTTTCCTGTTTTATGCAAGCATCACTTCCTTTGTTGGCCCTCTTTCCCTACTTGAAGCTAGCCAATAGAATTCTCCCTCCTGTTGGACAGAATGATAGATACAGTAATGGACAAATTTCCCAAGCTGAATTCCACTCTGAGATGTTCTCCTAGAACTTATATAGGAAAAGATATTCCCCTCTCAGCTACAGGAAGAAAATTATTTTTAGTAGTATTACAGCAAAATATGCAGGAAGTCATCAGGCTCGGGTTGTTTCTTTACCCAAAACCTTTATGCAAGCAAAACAAAACTTAACTTGGAGGCAGTTTTGTCTGTCTTGAAAAAAAATCTAGCCTCAATCACAACCAGGCAACTAGCTGATTGGTTATATAACTAGGGGTCTCTTCTCAGACCACACATAAATGAGGCAAATGACTACGTGTAGTCATCAGGTAATTACTTTGCTTCTGTCTTCAGGCTATAAAAGCTCACTGCTTGTGCCGCTGGAGCAGAGCTCTCTGAATTTCTTCCAGTTTTATGTGTTGCCCAATTCATGAACTGTCCTTTGCTTAAATAAAGTCTGTCAAGTTCATTTTGTCTAAAAGTTTTTCAAGAGTAAGAAAGAATGAGACAGAGAAAAAAGCAAAAACAAGCATCAGAATTAAGAGATGGAGATAGAGAAGAAATATAATAGTAGAGTAAGAATCCTGACAGCTCCATTTGGATTTTCAGAACCAGCTGTTATTAAAGCTAACTAGCTCTGGACTTTTCAGAGGTAGAGAGCTGAATAATTTTGGATACATGGACTTAAAATTTTTTTGTTAGGAGAGGCTATGATTGGTTCAAATTAGATTTCTGTCATTTAGAACTGAAAGAGTCCTGATTAATATAACTACAGTATACTGTTGAATAAGAATAGATTTTTTAACAGTATGTACAGAATTCGATGTGTGTCTGTAATAGTCTGCTCTCACGCTGCTAATAAAGACATACCTGAAACTGGGTAACTTATAAAGGAAAGAGGTTTAATGGACTCACAGTTCCACATGGCTGGGGAGGCCTCATAATCACGGAAGGCAAATGAGGAGCAAAGTCACATCTTGCGTGGGGGCAGGCAGAGAGTTTGGGCAGGGGAACTCCCATTTATAAAACCATCGGATCTCGTGAGACTTATTCACTACCACGAGAACAGCATGGGGGAAACTGCCCCCACAATTCAATTATCTCCACCTGGCCCTGCCCTTGACACCTGGGGATTATTACAATTCAAGATGAGATTCAGGTGGGGACACAGCCAAACCATATCAGTGTCTATAATATATACTGCATGTCATATATCATCTATAATATATATGCACTCACGAATACAGTTAAATCTACATTTTTGAAAGGGAGGGTATAAGAGAAAGAGAACTCTAAACTTGTAATAGCAAATTATCCCTGAACTGTTATCTTTAGCAGTGCTTCCACTTTCTCTTTATTTTGTATCAATCATGCAACATTAGGAAAATAAAAGCACTGCAGGGAAAAATTAAGAGGGAGTTGAAAATGTCATCGCTAGGGGCAGAGGAAAAGGTTTGGACAGTTGGAGGAACAGTGTGAGCAAAGATATAGAGTTTGGACTAGATTGTGCATGTGCAGGGGCCAAAGCAAGAGGCATACCTGGCTACAACACCGCGTGGGAGAAATGGGCTGTAGAAGGAGTACAAGTCTGAGGACAGTAGGGATTTATATAACAGTCTCATGCAGAAACTTCTAATGCCTCATACCCACAAATACAAACTTCCGTGATATTCTTCAAACTTACAAAACACTTTCCACACTGAGCTGGGTTGAAGAGTCAGCTGACTGAGCCTCTGCTGGGGGTGCTATAACATCATTAAAACAAATTAAAAGCAGATCACCAGTTCACTGGTCTTCCATGTGTAATTCTTTAGAAAAAATGACAAAATAAACCTTTCAGTTTATGTTATAAGGGCCTGTTTGATTCTTAAGAGCAAATATGCCAGTTTTTTTTGTTTGTTTGTTTATGAAACAACATGTTCGGCTGTGGTCTTTTATGTATTTCATAGTAGTAGTAAGTTAAAAATAAAAATGAAAAATATAAAGGAATTCCAAAATTACCTGAGCAGGCCGGGCACTCATGCCTGTAATCCCAACACTTTGGGAGGCCAAGATGTGTGGATCGCTTGAGGTAAGGAGTTTGAGAACAGCCTGCCCAACATGGTGAAACCTTGTCTCTACTAAAAATATAAAAATTAGCCAGGCGTGGTGGCTCGTACCTGTAGACCCAGCTACTTGGGAGGCTGAGGCAGGTTCATCAATTGAACCCAGGAGGTGGAGTTTGCGGTGAGCTGAGTTCGCTCCACTGCACTCCAGCCTGGGCAACAGAGTGAGACCCTGTCTCAAAAACAATATAAATAAATAAATAAATAAATAAAATAATTGAGCAAATAAGTTGCCATCTTTTAGAACTTGGCCCCTGGAGTTAGAACACATGAATTTGAATCCTGGTCCTGCCACTTACATGCTATGTGACATTGGAAAATTGTTTAAATTTTCAGTACCTCTGATTGTCTATTTATAAAATGTGATTGGGATGGTTACAGAAAATAATACACACCTCAATGGGTATTTGTGAGGAATCAGTGAATGAGTATACACTGAAAAACTTAGAAAAGTACCAGCACATAGTAATTGCACCATAAAGAAAATGTATTCATATTATTACAGATGAAAAAAAAATAAGGAATTGAGACCTTAAGTGACTGCTGCAAGAACATACCACATAGTGAGTGGCAAAGCTAGCCTTTACCCACACCATAGACGATTTTATGTGAAACGGGAAGTGAGGTTGACCTTAGGGAAAGGAGAGATGATAAAAAGGATACAGGTGGTTAGAAATTCAAGGAGGAGGAGGAGAGCAAGAGAGGAGAGAGATCTGAGGGAATAAATTTATCTAATACACTGTGTGATATATAATCTTACAATCTATCCTCATTTTTCTTTACAGTAGAGGTGGAAAATTCTACTACATTCACTAATTTCCACAGGTGGGATTTTTGGGAGTGAAATTAAAAAGATGATGAAGGGAAGTTCATATATGCTATATGTTTATAACCTATAACAAAAAGACCTAAAATGTTGAATACTATAAAGGTAGTTTCTCCTTGCACAGCTAAATAAATGGTGAAATGTGTTTCAAGGAGCTTGATCATGTCTAGGATGGAGCCTATTGATAAAATTTATCTTCAAGTATTGCATGGAGATGGAAGGTGAAGAATGAAATAAAGCACCTCATAAAAATGGACTAAATGAAACAGAAAGCAAAGGGAAAGAATGTCTATAAACAAATTAGGGATCAGTTGTTGTTTTGGGAAATTTCTAAAAATCAAAGAAAACCTAAGCAACATATAAAGAATATTGACCTCCCCCATGATCTATTTCATATGTGCTCAATTCTGTCTGTAGGGTGTTTCTTTTTTCCTTTCTTTTTTTTACTTTGTTTTTGGAGACTATGTCTCACTCTTCACCTATACTGGAGTGCCGTGGTGAAATCATGGCTCACTGCAGCCTCGAAGTCCTGGGCTCAAGCATTCCACTCACCTCAGCTTCCCAAGTAGCTGGGAGCACAGGCACATGCTACCATGCCTTGCTCATTTTTTTTTTAATCTTCTCTTAGAGACAGAGTCTCACTATGTTGCCCAGTCTGGTCCCAACCTCCTGGGCTCAAGTGATCCTCCCACTGCAGCCATCCAAAGTTCTGGGGTCACAGGTGTGAGCCACTCCTCCCAGCTTTTAGTGTTTCTTTTTTTTTAATTTTATTATTATTATACTTTAAGTTTGAGGGTACATGTGCACAATGTGCAGGTTTGTTACATATGTATACATGTGCCATGTTGGTGTTTCTTGAATCATGTGGAATATGATGGAGATTAGTTTTGTGATTTGGGACTGATTTTGTTGAATACTTACAAATCTAACATTTTAATTTTTCCATTTTGCAGTAATTTGAACACAGATATATGTGTGTGTGTGTGTGTGTGTGTGTGTGTGTGTGTGTGTGTGTGTGTATCTTTAAAAAGTCCTACTTAGAAATTATCTGACTTGAGATGTTTTCACCTCTGTGTAAGGGAAATTCATAATATATATAATAGAGTTTCATTTGTATTTATTTCATTATATTGTGTAAAAGTATATTTAACATTATCTTTGTTTATTTGTATAGATTTAAGGGGTACAAGAGCAGTTTTGCTACATGGATATATTGCTAGTGGTGAAGCCTGGGCTATTAGTGTATCCATGACCTGAATAGTATACATTGTACTCATTAAGTAATTTCTCATTTCTCACTCCCCTTCTAACCTTCTGAGTCTCCAATATTATTTCACACTGTATACTCATGTGTACGAGTTATTTAGCTTGCACTTATGTGAACAGGAGATATTTGATTTTGTCTGTCTGAGTTGTTTCCCTTAAGAGAATGGCCTCCAGTTCCATCCATGTTGCCGCAAAAGACATGATTTCACTCCTTTTTATGGCTGAATATCACATTTTCTTATTTTCAGTCACCTATTGATGGACACTTGATTACCTATCTTTGCTATTGTGAACAGTGCTGCAATAAACATACTAGTGCAGGTATTTTTTTTTCAATATAATGATTTCTTTTCCTTAGGCTATATACCTAGTAATGAGAATGCTGGATCCAATGGTAGTTCCTAGTTCTTTAAGAAATCTCCACACTGTTTTCCATACAGGTAGTATTAATTTACATTCCCACCAAGAGCCTGTAAACGTTCCCTTTTCTCTGCATTCTCACCAACATCTGTTATTTTTGGACATCTAAATCTTAATATTAGTCATTATGACTTTTGTAAGATGACATCTTTTTGTGGTTTTAATTTGCATTTTTCTGATGATATGGTTTGGATTTGTGTTCCCACCCAAATCGCATGTTGAAATGTAATCTCCAGTTCTGGAGGAGGGGTCTGGTAGGATGTGATTGGATCATGGGGATGGACTTTCCCCTTGCTGTTCTCATGATAATGAGTTCTCATGAGATCTGGTTGCAAAAATGTTTGTGGCACTTTCCCCTTTACTCTCTTCCTCCTGCTCTGGCCATGTAAGACATGCTGCCTTCCTCTTTGCCTTCTACCATGATTGTAAGTTTTCTGAGTGCCCCCCTCCCACCTTGATCATGTTTCCTATACAGCCTGCAGAACCATGAGCCAATTAAACCTCTGTTCTTTATAAATTACCCAGTCTCAGATAGTTCTTTATAGCAATGCAAGAATGAACTAATACAGAAAATTGGTGCTGGGAGGTGGGGCATTGCTATAAATATACCTGAAAATGTAGAAGCAACTTTGGGGTTAATGGGCAGAGGTTGGAAGAGTGTGGAGGGCTCAGAAGAGGACAGAAAGATGAGGAAGTTTGGAACTTCCTATATACTTGTTACGTTGTTGTGACCAAAATCCTGATACTGATATCATCAATGAAGTCTAAGCTGAGGAGGTCTCAGATGGAAATGAGGAACTTATTGGGAACTTGAGTAAATGTCACTTTTGTGATGCGTTAGCAGAGTTTGGAGTCATTATGTCCCTGCTCTAGAGATCTGGAAATTTGAACTTGAGAATGATGATTTATGGTATCTGATGAAAGAAATTTCAAAGTAGCAAAACATTCAAGATGTTTCCTGGCTGCTTCTAGTAGGCTATCCTTATGAGCAAAGAGATCACATGGAACTGGAACATGTATTTAAAAGGGAAACAGAGCATAAAAGTTTGGAAAATTTGCAGCCTGACTGTGGTAGAAATGAAAAACTGATTTTCTTGGGGGGAGTTCAAGCTGGCTGCAAAAATTTGCATAAGTAAAGAGAAACCCAGTGTTATTGCCAAGACAATGGGGAAAATGCCTATACAACCTGAAGACACTGCTCCCTGCATCCCAGCCACCACAGCTCCAGCAGTGGCTAAAAGGCCCCATATATGTCTCAGGCCACTGCTCCAGCAGGTGGAAGCCACAAGTCATGGCAGCTTCCATGTGGTGTTAAGCCTGCATGTTCACAGAGGGCAAGAGTTGAGGCTTATGAGCCTCCACCTAGATTTCACAGGATATATGGAAATGCTTGGATGTCCAGGCAGAAGTCTGCTGCAGGGGTGGAGCTTTCTACTAGGGCTGTGGAGGGGAAATGTGGGGTTGGAGCCCCCACACAGAGTCCCCACTGGAGAACTGCCTAGTGGAGCTGTGAGAAGAGATCCACTGTCCCATAGACCCCAGAATGTTAAATCCACTGACAGCTTGCACCTTATACCTGGAAAAGCTGCAGGCACTCAATACCAACCCAAGAAAGCAGCCACAAGGTTTGTACCCTGCAGAGCCACTGGGGCACATATGCCCAAGGTCTTGGGAGCACTGATGAAAGCCAAGCCCTTTCATCAGTGTGGCCAAGATGTGACGTGAAGTCAAAGGAGATTATTTTGGAGATTTATGATTTAATAACTGCCCTCCTGGGTTTTGGGCTTGTTTGGGGCCTGCAGCCCCTTTGTTTTGTCAAATTTCTCCCTTTTGGAATGGGTGTGTTTACCTAATGCCTGTATCCCCATTTTATATTGGAATCAACTGGCTTGTTTTGATTTTACAGGCTCATAGGTGGAAGGAACTTGCCTTGTCTCAGATGAAACTTTGGACTGCAGACATTTGAGTTAATGCTGAAATTAGTTAAGACTTTGGGGGACTCTTGAGAAGGGACAGTTGTACTTTGCAATGTGAGAAGGACATGGGATTTGGTAGGGGCCAGGGGCAGAATGATATGGTTTGCGTGTGTGTCTCTGCCCAAATCTCATGTTGAATCGCAATTTCCAGTGTCGGAGGACAGACCTGGTGGAATGGGAATGGATCGTGGGGCAGACTTCTCCCTTGCTGTTTTCATGTTAATGAGTAAGTTCACAGAAGGTCTGGTTTTAAAAAAAAAAGTGTGGGGCACCTTCCTATTTGCTCTTTTTTTCCTGCTCTGGCCATATAAGTCATGACTCCTTCCTCTCCACCATTCTCCATGACTGTTAAGATTCCTGAGGCCTCCCGAGCCACGCTTCCTGTACAGCCTGCAGAACTGTGAACCTATTAAACCTCTTTTCTTTATGAAGTACCCAGTCTCAAGTAGTTCTTTACAGCAATTCAAGACCAGAAAAATACATCTGATGATTAGGGATGTTGAGCATTTTTTCATATGCTTGGTCCTTTGTATGACTTCCTTTTGAAAAATTCCCATTCGTGTCCTTTGCCCACTTTTTAAATCAACTCAAGATGGATCCAAGACTTAAATGAGACCTGAAACTATGAATGTACTAGAAAAAAACCTAGGGAAAAATCTTCTTGACATTGGGGTAGGCAAATAATTTATTGACTAAAACTTCAAAAGAAAAAGCAACAAAAGCAAAAATAAACAAATGAGACAAACTGAGAAATTTCTGCACAGCAAAAGAATCAACAGAGTGAACAGACAACCTGCACTATGGGAGAAAATATTTGTAAACTATGCATCCAACAGGACTGATATCCAGAATTTAAAAGGAACTCAAACAAGTCAATGAAAAATAACCTTGCCTTTTTAAAAGAAATGTGTATATCAATAAAGCAAATATTCCTTATGAAATTTATTTATTTAAAAAAAAATCACAGCCAGGCGCGATGGCTCATGCCTGTAATCACAGCACTTTGGGAGGCCAAGGCAGGTGATCATGAGGTCAGGAGTTCAAGACCAGTCTGGCCAATATGGTAAAACCCTGTCTCTACTAAAAATACAAAAATTAGCTGGATGTGATGGCGTGCACCTGTAGTTTCAGCTACTCGGGAGGCTGAGGCAGAAGACTCACTTGAACCTGGGAGGCGGAGGTTGCAGTGAGCCAAGGTCATGCCACTGCACTCCAGTCTGGGCGACAGAGTGAGACTCTGTCTCAAAAAAAAAAAAAAAAAAAGGAAGTCAAAATACCTAAAAATATACATTTTTTGTATTCTAAAACTATACATTTTTTATATTGGCTATAGCCATGTTTGAGTTTTATTTGTGATGTGACTACATTGGAAAGCAGTATTTTCAGAAACTGTAAGTGCTCTTTGGCGTGATCAAAACATTTATATGTTTGTAGGTGCAAGTTTTTGTTTTAGTTCTTCTTAGATAAGCAATTATTCCTTTGGTAACAAGAAGCTATACAAGATACTGCCTTCAAGGGATTTCTTACCCTGACATGAGATCTTAGTCCAGCGGAAACTACTGGCATCTTATACACTAAATTGGTATGTTTTCATTAATTAATGAAAAAGCCATCTTAAAGGAATGAAATAAAATAAAACCCTGGGGCAGGGAAAAATATTAGAGAAACTACCACTCTTTTGGAACCTGAACATTTGAATCTATCATCTTCATTTGATAGGGTCCTAAAGTGGTACTGGGTCAAAGCAGGCTGTTAGGAATGGAGGCTTTTAGAGGAAGAAAGGTAGCATTAACCAAACGTTTGTTGAGTACTATTTTTAAGAATCATCTCTAATGCTGTGTGCTCCTAGTCACCATTATTTAATGCAGTTGCCACTGCCCTGCAGACACTAACCTAATTTGCAAGGAGCGTTTGGTGACTTACAATTGATTGGCTTCCAAAGTCTCCAAGAAATCAGTCACAACAGTCTTTTAACCCAAACACCATTTGATATGGTTTGGCTGTGTCCTCACCCAAATCCCAACTTGAACTGTGTCTTCCAGAATTCCCACGTGTTGTGGGAGGGACCCAAGGGGAGGTAATTGAATCATGGGGGCCAGTCTTTCCCACGCTATTCTCATGATAGTGAATAAATCTCAAGAGATCTGATGGGCTTGTCAGGGGTTTCCGGTTTTGCTTCTTCCTCATTTTTCTCTTGCTGCTGTCATGTAAGAAGTGCATTTTGCCTCCCACCATAGTTCTGAGGCCTCCCTAGGCATGTGGAACTGTAAGTCCAATTAAACCTCTTTTTGTTCCCAGTTTGTGTGCCTTTATCAGCAGTTCGAAAATGTACAAATACAGTTAATTGGTACCAGTAGAGTGGCGTGTTCCTGAAAAATATCCGAAAATGTGGAAGTGACTTTGGAACTGGGTAATAGGTGGAGGTCAGAACAGTTTGGAGGGCTCATAAGAGGACAGGAAAATGTGGGAAAGCTTGGAACCTCCTAAAGACTGGTTAAGTGGCTTTGAAAAAAATGCCGATAGTGATATGAGCAATAAGGTCCAGGCTGAGGTGGTCTCAGATGGAGATGAGGAGTTTGTTGGGAACTGGAGCAAAGGTGACTCCTGTTACGTCACCAAAGAGACTGGTGGCATTTCACCCCTGCCCTAGAGATTTGTGAAACTTTAAACTTCAGAGAGATGATTTAGGGTATCTGGTGGAAGAAACGGATTCTAAGCAGCAAAGCATTCAAAAGGTGATTTAGGTGCTATTAAAAGCATCACATTTTAGGCCAAGTGCAGTAGCTCACGCCTGTAATCCCAGTACTTTGGGAGGCCGAGGTGGGCAGATCATGAGGTCAAGAGATTGAGACCATCCTGGCCAACATGTTGAAACCCCATCTCTACTAAAAATACAAAAATTAGCTGGGCGTGGTGGCACACACCTGTAGTCCCAGCTGCTGAGGAGGCTGAAGCAGGAGAATCACTTGAACCCAGGAGGTGGAGGTTGCAGTGAGCTGAGATTGCACCACTGCACTCCAGCCTGACAACAGAGTGAGGCTCCATCTCAAAAAAACAAAACAAAATAAAACAAAACAAAATCCCATTTTAAAAGGTAAACAGCATAAAAGTTCAGAAAATTTGCAGCCTGACAATGCAGTAGAAAAGAAAACCCCATTTTTTGAGGAGAAATTTAAGCTGGCTGCAGAAATTGCATAAGTAGCAAGGAGCCTAATGTTAATCCCAAGACCATGGGGAAATGTCTGCAGGCCATGTCAGAGACCTTCATGGCAGCCCCTCCCATTGTGTCCAGAATTTATTCCTTCTGGTGGGTTCTTGGTCTCGCTGACTTCAAGAATGAAGCCGGGGACCCTTGTGGTGAGTGTTACAGCTCTTAAAAATGGTGTGTCTGGAGTTTGTTCCTTCAGATGTTCAGATGCCTCCGGACTTTCTTCCTTCTGGTGGGTTCTTGGTCTTGCTGACTTCAGGAGTGAAGCCGCAGACCTTTGCAGTGAGTGATACAGCTCTTAAAGATCGTGCATCTGGAGTTGGGTGTTTGTTCCTCCCAGTGGGTTCATGGTCTCACTGACTTCAGGAATGAAGCTGCAGACCTTCGCAGTGAGTGTTACAGCTTGTAAAGGTAGTGTGGACCCAAAGAGTGAGCAGCAGCAACATTTATCATGAAGAGCAAAAGAACAAAGCTTCCACAGCCTCGAAAGGGACCCGAGCAGGTTGCTTGGCACTGCTGGCTCGGGTGGCCAGGTTTTATTCCCTTATTTGGCCCTGCCCACATCCTGATTGGTCCATTTTACAGAGTGCTGATTGGTCCACTTTATAGAGTGCTGATTGGTATGTTTTTACAGAGTGCTGATTGGTGCGTTTATAATCCTTTAGCTAGACACAGAGTGATGATTGGTACATTCACAATCCCTTAGCTAGACACAAAAGTTCTCCAAGTGCCCACCCGACCCAGAAGCCCAGCTGGCTTCACCTCTCACCATCACAGGCCCGGAGGCCCAGGAGGAAAAAGTGGTTTCGTGGGCTGGCCCAGGGACCCTGTGCTGTGTGCAGCCTAGGGACTTGGTGCCCTGTGTCCCAGCCACTCCAGTCATGGCTGAAAGGGGCCAACGTAGAGCTCAGACTGTGACTTCAGACAGTGGAAGCCTCAAGCCTTGGCAGCTTCCACATGGTGTTGAGCCTGCGGGAGCACAGAAGAATTGAGGTTTGGGAACCTCCGCCTAGATGTTAGAGATGTATGGAAATGCCTGGATCACCAAGAAAAAGTTTGTTGCAGGGGTGCAGCCCTCATGGAGAACCTCTGCTAGGGCAGTGCAGAAGGGAAATGTGGGGTTGGAGCTCCCAAACGTAGTCTCTACTGGGGCACTGCTTAGTGAAGCTGCGAGAAGAGGGCTGCCATCCTCCAGTTCCTGGAATGGTAGATCCACCAACAGCTTGTACCATGTGCCTGGAAAAGCCACGGGCACTCAACACTAGTGCATGAAAGCATCCAGAAGGGAGGGTGTACCCTGCAAAGCTACAGAGGCAGAACTGCCCAAGACTGTAGGAACCTACCTCTTGCATCACTGTGACCTGGATGTGAGACCTGGAGTCAACAAAGATCATTTTGGAGCTTTAAAATTTGACTGCTCCACTGGATTTTTGACTTGCATGGGCCCTGTAACCTTTTTGTTTTGGCCAATTTCTCCTATTTGGAAAGGCTGTATTGACCCAGTACATGTACCTCTGTTGTATCTAGGAAGTAACTAGCTTGCTTTTGATTTTACAGGCTGATAGGCAGAAAGGACTTGTCTTGTTCAAATGAGACTGGACTGTGGACATTTTGGTTAATGCTGAAATGAGTTAAGACTTTGGGGGACTGAGGGGAAGGCATGATTGGTTTTAAAATGTGAGGACATGAGATTTGGAGGGTCCAGGGACAGAATGATATGGTTTGACTGTGTCCCAACCCAAATCTCAACTTGAATTGTATCTCCCAGAGTTCCCATGTGTTATGGGAGGGACCAAGGGGGAGGTAATTGAATCATGGGGGCTGGTTTTTCCTGTGCTATTCTTGTGATAGTGAATAAGTCTCGTGAGATCTGATGGGTTTATCAGGGGTTTCCACTTTTGCTTCTTCCTTGTTTTTCTGTTGCTACTGCCATGCCTTTTGCCTCCTGCCATGATTCTGAGGCCTCCCTAGACATGTGGAACTGTAAATCCAATTAAACCTCTTTTTGTTCCCAGTTTTGGTGTGTCTTTATCAGCAGTGTGAAAATGGACTAACACTTTTCTTGCAAACATGCACATTATTATAAACTCTAGATACCAAAGTAGACTGCCAAGAAGACAATTTAACAAACTAACAAAATACAGAGTTATAGCTTTGTGGTATAAACTGTGCTTTACTGTTCAATATTTAGGTGTTATGGCTGCATGGTCCTGAGAGATTGGATTTCTGATAAGTCAGCATAGAGACTGCCCATTAAGATATTCCACGTATCTGAAATAATAAAACAGTATAACGTCACAGAGAAATGAAGGTAGAATGAATAGGCCAAGAGCCCTGTGATTTCACACCTAACCACAACTCCATCAGATAGTCCAGATGCAGACTAGACTTCCCACATGCCAACAACTGATCCTCTCCCCAAACCACATCTTCTTCCACATTTCACGCTTTAAGTTTAATTTGGCAAGTGTTTCCTTCATGAAAGATAGATGGAGTGTTTATCAAGGAACTCAGTATTGCCACACTGGAAAAGAATACTTGGCGACTCACCTTGAACAGCGTTTTAATTGGCCTGTTGCCGAATCTGTTTGCTTTTTCATTCTTTATTCCTACACCATGGTGGTTCTTAATAGTGGGAGGCTAAAAAGCAATGTCAAATCTATGGCTCCCAAAACTGTTCAGAAAGCAATTCTTTTATTCTATTTAAACTCATCTGTTGTGAATACTGGCTGGGAGTATGGACTAAATGCCCACAGCTGTTATAAAATTTGTGTTTTATTGCTGTCTTCTCTGATAAATGTATCTATTCTTGTACATTTTTCCCCTTCCTGTGTCTTACAAGGGTATTATGGAAATGGTGAAACAGTGAAACTACTCAACTGGGGCTGTTTGTGAGGCTGAGCAGTTATGATTTTAAGGGTTAGTTATAAATTTTAAGAATGAATTAGTGAATCTATTTTGATAACTCTCTAATTTGTCTAGCCTGTATACACCAGCCATATACTAGGCACTAGACCAAGGACCACATAAACAGTTGTAACAGTTATAAGCAACAACTTCGATTGACACATATAAGCAGTGTTTTTCTAAAAAATGCTGATTTTTCAAGCTTCCAACTTGAGATCAACTGGCTCAAAAATTACTAAAAATTTAAAGCCAGCTCTTGTAAGCTGGTACAATCTGCCTCTGAGCAAGGGAAACATCTCAGCATAAAGAAGGGTATTCAGAAAACAGAAGCAGCGTGTTAGAGGGCTTCATACCAGGAGGCCACACGAGGTGTCAGGAATAAAGAAACAGCAATATTATTCTCCCTCACCATTTTATTATTACTCTTGGTTATGGAAAAATAGCCATAAGAAATTTTGCTTTTTGATACAGTTTGTCCGCAACCTTCCCATACGCACAAGGAAATAGTTGAATTTTTACCTACTTTTTCTACATAGTCCCCACTTCCATGCTCACTGCCATTTTCTACAAAACAGCACAGGATTTAAAGCAGCCCTATAATTTATAATTTTTTGAAGTTTTCTGAAAAAAAATATAAAAACTTAAAAGTAAAAGAGTTAATTACATATACATTATTAAATGGTAGCTTATGCTAAGGAAACTTAATTTGTCCGTAAGTACAGCTTAATATATTCTCTAAATACTACATGTAACTTCCAAAATCTGAAAATATCATTTTAAATCAATCATAATAAGGACAAGGGTTCCCCTGTTTTCTGAAGTCTCTCACTCCAATGTGGATAAGCAAAAATATATTGATTATGGGCCATTGGCCATGGAATGGGAATAATTTAGTTATCTAGAATTAAAATAGTGTTTAATAAAATTAGATTCTCTTTGAAGCATTAGGATGAAGGAGACTAAGCATTAGTGTCTTATTAGAGTCAGCGAGCTGAGCTCTATGTTCTGTGCTGTTTCAATTCTTCTGCTTCACTTCTGAAATTAGTATTGATAGATGCTTTTGCTTAAATGGTGATGGCACAATCTGATCTGATTTTTCTTATATTTTTGCATGTTCCTAATCCTATGGGTCATTCTACTTATATAATGTCTGATTAGTAGAACTTATCTGTTCAATAAAACTACCTTTGGTCAGCTCCATCTGTCATGATAACTCTCTGGGGCAGCAGTTGTTTCTTTAACCATACAGTTCAAAATGCTTATTATATGTTAGATAGTGATTTATCATTTAATATCTGCCACTTGTTTTAATAAAGTACTCTTATGTGTATATAGTTCTCATCCTGTCCCACACTCAAAATATCATCATTTGATAATTATAACGATAAGTACAGGGCATTAATTGCCCAATCATTTTTAGACTAATCAACTCATTTATCTTCATCGCTAGATTTTGAGGCCATTTCTGTTTTGTTCAGTGTTTTTCACCTATGCCTAAAATAGTAAAAGGACAGAAGAACACAAAATCAATTTTTAGTGAGTACTTAATTTTATATTGTGGAAATATTTGTCCTACTTTATGAATGAAGCAACTAATGAAGGCAGAGATTAGGAAAATTCAAGTCCATGTCCAAGTTCTGCTAGTTAAGAAGCAAAACCAGAATTCAAATCTGAGTCTACCTACCAGCAAAAAATAAGTTACTAATACTAGGCTGCACTGTTTCCCATATGGTAGAAAGAAAAAGCTAAGGTAAAGATAAAGACACAATTCTTAGCACATAATAGATTCTTAATAAATATTTTCTTGTTCAAGTTGGAGTGTAAAGGACGTCACTTTAATATTCATTTAGGTCTTCTAGTTGCCATTCAGCTCTCTAGCCTTAATAACTTGATTAAGTGTCTGGGACTGAATAGGCATTCAAAAATTATTTTGTTAAGTTATATATGCCTCTTGTCCCTTCAATGGATAGCCTAAAGTAGTGTTAAGTACATTAGGTGTGTGTTTTTTAGAGTTTACTTTTTAAGTGAATAAAGATTATACCTCTGAGTTTTAATAATCTGGATTTCGTGAGATGTGATGTGTTTCCATCCCTCTTTATTGATATATTGTGTGATTGTATATACAGGGGCATGCTGGAAAGGACTGCTGTGGACAGTTCCAGGGCCAATATTGGCTAAAAGATAAGCATAGTTTTAATGACCTTCCAAACCCTTCACAGAATTACGGCCTTGTGTTTGGCCTCCAAATAAGGGTGCATTATAAAAGATGCACATCAGTCCATCAGCAGCAGAGAGCTAGATTTTCTGTTTTCTGAACTAATGCCCTAACCACTCCTTCCTTATGTTTTTATTTCTATTCAAATGATGAATTATATATGACTTTTTGCCACCTTTAGAATACTGAAGTCATTAAATAGAGATGCAGCTCTTACATGCTAGGAATGTCACAGGCTAGTCCAGTTCTGGACCTGAGAAAGTGACACCAGTCTTTAAAAATTAATGCAGCTTCTAACTTGGCCTTCCTTTCTCCTCCTCCTTCTTGTTTGCAGCCCTCAGGGACTGCCATTCACTGGCTGGACCCCAGATGCCCTAGGGACTGCCACCTGACACCCTCTGAGGATTTCCTTCTTCTCTTTCCACCGTGAAAACTCTAAATACCTTCTTTCAAGCCTGGAATTTGCCAAGGCAAATACTAAATAAACCTAGATTAGGTTTAATTTAAGCTAAGATGTTAGTGGCTTGCTATGTTTGTAAAAGGATAGTTTTCAAAATAATTTTTATGATGCTCAGTAACAACTTTTTCTGTGATTTCATTTTAATGTGTATTACAAAAGGCATAACCAGCATCTTAAACTTGTTATTTTTTTAGATTAAAATTTGGGCAAAGTCTATTTTTGCAGAAATAGTATAATCTAAAGAAACAATATTAAAGAGGTGATCTGTAGTTTTGTAAAATATATATACATTTACATATATAAATATATATTCATATATATGTGTGTGTATATATATATAATTAAAATTTGAGAAAGAATGCCATGCTGTATCTTGCTTAATCACTTGCCAGATGATGGTTGTCATTCAGCTAGCACCTAAGAAGTCTGGCACTCTTGCTAGCTATTTTACATATGTCACCATCTTCACAATTTTGTCAGGAAATGCATAGTCCATATTATTATCTTTTTGTAAAGATACTGAAACTTTATATGTGCACAGTAACGTGAGATAGGAAGTAGAAGTGAGTCTTCACCTCAGGTATTTCAACTACACCTCATATTGTCCCCACAAAATTAAAGAAATATGAATGCTTCCACTTACCTTAGAGGAAATGCTGAGTACCTTCACTAATGCCCATTTTTCTTAAAAATTCACATGGCTTCACAGTCAGTTTGCTATAGGAATTTCAAAGTGCTTAGATTTCATGTAAGAAATTCAACTTCTTTCTGCCTAGGCTTGCCAAGGGGAGCTTTGTTTGCAAAAACAGGGGCTCCTAGAACGGAAGGGATTTTAAGCTACTGCCTGACCCATAAGTTCCTAGCATGGAACCCAAGGACCTCTAAGGGAGGACACACGTGAGCTCCAGGAGATCTATGAAGTCCCTGAAATTGTACGCATGATTTGAATATGTATGTCTGTGTGGTTTTCTCCAGATATTGCCTATTATCAGAGTAGGGTTAGAGAAGGGTTATAATCCACTGATTTTTTCTTGACCTGTCCTTCAACACTACCAGAAATTAAGCCATCCACTTCAAAGAAGCCTATAAAAATGGAAATAGCTGGAGCCATAAATAATCTTAAATGATACCCATAGGTTAAAAGAGTTTATCTTTTATAAATATCTACATTTATTTATTTATTTATTTATTTATTTATTTATTTATTTATTTATTTGAGACAGGGTCTTGCTTTGTCATCCAGGCTGGAGTACAGTGGCACAAACACAGCTCACTGCAGCTTTGAACTCCTGGGCTCAAGTGATCCTCCCACCTCAGCCTCCTGAGTAGCTGGGAATACAGACGTGCCACCACGGCTGGCTGATTTTTTTTTTTTTTTTTTTCTGTAGAGATAGGGTTTCTCTGTGTTGCCCAGGCTTGTCTCGAACTCCTGGGCTCATGAGATCTCCTGCCTCAGCCCCTCAAATTGCTGGTATTACAGGCATGAGCCATGGCACCTGGCCAAAATCTAACTTTTAACAGCAAGAGTAACTCCTGTACTGGAAAGAGCTAAGCTCATGGAAAAATAGGCATGAATATTTTATGATATGTTTTCCATGCCAGCTTTCCAAAGATTCTAACATGACTTTATTCATTTGTACTCTGAGTAGATGATTTGTAGCCAACATGATAGGGTCATCTCATTTATGACATGAGCAAATATAGTTGTTTGATAATCCTTCTTCCTCTTCCTAAGTCTCAGGACATTCTTGTCTTGTTGATAGAGATTTTAGAGGAAAGGAAAGGAGAACATAGGTCTTCTGGGTCATGGAAAGTAATTTCCTGCAAACGTAAGGAACACAGCCTAGGGCTCATCTTTTCTGTGGAAGCCAATACATTTATCATCAGATCAAATCCATCTTGGTGTGAAGGTTATGGGAGATTATATTATTTGCCTTCTCCACATACATGACTAATGGAGAACAATTAATAGTTTGGAATTGTCTGCTTTGGAGCACATGTGAATTTTCCTAATTTCCATGTGTATGGCCAAGGACACTGATGATGATACTAAGCAGTTACTCAGTGCCAGAAATTTTGATTCTTTGATATAGAGGTCTGACATTTCAAGTTAAGTTTATTCAAGTGAAAATAGTAGGCTTTGACCAAGGTAATGAATATTCTGGGGCTATTTCCCCTGTTTCAGAGATTTTTTTTCCCATTCTGTTTTGACTTGATATTTTGATTTTTGCATTTGCAAGCATGCAAATAAATTCAACCTGCCCTTGCATAATTTGACCTCTCTGTGTTGAGCTTTTCCTTCTTTTCAGGCACCTGCCTACATTTCATCTGTTACAAGTCCAGAGCCAAATGAAGGGAGTATCTTAATATTTCAAGAACACTTACTACTGAGGTGTCCTAAAAATATCTGATGCACACTGGGCTGTCTGACTCGTTCACCAGTGTATCCCTGGCACCTAGGACACAAAAAAGTGCTAATAAAAAGTCCACATTTGCAGGATCTGCAGATGTCCTTGGAGGTAATAGGGACCCAAGTGCTCAGGGATGCAGCTTAGCTCTTGATTTCTGATTTCCACTTTGTCTTGAACTTTAGTGATTCCTCACTGTCTTGTGAACTCTTCAGTGTTGGTTTGTTTGTTTTTATAGATTTAGGAATACAAATGCAGATTTGTTACATTGATATATTATGTAGTAGTGAAGTCTGGGCTTTTAGTGTAACCATCACCCAAATAGTGTACATCGTACCTATTAGGTAATTTCTCATCCCTCACTCCCCTCACTCTCCAAGCCTCAAATGTCTATTATTCCATTCTCTATATTCGTGTGTACATATAATTTAGCTCCCACTTATAAGTGAGAACATGCAGTATTTGACTTTCTGTTTCTGAGTCATTTCACTTAAGGTAATGGACTCCAGTTCCATCCATGTTGATGTAAAAGACTTGCTTTTATCCCTTTTTTTCTGGCTGAGTAGCATTCCATGGTGTGTGTGTATGTGTCTGTAGATTTATATATAAAATCAACCTAAGCATTCATCACAGATGACTGTAAAGAGAAAATGTTGTGTGTATATATATATATATATATATACACACACAGACACACACACATATATACAGACACACACACACACACACACACTACATTTTCTCTCTCTATATATATACACAGACACACAAACCTATATATATTTCTGTGTGTGTATATATGTATACACGTATATATGTATATACAAATATGTATACAGACATACACACAAATCTATAAAATCAAACATTGAAACATGTATATACATGTATATATACAGACACTCACAGAAGTATGTATATATATGTGTGTAGATAGATACAGACACACACAGAAATATATATAGGTTGATTTCACATCTTTGCTATTGTGAATAGTGCTCTTATAAATATACAAATGTACTTTTTTTGATATAATGGTTTCTTTTCTATTGGGTAGTTACTCAGCAGTGGCATTGCTAGGTCAATTAGTTCTTTAAGAAAATTCCATGCTGTTTTTGATAGAGGTTGTACTAATTTACATTTTCACCAACCACAATGAGATACTATCTTACACCAGACCGATGTTGTAAAAAGTTTTTCTTTGTGTAATTTTTATTTGATTTCATGGGAAAGATTGATCCAAATAACCAGAAATAGAAATGCACTAGTATCTTAGGAATATTTTCACTGGGTCTGTGAGGTTACTCATATTTTACAGGAGTTTTCTAAATACATGTTGGAAATCATCAAGTGGCTCTTTGCAATGAAAACTCTTGTTTGTTTTGTTTTGGGAGCTCCTCAAGGGAAAGTGTGGCATTTATGATAGCAAGCAATGCATTGAAATCATGTTCATGATTTTTTCAAACTTTCTATAAAATTTTACTCCCCAAATTCCTTTACAATAAAATGGTATTTGATTTTATTTTGTATTTAAAACTTGATCTTTTAGCATATAAGATCAAATTTTATTCTCATTATTTTCATTCTCAAGCTATCAGTAAATTCTAAAGTCTTTTCTTTTGTATTTCCATGTGATCATTGGCAGAAGTGCAGAATAACTACAGATTGGGTTTAAGTAGAGTTTGTGTAGAAAGTTGTCTTTGCCAGCTGACTTTATGGGACTTGAATGTGTTCACATCTCAACATATGTACTCTGAGGTGATCACTCTTTCCTGATGATGTCTTTTAGACCTCATGGAATCCCTTCAGAATCACCAGTTCAATTTAATATCTCTAATAAGCATATGTGAATCATATTTTAATTTTGTAAATGATTATGTAGATACAACTGTAATTGACTGAAGAGAATGTATTGTTTAGGGATTATGATTAAAATTGGACTTTACCGTTTGAAGGTCTTTAGTTATAATAACTATAGGGTGTATACCATTTTATGATTCACAGAGTGTTCAACTCACATAATTCTTAAAATAGTCACGCAAGGCTATTATTATTCCTATTATATTATACAGGTGAGAAAACAGACTTGTTATAAGTAAGATTTTAACACTAATATAGAATCCCACATTATTTACTCCCAAATTCATAGATTATGCTGGTCTTTTAAATTGTTATTATGAATATAGTCATATATTTGTTATTATCAATGATAGTCAATAATTATTAATAATTAAAATTAATAATAATAATATAATTATTATGCATATCAAAAACCATATTATAAGATCATATTGAGCTGGAACAAGTTATATCCAACATTGAGCTTTACAGGATCTCTATTGCTTGCCTTATTTGGTTTAGAATAAATTATTACAGCCAAAATTGAGACTTCTGTATAATATTCCCTGATCTTTTCTCTCAATTAGTCTCAACAGAACGAACTAGTATTCTGCTTTTGATGATTAGCTTTCCTATGAATATTTTTGAACTTTTACTGTATAAGTTATATAGTAAAAGTATAAATAATCTTTAAACAATATTGAAGATCATTTTTATATCTTTAAGCTTTGAAAAAATGTAACAGACATTGCTTTTACAAAAGATCAACAGCATCCCTTCGATGGATGTAGGAGCAGATACATTTGTACTGTCATATTCTATTGCATGACTACAAAACAAGTGACATTAACTGTTTGACCACAATTTAGTTTTCACTTTCCAGTTGATGGACTATTTTATTTGTTTTCAGCCTTCTGCTTTTTCAGATAATGTCACATTTCTTCTTTTATTAAATACTTGTTTATATCTCATGACATTTTTCCATTGGATTATTTGCCTTTTCTTACGAATTTCGCAGTTATTTATACAACCTGAAGCTTAATAATTTATTGGTTGTATTCATAAAAATATATTCTAGTTGTAACTTACCTTTTCACAATCTTTATGATATCTTTTAAATTTACAAAGCTTTTATTTGAATGTAATTGCATGTACCAGCTTTTTTTTTATAACTGGTGCTGATGCTTTTTATTTATTAAAAGCAAACATAAATTTCCTACCAAAAATATTATAAAATGCTCTCATAGTTTATTCTAAAAATTATTTTTTAATTTTACTTTTCTCACTTAAATCTTTAATCCTTTCATTTTGTTTTCTTATTGTAAATTGAAAGTTAAGGGTCTGTTTATTTCCATTAAATTAACTTATTTTTTTAGTGTCTCTAATTGAGTAGTCCACTATATCCATGAAAATTTTATGGATTTGTAATTCCATATCAATCATATACATACTGGTATCTTTCTATTCTGTTTCTATTTCTATATTGTTTTATTTCGATTTTTATGTTGCCTATTCCTGCATGAATACCATATGTCCTGTTTAAGAAATATTTATGAACTGTAAATTCCTATGTTAGCTTCTGTAAGATATAGTCTCATGCATTTTACAATCAAAAAATGCATTTGTAATTACGTTTAGCAGCTTTATTGATATAAAATTTACATGCTATACAATTAATCACCCATTTAAAGTATTTGATTCAATATTTTTAATATATTCATAGGATTGTGCAACCATCCCCACAATCTAATTTTAAAACATTTTGATTCCCTAGAAAGAAACCCTGTACCTGTTAGGAATTATTCTCCATTCTACCCACTCCTCCCTCAGCCCTAGGAATTGATTAATCTATTTTTCATCTCTATGTATTTACCTACTATTCAGTTTTATATGGATGGAATTATATAATTGTGTATGTGTGTGAGTGGGTTCTTTCATTTAGTAACATTTTCAAAGTAGACCTATGTTGTAGCATGTGTTAACATTTCATTTCTTTCTATTGCCAAATATTTTATTGGATAGATATATGTGCCACATTATTTATGTATTAAGCTGATAGGCTTTTTGATTTTCTTCTTTTTTTTACTATTATGAATAATGTTTTTATGAAAATTGGTGTGCAAGTTTTTGTGTAGATGCATTGTTTTTGTTTCTCTTGGATATATACCTAGGAGTGAAACTGATAGTGTTGTAACTTTATGTTTAATACTATAAGAAATTGCCAAACTGTTTTCCAAAGATTCTGCACTGCTTTGCATCCCCATCAGAGATGAACAGGGTGAATTTCTCCATATCCTCGTCAATACTTATTTTTTGTCTTTTTCATTATAGCCTTCATAGATGGTGAAAAATGGTGTCTCACTGTGATTTTGATTTGTGTTTCTCTAATAACTATAATTATGTTAAGAATCTTTGAATGTGCTTGTTGGTCATTTCTATATTTTCTTTGGAGAAATATCTATTCAAATCATTCATCCATTTTTAATTGGCTTATTTGTGTTTTTATTGTTGAGTTATAAGAGTTGTTTACATATTAAGGAAACAAGTTTCTTATCAGATGTTTGGTTTCTGAATACTTTTCCCATTCTGTGGTTTACACTTTCACTTGCTTTATGGTATATTTTGCAGAAAAAAAAAACCACCAAAAAAAGAAAAACACCCGGTTTTGCTCTTTATAATAAGTAGGGTCTGTAACAAGAGCTATTAGGAGGAAACAGTTGTAGCTGTAAAATAAGTTTTAATTACATACCAAGGGCTTTGGATTTTTCTCTAATTTAGGAGTGTAAATCTAGAACTACTAGGTAAACCATAACATCAGGCTACCAGTGTCTAGACTTCCATCTTTTAATTTAACATTAAAAATTGCCATAAAAGGATACAGAAAGTAAAAAATAAATTCCACCACCAGAAAGTAATGAAAAACATTCCTATTATTAACAGATTCAGTAGGATAGGATTAAGAAAAACAAACCTAGAACACAGATACTTGGCCTTATGAGCTGAAACCCACCTGATGGCCACCCAAATTATGGAGGAGAGTTGGACTAACCTGATTCATTGTCTGCCTTTAACATTGGACTGCAGAGGCAACATAACCAAGGAAATTAACCACCTACTGCCCTTGGGCAGTCTTCTGAGCAGGCCAGAGTCACGCCCTGCTTCCTGTGTCCTGCCTCAGCTGTGCCTATTATTCTTTAAATCCAATAAAAAATAAAAATACCTACTAAATGGGTATAGCAATATTTGGTTACATTGGTTCTGAATACAAAAACTGTAGAGAAAAGGAGTACTGTGGGTGGGAGCAGATACTGGCAGCATCTGAGAGCCATCCACACTGGGAAAGAGTGTCATCCTTGTTACATCCTTGTTTTGCCATGTTACAGAGCATGGCAAAACAACATTTTAAGCATAGGCCAGGAATCAGTAATCAAGAATATTCTACTTGTACAGAGCCATGCATGCTACATGAAGACTTGCAGGACACCATAAATTGGATCAGGGCCTTTACCCAACAAGCTCCACATCAGGTCAAGATCGGCAAGCTGAGGCAGAACTATGACCTCTTCTGAACTATGACCATTTCACAAATGTAAGTCGAATGGAAAACATCTTTATAATATTCAGTATTCACACATACAGAGACTAGATTTAGGACAAAAAACAGGACCACAGAGCAATGAGGAAAGAGTTCTTTTTACAATAGGGTGCTGGAACAGTTGGATAACCATGTGAGAGGGTGGTATAAAGAAGGCTTTTTCAGGAGTTGGTGAGGTTCTCTTTCTTAACTTGGGTAATGGTTATGTAGGTGTTTATCTTGTAACAACTCATTAAGCTATGAATTCTTTTACTGCACTTTGTGTTTTGTAGTGAATTATATTTCAAAATTATACGTAAAGGACTTCTACTTTCCTTTGCTATGGTTCCATATTCACATCAATGCCATTTGCATTACTTATCTGTTTCCAACTGTCTTTGTCCTGAGAAAGATAATTTTCCAGAAAGTAAAAGGGTTAATTTGGATTATTGGAAAACAAGTAAAATCGCAATGTAAATGAATACATTATATAGTTTTACCTGATTTTTTTTAGTTAAAATAGCCAACATTTTTCTGATCTCCTGAAATGAATCAGTGTTGCGACTGTTCTGCTTGCACTGTCTCATTTAGCCATAATAATAATTCTACAATGTTGGCAACATTGTTATCTTCATTTAAAAGCTGTAGAATTTAGGCTAAGTAGTGAAGTTAAATGCCTAAGAAGGCAGTAAATTAGATTCCAAGTATGTCTGAATACAGTTCTCAACACCTTAACCAGTGTGTCATACTACATTTTACTAACTCACAAGTATGGTTAACAGATAACTGGCAATCACCTACTGATTAATGACATGATCTAATTTTATATGTGCTGGATAAAGACTGGCTGTGGTAAATTCACAAAGATTATATAACCTTCCGTGTCTGTTGGTACCTATCAGGCTTCTTCTGGATACACTCTGACATTCTTCATGTCTTTATAGCTCATAACTCTATTAATGCGCAAAATAGAGCATTGTAATGCAATGTTTACATGCCTATAACTGCAAGTATATGATAAAATCCCTGAAAGTTTTCAATGTCTTATTTTCTTTAGCCCTACAGTTTAGCACACAGGTGTTAAATGATGCTTGTTAGATTGAGAAGAATAAACATTCAGGGAAAAAAAAAAAAAAAAGCCTGTCACCTTCACCAAGACAAGCAGTTACTGCTCTAATCTTATTTAAAGAGTACCCTAAAACAGGTTCCTTGTGCAAATGGGCAAATCTCTACCACTATTTTGCAAATGGGCTAAAATATTTGCAAAGTGTTCCTACTCAACATAAGCCATAACTTGCATATTCTTGAGATAATTTTTAGAAAGATCAGCTTTTCTGAAAGTATCTGAGCTTCATGGTTTGCAAACACATTAATGATTTAGTTATTTTCAAACTGTTTAAAGATTAGGTAGATACCTGATGAATGAACTGCATCCCACCCTCTCTGAGAAAAAGCGAATTTTATTCTGTCCCCTAGAAACAATAAACATGAAAAAACTCTAAATCAAATGCACTCCACATTGTAATTGGAAAGCATTTCACTCTTTCAGATAACTCATGAAATGAATCATGATTTTATGTTTGGACAACTGTTATTATACCAAACAATTCAAGAAGCTGTATTCTTTTTATCTAGATGTAATGACACAGGTAATCAGTTTTCAGTTAATTCTGTTTTAAAGCAATAGGTTTGAACATGGGTTAATTAACATATTTGTGAATGGCTGTCATATATATTAAAATAAAGTATACCACTATTAACCTTAAAATGATATAAAACCTGTACTGAGTTCTTGCTACGTAATTCAGAAGAGGTTTCCAAATTTTGCTATGCTTCTCTATTGACATTTTGGTATCTACTTTTTATCGTGTCTGTTAAAACTGGTAAAAACTCATCATTAAACATTTAGAATTTATATAATAATTAAAAATTCATTTAGTAAGTTTGTGAACTTATTTACTCACTGAGAGACAAAATTTGGGTATAATAGGTTACTTCTTTTTATAAAGATGTGGATTTTTAAAACAGATAGCTGTCTTTCTGGGAGAGTTTAGCATTTACTTAGCTTAGAATCAGAGTAATGGATAATAATTGTTAGCGTTCCATTTTCAGTCCATATTGCTTTTAAAATATGAAAAGCATATAGAATACTTTTAAAAACCTTTTTATCTTTCTAATATTTTTTTCCACAAACCAGTCTCTTGATTTCTAGGTCTTCTCATTGAACAACATTTGCCTTCACCTGGGATTAAATATGTTACCAATGCTATGAGACTCAGTTGATTCCGTTTACCGCACTGGGAGAGTAGTATACTTTAAGAAAACGTGGAAGAAAATTTGTGTTTTATTTTATTTTCACCTAATCTTTTCTTAGATCAGCATGGAGATGCCTGTAAGCAGTGAGTCACAGATATAAAGCAAAAAAGCAAGCCAAATTGTAACTAATTGCGGTGCTACTATAATTGTGTGTTTCTTCATTTTAGCCTATTATAATTTGTTCTATTATAAATGTCAGAAGGGAGAGAATGACAAATGACCACATGATTTTTTTTAGGCCAGTATTCTTGAGGTTAACCCTATCTGAATACATAGAACTATGCGTATTCTCTTCCTTTCTTCCTTCTCTTCTTTCTTCTTTCCTTCTTTCTATAAATATTTATTGATGCCTACAATGTGTCTGGCTGTGGACTAGATGTTTAAAATACTATGTAAACCAAAAAGTTAAAAAATTTCTTACCTTCGTAAACTTTATATCCTTGTAGAATAAGACTGTGAGCAAACAAAAGATAATTAATGAATAAATTAGCTAGCACTATATTATGTATTAGAAGGTAGCAGATGCTAAGAAAAAAAGATATCAGGGGAAGTGGGATCAAGAGTGAGGAGTAACTTGGAGAGCAACTGGAGGGTCTAGAGGAGAGGAGTTACATTATCTCATCTATAATGTCGAGAATCATTGGGATAACTCGGCTGTCATGTTGAGAACAAACTATAGAAGAGAAAAGGTAGAAGCCCGCCGGGCGCGGTGGCTCACGCCTGTAATCCCAGCACTTTGGGAGGCCAAGGCGGGCAGATCACAAAGTCAGGAGATCGAGACCATGGTGAAACCCCATCTGTACTAAAGATACAAAAAAATTAGCCGGGCGTGGTGGCGGGCGCCTGTAGTCCGAGCTACTCGGGAGGCTGAGGCAGGAGAATGGCGTGAACCCTGGAGGCGGAGCTTGCAGTGAGTGGAGATCACGCCACTGCACTCCAGCCTAGGCGACAGAGCGAGACTCCACCTCAAAAAAAAAAAAAAAAAAAAAAAAAAAAGAAGAGAAAAGGTAGAAGCAAAGAGACAAGCCTGGCTACTGCAATAATCCAATAGAGATTACTATGGTTTAGACCAGAGTGGTAGTAATGGTGGAAGTAATGAAGGTGTTAGAAAGTGGTCAGATTTTAAATATATTTTGAAAGATTTTCTTGATGATTTGAATGTTTGATGGGTAAGAAAAAGAGCTAGAAAAAAAAAGACGATTCAAAATGTTTGGTGTTAGCAATTGAAGGGACAGAGTTGCAATCAACCGGAATAAAGAAGGTTGTGGGAAGTACCTGTTTGGAGAAGATAAACAATTTCATTTTGGACAATTAACTTTGAGATGTTCATTAGACATCCAAGTGAAGAAATCAAGAAGGCAGTTGGATATACAAGCCTGTGAATATTTATTATGTAGTGGTCAACATATAGATGGTTATTTAAAGCCATGAGCTTAGAAGAAATCACAAGGAGGGAGTATATAGGGGGAATAAAGGCAAGATAACCAGTGAATAGTTAATTAACAAATCAGAGGAAGAGAGAACGAGTGACCACTTAACTAGGAGAAAATCCAGACACATTAGATATACTGGGAGTCAAAGGAAAAAGTTGTACCAAGTAGGTGAGAGTGATTCCACTGCAGGAAGATAAATTTAAGACAGCAAATTGGCCGGGCGCAGTGGCTCACACCTGTGATCCTAGCACTTTGGGAGGCCAAGGCGGGCGGATCACGAGGCCAGGAGATCGAGACCGTCCTGGCTAACATGGTGAGACCTCATGTCTACTAAAAATCCAAAAAATAAAAAAAATAGTAGCTGGGCGTGGTGGCGGGCGCCTGTACTGTAGTCCCAGCTACTCTGGAGGCTGAGTTGAGGCAGGAGAATGGCGTGAATCCCGGAGGCGGAGCTTGCAGTGAGCCGAGACCGCGCCACTGCACTCCAGCCTGGGCTACAGAGCGAGACTCTGTCTCAAA
Source organism: Homo sapiens (assembly GCF_000001405.40). Lineage (NCBI taxonomy): Eukaryota > Metazoa > Chordata > Mammalia > Primates > Hominidae > Homo > Homo sapiens. The sequence goes on from NC_000011.10 coordinate 26,505,996, forward strand.
AAAAAAAAAAAAAAAAAAAAAAGACAGCAAATTGATAACTGGATACAGCAATAATATGTCATTAGTGACATTGTTAAAAAAAAGTGTCTGAAGTGTTGGAGGCAAACGCCCTCTAAAATCTGAATTTAACTGTGCCTTCTGTGGCAAAAAAATTCCCTCACCTAAAAGTACTTCTCTCACGTAAAAGCTGGAAATGGCCTTTTTTGTTACCCTTTTTAAACTACTCAAGCCTCATTCCTAGGAGTGTTTATTTGTATATGGCTCCTTATCTTTTTAAATATAGTGGTCAGGACCACCAGCTAAGGTATCAACTTGGTCAAAATGCTGGCTTCATTATTTTCTTTTCTGTGATATCTGTATGTCACTTAACCTCTTTGGCTTCTATGTACTCTTGTCAATATTTACCTTCATGAGTTATGACAATTAAATAACCTTATGAAGCACTTGGCACAATGCATAGTACATAGTAAGTATTTGATAAGTGATAGCTACTATTGTCATTATTACTATGTTATGGAACTACAAGGCCCTGGTGGCTTCACTGGTGTTAGTCACTTAGTCACTTTATAATCCTTTCCAGATCCTGTGAAATCTGCCAGAATTCCAAGTTAATCCTGGAAATCTCAGAGCTTTTTTATTCATTGAAGAAAAGACTGTGTAAAGCTTTCTTGTTTTTGAACTTGGAAGTCTCTACTACTATAAATTTATGCACTTGAACTTAATCTCTCTGCAGAACTACAGCCAACTAGAAGCCCCTCAGGCAACCTAACCTGTTGCTGTAGGGTGACTCTTTCTTGGATATTCTTTCTGTTTCTTGAATGACTCGTTGGCCTTTATCTCCTTAAACATCAGGTTGCTCTGGTCCTCACTTCTTTCACCTGGAGCTGCCTATCTGCCCCAGTCAGAGTCCTCCAAAGCAGTCTGAAATGCTTTTGTCTGAAATTATCTAATATCTCCCCAGACATTGGAAAGCATTTTGAATCTCAAGAATGCCTGTATAGGAAATATGAAATAGAGAGTTGGTACAGATGTCCAAATAGTTTGAAGGAAAGTGGCGAAAGAAGGATGGGGTAGATAATAGTTATGAACATGAACTTGGAGGCAGAAGAAATTGGGTTCAAGTCCTGGCTCCTCATTGATCTTGGGCAATGTACTGGAAAAGCCCCCCTAAGAGGACCATGAGGAAAATGTGTTGATCAATAAAGCTGATTTATTAAAATTCCTTACAGCAAATAAGAATACCACACGGATAGTCTAAGTAGTGTTTTAGAAGAATGAAGTTAGGCAACAGTTTTCAAAGGATTCCCATGGCCTGGACTGGGTAATCAGTAGGTCTTATAAGGCAGGAATTTGGTTGAAAATTGGGCAGAGACCATTAAAAATAGCTTAGGTTGGTGGATACAACAGAGTGAAGGCCCTAGAGCAGTCTTGCTGAGCAAGCAGTTTGTTTTGAAAAGTAAGCTGTTCTAGTTGGTTTGCAGTCATATATTCTAGGAACAAGTATTTCCCAGAGCAAACAACTTAGGGATTATTTTTTGGTTTCAGTATTACTAAATATACATTTAGGAAAATAATGCCTGGATTGAGTACTATGTAACACAAGAAATAAAATTGGTTTGAGTTTTTAGTATTTATGTTCTCTAAGCCTTAGTGTCTTTATCTTTGAAATGCATGTAATGAGTAGTATATAGGATAAAATATTGAAAGCACTTATGTCTGGTCATGATATTTAGTAAATACTCAACATATGTTAGCATTATTTTATGATGAAATAAAATAGTAAATAAGTAATCATTTTATTTGTTGTTATATGATATATCATTTTCATGGGTCTTATTGAATAAAACATATGCATTTTTATGCCAGCACCAGAGAACCCATGTTCAGATATCAGACCACCTAATTTCATATCCTGGAACATCACTCGCTAATGTGGCTCCTATAGTAGATTGTAAACACTCTTTAATTCTATTTCCATATCTCATGGTAGGAATATTAAAAATACATTTTTTGATATTGTATTGCCAGTGTTCAAATGGCAGTAACTGTAACTAAAACATACATGCTTGTCTAACCCACACCATTAACAATCATTGCTTTATTTGCAGAATGACATGAATTACATAGCATCCAGTGGACCTCTGTTCAAAGATGGCAAAAAGAGAATTGATTACATCTTGGTTTATAGAAAGACAAATATACAATATGATAAAAGAAACACATTTGAAAAGAACCTCAGAGCAGAAGGCTTGATGTTGGAGAAGGAGGTAGGTGCTTTACTATTATTAGTTATGTGATAAAATGTGTTGGAACAGATATAATCACTTATGGTTTAGAAAGAAAAATATGTATCACATGACTTTATAAAATACATAGTTTTTTTCTAACAAATGTTAAATAAATACATGCACATAGCCCTATTAAATATGTATTCACTTTTTAATCTATATAATTCTGTACAATTTAAGTATTTTCAAAGGGCATGACTATTTTTGCAATTTTAAAAACTGAATAAGGAATGATTATAGTTATGTCAAGTAGAAAACTTTATGAAAAGGAAAATAACATTTTGAAAGAAAAGAATTTGCCAAACGATTAATGTCTGTTTTTTAGTGCTGGAACTATGAGTGGTTTTCTTCCCAAATCTTTTTCTTTTGTGAGTTTTTAAAAAAATGTTCTTGGAAGAATTTATTTTTTGTAGTGAAACAATAAAAGTAGCAAGACTCACTAGAAAAAAAATAGAAAGAAGGAAAAGCGTATCCTCCATAATCCTAGTATCAGAGAAAATTTAAAAAAAAACTCACTATTTTAGTTATACCTTGTACAGTTATAGAAAACATGTATTAATCGCATTACAGAAAGAAAAAACCTTAAGGTAGAAAATTAAAAGTATAGAAATGTACAAAATAAAAAGCCAAAGTCAATATCTACAGTCTCTCAAATCATACGCTTCTCTCCTTTGGTGGTCTTGTTAACAACTTGATTTTATCTTGCTAGGTGCCCCTCAGTAAATTTTCTATATATATACAAATATATAAAATTTTACACAAAATTAGCCATGATATATATGTACGTATACATATATATACACACATCTATCTCTCTCTCTCTATATATATATATATATTATTCTGCTGTTCACTCTTGTCATTTAGCAATATATTACAGATATCTTAAATTGCCATTACATTTAGAACCAACTCAGCTTTTTACTAGATACATATTATTACAACTTAGAGATTTACCCAGCTGTTCCGCTACTGAGAAAAAGAAAATCAATTAACTAACTATTACAGAGACACCTAAACCTAAGTTACTTTTTTTCTTTTTTTTTCTGTGAGACTGAGTCTCACTCTGTTGCCCAGGCTGGAGAGCAGTGGCGCGATCTTGGCTTAATGCAACCTCTGCCTCCCGGGCTCAAGCAATTCTGCCTCAGCCTCCCAAGTAGCTGGAATTACAGGAACCGATCACCGTGCCCACCTAAGTTTTGTATTTTTAGTAGAGACGGGGTTTCACCATGTTGGCCAGGCTGGTCTTGAACTTCTGACCTCAAGTGATCTGCCCACTTCAGCCCCCCAAAGTACTGGGATAACAGGCGTGAGCTCCTGCGCCCGGCGCTACTATTGGGTTTTAACTAGTTTTGTAAAAAATAGGAGCAACAAGGTAAAGGAAAAAAAAACTGTTTTTGATGAAATATCTAGATAATTTGCTAATAAGCATCATCAGAGGGTTAATAGGCACTTAGATATAATATTGGAATCCCTTTACCCCCACAGAACATCTCCTGGAATTAGTTTTCTGAGGAACACACATTAGGAAGTACTAAACTGTAGTTTGGGGTAGCCCTAGAAAAACTAATCCATTTAGGCCTGGCGCCATGGCTCACGCTTATAATCCCAGCACTTTGGGAGGCCAAGGAGGCCGGATCATGAGGTCAAAAGATCAAGATCATCCTGGCCAACGTGGTGAAAACCCATCTCTTACAAAAAGTAGCTGGTCGTGGTGGCGCGTTCCTGTAGTCCCAGCTACTCTGGAGGCTGAGGCAGGAGAATCACTTGAACCCGGGAGATGGAGCTTGCAGTGAGCCGAGATCATGCCACTGCACTCCAGTCTGGCTACATTGCGAGACTCCATCTCAAAAAAAAAAAAAAAAAAAAAGAGTAGAAAAGAAAAACTAATCCATTTATGTTTATTAAAATCCTTTAATGTGTATGAAATAACAAACACATCATGACTTGACTCTTTACAAGGAATTACTCACACACAACTTAGAGTTACAGAGCCCAGCAAGTAAAATTCTGACTTCAGTTTTCTGTTGCCTCCTTTAGTTGTCTCTTTATTATTCATCTTCCAGGAAGTTTAACCCAGAATATTCCGCCTCCCGCCCACACCCAATCACTGGTGGCTAATTAAATAAAGAAGTACTTATTGAAAAAAAAATCTCATGAACTCAGTGTTGTGATAGACTTTTATTCTTTTGATATCCTTGTGACTTCTCCTCCATACAAATAGAATTAATCACTCTTCATCTGCTCCCAGAGCAGTTTATACATAGATCTTATTATGATGCTGGTATTTGTTTTTCTCACATATCTCAAACTATTTATTCATTCAGCACATTATTTTGGCTAGCACTGAGCAAGCTGCTGAGATATAAGATAAGTAACAAACTAACAAACTCACTGCCTTGACTAAATTTACAGTCAGTATAGGAGTCAGACATGAAATCTGTATATTCATAACAGGTATTGCTCTCAGCTTCTACCTAGTTTTCTTGCCAGAAAGCTCAGATTCTCAGTTCTGAGTCTTCCTCTTCCTTATTCCTCCAAACTTTTCTCAAGAATAATACTGGATGTTAGTCATCCAAAAAGGGTCCTGTTCCGCTTTTAAAGGGAAGTCTATTTATTCTAGAGCTCTCACTCTCAAATCACTCCCAAATGGTGTCTTTGTTTAGGTTGAATCTCAGCAGGACAGTGTCCATTTGTCTACTCTTATTCCTGAACAGAGAGGGTTCTCATCCACAATTACAGTTCTTTTAGTCCACATTCACATTCTTAGGATTTGTTTCCTACTGTTAAATAAATTGCCAGGACAGCATGATCAGGAGGTGTATTCAACCTCAATTGCATGTTGTTGGAACCAGTCGTCCCTGCAAACTGCTACCATTGTGTTGAACACAAGTTACCAGTCTTGACTTTCTCTGTCCTCCCAACTGTGTACCTCTGACTTAGTTTCCTAACAGTGAAAAGGTTAAAGCTACCCCAGTTTTCCAGAACAGATATTATTAGTTTTGAAGCCGAGTTGGGAGATTTTTATATCTTCCCTCTGAAAAGGCCATAGAAGCCTTATGAAATTTTACCCAAACCTCTGTAAAAACTCTGCCTATGCAAGCAAGGGAAGGTGCTGCAAATTAAGAAAACAAACAAAAAAAAATTTTTTATACTCTTTCCACTTGATTAATACTTGCACAACTGAGAGAGTACTTCAGAGACTGCACAAGAAAGATGATCTGACCCAGGGTGACTTTCAATCTACACTTACTAATACAATGCTTAAAATTCTTTAATAGGATAACCTTTATCATTTGAAACTGTGATAAGTGGCTGAAAAGGAAAGTAAATGGTGCTAAATGGCTTGCAACAAGGGCAGTGGTATGGTCTGGAGGGTGAGGGGAGAGTAGAAGAAAGGGAAGGAGGGAAATTTTAAAAATAAACTTTGAATTGAGATTTGAAAAATGAATAGTAGCTAATGTAGGTGAATAAAAGGGCTAGATATGGTTTTCAATACTGGCTGTATATTAGAGTCATGTGGTGATCTTTTAAACTATTGATGCCAGATCCCACCACAGCATAGATCAATTAAAGATCAAGATGGTGGTGGGAGGAAGGAATATTTTTCAATACCAGAAAAAAACAGGGTACTAAATGAGGTTGGAAAGAATGGCTGCAGTTAAGTCATTCTTTTTTGTTAGTTTAAGACTTTTGATCATTAACTTAAGAAAAATTGGAAGTTATTAAATAATTTTAAGCAGGTTAGTATCATGATCACATTCGTTTTCAAAAAATAAATTTGGATTACTGAAAAGAACATAGATTTGAAGAACAAGACTGGATGCACAGAGATCATGGGTGGCATTAGAGATGCAGTTCATTTCAGCAATTTGTGTTTCTCTTAGACTTGAATGCTATGAGCTATCTTATCCTATGTTCTTTCCACCCTGTGCTAACAATTTGCAGAGTGACTTTGTAAAAACGTAATTTTTAAGTTTTCCCTTCTCTCAAGAGTGAATCTCCTTTCTCTTGGGAATTTGGGGTGGAATAATTAAATAATAATGTGAAGTGTGAAGGCAGTGGGTGTTTTGTTCTCTGAGGAGCTTGCCTTCATCAGAGCTGAACAGAATAGTGCCAGATTGGCAGTTTTTGACTCCTGGGGAAAAGGTAATCTTTCTCCCTGACAGCATCATCCCCGCACCAGCCCCCTGGCCAGTAACTGCAAAAAAATGAAACTACATTTCTTTTCTTCTGCTTTGTTTTTTATGTAGAGGTATAGAAAGAGAGAAATTAAGTTGAGTAAGTTATAAAAGAAGGTTATTCCTGTTGGTTGATAAAAATCTCTATACATTTTAAGACTTACAAAATGAGAAATATTATGTGTGTGCACTTAGTTTGACATTTTACTCATTGATAGTAGTTATTGTAATGCAGAAACATCCTTCTAAAGCATCCCCTTACTTGAGTATATTAGATTATTTTACATCCTAGAGGTTGAGAGTAATGAATTAATAACCAGTACTAGGCAAGCTGTTCATGATGCTAATTTGAATCCTGACACAGCACCCTCTTCCAGAATAGTCCAGGCTTATTTGCTTTCTTGTCTCTATCACACTGGCTTAGATATAAATTACATAACATGTGTTCTCAAAATAGGTTAACTTATTCATCCATTTTATAAATGCTTAGTGCAAGCCTACTGTGTGTCCAGCACAGAACTAGGTGCTAGGGATACATAAGCAAAACAAAGAATCTTCTCTCTTGACATTTACAGAGCAAATGAAAGTAAAAATACTATAGAAAAAAAAAGAGAGGGTATAAGAAAGATAAGGCAAGAACCGACAAGAACTAGCAAGTGATCAAATGATGGAAGTGGAATGAGTGACACAAAGGGTAGTAGCAGAGGAGGTATGGGATATTGAAGGTAAGATTATAAAAGGCTGTGTAAGTCATTGAAGAAACTTTGGCTTTCACTCTGGATGAAATGAGGTTCTAAGAAATGGCATGACCCGACTTACATTTAAATAGGTCATCCTGACCCTTGTGAGAAGGATAGGCCACTGAGGACAAGAGTGTGAGCAAAGAAGCTGCTTGAAAGTACTGCAGGAGTCCCAACCAAAGATGACGATGATGTAAACCAGAGTGATAGCTGTGAAGGAGGTAGAGAGGGATCAGAATCTGGCTATCTGTACGGTAAAGTAAAACAAATCGGGAACAACCTGGTAGTAGGAGACCCAAGTTTTCCTGCTGTGGAGCTTAAATCTTTCCAGATCTCTTCCAGCGTTCATCAGATATTAGTCACTCTTTCATGTACTCTGGCAACCAACATGACTAGACTTCAGGAACCACGATGTTTAAAAGCGAATGAGACCTCCATTCACACCAGAATAAGGCCCAGCTCCTGAAAAATTATTTCTTGTCCCAAGATCTATCCATTCCACAATAAAAATTTTACTTTCAAATCCTGCAGGGAACCATTAGGAAGAATACAAATGATCAGTGTGTTCTCAAGGTCATGGCTACTCAGTTTTACATAGTCCTACATGTCAAACATCTCAGTCTGGATATAGATTGGTTTTTGTTTGAGTCTAGACTCATTCATCTTCATGAAGGTCACTCCTCCAGCCTCTGGGGAAAATGAGGACTATATAGGTTTTCTGTAATCTTCAGGGTCTCAGTTTCTCTCTCCTTGAATAACCTCTGAATAAGAACTCATATCTCCCCAGGAACAAAAAGTAAAAGTATAGGCATAGAATAATTTAATACATAAAGATGAAAAGGACAAATATTCCAAAGAAACTATAAAGACTACAGAAAGAGTTTTTTTTTTTTAAGAAAATGTATGCCCAGTTCAGAGAAAAACATTTAACTCATCAAGTTAAACCTTGATTCAGGTCACTGTACTTCAGAGTTCTTCCCAAATCATAGGTTAATGCTGCCTTTATGCTTATGCAACACAAAGGTCTATACAGAAGGTTTACAGAGCCAAGGAAGAGGCTCTACCAAAGATGAATTGAGTAGACAAAAAGATTCAAGCTTTGTAAGTCATCATCATTTTGGGTAGTTTCTGATTTGAGAGGTATGCTGTCAACTGAGAAAAAAACATTTCTGGAGAATTTATTAGGCATGGGCACTTTATGAGGTGACCAATCTTTTATAACATTCACACTCTGTGAGGCAGAGATAATTTTCTTCATTTTCCAGATGAGAAAACTGAAGATAAGAGGGGTTAAATAATTTTTCTAAGGCCATAGAGCTAGTAAATGGTAGAGATGGAATTTGTACTTAAGTCTTTGTGATCCCAAATACCATGCTTTTTCATTTATAGCATGTGATTTCTTCCAAGTAGGCAGTAAAGATTGAGGAAATTCAAACTATGCTTGGTGAGAGGCAAGTTGGTGCAACACTGGTAGCCAACACGATGATTTCAAACGAAGGATCTTTGTCATCATCTTACCTAAGAACTTTTGTAAGCATAAAGCAGGAAAATGTATAATAAAACTTAACACGTCTTTCACTTGCCCTGGATGAAGGAGTCATTCAAATAGATGTATGCTTACACTTTACGTTTTAAAAAGTTTTTCTCATCTTTATCATTCCTTCACAAAAACCTTTTCACCAAATTTGGAAGATTCACTAAAAGAGAATGGAAAAAAAGTCACGGTCTTCTCTTTTCTCTGATCAGTGACAGATTTCCAGCTGGGTGATATATTTTTAAACAAATGGTTATTTGAATGAATCAATAGTCACTTTAAAAAAATTATATACATTTTTCCCAAGCATAGATAATATGTGTAACCTTGGTTGGTCTGAATTCAAAGACCTATAGATATTTGAGATATATTATGTTTACTTCTGGCATTGTCAATTTTCATTTTAATAATCCTTTGTCTTTAATTTGAAACAAATGTATTTTAAATAGGAAAAGTCCTTTGGAATTTGCACTGACATGAAAGCATCTTAAGCTATTTTCCCATGTTGATTTGCAAAATACTAGTGTCTCAGTAAGCTATTGAGAAAAATCAATCCTTGATCCAGAAGTTTGGAAATTCAGCATACTTTATCTCCTGCTTGGATATTTTTTTAGCAAATGCATGCATATTAAAGTGTCTTAGAAGTCCTCTAATGAGAAACCAAAACTTTAATCATGGAATGAGCCCCCACTTGTTTGCTTCTAATACTCTATGGAAAGGGTAGCCATGCTGCCTTCTAGGTTTGAATATTAGGCCAATGACATTGGTTCTCTAAGTATTGTTTAGAAACATTGGTAATACAAAAATAAAATATCGTCTGGCAAATCCATGAAACTAGCCCTGCTTAGAATTTGGGGCTATAGTAGTATATGCATATGAAAATGTTATAGTTTAATTTTAAAACATATATGATTTTAAATTAAATTCAATAATTCTACCCTACTCTTGAGCTTTTAAGATTCATATGTTTCTTGATAAATTACATCTAATGGAAATATAATGAACAGTGTTAATCAAATGGAGCTCAGCTGTGTCTAACCTGGTGGGTGCATCTAAAGGGAAGCAAACAACAGTTCTTTTATTTCAGATGTTTTGCTCCTATAATCACATGAAGGATAAGCTCTGTGTAATTCAGTGTTAGAATGGACATAAACTTGTTCCATGCTCTATGAACCTCAGATATTGTAGGAACTTCAGGGAATAACTGTGTTGGCTTTCTTTCAAAGCAGGGTCGAATATGAACATGAGTGATGTATGATGCCTAGGTAGTCAGTTGTTTATTTACTTATTTTAGACTACTGAACAAAAGCTAAGTATCGTGATGATTCTCTTATTCAAAAGGGTATCAGATTCTCTGAGTATAGCAGTATGATCAAAATATGCAAATAATCCTGCAATTTCCAAGAATTAAACCACAGTACCCCATTTTGTAAAAGCTCTTTACATAATCCTTATGCATACTTGACTCTGCTTAAAAACCTTTTGTCTAGTCAAAGACACTTTAGTTCTTATTTGTTGATACAAGTAAAACTGGATGAAAAGATGAAAGAAAGAAAGCAAATATGACGACTCTACGAGATAACAGACTTTTACAATTTATACCCAGTTTTTTCCAGTATTATCACAGGACCAAGCACATAGTTTGAGGACCTAGTAGGTACTCAGTAAAATGTGGTAGAAAAATTAGTGAACTAGTTAATAAATGACTAGTGGTAACTGGCAGTGTTTTCTTCCCCCTCTGAACAGGAATGGGGTCATGATAAAAAGCCCATCAAAAATAACTTCAGATTTTTAATTGGCTCATGATTGATTGTTCTGATTGGGGATTCTGCAGGTTGAAAATCATCAATGTAAGAAAATGCACTAATGCACATAGGTGGTTATTTCTTCTACACGATGTCATTATTACATTTTTATCAAGGTCTTTCTTCATTAAGATTTTTTTTATCCATATAAATTTCTTTTAAATCAGTGTCAGTGATCATGCATAGTCAAGGGGACAATGTTCTTTATTCCCAAATCAAACTGTGGCATGATATCATCAGCTCTGATTCTAAATAATGTTGCCTATCTTACTATCATTTGCAGCCAGCTATTGCAAGCCCCGATATCATGTTTATTAAAATTCACATTCCATGGGACACGCTGTGCAAGTATGCAGAGAGGCTGAATATCAGGATGCCCTTCAGGTACTTTCAAATTTTACTTTATTTTATCTCAATATATATTAAAATGAGTCTATCTTTGCATCACCTTAGAGCAACAAATGCAACCCCTTCTACAGAGAAAATGCTTTTTCTTTCAAAATTTCAGTTATTCTGGACAGTTTTTTTTTCTTCCTAATTTGTTTGCCTAATTTGGTAAACTTTCTGATTTCCTGGACACTATGTCATTTCAAGGTGGACCTGCCTAGTGGGAGAGTAAAACAGTTATTTTCAATTTTAACTTACAACAATTCCCAAGATCAGTCTCACTCCTTATTTCATATGGGTGGGCAGAACTCTTTTTAGTTTTGTGGAAGGCAGAAAGTATAAGTGCATAGCATTTTCTTCGTATGTAAATTGTTCTTCTCTGTATAGTCATTAGCAAGAATCATTTCTCAAGTCAATGCAACCAGGAAGGTTTCTTAATTCTGTCCTCAATAACAAGAAATAAATGGTAATAAGAGGACTGCTTCTTTCAAAGATTTTTCAGTCCTTCCTTTAGGCAAGTAAAGATTAAATAGACATCCGTTTCCCTATATTGAGTATCTTGTGTTTTATGCAGAATGTGTCACTTTCCTCCATCATTTCTCACAGTAAAATTCAACAATGCTCTTACTATGCAAAGTATTTACTCATATTAAAGACATGAACATGTACACTGATGTGGAGCTTAATATGCTTCCTCAGTTGCTATGGTTTTAAAAGGTTCAGCACAAACAGAATGCCAAGTAAGAGCCTCTAGATAATGAATATAAGTGAAAATTAAGTGCAATTCAAAAATATGGAGAAATTTCTCAGACCTGCTAGCATAAAAGAGTCCAACTCTGGTAGAAGTGCTGATATTCTCAAATATTGTGACAAGCCTCTACAGTATTCAACGTAAAATGTGAGGTATTGAGCCTCATCTTCTTAGTCATTTAAAACACGTAGGGCTCGAAAGATGCAACCATAGTCATTGCCCATAAATCAGAAATTAAGTGTTGGAAACTACTAAGGAATCCTCTTGACAATATTAGAATTAAACACCTAAATTAGCTTATATTCATGCTTGGCTAAGGGTTTAAAAATTCTCTATAGACTTGATATTTAGAATATATGCAAATAGTTCCTCAAGGATCTTGGCAAAAAAAGAATAAAATTTAAAAAAAGATAAATAAAGGAAATAATATTCTTTCCAATTCCTCAGCACCTAATAAACTAATTTTGAGAGTACAGCTAGGTAAGTTTGCATTTGTGCTAAACAACATTTCTTGAGTTCTGGAATTTTTCTATCTTCATGCTATAACCTTCTAAAAAGTCTTTTAAAATACTTGACTGGGACTTATTACAGATGATAATATACAATATTAATAATATGCTGATAATGGCAGGAATACTTGCTCTTTGCTCAAATTTATTCTCTGGTCTGTGCATATTCATGTTATACAAAACCATGCAGAATAAAAACAGTGAAGTAAATTTTAAACTCTCAAATAATTTTACAAGTAGCAGTCTTCAAATTTAGCATAGATATGGTTAATAATCACCTTTGTTTTTTCATAGTGGGAGTCAAACTTCGTAAAAATATTCTGAAATTCAATTTGAAAACATTTTCTGTGAGCCTTACAACTTTTCAGACTCCACTTTCTATCTTATGATTATAGTTGAAACATGTATAAAAATATTCACTGAAGTATAATTTATAATTGTGAAAAATAAAATATTTAATATGTTATTAGCGGATATAAGCAAATTAGAATACAACTTTGCAATGAAATATAGTTTATAAAATGAATGGGTACAAAGATTTCTTAGTGATTTTGGGGGAATATTAAATATAAAATTTTAAATAAAATATATAGCATATACAATTATTCATACAAGGTGATTTCATCATGTAAAATATATAGCAATGCAATTAGAAGGAAATATAATAAGAGATGAAAAAGGATTGCTTCTGATGAGTGGGATTGTGGTTCTCAGTTATTTTCTTTATACTCTTACAAAAGTATATATTTTCCACAAGTTCTAATTTGACTGCATTAATGTAAACACAGGATGCAAAAGAATGACACAAGAAAATGACCTGTTTTCTAATATCAGGACAAAATTGCTAAAGAAAAAATCTAATAAATTAATCCTAATTTCAGGATCCTTCATCCTGCCCCATCCTATGAATTCATCATTGTTTCTAAGCATCATAACTGAATTTATGTACAAACTAATTTCCTTGTAGATTAAAGAGGAGGAAGCCCTTAGCAACTATCATAAGCATGTCATTTCAGTACATATCAGTATAAAGTTCAGTTCAGGCTGAATGAATATGGTATAAAATATGCTCAAAGAGAGAGCATGTCTTCCACCTGCCTCCTCTAGACTTCATACAAAACAGATATTTGCCATGATTCCAGAAGATTGGTTCCATTTTTTTATTTCCGTTGTTGGCATTATTTTACTTAGATCTGGCACAGCCACCTATTATTAAGATGTGATTATACTTTCATTTAATAGAATAGTGAATTATAAATACAACCTCAGTGTCTTGATTGGTTTGGGATAGTAGAACAAATTACCACATACTGGATGTCTTAAGCAACAAACATTTACTTGTCACAGTTCTGGACGCTGGAAGTCTGAGATCAAAGTGGCAGCATGGTTGGGCTCTGGTGAGGGCCCTCTTTTGGGTTGTATCCTCACATGGTAGAAGGAGGGCTAGCTAGCTCTCTGCTCTCTCCTCCAATTCATGAGGATTCCACTCTTATGACCTAAATACTTCCCAAAGGCCCCACCTCCAAGAACCATTAAGTATTGGAATTTCAACATGTGAATTTTCGGGAAACACAACTGCTTTGTCTATTGCAATTGGTAACAAATGTTTGCCTTACCCCTAATATTTGACTTTCATAGTTTCAAAAATAGCTTTTCTTTCTTTAACACATGTTCATTCTGCAGTACTCTATCCAGGAAAAGTCTTATAGAGACAATGGGAACACAATTCTATGGTGTAATACTTATCATATTGCTCTTTCCACCATCTCAGTTGGATTTTACTAATTTAAAAAAAAATGGAAGTCAGAGCACGTTTGGCCTCTTCTCTTTTTCCTTATTTCTGCCTTTTCAAATAAACTTCAAGGAACTCTTAGTGATGGAATAATTGTTGTTCCCTTAACTTAGATTTAAAAAATCTTTATCACAATTAATTTCTTTGTTTCTCTTCCTAAGAAGTACATTAAAAACATTCTCTTGCTGGATTGTAAGTGACCTTCCTTTGTATGAATTAGAGCTTAGGTCTTTGGGCTGTGTGCCACAAGTGTTGCTCTGTCCCAAGGGAGATTTTGAAGAGGATGTTTTCTTGACTCAGATCATTTTTAAAAAAACTATATTCATTTTTTAATTACCTGGTAGGAATGCATGTAAAAGAAGAGTTCTACTATATCCAAGGAAAAAATGAAAAAGGGGGGGAAAACATGGAACATGTGCAGTTACTATCCCTTTTAATTGGTGTTTTGCCTGAAGTTTCTTCTTTATAATGTTTTTCAAAAAAATATGATTATTGCATTGTGATCGTGGAAAGTCTTAGAAAATACCGTGGAAATTCTCATGATTTACCAATAAAAATATTTTAAAATATGCAGCATTTTCCAAAGTGTGTCAAAGTATTAGTAGTTCAACAGGATCTTAAAAGAAGAATATACTGTGACCAAATTTGTTTCTGAACTTCTGAGTTAATAAATAAGAATATTTACTGAAAATATTTTTAGAGAAGTGGCTCTCAGTCTTTAGAGCACCTTAAAATGACCTGGGAAGTAATAAAAATGAAGATTTCTGGAACCTGCTCCCAGAGATTCTGGCATATTAGCTTTGGAATGGGATTGGGTATATAAATTTTTAGCAAGCATTCCAAATGTTTGTGATGTCCATGGTAAGGAAATCTTGTCTTGGATATTTTAATATTTTAATAGTCTTTATATATTTTATAAATTTCAAGAGGCAGTTATAAATTGTATAGCCTTTTCCTAATTTCCATGTAATACTGGTGTTCTTGAGAAAAGAGTTTGAGAACTGCTTGGAGTTCTTTTGGAAGATCTTCCCAGACCAGTTTAAATAATGGATGTAACATTAACTCCTTAGGAACTACTTGTCATTTATTTACAATGTACACTGGAAATTTGGGATAGCAGCCAACTCATAATAAAGGAATGCTATTCAAGCATAAACTAAGTGGCAAATTATTTTCGTGATGGCCAATCTAGTCTCCAATTGACAATTGTTAGCATATTCAAGAACAAATACTGCCTTAAAATTAAATTATATAAAATAATAACCTAAATAGGAAACATATGTATCTCTTTTTAGGATAATATTTTTTAAAAATTTATGCATTCAAAATTTTACTCATACAGAGCAGTTCCATATTTATTCAACTTTGAAACCTACCTGTCATATTTAACGAAGTTACAAGATTTGTTAGCTATAATCTTTCTGCAAGTTCTTTTCTTCCTCCTTCTGTCATAAACATGAATCTTGAGCATTTTATCTAAATTTTCTGCTTGGATGTATGTGTAAAATTTTAATTTGCCTACATTTTTCTAGCCACTACTTTCTTGACTTTTCTTTAAAGTAAATATGACCTACATGTTGGACTTGATGTTTCAAGTCTAACCAGGACAATTTCAAAGGTTTATAATAGTCTACATTTTCTAGTTTTTGTCATATCAGGAAGGACTCAGCCTGTGTCTTCTGCATTCCAGACATGTCAGATCATTTTAGCATTTTTCTTGCGATCCAAAGCTGATTCCTATTCATGCTTACCTCTCACACATAAGAGAGTTCAGCACATTTTAAGACAATTCAGTCATCCTGCGGCTTCTCAGATGGAGTACCCAGATAGGGCCAACCTCACATTTTTTGTCAAGCTCTTTCTCCCACAAATATTTTAAACAAAGCAAATTTGGGGCTATATTTGTAAAACATTAAGAGCGGCCGGGCGCGGTGGCTCACGCCTGTAATCCCAGCACTTTGGGAGGCCGAAGCGGGTGGATCAAGAGGTCAGGAGATGGAGACCATCCTGGCTAACACGGTGAAACTCCGTCTCTACTAAATATACAAAAAATTAGCCGGGGGTAGTGGCGGGCGCCTGTAGTCCCAGCTACTCGGGAGGCTGAGGCAAGAGAATGGCGTGAACCCGGGAGGCTGAGCTTGCAGTGAGCCGAGATCGCGCCACTGCACTCCAGCCTGGGCGACAGAGCGAGACTCCATCTCAAAACAAACAAACAGCAACAACAACAACAACAAAAAAAAAACATTAAGAGCAATCATTTTTATCATAATTGGGGTTAAACTTAGATCACTTTTTATGCAAAAATAATATGAAATATAAAATCTAAAGGGAGGCCAATCTATAAAATAGGAGCATGGGGGTCAGGATTTCACTCATTTAACTGTCCTCCTCACTTAGTCCCACAGGCATCTCCACATGTAGCCATTGACTGTGTTGGACTCTGGCTGGAAACAGTGGTTGAGACAATCATTTACTTATAATATGAAGTGATTGTTGTAATAGGTAGATAGATGACTGCAGCCTTGACACAAGGTATAAAATAGCAGAACCTTTCAAATGAAAAATTAAGGGAAAAATAAAGCACCGTACATGAACAGTAGGCAGTTACTAAATTACAGGATGGAAGATTATAGGTAGAAAAGGATTTGGCCCTGCACGTTCATTTATACAGAAGAATTAAGGAGAATTACAGGTTGTTGTTTGCTTCCTGGATCAAAGATATGCAGTATATTGAAAATATAAAAACAAAATTTCCCCCACCCAGAAAACCTCTCCACAAAGATAGAAAAGGAAGAAAACCATTTCGTTATTGAATAAATATTAAACTAGAATGTGATGCATATCATAGTCAATTCACTAAAATTTATAAAGACAGAGGGAAATCTCATTTTTTTTAATATAGCCAAACAAATACAACCTATTGTAAGCGTGTTCTCAAAATAAACAATAAGTAGCCCTATGTTAGTCCGTTTTCATACTGCCATAAAGAACTTCCATGAGACTCGGTAATTTATAAACGGAAATGGTTTAATTGACTCACAATTCTGCATGGCTGGAAAGGCCTTGGAAAGCTTAACAATCATGGTGGAAGGGGAAGCAAGCACCTTTTCCACAAGGTGGCAGTAGAGAAGAAATGAAGAAGGAACTTCCAAACACTTATAAAACCCTCAGATCTCGTGAGAACTCACTCACTATCATGAGAACAGCTTGGGGGAAACCGCTCCCATGATCCAATCACCTCCCTCCTCAACACCTGGGGATTACACTTCGAGATGAGATTTGGGTGGAAACACAAAGCCAAACCGTATCATCACTCATAGTTCATCATAGATTCACCTGGTAATTGGGCTGTTAATTAGCTTCATACGGAAGAGAAATAAAACCTCTCATATCTTTTTGACAGGAGGTAGTTCTGCAACTTGGCGCAAGGCATCCGCCAAAGTTAAGCTCCTACCTCTCACAGAAATGGACAGGGGACTGCTACCTCCCTTCATGTTTACATTTTAAAAAGACGGCTCCTAAATCCTGACAAAAGGCCCATCGCATTTTCTAAAGAATTCATATACATTTCAAAGAGAGGAGAAAGTACTTATAATGGCAAGTTTTCTTAAGTTAATGCTCTCAGAAGAGAAAGGGAGGAGAAGTCTCTTTCGTTTTCAACAGGGAGAATTAAGTCTATTATTTTTCATTTTTATTTGTTCTTACCATATAAGTGTTCTAAAAAGTATTTATATTCATTTTGTATGACTTTCTCCATTTTCTTTATTTCTCCAAAAGCATTTTCTCAAAGTTTTTTAATTGTTTAAGAGAAATATTCAGACTACCATCAATAAAGACAGAGAGTAGTGTTTAGTTCAAATGCCAACCAACCCTCTCCATATTATTTTATAATATTCCTAACCATATCCACTCCTGATAATTACAGTTGTAAACATTATCTCCTTTTAATGATGTCCCTGGATTTATTTGATGCTGGAAATTATTTTATACCAATTTCCATATTTGTAGCTTTTTTGAAAAAAATACTGTATTTAGTAAGTGTTTATGAAATGAAAAATACTCTCTGGCACTGAAAGAGTTAAATGCAACTGTGAATTAAACAAAGGCTCATTCATTTATTCATTGACCATCAGTGAAGAGGTATGTTACATCAGGGAAAATAGTGCAAGACAATATATGTACCGGTGGTTCTGAAGAAAAGATGAGTTTACAGTCCAGTAAGAATTGAGTGAAGTACGCACACAAGCTTTTGTGTATGTTTGAAAAAAATAGAGAAGTATTTAAAGTGTGAGTTTCGGATAGATATAACAAGTTTCAATGTTCCATATTTGAAGTTAGTGTTGGAATATGGCAGGGACAACTTTAAAATTATTTTCTGGCAATATGACTGCAGTGAAATATGGTATCTCCAAAAGTTTGCAGTGAAAGGGACTGCAATGAAATATGGTATCTCCAAAAGTTTTCAAGTTTTCTAAGCAGCTAATAACATACTTAGGGCTAAATATCAGTTGTCCTATTAACCCTGCTTTCTAGGTACCACAGCATAGAGGAGCTTACTGATCCTCTGAAATGAATTTTAGTGATGGGGATAAAGAGGTATTTCAGAAGAGCGAGAATATCAGATTCCTGAGCTCCAACATGAGCATGTAGAGAAAATTATTTAAGAGATGAATTAATTCTGTCACCTTAATTTTTAGTTTCTCTAAGAAATGCTATACCTCTACTTAAAACACTCAATATCTTCCCCTTGCTTTTCATCCAAAAACCTCAGCATTAGCTGTTAAGGCCCGTTATCATCTGTGCCTTGTTTACCATCCTCCACTCTTTTATCAGGATCCTCAACTTTTAGTGTATACTCCAGCTATTACCAAGTTGGTTGCAGTTATCTAAATCTTATAATACTTGGTTTTGTCCCAATGACGACCTCATATGCTGCTACTACCTTTGTCTAGAATGTCATGTGTAACCTCTTTACCCAAAAGACTACTCCCATTCATGCTTCAAGATTCAATACAGGTGACATATCCTCTGGGGCAACATCCCTGTGTCCTTTGTCCTCCACCTGTAAAAACTAATTGAGCTCCCTTTCCTGGGTATTTCCATTCTTGCATTTTCACATTTTATTTTAACTGATGACTTCTCACCTCAACTATCAAGGAAGCTTCTTGAGGGCACAAACTGACCCTACCTCTTTTTTCTCTAAAGTTTTAGTGGTTATAACACTCCTTAGCAAATCAGAAGTATTTATTACATACGTATTAAATGGATGTATAGATGGATGGACGGGAAAATGGAAGGAGGGATGGATGGATGGATGGCCTTATATAATATGTAAGAAAATAATTCAATTAGTATAAATTGAGTGGCAGAAGACAGACTTTCAATAAATAGAATTAAAAATAATTCTATTTTTTCAAAAGTGGTCTGTTGATTTATTAGAGTGTCTTTGTTATTAGTATCTTAGATTCTGAAATTAAAACAATGTAAGGTTGATATTCCTCATAGTATGCTGGGTTATTTCAAACATCTTAAGTTTCTTAAGCATACGGAACTTGGAGTATAGAAATGCTCAATATGATTGAATGTTGTCACTCACTCGTATCACTTTATTTTCCTGTGGCTTTCCTTAGCTGTTTTCTATTATTTTTTCAGGAAAAAATGCTATTACACTGACGGGAGGAGCAAATCAATGGGCAGGTTGGTGGGTGATGAATCATTTCTTTATAACAAATTTGTCGTTTTGAAAAAAATAAGAAGATATTTGATTCCCCATATCAGCAGTTGTAAATCATAGGAAGAAAAATTCTATTGATTTGTCGAAGATATTTCCAAAATAACTTATGCCAAATCGAATAACATTTAAAATCTGATAATCTTTTTGTTACAATTTATCATTGCCATTCTTGGAATCTTCCCATGTTATAATGTTATGGAAGGAGGACTTTAATCGCAAGTTCACATGTTATGATATTTTAATTTTAAAAATAGTTATAAGACCAGGATCAATGTTTAAATGATGACCCACAGTAACAGAACAATAAACCTGACAAAGACCTTCTGTATCATTCAGTCCAGTTCTCTCATTTGAAAGAAGTGGCAAAGATTAGTGTTCAGAGAGATGAGGTGCTTTACCAAGGCCATGTACCGTCTTTTGAATTGCAGACCCACTCTCATTCTAACCCCGGAAGGTACCGCTCTTATCCTAGTATTGAAAACGAACTTTTGAAGAGCTTTACCTCAAAACATTAGCTCTTTACCTATTGTGGTAAGAATAACTATGGAAAAGGAGTCAATCAAACCACTACCCTGAGACAGAAGAAACTCTTCCATCTGAATCTTTTTGTCACTATTTAACTGGAAGAAATCAGCTCCCATTTAATGAATGCTCAAAGAAAAAGCTTCTTACCCTTGGCCGTTTTCTGCACCTTGCCAAAGAACCAGTTAACAAAGATAAAGCATGTGAATGTGGTAGAGTATGCTCCATTAAATGATGTTGAAGGATGTATGTTACAAATCAGAATAACACAAAAGCTAGAACTGTATGGTGTGAATAACAGACCATCTTAGGAAATGATTCAATAAATCTAGTTTCTTTACCAAATAAAATTGAATGTAATTTCAAACTTTTAGAAATCAGAATGGGAAAATGTCCATCTGTTTTAAGCATTAATTTTAGGCGTGGCAGTATTGAGTGACAAGAAAAGTAAATTATGGAGAAAAAAACTTGAAATTAGAATGAATATTAAAGAAATTAGCACTGAAATAGCTTTTCCTCTTTAAATTAATGATGCTCTTCAACCGAGTCACATTTTTCTGTCAGGTTAACATATTTTAATTTGGAATGAGCTCTCATTTCCCATGTGGGTATTTGGTCCTGGTCTATGTAGCAAATTTCCAGTCATTTTTGCTAATAAAATTAGTCATTGGAATATTACAATTTGCAAGTTTACAACTGCAGGTTTTTCTTGTCTTTGCTCTGCATATGCCTGCTTATTGTTGGATGGCTGATAAAATCTCTTGATTTGCTTCAGTTTGCTACTATAGAATTAGTGA
Source organism: Homo sapiens (assembly GCF_000001405.40). Classification (NCBI taxonomy): domain Eukaryota; kingdom Metazoa; phylum Chordata; class Mammalia; order Primates; family Hominidae; genus Homo; species Homo sapiens. The sequence goes on from NC_000011.10 coordinate 26,527,036, forward strand.
GACTTTGCTACTACATAATTAGTAGGTTTTCTGTTAAACAAGAATCTTTCCTTTGGAGACTTGGGAAAGTATATATTCTGTATATTAAAATTGGAACAAATGTCTGTTTATATATAAAGCTATCATGGCAAATGCGTATACTAAATCCTAACGAAACATTTTTAATAATGTAAAAAATGTTCTTTTCTCTGTTTTGGTCAAATGTAAAAGTAAACTAGAAAAATGAACACTATTATATGTCATTACTTGTTTTATCTTTTGTGTTTCTTATTTTCTGTGTAAGTTCATAAAATGAAAATTCAGTTATCATTTATTCCAAATGATTATTAAAATATCTTGAACCTTACTCTAGCCCACCCCTTTTCATTTTACTTATAATAAGTAAATCTCTTTATTCTATGTCTTTGTGGATTCATGTGGGAGAGGTAGGGAATAAATAGAAAAGAAGTCTATAAAATTATATAACATTAAACTGAAAAAAATTACAAAATTTGGAAACTCAATCTGTAGACAGTTTGAAAAGTGGAAAATTGAAATCAAACGTGGCCATTTAGTTTCACTTGTGCTTCTCTTTTCTTGAAGTGGGAAAGGTATTTTCCTCACATGCTTAGTTTTGACCGGTACATATTAGGGGATAAATAATGTACAGGCAGTTGTCCAGCTTTTGAGGATCATCCCTTCTCCAGCAGGTTGAAAGGATGTTGTTGGTTTTATTATCACTGCAATTTATTTTTTATTCAGAAAGCATTTTCACATTCAATTATTAAACCATCTTAAAAATGACTCTGCAAGGGAAGCAGAACAGAGAGTAGCCAGTTTTGCAGATAGGAAAACAAAAAAGACTCCCTTATCATCCCCACCCACACACCCCATGCCCTGCTTTCACAGCTGTTTTGGCAGAGTTTGTGCTTCAGTCAAGTTCCTTTGACCCTTTAATCCAGACTTATTTTCAATTTTCATAGAATTATCTTAGGTTTTCCTGGATTGTAGCAAATAAACCTAAAGCTCTATTTTTGCATTGTGCTGTGATATCTTGGATTTGCAAGACGTCCAACACAATAAAGGTTTAGTAGAGTGTAGATAATGTATTAGATTACACTGGTGGCATGGTGATGGTACTTTTAGTAGTATAAATCATATATCATTATAAACACGTATTGAGTACTTACTATGTTCTGTGCCCCGTGGTGTCAGACAATATTTATTTAATTCTCAAAATATTTCTTTTCAATTAAGAGAAGCAAAACTTAGTGAGGGCCCAAGAAATTAATAAGCTAGATCCTTGCATTGTGGTATTCAAATTTAGGCCAACCATATTTCACTATTAGACTCCATTTACCCCTTCCTTCACAGGAAGTGTATGTGAAAACCTAAAGTGATAATATTGTTTGTTTTCTGTTAACATCACAAATGATGGTCTGAAAACCCTTTTATTCTATTTCTTTTAAAACTATTTAAAATTCACATTTATACTTTGTTTATGATGTAGTCAGAGCAACTAGAGCCTTGGGTGCTGTAGCCTGTCAGCATTTTCTAAGTGTAATTAGAATGCTTCCTTTTATTTGATCCTGCTAGCCTCCTAATGAAGGAGAACAAATGGAATTACTCTCTGTCTTTAGAAATGAGAACCTGAAGCTCAAAGATTAGAAATGTTTAGCCCAATTTCAGTGACCAGCAAATTCAGCACTAGAACACTCATGTTCCAACTCCTACCCCATTGCTTTTTATCAACTATGCTAAATTTAAAAAGCTTGAGTAATTTCTGTGCAGTCTATTCAATGTTTTCTACATGTCTATACATCAACCTCTCCAATGAGGTGATATTTTATTATTTTAAAGGCTGTCTTTGTAATGAGAAGAAGCAAAGTAAACACCTCAAATACTATGTATTTATTATTTTAGGCTAGAAAAAAATGTTTTGGTTCTTCCAAAACCAAAAATGATTTGATAAGTAAGTGATAACCTTACTTGGCAAAGGAAAAATCCAGACTTTCACATACCAAGTCTTGCATTAGGATTTGATTATTATTTCAAATTATACATGGCAATTATAATTTCTATATTATATATATTATTAATAATATATATTATATATAATATATATTATATAATAATATATATTATATATAATATATATTATTAATAATATATATTATATATAATTATATAATATATATTATATAATATAATATATAATATATATTATATAATATATATTATATAATATATATTATATATTATATAATATATAATATATATTATATAATATATATTATATAATATATAATAGTATATAATATATAATAATATATTATATAATAATATATTATATAATAATTATATATTATATATTATTATATATTATATAATAATATATAATAATATATTATATTATTATATAATATCATATATAATATATATGATATTATATAATAATCATATATTACCATAATAGAGTTGAATGAAATAATTCCTGAGATACAATACTTGCTGCCTGCCCACTGCTATACTAATTTTTTTTCTGAAGTTCAAGCAGAGTTGGCCAAAGAAATATTGAGGTGTGTTATATTTAACACTCCTCTAGGAAAATATTCTATCCTGCTATTTGGACTTACTATTGCAGAAGAAGCCAAAAATTTCCCCAGATAGAAACCCATAGTGTGTAAATATTGCAAATGTGTTATTAAACACAGCTATTATTATAGTAACTCTGAATTTAGACTTTCAGAGTCCATCTCTGGAGTCAATAGCTTTCTTCTGTTTCTATTTTCTTTGTAAAATAAATCTGATTTCAATCAGTATATATACCATAATAGAACTAGTTTATGAATGTAATCTAAAGCTGGAGCCAAAGTATCCTGATGTCAGATTTCCCAAACAGTGTCCAAATGGTATATGCCAGGTGTCTATGCTAAACCCGTTACTCAAAGTATAGTCAGTGGTTAGCAATATGAGTGTCCCTTAGCAGCTATGTAGAAATGTGGAATCTCAGTCCCTATCCCAGGCCTATGAATTAGTATCTGCATTTTAACAAGATAATCAAGGTATTCCTATGCCCGTGAGAATCTTAAAAGTCCTGCAAAGGCTTTTTGCCTCAGTGTTCCACATTGTTAATTACCAAGTCTAGAATAAAATACCAATTTACAACTCTCCAGCAAAGTCAGCATTACTTTTATTTTATGTGTGAGGAAACCAAGGCAAGAAGTTAAATAACTTGTACAAGTTTACGTGGCTAGCACAGTGCAATAAATTATAACTCAGTTTTGCTTGACTTTAAAATTTTGCTGTCTACCACACTTATGACTTCCAGTGCCACTAAATGTGTCACAGTCATTTATTTATTTTCAGTTTCCACTTTTCTAGAGCCACAAAGCTGTTTGTTTTAAAAAAAAGCAGGGATTAATATCTATCATCTATCTGTCTGTCTATCTATCTATCTATCTATCTATCTATCTATCTATCTATCATCTATCTATCTACATGTATACACACACCATTTTAATAAATATATTTTGCGCTTAAAAAAAAAAAAACTCTCTTTCTGGCCGGGCGCAGTGGCTCATGCCTATAATCCCAGCACTTTGGGAGGCCGAGGCGGGTGGATCTCGAGGTCAGGAGATCAAGACCTTCCTGGCCAACATGGTGAAGCCTCGTCTCTACCAAAAAAAAATAAAAATAAAAAAATTAGCTGGACTTGGTGGCTCGCGCCTATACTCCCAGCTACTTGGGAGGCTGAGGCAGGAGAATCGCTTGAACCTGGGACGTGGAGGTTGCAGTGAGCCAAGATTGCACCACTGGACTCCAGCCAGGTGACAGAGCGAGACTGTCTCAAAGAAAAAAAACAAAAACAAAAACAAAAACAAAAAATCTCTTTCCTACCACCATCTTTATGTATCCTGTTTCTGAAATCTTTTCCACAATTATTTTATTTTTTCATGAGGATAACATAGTTGTCCTGGAAGAGTTTAAACAACTGCAAGATTTGGTTTGTTTTGCTATTTTCTTCTTTTGTGTGGGAACAGAAGCAATGCACGTGTATGTGTGGTGTGTGTAGGTTTGTGTATCTCTTTTCAAAGAAGTTTCTTTAGTACTTAAGTGAATTGTAGTGGAAGGTAGTCATGGCTTTGGAATACAACCTAATCTAGTTCTCAAATGTGACTTCATTCCAGGATGCAAACTTATTTTAGAAGAATCAAAAACTGGATGGCCCAAAACCCAATGGTTCTTGACAAGTCAGCTTTTCCAGACCTAGAGGAGTCAGACTGCTATACTGGCCCCTTCAGCCGTGCACGGATTCACCAGTGAGTTCCCCTCTTTTTTCATACTGCCTACCTTTATATCTTGGTGGGGCTTGTTTATAGAATAAAAACACCTGGGACCATTTCCATTGTTTACCAAATACGTCAGAGAACTTATCATTGTATTAAAATACACACTTAACTTATAAACAACACTAAGTGAATGTTATTAATTCGCTATCAATTTGATGATTTAGAGACATTCAGTAGTGAATAATTAATTGTAGACCTATGGACTGGTAGTCTAGTTTCTAACACTTTAAAAATAATTACTGTAGTAGTGACTCAGTTAAAATAACAATAATGTTAATAATAATAGGATTACTGTTAATTAGCATGTTTGAGTAATAGATTGCTGTAATAAATAAATAAATTATAATTATAATTGCTTCAATTAACATATATTTATTAATTAAGCTATCTATTTTAGTTCAATCTTATTAAACTAAAATGAATGATAATTTTTAAAGAGATTTGTTTCATTACTGTCTCCATCTACCTACCTACATACATACCTGTTTATTTATTCATGTTTTCATTCAACTAGTATTTATTGTGTTTCTACATCACACAGGTTGTGTATATAAAGGAACTTATGACACAGTTTCTATCTTCAAGGTACACCCAGTCTAATGGGGCAGACAAAAATGTAAATTTATAATTAACTGGGGTAAACATAAAGATAGGAAAAGGCGTGATGTATTGAAGGACTATAGCTATAGGGCCTACGTTGCTATAGGCCATTGTGAATTGAGCTATATTCTGGGATGCAGGAAGTTGAAAGGGTGGATGAAACAGATTTCCAGACCACCAAACATGTAACATAGCCATCAATCAATGGGAAACCCTCCTTTTCCCCATAGCCTATTTATCTCATTACTTATTCTTGGAGGTGTAACTAGAAGCATGCTTTCTAATTCCAGTGATATTGTAGTGGCAGAAGGAATAAAATTCCAAATGACTGTTGGCTTTAGAGAGAGGTGAGAGTTTCACGGAAGCTTTTTCAGCTTTTTGCTGCACTTTTTCAGGACCTTTAAGGATCTGTGATACACCAAATGAAAAACATTCTACTCTTTTTTTTTAAACCCTGAAACCAGAGTAATCTTTGGAAAATATCAGCCACATCATACAACCACCTTTCTTAAGACTCTGAAACAGTTTCCCATTTGTACTTCCAATAAAATTCAAATTTCTTATTATTTACTATGTGGGCATAGATGCCATAGTTACTGCCCAGCACTATCACCCCATCTTCTGCATTTTTTTTCACCTTTTACTCACTCCAGCCATACAAGCCTTGGTTCTATCTGTTGAAAGCTCAAGCTTAGTCCCAACTCAGTCTTTCTTCTTGCTGTTCTCATTGTTTGCCATGCTCTGCCCCAAATCTTCATATGGCGTAGTCCTTCCTGTCATTCAGCTCCTACTCAAACACCACCACCTCCAAGAGACTGGCTCTGAAAATGTGACCTAAAGTGCCCTTGTCCCAGTCATTTTCTATCCCAGTATACAGTTTTCATTTTTCTTCATAGAAATTATCTGAAATTATGTTATTTACTTTTTACTTATGCATCAGCTATTTCATCTCTCTATAATGTAACTCCATGAAAAATTGAATTGATCTGCTTAAAAATTACTTGTTGAGGGAATGCTGAATCAATTTAATGGGGAAAGAGGCAGGTGGACATTCCTTCTCCTACCTACAATTAACAGGACTCTGAATTTGGTACATCCAAGTACAGAGATAAGAATACTGGAGGAATTCAGAGTCTAACAAAATAGACACATGTGCATATTAACTTAAATGATGCAGAGTAAAATCAATGTATTAAGAAAGACAGAAATAAAATGCACGTTTTGTAAGAGAGAGAGCAGCACATCCAAAGGGCAGGATCTGGGATGCCTTTTCAAAGGAAATAGCTCTTTTTGTCGGGTAAAAATATGTAGTGGCATGGGGAGAGAAGAAGAAACAGAGCAAAATCTAAAGAAAAAGAAGCATGGGATTTTAAGGTGATGATATTATGTTGGTACAACATTACTTTTAATGGCAAAAACTGCAATTGCATTTGCACCAACCTAATAATTATACAAATTGACAGATGATTGGATAAATGAAGGCAGAGCTGTTAGACATATAAAACTGAAGACATAAGACTGAAGAGTAGGTTGGAATGCGAGTACCGAGAGCCTTGGAGGAAAATAAGAAATTTAATGATGCTTGTAGAGGAAAGCTGTTGGCACACTAAAAGTAAGGGAGTGCTCTGAAAATCAGAGCTGTGCATTAAAGGTCAGGTGGGAAAACGCAAGGCAAGTTAGGAGGATGTTCTACTCATAATCTAGGCAAGAGGCAATGAGACCCAGAACAAAAAGCTGGAGAGAGACAGTTTAGTCAGAAAAGTTACACCGTTTGCCATCTGTTTGAATATGAGCAGTGTAGATGAAGCAACTATCCTAGAAGACCTTCTAATTCAGGACTACGTGCTTGACACAATGGCGATTTATCACTCACATAGATAGAGTAACTAGAAACAGAAAATGTCAGAAGTTGAGCAAGACCCAGGACACTTCCATTTTTTCGAGATTCCCAGCATACTATAAAGTAAATACTGAAACAGACCCTTCCATCCCTCTTGAGCTCATGCTTTTGCTCTTACATCATTGACTCTCAAATGGTTCTTCATTGCTACTCTTCCCATGGGGACAATAATAGAGCATCAAGGGAAAGGTAGGATGATTTTTCATTGTTAAGGCTCTGAAAACAAGATAAGCTGCATTGGAAAGCATGGTATGGGGGATAACATGAATTTTTGATGTGTTCTATTTGGAAATACATTGCTTAAGGTAGTATAAAATGTATGGGAGCCAATGGGCTATCTATTCTCTCCTTGTTCCATGTGAAATAAGAAATAGGAACACTTATAAACTGAAAGAAGATAACAAAGTGAACATTTGATAATGCCTTGTATTATTTATGAATTCTTTTTCTCTGTCAATTTTTTTTTAAAGAGGATGATTTCCCTTCTGATTTACTATGCTTCATATGCATTAGCTTTAATGGAACTTGTAACTATTGCTGGATTCTGTGTTCTGCTTTGAATATTAAACCAATCCCCTCATCTTAACAGCTTCATAATAAATAATAAAGACACCTTCTTCAGCAATGCTACTCGAAGCAGAATAGTCTATCACATGCTGGAACGCACCAAATATGAAAATGGAATATCAAAAGTGGGTAAGAACATTAATTAATAACAGAGTAGAACTTGCTGTTACTATTTATACCCAGAATTATTGTTTTTTTTAACAGCTGTAGCTTTGCTTTAATTCATTAAATAGATGTGTATAACATATTGAACACACACTCTATAAGCATTCCATTTTTCAGCCTTTTAATAAAACAAAAAAAACTTTTTTGAGGGTATTTGGTCATAGATATCAAAACGTGAAATGTGAAAACACTTTGAAACAGAAATATTATTTCTTGAAATTTATCCCCCTCAAATAATCAGACTTTTGAGTGACAAAATATGCAGAAATTTGCTCATCATGGGCTTGTTTGTAATAGAATTACCTGGAAATACCTTACGTGTCCATGCTTAGGGACTGAAAAATAAGTTAGGCTGTGTCCATGTAGTACATTCATTAAAAGTTATGTTTCATTTATTTACTCTTATTTTAACATAAAAATTTCAAGCATCTGTTTTACAAAGTATATGACATAAGCCCTATACTCAGGGAGATTGTAAATTGGTTATGAGTTCGTTATTTATCAACTCCAAAAGATATCCACAAACTATATGTCTCATGTAATTTCATTTCTTAAACCCACATACATAAAAAGACAAAAACTCTAGAAGAATATGTAAGAAACTTTTTAGAGGTTACCTCTGGAAGGTGAAATAATAGTTAATTTTAATTTTCTAAATTTCTTTGTTGTTTAAATGTTTAGCAGTATGCTACAACATGTATAATACAAAATAAACTTGAGAATGTTTCACCTAGAAAAAGTAAATAAAATTGCAGAATTTACATAGAGCTGAGCAGAAAGCAATAGGTAACAAACAAGATATACTTTTAATTATAGGGGTGACGAAATGCTTGAAGGGATCAAATGTTAGTCATATCCTAAAAGCCTTGAAAATAAAAAGTTGACAGCCAGCAAAAACTGGTACCAATCTCTACTGATTTTATTAAAATTGAGTGCTATATAGGTAAAATACACTATGTTTCAAGACAGCCACTTTTTTTTTTTTTTTTTTTTTTTTTTTTTCAGATGGAGTCTTGCTCTGTCGCCCAGGCTGGAGTGCAGTGGCACGATCTCAATTCACTGCAAGCTCTGCCTCCCGGGTTCACACCATTCTCCTGCCTCAGCCTCCCGAGTGGCTGGAACTACAGGCACCCTCCACCACGCCCGGCTAATTTTTTGTATTTTTTAGTAGACACGGGGTTTCACTGTGTTAGCCAGGACAGTGTCAATCTCCTGACCTGGTGATCTGCCCGCCTCAGCCTCCCAAAGTGCTGGGATTACAGGTGTGAGCCACTGTGCCCGGCTGATAGCCACTTTTTAAAGAAAAACCTTCAGACTGTTGTTCTTCTAATTAATAATTTATTTATTACTGAGCATTCAAAACAGTTAACTCACATACCTAAACTTCACCAAAAATAAAGAAATAAATTTAGTAAGTAATTTTTAAGGAACTAAAAATAAGCTGGGTGCGGTGGCTCAAGCCTGTAATCCCAGCACTTTGGGAGGCCAAGGTGGCTCGATCACCTGAGATCAGGGGTTCAAGACCAGCCTGGCCAACATGGTAAAACCCGTCTTTACTAAAAATACAAAAATTAGCCAGGCACAATGGTGGGTGACTGTAATTCCAGCTACTAGAGAGGCTGAGGCAAGAGAATCACTTGAACCCGGGAAGTGAAGGTTGCAGTGAGCCGAGATCATGCCACTGCACTCCAGCCTGGGTGGCAGAGTTAGACTCTGTCTCAAAAAAAAAAAAAAAGAAAGAAACTGAAAATAATGAAATCCAGAATATAAATTGAAAATGTGTCTAAATGTTAGTACTATATTGTTTTGTAGTCTTTTGAAATAATTATGACATTATAAATAATTATAAGGGTATCATTCCCTTTGTAGTAAATACAGAAGAATTAAAATTATTCCTAACTGCAATTCTCACTTATACATTTTTAAGTTTATATATATGTATATAAATTTATGTGTGTGTACATATAAATTAGACGTACATATAAATTAGATGTCTTAGCGTTTATAATTTTCAGGTTTTTAAAAAATTACCATTATGAATATTTTCTCAAGCCCTTAATTACTCTTCGAAAACATTATTATAAATAGCTGTACAATATTCCATAATAAAATTCATCAAATCACTATTATTTACTATGTACCTATTATAATTGATTGTGCTATAAAAATTAAATGATTTATCAGTTTTGGATATGTAATTATTTCTAATTCTTTACTGATATAAATAATATTGCAACAACAGTTGCTCACTCAGTATCTGTTCTTACCAGGAGTATATGAGAGTGTCCATTTCACTCTACCCTCATTGAGAGGGAGGAGATTTTAATAAGTGTCTCATATTGCTATTTATGTCTTTTTTTGTTTGGTATTATACAGTTAAGTATTTCTCAATACCAATATCCTTTAAATTTTTTTTTTTTTTTTTGGTAGGGGACGGGGACTGGGTGGGATATAGAATTTGTCTTCTTTCTTGACCAACTTTGTTATTTGGAGAAAAACAAAAAGTTGCTTCTGGGTCACATGATCCTAACTAAATGGGTTAAATGCCCAATATTTTATGATATGGTAAAGTAAAATCATGTGGCAACTTGCAAATCTTCATTTGCTAATATCATAAGGACATAACTAGATGCAGTATCAGGTTTCTTTCACAATCTCACTGTCCTCATAGGTGATGTGGCTATGGAAGTCATTTGGGTTATCTTAAACTTTTTAATCGATTCATTGTTCCCCGTATATTTCTGTTGCTTCAGAGGAAATGTTTCATTGAAACTAACTCAATAACTGTCCTTTTCTTCTCTTTGCAGGTATCCGTAAACTTATAAACAATGGCTCATACATAGCAGCGTTTCCACCACATGAGGTAATTTTGAAATACAGTTTCCGCTTTATAAACAAGGTTTTCATGCTCAATGCTTGGTCCTGTTGTTTGCATTTGAATCTAGCTGTCCACTCCCAGGAGGATTCAGTCTGCAAGTAGCCATGGGCCTTCTGTCTCCCCATTGTAATTTTGTGGCTGTGCACTGGCTCCTCTGCCTCAAAGCCTGTCTTCAATTTGCCCCATACTGGGAATCCCAGCCTTAGCGAGAACACTCCTGGACACTGTAGCTGCTGCCTTCTGCTCCAGTACAGAGCTCCAAGCTTGATCCAACTTGAGATCAGCACCATTCCAAATAGAGGAGATTCCTGGTTTGTGCCTACTACTTTGGGATACTTGAAAATCTAAAGTCCACCACAAAAACCTATAGCCAATTACCTCCTCAATTATTTGTCAGATTATTACCTCCCTACAGGTTTTAAATAGAAATGCCTGCTCTAAGCTGCAGTGGGCCTTGTCCACTGTAAATGATATTTGAGCCAACTTTTATTCCCTGACCTCTTTCTTTAAGGCAATTTCACATTTTAAGGTAAGAATGGGGTCTTTACAGGTTTCACTTCTGAACTTTCAAAGACTATCACACTTCTATTTATAAATTTATGACTGAGGACTCACAGTACATAATACAAGGCTGAGGAATTTGCAGTCTGGTACGACCAATAGTAGATAAAATGTATTGAGTACTTGCTATTGGCAGTGACGTAAATGTTTTATATGGATTGTCTCATTTAATCCTTGCAACAACCCTTTGAGATATACAATAACATTAACTCTGTTTTGTATATAGGTAACTGAGGTACAGAAAGGTTAGATATCAAAGGCGCAGTTTTGAGCACCGGAAGCCAATCTCCAATGTTTATATTCATTATGGTATACATACTTATAGTAAGAATAGAAATAATAACAGGAAATATGTTTGTGTATTTAATGTACCAGGCCTTGTGCATGTATTTTCCCGTTATTCTGAACATAACCCTGGAGGGGTAAATCTTATTATTCTTATTTTACAGCTGAAGAAACAAAGCTCAGAGAAATTAAACACTGTATCAGATAGCACATAATAAATGGTAAAGTGTTCAGAATGGCAAACTTAAGGCCCAAGGAGAACCTCTGTAGCAAAGGAAGGTTTAATTTGTTCTCTGTCTAGGTAATTTTCTCTACATAATTAGGCTGAGTTCTGAAAGTTCATTTGACAGGTTTTTTACGTGAAATTTGGGACTTATTATAAATAAGTTATAAGTATCATCTTCCCACATGTGCTTGTAATTTGGATGAAATATTAATATATGCAATAAATACATGAAAAGAACACAAAACAATGTTGTTGAAATACAAGAAAGTAAATTAGAAGGTCAATAAAATGGGCTCAGGAATTTTCTGTTGATTTTAAATGCTGCTACTTGAGGTAAGAAAAATAAGGCTTATTAGGAGGAAAGTGGAGTCAATGGCTTTGACTCTGATTTGATTAAGGATAGTTCACAATTCTAGGCTTCCTTTTTCCTTTTCCTTAATGCAGGAGACAAGTGCCAATCTCTTATTTTTACCAGTGGTCGAGGTTTGTTTTTTACTTACAAAAAGGACAGTGGCTAGAGGGAAGAAGAAGAAATGTCTTGTGGAGTTTGGTGTGAAAAGGAAAAATAAAGGGAACAAGAGAAATACACACACACACACACACACACACACACACACACACACACAAGAGTTTGTCCAAGATATTGATAGAATTTATAATCCTATCAATTATGAATAGTGGAAAGAGAGGAAATGTGTGTAGGTCAGAGGAGGCCAGTCATGGGGATGGCAGGGACCACTGAGTGTACGTAATACTTCAGAAAGGCATGAAAGTACATGAGTGAGCAAGAATAATCACTTCGGTCCGTTTTCTCTTGCAGCCCATTGCATGTCACTATCAGGCCAGAATGATGTAGCTGATTGAGATTATAGAGCAGAGTTAAAAAAAGATACCCTAAATATTCTAAAGTTTAGCATATGAAGCCCAAAAAGCCTTTTAATCTTTGGGCTTTAAACACCTTGAGCTAGTTTGGGAAGACAATTTTGGGCCTGCACTTAAATGGTACCTCCTTTCTTCCCTAATAAATGTATCTATTTCATTAGGGAGCCAGGAGTGGCATCCACATGTCTCTCATGGCAACCTTGAGGCACCTGTGAGCCATGACTCAAGGTGTCTTCTTTCCTTATGGGAGCTCACCGTCCTGGTTGTCAAGGAATATTCTGATGAGCTTTGCACTTTTCAAGAGCCACAATATATCAAATGCGTAAAATACCTAACTCACATTAATTGCATACTTTCCATGTGCCAGGCACTTTATAGGTATTATCTAAGTTGACTCTCGTAAAACCCCTCTATACTGGGTATTATTATTATTACTTCTGTCATCTAGGTGAGAAAACTGAGACATAACTCCACTTGCTTTAAATTTTTGTCAAACTTTCATAAAGATAGAGCCATACATTGGAGTGAGGAGAAAGACTTTGTCATGTCTTGTATCTCACATTTTGGTTCAGAAAATATATAGTCACCGCATATATTGTCCTCTTTTTAGATAATAAAAGCAGAGAAGTTCAGCCTTTAGGGAACACTCTGCTCTATAAGGCATATCATATAATCTGCACTTCCAAAATGGCAACCCATATGACAGATTTTTGAAAGAGGATATACAGAATTGAAAAAAAAATCCTTCAATTTTTTGAATATCTTATCTGAAATAAATTTTAAAGATACTACCATGTTAAAAATCTGACTAGCCAGCTTCATTCCTGGGATGCAAGGCTGGTTCAACATATGCAAATCCATAAACATAATCCATCATATAAACAGAACCAATGACAAAAACCACATGACTATCTCAATAGATGCAGAAAAGTCCTTCGATAAAATTCAACACCCCGTCATGCTAAAAACTCTCAATAAACTAGGTATTGATGAAGCATGGCAACAAAAGCCAAAATTGACAAATGGGATCTAATTAAACTAAAGAGCTTCTTCACAGCAAAAGAAACTATCATCAGAGTGAACAGGAAACCTACAGAATGAGAGAAAAATTTTGCAATCTATTGATCTGGGCTAATATCCAGAATCTGCAAGGAACTTAAACAAATTTACAAGAAAAAAAATAACCCCATCAAAAAGTGGGCAAAGATATGAACAGACACTTCTCAAAAGAAGACATTTATGGGGCCAACAAAGATATGAAAAAAAGCTTATCACCACTGGTCGTTAGAGAAATGCAAATCAAAACCACAATGAGATACCATCTTATGCTAGTTAGAATGGCTATCATTAAAAAGTCAGGAAACAACAGAGGCTGGAGAGGATGTGGAGAAATAGGAAGGCCTTTACATTGTTGGTGGGAGTGTAAATTAGTTCAACCATTGTGGAAGACAGAGTAGCGATCCTTCAAGGATCTAGAACCAGAAATACCATTTGACCCAGCAATCCTATTACTGGGTATATACCCAAAGGATTATAAATCATTCTACTATGAAGGCACATGCACACGTATGTTTATTGCAGCAATATTCACAATAGCAAAGACTTGGAACCAATCCAAATGCCCATCAATGATAGACTGGATAAAGAAAATGTGACACATATACACCATGGAATACTATGCAGCCATAAAAAAGATGAGTTCGTGTTCTTTGCAGGGACATGGATGAAGCTGGAAACCATCATTCTCAGCAAACTAACACAGGAACGGAAAACGAAACACCCCATGTTCTCACTCATAACTGGGAGTTGAACAATGAGAATACGTGGACACAGGGAGGGGAACATCACACAATGGGGCCAGTTCGCGGGTGGGGAGGTAGGGGAGGGATAGCATTAGGAGAAATACCTAATGCAGATGACAGATTGCAGGGTGCAGCAAACTACCATGGCACATGTATACCTATGTAACAAACTTGCACGTTCTGCACATGTATCCCAGAACATAAATTATAATAAAAAAAGAGAGAAGAAAATCTGACTAGCACTGGTGGCTGAGGCCTCTTATATTTTTTGAATGAACACTTACTCTCTTCCTTAGCTTATAAAAATGGAAGAAACCTTTCCTGGAACTGCATCACTTCTTATACAAAATAATGCCCTGAAATTCTGAACTAAAGATTATCACAATTTCTCTCAATGATGGTGAAGATATTGTGTTTATTAAAAGACCTTAAATTCCAAACAGTGAAGCCTAGAGTCTACTTTACTTTAAGCTAAATGGGTTCCATTGTATTTTTTAAGTAATTTAATAAAAGATTTTTAATAACTATCGGACTATTTTTAATGAAAGATATGTAAAGGCATCCATCACATCATTCCAGCGATGGGCTTAAGTTTATCATTTTTGAAGCTTTCAATAAGTTGTTAAATTATTCTGCAAGGGAAAATACAGTTCTTACTCAGTTAAAATTTCACTAAAAAATAGAACCAAATGTATCTTACTTTATCTGTTGCAGGGAGCCTACAAAAGTAGCCAGCCCATTAAAACCCATGGACCTCAGAATAACAGACATCTATTATATGAGCGCTGGGCACGCTGGGGAATGTGGTATAAGCATCAGCCTCTGGATTTAATCAGGTACTGCAAATGGAACAATAATGAAAAGCAAAGTATTCTGTTTTGTGTCATTGTCTTAGACTTGGAATTATTTATTGTGCTCACCAGTGAGGATGCAGTCTACAAAAAAGCAACCACTATAAGATTTTTCAGTAAAAGAATCTCACTGTAGGTAATTGGTTATACAGGGGATGGGAGAGCTGAGAAATCAAACAGGCTTTGCAAGGTGTCTAAGGGATGAGCAACAGCAAAAAATTACTAACACCCCTTAAGGGTGGAGAGAAATTGGAATAAAAACATATTACCAGAGCCCAATACTTATGTACCATTGCTAGGGCTTCCAGCAGAGAGGTGAAAGTGAGGGGGAGGATGGAGCCATGGAGAGGGCATAGAGAGGGAAAATGGTCCTGGCTTATCTCTTCCTTCTACCTTTGAGTGGTCTAGTACCTCCTGGCTCAACTTAACCAGAAGTAATTTAGAGTAAAACCTGACTAAAATGTCCAAACCGAAAAAAAGAAAGAAAGAAAGAAAAAAAGCCAGAAAGTGGATCTAAGAGCAAACAGAAAAATGACTAACACATGTTTCACATGTTTGTATATATTTACTGTTCAACAAAGATCTACTCTACTTCAGGATGCATATTCTAGTAACTGCCTTCAACTTGAACTAGTCTTGAAATATTGTTGTATTCACGATTTATATCATTTATTTTGATGGAGGATAACTTGTTTTTTATTTTTAGAGATCATGAAATCTGTATTAACAAGGACTTAAGTCTTTAGTTAACTATATTTATAGAATGAAAGAAAAAGACCATTTATATTAATATATGTTAATATTTTAAGCTGTTTATGAAATATAAACATCAAGAATAAATCACAGCTGAATCAGTCAGTGCCCCCAGTGTAAAACGGATGGACACTGAAAGGGGTACTTGTAGAGAATTTAATAAAAGAACTATATACAGAAGCATAAGCCAGGGTCAAGGGAGACAGTGACGGATGAGGAAGCTCCCAGGGACCAGCACAGCTGGAAGTTGCTATCAAACCTAGATCTTGAAGGGGCAGGGGGAGAAAGCATTCGGCAGAACCTGTCAAAATCTATACCATAAAAAGGATGGGTCATCTGAAACAAGCTATGACCTTAGGAAGAAGACAGCCACGGCCAAACCATGGCCCAAGAAAGAGGAAGCAAGGGTAATAAACCCCATCTGTTTTATATTGCCCTCTGATCTCCTGCTGGCACATTCAGTGGTTCAACAAACCCATCAGGAAGCCAGAAGAAAATGGGAGGGAACAAAGCTTATAGAGTCCATAGAGGTAGACCTCCTAGTGCCTATAATGAAAGGAAAAAAGTAGAATGTGGATCTGGAGACACAGAGGGTAAACATCCACCACCAAACGCTTTTAATTTCTTTTTTTTTAATTATATTTTAAGTTCTAGGGTACATGTGCACAACGTGCAGGTTTGTTACATATGTATACATGTGCCATATTGGTGTGCTACACCTGCTAACTCGTTATTTACATTAGGTATATCTCCTGATGCTATCCCTCCTCCCTCCCGCCACACCACGACAGGCCCCAGTGTGTGATGTTCACCACCCTGTGTCCAAGTGTTCTCATTGTTCAGTTACCACCTATGAGTGAGAACATGTGGTGTTTGGTTTTCTGTCCTTGAGATAGTTTGCTCAGAATGATGGTTTCCAGCTTCATCCATGTCACTACAAAGGACATGAACTCATCCTTTTTTATGGCTGCATAGTATTCCATGGTGTATATGTGCCACATTTTCTTAATCCAGTCTATCATTGATGGACCTTTGGATTGGTTCCAAGTCTTTGCTATTGTGAATAGTGTCACAATAAACATACGCTTTTAATTTCAAACATTAAGTGTTTTGGTATGTTCAGAACCAAGATGTTTTATTTCTTAGTCTGATGATCACAAGAAATGATCAGATTTTATTTTATGCAGATGGGAGAATTATTTTAGATATTATGAACATAGTGAAATGTGCTGGTTCACCAAGCTATATCTATTAGGAATTAAAATGAAGTTAGGATTTGCGAGCACACATTTTAGTGTCAATAGTTACATTTACTTAGCTTATTTCACTAAAGTTAATGTCCTCCAGTCTTATCCATGTTGTTGCAAATGACAGGATCTTCTCCTTTTTTAAGGTTAAGTAGTATTTCATTATACATATATATATATATATATATATACACACATACACACACACACACACATATGTATATAAACCATATTTTCTTTACCTGTAAGCCAAGGTAATACAAATGCTACATAATCTCCTGTATGGGTAGAATCTAAAAAGGTTGAACTCATAGAAGCAGAGGGTAGAATAGTAGTTACCGAAGGCTAGGGGTGGAGAGGAGGCAGAGGTTGGGGAGAAGTTGGTCAAAGGATACAAAAATTGGTTTAAATAGGAGGAATAAGTTCAAGAGATCTATTGTACCACATGGTGACTATAGTTAATAATAATGTATTTTATGCTTGAAAATTGCTGAGTACATTTTAAATGTTCTTACCATAAAATAAGAATAAATATGTGAGGTAATGCATATGTTAATTAACTTCATTTAGTCATTCAAAGCTATATGCATATTTCAAAACATCACACATGCAATAAATATGTACAATTTTTGTTGACAAAAAATAAACAGAAAGTATAAGTTCTCATCTATAGAAGACATTACTCTTGCTTCTTCAGGTAATTCCAGCAAGCAGCCTTTATTTTCAGTAAATAGGTTTATTCAGCTACTATTACCACTTCTTTGGCTGATGACATAGGAGGATTTTTTTTCTTAAAAAATTATATTTTTACCTTTAAGTGGCTAAGAGAAGGAGTCTGTGATGAAATACTCACCCAAGAGAAAGTTTATGAAAGAGTATAGATGGCATTTGAACATGTTTTTACCCCTTAGGAACTTAACTTGTATTACCAAAATTTAGATGGTAATGAGACAAACATGGATGTTAAACTATTTATGCATAGCATTTTCTACAAGCCCCATTTTTCTACAACCAGAAGAAAGATTGTCTTAAAATTTGTAACTACTTATTTTGAGTAAGTTGTTCTTAAAACCACACACTTTTCAGGACATGCATCTCTTATTGTGTTGCTTCCTATCTGTAGTGAGAGAAAGAGGGTGTTCAGAGTTGAATTTCCTTATACTCTTTGGTTATGGATAATGGAGACCCATAGGCACAGCCTGTATTGTCTCATGCTGAATAAAGTAGTTCCTTAGTAGTGGATGGAAAGTCAGATACAGGCAATTCCTTTTGTATATAAATAACCATTTCTGGACATGTGTCTGTGGTTTTTCCCATTTTAAAAATAAATTTAAACATTTTGTAGCTAAGGCCTATTTTAGTTGCAATCTGTTTTTCCATGAAAAATATTTGAAACTAAAAAGAGCACACATTCAAAATCATCAGCTATAAAACTTGCTTAGCAAAATTCTTGTATGGCAATTTAAAAAATTACACAATAGGTATTGGAGACATTTGTATTTGAAAACAATGTCACTGAAGGAAACAATTCTAAAAGCATAGATTTCCACATGGTTTCATTGTATGATAGAAATTATTTCAGCAGCAGAATTATATCATTGAATGAAATATGACACAAGGCACAAATATTAAAAAAAAAAAAAACAGATAAAAACAGAGCTGTGGTTGATGTGTGATGGGGAGTTACCCAGTAGCAGCCCCCTCTTCCTCCCTCTTCCTCCTTGCTCTATTTGGAACACAGGAATCATAGAAGATTGTGAGTACCAGTGCTCTAAGGCAAGGACATTTTTCATTAGCCTCTTTTACATGGCACCAGCTCCTTCTTCTCCTGACACAGATCTGAAATCTACTTTTACTTAGGTGACTATACTTCGCCAAATAATATTGTTGCTTCTCTTAACCTTCAACAATGTGTAATTTAAAATATCATTATCTATATCATACTGATATAGATAATACTGTCTATATCAGCTGATTTGTCTGTGCAACCCTCTGTCACCAAAATCATAAAGGTCCTCTACTGTGTTAGTAACATGTGCTAAAAACTTTGCTCCACCCCACAGAGGAACACTTGTTCAAACAAACAAATGTTTTTTTTTCAATACCTATTAATATAATAAGTTTCCATCTCACAGTAGAATACTATTATTGTATGAGAAATGAATGTTCTATTGATCTGGGTTTCCTAGGAGAGAGAGATAAATAAAATGAAAAAATTGGAGAAGTGATGCTTGACAGATGATTATTCCAGGTCTGCACCCAGTAGAATATGCAAAAGATTTAATTGGCACAACACAGAGAATGAAGCAGAAAGAGAATAGTTTTCAGAGAAGAGAAGGCTTGTTAAGGAAATATGACAAGAGAATCTTCTTCTTATCAAGAATCACTGCTCAGTGCAATATGCCCAAACGAACTTTAAAGTGCCCATCTTTATTGCAGGAACAAAACTGTGTGTGTTAAGTAACCGTCTTTAGAAGATGGAGACCAAACAGTGGTAAAGAAGTCAGGAAATTATCATTTTTAACCAGGCCTTTAATACCGGCAGTAGGTTAGGTGAAGAAAGCGCAACTGAGTAGTTATTCGAGCTGCCTTATTTCTCTGCCATTTCAATTTAAATGATATTCATCAACTAGAGGGGAATTAAACGCATTAACTCTCTTAGCATCCTTCGATACTTCCTGCGATGGGTACTAGTGAAGCAACACACAGCTCTACCTTTTAGCAGCTTACAATCGTATAGGGAGGAAAAGGAATGGAAGAATGACTGGTAATTACCATACATTTTTGTAAGTTTAGGGACAGCGTTAACCAGGGTAAGTGCCATGTGCTTTGGAAACTGCAGAGTTGAGCTTTGTTGAGGAAGATGTGACATAATGGTGCACATTGTGTCTAGCATAAGGGTGTCTGGTGAAGGGTGCAGATGGAGAGGGAAATCTAACTAACCTGCTCTCAGCACCCACCCAGAGGGGAGACCTTTTCTTAATTTTCATGAAAGCTATATGGTTTAGAGCAGCTCTGTGATGTGAAAAAATGAAAAGGGATGCTAGTAGGAAGATGGAGAAAAGCCAGGTTTATGAGCATGTTAAGAAGTATGGCATATACCTAAATACATGTGACAGAATTGCCCCATATTGAAAATGTTTAAAAATAAACAACATTACCATCATTGGATTAATTAACAAGCAGGAGTATTAGATACTTTAGATGGAGCTGAGGAGGAACTGAGTGTAGCTTCAAGTTACCATCTGAAATTCTGACTAGGTGTGGCATCAATATTTGTAATATTGCTTATGTTGCCTTAACTCAGTCTAAGGATTTGCTTTCTCATGCAGGCTATACTTTGGTGAGAAGATTGGACTATACTTTGCTTGGCTGGGATGGTATACTGGAATGTTGATTCCTGCAGCAATTGTTGGTTTGTGCGTTTTCTTCTATGGATTATTTACAATGAATAATAGTCAAGTAAGGTAGGCTATTAAGAGACCTATTAAAAATATTTGGCTTGTCTTCTGAATGGGCAAAAGTTTAATGATAATGCTGACTATAAAAAATCAAATGGTTGATGATACTACAATTTAATTTATTTGCTATTTCTGTTTTTTGGCTTTTGTTTTTGGTAGGAAGAGAACACAATTATAAAAGGTCATTTTAATACTTTTATTTGCAAACTATCTTGAGTAATTTCTAAGAATGTTTATGTAAAATTCCTCTTTCCAGTATATACCATATAATTCAAAAATTTGATAGCTTTGTGTGATTTACATTTGCATAGCATTTGTTAGTCTAGAATGCCCTCTTGATATATTCATTCAAATCATTATAAAAGCTATAATTTATAATTTACAAAGTCCTTCCAAATACCTTGTTTCATTTGCTATAACCTTCACTACCACCCTGGGAGATGCATAGCTCTTTTTGCACATGAGGGAACCTAATATACTTAAAGATGTCTAAATAAAACAATTATACCACATAAGTCCTGCTCTAAGCAACCTCCTCTACTCTCCTGAGTACGTGACAAAACGTAACATACTTTCTACCCTATTATTACTCTCTGGAGGAACAAATATTTATAAATTTTACTTAGCATCCACTTAAGATATGGAATGGTAGTGAAATCGGATTTGACAAAAGTCAAACATATATCAAAATGGTGATGCTTCTGTTAAAGTTGAAGTGACTTGAGATTTGGAAATAGGAACAGCACATTGTTATTCAGCAAGGACAAGAGTCACCCTAGCATTAAATAATCTTAACAGCATGTTCTATTTAATATATCACGAGTATATTATCAACTTTGACTTTGTATGGTAAAATTAAAAATATGAAAAATATCTCTCCCCTTTCTTTCAAAGCTCAATGCTTTCTTCTCTTTTGGTCCATTTTTTAACCATGGCCTTGCTACTGAATACTGAACATGACAGTTAATGCTAAGGTTATATGCTTCATGAGATCATAACAATTAATTTCCCTGAATTTTCTTTAACAAATATAATATGTATATGTATGTATAAGTATAACAATTATGCTTAAAAACAAAACAGCTTTATTGTCCTAGAATTAAATCCTATTCAATAACCAAGTTGCTTGATTTGATATCTCAAAGTCCCCTTGTTCTTCATGAATGCCAAAAGATAGATAGCATGAAAACAAAGAAACACCTACTGCAAAAACCCATTTCATCTAGTCTTGGGTTTATTTCAGAGTTTTGCAAACTCACTACCATCCTGCAAGGTAGCATCTTCCTGAACAAACTTCGGCCCACCGGAAACATCCATCCTCCTTTTCGGCATTTCCCCGTATTCTGTTGTATCAGTAACATCCGGGGCTCAGAAGAAAGGTTGTGGTTTAGAGTTACAATGAATTGGAAAAAAAAAAAAAACACTTTTAAGATAAATTTTAAAATATGGGAAATGATTCTTCAACAGCTACTCTTCAAGTTGGTCCCGTGGAGAACATATTAACAAAATGTTAGCATATGATACAGACTTCCCCACTCCACCACTACAAAGCTGAAAATGAACAAAGAGGAATGAAGGGAATAGATTTGCTGTTTCTATTGATTTATATACCAATAGAGTAAATTAGGCTCTTTTTGTATGAGATAATTATTCTCTAACCTTTGGTACAAGGAGTGTTCTAAAAGGCATTAGTAAACTCTTTTCTTCAGTGTTGTATGGCATTATATTACTCCCACTTCTGTCACACTATAATTAAGATCCTGTCAGACTTTCTATTCTAAACCAAGATAAGCAGCACTGAATATCTTGACTGAAAATTTGGGGACTGAAATTTTCCATTCAAGGTGTCAGACGTGGTTGAGTTGTAGGTGTTATCATGGTGGGTGGGGGAAGGAGAGCAAGCTTTTATTTTGTGTGGACTTACGTTAGCATAATTTTATTAAACTCTTTTTTGCTTGTTGCAGGGTAGAAAAATGTTCCAAAGATGCAGATGTGGCTCTATTGATCATGTTTCTACAAGTTATGTCCAACTAAATTAAGATCATGTTTCTCAATTGCCCTGCACTTAATTATAGAAGTATATAACAATCAGGTTTTAGATGATTGTATATACATACATGTATATATTTACATGTATACACTGGTCTTACATAATCAAATATGGCCATATCTGTGCCTGGGAAAAGATACAGGAATTTGAAAATGAACAGGCAGACACGTGTGGCCTGGTTTTAAGGCCCTGGGTTTCAGAAACCAGGAAGCAGAGCTGAAGCCCCAACTCTCTGGCCTATTATTGCCTCTTCAGCATCAGAACTCACCAAGAAATTAATGTGGTTCTCAATATTGACCAGATTTTTAAAAGTCGTTTCTTAGAGGATTTCCAAGCCCTCTCTTGACACTGTCCTTAGCAATAAGCTTCTTCCATTTATCAAGTCCCTGTAATGTGTAAAGTACATTGTAAAAATTTTTAATCTAATATCCCAGTTAGATATCCCCATACAAGATGAAGAAATTGATCCTTTAAAAAAAAAATGACTTTGTCAGGCAATATATCTAGTAAGTGGTCAGCTAAGTTTCAAGCCTATTTCTGATTTTTAAAATTATCAACAGTATTAACAATTATATGATTATGATTAATATATAATTATTACAGAAATAAATTAACACAATTAATTAATGTTTTATTAATTTATATTTAATTATCAATTGATTATTAATAAATATTTATTAGTGATGAGAACACAGAGTGACATCTACCCCCTTAATAAATTTTTAAGTGCACAAGACAGTATTATAGACCACAGGCACAATGTCATACAGCAGTTCTCTGGAATTTATTCATATTACATAACTGAAACTTTTTATCCGTTTTACCCTCCATTCCCTCCTTCCCCTAGCCAATGGCAACCACCATTTAACTCTGTTTTTTATAAGTTTGACTATTTTATATACCTCATATAAGTTGAATTATTCAGTATTGGTTATTCTGTGACTGGCTTAATTCACTTAGCATAATTTCCTCTAGGTTTATCCATGTTATCACATATGGCAGGATTTCCTTCTTTTCTAAGACCAAATAATATTGCATTACACATATATACCACATTTTCTTTCTTCATTCATCAGTCAATAAACATTTGGATTGTTTCCAAATATTGGATATTTTTAATAATTCTGAAATAAATGTGGGAGTGCAGACAGCACTTCCAGATCATGATTTCATTTCTTTTGGATATGTATCCAGAAGTGGGATTGCTGAATCATATGGTAATTCTATTTTTGATTTTTTGAGAAACCTCCCTACTGTTTTTCATAGCAGTGGACCATTTTAGATTTCTACCAGCAGTGTACAGGATTACAATTTCCCCGCATTCTCACCAATACTTACTCTTTAAAAGAGTAGTAGCAATCCTAACAGGTGTGAGGTGATTTTTTATTGTAGTTTTGATTTGCATTTCTCTGATGATTATGTCTGATTTTAAAAGCAATGATTTATCCATAATGCCCTACTGGTTTTCCTTAAACCTAGTTTCACACTTTTCCCCAAAAATGTGTACCACAAAGCAAATATTTTATCTTCCATTCTTTATCATGTTAGCTGGATTATAAGGAAGCATGAGAACCCTCAAGTGAGTGGGTCCAAACATCCACCTCCATATAGAAAATTTATCGCTACTTTTATCTTTAATTGGTAGTAATGATTATTTCTTTGGAATCACACTTGATGTGTATATTTAGCAATAAATACAAAACAAAAGAAAACCACAATTTGAGTGGTTGTTTGG
This sequence comes from Homo sapiens, assembly GCF_000001405.40. NCBI lineage: Eukaryota > Metazoa > Chordata > Mammalia > Primates > Hominidae > Homo > Homo sapiens. The sequence continues at coordinate 26,551,330 of NC_000011.10, forward strand.
ATTGTCAAGCACTGCAAAAGAAATTAAGAAACACTCATGATGGGAACTCTCTCTCCCTCTAGTGGTTAAGTAAAGTCAAAGAAACTTGTGATACTCTTAAATATTTTAGACTAAAAAATGTCAAAAGTTTTGTGATGATTTTTGTGTACCATGTATCAAGTTGAATGTTGAGTAACTTTCAGAAAATGAATGTAATGATTCTAGCAGTAAAAAGATTCTGGAATTCTAGACTTGGTGCTTCAATAAATCTGAGCTTTTGATTGACTCCATTTGGAAATTGAGAAAGATTATGTCATATAAACAAACTTCAATACCTTTTTAGTATAAGATTCTAAAGCAGGACAAATTGTATCATTTGTGAAACAATGAATTATGTTAAAAAGCTCATTTCAATTTTTTTCAAGAAGTGTGTTAATAGTTCTTATTCCTACAAATTACTAGTATTGACATAAGAGGAGATATAATCTTCTCTTTCTTTTTGGTTTTTAAAATGTGTAGTTTACCTGCTTTCTCCTACTTTATGTAGACATCCTGATTACTAGTAAGATGATGAGTGTGAAAGTAGAAGAGCTATAGTATATGTAAGACCCATTTCATCATCGTGATCACTAATAAATTATTACTTGATAGAAAAGTTCCCTTAAAATATGAAACAAACTGTATCTCTCTTTTAGATATAGTTGATGGAGAACTGGATCTACAATCAGAAAACCTAAGCTTGGGGTCCCTGAAGTACCTCTAGCTAGCTCTATAATGTTGAGCAAGTTCCTTAAATTGAACATTGTTTTTCTCTTTTTACTGGAGATAATTGCCATTACCCAAGATTGGAGTGAAGACTAAACAATTTGACAGACATAAAATCATCTTTGCCCGCTGTAAAGCATCATGTTACTATGTGGTATCATTACTTACTATTGATCCCCACTTTGGCTTGAGATTATATACATCCCATACTTGAAATACACATGGAAATTCACACGCATTCTTTTTTTTGGTTCAAGTACAAATGTGTAAAAACAACAAATCTTGCTGTAAACATTGCCAATTAAACTTGTATTAAGAGCTGAATCCAGACACATTTTCTAAAGCCTTTAAATTCCTTTCAACATTTCTAGAGAAGAGTTAATTCAGGGGATACTAAATGGGAAAGGGCCATGTATGAGAGGAAAGGGCACAAAGCGTCCTGCAAATAAGTTGCTGAGAACTGTGAGTCTGAGGCTCTTCGGAAATTGTTATTGATGTGTTAGTGCTGTCACAAAGTCATCTAAAATGTATGCTGAGAAATTTTCTTAAAGGCAGTGGACATAAAACTGAAGAGATGTGTCATAAAGTTACATTCTATTAGAGAACATATTTACATAAATATAAACTATGGCATGTCATTGTGACAGTGTATGTCAAGGTGCTGCAAAAAAAACCCAACAAGCAAACATAAAAAAGCAATTATTTTAATCTCCAATGAACATTCTGCACCAACAATATGTACTGCAGTGGGTGTTATAAATTGTGTGATCACCAGACTTGAGAAAACCAAATAGGTTTGATTCCATCTCAGCCACTTCCAAGCCTGCGAGTTTGGCTAAAACTCCATTGGTATACCGCACAAGATTATCCTGAGTGCCATGAAATCATGTATAAAAGTGTCATTGTAGACAAAGTTTCACCATTTATCACACAATTATCTTGACAGCATTTTCTAAAATTAAAGAAGGAATCCCAAACTTTTGCATCACAAATATTCTAAAGTGTTTGAATTGGAGTCACACCACAGTGCCCACCACTCCCCACTATTCCCATTTCTTCTCCTTTTCCTCTCTGCCTTGCTGGTTCCAACAGGATTTGCTGTAGGGGCTAAGTGAATTCTTAGTCACAGTTTCATGCTATGTTTTGTTTTGTTTTTGTTTTTGTTTTTTCTCAAGCCAAGAAATTTGTAAAGCCACTGAAGTCTTTATGTGCCCTCTCTGTGACAAGAACTGCTCCCTGCAGAGACTCAACGACAGCTGTATCTATGCCAAGGTGAGTGTGGACCCTCACATTCTCCTCCCTGAGCTGTACTGAGAAGCAGGCTGTAAGAAGTCCTCTAGTCAATAGCTTTTTACCAAAGTTAAGTGTTCTCAAGAGTTTCAACCTTAATAAGTGCCATTGACAACTGAATAAAATGTCAGTCTATTGCAATTAGAAAGCGAGTATACTTTTATTTGAACATTTTTGTCTTCCTTTGTTTTTATAACTGATTTTTGCCACCATAGATAAACATAAACTTCCACATGTAATTATATCTAGATTCTTTTTAGCAAACAATTACTTCTATTGCTACTTACTAAATGTGTACGTTACATGAAAACTTATGAAGTTAAAATACTTCTATCGGTACGGAGAAAATGAAATAACATTCAAAAAATCCCCAAATTGCTGCCTGTTAGAATTAACTGAACGGCTTTTAAAACTCCTGAAGCTCAGATCAACCCCAGAACAATTAAATCAGAATCTTTGGGATTGGAACATGAATATCGGTGTATTTCAAATTTTCCTGGGTGATTTCAATGTTCCTTCAAGTTTAAGAAACACTGAATTCTACATTATTATTTTCGTTTGTAAAACAGTTTTATAGAAGTGTAATTAACATGTAATGAAATGTACCTACTTAAAGTGTATGAATTGATATATTTTGTTATATGCGTGCACCTGTGAAACCGTTAGCATAATCAAGATAATGAACATATCCTCTCCAAAATTTTCCTCACGCCCTTTCAATCCCTGCCTCCCTGACCTTCCCCTGTGCTCTAGCAGCCACCTGCTTTGTGTCATTATAGATAAATTTGTATTTTCTAGATTCTTGTGTAAATTGAATCCTGTGTATTTATGTATTTTTTTCTGGCTTCTTTCACACAGCATATGTATTGAGATTCATTCATAATGTAGCATTTATCAATAGATCATTTTTATTGCTGAACATTATTCCATAATATCTATACCCTGTTTGTTTATTTCTTTACCTATTATCAAAATTTTGGATTGTTTCAAATTGTTGCCTATTTTAAAAAAGTCTTCTATTAACATTCATCTACAAGTCCTTATATGGACAAATGCTGTCATTTCTCTTGGGTAATTACCTAGGAGTAGACTGGTTGGATCATGTGATAGGTATATGGTTAGCCTATGAAAACCCTGTTAAGCAAAACTTTTCCCATGTGTTTATATCTTTTACATACCCACCCATGGTATATGAGAATTCCAGTTTTCTGTGTAGTCACCGAGCCTCGGTGTGGTCAATCTTTATGAATTTTAACAATTCTAATGCTCTTTCTGTGTACGCTACCCAAGTCACTGTGCATAATGAGGGCTCCCAGTGGCTGGTCTGACTCCAGTCTCTCAAGTGGTGCTTTCCTTGACAGATGGTTTCCTTGCATACATACTCACTGAGTACTGCCTAGGTTATTCTTCTCTACACCCTGGGAACTCTTCAAGGCAGTAATCTGAGGAGTAATAATGTGAGCGTTGTTTGTTTTCCGTCTCTCAGGGATCATTGCCCTTTTTTGCCTGATGTCTACCATCTTGTAATCTGTTGTTTTATACATTTTGTGCATTTTGGGGGTGTTTCCAGCATAGGGATAAAATCAATCCCTCTTACTCCATCTTTTCCAGAGTGGAGGTCTCCATACAATTAATTTTGACAAGGCTGGGTGCAAAATCCAAAGCCACTCAATGTCCTTACTACAAGAACATAACTTAGTAAAGTTAGTTTCTGATTTATCTTGAATGAAGAACATGTGAAAAGTCTGTTTCGTTTATACTTTAATTTCAGAACAAATGTTTAGTTTTTCATTCTTTTAAATGTTCCATAAAGATGATAGAGACTTAGAAACATGGTTATCTTGTTTGGAGGCAGCATTTTCTCATCACTTTTGGCAAGAACCAAGTGTGTTAAGAGTTATTAGATGTATACACATATGTCTCTCTCCTAGCCTATGATTTTAGACATAAAACAGCCTAGGAATGCCAAAAAAATCCAGATACTTCTTCTTTCACTTGGACATATCTAATAACACACATTGGCATTATTTTAACACTGAAGACAAGAAATATCCACATATGGCAGAGTGATAAAGTAAGGAAGCCGTCCAAGGAAACACTACATCTAGGTTGCTTTTGTCATCATGCAGTAAATACATCTCTTCTTTTCTGAACAGAGAAAGGTACATTTAAGGACAGGGATGACTCACAAAGAATTCACTTAATAACATGTATAAGGAAGGTGGAAAAGTTAGCTTGCAAAGGAGAATATTGCCTTATGGAAGAATACAAGAAATACAACCCACTAGGATGAAATGTCTTTTATTTGTTCCTCTGACTAAGATAAAATGTAGCTACTTGTTTTATACTTTAAAAATAAGAGTTCCTCTTCCCTTATTGGATGGAAATCAACAGTCTATTTTACTATATATTTTTGAATTTAAATAGCTAATAATTTATTGATGGGTAGAATCAGATATAAGGGAGCAGATTTTTGCCAAAGGTACAAGCCAACCAATCTAGGATCATCTAGAAACAAAATCATCTGGACACATGATCTAGGGACTTCTCAATTCAGTTCCTTACAGAATCCATTACTGCTTGTGACAAAGAAAAATAAATTAAATTTTCCATATTATATTGAAAAGGCCATGTGTGTACATATAATTATTCCCTTTATAATTTCAGTGATATGTTTGCATGGAAAATAACTGGTCCTATCATATGATAAAAATTAATATTTAAGTACATTAATGTTTCCTTTCATGACTACTTTTATTTTAGTACTTAAAAGTATTGGAATTAGGATATTTTTGCAATTAAGTAATTTAGTGATATTTGCACACATTTAAATGCACTGACACTACATTATCAAACCCTGTGATGCTAGGAATTCTCATTTAAGGTGAAATAATTAGATAGAGGTCCTAAATTGTTTTTCATATAATTGAAAAATGACTCAACCCCTTGAAGTTAAGTCTTACTCATAATAATTTTCTCTTTAAAAAAAAACTTGTTTAACAAACATGTACTCAATACCCAGTATGAACCTCAGACTGTATACTGATTTGAGGTTACAACAGAAGTAGGAGAGAAGCTGTTCTTTTCAAGAAACTTCATGAAAAAAAAAAAGGAGTCTGTATAAGACTGTACATCAGATCATCTAGAACATTTGTTAAAAAAGCAGATTTCTGGACCCCGTATCCTGAAATTTAGAATCAATTGGTCAAGGGTGAGGCCTCAAACTCTCTATGTTAACAAGTTCCTCAGGTGACTCTAATTTCTAGGACCAAATTTTTTAAAAGATACGTGGAGAATAGTCTAATCAAGACTGCATTTTTTATGTAGCTTCTGCCCAGGTCCAGCAAATAAAATGGTTATTCAGGTTTTACCCTGCCCAAGAGGTAAGGAATGAGGAAGTGAAAGGGAGTGACCTTCAGCTTCAATTCTGACTCCCTGCCCTCCAAGTCTCCAGTAATAGCTCTGCATACATGGTTGAATCTGCCAAGGAGGCACCTTGTTCTCCTTATCCTGGAGAGACTTTAGTGGGATATAAGTGGCATTTTTCAGAGCCTTATGTTTTTCTGAACCTATAAAGCAACTTTAGAACAAGACCCAGCAGGTATCATGGAGAAAACATAGACTTTCAGCTTCCAACCTAATCAGATATATATCTCTTTAACAGTACCCACATTTTTTGATTTGTAGTCACACTCAGTTCTTCAAGAGAAATCAGGTGTCAAAGAAAATGGACAATTTGTACTTAAATCAAGCTTTTAGGCTAAGTTTGCTACCTTCTTTATATATTATGCCTAGTCATCTTAACAATGTTGAACAAGCCAGGCGCGGTGGCTCACACCAGTAATCCCAGCACTTTGGGAGGCCGAGGCGGGCGGATCACGAGCTCAGGAGATCGAGACCATCCTGGCTAAGACAGTGAAACCCTGTCTCTACTAAAAATACAAAAAATTAGCCGGGCGTGGTGGCGGGCGCCTGTAGTCCCAGCTACTCGGGAGGCTGAGGCAGGAGAATGGCGTGAACCCAGGAAACAGAGCTTACAGTGAGCCGAGATCACACCACTGCTCTCCAGCCTGGGCAACAGAGCGAGACTCTGTCTCAAAAAAAAAAAAAAAAAGTTGAACAAAATGCTTGCCATGGGTCCCTCTATTCATAAAGGCAAGCTGTTTTTCTAATAAAATAATTTAATGTATTACATATTTAATTATATGTGTAGGACAAGATTCTTTTTGCTTTTAGAAAAATCTGCTATGCTGCTTATGGAATTTTCTCAATATTTCATCTGGAGTTTCTTCAGTATAACAAGTGCTCTTGTCCTATTAGACAGAAGGCCAGTTATCACTTAATTCTTCTGTCAATCACCCATGATCTAAGCTTGAGCCATTCACAGTAAGCTTGACTCTTCCTTCATTCTTTTTCCCATTTTCATTCAGCAGCTCATATGTCAGCACCCTAAATAAAGCCCTGAACATCTCAAGCTATAACCACAGACCTCGAACTGTTCTTGTTGTCTCTATGATCTCCCACGTCATAATACATCCCATGTGTAATAGCTTGGTAAATCTAACACATGATTAAACACTGTCGTACTCTTCCTTAGAGCAAGTTCTGAAGTCTTCTCTAATGCTCCTTCTAGCTTTATCTCCCATTAGATGTATATAATCCCACATTACAAGAATATTACATGTACTCCAACTTTATCTCAGGAAGATGTTCCTAAACTATTAATGTTTAAATTTATTGACTTAAAATGCCTGAAAGATTTGTTAGCAAACCTAGTAAGAAAAAAAATGAGAAGCACTTTAAAGGAAAATACTACACAAACTATGATAAGTTCATGCAACACAATTGCTACTAAGGATGGCTTTTTATTTGCCACTTTTCTAAAAGCATGGTTATTTCTAGAGCGGGGAAGGGCCATTATTTCTTGGTGACCTTTAAATCCCCATGTGTAAAGTCTGTTCTAACACTCTAAGAGACTGTTTCCTGTATGATGTTGGTTTACAAAGGAAAACAGACAGCTGTTCAGCTGTTCAGCAGCCTCAGGTGTCTCTGTGGGACGTCTTGAGAAACAAAAATTCTTGACTCCCTGCTGGGTATAATTTTATGAGCTCTGTGGGAGAATTTCTTTATGATCCTTTTCTCTCCTGATATAAATGTACACTGATGATTGTTTTGAAAACCGATTTTTATATTAATTTTTAGAAATACCGTGCCTTAACCAACAATGAATTTTAGAGCCATATGGGACATTTTGCACCTATCCACCAACCTTCAAAGGGAGCGCATCTTTTCTATGATGATATTATCAATAATGCCACATTATAGGAAAATACATTTTATGATGACTTGCTTTACATATATTTTGCAGTGTGTTCCAGATGTTACAACTGAAATACGTATTACTGTTGTTTTAATGCTCCCATTGAGCACCCTCTGGATGTCAGATTGAACAAGGAGGACACCATTCCATTCCAACTTTCCTTATAATACTGTTCTTTAACCCATGATTGTCCTCACCCTCCTGTGAGGACAATGCCCTATTTTCTCTATCGTTTCTATGGAATTTTTGTGCTGGCCAGACATTTTTTGCCTTCACTGTGTTAGTTTAATTTCTCTCACTAAGTTACATATATACTGAGGGCATTATGCAAATGCAAACAAGCAAAGGTAAATTGAATTTATACTTTATTAAAATCAAACAATACAAGCCTTAAAATTTGATTCAATAACATTATAAAACTATGCATCCTTTATGAAGTTTCAGTTGATATCTGATTAAAAAACACTTTGTTTCATAAGTGTTCAGTGATTTATGAAACTTTTAAAACAAATTAAGATGGGATTTATTACATCTTATAGCCATTATTGGACCCATTCTACATTTTGAAAGACTAAGAGAATAGGGTTAGCTATGGGAAATGCTGGCTCACTGGAAGAATCCTGCATTTTCCAACTTCCCCACTCCTAGAAGTTTTGCTAACAGGAATTGCAACTAGGAATGCCTCACCTGAAAAACTAATTTCATACAACTTTCATTAAGTAGTTTGACAATCTGTGACCCACAAATACTTCCATAGAATGGTAGAATTATTTATAATCAGAAATGATGGTGGGGTATAAAGGGAATCAAGAGAGGAGAGAAGAGGGCTAATGTTGTTTCTTCACCTCTCCCCATGAGAAAAATCATGTGAAATTGTTGCAAGACCCATGAAAGGAATTCATATATAATATTTCTGTACTATAAAATAATATGATTCTATTTGAGAAAAAATCATAGTACCTGAGTGCAAACAGTATTCACTGGCTTATTATAATCAATTTGCATGACTAATATTTCTGTTTGTTTTCTACTCAGGTGACATATTTGTTCGATAATGGAGGGACAGTCTTCTTTGCTATTTTTATGGCAATATGGGGTAAGTACTTTCTTCATTACTTTCTATCCCTTATTTTCTGAAGCTGTTTCTGTGTTACACACACACACACACACACACACACACACACACACACACCATGAATCAATTCAAAAATAAAGCCTCTAGGTTGGTACTTGATTTGTTTGCTCTCTTCATATATTCAGTGCTTCTTTAGGAATTTAACTCTTGATCTCATCCTCTAATCTCTAAAACCTAGACTTTCCTACATCAAGGAACATATTTTTTCTACCAAAGGAAGGTGGTAATTAAAAACAAACTGAAACATACTAGAATCCAAATTAATCTTCTTATATTATTGATTATGAAACTGATGCTCAGTAAAAAGTTGTTTGATATTTCCATTCATCTTTTTTAACCTTATGGTTCATACATTTAGGGATGCAGAATCTATTCCATTATGATTGAGCAATAATGTCTAATACATAAGAAATCCAGTTCCTATCTAACAACTTAAAACTGTACAAATTATGTACAGGTATATTCTTTGGTTAACTTTTTTTTTTTACCATGATTCTCATTGAGTTTTTAAGGCACCCAAATAATTGAAGCCTAAGATATATTAAGACAAGTTAAAATTCCCAAAACCTTTGAAGACTTTTAAAGAAGCTATTACTTTCCTGGGTAGGGTCAGCTTTCCTGCCATGGCCCCGTTGAATGCAGTCATTGTCAGCTTCATAACTCAGTGGGCTGATCATGTGTGTGCTGATCTAGAAAATTATAACGTACTAGAATACAGGTCTGTCATTTCTATTGCCTCAATTTCCCAATAACAGAAACTCTGGGCTATGTCCTCTTTTTAGCTTTAAGTCAAATTTTCTTTAAAAAGCACCCTTTCAATTTTCATTTAAGAAAATGCAATCTTGAATTATGGTACTAGGGCTTCAGGCAGAGCAGTAAAGAGTCATCTTCATTGTTTTAGAATTTTTTGGTGGAATAATTTTTATTATTTAGTTATGAGGCAGGGCTGTAATGGTGAAATCTTTTAGTTTTATCTGATTCCACAAATATTTTCTACTAAGAAAATACTACTAAAATACAAATTAAGGCTACTTAGTAAATGCCTCAGGATGGCCAAAAATTGTAAGAAAGAAAACCTTTGGATGATACATCCTGTCTACATTTCTGCTACTGGTCTCCTGCTTTTATGATTCTCCTTGACAAAATCCACGTGACAGTAATTTTGTGTAACCTTTTGAAAGATGAATTTGTCAAAAGGCTAGGATGTAGATGACACTTGCTGTTTAACGCCTTTTTGCTGTTAGTTCTATACAGAAGTACGAAGTGGAGGTATGTCATCCATAGGAATGCCATCACGTGCATTTTCTTCACTTTCTGGCATGGCTGAATCATTCAAAGTTGGATTGTAGTAGCTAGAATTCCCAAAACTCACATCATAAGGTTCCGGTGCATTGTCTAATCGCAGAACTAAAAAAGTAACAAAATAATACTGTTTCACAGTGATACTCTGAAAGATTCATGTTCAGGCATCCACCAAGTTATAGGAATTATTCTAGATGAGAAAATAAATATATTTTTATATGGGCTTTTTAGATTTTAGTTTTAAAATTTTAAATAAGTAGATGTTTTTCAAGCTTCATTTTTTATAAGACTAAGAGTACAGTTTTACTTCCAAAATTTTACTGTTGATGGACTCAAAGTAAAGGAACTAAAGAAGAGACCAGTATAGTATATCAATACCTTGCATAAAGAAGTGTAGACCATACCTCATTGACTTTTGAATCTTGTGATTTCAAAGCCTTGTCAACATGTTCAGAATTTGTCACTTCTGGTGTAAAATTTTTTTAAGTGAAGTCAATAATTTTTAAATTAATGTTATTATTTTACCAAATATCACAGTATCTTGATGGCTAAACCATTTAAGGTGGAGGAGATAAAAAAAGTATTTGTGGGAGCTTATGTTTTCTTCTGATCGATTCAAGTTATCATGCACTTGAGGTTTTCTGATTGTTGATGTGGAAATTTAGTTTTCTTTTAAAACAAATAGTCATTATTTCCTAAAGATCTTGAATTCATTTTCAAAGCAAAACTGGACATGCTCTTGGTATCTTAAAGTACTACAAGCAGTAACTAATTATTAATTATATCAGTAAACTATTCACTTAGGTATCATCATTTGCTTATCTACTTATTCCTGTAGCCATCTGTTTACAAATTGGGCTCCCAGGAACCTTAGGTCTTTGGGAGAGGTGTCTCAAAGCTGTCTTTGATGGATAAAACAGTTGTTGTGGATTGAGTTATTCTTTTATGCCTCTATCACAGCAGTTTAGATTGTATCAATTTTTGATAGATTGAGTTTTTACATGAGATTACATGTAAAGACAAGATTCAAAGGTTAAAAAATGGTTGAAAACCACCGTTATAAATCCTATCCTTTAATTTTTGAAGAATGGTACTTTTTGTTTTGTATTAGTTCCTAGAAACCCATAATCAGAATTCAGTTACATTTATAATTTACAGATTTGGTTCTGAATATGAGAAATATATCAGTTATATCTGAACTCATCAAAACTCAAATTCAGTAAGACTTCATCAATGGGACCCACCAGAAGCATTTAATTATTTGTTATGGTGACAAGAATCCCTTGTGCAAACCAGAAAACACATATTTTTTTCCCTGAAGTATAAAACTGCAGATGAACCAAGCAATAAAACAAATATCAAATTGATATTATATTATTAAAGCACAAACTGACAACTTTATTTTTAGTATACATATTTCTCATTCATAGATATTATGGTTGGCTTTTTCCATCATATGAGTGGAAAATTCCTGAATTAAGGTACAATGTGACTGTGTGTGCAAATATGCAACTTTTAGATGCTTTGTTTTAGAGCCTCATTAAGATGGTTAATGGAGGGCTGCTGTGTCTGTATAAACTTTAAAAGAGCTCCAAATTAGAATCAATCTTTGTTCAAATTACTGCTACTTAATGATCTAACAATGGCAAGGAATAGCTTTGCCGTCACTTGCTAACAAAACTGGTCATTTTTTCTGAATGTCCTACCATTCATTATCTTCCAATTTTATACATATGTTTAGATTCTTGGATTATTATTTAAAACCAATTTTGATGCAGTGAGCAACAGTTCAAATGTTTTTTAAATTTCAGTCACAGGTCTATAATTATTTTGGTTTTGTTCTTTGATAAACAGAAGGTGGATCAGAATAAGTCTTTAGTTTGTTCATTCATATGAATTCTTTTGGAATTACCTTCTAGGCAATGCAGTGAACATTGGCATCCTCATTTAATTAAAACCACTGTGCCCAGGTGAAGTATTGAAAATAGATTTTACCTGGTTCATTTCTGTCGTCATAAAGTCGCCGATGGGAAAATGAATCCGTTTTCCTTTTTCCACACAACAAGTAGCCCACAAGAGTAAGCAATGAGACACCCAGAATAGCACCTAAAATGGCCCCGAATACTATTCCTGTATTTCTATTTTCTACAGGACAAAAAAAATTTAAAGAAATATAAAATAATTATTCAAAGAACCGAACTCTATGCATGTGAACTTTCCATATAACAAAGAATGTTTAACATTTTAAAATTAGATAATGGTGTGTTTCTCTCTCTGTGTGTGTGTGTGTGTGTGTGTGTGTGTGTGTGTGTCTTGTAAAGTACTATTTGGGATATATGGGCAAACGTATTTGTTGATAAAACCACACTTCTAATTTTTAATTACATTGAAATACTTCTAAGTCTTAGCTCTATAGCCGTGTCTTGTGTCTTGTTCTTATTAACATCAGTGGCACTGAAATGCCATGTGCATACTCCATTAAGATCTAATATCAGTGTTGAACTTTAATGATGAAATGAATTTTGCACTTGTTTCTGTAAATAATTCAAAGGTTAAAAGCCAATAGGAGTAAGTGGGTAATAGAAAATGAGTCCACCATAAACAAATAAGAAGTCACTACAAGGAAAAATCAGTGTATCCTGATAGAAGGTATTTCCAAACACCACAAATAAACCAAGGCAAGATAACTTCAGTGCCTTGCATATCAAGAACAGTTGTCTAGGCCTGAGCTTACGGGAGTTCAAAATTTCACTGTATTATTCTTTTCACTCGGTATCTTATTTGAAGACTAAATTTTCAATAAACTAAATGTTCTCTGAACTGAAATTTAGTACATTTCTCTTTTTTTCTTCTCTTTTTTTGAAGGACTCATTAATTAGGTAGGCAAAGGGTCTTGCAGGGTCTCTGATTCTATATAAAATCTCATTTCTAAAAAAATTAATTTTCATGTTAGAGTACAGTAAACTTGTTACTAAAAGAGAAGTAAGCTAACTAAATTTTTTTTTACATAAAATAGCAATGGTAAGAGTAAGTACTCAGTATTCTCAATATGTATATTAGGTTTAGATAGACAAAAGAGAGGAAGCATTTTTAAAAATGACAAGATATGTTAAAATCATAGTTAAATGTACATATACAATATATTGATAGTGGTATTATAAAAAGCCTATATTTCAGAATTTAAAACTTTTCCTACACACTGGCAACAACATTCAAACAGGAATTTGTATATATGATTTGTTTTTTACATTACTAATATAATCCTTAAGTAAACCACACTGGAAGTGAGTTCTTGGAGGAAAACAAATTATTAAAAAAATTTCAAGGGGGGAAAATACATTAGACCTCAAAAAACAAAACAAGAATGAATTATTAAAACTTAGTTATTTTTTTTCATTTTATGGAAAAATGTAAAACAATTTTTATGTTTCAAATGGAAAAGATTGACATAATCCTTAAATGAAACATAAAAATGTCCACATAATAAATTGTTTGTGATTGTGACAGATAATTTATAAATTCATTACTTTGTTCAACTTTTTAAAAACTCATATATATATACTCATATATATACACACACACACACACACACACACACACACACACACACACATATATATATATATATATATATATATATATATATATATATATATATATATATAAGTTCAGTTGTATAGTATTCACATGAGCATGTGAAATTTCAGGTAGTCTTTTCAAGATTCATTGAAAATTGTTACCTAGTATCTCAAAGCTGTACCATTGCTTCAGTCTCCATCTTTTCTTGACCTAACCTAACTTCACATTTTGTCCCATTGTCTCCTTACACTCCCAAAGAGAAATGACTAGTATATGTTCATTGAAGCCCTAAAACCACTTCACTATTTCTAGTGACTATAATGATCATCCCTCAAAAGTGAGAAAATCCATGCTATTGTGTTCTCTTCTGTTTTTCCAGCATGGTGATTCCTTAGACTTACTCTGCATGACTTATTTGGAATTTCAGTTTCACACAAAAGGAAAGTTAAAATCATTTATATTTACCTTTTTGGGGATCTGACGTATTTGGAAAGAGTTTTGAATTATTGGTGAATTTTAAGGTAGGCTGTAGAGTTGTTTTTTCTTGATAAGGGGTAAACCCAGTGAAGCTATCACTGTTTGTGGTAAGCCATCCACTTGGTTCCACTATCAAGGGGGTCACAGATGGAGAAGTTGGTTCTGAAGAGAGGATGCTAACTGTAATGGAACTGTTATCAGGAGTTTTCACGGTGTCATTGACCAAAGACCAAGTGAAGTTTTCTGAAGACAGAGCAGGTGTAGCATTGGGATGTGCTGAGATGGGCAAAAGATCTTCATCTGCTATAGGTGCATTCCAAGGCACTTTAGAAACAAAGCTATGGATCAAGGGAGGGCTTGTGGAAATGGTAGATGTGGGTTTTAGACTGCCCAAAGAATGCTCTGCTGATGAGTTACTGGAGAAATCTGTTATTCCGTGGCTGTTGTTGGGTAGATTCAAAGGAGGGGAATGACTCGCCTTGAGATTTGAGGTGGTTATATTTTCTTTATCTGAGTTTAAGTTTGCTTCACTTTCCAAAGAAATAGGTTTATTTTCCATTGTTTTAAAAACTTCTGCAATGTTCTGTGTTGTGTTTATGTCTTGATTTTCTTTTCCATGGCTCCCCGATAGAAGTGAATAAAACAACGTTGAAATCAACAGAATTTTGGCTAAGGCCAACATTGTAGGCTTCTTTGGTATTGGTTTTTTTTTAAAGGAATCTGAAAGAAAATAACCATAATTTGAATTCCTTAAATAAAATACTCTGAGTTTTTAAATGGATCTATATATTTTAAAGTGATAAAAATCTAGACATAATATAGAGATGGTAATATCATATTTTTATTCCAAAATTGCTTATTTTGGATTATGTACTTAAATTAGTGCCATTGAGTACTGCTTTCCACGTAATCTTTCTTCCTTCCTTGCTTCTAGGGAAATGCCATGCAAAAACTTCCTCAAGCCACACACTGCTATTTCAAAGACCATTTAGCTTGGGAAAAGGTGGAAGAAAACCATAAAAACCCACCCACTCACACATACACGTATATTTAAAACATGTATATGAACTGTTAAATAACATTTTAAAAATATTGTAAATATAGACCATGTAGAGCTGGCTGATTTCTTCAATCTATTTAAGAAAACGCATTCTTTATAAAGATGTCATTTGAAATATTTATTATGAAAATGACATTACTGACTATACATTAAATGCACCATATATTAGATTTTTTTAAAGTGAGTCAGTCAGGAATACCCTTGAATACATTTTATTAGTATCTAGTTTGAATTAATACTAGTCATGAAATAACTCATGAATTTGAATGTATCCCTTTTCCACAATACTTTTCATTTCATGATGTCCTTCTTGCTACTTAATCCCAAACTGGGGAGATTCAGAAGCCTTCTAGATTTAAGGATATTCTTTAATCTTACTCTCTTATTTTATAAAAGAAGAATATGGTTGGGGTGTGTGTGGGAAAATAAGCTAGATAATTGCAGATTGGGTCCTGATCTCCAATCCAGGCACATCATTCCGCCTCTTAAGTGTGGAAGTGCCACAATTCATAAATAGGGTGATATAGGAAAATGTTTTGAAATCAGATTTATATTAAAATTCTGGCTTCTGACACAAATAACTCATGAAAAATAATCACCATAATAAGCAGTTGCTTTATCATCATTATAATTAACTTCAGAGTGTTGTTCTGAAGACTGAATGGGCTGACTTAGGTAGCAGCACTCTAAACAAGATCTAGCCTAAAGTAAACACTTAATAGATGCTAACCTCCATTTAATATTCAAATATAATAATATATCTATAGTGTCTTTTTGGTTACAAAGTTTACAGTATCATCTTATTTGATACTTACAACAATCCCTTGATGTGGCAAGAATAGATTGTATTATGCCCATTTTGCAGATGAAGAAACTGAAGCTCACAATGGCTAGTAACAGAAGCTGGAAAATGGAAGAGGCAATATTTAAAGCCAAGTCAACTGACTCCAATCTCATTAGAGGCTAAAATTTGCAGTGCTTTTAATGGAAAATTTACTTTAAAAAAATAGACTTTTTTTTCCTCAAGCAATAAAATCTGAGTACTGATTTCATGTTTTTGAATTGAACCTTATTTTTCACTGAAAGCCTCCATGCTGACTGAGAGAGGAAAAGGGAGGAGGTACAAGTGCTGTTACTTAGTTCTTGTATTGTGTGCCATTTCTCAACAGCTCTCTGAAATTTTTACAAATATTTTCAGCCTTGTTGATTTTTCATTAGGGTCTACAGAGCTTCTAAACACTCCCACTAGTTATGTGTTGATTTTAAATAGCAAGTCCTCTCTTACATAATAATTTCTCACATGTGGTACAACGTAAATATATCTATAATATATGTTAGTTATCTTCAAAATCTGATACTTCTCTTCAAAAGCTTTTAGCAAGCAATTGCATAATCATATACTTCTAGAATTTTAGACATATTGTATCTTCCATGCCCTATGGTTATCACTTAAGAAAAATCTACTTAAAAATAAAAGCTGGCAGACATATGAGAACATTCATAGCGGCATTATTTATAAGAGCCTCAAACCTAAGTGTTCATTAGTAACAGATTGGATAATAAACTGTGGTATATTCAGATAGTGAAAATTGACAGGCTAGAGCTGTATGCAACGACATGGATGATTATCACAAACATAATGCACTGCTTGAAACACCAGTTGTATTGTGTGATTTCATGTATATAAAGTTCAAAAACAGGCAAAAAGCTACAATGATACGATTGGGAAAGGGCTTTATTACTGGAAGTAAACAGAATTGATTGGGTGGAGCATGGAAGGAGGTTGTGTGCTGGTGATACTCTATTTCTCAACCTGATTGTGATTACATAGGTGTTTGTATTTGTGATCATTCTGCTTATTGATATTTCATTCACTTTTCTGTGACAACTAAGAAATTCAGATTGTTCTAAAAATGTTTAACATAATTGGAAAGTATATTACTATTATGCATTTGATATATCAGCTGCTTTACATATTTTCCATTTAATGCTAACCAAAAATAAACAAATGGTGAAGAAGGGCTTATTAATCCCACTTTACAGATGATTAAGTGGGACATAAATAATGTAAGTAATGTGTCCAAGGACACACAGCTAGTAACTGAGAGATCGGATTTGGATTCAAACCTTGACATGTCTGATTTAAAGCTAGTCAGTATTCATGTTTGTAACATAAGTTGCAAAGGAATATAGAATTTGGTACACAGCTGCTTTTTAGAACTTCTTCCTACCATAGTTTTTTTTTTTAATACAGCCTCTCCAAATTTAATTATTTTAACCAGAGCAGTTTATAATCCCATTTTTACAAAACACTGATAATATAAGTCTTTCTATCTTCAAAGGACCCATTAAATACACTAAATATGCTTTTGCTGTAATTTAAGAAAATCACGATAACTGTCTATTATGGTTTCTAGATGGACATCTTTACCATGAAGTTTACAGATTAGCATTTACAAAGCATGAATGATTATCTCTGGCACCTGTAGTTGACCAATATTTACTTAAATTGATGCCTCACCTAGTGTGTTTAAAATATAATTCAGTTTAGTTTAAAAATAGTTATGTGTACCTTTTCAGAAACATCTCTCTCCTGTGAACTCTGCAAAGTTCACAGCAAACATAATGCTCCTTTTCATTATCTACGGCATGTGATCTAATTTGTCAATTGTACTTAGCCACTATTTTCAGCATTATTATGGCATTCGATTTATTTTCTCTATATCTAGTTGTTTTGCTATTTTTCTCTTCCTAATAAAGTGGTCACCAGTGGGGGGAAAAATGTCCTTAGCTGTTCTTCTATTTTTCTTATAATATTATGTGAGAGACATGGCATTGAGCTTTCATTACCTGCCTGTAATGAAAATCTACACATCAAGAGTCAATAAAGTGAATTCTGTTGTTCCTGTTTCACCTTGCCTGTGACATTGAACCACCAAGGGGATCTCTCATTCCTTTACCCAGCTTTTGATTGTAACTTGAAAACCTAGGGTATCAACACCCCCAAACGTGCGAAGCACTCTGTTACTGCCTATAATTTATCTCCCAGGAAAAGGAGAGAAATGGAAGAGAGGGGTAGTTCAGTATGTTGTGAATACTATTAAATATTTATGGTTTATTCAGAAATTTATACACTACAGATAAGGCTTTTGTGAAGACGGATTGTCCTGACATTGCAGTAGGGACAAGTTTGCCTCTGCTGCCTGGCTTCTAGGAGAGCCAGGTTACGCCACTTACTCAGGTTCCTTTCATCTTAAAGTCGTAGAAGCAGCCAGGAATTGAAGTCATCCGTTATTCAGAACCCCACCATGAAATTTTGCTGGAGTAAGGTCCAGGAGATTTGGCCGAAGTTTGACCTCATGCCAACTGAACAAAGCACATTGCAAGTGACAGAAGCCTAATGGAGGTGGGACAGCAACTCCAGAGGGCAACAAATGAAATCTATATATGTTTTACTTTCGTGTGTGCTTTCCTTTTAGCCTCTCTCCATCTCTGGAGTTCAAATATCTAACTCTATGTTATATACTTGCTTTATAAAGCTGAAATGATGATGGATTATGGATGGTATCCCTGAGTGCACCCAAGTTCATCTGTCAGCCAGGTGCACTGTGGGGGCAGACAGAAGGTGGGATGAAAGAAAAGTAGAATTGCAGAGGGAGAGAAATCAGGAGAACCCAGTAATGATTTCACCTCCTGATCTTTGCCTCTTTTTGCATCTGGGTGGTAGCTCCTAAGAGAAATTTTGAAGTTATAAAATAGAGGTTTAGGATCATCACAAACTCGAAAACCTTCTAAAGGTAGAATTACTATAAAGTGAACAGAGAAAGAAAGGAGGATTTCCAGTTCCTTTGTGATACCTTAAATACAGATTCTAAACTTTCCTGTATATATTAACATTTTTTTTGTTTTAAAATTTAACTAGTTTTAAAATATATTTTCATAGTGTCACTGTTTTAGAACAACTCCTCTACAGAGGGAGAATGAACACGACTTTCGCCTTCTTTGTTACTGGCACTGGAAAGTGGTTTCACATTATTACTTTTGTATGGAGGGCTGCAGAAAGTGATGAGAAAAAACAAAAACAAAAAACACCTCTGGCCAGTAAGGGAAGCAAACCCACATTCACTGTCCATATTTTTGCTTCCTTTTAAATGCATAAAGTCATTATTCTGTCCAGGCTCTCTGTTGAAATCGTGGGTCATACTTATTTTATACCAAGCTTTGGAAATAAGGAGATGTCCTGGTTTATGTCAGGTAATTAACCCATATAAGGGCAAAGAAATGCTACTCATTCTAAACAGAATCAAAATCAGAAATTCTAAATAGAATCATCAGTTCAGGTATACTGCAGGCATAATATAAAAACATGTTTCTATAGTAAAATCACTGACGACTATACATTGGGCTGCCTTTTCTCCAAGTTGTGTTTGATCATTTCTTCTCACAGATGTTAGGCTACAAATTAAGACAGATGGGTTTTGTTTGTCTCTCAAAGAAAACTCTGTCTGCTATGTAGCTAACATCTCAGGAAGAACTTGAGTGTTACTCTGAGTGACTTTTTCCAATGTTGGACAGTATTTTTAGTTTCCTAAATTCAAGAGCAACAATAAATGAGGACATAAGACATCCTTCTAAAAATGCCTCTTTTATGAGAGGGTTTTGGAAGCGTAACCAACTAGAAAAAGGATTGTGACTGAGAAACTTAGGCCTCTCATTTTACTTTTATGTGATGTAAAAAGAAAGAAAAAATAAAAAAGAAAAGACTGGCTTTCTTTCAAGAAAAAAACAAATTTCAGAAGTTTGAGAACATTATTCTGGCTAAAAGACTTAGGCTATGTAACTACAGGAAAAATGTAGAGTTTGTCATATGACCTGCTACCTTGGGAGTTTTCAGTCATAAAATTCAGTACTTAACTAATTAGTGATGAGTGTCAAGCTTAGAAAGAAAGAAAGTTTCTCCGAAAGGAAAGTTCTAGATCAAAATTTTCAAGCATAGGGTTTCCAGCCTTCTGTATCATACTGTAATGTCTATAGGAGCAGCCTCTACAGACTAAATAGAAAGTAGATAAATGGAAATCAGCATCCTTTTAATAAAAAAAGAGGCTTATATAGCCACAAAATGAAAATAATTTTAAGAAATTTTACCACATTTTCATTTCATAGGATGTTTTCTGTAGTAACTGATGTAACCTTTTAGATTTCCAGTGAAAGTTAGACATGTACACATATCATGCTAAATAATTATATGTACTGTACAACAGTTTCCCAACTTTTTAATTAAGAAAATCTTTGAAAAAGATTTATAGAAGCTTCTAATCTATTTTATTAGAAGATTTTTTCCAAAACTATTCTAATACTTAAAGCAAAAACCTCTAATACTTAAAGCAAAAACCTTTCAGCACAAATGCATAATTTAAATCTAAGATTCAATTTATATTCATGCTGCCACTTCCACTTTAAACATTTTGAAACCTTTACTAAGATCTGACTTAAGAAAATTCTATTTCATAGTCACGTATGTTTTAAATAAGGCTTTTATTTAACTCTTCTGCTGGTTCTGTAATCTAGCAAATTTGGCAGTAATTTTTAAAGCTAACTCATTTAGGAGTGCAAATACTCATTTGGAAGGTCATTACTTAATAAAACAACTACTTGTCTCTGCAAGGATTGCCGTAGCTACTTGCCAGGCTGTTCTGTCAAAGTTGAGACCACTGCGATTCTCTTTGGTAAATAATCAAGGAAGAGAGAGAGTAGAGAGTGAAAGAGAGAAAGCGAGAGACCTAAGTGACCCAACGCACACTTACCTTCAGGCTTAGGAGGTATTTACAATCAGGAACTGAAATATCACAGTTGTCCTGTCTGAAAGGAATCTGTCGTGCATTAGAGAAAACAGATGGGTTAAGTGTGACAATGTCGCACTGAGCAGGAGGGTGCCAGGGAAACAAAATTAGGTGGGGCTGGCTGTATCTTGCTTGTGTAACAGAGCGCCCAGGAACCTGACTGACCTGCTTCTCAGCTGTAAGCATTAAGATATCACCTCATTCAGGCCTTTAACAACAACAACAAAAGCCCAACCCTCCAGTTTTCATAGGTTGATCGTTTTAGCTTTGGGACAAGGTATTACTCTCGTCAGTGGTAGCAAAACACGGGTCATCAATTTTTTTTTTCACCCTAAGTGAAAAAAAGGACAAAGATTTTGGCAAAGTCATCTGGTATAGCAGGAATTTCTGACATGTGCTGGGCCCCCTGCTCCTTGCAGGTGAGGAATCCAAACAAGTCATGCCCTGCACTTGTTGCTCTATGCCAGCCGCACATTCTCTGAAATCATAAACAATTTTTCTGTACTCTAGTAGATTGCCCTATTTGTGTACTTAAAGCCTAAGTAGAGAAAATGTAGTGGGGTCAGTAGTGAGGCGTCTATTCTGAGGTCCACTGAAATTGTTTTTTTAAGAAACTCCTACTTAACACAAAGTGAATTAGTAGCATATATTGGGATCCCTGAGAACGCTGTGAGGTGTTACATGAAAAATAATCATCATGACTGAGATTCGGTTTCTTGCTGACTTTCAGGAGTTTGGAGAGGAACTGGGGCCTGAGAATGGCCATGTGATCCTCACTTATCCTAGGAGCCTTCTCGATTAAGTAGTTTCCACCCTGTGTTCTCTCTGGTTTACTCTCACTTTAGAAGCTGGAGAATTTCAGAAGTGCCCAGGTAATGCTTGATTAAATACTAGAGTTGAATAACAACTTGGCATACTTCCTACACTTCCTTTCAGAGCTTATGAAAGGGAGAAGAGTGAAACTGGGATCTTCCGCACATCAGCGTTTGGGGATGGCGCCAAGGGCCGTTCAGCTCAATATGCCTGAGGTTCATACTTGGTTTCTGCTGCACAAGGAGATAGGTTTTCAACTGCTGAGCGAGAAACGAAACTTTAGCTAAAATGCAGGAGCTAGTAAGCTTCAAATGGAATGCAAAGAATCTGCCCAGTTAATTGGCCCGAGGAAAGAACAAGGTAATTCTATAGTTTTAAATTTTCTGAAGCCCAAAGGCCCCTTCAGAGTTTGATTAGAAATTAAACCAACCCCGAAAAAATATTGTCTCAAAAGATATTTAAGCTGTCTCTACTGTGGTACGAAGAAAAGCAGGTTAAATTTAATCAAACAGTTAGTTACTGAACAGTGGCTTAATAGAATTCAATGGCTTATTTTCAGATTAGCCACTTTTTAGGTAAAAATCCAACTAAATATATTTTCTGTTTGTAGTTAGAGAACTGAACATGATTGGGCAGGACTGGGTGCACCTTTTCCCTAGGCCTTTTCTGCAATATGTGTGGGAATATCATTATCCCCTTCTGCCTTAACCATAGTAATTATGGCTTATACCAGGCATAAACATTGCAATGCACTTTTGCTATAGCTCTCCGTTTTCACTGCCATAAAAGTCCCGCTAATTTCTCATGTTGCTTTTTCCTGAAGACCCTTTCTGTGGGCCCAGAATCCTATTCATCATTGCCCTCCTTACAATCATAATCAATTGATTAGACCTCACCCTAGAGATAAACCTTACCTACCCTCACTGTCTTGAGCACATCTGGAAATAAACTTATAAAATGTAAACTGTACGTAAATTTAATGCCTCAGTTGTTACTTAGCTCACTTAGTTGTTATCAGAAACCTTTGTTTACTCATGGAGTTGGAGTTAAAAAGTAATTTCTAGCCAAACAAACAAGTTTCACTGAGATACAGTCCTAGGTTCTAGGTAAGACCAATCCCACTTTAGACCTCCTTTCTCCAGAGGAACTCCACAATGAGAGATAATTACCTGCAATTTCATCAGCAAACCCAGCTGAGATGACACACTGTGCAGTGCTTGTATAATTTTTTTTGGTACTTACCCACTATGGTGCCTTTCATCTGGCACTCACCAATTGCTTTACACTCATTAATTACGTTTCACAATACATACTGGGAGGAAGAAAAACCTCTTCCTAGTCTGCAATGATAGAACCACTCACAAGTGGAGTTTCCAGAACACGAAGACACATGAATATCACTAATGGATCTGAATACAGAAGCAGACATAGCTTGGGACCACACTTCAAACTAATTGAAAACATTGTTTTGAATCCAAAAGAGTATCTTTTTGTACAAATCCTATAGCATCAAATCTTGATGCTGATGTCACATGTAGGGAATTTGCATTGATCAGATTCACTGATAGCATATTTAGTCTGATACAGGCTACAAGTGGAATTCATGTTTGTTTCCCCATAGGGACATAGGTACTTTAAGCAAATAAGAAATATTTGAATAATAGTAAAATAAATTACATTATGAATCTATTATTTGAGAGTATTTTAATGATATTCTTTATAAATAAAATAGAATTTAACGGCTGGGAAATGTATTTGGGGATAACATTTAATTTATTTCAATATTCTATTAGGATAGAAATAGAGGGATTATTCTCATAAATGCTAATGGTTGTTTATTATTCAAGTTTATCTTTCTCTGGTAAGTAATATGGTGCTATAATAAGATCTTCTTCACTTAACTATAACTTTTTGGAAAGGTCAAATATTCCATTTTGGGGTTAAGGAAATTCTAGGACAATGCCCTTGGTTAAGCAGAGGTTATGATATTGCATATACATATATGCAAGTATACATACTTGCATGCATACATACATAAATGGTGAGCTAAAGAAAGTTGTAAACCTGGTCAATCAACTAAAAATAACTTTAAAGGATAGATCTTTATGTGATTTGGGGCATTTAATTCGACCATAGTTAAAAGAATTGAATGATAAGACTATAGCAAAACCTGTTGCATTTCTATCTATATATTTATGTGAACCTGTTTTCTTAGTAAACATTTTGAAATATAAAATATATAATTGAAAATACCATATTGTAACAATATAAAATATGAATTGAAAAACAAACACAAACCCTATTGATATCCTTAAGAATATAACAGTCTTAGATTTTGCATTTAATATTCATTAAAATTTAAAATTGATTATATTGTTTTATTACTTCTGATGATTACTCAATTCTAATTGTTTTTTAAGGTAAGAGCCTAATGGTCACAAGAAATTTTAAAAATTTAAACAATTGCTATCTCATTTTTAAAATTATTTTAGAGTACTATGCAAGATAATCAACACTTTCAAACATAAATATATATTAGAAATATTTTGAAGTAGAAATTGGATGGAAATAGATTTAAAGATAAAATGAACAATTTAAATTTTGCAACAGATTAGTGCTTTTTAAAGGTATATTTTTAAAGAGACACAATTAGGTATAAAATACTAGTATAAATTTATTTTAAAATGTCCATTTTTATAAAGCACTGGAAATCATAACCTTTACGACTATTTAAATATATAATGGAAAGAAATTTTGTACAAGGAGATAAATAATTTCACAAAATTATTTTAGCGATTACACAATCATTTTCAAAACCACTGACATTGTGCAGCTATTAAATTCAGAGTAGTAAATCAGACATTTTCAATAATTTCTATGTGATGGCTAATAGTACTTGAAGCTGTTCATAGGTTTAAAATATTTTCTTGGGTATTTTTCTGTATTATTTAGGGTCTCACATAGTGTCCACTATATCTTTTTATCTTCCCTTCCAGTTCTAGCCAAACAAAAACAAAAAAGGTAGAGGATAGCGTTGTTACAAGATGATGGAAACATTTAAAAAATAAACAATACTTTCTTCAGAATGATACTTTTGCTGACGTGATCATAGTCCGCACATGTTAGCAGAAAGACTTTGTCGCTCAGGTGGCCCCATGAAATCTTTATTCAGTGTTAGCACTCTGGGGCTCTGTCTCTGGCTAGATTCTCCAGATTTATAATCACCAAGGAAGCAGTGTGCTGAGTAGAACAAGCTCAGGCTACCACGTCACAGTTTCTTTGTTTTGAATCCTGGTTTTGCCACTTAATGGTTTCATAACCTTGGATAATTGCCATCACGTTTCCAAGAATATTTTCTCATTTGTACAATAAAGAAAGTGACACTACTTCTTAGTTGTGTGTGGAGTC
Source organism: Homo sapiens (assembly GCF_000001405.40). Lineage (NCBI taxonomy): Eukaryota > Metazoa > Chordata > Mammalia > Primates > Hominidae > Homo > Homo sapiens. The sequence goes on from NC_000011.10 coordinate 26,576,298, forward strand.
AAGTTAAAATAGATAAAATAATTGTGTGTTACTGGACACTTAGTAGTCAAACTCAATTAGACTTAATTAATTATAAATATAATAATTTTTTTGGAGATGATAAAAATTGAGGCTTCAGTGTCAGCATGAATAAATGTTGAGAGGAATCTAACTAAGTGTACAAGCACATATTAGATTATTTTGAATTTGCATCTCTCAGCACATAGTAGTTACTCAATGAATATTAATTTCATGAAAAATGAATGAGTAAACTCTTCTTTATTTTTACCTGAATTTTTCCCTGCCAGAGAGGCTTTCTCTGATCACACTTTGTAAAACTGAAACCCTTTTTTCCTGACCTATTCTCACTCCTCCTGCTGCATTTTCTTCATAGCACTTATTGCCATCTAACATACTGTATATCTTATTTATGTATGTATTTCTTATCTAGTCCCATACTAGAAAAGTCAGCTCGTGACAGCTTACGTTTTTGTCTGTTTTCTGCATTGCTTTATCCACAGGGTTAGACTAATGCCTTGCACAGAGTAAATGCTGGATAAACTTATAAGTGAAAGATTAAATGAGTGAATTGATAAAAGATTGAATAAATATTAATATATTTGTCAACAATAATAACAAAAAGTGAATATACTATTCATGAGACAGCTGTAAGTTTACTTTTTCTTCTTTTTAGAATATTCTTCTCAACGTTGGCCCATTCAGATCTGAAACTTGACTTTTTTTTCACTTAAGGACATTCCTTGGCCACATTTATATGATTGTGAGCAGTTTTCTTTGGTAGGTGGTTAGTGATAGGAGCCATTTCACAAGAAGAGTTGGCCTTAACTAGAGATGCAGAAATCTTCTAACATGTAAGAATGTAGAGGATATGGACACAAGGATAGATAAGTGGGTAGATATGGTTTTGGTGGTAGTCATGTAGACAGAAAAATTGTCAACTGAGAGTATAGGTATCAGATTTTTTTTAAAAAAGAGAGAGAAAGTGGCTGGGCATGGTGGTTCACGCCTGTAATCCCAGCACTTTGGGAGGCTGCGGTGGGCGGATCACCTGAGGTTAAAGACCAGCCAGGCCAACATGGGGAAACCCCGTCTGTACTAAAAATACAGAAAAAAGAGGTAGCTGGGCATGGTGGCAGATGCCTGTAATCCCAGCTACTTGGGAGGCTGAGGCAGGAGAATGGCTTGAACCCGGGAGGCAGAGGTTGCAGTGAAGCTGAGATTGCGCCATTACACTCCAGCCTGGGCAACAAGAGAGAGACTCCGTCTCAAAAAAAAAAAAAAAAGAGAGAGAGAGAGAAAGTATTACAGCATGGCAGCCTCAAAGATCTACTCAAAGTTAGTAATCATTAATATAAAATAAAACAATTTACTCAGAATAGCTGTGCTTTTTTCCAGCTATGTTAATGTGCATGAGTACAAATCGATAGTAGATGGAGTGATGGGTTTAACTAGGGTTGTATTTAAACCATGGGCTTATGACAAACTGAAACAAGAGCTAGAGAGTTGAGGGCATTTGCACCCAATTGAGTATAATGATTGCCCATTAGGATACATAAAGACAAAAGTGAAGGCACAAAGGGAGGAAAGGATAGTAAAAATATGATAGGATCAATGAACTGATAATCTGGCTCAAGAGAATGTTGGAATTGCAGTTTATAGGGAGTGAACTAGAACTATGAATGTAATTATTGAATATCATGGAAGGCCTGCTACTATTGATCAAAAGTATGTCGTGGGAGCACATGAGTGAGACCGAGTAGGAGAAAACAGTTTTGAAGATAGAGATCAAAGAACTGAGAAGCCAGAGTACTAGAAAGATTATCTGTGTATATTGTAATTTCCAAGAGTAATTTTGGGAGTATGTTGATAAGAGTTATATTAAGACATGAGTTTAAAATCTTCATAGATGTTAGGTAAGTGTCTCCAGGAGACAGAAGATGACTACCACAAGGAGTGGCAGTAGGAAGCATGAATTGACAATATGAGATTCGAATCTGTAAATTGTTTAGGAGGGAGGAAATATGGTCCTAAAGCAGCAATGAGGAGCAAGAAATTCACTACCTCAGCAGTACGTATTGACATAGGAGACAAAGAGCTATCACTTGAGTGTGCTACATGGAAAGTGGGGTTTTAGGGGAGTCCCAGGTTTCAATTAGAGTAAGAAGGTGAAGGGATACAAAAGGCTTTGCCTTGACTTTGTGTAAAAAGGGAATAGTGAATTTGTTTCAAAAGTTGGGAAGGAGCGGGCGATCATCACAAAGGCAATCCCTGTTCCTGGTGGCATGAGGATCAGTTCCTGGGGAGTGAGGGATGATCTGGAAATTGTGGGCTCCTTGAAGTAACTGATAGGAACAGGGTTAAAAAGTACGATTATATTAGTCTCGATAGACCACTTGTGCATGTTCACAGGCAGAAAGCTGTGTGTAGAATATGGGGATAGAGGCCTATTGCTAAAATGGAGAGTTATAGGCTCCCTGTAGATTCCTGCTATTAGAAGAATTCTGAAATAGAGCCTTTTCTTTCCAGCACTCAAGTGACTCTTCAACCTACAAATGGCAGCCTTGCAGGGAAATGAGACGGCTCTCTTCAACAATACGTGATATTCTGTTTTGTGGAGATACCATAACTGATTAATTCCTGTGAGATGAAGCGTACTGTTATAGCAGCTTTATTCTTTTAAAACCCTAATTTTGTTATATAGTCTAATCTGTTTAAGCAACTCTTGCCCAATTTATTAACTATCAACTATTTTTACATGGACTTAACTTATTAAGTGAGGTTACAACCAGGCATACATATATTGAAGTGGCAAAACTGACAGTTTGATAATATTATAACTTATCTTACCACTGCTAGGAAAAGATCCACATGATTTATTAATGCTTTCTAAAAAAGCACTTAAGGCAGGTAATTAGAAAATCCTGGCATATCTAATTTGTTTCTGTCTAGTTAGAAAAAGTTATTATAGCTAAATAATAACCTCAGCAGCAGAGTGTTCTCACCAACGAGCCATAACTTGAAGCAGATAGAGTGAGGAGAGAGTGAGATGCCTGGGAAGGTGTGTACACTCTGAGGAAGAATCTTGATTTGTTCCTTGGCTCAAAAGTAGGGACAGAAGGAAAAGGAAATTTATTCATGACCTGAAGAAGATTTTGAAATCAAGTCCACAGGCAGCAAATAACAATGACAAAAGACTTACTCATCCATTGAAAGGACTATACATACCTTAAACAATTTGCAGGGAACATTGAAAACATATGGTTAGCTAAGCTGACAGTTCATACAAGCTCTTTAGCTACAGAAAAGGAACTCAATTTTTGTGCTGAATTAGGAGAAAGCAACAGATTAGATATGCTAGGATTTTCTATTTATCTGCCTCACTTTTTGTTTGTTTAAAAAGCAAAAGAAAGTATTAAGTCACGTGGATCTTTTTTTTCATGAAAAAGATCCAGTTAAAGTTGTTATGAATCCCCTCTTTTAAATATAAGTACTTTAGTAACATTGAGGAGTCAGACAAACCTGGGGCAGAGTCGAGTTCACTTTTGAACAGCATTATTACCAGTAAAAGAGCAATAGAACAGTTTCTTACACATGAAGCTGGTATGAGGATGTAATGAGTAGACATGTGTAGAATATGTAACAACATGACTGGCACATAAGTTTCTAATGCATTATAGCCATTCATGAGAAGAGATATACAATTTTGGAAGCCCCTTTTAAGAAAAAGATTACAAAAATACCAATACAAAATGAGGTGCAAAAGTAATGAGAATGGAAAAAATCACAAATTTATAAATTTTTTAAAACTCCAAAATAACATACACAAAAAGCAAAATCCAGTAGGTTAAAAATATTTTAATCAACTGACTGCTAAACACATCTCTGTAATGCTTTTTGGGCTATATTTGTCTGCAAATTTAGAGATTTTAAATTATGTCTTTATATGATGTTTAAAAAATATTTTATAAAGGGAATATAAAAGTAATTCAGTCTTTCCTCTTTCTCTAGCATGGTTAATTCTGTTTTTATTATTGATAGTTTCAAAGTTTCTTTCAGCTTCATAATTCATCACTGGCAGTATTACGTACATTTTTAAGATTGTTGTGAATTTGGCAAAATCTCTAGTGTCTTTCATAGATTAGTTGAAATTTTTACAATTTCCTATAGTTTCTGGCTTCATGTATTCAGATCTTATTTCTCTTCCATTACCTGTGTTGGGCACCATAGAACATATGTAAATTAACATACCACTCCTGAATAGAGAGCCAAAAGAAGGCTCTGATAACTATTGTTTCAGGTGGGCCTTCTTTTGAGAAGTCTCCAAGTCTTTAACTCTTCTGATGAAAACAGTGCTTTCCTCTATATTCAGACATATTTAACTACACTATATCTACAAATTCAGATATAGTGTTCTCTTAAAAGAAATATTTTCAGACAATTAAGCTATGAGCATGGATCATAATCTTATGAGTTTTGCCATAAAGCAAAAGTCCTCTAACAGACCAATGCAAAGATTTATATCTTAGTAGAAATGTTTATTTAAAAAAAATGGTTAGTAAATATTATTAGACTCAGAAAGGAAAGCATGTCAAGTCACAGGCCTTTGAACTGCTGATTGATGGGCCACTGGTGGGATGAGCAGCTCACCTCCCAGAAGTTCCTTGTCTCATTTTGCTGTGTCAGAAACTTACGTAAACGTTTTATCTGTGATGCTAATTTCTTCCTAGAAAGAAGTTACAGATCATATAGCCAAGAAAGTTCTATTCCAAATTATGTTTGAAATAAACCATGGAAGAAATTCAGCATTCCAGCCAAGTAACTTCCTCACATAACTTAACCTCTAAGAGTCTCGGTTTGTTTATATAATGAGTGAGATGGATAATGTTTACTTAACCTGAGTTGTTTTGAAGATGATGTGACTTAATGTAAAAATATCTAGCACAAACTCAAGGACATTGTAAGTCCTCAGTAAATGCCAGTTCTCTTCTTTGGAAATATGGTGCAATTCCCTTTTTTTTTTTTTTGTATGCTCACTATAATGATGAACATACATAAGTTTAGGATTAAATTATTGACTCTAGAGGCAGCAGTCTTAAATACAAAAGGAGAAGGCCGGACACTTGGTTCACGCCTGTAATCCTAGCACTTTGGGAGGCCAAGGCAGGTGGATCACCTGAGGTCAGGAGTTCGAGACCACCCTGGTCAACATGGTGAAACCCCGTCTCTACTAAAAATACAAAAATTAGCTGGGCATGGTGGCACGTGCCTGTAGTCCCAGCTATGTGGGAGGCTGAGGCAGGAGAATTGCTTGAACCTGGGAGGCGGAAGTTCCAGTGAGCCAAGATCACACCATTGCACTCCACCTTGGGCGACACAGCAAGACTCTGTCTCAAAAAAAAAAAAAAAAAAAAAAAGGAGAAAAGAAACAAGATGCCATGCCATTTCCTAGGTCATGAACAAAAGATGGAAAGTATCATGTGGAAACTGACTGGTTGTGACTGAATTTTTATAAAAGTGAAACAATTGAAATATAAATAATTGACAATATCTCCGTTCTCCCTGTCAGAAAATTATCTTCATGCAGGGGAAACCAAGACAAAGTTCTTGGTATGTGTAACAACTAGAGTGTTAAGAAAATTGGTTATTATAATTTATTATGGCCTTCCAGTGGATTAAGCATAGACTACTTACAAATTGTCTCTCAATTTGTACAACACTCTTATGAATACAGTTTTATTATTCTCATATTAAGTAGTAACAGCAGAATTTTATCATCATTTAGTAATTTGTCCAAGGTCAGATGATTAGAAATATATGCACCTTTCAAACCCAGAACATCCCTACTCTAATCCATGGTCTTTGTTCAGTACCACACTGCTGTTCCTGTATGTTCTGAGGAGCATTATTACTTAATCAAAAAGATAATTTTCATTGCATTTATTTTAAAGGTGAAGTCAGTAATTTATTTTATAGTGATCGGTGTTTACTTACGGTGACAAGTACATTCTAACTGAGGTACTATATCCAGTTCCAGATAAATACATATAGGTTGAAAAGGCAAATATTAGGGCTCTAGTACTGGCCACTTTGAATAGACGAAGACCTTAGTTCTGGAGCAGTTTTCTAGAGTCACAAGTTGTTCCAGGGACTGACTATACAGGTATCTGGTCCTGGTGAAAGTTTCCTGGGAAGGATAGGCTAGCCAGTAAGGAGATGGAAGTCTTTAAGGAGCTTAGTTGTAGTTTCAGTTTTTGTTTTTTCCTTTGTAAATTAACAATTAGTATGGCCATACTTCTGAGTATCAGCAAGGTGTCAGTCCTGAATATACTGCTCAAGAAAACATACTTTGGATAGAAATACTCAAATTTTAATAGTAGCTGTTTATTCATGGTGGGATTGTTAGTGACTTTTATTTTCTTCTTTATACTTTTAATTAATTATTTCAACATATATTAATTAAAGGCCAACTGTATGGCATGCACTCCTCTATCCCTAGATTTCAGAAGTAAATAAGACAAGGTGCTTACTCCTGTTATTTTTGTTGATGTTACATTTTTAATTAGAAAATATTCAACTGAATTAAAGAAAGTATATCAAATCATTGGATGGTAAGATGAGGAAAAGGCTTGAGAAAAATTAATATTGTGCTTTAAAAGATTATATTGCATTTATGAAAAATACATGGCAAAAAGCTGAGTAGTTTATCAAGTGTGGACACCTCCAATATTTTAGCAATTCAATTGAGAGTATTCAATTTGAATAAATGCTACTGAAATGTCTATTTAATATGCAAATGCCAATACAATATTGAGTGACCACAAGAGTTACCTTTAGAGGGACTCTGCTTCCAAGTTAAGAGTCTGCTCTGGTCAAGATTGAGTGAGAGTTCTCATTGTAATTTAATAAACATGATGATGCTTACATGTAGCTTCTTATTTCTTCAAGAAATTTGCAAGGCGGGGGAAAGATGTCAAGTCTGATTTCAGAAATTGTCAAAGACTTTCAATACTTAGGCTTCAAATGCTGGCTTTACAATCTTCTTTCTTATTTAACGTTTTTAGAGAAATGAAGGAAAGGGAAATTTGAAGTAAAATTAGAGAGAGATTCCATGTCCTTGGACAGAGGAAATTTAACAAGACAAGCAGGTTTTGACCAACCAGTTCCAGATATTGCGCTGTGTCAAATACAGTTCGGTCCAAATGTTCAAAATCTGCCGCTGCACACATATTTACAGGCTCTTCGTATCAATTAGTCTACTTTGTGCTCATGTAGAGAACTCCATGCATTACATTTCTATAAGGTGTTAACCAAAAAGACCGAGGAATTTTCCCCAGGCATGGAGATGTACAATGTCCCATATTCATGGCACTTTTGCCAAACGCAGAACCTGTTTAGCAAGGTTTCTGTTTCTACCTCATGTGTAGTGGTGTTGCAATAGTGCATTGGGAAAGCACATTATGCTTGAGGATGATGCTGAAAATAAACCTGGGGAATGGAGGAGTCTTAAGTAGTACTTGGGTGCTGTCCAAACTGGCAATCTGAGTTGTTGCTCTGATAAACTATTGTTTCAACTGGGCCTTCTTTTGAGAAGGCTTCAAGTCTTTAACTGTTCTGATGAAAACAATGCTTGGAGTTCCTTTTTTCTCCGTATTCAGACATATTTAGCTTCATTTGTGTTTGAACTGACCCCTTTCCCTGACCCCTTCTAATCAACCATATTAAAAGTATAGTACCGTGGTTTTCAAAACTTGTTAAGCAATAATTATTTTTTCAACTAGAATTGATCTTGATTGTTCAATATATAAAACAGATAAAGAAGGGGCTTCCCTGGTGAGATTCTGTCTTGTTTTTTTGTTTGTTTGTTTGTTTGTTTGTTTGTTGAGATGTAGTCTCACTCTATCGCCAGGCTGGAGTGCAATGGCATGATCTCGGCTCACTGCAACCTCCGCCTCCTGTGTTCAAGCAATTCTCCTGCCTCAGCCTCCCATGTAGCTGGGATTACAGGTGTCTGCCACCATGCCCGGCTAATTTTTGTATTTTTAGTAGAGACAGGGTTTCACCATGGTGGCCAGGCTGGTCTCCAACTCTTGACCTCTGGTGATCCGCCCACCTCACCCTCCCAAAGTGCTGGGATTATAGGCCTTCCTGTATTGCCAATGAGATTCCTTGAAGCATAATTTGAAAACCTGGAATAATGGAAAGATGACAAGACCAGGAGTTACATTATGACTGGATTCTATTCAAAAATTCAGTTCAATTTGATGAACATTTATTGAGCATTTTCAGTGTGTCAAGCACTAAAAAAGCTAAGGAAAAAAAGACTAAAAAAACTTCAAGTGTAGTAAAAATCATGTATAAGAACAAGTGTAATAAGTGATAAAAAAGTGCTGAAGATGCACAAGCTCACTGATATATTTCAACCACCTGGGCCTTGTTTTCTTTAGATTTAAAATAAATAGCTTAGAACAAACCACCTGCAGCATCTAACCTCCCTTATATTTGTGACTCTATGATTCTGATAGTCTGTGCTGTGAACTGTAAACTGAGGAAATGGAGCTATAAGAACTAAGTGCAGCCTGTTCATCTTTGAAATTTTTTTAAGTTGAGAAGAGGGTGTCACTGCTGTCAGAGAGGCAGGTGTGAAAAGTAAATATAATGTGTAGTTGCTAAGGAACAGAGTTATGCTTTATTGTCTTCAGCTTTTCTGGAATATCCCTTTCACCTCCATGAGTCATGTCAAACCTGGCTTTCCCCTGATAACAAAAATGTCCTTCTCCTATGGAGGCCTCTGATCCTCTGACTCCATCTCCAAACCAGTTTCACAGGACCAAAGAAAGGAGCTGATAAACTTTCCAGAGTGGTTAAAAAGAACATAGGCAGCACACATTTCTTTGTACAATGTCTACTATGAACAAAGTGAAAATGCTCCCTAATCCACTTCCCACAAACAATTAGTACTAATGCTTTGAGAGAGAGAGATATATCATATATATATAGGCATTATTTATATATCTAGATTTGTCAGTCTACCTACCTATATATATAAGCCTTCCCCATACCTATATCTGATTTGGTATTTCATTCTTTATAAATTTAATGACTTTCATTTTATACACTTTCATTTTTAAGTATCTTTATTTTAATATTTAACAAGTTTAATACACTCCCTCCCCTCCTCACCATCCCTCTGTTGCCATCTTTATTTTGAGCCATTGTTCCTTTGCTCTTATATATCAGATTTCTGTGCTTTGAACCCCATGCTATTTCATTTCTGCTGTTTTTTCTACATCCCTATCTACCTATCTCCAGGATACTTCTTTATTGATGACACTCAAAGCGTGTTCTCAGATTTTCATTCCCACCTATCAGAACCTATTTCATGTCTATCCAGGGAAGCATTGTATGGTAGACAGAGTATGAGTATTAGAGTTAGGATGACTTTGGTTCCTATCATCCATGTGACTTCAGCAAGTCACTTAACCTCTCAGTACTCCAAATTTCTCATATGTTAAACTGAAGGTTAATAACAATAGCCATTTTATGAAACATTTCATGTACACCTCGTACATGTAGTTCCCGTTCAGATTTTTATTGACTGTTAAGAGAATGGGTGTTATAGATGTTAGAAGTAATTTATCTAAAGTGATTATTAAAATACTTTATAAATAATTGGAAGTCAAAACAAAATGACAGCATTATTTCTCCTGGCTTGACCTTATAGTTTTTGTATTGAGGTTCTACCACCTCAGTAACCATGACTTTGACTGCTCTTCTACCTCTTCCATCAGCACAACTGCTTATTCTCTAGGCTACTCTGATCAACCCTGGCTGCACATTGGAAGTCTTTGGGAGCTTTAAAAAGTACTGATGATGGGGTATTGTTCCTGGAGATTTTGACTTAATTGGTCTAAAGTGTATCTTGAGCATTGAAATTTTTTGAAGCTCTAAAATATTGAAATATGTAAATCCCCCTGATTCAGTTAGTTTGTCAGTTCTTCCAACTGCTCAGTTCTCACCCCTGATTTTATCTGGGGCTGTCGTTAATGCTCCTGTATTCTTTTTTTTTTTTTTTTTTTTTGAGACGGAGTCTCACTTTGTCGTAAGACAAATAATTATTGTTGAGCAATAAATATTTTTTCAACTAGAATTGATCTTGATTGTTCAATATATAAAACAGATAAAGAAGGGGCTTCCCTGGTGAGAATCTTTTTTTTTTTTTTTTTTGAGACATAGTCTCATTCTATCGCCAGGCTGGAGTGCAGTGGCGCGATCTCGGCTCACCGCAAGCTCCGCCTCCCATGTTCACGCCATTCTCCTGCCTCAGCCTCCCGAGTAGCTGGGACTACAGGCGCCCGCCACCACACCCGGCTAACTTTTTTGTATTTTTAGTAGAGAGGAGGTTTCACCGTGTTAGCCAGATGGTCTCGACCTCCTGACCTCTTGATCCACTTGACTCGGCCTCCCAAACTGCTGGGATTACAGGATGAGCCACCACGCCCGGCCTCTAATGCTCCTGTATTCTTTTAATCTGCTGCTTGCTTCAGAGACCACCTGATCCAGCCAGGAGCCCAGAGTTAACTATGCATGCCAAACTTTTCACCAGAAATTATAATAAAATGGATTATAAGATACTTTATTCAAAGTCATAGATTCGTAGAGTTTTTCACAGATTTCTGTTTCCTCTTGAAATTCCCATGTCCATTACTCAGTTTTGATCAAGATGGCAGCTCAACCCCTTTTCTCATCCTCTTTTCCTCTGCTATCAAGGATGAGATTAAATTCATGTAATCCTTCTGAGAGAACAGTCACTGAATTGAGACCCTAACAATTTTTGCCCTCCATCTCACATTTCCATCAGTTGGAACCCACTATTTATGCCAGAGTAGACAAAATGTGAGGCAGTGAGTCAAATCTGGCGGATGACTTAGGGCAGTGTAGAGCTTTATTTCATCATGTATGATTGAAATTTGGGTGTGTCTAGATGAACTAAGCACTTTTTATGTTTAGGGTCGGCCCCAGCCTTTCCTCCTATGTTTATACAAAGCCACATCCATTTACATACCTGAGAGAACCTTGAGATCACCTAAGCTGGGTGCTTCTGCTTCATCTGTTTGCTTAGATCTTGGCATAAATAGAAGCCCTTTCTCCTTTCCAAGGCTGGTTAATGCAACTGTTCTAGAGAACTGTACAGACATTTTTATTGTTCAGCCTACCCTTCAAATCCAAGCTGGTTGCCTGTGTTCATAACTTAGGTTTGCAACCACCCTGGAACTGACTGTGGAATGGCATATGGTCATCCCATCTTCCTGCTTTCTTTTCAGCCCCTCACTGCAAGATAGGTCCCACTACTGCTAAGCACGAGAGTTAAAAAGGTTGGGGCCAGGTGCGGTGGCTCACACCTGCAATCCTAGCACTTTGGGAAGCCAAGGCAGGAGGATTGCCTGAGCTCAGGAGTTCAAAACCAGACTGGACAACTTGGTGAAACCCTGTCTCAACTAAAATTAAAAAAATCAGTGGACATGGTGGTGTGCACCTCTAGTCTCAGCTACTCAGGAGGCTGAGGCAAGAGAATCACTTGAACCCAAGAGGCAGAGGTTGCAGTGAGCCGAGATCATGGGTGACAAAGTGAAACTCTGTCTCAAAAAAAAAAAAAAAAAAAAGTACTTAAAAAGGTTCGGAAAGCAAAGAGGGTTTTCATTAGAATCAAGTCATATAATCTTTTTAATCACTGATTATTTAAAAAATTATTTTCTGTAATTTTTAGGTATAATTTGCATAAGAGTGAAATCCACAGATTCTAAGAACAGTATGGTCACTTCTGAAAAATAAATGAACTTGTATAACCACCGTCACCCCTGTTAAAACATAGATTACAATGCCTCAAGAGTTCTTGAGCCTCTTGCCTGTCAACCACTGTTTTAACTTTCAAAGTTAGCTATTTGTATTATTAATTGTATCTTTACTAATAATTTTAGTAGGGATTAGTAAATAACAATTTATTTCAATTAGTGTTTTGCATACTCAATTTTTCTGTATACCTTTTTCTAATTAACAATTTTAAAAAGTGAGAATGTGGATTACCTGAAAGTTGAGATAAATAAGCCATTAATAAAATACATATATCTCCAGCTGAGCATGGATTTTTAACAAAGGTTACCTCAATATTAAAATTGAAAGTGGACACCCTACTTTCTGAGAAAGATTCAATATATTTTCTGTAATGCTATTACCTTCAAGCTAAAATTGCACCAAATTCAAGATTACCTTTATTTTTTATATTTTGTGAAAGATGTTTTTTGCTCAAGTATATGCTGGAAATATAAATTAAGAAGAAAGCATGTGACAGACACATTTAAACTTTAAGCCTTGACAGAGACCAATGATAATTAGGATTTGATTGAGCATTCTAAATGTTGTACACTACATTAAAAAACCTTAAGTCCCAGCCTAGGAATCACTGTATGTTGTACTTGCTTACTTAATATTGTACCTTTTTTTCAGTTTTTGCTTTTCTTTGTAGCTCTTCTCCTATTTACTTCCTCTATATTCCACTTTCCTCTTAAGTTTTAAATGTTTCATTTGGTAACAGTGATTCTGGTCTGCTATTTGAAAGCAGATCCAGTGCTTGGAGATTCTAATTTTTCCTGCAGACAATAATTTTCGGCTGTTTTGCCTCTTTTAGTCGTTTGTACTCTTTTAAAACTGCTGAAAATCAGTAGAGAGTAATGACTTATGGTAGTCCTGGGGAAAAAACAAAAATCAGAACACCAACCAACCAACCAACAAAAACCAGCCTGAGGAATGTACCAGCCAGGCATTGTGGGTGGAGAGTAACTAGCAAGAGTTTTGGTCCTGGCTCTGCCATTTATTGTCTGTGTCACAGCCAATTAGCATCTTTGCTTCCAAAATCCACATGATGATAACATTTGCCATATCTCTTTGTAAATGTTAAGAGAGTGACAATGAATTTAAAACATATGTGAGAGAGGGCTTTGTAAATGTCATAAAAGGTAAGAAAATGCAACTATGAACATTGTATTTTTTTTCTAACCAATACTGGTGCTGATTTTTAGTTACAAAGAAAGAAGGAGAAAAAACCTCAGTACCCCAATTTTCTTTTTTTTTTTTTTTAGTTTCTACAAATAATTTATTGGAATATAATTTGCACCCATTTAAAGTGTCCAATTCAATGGGTTTTTTGCATATTCACAGAGCCGCACAACCCTCACTACAATCAATGTTTGACCATTTTCATTACCCCAGAAGAAAGCAGGTCCCTGTTAACAGTCACTCCCTATTTTCCCCCAAAAGTCCCTGCCCCTGGCCACCACCAATCTATTTCCTGACTGTGGATTTGCCTACCTTGGGCATTTCATGTAAGCAGATCACACAATATGTGAGCAGATCATACATGAGCAGACCATACAATACATGATCCTTCCTGTCCGGCTCCTCTCACTTAGCCCTGTGTTTTCAAGGTCCTTCTATGCTGTAGTAAACATCCGTGCATCATTCCATGCATGGGTGCATACTTCATTTCTTTCTATTGCTGAATAACATTCCATTGTAGGGATACGCAATCTGTATTTCTCTATTCACCAGTTGCTTCAACATTTGGTTTCTACTGATCTGATTTTCCCCCAATCCAGTTTTCACCACACACAGAACCAAAGGATTGTGTAAGAGAAGCTGATAAGAGGATCTATAGAGAGCTCGTGACATTTCTGACCTTCTCCAAGGTTAGAAACCAACAGGGATAACATCTCTGCCCTTTACCCTCTAAGAGAATAGATGATGCTTTGAGGGTTAAAGGATACAACGTTTAGAACCTCTCCCTGATGAAACAAACAAACAAACCCAGATGTCTGCTTAGTAGCAAAAGAAAGAGAATAGGAGGTAGGAGTTGCCGTAAAGTAGAATAAAGGGAAAAAGAGAAACTCATATTTGTCAAATATATTATTGCCAGTATCAGGCCTTTTATGGCGATTATTCCTTTTAATTCTCATAAATACTCAACAACTTATATGATGTGATATTTACTGCTTTCATTTTATAAATTAAAAAATTGAGGCCTAAGGAGTGTTAGTTGTTTGCCACACACAGGCAGCTACAAAGCAGTTGGGCTTATCCAGCTGTTACCAGCAGGTCTTTGTTCTTAGAGCTCCCAAGATGGTGGCAGGCCACTCCCAAGATGGGGTGGGCTGCTCCCAAGATGGCGGCAAGACTTTTGTTCTCTGACCTGGGGTTCTTGGCCTCACGGATTCCAAGGAATGGAACCTTGGGCCCTGTGGTGAGTGCTATAGCTCTATTAGAAGCCGTGGGTCATGGAAGAGAACTGTGGAACCCAGTGACTAGTGTTCAGCTCAATTAGGACGAACCCGAGCACTTAGCCATGTGGGAACAATGACAAGCCTCTAGCTGGATCCAGAGCGGCAAAGGGCGCCTCGCTGGATCAGGAGCACAGCGGACACCCTGCTGGATCCGGAGGGGTGGAAGTCAGTGGCGGGTCTGCAAATGGCAGTGGTGGACGGCAAGCGAAAGCTCAGCTTGAGCCGTAACAAACACGGACCAGAAGAGTGTGCAGCTGCAAGATTTAGTAGAGTGAAAACAGAGCTCCCATACAATGGGAGGGGACCCAAAGGGGGTTGCCCACTCCCGTCTCGAATGCCTAGGGTTTATATCCCGAATATTGTCCCTCCCCCACGCTCTCAGGCAATATATGATTTGACTATTTCTTTACCTCCTGCTTTTAGCCTAATTGGTATTTTAGTGAGTCCTCTTTACTACCTAATTGGTTGGGTGTGAGGTGAGTTACAAGCCCCGTGTTTAAAGGTAGGTGCGGTCCCCTTCCCCAGCTAGGCTTAGGAATTCTTAGTCAGCCTAGGAAATCCAGCTAGTACTGCCTCTCAGTCCCCACTCTCAACAGGAAAACTCAAGTGATGTTGGGGAGGTTGGCCAACGACCGCTCTTAACTGCTTCCTGCTGAATTGGGGCGTAGTAGGGGTCGTGCAGTTGAGATTTCCTCAGGAGGGGTGCCTTTGATGTCATTAACATCAGAGCATGGGCTAGCAGGCTGGTCCAGGGGTCTGCAGTAGATCTTAGTCATGGACTGCATCTGGGGCTCCATTTGAAGAACCATTTGTAGTTTTACAACTTCGATTCTGGAAGAGACATACTTAACAAGGAGGTTAAAGATACAGGGATTGAAATGTATGGCCTGAAGTGCAGGGGTATATGGTTGTGGGTGGTGAAAGTGGGGTCTCCTTTAGAAAAACCCCTATACGATGGGACATCAATATTTCTGGGAAGCCACATTCTCCATAGAACCTCTTGGTAAGAGGAGCTACTGGTAGTACAGCAGCATGGAGGAAGTGAAGTGAGAGTGAAAGGGGGTAAGAGAACAGTAAAAAGAAAAATGTGACAAAGGAGGGCCATGGGGATCCACGATTCTAGTTACTTTCCTCATGGTTGTCGCTTGAAGAGCAGGTGCAGATCCTCTAGAGGTTCACAGGAATACCCAGCATTGTCTCCTGGATTTTCGGGCTCCTTTGGCAGTATCCAGGGTTTGACTTGAGCGTGATGTATCCAAGACTCCACTCCAGCCACTTTAACCATGGTTGGGGTAGATAAAATGACTGGGTAGGGTCCTTCCCAGGATGTATCTAGGGATGGGGAACTAGAGGGAAGGGACTTGACTAATACCATGTCACCAGGGTGGAATAATTCCTTTCCCTCCTCTCAGGGACAGGTTCCCTGTAATGTTTTAAGAACTTGTTGACATTTAGCTAAGGAGGTGATGTCTTCAATTAAGTTGGCTCTCTCTTGGTCAAACACAAGGTCATTGGTTAGGAAGGGCCATCCATACAGCATCTTGTATGGACTAAGTCACACTTTTGGGAGAGAGTTACGGATTCTTAGTAAGGCTATAGGCCACAGAGCAGGCCATGCGAGGTGGGTTTCTTAGGTTAGCTTTTTTAGATGTTGTTTGAGTGTTTCTTTCATTTTCTCGGCTTTTCCTGAGGATTGTGGCCTCCAGGTGCAGTGTAAGTGATATTGTATGCCTAACACCTGGGATACTCCCTGGGTTACTGAAGCCTTGAAAGCGGTGCCATTGACACTCTGTAAGCCTTGGGGAAGTATGAATCTGGGAATTATTTCATGAATTAGTGCCTTTATTACCTCTTGGGCCTTTTCTGTCCTACAAGGGAAGGCCTCTGCCCAACCAGTGAAAGTATCTACCCAGACTAGTAGATACTGAAATCCCTGAGATTTGGGCATGTGGGTAAAATCTAGTTGCCAGTCTTCTCCTGGGTAATGGCCTGTTCTTTGTTCTCCTGAAGGAGCTTGGTGATAAGGCAGGGGATTATTTCTTTGGCACACTTCACAGGCCCTGACTATCTGCTTGATAGTTTTGAAAAGGCCTGGTCCAGTAAATAATGTTTTGGCCATCTGATGGGTGCTATCAATGCCTAAGTGAAAGGTTTGGTGAAGGTTTTTAAGTAATTTCCGTTGGTTAGCTGCAGGCAAAAGTATTTTTCCTTCTTAATGGGCTAGACATCCTGAGGGGAGGAAACTATGTCCTCTCGTGAGTTTCCCCATTCTGTTTCTTTTGCTGAGTACTGGGGCTTGGTTTCCCGGAGGGGATTACTCCATATGAGGGGTCCTTCTATAAGCATTTCTAATGGAGGGTACCGCCTTACAGTTCTTTTGTCTTCAATATCTGCTTGGTGGTTCCCTTCTATTTCCCTTTCCTTTCCTTTCTGATGACCCTGGAAGTGTAAGACTGCCACCTCTTTAGGTTTCTGTACAGCCAATAATAGTCTCCTAATGGCTTCCTGATGTTTGATAGATGTTCCCTCGGAAGTTAGGAATTCCCTTTCTCTCCATATTGCTGCGTGGGCATAGGGGACTAGGTAAGCATACTTAGAGTCTGTATACATATTTACCCTTTTTCCTTCTCCTAATTCAAGTGTATAATGGCCCCTGCTTTTGCTAGGATGTCTCTCTCTAACAAAGGAGTGGGGCTTTCAGGCATAATTAGAAAGGCATGTGAAAAGAGTAAAGTTCCCCAGTCACAACTTAGTGTCTGGGAGAAGTATCTAGTGATTGCCTGTCCTAGGACCCCTTGGATAGTGACAGATCTGGAGGACAGATGTCCGGGGCAGGACAGTAAGACTAAGAAGGCCGCGCCAGTGTCCTGGGGACAGTTAAACTCCTGGCCCTCAATGGTCAAGCATACCCGGGGCTCTGTGAGGGTGATGGCATGGGCTGGCGCTTGCCCTGGGCACCCTCAGTCCTGCTGCTGGATCATCTGGTTAGTGGCTTCTGACCCAGAGGACCTTCATTCCCTGGGGAAGTGGGCCTTCCAGTGATTCCCTTCACATAAGGGGCATGGACAAGGAGGTGGCTTATTTCTATTTGGACAATCTTTTTTAAAGTGTCCGTGTAGGCCGCAGTGGAAGCAAGCCCTATTAGGCATGTGATTTGCCCAGCCTTTCCCTGTTCCAGAGCCTCCAAAGTCCGCTTGCCGAGGGCCATGACTAAAGCGGTGGCCTTCTTTTTATCCTGTTCGTCCCGTTCCGCCTGCTCTTCCTGATCTCTATTATAAAAAACCAAGGTTACCAAGTTAAATAGGGTTTCTAAGTTTTGCTCGGGGCCTAAGGCGGACTTTTGAAGTTTTTTTCTAATGTCTGCAGCTGACTGAGTGATAAGCTTATCCTTTAAGATTACCTGGCCGTCAATAGAGTCAGGTGACAGAGAGGTATGCTTCCCCAATGCCTCCCTTAGTCTCTCCAGGAAGGCAGTAGGATTTTCTTCCTTTCCCTGTGTTATAGTGGACATCATTGAATAATTCAAAGTCTTCTTCCTAGTTTTCCTTAGTCCTTCTAGCATGCAAGTTAGCAAATGTCTGCGGCACCAATCTCCATCTTCTGATTTTGCGTCCCAATGAGGGTCTACACTGGGAACTGCCTGCTGGCCTGTGGGGAATCATTCTCTTTCCTCTGTTGTCATCCTATCATTGAACTGACTGAGACGCCAGAGATCACCAAACTCTCGGGCTGCAGCTATGGCGGCACTTCTCTCATTTGGAGTTAGTGCCTGATTTAGCAGTAACATTATATCTCTCCATGTCAGATCAAAGGATTGTCCTAACCCTTGTAAAACATCAATATAGCCATCAAGGTTATCTGAGAATTCACCTAGGTCTATTTTAATTTGCTTCAAGTCTGAGAGGGAAAAAGGTACATGCACTCTGACTGGGCCAAATTCTCCTCCTCCCACCACTTGGAGGGGGCGTAATCGGGTAATACTGGCACTCTTGGGTTCATTGTTTACCCCTTTGTCTATCTCTTTTTGGACTGTTTGGGTTGAAGGGGGGTCTTTATTAGTTGGGGAAGGAGCTGGGAGAACACCAGGGCAGGGAGGTAGACTCTGAGGGCTTCCTGTAGGGCATAAATTACACTTTTTACATAATTGAGAGTTTTCTCTTAATGAAAAGAAAGTTTGCACATATGGCACTTCACTCTATTTGCCCTCCTTTCTACAAAGGAGATCTAGCTGTAAGATGATGTTATAATATATACTTCCCTCAGGGGGCCAGGTTTCTCCCCCTTGAAGAGTATATTGTGGCCTGGCGGGACTGCAGAAGAATATAAGTTGTTTCTTTCTTAGCGTATGAGGGTCAAATTGGTCCCAATTCTCCAGAATACATCTTAGGGGCATTTTTGCCTTGGGGGGAATGTTTCCCATCTGAAAAAAGAACATAGGGATGCCAGGATCCCCAGTCATTTTCCAATGAGCTTTAGTCCTAGAGCGTCCTCTATGGTGTTAATGCTTATTCCTTTCCAGGGTGTGTAACCAACCATGGACCTCTGCTTATCGGATTAGTTACACTCACCAGTGTAGCAGTCCTGCACCCTTTTTCCTG
Source organism: Homo sapiens (assembly GCF_000001405.40). Lineage (NCBI taxonomy): Eukaryota > Metazoa > Chordata > Mammalia > Primates > Hominidae > Homo > Homo sapiens. Next base: position 26,595,226 of record NC_000011.10, read on the forward strand.
CCTTTCTTGACCACAAAGAAAGGGGTCCAGGCTGCTGGATTCTAGTGGTCCTTTACCAGCATGCCCAACATTGCCTTTGGCTCAGGGGTGAGTCCTAGAGCTGGGCTGGATTCCTGAGTACTTCAAACAACCCAGCTGCCCCATCCAGATTCATTCCCATAAACAACAGTTCTTATGCGAATTCGTTTTGGAGAGGGTGTAGGTAAACTTTTGACTCAGTATTGAGATAGAGTTGTTTTTTTTTTTTTTTTTTTTTTTTTTTATTCTGTAAGTACTTTAAGGCTTGGCTGAGTGCAAACAGCTCACACGTTTGAGCAGACCAATTATTAGGCAATTCTCCTAACTCTGCTTCCACAAGAGTCTCCCTATCAATTACTGAATACCCATTGTGGTTTTTTCTCAATCACCCGGGAGGAACCATCTGTCGTCCTGAAGGGAGTTCCTCCTAGGTCTGATCGGACTTTGTATGGTAATTAAGATTGAAATCCCCTGTTAGGAAATCTGCTGGGTTAAGAGAATTTTCAGTGGTTAGTGTTAAATCACCTTTTTCTAACAGAATAGCCGCATACTTTAAGATTTTTGAGTTAGTAAGCTACTTTTTTGCTTTTTTTGATTTAGGATAGCTCTGAACTGGTGAGGTGTGCTCACAATGAGGTTTCCTCTAAAGGTTATTTTTCTACTTTCTTCTGTTAGCAAGACAGTTGCCGCTACCAATTGAATGCATTTGGGCCATTCGCGGGTTACTGAGTTAAGAATTTTTGATAGGAAGGCTATGGGTTGTCAGTGGTCTCAGTGTTTTGGGCTATGCCCTTGTTTACATTGACAACAAGGTAATATTGGAGTGTTATAGGGTCACGGAGAAGACCTTCAATTATCAATTACAGGTTTTAAATTTACCCTGGCTTTTAAAGGAATAGGGCACACTGTTTTTCCTTTACTATTTCTATCTTTCTCTTTCTCTCTTTCTTCTTTGACTTTCTGTCTCTCTCTGTTTGACTCATCTTTTGTCTCTGTTTCTTCCTCTCTCTCTCCCTCTCTGCCTCTCTCTTTCTCCTCTCTGCCTCTGTAGAAGGATTTTGGAAACATAGTGGAAGGACATTCGCTTGTTGCCCCCATTTGCCACTATAGGAATATGTGCCTCCCTTTAATTTACTCAATTCATTTTCAACCTGATCTATTATGTTGTTGTAGACCCAGTTCCAGTTGTTAAAGTACTGGGTTATCAATTCTAAGGCCCTGGCAAGGGTGGTGGGGAACGGGTCCCACATAACTGCCCATGTCGAGAGCTGTATGCCTGAATTGGGAGAGTCACCAGGGCCAAGACTCCCTGGGTTCATTGCCTAGGTGCTTAAGGACACAGCGTAGAGCTTCCTTAGATCCCTTTGGAGATACAACCTGCTCTAATACTTGGGAACGGAAGTGAAAGTCTGAAGCATTAGTACCTAGGAGGCAGGGATCAGAGGAAGTAGATTCAGAGGTAAGGAGAATTTTGGGGCTACACTTTCAAGAAAGTCATGGTTAGGACCCAGGAGATATGGGTCAGAAGGAGAGGTAGGGGCACACACATGGGCAACTGTTGAGTAGAGACTTCTGGCTGTGCAATGATCTCCACCGGCCAATGCCAGGAGTTCAGGACGACAGCTTTCTGCCTCTAGCCGACCCTCGGCTTCCCTAGGAAAATTGTGAAAGCAGAAGCTGGTTCCAGGCAGAACAAAGCTCCCAACACAGAAGGGTTGGGGGTTGTTAGAAAGCTTTTTCCCAGGAAACCTCACACCTGAGTCCAGCAGCCACGCTAATCGTTTTTAACTGGCTGATGGGTGCCCGGTTATTTTCCTCCAATTCTAAGGAAGGATAGGACAGAATAGCAAGTGAAAGTGGTTCAGTATTACTCACCGCTTTGGAGAAGCGCCGTACGGGCCACCAAATGTTACCGGCGGGTCTTTGTTCTTAGAGTTCCCAAGATGGTGGCAGGCCACTCCCAAGATGGGGCGGGCTGCTCCCAAGATGGCAGCAAGCCTTTTGTTCTCTGACCTGGGGTTCTTGGCCTCACGGATTCCAAGGAATGGAACCTTGGGCCATGCGATGAGTGATATAGCTCTATTAGAAGCCATGGGTCACAGAAGGAACCATGGAACCCAGTGACTAGTGTTCAGCTGGATTAGGACGAACCTGGGCACTTAGCCGTGCAGGAACAACGGCAAGCCTCTAGCTGGATCCAGAGCGGCAATGGGCGCCTCGCTGAATCAGGAGCACAGTGGACACCCTGCCGGATCTGGAGGGGTTGAAGTCAGCGGTGGGTCTGTGACAGTGGCAAACAGCAGTGGTGGACAGCAAGCAAAAGCTCAGCTCGAGCCGTAACAAACACGGACCAGAAGAGTGTGCAGTTGCAAGATTTAATAGAGTGAAAACAGAGCTCTCATACAATGGGAGGGGACCCAAAGAGGGTTGCCCCAGTACCACAGATTTCTAAAACATATATGTGAGTTCTTAGTTGTGTCCACAAAGTCTTGAATGGTGTAAGATAGAGCCCGTCTAGAAAAAAAATAAAACAGCAATCGTTTTCTTAACTGTTTAAACGGGAAAGCTGACAGTTCAGGAATTTCTTTACTTTTTCCACTGAGTCCTTTTCAGTCCATGTAGAGTCCACCCAGAATATGAATTTGGGAGTTTCTTCTCTTGTCTTTCTTTTCTTCTCCTTCACCACGAGAGTTTGTTCTTTTGTTCTCTCTCCTACACCATCTCTCTGTAAGCTCTGGACGAGTAGCATTTGGCCTTTATTGTGATTCTTGGAGAAGGCTTTATTTGAGTCTTTAGATAATTTTGAATAAGCATATGCAGGTCAAAATGGTCAATATTTAGCTCAGTAATATTGATTGCATCATTTTGATGAGCTGTGCTGACAAAAAGTCCCTGCTTCTTGGTTCCAGTAAAAGAAATCACACCCCTCTAGCAGTGTATGCTAATAGATACACTAATTAATGATGTATAAACACAGGGAGAAGAGGAAAAGGGAAAAATAAAATTTTAATTTATTATTTTCATAATTTAATTTTAATTATGAGATAAGATATCTCAATATAAAGAAGAAAAGCAATATGATGTGATTTGGGTAAAGAATTATCATTTTTATATTTTATAGCCACAGTCTTCCTGGAGTTTTGGAAAAGGAGAAGGAGTATACTGACCTATACTTGGGACCTTATCGAATGGGAAGAAGAGGAGGTAAGATGTTAGGATACAAGGAAATAGGGAAACTGGGCTATTACAGGATATGGAAAATTACTGCCCTAGCATTCCGGCTGGAAGCAGTTAACCACCATTAGATTTTTCCCTTGATCTTTCCTACTAAAAAGATTTATTATTTTATGAAGATAATAGAGATCAATGAAGTATGTATTTTTCAAACCACTTCTGTGATGTTTCTTTAAATTACATTAGTGGAAAATTATGCTAATTTCAATACTGCTCGGGATTTATTTGGAAGGTAATTTGATGTTATTTTTAAAAGGTTGCTTTATTGTGAAGACTTAATACAAAAGTAGGCCAAATTTAGGAGTATCGTATCAATTCTTGGGGGTATGTTTTTTTAGTTTATGGCTTTGATATTTAGATAACTTTCGTTTCTCTCATAGGAAACACTTCGTCCCCAGTTTGAAGCCAAGTATTACAAGATGGAGATTGTAAATCCCATCACGGGAAAACCTGAACCACATCAGCCTTCCTCAGACAAAGTCACTCGTCTTCTTGTTTCTGTCTCAGGAATATTCTTCATGGTAAAGTATAGGCATCGATATCAAAATGTTTTGGGATTCTAAATTTAGAAGTAAGTTCAATGATACCAACTCATTTTGTGACGTTGAGAATGTCAGAAACCTTATTCTTTCCAACAACTTGGTAACACGTACAATTAAACAAACAAATCACAACAGGTTATGGAGATTTTACAAAGGCAGTTTGTGCACCTTTTTAAAGAAAATACTCTTTGGGAGAAACAGAGACCATCTAAGATAAAATGGAAATTATATCAGTTGACCTGATGGATTAGACATCTTGTGTTAAAAATGAGCATTCCATTTAAGAGGACGTTGGGAAGAATTTGCATGTTAGTGTGATAACTTTGTTATCATACTAAAACAACAAATTTTGTCCTATTTGTTTTGACTAGAATATAACTTCCTTAAAGGAGAAAATTAAATCTAGATATCCTTTCTTGGAAAGGTAAATACCTTCAATTCTTGGGGACAGTAGATTTGATCTACGGTTTTGCTTTTGACTTGTTAATGATGTAAAATATGGATGTTTTTTCTGGTGTCCAATATTGTAGATATCCTTGGTGATCACTGCAGTGTTTGGAGTTGTGGTGTACCGCCTGGTTGTCATGGAACAGTTTGCATCATTCAAGTGGAATTTCATCAAACAATACTGGCAGTTTGCAACATCTGCTGCTGCTGTCTGTATCAATTTCATAATCATTATGTTGCTGAATCTTGTAAGTGTCTATAATGTTATTCTTCAGTAGACAAAAAAGGGGTGGAAAGGGGAGAGGTCTATGTTTCCTTTATATTTGAAATGTATTTACATGGAGCCAAAATAAGACCAAGCCACATTTCTGTCAATGACAATTCAGTTTAACAGAAAAGATTTCATCTTTGTAGTTTAGATGATAGATTTTTGAAATTAAAATAAATGCTAATTGTATTATCTTCCCTGCATTTTGGGTTTATAATCTGATTAGTGATAGCTTCCATTCAGTTAGTATCTCGTGTGTGCTAGAGATGGTGCCATGCACTTTTCAAACAAATAAAGAATTGTTTGGGCTTTAAAATCATCCCAATAAACTCCATTTTATGGGAAAACTTGTTGGAAAGATATGGGAAAATCTTTTTGAAAGCGAAGTATTGTTATCTACTAGTCTTCATGTGAAATGAAAAACAGTAAGGCAATTATTCCAGTTTTCTTTCTCTGGAACTACTGTTTCTCTCTCCCTTGTCTTCTTCCCTCTTCTCTCGTCTCCTTTCCTCTCCTCTCCTCTCCTCTCCTCTCCTCTCCCCTCCCCTTCCCCTCTCCCCTTTCCTCCCCTCTCCTCTCCTCTCCCCTCCCGTCTTCTCTCCCCTCTCCTTTCCTCTCCCCTCTCCTCTCCTCTCCCCTCTTCTCTCCCCTCTCCTCTCCTCCCCACCTCCCTTCCCCTGCCCTCCTCTCCTCCTCTCCCCTCCCCTCTCCTCCCCTCCCTTCTCCTTTCCTCCTCCCCTCCCCTCCCCTCTTCCCCTCCCCTCCTCTCATCCTCTTCCCATCTCTCCTCTCCTTCCTTCTCCTCTTCTCTCTCTCCCTTAATCCCTCCCTCTCTCACTTCCTCTCCCTCCCTTCCTTCCTCTCCCTCCATTCCTTCTTCTCACTCCCCCTCCCTCCTTCCCTCCCTCCCTTTCTACCTTCTTTCCTTTCTCTCCTTTTCCCATTGCTTCTCTTTGCATGCCTGCTCTATTCTATCAGGAAGATAACTGTTTTTTGCCTAACTATACCATTTTGTCATAGTCTGGCATGCTGTGGCATTGCTACGCCTTTATTCTTTGACTCTCTCTATGACCATGTTCCTCATGTTTCAACTGCTTATTTAACTTAAATCATCCAGTATTTTTATGTGCTAGTTACTCAAAGAAAGCACCTTTTTGTTTCAACATCGCATGCACTTAATGACTTGTGGACCAAATATCCATGGTTAATGGGACAAGAGTATGCATAGGCCTACCTCTTCAATCAGGTCTATCAATGGGAACCAATTTCCTCTGAAAATAGAAGGCACCTATTGGCACATTAAGGATAATATCTTTAATTCTTCCAACAGCTCCACAAAGTCAATTTATCCTTCATTATGTAAATAATGAAACTGAGATTCAAAGAGCTTAAATAACCTGCATATAGTAAGTGTTAATGTTAGTATATTTACATCATGAGATAATTTATATGATATAGCTGAGCCATACATAAGTAATAAGGTTGGTATTATAGATAGATAATATGCATTTGGTTCCAAATGTGATTGATACTCATGTTACTTGTTTAGCCTGGAGGGAGTTGAGACCATTTGCTATTTAACTTTAAAACAATAATCAGAGAAGATCTTAAGAGAAAAGTGAACAGTCACAGTTATAAATGAGTACTCATTATTATGAGGACAATAGTTAACATATTCTACTGGAGTTTGCTTTGCTCGGGTCCAGTTTAGTTTGTAGAAAGTGAATACTGTTTACATTATCTCTAAACGAGCCATAAAATAATTTATGCTCTTGACTCATAATTTAAAGTGTATAATAAACATTGAAAAAAAATACACTTTTAGAAGTAGGAAACCTATATGGTAGTATATATAAGATAGTATAGGTTGTGCACTGCACAAGCATCACATTGATGGAAGAGCCATTTTCAGCACAGACACTGTAGATTTTTATATTTTTGCTGTTACTTTTCTGGTATATAGTAAAACATCATGTTTGTAACAAAATCAGTACAAACTATGACAGCTTTTCAGTAGACAGAGGTTATTGCAATTGGCCCTATTATCTGGGAAAAGATAACTAAGTAGTTGTGTCGATTTCTAGGTCACAGAAGCAGTTGCCCAATTTGATCTTAAATTGACTCATTTCTTATCGTAAGTAGGTTGGTTGACAAAAAAATTAATAATAGTAGCTGGTCATAGTTCTGCTACCCAGGATCTTATAGTCTAGTGGGGAAAGAGAATTGAAGAATTCAGTGAAAAATGCACAATAGTTGAAGCAAAAAGGGCCCTGAGTAAGGTGAGAAAAAGGTCATCTATTGCACGTGAAATGGGATGGTACGTTTTATGATAGTGGATCAGAAGACTTGAATGGAAGAAGAGAGGGTGCTTATTCTGATCAGCCAAGAAAGAGCAGAAAGGAGATTGTTGTTTGAAGAAATTCAACCCACAGATGGACAGAAGCACAGAAATGCATGTTCTTTGCCCTAAGGAAATAATGGGAAGTGTCTGTGAAGCATATTAGAATAAAGAAAAATAAGACTAGAAAACTAAATCAGTGCCTAGCTTTGGAGGTGTGAGTGGCATGTAAAGAGTATGGATATGATGTTGTTTTTTGCCCACTGTGGGCAGTGGGAAGCCATACTTGATGGTATTTGATAGGTAAATAGCCACAAATCATCTTATCAGATACATTTATCGATATAAAGGAGATTAAAATATTAGAAGAGGGGCCAGGCATGGTGGCTCATGCCTGCAATCCCAACACTTTGGGAAGTCAAGGCAGGAGGATTGCTTGAGCCCAGCAGTTTGAGACCAGCCCGGGCAACATAGTGAGATCTCATTGCTACAAAAGTTTTTTTTTCTTTTCTTTTCTTTTTTTTTTTTTTAAAGCCAAGTGTGGTGGTGCACACCTGTAGTCTCAACTACTCAGGAGGCTGAGGTGGGAGGGTCAGTTGAGACCAGAGGCCAAAGCTACAATAAGCTGTGATCACCCCACTGTACTCCAGCCTGAATGACAACATGAGACCAAGTCTCAAAAAAAAAAGACATTACTGTGTAATAGAACACTAGAACTTATTTCTTCTATCTAATTATAATTTTGTACCCATTGATCAACGTCCCCTCATGTAATTGCTACCCCTCCCCAACCCATGTAATTACTGTGCTGGTAAGTTTGAAAACTCTCAAGAAAATGTAAGCCTTTCTGGGGAAAAGATAAATAGTCACAACTGCTTAAAGTAAAAGTAGATATTCTAAGTAGATTGTCAATCATGAAAGAAATTGAAAGAAAGATTACAAACTAACAAAGCAGTCTTATCATAGGCACCGTATTACATTTTTAAAAAATTTTAAATAAAAAGATAATTACCTGTTGTGCAAATTAATCCAGCATTTAGATAAAGAAATAATGCTTCCTGGGCAAACATAAAACTGATTTTTAAAATATATCTGGCAAAGCTAGAATCAAAACTCAAACTAAAGAGCATTTACAGCTATATACATAATAGTGGCAAGTATAGATCAAAATATTTTCTAGAGTTACCTCTTGAAAGGAAGAATACAAGTAATTTTTATTTTCTTTACATGTTGTCTAATATTTATCACCTATTTTGAATTTTCTAGATTTGCTACAATAAGCTTATATTCTATTCAACTCTAGTAAAGGACAAACCTTTTTTAAAATTAATTTCCAATATTCTATTTTAAAGGAATTATCAATAATATCATCCAAGATTCATATAGAAGGATTATCATTGTAGTATTATTTAGAGTAGTAGATATTAAAAAAGAGACCCCTTAAATAACCAAAAATAAAAAAAAGTTATTCAAATTCTATGTAAGGTAGTATCATATAAACTATTAAAATGCTCTTTGAATGTTATTTAAGAACATGAAATACAGTTATATAAGGATATAAAAGTTTACTTGATTCCATTTTTTCTAGAATACACATACAGTCTCCTGGATTTTGAAACTTTAAGAAATTACAATCAAATATTAACAATATTGGTCCCTCAATAGTGAGAAAAAATGTGGCACACCCTTTTGATTTAGTATAAATTTTGCTTATAGGGATTTGTATTTGTTCACCTAGTATATTTATTTTAATTCACATATTGTAATGGTACAGGTTTAGGAGTATAATTGGATGTTTTAAACATATGTATGTTGTATAATTGTCAACTCAGGGTATTTAGCATGACCATCACCTGATGGCATTTATCATTTCTTTGTGATGGTCATCCAAGCCTCTTTTCTAGCTATTTTGTAATGTAAAATACCTAAGTGTTACACAATGTCACCCTACTGTGCAGTAGAACACTAGAACTTATTTATTCTATCTAATTATAATTTTGTACCCATTGATCAACCTCTCTCAATCCTCCCCTCCCCAACCCAGTATCTGATAACACTTCCTCTATGATATGAACTCATTTATTGATTTTTAAGAAATCCTCTCCCCATTGCTTGTTTTTGTCAGGTTTGTTGAAGATCAGATGGTAGTAGATACGTGGTGTTATTTCTGAGGTCTCTGTACTGTTCCATTGGTGTATATGACTGTTTTGATACTAGTACCATGCTGTTTTGGTTACTGTAGCCTTGTAGTATAGTTTGAATTCAGGTAGTGTAATGCCTCCAGCTTTGTTCTTTTTGTTTAGGATTGTCTTGGCTATACGGGCTCTTCTTTGGTTTCATATGAAACTTAAAGTAGTTTTTTTCTAATTCTGTGAAGAATGTCAATGGTAGTTTGATGGGAATAGTATTGAATCTATAAATTACTTTGGGCAGTATGATTATTTTCACAATATTGATTCTTCCTAACCATGAGAATAGAATGTTTTTCCATTTATTTATGTCATCTCATATTTCCTAGAGCAGTGGTTTATAGTTCTCCTTGAAGAGTTCTTTCAGATCCCTTGTTATCTGTATTCCTAGGAATTTTATTCTCTTTGTAGCAATTGTGAGTGGGAGTTCATTTATGATTTGGCTCTCTGCTTGTCTATTGATGGTATGTATAGGAATGCTTGTGATTTTTGCATATTGATTTTGTACCCTAAGACTTTGCTGAAGTTGCTTATCAGCTTAAGGAGTTTTGGGGCTGAGACAACGAGGTTTTCTAAATGTAGAATCATGTCATCTGCAAACACAGACAATTTGACTTCCTCTCTTTCTATTCGAATACCCTTTGTTTCATTGTTTTGCCTGATCGCCCTGCCCAGAACTTGCAATACTATGTTGAATAGGAGTGGTGAGAGAGGGCATCCTGTCTTGTATTGATTTTCAAAGAGAATGCTTCCAGCTTTTGCTCATTCAATGTGATATTGGCTGTGGGTTTTTCATAAGTAGCTCTTATTATTTTGAGATATGTTCCATCAGTACCTATTTTATTGAGAGTTTTTAACCTGAAGGGATATTGAATTTTATCGAAGGCCTTTTCTGCATCTATTGAGATAACCAAGACAAATTTTTGTCGTTGGTTCTGTTAATGTGATGGATTACGTTTATTGATTTGCATATGTTGAACCAGCCTTGTATCCCAGGGGTGAAGCCAACTTGATGGTGGTGGATAAGTTTTTTGATGTGCTGCTGGATTCGGTTTGCCAATATTTTATTGAGGATTTTTGCACCAATGTTTCACACCAATGTCAGGGATATTGGCCTGACATTTTCTTTTTTTGTTGTATCTCTGCCAGGTTTTGGTATCAGGATGATTCTGGCCTCATAAAATGAAATAGAGAGGAGTCCCTCTTTTTCTATTGTTTGGAATAGTTACAGAAGGAATGGTACCAGCTCCTCTTTGTACCTCTGGTAGAATTCGGCTGTGAATCCATCTGGTCCTGGGCTTTTTTTGGTTGCTAGGCTATTAATTACTGCATCAATTTCAGAATATGTTACTGTTATTGGTCTATTCAGGGATTCGACTTCTTCCTGGTTTAGTCTTGGGAGGGTGTATCTGTCCAGGAATTTCTTCCTTCCATTTCTTCTAGATTTTCTAGTTTATTTGCATAGAGGTGTTTATAGTCTTCTCTGACGGTAGTTTGTATTTCCGTGGGATCAGTGGTGATATCCCCTTTATCATTTTTTATTGTGTCTATTTGATTCTTCTCTCTTTTCGTCTTTATTAGTCTGGCTAGCAGTCTATTTTGTTAATCTTTTAAAAAAAAACCAACTCCTGGATTCATTCATTTTTTTGAAGGGGTTTTCATGTCTCTACCTCCTTCTGTTCTGCTCTGATTTTAGTTATTTCTTGCCTTCTGCTAGCTTTTGAATTTGTTTGCCTTTCCTTCTCTAGTTCTTTAAATTGTGATGTTAGGGTGCTGATTTTAGATCTTTCCCACTTTCTCTTGTGGGCATTCAGTGCTATAAATTTCCCTGTAAATACTGCTTTAGCTGTGTCCCAGAGATTCTTGTATGTTGTGTCTTTGTTCTCACTGGTTTCAAAGAACTTATTTATTTCTGCCTTAATTTTGTTATTTACCCAATAATCATTCAGTTCACTTTCTATGTAGTTGTGTGGTTTTGAGCGAGTATCCTAATCCTGAGCTCTAATTTGATTGCAGTGTGGTCTGAGAGACTGTTTGTTATGATTTCCATTCTTTTGCATTTGCTGAGGAGTGTTTTACTTCCAATTATGTGGTCAATTTTAGAATAAGTGTGATGTGGTGCTGAGAAGGATGTATATTCTGTTGATCTGGGGTGGAGAGTTCTGTTGATGTCTATTAGATCTGCATGGTCCAGAGCTGAGTTCAAGTCCTGAATATCCTTATTAATTTTCTGTCTCATTGATCTATCTAATATTGACAGTGGGGTGTTAAGGCCTCCCACTATTCTTTGTTGGTTTAAAGTCTGTTTTATCGGAGACTAGGATTGCAATCCCTGCTTTTTTTTTTGGCTATTTGCTTGGTAAATTTTCCTTCATCCCTTTATTTTGAGCCTGTGTGTGTCCTTGCCCATGAGATAGGTCTCCTGAATATAGGACACACATGGGTCTTGACTCTTTATCAAATTTGCCAGTTTGTGTCTTTTAATTGGGGCATTTAGCCCATTTACATTTAAGGTTAATATTGTTATGTGTGAGTTTGATCCTGTCATCCTGATGCTATCTGGTTATTTTGCACACTAGTTGATGCAGTTTCTTCATAGTGTCATTGATCTTTATATTTTGGTGTGTTTTTGCAGTGGCTAGTACCAGCTTTTCCTTTCCATATTTAGTGCTTCCTTCAGGAGCTCTGGCAAGGCAGGTCTGGTGGTGATGAAATTCCTCAACATTTGCTTGTCTGGAAAGGATTTTATTTCTCCTTTGCTTATGAAGTATAGTTTGACTGGATATGAAATTCCATATGATATTATATGAAATTGTTTTGAAAATTCTTTAAGAATGTCAAATATTGGCCCCACTCTCTTCTGGCTTGTAGGATTTCAGCTGAGAGGTCCACTCATAGTCTGATGGACTTCCCTTTGTAGGTGACCTGAAATAAAATAAAATATTTTAAATTTTTAAACAAAATAAAATATTAACATGACTTCCCTTAATATTTTTTCCTTCATTTCGACCTTGGAGAATCTGATAACTATGTGTCTTCGGGTTAATCCTCTCGTGGAGTATCTTCTTGTTCTCTGTATTTCCTGAATTTGAATGTTGGCCTGTCTTGCTAAGTTGGGGAAGTTCTGCTGGATAATATCCAGAAGTGTGTTTTCCAGCTTGTTCCATTCTCCTCATCTCCTTTATATACTCCAATCAATTGTAGGCTCTGTCTTTTTACACAGTGCCTGTTTCTCAGAGGCTTTGTTTATTCCTTTTCATTCTTTTTTCTCTAGTCTTGTCTGCATGCCTTATTTCAGCAACATGGTTTTCAAACTCTGACATCCTTTCTAATATTGCCAGTGGGGTGTTAAGGCCTCCTACTATTATTGTGTGGGAGTCTACGTCTCTTTGTAGGTCTCTAAGAACTTGCTTTATGAATCTGAGTGCTCCTGTATTGGGTGCATAGAATCACTTGGTCGATTCAGCTATTGATACTTGTGTATGCTTTATGAAGTTCTTGTGTTGTGTGTTTCAGCTCCATCAGGTCATTTATGTTCCTCTCTAGATTGGTTATTCTACATAGCACCTCCTCTAACCTTTTACCAAGGTTCTTAGCTTCTTTGCATTGGGTTAGAACCTGTTCCTTTAGCTCAGTGGTGTTTGTTATTACTCATCTTCTGAAGCCTACTGCTGTCAATTTGTTCTCATCCTTTGTCCAGTTCTGTGCCCTTGCCGGAGAGGCGTTGCAATCATTTGGAGGAGAAAAGGTATTCTGGCCTTTTGGGTTTTCAGCATTTTTTCGTTGATTCTTTCTCATCTTCGTTAGTTTGTCTAGTTTCGATCTTTGAGACTGCTGACCCTTGGATGGGGTTTTTGTAGGGACTTTTTTGTTGTTGTTGATACTGTCGTTCTTGCTTTCTGTTTGTTTTTCTTTCAATGGTCAGGTCTCTCTTCTGTAGGGCTGCTGCAGTTGACTGGGGGTTCCCTTCAGGCCCTATTCATTTGGTTCACCCCCATGCCTGTAGATGTCACACAAGGAGGCTGGAGAACAGAAAAGATGGGTGCCTGCTCATTCCTCTAAGATCTCTGACCTCCAGGAGCACCAAGCTGATGCCAGAAGGATTTCTCCTGCATAGGGTGTCTGACAACCCCTGCTGGAGGGTCTCACTCAGTTGGGTGGCACGGAGTACAGGGGCAATATAATGAAGCACTTTTACTGTCCCTTGGTGGAGGGGGTGTGCTTTGCTGGAGGGGAAACCCAGTCTTCTCGGCTGCCTGGATTTCTCAGAATTAAGAGGAGGAAAGGCTAAGTCTGCTGGTTTATAGAAACTGCAGCCACCCCTGTCCCTGGGGACCCAGGCCCAGGGAGATTAGAGTTCTGTCCCTGAGCCCCTGGCTGGAGTTATTGGAGTTCCTGCAGAGAGGCCTCGCCCAGTGAGGAGGGATGGGTCAGGGTAAGGCCTGAAGAGGTACTCTGGCTGCAGTCTGCCACAGCAGACTGTGTGTTGGGCTGTGGGGGACACCTCTTGTGAACAAACCGTCCAGCCTCCCTGGCTCCAGCACGGGAAAAGCACAGCCTGGAGTTATAGAGATACCTGCCATCTTCCCCTGCCCAGGTAGCTTAGTGTGTTAGGCAGCTATTAGTCCCAGTGCTGGCTGCTGCCCGTCCTTCAAAGAGCTCAAAGGGCTTAGACAGCAGGCACCTGCAGCTGTGGTGCTGGTCGCCCCTCCCCCAGGGAACTCAACGGGCTTAAGCAGATTCTAGTTGAGAGGCTTTTGAGAATCTATGCAGCTCCATGGTTGGGACCCTAGTCCCCAGTGGCATGGGTTCACAAGTGGGATCTTCAAATCCATGGGTTGCAATAGTTCCGTGGAAAAAGCAGTTTCCCAGGCTGGGTAGCACGCTGACTGGCTGCCTCCCTTGGCTGGGGGCATGGAGGCTCCCTTATCCCCTGTGGCTCTCAGGTGGGCCGCCACACCACAGTGCTGTTCCTTCCACTCAGTGGAGCACACCAGCCGCCTAGTCAAGTCTGATGAGAGAACTTGGATACCTTGGTTGCAGGTGTAGGATTCACATGCTATTCACATGCAGGATCACATGCAGGATTCACATGCTATCCTGCAGGTGCAGGATATCACATGCAGGATTCACATATCCTGCAGGATATCACATGCAGGATTCCCATATCCTGCAGGTGCAGGATATCACATGCAGGATTCACATATCCTGCAAGATATCACATGCAGGATTCACATATCCTGCAGGTGCAGGATATCACATGCAGGATTCACATGCTAATATTCACGGTTCTTTTGGAGGGGAGCCTGCAATCACCGCTGCTTCTAGTCAGCCATCTTTGGCCCCGCCCCCCACCACATTTTCTTCATCTATTCATCCATTGAAGGACATGTGTTGATTCCATATCTTCACTATTGTAAATTGTGCTGCAATAAACTTAGGAATTCAGATATCTCTTCTACATACTGATTTCATTTCTTTGGATATATACCCAGTAGTGAGATTGATGGATCATATAGTAATTCTATTTTTCATTTTTCTGAGGAACCTTCATAGAGTTTTCCACAGTGGCTATACTAATTTACAATTCCACCAACAGTGTGTAAGTGTTCCCTTTTCTTTGTATCCTAGCCAACGCTAGTTTACTTTGTATTTATTTATTTATTTGAGACGGAGTTTCGCTCTTGTTGCCCAGGCTGGACTGCAATGGCGCGATCTCAGCTCACTGCAAACTTCACCTCCTGGGTTCAAGCGATTCTCCTGCCTCAGCCTCCAGAGTAGCTGGGATTACAGGCGTGTGCCACCGCACCCAGCTAATTTTGTATTTTTAGTAGAGGCGGGGTTTCTCCATGTTGGTCAGACTGGTCTCTAACTCCTGACCTCAGGTGATTCGCCTGCCTCAGCCTTCCTAAGTGCTGGGATTACAGGCGTAAGCCACCGCTCCCGGCCTACTTTGTATTTTTGATTCTAGCCATTCTAACTGGAGTGCAGTATGATCTTATTGTGGTTTTGGTTTTCATTTCTCTGATGACTAGGGATGTTGAGCATTTTTTTTTTTTTTTTTTACATACCTGTTGACCATTTCAATGTCTTTTTTTTTGAGAACTGCCTATTATTTTTCCAATTTTCTAATCAGGTTATTTGTTTTTTTGTTGTTATTTAAGTCCCTATATATTCTGCACATAAACCCCTTGTCAGATATATAGTTGCAAATATTTTCTCCCATTCTGTTGTTTCCTTTGCTGTGTAAAAACTTTTTAATTTGATGTGGTCTCATTTGTCTATTTTTCATTTTGTTTCCTGTGCTTTTGCAGCCTTTTTAAAAAACATCCTTGCCCAGCCCAAAGTCATACAGCATTTCCCCTACATTTTCTTTTAGTAGATTCATAGTTTTAGGTTTTACAGTTGAGTCTTTAATTGCAATTGAGTTGATTTTTGTATGTAGTGAAAGATAGTGTTGTTTTTTGTTTTTTGTTTTTGCACATAGGTATTCAATTTTAGGTCCTAGGCCTTTTTTCGGTAGATGACTATTTATTACTGATTCAGTTTCCTCACTCATTATTGGAGTGTCCAGATCTTCTGTTTCTTCCTAATTTAATCTTGGTAACTTGTATTTGTCAAGGAATCTATCCAGTTCATCTATGTTCGCAAACTTTTTGGTGTATAATTGTTCATCATAGTCTCTTATGATGCTTTGTATTTCTGTGATGTCACCTGTAATGTGTCCTTTTTCATCTCTGATTTTATTTATTTAGGTCTTTCCTCTTTTTTTCTGTGGTGACTCTAAGATTTCTCATATTTGTTAATCTTTTCAATAAAACTGTTAATTTTGTTGATTTTTTTGAAAACTTCAAAAGTCACTATTGTATTTATTTCTGCTCTGAGCTTTATTATTTACAATTTGGGGTTTCGTTTGTCTTTTTTTCCTACTTTTTGAGCTGCATGGTCAGGTTATTGGGAATCTTTGTTTATTGTTTAGGCATTTATTTCTATAAACTTCTCTCTTAGAACTGCTTTTGCTGTGTCTCATAGGTTTTGGTATGATGTGTTTCCAGTCTCATTTGTCTCAAGTAATTTTTCAATTTCTCTTTTAATTTATTCATTGAATTATTCGTTATTTAGAAGTATGCTGTTCAATTTTCATGTTCGTAAGATTTCTTAACTTTTTCTTGTTTATTTCTAGTTTTGTAATATTGTGGTCTAAAAGGATACTCGATATGATCTCTGTCTTCTTAAATTTTTTAAGACTAGTTTTGTGGCCTAACATGTGATCTATCCTGGAGAATGTTCTATATGCAGTTGAGAAGAATGTTTACTCTGCAGCTGTTGGATGGAATGTTCTGTAAATATCTGTTACGTCCATTTGGTCTATGGTGTAGTTTAAGTCTAATTTTTTGTGTTGGTTTTCTGTCTAGATTATCTATCCACTGTTGAGGGTGGGGTGTTGAAGTTTCCCACAATTGTATTGTAGTCTGTCTTTCTCTGCCTTTATATCTGATAATATTTGCTGTACATATTTGGGTGCTCTGGTGTTAGGTACATATATATTTCCAATTGTTATACCCTCTTGTTGAATGGATCCCTTTATCATTATATAATTTTTTTTTGTCTTTTTACAGTTTTTGACTTAAAGTCTATTTCATCTCATATAAGTATGGCTATTCCTGCTCACTTTTGGTTTGCATTTGCATGGAATATCTTTTTCCATGCCTTCACTTTCAGCCTACCTTTGTCTTAATGGCGAGGTGAGTCTTTTGTAGACAGCATACAGTTGGATATATTTTTTAATCCATTTGGCTACTCAGTATCTTTTAATTGGAGAATTTGTTCCATTTGTATTCACAGTTATCATTGATAGATAAGGACTTACTCCTGACATTTAGTTAATGATTTCTTGGTTGTTTATAGATCATCTGTTCCTTTCTTTGTCTCTGTTTGTTTACCTCTGTGGGTTGATGGTTTTCTGTGGTGCTATGCTTTGTTTTCTTACTCTTGGCATTTGTGTGACTGCTGTAATTTCTTTCTTTCGGGCTACCATGGGGCTAACCTAAATAATCTTGTAGATGTATTATTTTAAGATTTATTATTTTAACGTAACTTTGTTCACATAAAAAATACCATAGGCTCTTTCCCTCCCCCTACAATTTATATTTCTGATGTTTAATTTTTACTTCTTCATCTATTAGGTGTTCCTAAGCCACGAATTCTGGCTGTTGTTGTTTTTTATTATTTGAATTTAAACCTTTCATACTAGATGATTGAAAGTTTACATAGCACCGTTATTTCAATAGATTATTCTCAGTTCGATTTATGAATTTGTCTACTGGTAAGTTTTATGCTTATACAGTTTTCTTGACAATAATTATATTCTTTTTGTTTCCAACTGTAGCATTTTCTTTAGCATTTCTTGTAAGGCCAGTCTAGTGGTGACAAATTTCTTCAGCATTTGTTTTTCTGGAAAGGGCTTTATTTCTCCTTCATTTCTGAAGGATAGCTTTATGGATATAGTATTATTGCCGGACAGATTTTTTTTTCCTTTCAGCACTTTAAATATAACAACCCATTTTCTTCTGGCCTGCAGTTTCTGTTGAGAAATCTGCTGATAGTCTAATAGGGGCTTCCTTTATATATAACTTGAAAGTTTTTTCTTGCAGATTTTGGAATCTTCTCTTTGACTTTTGGCAGTTTGATTAACGAGTACTTTGAAGAGGATCATTTTGAGTTGAATCTAATAGGGGACTTTTGAGCTTCCTGAATCTATCTAGATATAAATATATCTCCCAATATTTGGGAAGTTTCTGTCTATTATCCTGTTAAATAGGCTTTCTGTGTCTTTCTCCACCTCTTCTCTCTCTAATAATCCTATAATGGGAACATTTGTTCACTTAATGGTGTTTCATAAGTCTCATACACTTTCTTTATTCTTATTTGTTTATTTATTTTTCTCTGACTGTTATTTTAAAAGATCTGTATTCAAGCTTAAAAATATATTATTTGATTTGGTCTGTTGTTGGAACTGTCAATTGTATTTTTTATTGTATTTATTGAATTATTCAGCTTCAAGATTTCTGTTTGGTTCTTTTTTATGTCTATCTTTTTATTGTATTTCTCATTCAGATCATTGGTTATTTTTCGGATTTCATTGAATCATTTGTCTGTGCTGTCTTGTATCTCACTGCATTTTCTTAAGATCATTATTTACAATGCTTTTTTAGGAATTTCATAAATTTTCTTTTCTTTGGGGTCTGTTACTAGAGACTTATTGTGTTTCTTTGGAGGTATCCTATTTTCTTGCTGTTTCACGTTTCTTGTGTCCTTATTTTGATATCTGCAAATCTAGTGTAAATTTGTTCTTTCTGGTTTTATAGGATAGCATTTGTAGGAAGAAACTTTCTTTGGTAGGTGGTCCCAGAGGAGCTTTGGCTTTGGTTCTGAGTGGAGTCTCTAGTGTGATCTTCATGGTGTTTCTTTAGCTACAATACTTGTCAGTGATGTCTGTGATATTGTCTCAGAAGCCTAGTCTATGGTTGACTATAAGGGCAATAATGTGGTTTTGCTTGGGGCTGGGGCAGCGGGCTGGATGTTAGCCAGACAAGGGAAGCTGCAGAGGGCCAACAATCTGTATGGTGAGTTTCCTGCAGAGGCACTGGCCATTTCCAGGCTGGCTGTCAGAAGCCAAGCACAGATGCTCATGGGTGTAATGGCACTGGGTGGTTTTGCAAAGTTCTGTCTGAAGGGACAGGGTCACCACAGGACCAGCTGTCAGGCCATGCAGGCACATGCATGCACTTGGGCCAGGCAGGCTGTAGCAAGCTGTCCTGGGGATACTGCTGCTGCAGGACCCGCTTTCAGGCTGTACATGAACATATGCAGGTGTTGGGGATGGGGGCTAGGCAGGTTGAAGCAGTTGTTTCTGGGGGTGGATTCAACATAGGACTGGCTGTCAGGCTAGGTATAAGCACTCACAGGGTTGGCAGACTGTGCAGTGTAGGTGCACATGGATGTGATGGCTAGCAGGCTGTTCAGCCACTTTCCTGCTGTGCAGGTTCACCTGTTTATTGGAAGGTTGTGACAAATGCCACATGGGTTTGGATGCCAGGGTCTCAGTCCTTCGATCTGGCCTATGTTCTGGGCAGCTGAGGTCATGGTACTGTAGGCACTATGGTAGTATGATGGCAGGGCCTCAGGAATGGAAAGTCAATTGATACTGATCCCCAGGGCAAGACACACTGTATACATGGGTCCAGGTTCAAAATAGTATAGAGCCATAGCAGCCTAGGTCACAGTGGTGGGAGGTGCTCAAGGTGGTCTCTTACAATGAGGCAATGGAGTTGCACGGACCTCAGCTACTCTCCAGACTGGATTTGAGGCCTGTGGGGATTAGGGGCTGTCCTGTAGCAAGGATTGCTGGTGTTTGTGGTTGCAATGGGGACCACTGAGGATCTTTAACTTATGTTTTCTCCATAGGAAGAAGTCCCCCTGACTCTGAGCTAATTCTGGTAAGGAAGAGAGAGTGGTAGAAGTAGGGTGTCTTCCTCTCTCTCTCTATGGTATCCTTGGTGTCTGTACTCCACATAAATTTTACCATTCCCCTGGTGCTGCCTAGCACTCTACTTCAGTCACTTTACTTACAATATAGTTGTTTATTTGTTGTTTTGGTTCCTTTTTGTTGGGGAGGGACGAGTGCCAGGTAACCGTAGTCAACCTTCTTTCTGACATCACTCTCTACATATATATTCTATTCTATTTATATTATATTCTATAAAAAGAATATAACTTTTTCGGATCATTTGAATATTTATCTCTGTATATAGGTCTTGATTTATAATCAGAAAAAAACTCTTAGCTTTTAAAACATCCTACTATTTATATAAAATGAAGAACAAATTAGGAATGAAATGCATTTTCTTTTCTGTTTTTGTTTTTTTTTTTACTTTATGAGCTACCCATAAAACCACCGCTATACAAGTAGCAACATTAGGTCACTTTTTGAGTTTTGTCTTTTGCCAAGTGAAGAAAAGATTTATCAGTGGCTGCAGCATCCCAGCACATATACACCCTATTCCTTCTGTTCTCATGTGTGGTTCCCTCTCTCCCCTGGCTTTCGCAATACTGTCTAAGCTTCTGTCAGTTTATATATATATATATATATATTTTTTTTTTTTCAGTTCCTCAATGGTGTCTTCACAAAAACACGGGACTTTGGACACAGGCAAAGCAGAAATTTCCTACTTGACCTGTGTAACGCTGGTCATACCACATAACATCTATGAGCTGTAATTTCTGGATCTTTTAAATGAGGGACATAAAAATAACACATAGGGATATTGAAAGACTAAATGAGTAACCTCTCTAGTGCATAGAAGATGGTAATAAATGTTAACTTTCTCTACACTTGCTTCCCTTCGATATTTTAAGATTTCATTTCCCTTTTTAAGACTACCTATACTCATATTTCTTCTTGCAAAATACCAACTTTTACTTTTCTCCATTTTCTGCATCTTTAAGTTTGATCATTTATTTCCCTTCATTTCAAGGTATGAAAACAATAACAACCTTTTCTTTGATCGTCCTAAATTCTTTATATCACGTCTGCATTGATTGGTGTTCACTTTTTATTCTTTTTAAATAAATGTTTTCTATTACCCGTTCATAAATATTTGAATGCTCAAAGCCATCTTTGGAGAGAAAGAGAATCACTGTTTTGTATTTTGTCTTTCTATCAAATATGTCTAGTAATATAAACAAGTTTTAAAAAATATTTAATTAGTTCATGCTGAAATCATACCACTGTGATAATTTTCAGTAATCTTATTTTTAAAATGTCTTACTCTTTTTAATGCCCTTTTAAGGTCTGTAATTATTTTATCTTTTATAGCTATGAATTATAAAATCAGTACATTGATATTATAAAAAGTAGTGAAGTATAAAAATGTTAGAAATGCTAAATAAAAGCCACTTTCCTCAGTTCATAATGCCACTCATCTCCCTTCTTACTATAAACCTAATTGTACCTGTTGGAGGTAATCAATGTTAATGTAGGTTGGTGCAAAAGTTATTGCGATTTTTGCTATTGAAAATGATGGCAAGAATCACAATGACTTTTCATGTCCCTTAATTATCTTCTCCTCCCATTAAGTATTATTGCCTTTAAAGGAACATCCTGCGTTTCTGGTTTTTTTTTTTTTTTTTTGGTAATTTGTTGCAAAGACATACTGATCTTCAAAAACATCTTGAAAAGATTAATGAACTAGCTTAATATTTTTGAAGACAGGCAAAGGAAAATGAAGGAGCCAAATATGGTTAATTAATTTTTACTTTGGAAGGCAAGCATGACAGCTCCTAGAACAGAAACTCCAGGTCCAAGATTCGATACTTAGTTTCCACTTTATGAAATAACTATATTCTCAAATAAGCTGAAAACTTGTCAGACCAAGCTCATAATAGAACCTGAATTTGAACAGAATGGGAGGTTTACCCTCAAACATTTTCTTACAAAATTGTTCTTTTTTATTATTTTTATTTTTTTGAGATGGAGTCTCTCTCTGTTGCCCAGGATGGAGTGCAGTGGCAAGATCTTAGCTCACCACAACCTCTGCCTCCTGGGTTCAAGTGATTCTCCTGCCTCAGCCTCCTGAGTAGCTGGGACTACAGGCGCACGCCATCATGCCCAGCTAATTTTTGTATTTTTAGTAGAGACGGGGTTTCACCATGCTGGCCAGGCTGGTTTCGACCTCCTGACCTCATGATCCACCTGCCTCAGCCTTCCAAAGTGCTGGGATTACAGGCGTGAGCCACCGTGCCCGGCCCAAAATATTCTTTATATTATCACTAATATTGCAGAAATCAAGATTTGGCTGAAATTGTCACTGTTGTACCAGACTCCAGTTTTATATTATTCCAGTTGCTTCTTAAAGTCCAATCTCTTAAACTGTCACTCTTCTCCACCTCCTACCCTCTTCCTCAGTTACCACACCTTCCATAAAATCACAGTTGATTCTCATACCTATGGCTTTCTCTTTCTCTTATAAGGTTCCAGTACAACTTGCTCTTAAGTTTATGTGTTTAATGAGGCTTAATGTATTATTTATTCCAAAGCACTTGCATTTTACAGAAAACAAAGGCTGAACTCAGTGGAGTGAATCTCTAGTTGTAGAAATAAGACTTCAGAAGGCAAGTGAAGAGAGGATTATTGGAATTATAGAAGAATCTTTTGAGAGCCTCAGCATCCCACCAGCTCCACTTAATTGAATACTAGAACCCATGTATCTTCTTAGTGCTATAAAACAATCATAGTTCCTGGGAGAAACCAGAAGCTACCTCCTGTTTTTCTAAATATCTATTTCTACTTATTGGTCAATTTGGCATAAAGATTCAGGGATTTTTGGAAGTGGAGTAGACCATAAATACTTCTCCTTTGCTTTTGCAACTAACTCAGGAGAAGATTATAAAATGAATTGAGTGCAAAGGAAGTGAACTATAATACAGCCAACTCAAACAATGTAAGAAGATGGTTATATTCCTCAGATTTAATTAGTATAAAATAACAATGCTCTTCTGAATTTATGCATTCTCTTTCTATTCAGGATGTTAAAGCACATCACAGATTACTAAATAGCCCTCTGATCACCTGAATATACAGGATTAACCTATGGATTTAATCAAGTAGGGCTAGATTAAAACCATTAATGTTAAATATTATACCATCAAAAGTATTTATTTAGAAAATCAAATGCTACCTTTTGTTATGCTATTTTCAGACCAAAACTAAATATGCAGCTAATAAAATATATGCTTTTTTGTTGTTAATAGATTGACTGCAGGATCCCTGTACCATCATTTTCTCCAAATGAGGGACTTAGATTAATATTCTATTGATCAAAATTGCTTTTCAAATATAATCCATGTACATGGGATTATAAAATATAGGCATAGAAAAATAGTTTAAATCAGTCAGACCTTTTTTTTTTGGTTAGGAACTTTTAACGTAATTCTGTTTCTGTACATAGCCAGAAACCTTAAACTAGTTCTTACTTATTTCTTTTATCTCCTTCACAGTATCGTGACTAACTGTTGTGAATTTTGCTTCTGTAACATTTTTATTATCCATTTTTTGCTCACCATCCTTGCTTCTCCTTCCTTAGTTCAACTAGTTGTCATTTTTAGCTTGGACTGTTGCAGCAGGCTTCCTGCTGGTTGGTCTTCCTGTCTCTAATCTAAACTCTTCCTATATCCCTTTCACAGGACTATTGGAAGGATCTTTTTAAATAGTAAACGTGCTTGTCATGTGCTTGAGGCTGTTTAATGGGTTTCTATTGTATTTATTGGGTATAAATTCTAAATTCTTTAGCCTGGCCTGTGAGGCCCTCATTGCTTAAAACCACTTTTCCATTCTCTTCTTGGCTAAAATTGTCTCTTGCTGCCCCTCTTTCCAAATCACCCTGCACTCCAACCTACAGAACCACTTTTGCTTGTCCCCCAGGGAACTTTGCTCTTTTATACCCCTGTCTCTTTCTCCACAGTGCTTCCTGTGTCTGGAATGCCATTCTTAATTTGTCTCCTTGGTGAATATCTCTTTATCTTTGAAAATTACAGTTAAGGATCACTTCCTCCATAAAGCATTTTTTTCAATATTGTATTTAGAATTGAATTTTGTGCTTATTCTTCTCACAGTTTGTTTGGACATGTCAATTATTCCTCCAATCAGATTCTTCTGAAGAATTAAGCAATCCATTTTGTGAATATTCTTCTGTTACAGTGCTTAGGATATGTCATTTCTCCCATTATCAGAGTATAAGCTCCTTATGAACAGGGGCTGTAGCTTCCTCATTTTTGTATGTCCAAATATTTAAATAAATTTGAAATATTTTATTCACCAAATATCTTAGCATCTTACTGTATGTGCTCAAAATTATTTTTTGTTATTGGAATTGTATTTTTAACATATTTCAAGTTTGCAGCACTTATTTTAATTTACACTTATAACCAAAGACTATACATTTTCTAAACATTTCAAAACAGAACAGGTGGATCATGGCATTCCTAAATAAATATTTAACTGGGGAGAAAAATATGGGCTAATACAATCAAAATTTGGTTACAAGTCCATCTTACAGGTCATGAAAGTAATTTAAAATAGTATTTCCTATTTTTACTATTCATCAAATCACCTGGAACACTTTTGAAAAACTAAAGATTCTTTTTTTATTATTTATTTTTTTTTATTTTTTGAGATGGAGTCTCACTGTGTCACCCAGGCTGGAGTGCAGTGGCAGGATCTCAGCTCACAGCAACCTCTGCCTCCCATATTCAAGCTATTCTCATTACCTCAGCCTCCCAAGTAATTGGGGGCACATCACCACACCTGGCTAATTTTTGTATTTTTAGTAGAGATAGGGTTTCACCATGTTGGCCTGGCTGGTCTCAAACTCCTGACCTCAAGAGATCCGCCCACTTTGGCCTCCCAAAGTGCTGGGATTACAGGCGTGAGCCACTGCGCCCGGCCAAAAAACTACAGATTCTTGAGTCCTGTTCAGAATCTCCTTTGTTGGGCTAAGAAATCTATATTTAAAACAAATCATTCAAAAATACTCTCTAGTAATTCTTATCCAGCCAGCCCCTCAAATAGCATTAGAAAATCATTAAGAGAGCTAAGGTAATTTTGATGCACAGTCAGGATCAGAAATCACATCTTCCAAAATTAAATTACAAATAATTTTATTTGACAATAATTAAAACATCAATGTATTATTTTTAACATCCCTTTATCAGGCATATAGCTAAACAACTACAAAGACAGAATTTGAAACCGAGAATTGCTCTTTCCTAGGCCTACCATTTTTCTTCTTTATTTTGCTACCCTCAGAAAAGGATATGCTGCTCGAAGGTGCCAAAAGTGGCATGGTACTATTGTATCAGGAAATGTTCCTAAAAATATTTTAATGAAAATTAAATATGCAAAATTATTCCAAAAATGTATATTCTTGTTGCTTGACAATCCAACTTTAACTAATTTTGTCATATTACAGCAGCATGACAGCTGCCTGGTCTCATGATTAAAGGGTAACTTTTAAGAAATATATAGAAACATCAGAACAGAAGTACTCTTAGAGTTTGAAAAACCTGGAATTAGGCTAATTAAATCATTTCAGCATGGTGAAATTTTAATCAAAAATTAAAATGTTATTAAAATCAAATTTTATAAATATTAAATTAAATTTATTAAAATTAAATTAAACTAAAATTAAAACTTTAATTCCAATTAAAAATTTTTAAATTAAAGAATGAACTCCTTTTGGGTTTCCTCCTCTGATTTTAAAATCCATGTATCATGCACGGAGCACTCTAACAAAAAAAGAAAAAGTCCTATCTACATTTGGCTAATGTAAGTACTCCATGTAGGTTCTGGACTTTTCTCCCTTGTTGATCCATTCCCATCTCTAGAGTCCAGAGCATACATCCCTATACTTCTTTCATGGGCCTGATCACTGAAGGCCTCAAAGTACACCTAACTTTCCTTAATACCTGGTTACCACTGGTTACCAATTACAGTGCAAATAAGCTATTATGGAATAGGGTGGATCAAAGGGTTGGACCAGGCATCTTAACCAAGAAAAGAGGTAATGTCAAATGACTCATCTCATAAGAGGATTGGCTTTTTAATAAATGTATTTGTTTAGTTTGTTCATGTCTATGTCCATAGTTTCTAGAAATTCAGACAAGTAGATTACTGGAAAAGGGAAGGCTCTTTTCAATTCTGCAAAAGCTTGGAGTTTATTTTCACAGTGAAGGCTGTATTGTGGGGCTATGACTAAAAGATAAAAAGTTCTAAAACCCATGTAGAACTGCCTAATATGCCCCCTCACAATAACCATGTCCTTTTCCTGCCTTTGCTGTTCTTTTTCTCCCTAACTGGTTTTTGCATAACACCCCAAACAAGGCATTACTGGGAAGATGATGAAGTCTTAGCTGAGAATGAATTCCAAAATGCTTACCATGGCCTACTGTGCACTGAAAAAGTGTTTCCCTGTGAGATCTCAGTGACTCATCTCTTACTACTTCACTGTCTTATTGCTGCCACTCCTTTCTCTCTAACTTCCCTGCCCTTCATGAAATACATCAAGTCTGTGCCAGACTCAGAGCATTGGCATTCCCATTTCTGTGTCTTAAAGGTACTTAGCTGAGATTTCTGCTTGGCTCCCTCCCTCATTGCATGCACTTCTCTGCTCAGATGCTACCCTCTGAATACTTTATTCAGGCTTTTAAGAGGCTTTTCAGAATACTCTATAAAATAGTACTCTCTGTGTCTACCAAAACTCTCTATCCGCTCTGCCTGCTTTATTTTCCCTCAGAGCACTTTTCACCTCCTGACCAATTATGTATTTATTTGCCATTTATCTCTACCCACTGAAATTTGAGTTCTATGAAAGTAGAGATTATGTCTTTTTGATTCAGGTATGTTTGGTTTCTAAAACACTAACTGATGCACTAGAAATTTATAATGAATATATTAATTAATATATATGAATAAGAGAATTTCAGCTTACTAAATGCATCAGTGGCTGATTTTTTAAAGTATAGGTTCTCCAACATGTTATCACGTGTGTGTATCAGGTAGGGCCCGGAATAGTTATCCCTGACGCCCTTTATCCTCTTCCCCAACAAGCACGTACTCATTCCACTTTACACAATCACACACAAATGTACACACTCACAGCTTGTATGTACTGCCAAAGTGATTGCTGCCAGACACCATACAGTTGGATATATTTAAATCATTATTTATTTTTGTAGTCTGTAGTTTGAGATTTAACAATTCATTCTGCTTGAACTGATTTTGTAGCTCATCAGTGATGTTGCCAGTCAGCCATAGCATTTGGGCCTTGGATGATGCAGGTTTGCAAATACCCCAGAAAGTCTTGCAACAGCATTATGGCATCTTTTGTAATTTATAACTTTTTTCCCAGTGTTATTGTAACCCCCCTAATGCATCAGTTGCAGATATTGCCATCCTAAGTTTGCAGAGTGGCTCTATGTGCTAGATATTAAGACAAAAATTTGAATAGGGCTGGGCGTGGTGGCTCATGTCTGTAATCCTAGCACTTTGGGAGGCTGGGGCGGATGAGGAATTGGAGACCAGACTGGGCAACATGCCCAAAAGCCATCTCTGAAAAAAAAAAAAAGAAAAGAAAATGAGCCAGGCATCATAGTGGTGTGTACCTGTAGTTATAGCTACTTGGGAAGCTGAGGTGGGAGGATTACCTGAGCCAAGGAAGTTTAGGATGCAGTGAGTTGTGATCATGCCATTGCACTCCAGCCTGGGTGTTAGAGTGAGACTTTGTCTCGAAAATAAATAAATAGTTAAAAATGAAATGGTTTATGTGACAAGGCACGATGTATGTGGTGCTAGACAGCCATGATAGTCAATCCTGACTTTGCTACTTGCTCAGTCGTGTTGTCTCACTACTAAGGTGCCTGACATTCCACAACTTAGTTTCTTCTTCTGTAAAATGGGAATCATTATACCTACTTAACAAAATTGTTGTTAAGGAATAATAATATACGTAAAGCACTGTTTGGCACAAGCCAAATGGCAATTATTGAACTAGAACTAACTTTCAATCCCCACAAAGGCACTCAACTCAGTGCTAGAGGCATAGTGGGTGCTCAAGTACTATTTTTTGGGCAATTGAATCTATCCTATTGTACTCCTTGGAGACCCTGCTATGATTATCTCACTTAATAAATAAGACATGAAAAAGAACCTGTTACAGTAGGAATCACCTGGTGTTCATGAATTCACAGTAATCTTATCCTAAAATTTGAAAATTATAGTTTGTGTATAGCTAAAACAAAGACCAAAAACCTGCACTAGGAAGAGAATGAGAGTACTGTACTCAGTGTAATCTTTCTGTCTCCAGATAACACTTTAACTCTTAGGAAGGGGCAGATTTGAATCACAGCTAAGATGAGTCATCACAATCATTTTGCTGAAAGAACTGTCAGAGAAGGGGAACAACTTTTAATATGTCCAGATGCATACCTTTTAATTTTTCGTGCCAACAGGGAAGGTTATTGGAAATGATAATCTAAACAATTTTTTATTGAATTATGTGGTTATGAGGTAATATTCATATGCACATACATATACCCACAAGTACTTCTGTCTATAGCGAATACTTTCCCAACTATATTTACTTGGAATATTGTGAAATGTATGCCCTTTTCTTGAGTCTATGTAAATATTGGTCAGAGTATATAGGAGAGGGGAAAAGATGGCAGAAGAGGAAAAGTATTATCAGAAAAATCAATTGTGACTTACAGATTCAACAGATTTGACTTATGCATCTGTTTTAAATAACCACAAAAACAATTTTGTTTTTTACAAATACAAATATATACGGTCTTTTATCATAGTTTAGAAATTTCTTTATCAGTAGGGCAGAATTCAAACTTTCACTTTGCCTTCCAGTGTTGTAAAAAAAAACACAATTTTTTTAATTTTTAATTTTTATTTATTTTTATTTTTATTTATTTTTTATTTTTGAGACGGAGTCTCACTCTCGCCCAGGCTGGAGTGCAGTGGCACGATCTCTGCTCACTGGAAGTTCTGCCTCCCGGTTTCACGTCATTCTCCTGCCTCAGCCTCCCGAGTAGCTGGGACTACAGGCGCCCGCCAACGTGCCCGGCTAATTTTTTGTATTTTTAGTAGAGACGGGGTTTCACCCTGTTAGCCAGGATGGTCTCGATCTCCTGACTTCGTGATCCGCCCGCCTAGGCCTCCCAAAGTGCTGGGATTACAGGCGTGAGCCACCGCGCCCGGCCAAAAAACTGTAATTTTGAGCTCAAATCTCAGCTCAGCCATTGATTAGCTGAATGACTTTTAGGGACTTTTTCTCATTTCTTGATTTACAAAATGAAAATGAAGATAGCTACCAGAAAAGACTCGTTATTACAGATTACAAGTGTATCTACACACACATATACGTGTACACACATTTACATTCACATATATTATATCAATTTCATTCATGTATGTATATATAAAGCCTTACATACTAAGTTTCAATAAATGTTTCTATTTAAAGTAAAATGTAACCACTGTATAACATACATTATAGATGTTTCTTCAAATAGTGTAAATACCAGCCTTTTCCAAAAGAGAGGAATAATGTTCACTATGTATTCTCTTTTATTACAGGCTTATGAAAAAATTGCTTACCTCCTCACCAATTTAGGTAAGTCCATTTTTCTTACTTCACTCCTTAGTCAGAAAATAACATATGGGCATTTCAGTCTGTAGTTACTTTATATAATGTAGCATTTTAATAACTGCAATTATTTAAGTATTTACCAATTAAAAAGGAGAGGGGTAGTATAGGAAGTTGGTCTATATTGAATAACAATAGAGAGACAATGCATGTAGTTACAAAATATTTTTACTAGAAATCAGCACACCTAGTTCTTCCTACTTAGGAGTGCTTGCTTCTCCAACTTTTCAGTTCTTTGGGTTTTTCCTCAATATTTATTTTTTATCAAAGTGTTATACTACATGTACACTTTTTAAAAGCCAAAACAATATTAAGAGATTTACAATGAAAACCAGTACTTTACCACATCACCCATTCCTATTTTCTATACCAAAGGAACTACTTTTTAACTTTTTTTTTTTTTTTTCTGAGATGGAGCCTTGCTCAGTCGCCCAGAGTGGAGTGCGGTGGTGACGCGATCTCGGCTCACTGCAAGCTGCACCTCGCAGGTTCACGCCATTCTCCGGCCTCAGCCTCCCGAGTAGTTGGGGACTACAGGCGCCTGCCACCACGTCCGGCTCATTTTTTGTATTTTTAGTAGAGACGGGGTTTCACCGTGTTAGCCAGGATGGACTCAATTTCCTGACCTCGTGATCTGCCCGCCTCGGCCTCCCAAAATGCTGGGATTACAGGCGTGAGCCACTGTGTCCGGCTACTTTTAACATTTTTATCTGTTTATTTTGTTATTTCCCACCATGTTTCCACGTGATATCGTTCTATTGCCATTATTGGATTTTATCTTTTGATAGCTATTGCCTTCCCATTATACAAGTATGAATTATTAAGACTTAGCTCTTAATGTTCCCTGCAGTGCCCTGTCCCCCGACACTCCATCTTTCATTATCTGATAAACACAGTTATTTCTCCTCCTTCCAAGGTGGATATATCAGCATTTTTAGCCAAATTAATCGTTAGTCTTCACATCATTATGTCTCTATAACTATTTTCATACCTACGGCATGGTATATTCTATAATTGTGTATACTTTTTATACCACTTCTGTATTTTTTAAGCTAATAATGGCCACTTTTTTGCTTATTTTTTTACATACTTTTCTTAATTTATCCCAAAGGTTTTGCCAAGACTCTAAATTTTCTCTGAATATATTCAGACACATCAAGTATTATACAAACTTGATTTTCTTCTTAGAGTTACCCTCTCAAGCTGTCTCCTCCAAACTAGATGGGTTATTTTCTAGGCCTGTAGCCAACTGCATCTAGACTTACTTTCATAAACACTCTGGGAATTCCTTTTATATTTTTCTAGAATTTGGATACTACTTACTAAATCCTATGTCTTATTCCTTCTTGGCTCAGTTCCTTATTTTGCTACTTGTAAGTAAGTTTCTTAAAACTTTGTAGATCTGAAAATGTCTCTATTCTAGCCTCAAACTTGATATCCATGTTCCTAGGTATGAAACCCTATGTTAGAAATACTGCCCCTTTGAATTTTGAAGGAGTTTCATTTTCTTCTGGATTCCAGCATTGTTACTGAGAGCTCTGCTACCATTCTGATTCCCAGTCCTTTGCACAGGACCTGTTTTGATTTTTGTTATTTGTTTATACTCTAGAATAATTTTGAATCTTTTCTCATTTTGAGATTTCACAATGATGTACTTTGGTGAAAACCTTTTATCATTTATTATGCTGGATACTTAGTGCATCCCATCAATATTGATATCCATTGTGTCCTGTGGGAAGCAGACACTGAGATGGAGTTAGTAATGCAAGAGATTTCTTAGAGGAAAACTCCTGAGGAAAGGAGCAGGACTGGATAAGGAGAGCCTCAGACAACAATGCAGATCTGATGGTTTTAACCAATCCAATGGAGAGCTCTAGAACAAATATTTCAAGTAAAGATTTAGAGGACTCTAACATTGGGTATAATTGAGTATAATTGGCCAAGACCTAGTACCCCTGTCATTCTGAGTCACTGGTTGGTTGTTGCCTGGGAAGAGCAAGACCTTGGCATGAAAGCTGAGGTATAGGATGAGGCTGGAAACAGCTGGAGGCTGACTGTACTCCTTGCAGCTGAACAGCAAGTTCTTACTGAGGGGAAATCCTAGTGACAAACCTCCACTGCTGCCATAATCTGAAAACTCAGAAACTTCGCTTCCAGGAGATTTTTGTATATTCTTTGTTCAATAATTTACTCCTTTAAAAAATCTTTCTGGAACTCTTTACATTCGGATGTTTCTTATCATATTCAATAGTTTTTTTTTTCTTTCTTCCTTTTCTATGATTTTTGTTGGGATTTCTTCAAGAGAACCTCAACCTTATCTTCCAAGTATTCTCCTGAATGTTTTATATTGACTCATGCTTCACATTTTCTAGAATTATTTCCTGTTCTCTGAATGTCCTTTTTCTATGTCATCCAGTTCCAGCTTCACAGATGCAGTGTCTTAAGTAGGCAATATAATGTAATTGTTAAGAATATCAGCTCTAGAGTGAGAATGCCTGAGTTGAAATCTTTGCACCATAACTTACTACATTATCATAGTTGTGCAGTAATAATTATTTTATTCTCTCGGTTTCTTAAATTCTTTTATATATATATATATACAAGGAGATAGAGTCTGTGCTCTGGAGCTAACATTGGAGAAACAATGTTTTGAAAGGGGAAGACACCAGGCTTTGGAGTTGGATATAGCAATGAACATTTGGATTGCCGCATCATGACTGTATAACTATCATTAAGCTTTTTCCTCTCCCTGTTCTCTCTTCTTCTTCTCCCCTCCTTCTCCTCCTCTTCCCCCTCATTCTCCTCCCTCTGCTTGTCCTTCTTCTTTACTTTTGGGTCTTCATTTCCTCACTGTTAAAATGACAATAATAATAGTTCCTATTTCACCATTGTTGTAGATTGGCTGCCTGACACATGACAAGTGTACAATAAATAGCAATGGTCCAGTTCATTGTTCTTTAAACCCTCTGAGCTGCATTTTCTTCAGTTGGGTAATGAAGCACTAGCTCTGTTCCTTACATTCATTTGCTTTTGAAGTACCCTATACCCAGGATTGAAGCAAATCTAAGGAGAATGACTTGGGAAAATCATACTTAATAGTAGGAAACAGAACAGTTATTTGTGCTAAGTAACAAGAAATGTCAAGGTTTTCACTTGATATTTGATTTTTTCCTCTATAATCCAGTGATGATTTATGTCTGTTGATTCATCATTTAACTAATAATGGCTATATTAGTTTAAATGGATAAAAATATTGATAGTTTGATTAAAATAATAGAATCTAGTGTGTGTGTGTGTGTGTGTGTGTGTGTGTGTGTGTGTGTGCGCCTGACATTATGTTCTGTTTAATTTTTGGCTGCGCTAATTTGTGCTTCAAAATACAAATGAAAAATTAAGTTTTACTTCTCAGAAGAGGTCATATGCTATTTAAAGAATTTTTTTAAACTTTCTGTTTCTTGATTTATTTTTTTCCAAGTATTTTCAAAAACCACAAAGCAAAAGAGATAAAGCTTAAATTCTATTACATTTGTTTTTTAACATGGGAAAAATTAAAAGCATTTACTTCAAAGTGATTTTTTGAACTTTGGTTTCCTGGTTTTTGAGGATTAGATCAGGATGGCTGTTAATTTTTCTTAATAATGAACTGTCTATGTTAAAGATAAATTGGGATTAGAAGGAACAAATTAAGCCAACTAATGAAAAGAGTTTTCACTTTGTCAGACAGGGGTCAAAACTACCTTACAGTGTTAAAATCGTAACACAAAGTAACTTCCTACTATACACACTATTAATTCCAAGAAACAGAGAAATTAACAGTAAAAAGCAAGGACTAATTACCTTACTGGGTGACTGCATCTCATAAATAACTTTTCATCCGTAATTAGCTTCATTAGGGAAAAAGTAAGAGATATTTTGGCCAGAAATACATTACCCTAGAAACAGCACCTATATCCTTAGTGTTGAGGATTTGATTCCTCCTCTGAGTTAAAAACCAATTCAAAATGATCCACAATGTGCTATATTTGTGAATGGCACGGTGTTGAAAAATAAAAGTTTTCTTCCTGGCAGCGTAGAACCTAAGTTAAACCTCAAAGTTATCATCATTGCAGTAACTTCCATTGTTTCAGTTGTCTGTTGCCACATAGCCTTTTACTCCAAACTTAGTAGCTCAGGACAACAACTTATTATTTTTAATGATCCTGCAATTTAGATTAGGCCCTGCTATGTGATTTTTCTGGTCCATATGGTATCTGCTGGGGCTGGTGTGTAAGAGGGCCTCTTCAATCACATCTGTTTCCTCATATGGAATTATTGGGATAGCTGGTGTCTTCAGCCTTCTTCTCCTCTATGTGCCTCTACCTGGCTAGCTTGCTTATAGCAGTATGATAGGACATCTTACATGTCAACTGGCTTCCAGGAAGACAAGCCCCTATACACAAGTGCTTATCCAGCTTCTGCTTGCATTTTACTTGCATATCCAATCTCCTCTTGGTGAAGGCAAGTCAGAGTCAAGGTTGGAGGCAACTACACTAGGGTATGTATACTTGGAGGAGTAGTTCACTGTGGACACCAGTTTAACTGCTACCAATGTAACAATCCTCCACTTCTAGCAAAATGCCATTCTGCTGGGAACATTGTAATCTTCATCAGAATGGGTAAAGCAACTGAATAGCACTCAGCATGTCTCCAACTTGGTATATAACCTTACTACCATTTAGAATGATTTCTCCCAGTAAAATCATAGTAATCTTTTCTTATATCAGAGCTCGCCTCTGTGAAACCTTTGTTGACTTCTCAGTCCTTCACTCTACAATGTTCCTTTAGCTGTTTGTGATTCCTTTCATTACTGCATCTATTACATTATTCCTATCTATCTATCTATCTATCTACTTTCTTTACAAGACTAAAAAATTCTTACGGCCAAGAATTGAATGTACTTACTTCTGATTCTTTCAATCCTTAGGTACAAAGTTTGGCATGCGTTCATCCATAAAAGAAATATGTATGGAGGACCTAATATTTTAGACAACGTGATAGGGAGACAGACCATTAGACTATCAAGATGCATTATTCCTTTAATAAACTGTTGAATTAAACCTGCTATTTTTTTTTCTTTTGAGACAGAGTTTTGCTCTTGTTGCCCAGGCTGGAAGGCAATGGTGCAATCTCGACTCACCGCAACCTCCGCCTCTCAGGTTCAAGCAGTCCTCTTGCCTCAGCCTCCCGAGTAGCTGGGATTACAGGCGTGCACCTCCACGCCTGGCTAATTTTGTATTTTTAGTAGAGACAGGGTTTCTCCATGTTAGTCAGGCTGGTCTCGAACTGCCGACCTCAGGTGATCTGCCCGCCTTGGCCTCTCAAAGTGCTAGTACTACAGGCATGAGCCACTGCACCAGGCCTAAATCTGCTATATTTTATTTAGGAATTTCCAATGGGATTTTAAGTAAAAATAGTTTGTAGATTTTTACTTGCGCTGTCCTTGAAGGGTTTTAGTGTCAGAAATTATGCAAATCTCACAAGTAACAAGAAGATAAGTTCAGTCCCCATCATCATAGTGTAGATAGTATCAAGTCTGTTCCAGTATGAAATAGCAGCCCAATAAACACTTGTCAGAAGAGTGGATGAAAAATTAATGATAATAAATATATCAAGAATGGCCCACAAATAAATGTGTTGAATATAAGATTTAGAGGTATGTGGTTCTCCTTATATAATTAATTGTAAAAACCAGAGTTTAAAACTTTAATTTTCTTGACAATGTTTTAAAGTATTATTTGTCTTCACTGGCATTTCTCACAGGACAATTTGGAGTACTTTACATCTTCAGTTTGGCTTCGCATAGAAGAGTCACTTTAGTTGGCCACATAGATTCCTTTATTATTGTCACTTGACATTAATCAGGAAAACATGAACTTTCAGAGAAAGTCTTACTTTGGGAGGATGAAGTCTATTACTAAATCCTGTTTTAGGATATCCAAACTATCCAAACACTTTTCTTGTGTACATGTAGCTTTTATTATCACACAGTTTTATAAAAAACAGTTTATAAGGCATTTAGATAATTACATACTCTCTAGCTTGTAATTAAACCAAAACTCTCTGCCCCTCATTGTTAAGTTTTTGGACTTTGAAGGCATTTAGCCTTATGCCACTAGGCTTAGTCGAGATATAGTTTTCTTTTCTTTTATTACATTGTTGAGTAAGGAATTCTGTGGTAAATTTATAAATGAAAGTGGGTTATAGTGTCCTTGCATTGGCCTTGTTACACTATGCTGTATTAAGTCAATATTACGTTAATCTCACCAAGCAAGTTGAATTACTTTAATTATTTTATATTTTCTGAAACATACAAAAGGCAAATTTGTTATTTAATAAGAGTTTCATAGAATCAACCCATATGACTATTCAGGCATTATGTCATTCTGAGGTAGATATTTACATTTTCTTTTTTTTTTTAGTTAATGCACTGGTAATTAGTTTTTTGAAGAGTACCTACCTATTTTTGAGCCATTTTTTGAAAAGTCCTATTTATGTAGGTAATTGTTTATTATATATAAATGTTTTAACTTGTCAACTGAAAATTATTGATAGGATGTTTAGTAATGTTAATCTCTTCAGTACAGTGTTTGTACATCTTTTATTTGGGGTGGTGGAGTCTTCTCTCTTTTCTCATAACTAGACTTCATAAATGTTAGTCAATATTACATGTTCAAGAATCATTCTATTTTATTGAAGATTTGAAAACATTTTATTGTTTATTTTTGTTCTTTCATTTTATTTTGTTTATTTTATTGTTTTTGTAGCTTCTTTGAAGGAAAAACTAAAATATTTTCTTCTATATAAGGCAATATTTATACATTAAAAATAAATAAAATAGTGAGAATCATGATCAATATAACAAATAGAGAAGAAAAGATGAAACAAATCATTAAACAAATTTTTAAAAGTGTGTTTGTATTTATCTCCAGACCTACCTATCTATCCATCTATCTTTCAATTATCTGTAAGAATAATTGCCATTTGGAAACTGGAACACAGATTAAACTTCAAAAAATAAAATCCAGCTAGATGATAATGAAAAGAAACACAACTGAATTTAAAAAGCTGAAAAATGACTGACACTTGAGGAGTAAAAGCACATATATCAAGAAAATAGTAACAGTAAAATCAAATGTCATCAGGTTAATATTAGGGAAACTAGAGGCAAAGAGGAATACTGCATACTAGTAAATGAACTAACATGTCAGTATAATAATCATGATCTCTATGCATCTTTAAGAAGCTTTAAAGTATAGATAGCAAAAAAATGATAGAAAAGAACTGAAAAATCCATAGCCAAAACATAAGTAAATATATACAGTATTTAGACCGGGCATGGTGGTTCACGCCTGTGATCTCAGCACTTTGGGAGGCCGAGGCAGCCAGATCACTTGAGGTCAGGAGTTCAAAACCAGCCTGGCCAATATGGTGAAACCCCGTCTCTACTAAAAATACCTCCCCACCAAAAAAAGTTAGCCAAGCATGGTGTCGGGCGCCTGTAATCCCAGCTACTTGGGAGGCTGAAGCAGAAGAATCTCTCGAACCCGGGAGGTGGAGGTTGCAGTGAGCCAAGATTGCCATGCTACAATCCAGCCTGGGCGACAAAGTGAGACTCCATCTCAAGAAAAAAAAAAAAAGATACACAGTGTTTGACTGTCATATCTGACATCCTTCTTTAAAAATATGTACAAACCAGACTGGATGCGGTGAGTCACTCTTGTAATCCTAGCAGTCAGGAGTTCGAGACCAGTCTGGCCAACATGTTGAAACCCTGTCTCTGCCAAAAAATACAAAACTTAGCCGGGCGTGGTGACACCTGCCTGTAATCCCAGCTACTCAGGAGGCTGAGGCAGAAGAATCACTTGAACCTGGGAGGCAGAGGTTGCAGTGAGCCGAGATTGTGCCATTGTAGTCCAGCCTGGGCAACAGAGTGAGACTCCATCTCAAGAAAAAAAAAATTTATATATATATAAAATATATATAATATATAAATATATAAAAAATATACGTTTTATATATATATAATATATGTCTGTCTCTATATATGTACAAACACACACACACACACACAAACCATATGCCCAACAGGAACACAAATATTATTTTCAGGCACTTGATACATTGACAAAACTTATCCACACAATTTAGCCACAAATGACATCACAACTTTTTGCCTCAAAGCAGAAATCAGGCAGGACACATTTGTGGACAATGCTGAAATAAAATTAGAAATGAAGAACCAAAACTAATCTACACAATAAAAAGTACCTAAAAATCTACATCCTCTTTTCTAAATAAGTTTTGTGTTAATGAACTAAATTTGTAAACTAGAGAGAAACAACAGTGAAAGCATGACATGTCAAAACCCGTGGGGACAAGTTCTTACTGACTGTTCTTACTGAGGCACACTTGCCAGTCACCTTCTGGGTGGCCCACAGACCCTTCCTACTTTTGGCAACTACCGCCTTTGGACTTGGAGTTCCCCAGGACCTATGCCTTCCTCCTTCCATGTGATTGGGCTAGTGCATGTGTTGGTGTATGTTTTCCTTAAATGAGATCCTATCTATTTTCCATCTTTATTGAATTCTTCAATTACGTTAAAATATATGTTAGATGAGACGTATCTATTTTCTATCACTCATTTGAGTACTAAGGCTGCAGTACAGGCAGTCCTTATTTTTTTCTTTTAAGCATTATAAAACCATAAGATGTTAGAGTCGACAGGGTTTTTAGAAATCATCTTGTCTAAATCCCTTATTCTATAGATGACCAAACTGACTGCAAAAAAATAGTGAAGAGACCTGCCTGAGATTACCTGCCAGTCAGGTGCAAGGCTGAGATAAGAGCTCAGCTCTCCTAACTGATTTCTCTTTTCTCTTTACCTCTTTACCATTTTTTCTCTTTGCCATTCCACTTCCGTCTGTACACAAAATATTCATTCTTCAGAGAACTCTGTGGACAGTTTAGGCCCTTATATTGAGTGTAGCCAGTTTGAGTGAATGATTGATCCATTATGTATGGTTACTACTAAATGATGATAGCAGAGAGAATCCTGAAAATCTTTATGTATTAATAACATGATTTTGTAGATGTGGGGAAAGTCTAAAGATTATCTTACGAAGTCCTTTCATCAAGTGTGAACAGTAGATATTATCATTCACATTTTACAGACACAGATGCTAGAAATCAGCAAAACTAAGTGCCTCATAGAACTAAAAAACTTGGCAAGGCATGGTGGCTCACGCCTGTAATCCTAGCATTTTGGGAGGCCGAGGCCAGCAGATCACCTGAGGTCAGGAGTTCGAGACCACCGTGGCGAACATGGTGAAACCCCCACTTCTACTAAAAATACAAAAAATTAGCCAGGCATGGTGGCGGGCGCTTATAATCCCAGCTACTTGGGAGGCTGAGCCAGAAGAATTGCTTGAACCTGGGAGGCACAGGTTGCAGTGAGCCAAGATTGTGCCACTGTATTCCAGCCTGGGCAACAGAGAGTGAGACTCCATTTCCAAAAAAAAAAAAAAAAAATTAAATTAAAAAGACAAACTTGAACTTGGGGTTTCTGCCTCCATGTCCAGAGTCTTGATATTCACCTCACCTCACCTGTGTCAATGCAACCTGTGTTCCTTTTAGAATATCCTCGA
This sequence comes from Homo sapiens, assembly GCF_000001405.40. Taxonomy (NCBI): domain Eukaryota; kingdom Metazoa; phylum Chordata; class Mammalia; order Primates; family Hominidae; genus Homo; species Homo sapiens. The sequence continues at coordinate 26,634,215 of NC_000011.10, forward strand.
ACAGAATCAGAGTGGGAAAACAGCTTCGCCCTGAAGATGTTCCTCTTCCAGTTTGTCAATTTAAACAGTTCCATCTTCTATATCGCTTTCTTTTTGGGAAGGTAAGTCAACTTTTTGTACATTATCTTCGCAGAGTGAAAAACACAGTCAATAGTTTAATTGACGATTACTGTTCTTACTCAAATGATTTCTGACAGCCACCAGCAGCTAAAGTTGGCACAAAAAAATAAAACCTATTTGCTGCATTTGAGCTGAATTATGTCTGTTTCATCATCAGTAACAATTTTGTTAAAGAAGCAAAGAATTTTTGTGTGACCTTGGGTTATAATTCCTTAATGTGGAAACCTCTTCTACCTATCATCTTAACATTTTTCCACCTTTAGTGCAAAATATGAAAAAAGCAGCATATTAAACTAATGATTCTGCTTTGCCATATGCTTAACACTCCATCCAATGCCATGGAAACATACTAAAGATAGAAACATTTTGGATCAAACAATGCAGCACATTATTGTAATAGTCATTAACTAGGTCAACAAAACGTTAAGACTCTCTATGTGAGGGTCGGAAATGTCATCCAGTTGGTTTGTCTGTACTTTCTTGACCCATTAGTTCACGCATCACTTTTTCCTTTGTAAGTCAGATACTTTGATGTTTAAGATAGCAGAAGTCAACTGGGGACAGATTGCACCAGTGAGCGTTTATGTCTACCCACACATGCACTCGTTGTGATGCCTAAGTAGATGTTCTTCAGTGAACCCCACTTAAATGCTAATGAACTAAAATGTCTTCTTACAGATTCGTAGGCCACCCAGGAAAATACAATAAACTTTTTGACCGGTGGAGACTGGAGGAAGTAAGTAACTTTGGGAGTGTGGGTGCAGGAATGGGCATGGATATGGGCCAGTTACTGCGGGAGGAAGGGAGCTGAAGAAAGGAGAAGTTCAGGGAACTTTATGGATATTGAAGACGACACATTGTTCAGAAAGGAAGCAACTACATCTTTTCAAAAAAGGGGGTGAACTGAAAAGTTAAACCCCAAGATTCTCACCTCAGCTCTATTTTTTTAATCACATCAATTTCTTTTATTTACAGACCCCAGGAATTTAGCTCCAGTAATTTTCCTTTTTTTTTAAATTATTATTATTCATTAGGTAAATTTTCAAACTTTTAAATATGTTAGGTTTCCTTTTAGTCCAAAAGACATCATACTGGAAACACCAACATGTAATTATATAAAAGTACCTGCCTAAGACTCATATTTCTTTATTGATTTACAATATGTATGTTATATGGAAAAACTGCCCAGGAGTAGTATTGTTGGGTTACAGGATAAGCATATTGTATATTTTCACTGAGACTGAGAAATGGGCCTCCAAATGCCACCCCTACCTAGACTGTGTGAGCCTGCTTCTTCAGTATTTAGCCAATGGTAGAATTTTCACTTTTACCAATCTAATAGCCAGTGATTTTAGTTTCTATAATTATGAATGAGATGGATAATATTTTTCATATTTTTCTTGAACATTTTATATTTCTGTTCATAGCCTTGAAGAACAGGGCATAGCAATAAAACATAACAAATATTTTATCTTTGGAGACTGGCAGTCTATATTCTAATTCTTCCCACCCAGATGCATGATTTAATATCTATAAATCTCAGTTTCCTCTTTTGTAAATTGGTGATAAGAATAGCTATCTTGCCTGGCCCTGTGGCTCACACCTGTAGTCCCAACACTTTAGGAGGCCAAGGCAGGATGATTGCTTGAGGCCAAGAGTTTGAGACCGGTCTGGGCAAAATGGTGAGACCCTGTCTTTATTTAAAAAAAATAAAAATTAGCCGGGTGTGGTGGCACATGCTTCTAGTCCCAGCTACTCAGGAAGCTGAGGTGGGAAGATCCCTTGAGCCCAGGAGTTCGAGGATGCAGTGAGCCATGATCGTACCACTGCACTCCAGCTTGGGTGAGAGACCAAGACTCTGTCCCTAAACAACAGAAAAAATAAAGAATAGCTATCCCAGTAATACTGGTGATTGGTATATTAAATTAGATTGTGTATGTAAAATAATAGTTACAATTAATGATAGCCATAATTACAAAATTTAAAAAGTGCTATGGTTTGTTTTAGGATATTTGTGAACTGGCTAAGCTAGACTTGTGAATCTTTTACTACAACTATATAATATCTCACATTAATATTTTTTATGAAATCAATATGAAAAAGTTTTTAATAATAGCTAAGATTTATTGAGGGCTTACTACATGCTAGTGTACTCCAGCAATTGTTTCTAAGTGCTCTCTGTATATTAATGCATTTAATCCTCACAGTTCTATTATTATATCCATTTTACAGATCAGGAAACAAAGTCACAGATGTGCAGTGCCTGCAATTGCAAATGTAATTTCCCTACAATTGTACAAACATAAACACTGATGAAGTTATGATTTAAATCTTTTCAGTGTAGCTTCAGAGTCTGTGCTCTGAACACTGTGCTTTCCAGCCACGAGTAGGATGGCGTGTAGGTATAATCAAAGACATAATGAAAATTTATTTTGCTGAGAAATTGCTGTCTGATTGCTGGCTCACACTTCTATGCTGGATTTAGAGTAAGCATACTAAAGTAAGTGAAGGAACCTGGGTATTGGAGTCTGACAGTTCTTTCTGTCACTTAGCTTTATCATCTGCAGAGTGAAGATACCAACAACTACCCTGCCAGGTTCTCACAAGGAGTAAGAGAAAAATACACTACAGCATCTAGTTTGGCTTGTCCAGGGTGATATGATTTGGGTGGTGCAATTGGAATGAATGCCTGTGTCTTCTGCACACTCACTCATGCCCTTTTACACATTCCAAGTATGGGCTTTTTCTACCAAATGAAATTTAGAGTTTTGATAGACTGGCTTTAGTGCAAGACCACCATTATGTGAATGGACAAACCCACAAAAACTATTGGACCCCCTTCTCTTCCTTATAAATCATAAAGTCATCAAGGCTTAATTTCAACAAAATTATAAATGGCCTGTCTTCCAGCCACCCCACTTTGGCCTATCCTTTGTGGGTAGCGAACCAATCACATGATCCTATGATCATCTTCTTTTTCCCATCCCACAAAATAATGTTTGTGTTAAACCCACACTTCAAGGCAGCAAACACATTGGTAAATGGAATTCATCCTTAGTATAATATAAAAGAGCAATGGATTGGGGAAATGGGGACAAGCCTTTCATTTCCACAGCACCAGTCAACACTGTATGGCCTTGGGCAAGTCAGCTTGCCTCTGAGTCTCTACAAAAATGAAGAGCTTCAGCTTGCAGCTGTGATCTGTGATTTGCCCCCGTAGCTTAATAATTACTCTGCCTCAGTCATTCCAGTGAACCCATTTATCAGATATATTTGGGAGAGTTCAGGAAATGCTAAATTCATCCTAGAAAAAGAGGTTTGCTTGGATGCGAGAATTTAGACCTCTTCATGCAGTAAGCATGACCATTTGCAAATCCTCTCTCAGGCTCAGATTAGGGAGTCTTAAATTACTGGGCTGGAACAGGAAAAGCAGGCTCTTTGTGTCTTATTTGTTCTCTTTGAAGTTCCACTAGTACCAATTTGATAGAAATAGAAACTGTGGATCAAAGCCATAGAGAAGACTGTCTTCCTTATGAGCAGGACATGTACCCATTTCTAAAGAAACAGACCCACGCCTTCCCACCCAAATATCTTGAATACTGCAAAGTTTTCAAGTAAAACACATCGGTTGTGATTTTTGTTGAAATCACGTTTTTGTTTGTATGGGTCTCTAATACTAACTTATTGAAAATCTAAAAAAGCAGAAAAGCACAGACGAAAGAATAGGATCATACTGATGAATTATTTTTGTGGTGTTGCATTTATCACTTAAAAATGCATTATAATATAGGTAGATACTTCCTTTCCAGGAGGTAGAATTCAACACCTCCCCACCATCTTGAGAATGGGCTAGACTTAGTGGCTCCCTTCTAAAAAATAGAACAGAAAAAGGGAAAAATGAGCAGCTTTCCAGTGGAAAAAAAAATTGGAAAACACTAACCAATTAACATCACCAGTGATGTCATGTGCTTCTCATATATCCCTGATACGATGTGAGGAAAATAGCACTTCACCTTTGTGATTGGTCTCTCCAAAACACATAACCCTGGTCTAAACATAAGAAAAACCATTAGACAAACTTAGATTGTGGGACATTCCACAGGGTACACATCCGGCAATCTTCAAACATTTAAAGTTATGAAAAACTGAGAAGCTGTTCAGACCAGAGGAGACTGGGGAGATAGGAAGAATAAATACCATAGGGTATGTGGGGTTGGATCCTGGAGCAAAGAGAGGAAAACTGGTGAAATCCAAAGAGAGCTTTGCGTTTAGCTAATTGTAATCTACTAATATCATTTTCTTAGCTTTGTCAAATATACCATGGTAATGTATGGAGCGACAGCTAGAACTGTGTAAGGAGTGTATGGGAACTCTGTACTATCTTTGCAAGTTGTCTGTACATCTAAACTTATTCTGAAATAAAAAGGTTATTAAAAACAATATATTATAAACATTATGCCATAGAATTAACTATTTTCTATTACCTGATTGTTAATGGATATATAATATTCCATAGCATTCATTAAATGTGATCATGCCTAACACAGAGCTTGGCAGATAGTAAGTACTCACTAAAAGTTAGATTTTTTGTTATTGCTATTATAATTTTGATTGATATTTCGTTATAATTACTGAAGAATTCCCTCATCAAGTGCCCTCATACATGCTGTTTCTTTCTTGTTTTTATTTTCTTTATGCATGAGATGGTGTGACCCAGCTTTAAAATTTGCTGTACAATTTAATGGTGGGCATGTCTGAGCCTACTGGGAAGAAGACCAATATCATTATTGCTCTTATGTTCTATTTCAGTGTCATCCTAGTGGCTGTTTGATAGACCTCTGCCTCCAGATGGGTGTCATCATGTTTTTGAAGCAAATATGGAACAACTTCATGGAACTAGGATACCCGTGAGCACATTATTTTCAAACTTGCCTTATGTCTAGTTACAAAGAGGAAAGCTAGAGGTGGCGTGAGTAGTGCTTAAGAATTTGGTCTTGGTAATCAGACAAATGATGGCTCAATTCCTGTTCTGCTCCTTACTAAATGTCTGCCCATGTGTAAATTAAACCTTTCAGAGCCTGTTTTCACTAAGAATGTATCAACAATATATCTACCTCAAGAACAGCTGTAAGGGTTAAACAGAATAATGAATGTAGAGTAACTTGTTTAATGCATTAAGACACTTGTTACTAGTTTGAAAACATGATTGACATTACGGATTGTATATATAAAAATAATTTTCCGGGGTGTTTCTTTTGCTACCAGCAGACCAAGTTTGTTGTTTAATAAAGACAGCCTTCATTCCTCCCAAAAGAATAAAGCAAAGATCAAATCCTGGATGAGAAGCTTTGTTCTCTTTGTTACAACTAAGAAAAAAATGTTAGAACAGGGATGATTGTACTAACATCAAAACAATAGCATTCTATTTTCATTATTTTAGATGTTTTAGCTGCCTGTGAAATGCTTACAGAGGTGTTGAATGCTCACTTTCTCATATATTAAAATACACTTTCCTTTAAAATATGGCAAAATACTGGGTATTTAAAACAATGTAATATTGAAGCTTTGAGTCTAATCAACTAAAAACATGTCTATTTGAATAATTTCCTGACTATTGGGGAAGAACTGGTTAGTTGGTTGATGAAGTAAGTAGCTTGGGGTTATATATCAAATTATATTCTTTTTTTTTCTTGTGGTGGTACATATTTTATCAGAACATTCTTGAACAAAGATCTGGGGGTTGTAGAAGTGATATTAACCCTGCAATCTGCTATAAAGTATTGTGTTAATTTACAGGCAGCCTTAGAGTATAGGCTGTGGAATTACCCAGACCTGGTTTAAATTCCTTCTCTCTTCCTTGCTAAATTTGCTTAATATTTCCTTGACATCTCTTAGGCTTTTTTAGTCCATTTATAAAATAGGATATTTATGAAGATTAACTGAGATGACCCAGTGCTTTTTAAACCTTCATCATAAACGACAGAACCTTTTTGTGAAGAGAGTTTTATACAGACTTAATATTCAAAACAAATTTAAGCAAATCTCTCCTAAACAAAGAGAGAATAGAAGATGGAGGACTGGGGAGCCCAGTTCATTTGTGGTGTTCCTTCCTATTCTTGGGTCACTTCTTTAAAACTGGTTTTAGGAAACATTGTTTGAAAGAAATAGGAAATTAGATGTCAAGTGCCTAGCACAGAATGTAACATGCTGTGAGTACTCCATAAGTATCAACAAGATGATGTAGGGGTCATTGCAGTATAAAAAAGTTGTTTCTTTTTATTATCACTACTCATGGACTGCTACACTTGGTGCACTTTAGACAGGACATTTTCATTATGGCCTTGCGCTAGGGGTCAGTCTGGATCACATATATCAAATCCTAAGGGCACCATGGCACATCTTACCCTTCCCGATATCTAGGAAAAGGCTTTGTTAAAGAAAATTGAGCGGGAGTAGACCAGCCATTAAAGCAAAACTCTTGTAAACCACAATTGTCTTTCTTCAAGCAAAACTTTAAACAGAACCTAAATACATATAATAGAAATAAGCAGATCGCCTCAACTCTCACCTCCAGCCCCTTTTTCACCTTCATGAGGCTCTGGAGGCAACCTCCACTGCCTGACGTTTGTTCTCTGGTTGCTCCTCCAACTGCCACTTAGGTTCCGTGATTAAAATTGAGGGTTGGGTACTGTTCACTGAGTCCTGTAAAATTCACCTTGTCCTGGAGGTAATTTTCACTGACCTCTTAAATAATTCATTACCCAGAAGGCCACAATATGTGCATACCAGGATATTTCTGAGTCACATAATTCCAAGATTGTACTTGGGCTAAGAAAACAGTATTGTTACTTCCTTTTCAGGTGTGAGAAGCAGACTCACGGACACAGACTTATTGCCTAGTAATTATTGTTCACTACAATAGCAGAATATAATAATCACTAACACTTAGACTCCTCATGTTTCTAAACTCAGAGAGGTGAAGTGACTTGCTAAAAATCACACGGCTAATGCATTGCAGGATGGGAACTAGAACTTAGATCTTTTGAAATCCTACCCAAGGGTCAATTAGTTTATGTGAAACATGATTTTTTTCCTGTTCAGAGAGTATAGCTCTGAAGATTTTAGGTTATGAGCAATGAAAGGGTCAGACCTAATCACAGCAGGCAACAAAGAAGTTTAAGTATTTCTATAGGTGGGGAGAGGGGAAGGAATCATAGAAATGAATATTTGTTTAATCAATGTCAAGGACCATTTTAGTGTATAGAGCTTGAATTCCTAGATAATTATGTAGATATTTATAGGACCTAGGAGAGTTCTGGAAGGCTGGGGCCTACTCTCCTATGCTAAAGTTTTTCAAAAGATTTAAAAAAAATTTTTTAAGATATTTAAGCTTTCAAAATGTTTTTTTAACTTTTTTAAAAAACTTTTATAAAAGGTAAAACCAAATACCTCCAATTCCGAGGAGCTGGAATTGGTTTTACTCATTTCTTAATTCACTATACATTGTTAACCAGATGCTTGAATCAGAGCTCAAAAGTCCTTGGTCTGCTCTGTGATGTAGGTTGATCCAGAACTGGTGGTCACGACATAAAATCAAGCGGGGAATACATGATGCTTCCATACCTCAGTGGGAAAATGATTGGAATCTGCAGCCCATGAACCTTCATGGACTGATGGATGAGTACTTAGAAATGGGTAAGGAAAAAAAATCTGCAGGACTATTTGGCCTTCTTGATACAATTTTTCTACTTCACAGAAGCTTTGGTTCAACAGAGAAAATTATCTCTTTCCTTTCCAACCCCAAGCATTCTAAAACACGTCTGCACCTTCATCTCAAGGAGCTAGAGATACTAACTCTTGGCAGATTCACATGTTTTATTCTCTGAGAGTCATGCATTGACCAAAATGAAAGTTTTTCTCACAGTGGAACACCTATTTTATGAGCAAATATTTGAAGCAAACAAAATAATGCTGAACCAGTTTCTTTTCCTTTTTCTTTCTTTCTTTCTTTTTTTTTTTTTTTTTTTTTTTGAGACAGTGTCTTGCTTGTTCTGTCAACCAGGCTGGAGTGCAGTGGCACAATCTCGGCTCACTGCAACCTCCACCTCCTGGGTTCAAGCGATTCTCCTACCTCAGCCTCTCAAGTAGCTGGGATTACAGGTGCACATGACCATGCCTGGCTAATTTTGCATTTTTTAGTAGAGATGGAGTTTCACCATGTTGGCCAGGCTGGTCTCAACTCCTGACCTCAGGTGATCTGCTCACCTTGGCCTCCCAAAGTGCTGGGATTACAGGCCTGAGCCACCGCACCTGGCCAGCTGAACCAGTTTCTATGTTAAGAAACCTACCATTCTACTCACGCAAAGCAATAATTATTTTTCACAATAAACCTTTGCACAGACTCCGTCTGAATCTTAACTTCTGAATCTTAACTCCTCCTCCTTCTTCCTCCTCTTCTTTCTCTTTCTTCTTCTTTTTCCTCCTCCTCCTCCATCTCTTATTCTTTCTTCTTCCTCCTCCTTCTCCTCCTCCTCTGTTTTGTCTCCCATCTTCCCTCTATTTCTTCTTTTTCTCTCTCCTTCGTGCTGCATTATATAGAGGTGGAAAGCCCATAGACTTTCAATACATTCAGAACTTAATTTGAATAAAGGTTTCAACATTTTCTAGCTATCTACCCTTTAGCAAGTTTAATTAACATATATGAAATAAGGTTGTCCTAACTGTAAAATGAGATAAAGCTATCTACTTTGTAAGGATGTTGAAAGCATTAAAAGCAATTTATATAAAGCACCAAATTTGTCACAAAGGAAGTTTATATAGTAATTTCCTAATGCTCTTCTTTTGCAGTTTTGCAATTTGGTTTTACCACCATCTTTGTTGCGGCTTTTCCTCTAGCCCCTCTTTTGGCTTTGTTAAACAATATCATTGAAATCAGGCTGGATGCATACAAATTTGTCACTCAATGGCGGAGGCCTTTGCCAGCCCGAGCAACTGACATAGGTAAGATTCGGAAGTTAAATGATTTTTACGTTGCTAACACCAATAGGTTGCTATGGTTTGAGTGTGCCCCCAGATTCATATGTTGAAACTTAATTGCCAGTGTCATAGTATTAAGAGGCCTTTAAGAAGTGATTAAGCTGGCCGGGCGTGGTGGCTCACTCCTGTAATCCCAGCATTTTGGGAGGCTGAGGTGGGCAGTTCACCTGAGGTCAGGAATTCGAGACCAGCCTGACCAACATGGAGAAACCCTGTCTCTACTAAAAATACAAAATTAGCCGGGCATGGTGGTGGGTGCCTGTAATCCCAGCTACTCGGGAGGCTGAGACAGGAGAATCGTTTGAACACGGGAGGCAGAGGTTGCAGCCTGGGCAACCAGAGTGAAACTCCCTCTCAAAAAAAAAAAGAAGTGATTAAGCCATGATCCCTCATGAATGGGATTAGGACTCTTACAAAAAATAGCTTGAGGGAGTGACTTCATTCTCTTCCACTTCCCCGTGGTGTGAGGACACAGCATTCATCCCCTTTTCGCTTTCCTACCTTCTGCTATGTGAGGACACAGCGTTTGTCCCCTCCAGAGGATACAGCAGCAAGGTGCCATTTTGGAAGCTGGAAGCAAGGCCATCTCCAGATATTGAACCTGCTGGTGCATTTATCTAGGACTTCCTAGCCTCCAAAACAGCAAGGAACTTCTGTTCGCTATAAATTACCCAGTCTCAGGTATTTTATTATAGCAGCATAAAGGCACTAAGACAACATAAGCTGGTCCTACTTAGCACCATGTGGTTTTCTATTGTGAGGACACCCTTCCAACCGTAACAAAACTTAACATTTTTAGTTATGAAAATAATAAAAGGAACATTAATTTAGTTGAGATTAAGTTTACATCCAATATGCTATTTCATAAACTTGGTCATAACTAAAACGGATTTCATATATACCTTTCCATGTTAATAGACACAGCTCTGCCTCATTCTGTATGATTCCTGCACAAATTTCTATGATATGTATATGACATTTTTTAAAAATACTACTTTAGCCAGAGATGTTTAGATTGCTTCAGTACTTTGCTATTATAAACAATACTGAAGTGATCATATTCACATATAGTTTGCCAGATTATTTCCTCAGGATACATTTCTAGACTGGAGCACCTGTTCAAAGAGTATGCACATCTAAATTTTTGATATGTAATTTGGCAGCATGTTCTCCAGAAATGTTGTGCCAATTTACACTGTCATCATAAGTACATTTCTCTATTTCTGCAACAACTCCAAATATAAAAAGGATTTTTGGATTGTTGTTCTATCCTTGAGAATCTGAAGAGGAAAAAATTTGTTGTTCTATTTACTAGCATTTTTCTAACCGTGAGATTAAGTATATTTGTATTCCTTCTTTGCTAATTGTGTTTATGTTCTTTGGTCATTTGGTGGCCATTGAATCTGATTTGGTAATCTGGCCCTATATTTATTGGGAATACTAATCACACACACACACACACACACACACACACACACATACCATATATACATACTATAACTGTGTGTATAAATATATGTGTGTGTACATATATATATAAACAGAGATGCTGGTTTTCAATTTATTCACTTTATTTTGGATAAGGTTTTAAATTTTATATATAATCCAATTGACATATATCTCTCATAGTTATTATTTTTGACATTCTTAAAAAGGTACTTTAGAACTAATGATTTTTCACCTGTTGTATTTATTGTTGTTTCATTATTTAGATATGTCTGTTCTGTTTTGTGTATTTGCTTGTTGTTTGCTGTCATTTTATTATTTCATTTAAATTGTTGATGCATTTAATTGTTGTTCATTTAAATTGTTGATTTATCTGGAATATGTTGTTGATAAAATTGAGGTCCAGGATTTTTTTCCCCAATGCTTAATCAATTTTTCCAAAACCATTTATTAAATAATTCAATTTTTGAACTTATTTTGTTTCTATTATTTTATACTACATTCTCTATAAATTTAATTATATTTATATAATCCACTTTTCCCATTGAGCTACTTATTACATATACTGCTTTAATAAACTATAGTTTTTAAATAAAAACTCCAACTATATTGGAAAGCAGCTCCACATGTCTTTTTTTGGGAGGGGAGATTTTCTGGCTAATACTGCAAGGTTATCCTTTTAATTAATTTTACCCATTTATATATTATACTGTCATCAAAGTTTATTTAAAATATACTTATCTGTAAAGACTGAATACAATGCAATTTGAGTTCCCATATTTTAAGCAACTAAAATTATTGCTGTCCTTTAAATTTGGTGATGTTATTGATTTCATTATTTAAACAATATAGACACAGAAGGGGAACAACACACACTGGGGCCTTTTTGGGGGGCAGAGGGAGGGAGAGCATCAGGAAAAATAGCTAATGCATGCTGGGTTTAATACTTAGATAATGGGTTGATAGATGCAGCAAATCACCATGGCACACGTTTACCTCTATAACAAAACTGCACATCCTGCACATATACCCCAGAACCTAAAATTAAATAAAAATAATATAAGCACATTAAAGAAAATCTAGAAAATAAATTTTAAAAAACTTCCATTTCAGCTTTAGTGAGCATTTACTATACCTTCCCATAGATAGGTAAGTGTTTTCTAAACTACTGGATTTTACTTTGCTCAAGCCAGACAACACGAAAGTGTATAAAGAAAACAGTTAGTAATCTTTCACCTTTATATTTCTCTTCTACCTCAGGGAATCAGTGCTATCAATTTGGCATTTATCCTTTGCCATTGTTTTTCTTGCTCATAGAAATATACAAAAAATATATTTGTACACATATGTAGAATTCTGCATTGTTTTTTCTTCATGAACATTCTCCAGCTCAAAACATATTCATCTAATTTATTTTAATAGAATAGTAATATTCATAATACTGATACACCATAAATTTTATAACCATTTACTTATTTCCCACTATAAGCAGGAATAAACATACAGTCATAGCTATAAATATAAATATGTACATAGTTATTACATATGTAGTACATATCATATATATGTGTTTGCATAGTGTATCTGTAGTATAGATCCCAATAAGTAGGATTAAAATGTTTGCATATTTTAATTTAAGATGTATCAGATTAATTACCAAAAATGTTGTAACAAGTCACACTTCCAGTCACACTGTAAAGGAGTTTCTGTTTCCACAATCCCTAAATAGCATTAGATTTTGTAAGACTTTCAAATCTTTGTCAATCTATTGGATTTTTTTAAATCTTATTTTTGAGTGCCATTTCTCTGAATACTAGTGATTTAAACTTCTTTTTATCAGTTACTTTAATTCAGAAAGCAAATTGCTCATTTTATTGTCTATTTTTCTCTAGGTTTATCTTATTAACATCTTAGGATCTTTTTGTATACTAGGCATGTTAACCCTTTGTCGGTTTTTGTAAACCAAATAGTTTCTCCCAAAATATTTTCTTTTGCCTAAATATTGTGACTTTTGTACAAATAAATGTTTAATTTTAATGTACTCAAATATGATTTTTATCGGTTTCTTGTCTTATGATCTCCTCATCAAGTAAACTTTAACATGTTTTTAAATTATTATTTTTAATTACAAATCAATGTAGTACTTCATAAAAATTTTGAAATGCCAAGTGTGGGAGGAAAGAAAGTTGGCATGCTACATAATCACCTTTAGTGCTGTAGAGCATTTTTTCCAGGATATTTTTTTCTCATACATATTTTTAAAACTAAGTTTAATCCCACTGAAAACATTAGTTTTGACTATAATGAATAGTATACTAGTTCTATATACTATACATCTTCAAAAGTTTTTTGTGTGTATGTATTTTCATGATGCCAGATTGACCTCCTAGGAAGTAAAAAATGTCTACTAGAACTTTTCAGTTCTTACCACCAGACTAGTTTTGCTTTTTTTGTATTTTTACTTTAAAAAGACATTTGACAAAGATAAAGACAAACCCCAGAGTGAATGCAGATATTTCACAGTGTGCATAACCATGAAGAACTTGAAGATTCTTATGTACTATTTTTATTGCCTCAGCAAGTTCTGTAAATTAGACTTTGAAATATCTTGTGCACCTGTGCACCTGTGCCATGTCTCATTGTTGCAGACATGAACCTAGTCCTAATGGCATTTCAATTTTTGAATCTTTCTAGACGAGATATATCTTCTCTTTGTGGAAAAAGTGTATTCGATAGCTATAATGTCTGTATTGAGATAGTATAATAAGAAAGCACATAGTGGACAGAGCTGTGGTTCCAACATAAGTAAAACATTATTTCCAAAATAAGATTAATTACAGGGTTTTCATATTCTTCATTTTTGTTCACCATGATTAATCTTTCTCTTACCAGGTATCTGGCTTGGAATTCTCGAAGGAATCGGTATATTGGCTGTGATCACCAATGCATTTGTAATTGCTATTACTTCTGATTACATCCCACGTTTTGTTTATGAATACAAATATGGCCCCTGTGCAAATCATGTAGAACCAAGTGAAAAGTAAGGTTTAAATTTAAACATTTTCCTGATATGTTTTACATTTGTAATTAAAATAGGATCTTACTGGGAAGTTTTGTTCTGTGACCATTAAGGGTGGTGTTTCTAAGCATTGCATTTATAATGTGTTTATTAGGTGAAATCAAGCAAGGTAAAAAGGACAACAGTGTTATTATAGCAAATAATCTTAGAGTCCGTCTACTGTTTTTACTTGGAAATGCATCACAAGTATCAAAATATTAAAAATATATTTAGAAGTTACATTCTGTAAATAGAAGTTATCTTAGAATAACTTCTTACCATCTAGATGGTAAGAAGAATGCAATCTTCTTACCGTATAGATGGGGAAATTGCAACCTATACTGGCTAATCAAACTGCTGAATGGAGCAGTGCTAGTTTGTGGGAAGAAGCAGAACTTGAAGGAACTGTCAGCTCTGTGACTGGAGATTTTCAAAAGGAATTTACAACTAGGGGTTTTAAGGACGCAAAAAATCCTGTCTCCCATGTATTTTCTTTTAAAATTTAAGTCCACTCTTTGCAACATAGTTTCTCAGCCTCTGCACTATTGACGTTTTAGATCAGGTAATTCTGTCTTTTCATGGAGGGCAGAGGGCTGTCTTGTACATTGCAGGATGTTTAGCAGCACCCTTGGTCACCACCCGGTAGATACCAATAGTAACCTCACTATTCCCCAAGTTGTGGCAACCATAATTATCTCTGGGCATTGCCAGATGTCCTCTGGGGGACAAAATGACCCAGTTTAGAACCACTGCTTTAGGTGATACAGGTTTTCTCAGCTCTTTCCTTACTTAAATAAGGTATTGGGGGAAAAATGTAAGAGGGCATTGGATTTGAGGAACGGAGAGGAGTTGGAGGCACATGAAACAGAGCTGTAGCTGGAGATCAGCCTTAGGTGTGGAAGAAGCGACAGGAGAAGCTGCTTCTCCTGCTTCCTTCAGGAGTAGCTTTGGGTGTGCAGCTGATCCGGATGCAGGGCATGTGCCACAACAGGATGAGCCCTGGAATAGGAGGAAATGCACTGTTAACTCTGCTGAGGAACTGACGTTTTCTCAGATCAATGAAATACCTTTCTGGATATAAATGTCTCAGTTGTTTCAGATAGGTGATAAAGGGATGGATATTTCCTTTATGTATTGCATATCGTGGGGTCTTGTCAAAGGATTTTAACTTGAAGCCGGACATTTTAGGTTCGAGTTGTAACTTTGCCTTTTTTTAAAATTTTATAATAAATTGTCTACTTTATTTTAGAGATAATTGAAAATACAGAAGAATAAAAGGCCATAAAAACCCTAGCAAAAACAAAACGAGACTATAATTCCATTCCAGAAATACATATTACTAATATTTTGAACCCATCTTTTCAGATGTATTCTATTCATGTACACATTTTAAAGGTATATAACAGTAGAATCTGACTTTTTTGATAATCTGTTCTTAATTATTTCTGCCCTTAACAATATAGAATGAGTAAATATTAAACTTCTGTAGTTTTAAACTTAGACATGCTTATCCTGTATTCTGCTTTTTAGTAAAAGGCATGTCATTAATCTGGACCTAGTTGGTTCATAATAAGAAATGTTCGGCCGGGCGCGGTGGCTCACGCCTGTAATCCCAGCACTTTGGGAGGCCTAGGTGGGCAGATCGCAAGGTCAGGAATTCCAGACCAGGCTGGCCAACATGGTGAAACCCCCTCACTACTAAAAATACAAAAATTAGCTGGGCGTGGTGGCGGGCGCCTGTAATCCCAGCTACTCGGGTGGCTGAGGTAGGAGAATCGTTTGAACCCGAGAGGCGGAGGTTGCAGTGAGCCAAGACCGCGCCATTGCACTCCAGCCTGGACGACAGGGCAAAATTTCGTCTCAAAAAAAAAATATATATTCATAGCCCTTATGATTAAGAAGTGGTGTCTGAAATAAGATCTTATGAACTCTAAAGCACAATTTAAGTGTAAGAGGGATTTCGTATTAGTAGTTTTAAAAACCCTGTTTTTTCTTAGTTCAAAATAATCTAGAAGCAGATGTTAAGGATTTAAAATATACAGGCTTGTTAGGGAGCCCTCTTCCATAGCATTATTTGCCAGTGTCTTCACTGCCACCTAGTGGCAGGTGAAAATGAGATTGACTGGGTATCTAGCACTCTGCGTTTATGTAGATAGCGCCTGCCTTTCGTGTAGATAGCGCCCGACATCTCCATATTCATCGGTTAGGAATATAGACTAATTTCAAGCAAAGATGTGGAGGGCTTATGTTACAGTGACACCACACATTCAGAGGAGCACCCTGTTTATTTTCCATGTATGCTTAGCAGCTAAATTGGCATAGATTCATTCAGATTGGAAATTTTCGGAGCAAGGTGGCGGAAGAAGATGACAGTGGGAGGGGAGGATATTGGCAAAAGAGTAGGTGAAATGATAAATTATTTGTTCTAGTATGGACAACGAATGGAGTGAAGCCAGCATAGCTCTGTAATTAAGAATTCAAGGTTTAGAATCAGATAGATGCGTGTTTGAATCTAGGTTCCGAGGGCAGTCCTTCTTAACATGTGGTCTGCAGATCTCCTTCAGGGGTCCATGAAGTCGATGCGATTTTTATACTGAAATTAAGATATCATTTGCCCTTTTCATATATTGACATTTTCCCTAGTGATCCAAAAATATTGGTGAATAAAGTTTCTGGTAGTTTTGCATAACTAAAGGCAGTGGCACCAAACAGTATTGCTAGTGATTGTATTCCTCACCATAATTTGGCCAACATAAAAAATTTCAGTAAGAAGTTCAGTGTGTCCTCAGTGAAGCAGCAATAATTATTGATTTAATAAAATCTCCACTATTGAATAGATGCCTTTTAAATATTCTATGTGACAAAATAGGAAGTGTGCATAAACCACTTTCTGCTGAATGCCAAAGCGTAATGGTCGTCTCAAAGAAAAAAAATACTCATGTGATCGTTGGAGTTACAAACTGAGCAAACTTTTTTCCAACATGAAATAATGATTGCCAGACAAACTATGATTATTCAGACTTGGATACTTAGCAGTCTTTTACAGAATGCTCACTACTAGCTTGTCATTTTAAAGAAAATAATTGCTATATTTATTGCCATTGAAAAAGTTCAAGCACTGAAGTGAAAGTTAAGAATTTTGGATAACTTTTGTTTACCACTTTGAGCCTAAAAGCTTCCCAATTTTTTTTCTGATAAAAATAAATGGTGATATTAACAATTGTGAGTTTTTTCATGATCTATAGTAAAAAATATGTCAATATTTGGAAGAGCTGCATGGTTCCAGGAACTAATTTTCCAAATAACCCATATTTGATGTTATAAAATCATGAATGAATAAAAGATGAATTTAAAATGCAAGTTAGACTTAGGGATTTTAATGTAACAGAATGAAAACGTCATTGATATGGTTTAAAATTCCGCATTGCAACTAAACCTTAGAAAGTATCACATGTAGAGCTTTGACGGAATGTCAATGAAAAATATCCACAATTGTTTCAAATACTATTAAAATAGTCAATACATGAGACCAGATTTTCTACTTATTCTTCAACCAAAACAACATATTGCAACAGATTTTATATAGAACCAGATATGAGAACCTAGCCGTCTTCTGTTAAAACAGGCATTAAAGGGATTTGCAAACATTTAAAGTAATGTCATTCTCACTATGTTTTTCTTTTGGAAAATATAGGTATTTTTCTTTAAGAAACGGGTCATTTATATTAATTTACCTTAATATAAATTATTTTTGTTTTTAAATGAAGTAATAGACGTTTTCTAAATTTCTCAGCTTTAATTTCAAATATCTTAAAATATCAATAGATACACCTCTGTGAAAAAAAGAAAAAAGCTTCTTCAGATCCTCAATAATTTTTCTAAATGCAAAGGGGTTCTGAGGGCAAACGTTTTTGGAATTATAGGCCTACAGGAAGTTACTTAGTCCCTTTAAACTTCAATTCTTTAGTCATTATGATGGAGATAAAATATATATGTTTTAAGGTTGTTGTAAAAATTAATTTTAACAATTCTTTGAACTCACCTGGATCTCTAAAGCATTGGTCATAATAACTCATTCTTGCCCCTCCCCTTTCCTTTGATGTCCTCTTTTCCATCCTTAACCATCTTACAAACCAGTTGCCCAATCACCGTAACCACTTCCTTGGATACGCAGGTCCTTTCCCCCATTCACTTTGTTACGGAATTGCAGAATCACATCGTTGGTTCTCCAGACTCTTTGTCTACTCTGCACTGCACTCATGCAGCTGCATGCAAATGAAGGAAAATGAACAACCACACTGACTAGTTTCACTTTAAATTTGTATCACATACTTTGTGTGGACCTGACAAACGTATTTTATTTTTCTAGTCCATTTGCCCGTCTACTTTTTTAGAGAAGTTTGTCATAGCTTCTCCTTGCTCCTCAAGCCTTCTGAACCTCCTTTTTTATTCTCACTCTGACCTGATCTTGCTTCCTACTTAAGAAAAATTGAATCAATTAGAAAAGATCTTCCACAGACGTCTATTATCACATCTTCCTACCTACAGTATGTGTCCCATGTAGCCTGCCTCCTCCAAGTTCCTAGAAATAGAACCATCTGTGCTCCCATACTGAAGGCAAAATTCCTCCACTTGTGCCCTGGATCTCTTCTTCTTTCCCTATCTGAAACCATCATTCTAGTAATTCACCCCTTTTTCTCATACATTATGTATTTTGCCTCTATTTACATTTTCACATTAACATTGAAACATGCTTTTATTGTTCTAGTCAATAGATAAAGTCCTCCCTTGTCCTGGCTGCCTTCCAGTTACATCTTTATGTCTTTGCTCCCATTTATAACAGAAACTACATCCAAAGAGTTTTCTGTTCCTATGTTCTCCAATTCCCCTTCTCTTCTTCCCTTTTAAACTCTCTTCGATAATGTGTATGCCCCATGGCTCCGTTGAGATGTCATGATGACTTTCACATTGTCAAACCCACTGGTCAACTCCAGTTCTCACATCATTTGGCTTCTCAGCAGCATTTGATAATTGAGCATTCCCTTCTTAATGTACTTTATTCACTTGACTTTCAGAAAGACACATAATTTCTGTTTTCCTGCTACCCCACCAGCCACACCTGCCAAGTCATGTCTGCTAGTTCTCCTCATCTCTCAGCTTTAGTTTTGGAGTTCCCCAAGGGCTCAATCTATGGACTTATTATCTTCTGTATTTCTATTTATTTCCTTGACCATCTAATTCAGTTTCATGGATCGATCTACGCTCATACCTGAATTCTAGCCTTGAATATTCCACTGTCTGCTTGGCATCTCCTCTTACCTGTCTAATAAACATCTAAAACTTGCCATGCCCAAATTTAAAGTCCGAATTTCATCCAATCCTGCTTAACCTTCAGTCTTGCCCATATCAATTAACAGCAATTTCATATTTATAGTGGCTCAGGCCATGATCCTTGGCAATCAGCCTTGAATACTTTTTTTTTCCACGCCCCACACAACCCACTGGAAAACATGTTGACCCTGCTTTCTAAACATCCCCTTTTCATACCACTTCCACTGCCACCACCTAGCTCAAGACACTATCATCTCTCACCTGGATCCTTGAATAATCTTACTTAAAACTTAAGTTCATTCATGTAATTCATGTGCTCAAAACTCAGTAGTGTCTTCTTATTTCACTCTAAGAGCCAAAATCCTCCTTAAATTCATACAAAGGGAGCTTCTTCTCTGAGCTCGTTTTCCGGCACTATTTCCCTCCCTCCCTTTGTTTCCACCACCACCGCCCTCTCACAGTCCCCAGTACGTGCCAAGGTCTCTGCTTTTTCTGCTTGAAACTGTCCATCCCCAGATACCCTCACGGCTGCCTCTTTCAACTCCTAATCTTTCCTCGTGTTATCTTCCTAAAAAAGTCTACCCTAAGGACTCTACGTGAAATTTTAAACCCCTAATTCCAATTTCCCTTAGCCTAATCTATTATGTTGTGAGGTGGTCAAAACTTTACATTACTTTCTTTAAGAACATCCAATTTCTCCAGCACCATTTCTTGAAAAGACAATTATTTCACCAAGGATTGCAGTGCCATTTGTGTCATAAATCAGGTGAATGTGTATTTGTGGATCAGTTTTTGAACTATCTCCTCTTCATTGGTCTATTGCCTTTCCTTGTATGAAGATCACAGTGTCTTAATTACTGTAACTTTACAGTAAGTCAATATTATGTGCTGTAATCTTCTGTACATTTTCTTCTTCAACATCGACGTTGCTAATATAGATTCTTTACATTTACATATAAACTTTAGATTCAATTTATCAGTTACCATTTTTTAAAAATTTGAGAGAATTGACATTTTAACAACCAATCTTGAAACATGCTGACTCCATTTATTTAAGCGTTCGTTGAATTCTCTGAGACATGTGGTTTGGTTGTTTGTTTTTAGATCCCAGTGTAGAGGTCCTATATGGCATTTTTAGATTTATGCCCAGATATTTGGTATTTGTAATGTCACTATAAATAGTATTTATTTAAATTTTATTTTCTTTTGTTTGCTGCTAGTATATAGAAATATTTTTCTATATTGACCTTGTATCTATCTAGTGACCTTGATAAATTCACTCATTAATTCAAATGGTTTTTAGATTATTTTATATTTCCTATGTATATAACTATACCATATGTGAATAAAGTCATATTTATATATTGTTTCTTTATGTTAATTCCAGTTATGTCTTTTTCTTCTACTTGTGTAGGCAATGTTGAATAGAAATAGTTACAAGGGAAACGTTTGTCTTCTCCCTGGCTTCAGGAGAAAGTGTTCAACATATGAAGCATTTCACTGTTAAATATGATATTAGCTATATGTATTTATGTAGATATTCTTCATCACATTAAGATCCTACCAGATTTTTGGTTTGTTGAATAGAGTTTATTATGTCTCCAGTTGAATTTTATAAAACATTTGTTTATTTATTAATATGATCATATGATTTTCTTTTTGTTCTGTTAATGTAGTGAGTTCCACTGAGCGATTTTATATGATAGAAAAAACCTTGTATTGCGAGAATTAGCTCCACTTGGTCATGAGATTCATTTGTGGTCTATAGAAAATTTAAACTTATCTTTCTGCCCCCACTGCCTCAAAAGTTTGAGAGGCTGTGTGTTAGTGGCAGGCCCCCTCCTTCTTGCAGGAGGATTTGTAGAAGGCCTTTTTCTCTTAAGTGCTGTGACACTCTAGAAGATTTCATTCTGCCTTTTGAAAATCAAATCACTCCCACCCCCAGCTTTCCAGGCTGCCCAAGAACTTAGCAAATATCTCATGAGAAAACATCCAGGCATTTGGGGCTTCTGTACCTTCCCATCTGTCACATCAGCCCCATGCAATTGGTAAAATTCATTGGTTTCTATTGCCCTTGGTAGAGACACTCTGACTTGCTGAGCCTAATTCTTAGTATTCACCCAGATTTGACAAATGAATGCCTCCAGGAAAGGGAAAGAATAGGTGATTGCCAATTTCCCTAGGAAGGACTTTTCTCTCTCTGGAACATTCATGTAGTTCTTGTTTCCATACATCTTCAATGTCTTTAAAAACTTGATTTTTGTTACCGTAGGAATGCTGACTTAACAATATCCCATCTGGAAGAATTACTTCATTTTTATTTTCATAGCACTTACTGCATTTTAACATTCTATACAATCTACTTATTAATTATGTTTATTGTGTGCATCTCTCTCCCCTCTCCCACCCTGCTAGAATGTAAGCTACACAGGGATAGGGGTTTTTGCCTGTTTTGTTCACTGTTAAGTATCAAGCATCGATAATTTTTCCAGCAAATCATAGGTCTTGAATAAATATATATGTTTAATAAGTTAAGTAAAAAATAAGCAATGTTTATTAACTACTTAATTATAATTGAATAATATTATGTGCATGCATATTTATAAAACATATTTTATAGAGTTTTAATGCATAGAAAGTAATTAGCAAAATATCTAGTGTGTAGTAACTACTTAATAAACATAAACCAGATGAAAAGGCAAGATAGGAATTATTGGGAGAAAACGGCAGGGCAGGAATCTGTCTCATTAAGGTACAATTATGAGAGTTAGGGAATGGAATAAAAGAGCTTGGTTGCTAAAAGTTTATCATTAGAATGGAAAGAATAATACATTTGTAAAATCCTGGCATTTGTAATAAAATAATTAGGCTAGAAACGTATGAATCTTTGAATCACATGATATTTTTCTTTTCTCCCAGTTGCTTGAAGGGATATGTCAACAATAGCCTATCCTTCTTTGACCTGAGTGAGCTTGGTATGGGAAAATCTGGTTATTGCAGGTACTTATAATAGTTATCTTTCCTGCTTGCTTTCACCATTCCAAGTACTCCCCCCTGCATGTTAATGAGGACATTTAAACTGTTATTTTGGCATTTTGGCAAATCAAGAAAATTTGGGCCTCCACTCTTTGATCTCTATTTGTCATTCTCTTTGTTTTTGTGGATTTCAGGTACAGAGACTACAGAGGCCCGCCCTGGAGTTCCAAACCCTATGAGTTTACTTTACAATACTGGCATATCCTTGCTGCTAGATTGGCCTTCATTATTGTGTTTGAGGTTAGTCACAAGCTGAGATGAAAATTACTATAGATAAATGCTTTTCTAAATGATTTATCAGTTGCCTCTTTGAAATCAGTTCCTCAGACTTCCATAAAAACACTTAAGTAGGTCCCGTAAAAGGCTTTAATACAATGAAAGCATTATTACAAGTACAGAAAAGCAAGAGCTGAATAATGTAAGAGTGTACATTAATTTAAATACCAGGAAATCAGCGTTAATAAAAAAGCTACTGCACAGTTGAGCTGAAAACTTTTGAGCCTCCTACTTTTGAGCCTTTTAGTAACCAAGTTTAAAAAGGAAAGGATGATTTTCATCATCCAATAAAAGAATCCATATCGATTCATTGGGATGGAAAAAACTGATTTTCTGAACAATCAATTCCAATTACAGTTGATCACTTATATATTTGTGTAAGCAACACTGGATGGTTCAATAAATTGTGCTTGAGAACATTTTATTTAAAAATTCAGAGACTTTGATTATCAGATCCATACAATAATATCTGATTGTAATCCTGTGAAGAAATTTGGCAGAAGCTATTGTATTATTGCCTTGTTTAGCATACAATTATTTCAATACAGTGAATAATTTAGCACTGGGATATATTGAGTATCTACTCTCTGAGGTACCACTAAGGTCAATAAAAAGACTTTAAATGAATCTGTTTTATATGGCCACACCAATTAATTCAGAGAAAAGGTAGCTATGACTAAGACTTTTGGAACAAATATTTTTAAAGGTAATACACCTCTCAACTGATCTCCAAAAAGTACTTCAAATTTTTTAGTGAAGTATCCTTCATCTTTAAAATGAAATGCTTACCCCTAAGGGTATCATCGAGGACTGAAATTCTGTTATTTAACGACTTTGCACCTATATACATGTCTCCTGATGAAGTGAGAGTGTCTAATATAAGAGTTAAGGCATATTTCCAACCCGGTGATTAAAAAAACTTCTGTTGTGTTTTTATTTACACTTCTCCCCCCATCTTATTTTGGAGCTCAAATGAACAAAGTTAATAGAGTGCATGGATTCAAAGCAAACTGTCATCATTGATCCATGTAATTTCCTCACTATTTTTTTCTTCTTCTTTCACCACTGCTAATTCCATTACCCACCCATTCCAAAAACATCCACTCCCTTTTCATCCGTATAAATTCTTCCACATATTTACTTGCACATGTGTTTGTTTACAAAAAAAATACATAGTATTAATTTGAGTGTTCTTTTTCAAAATTACTTCAATGGTATTGTTTCATGAAACTTATTTTGTGCCTTCCCCATTTTACTGTTTTTAGATATATAGAGAGCTAGCCATGAGATTGATCCACGTTTAGAACATTTTTTCTGTCTTCCGTATGATATTTCATCAAATGTATTAATCCTTTGTCAGGTGGATAGTTTGGAAATATTTTCCCCATTCTATCAGTTGTCTATTCACTCTGTAGATGTTTTTTATTTGCCATGCAGGAACTTTTTAGCTCGATATGATCCCATTTGTCTATTTTTGATTTTATTGCCCATGCTTTTGAGTTCTTACCCCAAAAAAATCTCTGCCCAGGTCTATGTCCTAAAGCATTTCCCCAGTGTTTTTCTTCTAGTGGTTTCATAGTTTCAGGACTTACACTTGTCTTTAATCCATTTGGTAAGAGATAGGGGTCTAGTTTCATTCTCGTGCACATAGATATCCAATTTTCCCTCCACCATTTATTGAAGAGACTATCTTTTATTGTATTAAATATTTTCCCCTTAGAGCACCATTTAGAATGAGTTGAATAAACTTTTTAATTATAAAATACTTCTGCATTAAGTTCTAATAGTCAGTGTTATTAAAATTATACTAACTTGGCCAGGTGTGGTGGCTCACGCCTGTAATCCCAGAACTTTGGGAGGCCCAGGCAGGTGGATCACCTGAGGTCAGGAGTTCAAGAGCAAAGAGCAACATGGAGAAACCCCGTCTCTACTAAAAATACAAAATAGCCGGGTGCAGTGGCGCATGCCTGTAATCCCAGCTACTCAGGAGGTTGAGGCAGGATAATCACTTGAACCCAGGAGGCGGAGGTTGTGGTGAGCTGAGATCACACCATTGCACTGTAGCCTGGGCAACAAGAGTGAAACTCCGTCCAAAAAAAAAGCTATACTGAATTATTTTTTGCTCAGGGACTTGAAGCATATCCCTACTAATTTAATTATAGCAAATGTTTTGAATTTTATTCCTATACCCTTGAGGCACATTCCTGGATATTTCTGTGAATATCAAACATTTTATCAAGAAAGAAACTTCTGATTATTTGCTTTTATATGGAAAAATATGACCTTCCTTATTATGATCTACTTTGCAGTACAGTCTCTTGGGACACATATAATAAGCCCAGTTAAAGTACCTTGAATTCTTCATAGACTATTATCTACTAAGAATCCATTAGGAATGTATTATTTTCCACAGGTTATGCTAACTCTATTAGTATCATGTTTTTTCCTTTCTGAGAAATTGAAATATCTACTCTTCTTCATAGGAAAAACAGGATGCATTTATAATAACAGGAGGTAATATTTAAGCAGGGCTCACACTATGACAAGCAATCCTTGAGCCATACACACACACACACACACACATATATATATACACACATACACAAACATGTATATGTATATTGTGTATGTGTATTTGTGTGTGTATGTGTATATATATTCATTTAATACTTATGCCAACCTTTAAGAAGTACTACTATTATCACCACTTTAGGGATATAACACAGAATATAGGTGATTTGCCTGAGGTTAAAACAGCTAATAAGCATAGGATTCAGATTCAAGCAGCCTCATTCAACATGTATACTTCCTACCACAGACATACTACCTTTGAGTTTTATTCCTGCTTTTTTTTTTTAATGCATTACTTTTGTCAGTTCATTTTTCAAAATATCGGCCAGGAGCAGTGTCTCCCACCTGTAATCCCAGCACTTTGGGAGGCCAAGGTGGGAGAATAACTTGAGCCCAGGAGCTCGAGGCCAGTCTAGGCAATGTGGTGAGACCTCATATCTACAAATTTTTTAAAAAAAATTATCCAGGTGTAGTGGCAGGCAACTGTACTCCCAGCTACTTGGGAGTCTGAGGCAGGAGGATTGCTTAAGCCCAGGAGATGGAGGCTGGAGTCAGCTGTGTATATGCCACTGCACTCCATCCTGGGCAAAAGAATGAGATGCTGTCTCAAAGAAGTAATAATAAAATAAAAGTAATATGTTTTTTATCATAGAATTATTATGTAATAAAGGTAAAAATATTTAAAGCAGCTATGATGATATATGAACTTAATAGACATGAAAAATGCATTTTCTGAGTTTGAGTCTAATGCTAGCATAACAGGCAGACTGCATTCTATGTGGTTTACATGATATGTGTTATGATCTATTGGACATGGGTTCTCCCTGGATATGATCTTTCTCATCTGTGTGTAACAATTCATGTCGTAATAATATTTCATAATATGTAAAGATTTTATAGGAGTGAATTTAAGATTTATTCAGTGCTTATAAAGTGATATCAACATGTTGCAGCAATAAGAGGAAGTAATTCTTTGTTTTGTCCTAATACTTAAGGAAGAAAGCAACAGTAGTGTTTTCAATATAATTTTTGAAAATATTAATATTCTAAATGGTACATACTAAGTTCTGATGCTTGATTCAAGGCAAATGCAACATTGTTCATTGTTGTACTGTTTTATAATTAGCATTTCAGAATCTTTGAAAACTGTCCTTTTCACATTTAAATTTGCAGCACCTTGTTTTTGGGATTAAGTCATTCATCGCATACCTGATTCCAGACGTACCAAAGGGTCTACATGACCGAATACGACGAGAGAAGTACTTAGTTCAAGAAATGATGTATGAGGCTGAACTGGAACATTTGCAACAACAACGGAGAAAAAGTGGTCAGCCTGTTCACCATGAATGGCCTTAGTTGACACCTGTTACCCATTAGGGGTGATAACATTAATGGGAAGAAATGATGGCAACTTTGAATGCTAGGTGAAATCTAGGAGGAAGGCATACTTGGCAAACCACATGTATAATATGCTACTTGGAAATGTATCACAGCCATCTCTGGGATTTGAAATATCCAGACTTGTAGGGAAGAAAACAATGACTTGACGACCTTAAAAAGGGTTAGATTGACATTGCAGGAAGCCAGGATGTAATTCTCAGAACCAGTCTCAGGGAGATATATGCTTGGAGAACTCTGCCTTCCATCAACTGCAGTGTAATGGGAAAGAGGGTGGTGAGGTTTTGAAAGACAGATTTCCATGTAAATGTGCACAAGCCAGGCATGGCTTAAAATATCATGCAGTCTTCACTCACATACTAATTTGACTTTGGAAAGTATGGTTGAGTTCAGATACTTATAAGAAATGACTTAAACAAATCCTTGCCTTGGCTGCCAGAACTCTACATCCCTTCAGTTTACAGGTTGGTAGGAATTGCCCATGTCTCTTGCTGAGATTATGGATCTGTGCCACAGGGGATTTATGCTGCTTTACATTGACTATGCAGTTGAAGAGTTGCACATCACCTTTAGTAGTCAAACCAAAAATCTAAGATTCCAAAAAGAACAGCATTCATTGAAATAATATTCCATTGCATTGGCTACTTCAAGTCTCTTTTACCCCTGGCAGAGCCAGTTGCAGTGCAATTTTTTGTACTAAATGCCAATAAAGCCACATACTTATAAACTATGAATGGCTATTCTTATATAGTTTAGAACACAACTAATCCATACTTTATTGTGGAAGGCTGTTTTATAGTTTATTTAATTTTTTCTCTATGATTTATTACAACTCTCACGGAATATTAACTTGAAATGCTGTAAATACGTTGGTTTTCCTTGTCCCTTTGCACCTTGACAGTACGTAGTATACATTGTGGTTTATGCAGCTCTGACACCAGTTTTTGCTATTGTAATATGTTTATTCGGGAAAACTGAGGCCAGATGCTCTGCAACACTTACGCTTTTTCAACAATGTGCACTCTTACTCATGAACTAATGAAAATAATGCATGAATATAAATCTATATTATTTGCTAAAAAAAGAAAAAACATTTGTGTTTTAGTTTCTTTTTTCATGACTGAAGGGAGTTTTATGTTATTATTTCTTCCATAGTTTTGTTTTGGTTTATTTTTAACAACGCTCTAGAAACAAAGTCAAATTAATCACAAAAGACATAATTTTGCTTTGTTGTGGAATTTCTATTTCAACGTCAACTCTGTATCTATGAGTATGTCTGTTCCACAGACAGATGAGGCAGGAGTGATGGGGCACTCAAGAAAGTTCAGAGGAGGCATAAGCTATGGAGGTTGGAAAGGAAGAAAGAGAAGAGCTGAAGTAAATGTATGGTAGAAATTAAGACGTTTCTTTGCAAAACAAGGAAATCACACATATGCACACATACATATTTATGGTTACTATGATTGTTATTATTTGTCCAATCAAGCAAAGCACCATTATTTCTAACATATAAAAGACCAGATCAAACACAATGGAAATAAAGCTACTACATATATATGCCAGTATTTCTCTAGTAAGATTATGTTTCTCTTACTAGAAAACTATTTTCTAAATATTAACACTGAAAATGTTTTGTTAGCTTTTCCTTCTTTCTCTCCAGAAGAAACATGGATAGATGATAGCTGTTTCATTGTTTGTTTTTGTCAAGCATATTCACTTTCCTCCTTGTCCTCTGATTCTGAGCAAAGGGCCTCAGACTCTGAACTTCCCTCAAGTGCCGTTGTTATGTGAAACTCTTCCATTCAGATTCCAGAGAGGTTCTCATGCTCCCCCCCCTCCTTATTTGTAGCAATCGTAGCAACTAATTCCACTAAGTACAAGGGAGTTTTTTACACTCCTCCATTTTTATAGCATCTGCATTTCTTTTTCTTTGTTAGGTACATGTATACACCTGCCTGAGTATAAATACTCTCTCTACCTAATAATAACATCAACCAACATCTTTTCCAAATTAGGGCCACAGAACAGCAACATTTGTCTGACAGTAGTATAAAGAATAATGATAGCTCTATCCTTAAGAAGTATTTCCTTTCCTTTTTATATAGTCCCGTTAGGGTTTAAAACCATATTGATCAACTAGAAAGAAAAATATGAAAAGAGAAAAATATTTTAATTTAAAAATTGTAATACATTGATTTATAAAATGCCTTCTCTGATACTTTTGAAACAGATGTGAAAAACAGAAAAAGAAAAAATTGTCTGAAATGTTTATTTTGCAAAACAGTGCAATAGAATCTAGTTATGCCTTCATCACTGTTGACAGTAAATACTGACAGCCCCTTGCAGTGTGTTAGTTTTAGATCACTCTGTTTTAGTTGAGAGAAATGTTTTATATCATGGTTTTTATATGAATACAAATTATTTCTCAAAGATTTATAGCACACACTATTCTCAGGAATTCTGTATTACATGAATGCTGCTTATATATTTTCATATTCTAACTTGTCTTTTCAAGCAAATAACTAATATATATGTGCATGCAGTCTGCCTTGACAAGTTGTTCCAAGCTGAAGAGCTTTCACTGTACAATGTGTGGAAAATCACCATAGATCATGGCTGAAATAGTTTGTAATTGTCTGAGTCTGTGCACGTACTTTTAGATAAAATGCTGCTGAGTGACTGCATGATGAGATACAACTTCTGAATGCTGCACATTCTTCCAAAATGATCCTTAGCACAATCTATTGTATGATGGAATGAATAGAAAACTTTTTCACTCAATAAATTATTATTTGATATGGTATTTTCCCTATAATTTGCATGTTAAGTTTAATTCTGCTTGCTTTTTAAATATTAAATTGAAATTTGTTTTCTATGGGGAGGGGGTGTTGTTCATTCTTTAACTCTACAAGGCTAGCTTCTTATTCTTGCAGGCCATTACCGTACTCTTAAAAAGGTTTGACTTTCTTCTGATAAGATCATCATTTTCTTCAAGGCGTTTGCACATTATAAAGTGCTGGTGGGGAATCACACGTATCTAATGCTTTGTACTAGACACAGATAAGAGAAGAAGCTTGATTAGTTCTTGTGAGGGTTAACAATACTGTCATCACACATAAGCCCTTTCTCTTTTTCACATTTATGCTGGCTCCATCAATCACCATCAAAATCTCTTTAAGACCGGAATTTTAGCACAGATACAATGCATGCTAAGGAGGGAGGACATGCAGGAGCACCATAGCCAACTGTCAAAAAGAGGCTGCCAATTTGCCCATTTTTTTTTAATGATAGTCAAAATGGAAAATCCAGGTGGCCTGCAGAGTTGCTTAACTGATATGGCTTGATTGACTAGCCTGTCAAATGGGGGCAAGTTAATATAAGCCTAGGGTGTGTGTTGTGTGTGGGTGTGCATACACACACTTGCATCTTGCCATCCTTTGTATAAGAATCAGTGAGCAGTTACTGTCTTTGAAATATGCCCAACTCAGTCCTACTATAGTGACCAGATATTTCCACTCCATTTCCCCTGAAAATCACGGTATTAAAATGGACTCGGTATAGTTCTAGGTTTTATCCAGGGAATCAGTTAACATCTTACCTCATTCCTGGTATTCTTAGTGGCTCAGAGAGAACCTTTTAGGAGTGGCCTGAACAACCCAGCTTCTGATGAAAAGCCAAACATTTCCCTACAGGCATTTCTATTCCAAATGAAATATGACAACAATACATAGTCCAAAGAAGATATTAATTGGGCTTTAGCTTGAATCATTGATCAGCCCAGGCTTCTGCTAGCTAGGATTGATACCTTTGTAATGGTGATAAGTTATCTTCAGTTGAATTTGCCATCTGGCTTCATTTGAAAAAAACATACCCATGATCACATTTGATGGCTTTTTTGTTTTCTAGAGAACACAAATGTTACCCTCACTACATCCTAGCCATGTCCACATTAAGATATCTTTTTTAGGAAAGTGAAATGAAACAAACAGTTGGTAGAAAAAAGTTTCATATTTGGGACCAGTTCCAATATCTGGTACTATCAAAGTCTACCCTCAAACAGAAATCTATAACTAAGTCCAGTTTTACTGCTTTATGACTGTATCAGCGTGTGCTTCTGCAAAATTCTCTCTAGAAAAAGCCTCGTTCACGTGCAGCCAGCCCAAAGTGGAAGTCTTGATTACACTA
The DNA here is from genome assembly GCF_000001405.40 of Homo sapiens. Classification (NCBI taxonomy): domain Eukaryota; kingdom Metazoa; phylum Chordata; class Mammalia; order Primates; family Hominidae; genus Homo; species Homo sapiens. The sequence continues at coordinate 26,664,672 of NC_000011.10, forward strand.
GACAGTCAGTTATGTGGGCTCTGCTTTACATTTTTCCCTAAGAAGGAAAGAAATGAGATTTTCCGGTATAGACCTGCATTGACTTCCTCAGAGTGTTTTTTTTTTTTCATCTTAATTCTCTCTATGTGGTAAAAGCAATGTCTCTGCCCTCTTTGTTTTTCAGAAAGTAACACTTCTTATATTATTCGTTGAAAAACAAAACTTTATGAGATCTATTTAGATACTGCTCAAAAAATAATCGCCATGTAGGTGGCTAGCCCCATGTGCTACTCAAACTGCCTCAGTACCATTACAATCATTTTGAATTGCATGTTGATACATGAAATTCAACCCTACCAGTAAACTCTTCAGGCAAAATTAAGTATCTTTCCAACAAGTAATATGAACAGACTTTTCCACTGATCTTTACCCAGCGTATTTTTCTCTCTCTGGTGAGAAAAGAGAGATTGAGTGGCAGAAAAACCGGATGGCCAAGATAATTGTGGAAGCAATGTTTTGAAGATGATAAAGGCAATTTAGAGTGTTTTCTACCCATGCAAAAATGTCTACTTTACAGATCCTACTTCAGTATCTGCTATGCACACACCCTGCCTTCTTTCTGGCTGAAAAACAAACCACAGTGTAATTCATCTGTTAACACTCAGAAGAAATGAAGGTTTTTTTTTCTTATCTATGTTATGATTTATGAAGCTAAATCTAATAAGCTTTGATTTTGGTGACAACTCTAACCAAAGAATAAACAGCCTATTTTCAGTGTTGAAGATGAAAATACACTTAAAAAGATATACAATTTTAAGGATATACAATTTTATCTTCCTAATATGTATGTCCATTGGCCTCTATATTGTATTTTTCAAGTAGGAAAGAGCTACTGGAATTCTATAATTGAAAAAGGAATTGGAGGATGGCCAGAAGAGACAAGAGTGGATTTCTCCAACCATTTTTATTCTCAACAGGAGAAATTATGTTGCAACCATATATTTATCCAGATGATTATAAATATTGGTTTTATTACTCCTTTTACTCACTGCAGTTATCCTGAAAATCATAAAAAAATACACTGTGTATTGCTATCATTAAATATTCCTTCCAAATTCTTAAATTCTAAAGCCAATTTAAGGAAGCTTTGCTCTGTTGAGATAGACTGAATCAATTTTTAAGAAGGTGACCTATTAACATTCTTAAAAGTGGTTAGCACAAAGGTGTATAAACCTTTATGAAGTGTATTCCAAATCAGTCAATAATGTTATCCACAGATTCAGCCTGCTTATATTATACTATACTGCAAATAAGTGATTTGAAGGTTGCTCACTTTTTTTTTATATGGCAGTTAAATTAAGACATTAAGTAAAGAATTACACGAAACTACTCTTAGCCTTTTAAATGTGTCAAAAGCAGATCCTGTAATAGGGATGAGGTGTTCTGAACATCTGTGCACACACTTGCTTTTGCAACTTAGGACACAGGTGAATCATTTCTGGAAATTCCTGAGGATAAGGTCCACAAAAGATATCACCATTATTCATTGCTTTTCTTGATTTATAGTAACCCACTTTATTAAGTTACAAACCATCTTGATGTTTATTTCTGTGTGTGTATGTGTCATAACCCATGGGTGAACTAAATATTACAGGCATTATCCAAAACATCATAAAGGAAGTCATGTTATATGATATGAAAAACCTTATTTTGGCATATGGTTAGTTGGTCACCTGGTAGACCTGCCTTAATCTATAAGGTTTTAACAAAAGATTTTAGAATAGGTGACTATCTTCCATTCCATCCCTAACCCTGTAGAAAATATTCACATTGATAATTCCAATGCACTTACATTGGAACTTAATTTAAAAAATTTTTAAATAATTATATATAAATTATATACCTATACTTGTTTATAGGCATTTTTCCTAATCTTAACTAGTTGTATAAACAACATTAGATTTAGATGTATTCTAGGATTCTGAAATTAAAAAGCTGCAAAAGATTTTGAAAATACAAAAATATCACATTAAATGTCCTATCGATGTACTGAAATATCATTATCAATGAACATCTTGCTCCACAGGGTAAGATTATTTTTCTAATTTATGATGACAGCCTGACACTTCAAGAAAGGGTCATGTTGTGATTAAGAAGTTACATACTTATGAGCTTAACTCTTTGTCTTCTGAAGATGGCTAATATTTGAAACACCAAAGTATAATATTGGAAAAATGGGCTTGTGCATGTTTGTTATTCACATGAGTATTTGCAAATCTACATTGATTTACTCAGGAGATTGGGGTGGGAGAGGAAACAATGATATTATCTGTTTCCAAGAATTACCAATAAAATCTACCCATTAGTAATTTACTATCAATGACGAGTTACATTTTATTAGTTTATAAATTTGTATCATTTTCATGTGTACCATTGATGACATCAATTAAATTTTAGTTATTTGAAAATAGGTTATACTACAAGATTATAAATGCTAGATAAAAGCAGTTAACTCTATAGTAAACCTAGCTAATTTGCAATATTGAGATTAAGTACATGAGACTTGTAAATATACAAATGTGCATGTACATACAGCTATAACTTCTGTAATAATTTAAAACAATTTATTTCAAAGGGAACAATTAAGGGGAGACTCCTCTATTTTTTCCGTATCTGATCTTTGTAATAATGTTTGATTAAGACTGTAACAGCACAAAAATATTTCAGTAATATTCTCTTTGAAATACTGTTTGAAAGCCACATGGCCAATGGTTTACTTTTTGTTTCTCTTTAGAATGAAATGGTGTAACCCTATAAAGCCACAAAATAGTAAAGTTCATTTTTAGCAAATACTATATAAACAAAGGGAAAAGACCCTCCCCACCTTCTGTTGCTATTTTGAGAGTCATAGTTGCTTTGAACTGTGCAATGAGTAATAAACTTGGGTTGAGATGCTGTTTATTTATCAAGGTTTACATGTACAAAATAATAATAAATCATAGTAATGAATTGCATCTTTTAGTAATAAACTTGTTTATAACAGTAGTTTTCTCTCTTTTCAGAATTTAGGACCTTTAGAAAAGTTACTCTCTGGAAAATAATATTTTATTTAAACTCTGGCATTAAAAAAACTACTCTTTGGAAATTTAGGCATGACTTTTAATGTATACATTCTGTTTTTCTTATTATTTCTAATTCTCAAAATAGTAACATATATTCTGATCCCACATCTTAAAAATCCTGAAGAGAAATAATGAAACCATTTAAGTTAACATGTACACCATTTTCTTCATATACTGCAGACCAAGTATTAAATGTTCCATGTGGGCCAGTCACACTGTGCTAAGCACTTTATATGATTTACTTATATAAATCTTCATAATAATTCTATTAAGTAGGGGTAATTTTTACTCCTATTAATTGGTGAATAAACTAAGATTTTAAAATATTGCCCAAAATTACCTAGATTTGTGTCAGAACTCGTGTTTGAACCTAAGCCATTTGACTGCAGTTCCTCACCTCAATCATAAGCTGTTGTAGTTCTTATTCCAAATGGTGACAAAAAATGTCTGTCATCAAAATGAATTCATACAGAATGAGTTAAAGAGGTATTGAGGTAATTCTGTTCCATTTTTACCAATATCTGTGGTTGTGCTTTAAAGGTACAGTGGTGAGTATCAAGTTTGGAACATTTTAGGCCCCTCTAAAACTCATCATTCCTAGTGCCATTTATTGAGAATGTCTCTGGTCATGCTGTGGCAAAAACAGCCACAAGTTTAACCCTCTTCCATGGTATGGATGGAACTTGTCACTGAACTGTCTTTGTACTGCACCAGTGGCCTTGGCATGACTCTGGGCTGCTAATCCTAGTGAGGGCCTGAAAGGAGTGCTGGGACTCACTAGCTGAATCTATTGACTGTGCGCTTCATAGTTTCCTTTTGCTTCACCACACAACAAACACGGTTTTCATACACTATGGAAGACAGTTTCCTGTAGATTCCCATCTGCTCTCTACCTGAAACCCTAGATTTATGCATGTTTGTTCAATTAAGAAGAATGGGGGGAGTCTCTACATTGACCTCTAAAATCTCTTGAAATGTCATCTCCTAATGCCATAAATTTCATTACACAAGAGAAGGCAGAGATATTTTTATAATAATAATTGCATTTTCCAGTTGTATGACATTTTGATAACACTCCAGGTAAGATAATTAGGGACTATAAAAGAAGAAACGTTTTTAAAACTTTCTCGGAAATGTACTGACCTAGTGAAATGTCTTTAGGAGAATTTGTGAGTAAAATTTGTGAGTAAAATGAAAAATTGTATGGTATATTTTGCTTTTATGCTATCCCAAGTGGAAGTTCACAATCCTGATGTATTCCAAATCATATTTACATATATATGTGTACAGATATATATATGTATATGCATATGTAATACCTACCATTAATTTATTCTCATCCTCAGAATTGCTGTTTTTTTATTCTTTCTGTCTCTCTCTTCCTCTTCCTGTCTTTTTCTTTCTTTCTTTCTTCTTTTCTTTCTTTCTTTCTTTCTTTCTTTCTTTCTCTCTCTCCCTCCCTCTTTCTTTCTCTCTTCTTTCCCTAAGATATTAATAAAGCTAACTAGTTTTGGCTCAGATTTCAATATTCACAAAATATATATTCTAATTAATAAGAGTGTCACAAATCATTTGGAAAATAATTGCACCTCTCAATTTGCAAATCCTTAGATCAACAGCTTAATTAGCGTTGCCAGACTTTAAAAAATGTTTCCAAAAATTCTGCTCCTTCTCATTTTCAGATATTTCTCCAAATGTGACCCCTTTTGACCCTTTCCCTCTATTCCCAAATGTATTTTTTTCTCATCTCTCTTATAAACTGTAGCCTAATACCTTCTTTCTCTTTCTCCATTCTCCTTTTCTATTTGAGTGGAGGGAGAGAAGGCAAGGATTGGGCTCTGTTTTATAAACTCCAGTTTCTCTGTTTTAATTCCTCCACTGATTTGTCTGTCTTTCTATCTTTTCTAATAATAAATACTGGTAATTTATTTTTTCTCTATTGTATGCTTCTTTCAAGGCTTTCTCTTTTGAGAAATATTTAAAGACAACCTTTGGATTTCCTTATCCTTGCCTATTTGGACCATTTCTTCTTACTTTGCTAACACACTGTTTCTAGGCCTTTTGCTTTTATCTGGCCACCAAAATAAATATCTGACACCTGTCCTAATATATGACTCTCAGATACAACTTTGTTTCTTATTATCTGTCCTCTGACTTGGCCCCTGTGACATACTGGTTCTTTCTTTTACCTTTTCAGAATTTCACTTCTTCACTTCTTCCAAAAATCTTTCACTGCTCCTTCATTTGTCAACTCGCCTTTTAATCTGCAATACCCTCATTCTCCAGAACTTTAAACATTATTTTCTAGACACGAACTATGAAGTTCTCCACTTCTGTTACCTAACCCAGGTGGAGTGAGTTGAGCTTGCTCACATGAGTTGAATGAGCAGAGTACAAGTCTTATGGACAATGTATTTTCTCCAAAGAAGAATCCTATTGCTGATGAAATCTCCTATGGTCTGTTACAATATTTGCAACGTTCTTTTACCAAATTCTATCCTAACAACCTTCTATAGGACATTCCTTTTCTCTTTCCTTAGCCCTGGAAAAAGGCTCTAGACTTCTTATTGAGCTCTGAGGCAATTTTTCATTGTAAAGTGATAGAAAGGAAGAAGACATACTGCATGGACAGCACAAAAGGAGCAAAGTTTTTAGTTATAATCACTCCCACTAGCCAGACATACCATCTTCTTCTGTATTTAGCTGAATTTTTTTTTTAATGTTTGGTCAGGACAGCTAATGACTGGAATGACTGGAAGAGGACCTGACAGTGGTGGTGAAGGGAGGTTAATAGTAGTTGTATGCCAATTGTAGCTACAGGATGGGAGATGGGTGGCATAAAATATATCTACATGTATGTCAGGTATGAGGTCAGGGGTGGATGTCATTCCTCTATTTTATCCCTCGTGGCAGGAAAGTGTTAAATATGCATATTTCTGTTTCCCGTTCTGCCTCTAAACTCCAAGATATTTTGATGGTTAAAAAACTACTAAAACGAAAAACCTGAAGTTTAATATGACACCAAGCAAAAAGACTTCGCTTTCTTGAATGGTAATGAAATCCAGCCCTAATTTATTCAAGAAGGAAGTAGTCAAGGGCATTTGGAGCAGGTTGGTTTTTCTCTGTGAAAGTTGGAGTCTTTCAAAGAATATCCCGAGAGACAGTCATTTTGCATGTAGTTATAAATAAGTAGAAATAGGCACCAGACATCCCTGTCTTCTAGCAATGGCAACTATACATATCTACTAACAAGTAGGCAAGAAGTATGTGGAGTTTGTGTGTGTGTGTGTGTATTGCACGTGTGTGTGTGCATTCATACAGGTATTGCCTTAGAAATGGGTAGTCTCAAATGCCATATTGTTGTAGCTTTTGTCCTTAGGATCATAGCCTGGAACATGTACCAGGCTTTCTCTTCTGAGTCCGTTCTGTAAGACAGATTCAGCCCCCTGTTTCCGGGCACTGCCATTCTCAAGGTTTTCCTGAGGGAAATACAAAGACACATATTAGCAAGATATCCTTGATGTACTCCAAATTAACCTGAGAGAATCTTGTTTAGGCCTTGGCTTCAAAAAATTATATATATGTACAAAAGAAGCATAAACAACTCTGACCTAAGACATTTTCTAATTGATAACTTTGATAATCCACGTAAGGTACTATTTCTAATGATAATAACAGCAAAAAGAACAATTTATTGAGCATTTACAGTATGTCTCGTGTTGCATGAAGAAATTTATATACCTCTCATTTAACCCAGCAATCCTGTGAGGTAGTAGTATTACCTTATAAGGAGAAACATACCTGTATCTCATATGGGGATGGCCCCCTTCCTACCTGGGAATAGGAGAGTCTGCTGATAAAAACAGGGACACCTATGCACAAACTCCCCTGGATGCTGCTCAACATTATTTTTTGGCAAAGGAGCCCAGTAGTGACACAAGGAGTGTCCCCTCCCTTTCAACTTATCCTTGAGAACAGAAGCTGGCTGCCTGCATTAATTAAGTTTATTATTTATTCCAGGAAATTCTATCTTCCTGAGTCTGCAAACCAACAAATAACTTGATCCGTTGCTTCTAGAACTTCCTCAAAATTCATTTATACAAACAATAGGCTGCTTAACCAGCTGCCTTCTCAGCAAAATAAATTGCTCATCTGGGTAAACAGCCCTTTTCTCAAAAGTATAGATTGTTCAATGAAGCAAACTCCTTGCTTATCAAGCCACTGTTCAATTATCAAAACTGACTTTAGGACCCTCACCTGGCTATGTTTTCCAATTTTAAATTCTCACAACACAGTTTTGCCCAGTTCCAATAAGAACCCTGAATTGAAAGATCTACCTTAAGTCACTTAAGCTCAGAATTCTATACATGTCTGCACCTAACTTCTGTATTCTGAGCCTCTCTGTAAACGTGGTGCTCTTGCCTCCTGCCAAAAGTAATAAACTCAGCTTTAGGTGATATACATGCTATTCTGCTGTTTTCTGGAGATAAGAGCAATGGACAACTCAGAAATATTTGCCATGATATGGGTTAGGCTTCCCTCTCCTAAAATCGTAAAAGAATAAAATGTCTGGGACTAAAAGTGAATATAAGTTTAAACTAAAAAGAAAAACACAACAACAACAAAAAATACTCCTGCCCTTAATCAAGCTGGGAAGACAGACACTGATAAGGTCAGCTGCTGCCAAGGTCTGGCAGTCATCAAATGCTGTAACAACCCTTTGAGTGACCATTGCACTCTTACCAATGCTGCCCCAGATAGCTTTGTGGTCATTTTCTGCTTCCCATAGACCCCTTTAAGAATCCTTCAGTGGGAACCCAAACCTTACAAAAGACATGTTCTTCCTCCCTCTTGTTGAGGGTGGCATTCCCCGATTCCTCTGAAGTACCCCACCTTGCTGCATCAAGTCAGTAAGTCCAATTTTGTCTAACTACAGGCTCTTTCTGGTGGTCTTTGGCTGATGAAACCTTAATAGAACTTGGACAGTGTCTCTAGTACTGCCTGATCTAAACACACTTCTTTTTCCCAGAATAAAGAGAGCTAGGGAGTTAGAGAGTTAGGTGCATCTTGCTGCGTCTTTGCCTGTACATTCCCACCATGACCTTGCTTTACGTTTATATCCCATAGAACTGGAAATGCTTGTGTCCATGTTGCTCTGTATAATACCCCCCTTACTCATCCAGTTTTTAGATCAGAAAAGCTGGAGTTGAGGAGTTAAATAATTTACCCAAAGAATGTAGGACATGGAACCAGGATTAATCCCAGGACTGTCTGACGCTAAAGTCCATGCTTTGAACTATTATAGGAGAATGTGTCTTCAATTTGTTCCTTTTCTATTATTCACTTTTATGTCTTCCTAGAATTCACCTTCACAGGGGTTAAAACAGTTTGAAAACTGACCACCTGCAATGCCAGTAATTCAGCTACAAGGCACTTTTACCTATCAACATATTTATGTGCTTAAAAGCTGATTAGCTGAGATAACTCTGAAGCTGAAACTCAAATTCCTTCAAGTTCTCACACTCACTGCTTTCCCTTTCCAGTGCATCTTTGCAGCCGGTTTAAATGGGCAAAACCAGGAATCCCTTTGAGTCCATACACATTTTTAGAAGCTCAAACATCAGCTCACCTGCTCTGTCCCACTGTCATGCTGAACTCCACACCAGCATAGTGTTTTGTACTTCTTAGACCAAAAGCAAAATAAATTACAAACTGGTCTAATTAACAGTGGTTGAATATCCTCACCTCTTTGGCGACCTATTAACAAAAGAACAAATAGATTAGATGGTTGCAGGCCTCCATGTCTTCCTTTACAGATTTAAACATTGTCAACTTGAAAAGTAGGTTGCTTTTTAGAATAAGAGTGAAAACAAGATTGAGTGGTTAATAAACAGAAATTGGTTAACTGCTGAAAGGGGTGGGAGTTCGTTTTTAAACATCAACAAATTGTCAGGTCAGGTAGACTCATGACTGTAGAGTTAAACAGAGACAACCTATTTATTTTTAAATATCTATTATAGAAAATGCTACTAGTAACCTTCTTTGGCCAACAGAGGGGATAGCAGTAATTATGCAATTTCTTCCTTTAAAAAAGCTCTTGACTTTTTATCCAAACCAGATATATTAATATTTGAGATCATCTAAGTCAGTATTTGTAAAATTAGAAAGAGTATTTTTATTGTTCCTTCTTTTCTTTCACCCTAACATCCTGAACAAGCAATACCCTCATGTTCCTCCCAGGTACTTTAAGCATTCCTCACACCTCCTCATGCCTCACACCCTCCTTTTCCCTTCCTTGAAACATACCTGTTCAATGTCCTATTTCTTCAAATCCTGCTGTGGAACAAGAGTCAAATTGATATTCAAACCAAGATGTAAAGGCCAATGATTTTGCTCCTCCCAGAACTTATGCAAATTTTAAGTCATAAAGACTATTCACTAATACCCAATATCATTCAAGGATAGTTATTAGTCCCATAGTCAGTGTAGTGTAAAGATCCCTAGAGGGAGGAGTGGAGTAGTGGTTACACTGTTGATCAAATTTCTTTTAAGTGCCAGATACTGTGACCATCCACAAACTTTTTCTCAAACTGCTTTCTAGAGACAAAAAAAATAAAAAAATGTAGATTTGTTTGTTTTTTGTATGAGACAGAGTCTCATGCTATTGCCCAGGCTGGAATGCAGTGGCATGATCTCGGCTCAATGCAACCTCCGTCTCCCGGGTTCAAGTGATTCTCCTGCCTCAGCCTCTGGAGTAGCTGGGACTACAGGCACGAACTACCATGCCCGGCTAATTTTTTGCATTCTTTTTGTAGAGATGGGATTTCACCATGTTGGCCAAGCTGGTCTCAAACTCCTGACCTCAGGTGATCTGCCCACCTCAGCCTCCCAAAGTGCTGTGATTATAGATGTTAGCCACTATGCCTGGCCCAAAATGTGGATTTTTAAAAATCTAAATTGAGGCTTAAGCAATCTATTCCCTGGCATTTACATCACTATGTCAAAAGACATTTGGCCACATAGAATTCTACTACTGTTGATAATAATATTTATCAATTAGTCAGTGTATTCTACATACTGAACACATTTTACATAGATTATCACTAATCCCTATAAATAGGTAAGTATTGTTATTCTCATTTCATGGATGAGGAAATGGTGAACTTTTCTAGAAGCTAATAAATGATGAAGTATACATTTAGTTAAACATATGTGATCTCACACTCTGTAACGCTCCATTTGCCTTAATGTGTGCGTATGTGTGAGTGGCTGAGGAGGAGTTGCAAAACCTCAAACTTCTATCCAAGGGCATCTCTGAATCAGAATAATTTAATTTGGGACAAAGCCATTTCCAGGGTTTCAAACAGAGAAGAGTTTTGTCTCTGAATGAACCACAAAATCATCAAACACTCCAACAAATGATGTAGATCTATTGTCTCTTAAGAGCAGGTCCTGAGATTTGCTAAGAAGGACAGGACTCTGCTTCATATGGATTTAGATTCTGTTTTCTTCTAGAAAAAGACAGTATTCCCTTTGGGAGATAGCAGATGGTAAAGCAAAGTATAGGGCTATAATTCTCACAGGTAGGAAAGTTAAAAATGAAAATGAAACTCAAATTCTCAAACCAGAAGCTCTGTGTTTGCCTTCAATCGTGGATTTATCATCTCTTTCATGAGCAAGACCTTGGGGATTGAGCATCAGTGGACTGCTGAGAAAATTGGTTGAAACCAAGTTCGTCAAGAGACTACAGGACTGTAGACATACTAGGTGAGAAAAGAGAAGGTCAAAGGGGATGAGATCATATCCTGTAGACAAGTAGGTTTATCCTAAGGAAAAGAAAGTTCATGCTTATAGAGGAAATGTCTCTAGATGTATAGTAACCTGGGGTGGTTTTGAGGAAAGTTCCCCTTCCTCTGAGCAGAACCAACTCTATGCCAAGGTACTGACTCCATGAGCAGAATGCAACCTAGAATCCATTCCCCACATGGTCCCTCTACTGGGCACAAGCCCCAAAACTCTCAGCAGAAGTCCTGAGTATAAGACATAGGCTTAAGTTGGAAGTTAGGAAAGTCAGATTAGGAGTGGAAAGGGCATAAAATTTCAGAAACCTAGGAATAAAGAGATGGTCTATAAACTTGCAACAGAAAGAATGGCATGAGTGTGTGTGTATCTATCTGTGTGTGTGTGTGCATGTATCTGTGTGTGTGTGTATGTACCTCTGTCTGTGTGTGTGTGACAAAGAGGAGAGAGAGACTGAAATAAGGTAGATTACACACAAGAATCAGAAATTAGAATGGTATCAGATTTCACCACAGCAAACTGAAAGCTAGAATATTTTTGATCTGTCTCTCATCGTTATACAGAGCTGCACAATTCCTGACAATTTATAAACTAGTCCAGTAAATTTCTCTGATGAGATTAATTATCTAATACAAAGATTACTTTTTTATGTTAAGAGATAGATTGTAAATATTTTAGGCATTGCTAACCAGAGGATCTTTGTTGCCACTACTCAACTCTGCCTTTGTAGAGTGAAATCAACCATAGTTAAAAGCAAATAAATGGGCAAGCTCTGTTTCTAGAAAACAAAAAAAAAAAAAAAAAAAGAAAACAGGTAGTAGGCCAGATTTAACCTTAGTACGGAAACATAATCTAAAATATAAAATAATAGATTGATAACTAAAGATTTTATATCTGAGACATGCAGCTTTATGGTAAATGAGAAAAATATAGTAAGATTCAGATAAATATAAACTACTGTACACTGAAAAACAGAGTAGCATCAATCTCTATATACTGTCCTGATAATGGGATGTTTTGGCCACTTGATACACCAACAATGGTATTTGTTCTTGATTTAGGAAATGATATTTTCATTTCACATATCTAAAATGGAAAAATTAAAAAATAACTTTCAGCCATCCAGCAGAATTTTATCAGTAATAATTAAGAATTTAAAGTGTATCTTAGGCCAAGATCTTTCAGCAGCTGATGCACAAAATGATTAATGATATAAACTTCCTGGAGTTGCTAATCAACACAGACATGATTCTATGTGTCAACATGTATGAGTAACATAAACAGCATATCTTCGAGGTGCCGTATTTTATCTGGAAGAAGTATAATTGAAGACATCACCTATTAAGACCAAACAAGACCAAGATAAAATATGACACAAGGAGAACAGGCCCACAAAAGGCCTCTGTCCTTCCTTACTGACCCTATTCTACATTTAAACATTGTAAGACTTTTTAAAAGATTCAGTGGGTATTACAGAAGATTTGTTAAAGCCTCTTAGTGAGCAGACCTGAGGTTATCAGGCTAGCCCTAAGGCCTCATTTGGAAGACAGGGACCAGGAGGCAAGAACATCTGGTGGTCATGTTCAAAAATTTTTCCAAATGTTTGAAGGCATAATTAGACTTTGTTAGAGTGTTCGCTTTTGGCCTGAAGGGCATTTGACTAAGACCTGGCTTATTTGGAGAAAAAGAAAACAAAGGGATTAATACTGGAAGAGTTATTCATGCTGAAAATGTGTAAGAATTTTCAATCAAATTTAATATAAGTGCTGCTGTATCAACATAAGAGCATGCTAATTCTGGTGCACACATGGAAAATATGGACTGGCAAACTACTGGATTTCATGTGTACACATTTCCTGATTTAGAAGGAAATGTTCAGGCAGCTGAAATCTTGGTTGTCTTCTTAGTGGTGACCGATCACTAAACTGAAATGTCTAGGTATATCCCACTAGCATCAAGGAAGGAGTTACAGATGTCAGGGTACTAAGGCAAAATCTAAACAAAATGAATAAACAATCTTTTGCCTGAAACCATTTACATAAAGACATTGAGAGAGTTGTTATTATGTGAAAGACTGGGGTTACAAGATTTATAGTCTATTCTTTATCATAGCCAAGATCTTCTTAAATTTCAGTGAATGGCTAGTGACATCATGCACAGAACAATAGGGCATTGGAGCTTCAATATAACATCTCTAGTACACAGTCACCAGAAATGTTGCCATTCAGGTTTTGTGTTGAGTCAGAATGTTGGCCATTGTTCATTGGTATATAATAGTCATGGAAAAATAGAATACCTTAAAATTTTTTAGCTAAAATACATACTCCAAGGAGGTGGAGGGACAAGAGTACAGTGAACTTATTCCACCCCATTATCTCCCACACTCTCACCACTACCAACCCCTCATGGGCTTTGAAACAAAAAGGACATTAATACATCAAAAGGGCAAGTATGGATGGTAGACACTTTGCTAAAAATGGCTTACAGTGAAGCTGCTCACTGCAGAGAACTCCACGACCCTAGAGAAGCAGCCTCCAAAGGACAACATAGGCAAAAACAACAGTGTTTTGCTTTTCTAGTAAGTTAGCAAAGGCTGACTTCATGAGATAGTAAGATGGTGATGACAAAAATCTTGTCTCTTACTGGGATGAAGGGAAAAGAACCACTCTGAATATTTAACCTTATTTACTGATTGTTATATTACAGAGGGTTTTTCATACTCAGGCCTCTGGGGGGCATGTGTCAAAGCATCTTTTTTTAAATAATATATGGGAAATGTTTGAATATATGTTTTTTTGTTTGGTTGGGGTTTTTTTTGGTTTTTTGAGACGGAGCCTTGCTCTGTTGCCCAAGCTGGAGTGCAATGGCACCATCTCAGCTCACTGCAACCTCCACCTTCTGGGTTCAAGCGATTCTCCTGCCTCAGCCTCCCGTGAATATATGTTTTATATATTAATAGTCAGGTATATAATAATGAAGGGTGCCTTTGTATGTCAGCGTTGAGAGAGTAGACATCTCTGTGGGAAGAAGGGTTTTTGTGGGAAACGTGAATTCAAAGCAATAAGACAGACAGCCAGTCCACCAATGCATGCATGAGCCCATATCTTCTTTAGTCCCAAAGGGAGGAATTATAACCAACCTGTTATGAGGCTGATGATTACTCCAGCAACAATGCATCCTAAGCAGCCCACTGCACTGTAGTAAAGGTAGGAGATCGAGTACCAGGTATCAGCTATTCCAGGTCTGTGGAGAACAGCACATGTCACCAATTCCATGCATCCTAAAGACCCACAGTGATGTAGAGGACTGCTCAGGATTCATTTTAGGGCCTGGCATCTCAAAAGCCTAAATCATAACTTTTTGTCATTTAAAAAATTATATTTAGAGAAGATGTGCTTTGTATTCCACTCAATTCAATTCATTCCTGAATTACAAATATAACGATGTTGATACTGAATCATAAGTATTACAATGAGGATTGTGTCTTAATACAAATAATACAATTTCATTTGTATTATTTATTCTTCAGACTTTTATTAAGCCCAGATTTAGTGCTAGTAATTGTGACAAGCATTAGTGATATAAAGATGAGAAAGTCACAAAGTCTACATACAGGAGCTAATAGACAATCATAAAATGGGTTGGTTTTGCCTCAGTAGAAAAGGTATAAAATACTATGGCAGCCTTCAGAGTAGTATCAAATTCAGACCAATGCGTGAGATGATACCTCAGCTCATTTTGAAAGAATAATTAGTAGTTAATCAAGCAAAGAGGGTAGTCAGGGCCAGGAATTAGCATTCTAAGAAGAGAATACAGTAAGTATAGGCAGGAGGGAAGAATCAACATGGTTTATGGGGAACCATGAATAGGTTGAAATTCTTCGATATAAAATTTATGGAAAGAAAATGAAACTCAAAGACAAATGGAAGCAAAATAATGGAGTGCCCATTTGGAACCTGAGTCAAAATGAACTTTATGGAGGAATAGGAGACACTAGTATGGCTCTTGAAAGATAAACAGATTTTAGGAGAGTGGAAATGAACACTAAAATATATTCATGTAAAGGGAATAGCTTAAGGACCCAAATGTAGGAAAGAGTGGGATAAGCATAGGTAGACGAGAAGAAACAGAATTCAGAGTAGAAGGAAAACAATAGTTAATAACATTAAAACCACAGGAAAGTTTTAAGTTTGGCAGGTATTTAGCTCCAGGATAAAAAGGTTGTGTTTTATTCCATAAGCACATGAATCATTTAAGTCATCTCCATGTGGTAGTAATGAGTTCAGAAAGGTGCTTCAGAAAAAATAAATCTAGTGATGCTTGGATAGAATGGGTTGTATTAGAAAGGAAAAGAGATAGAAAAATGGAGGAAATAAAAAATACAAATAAGATAATTTCACTTTTCTGGACTTTGTAAAGACAAGACTAGCCTCAAGATTGACAAGGACAATGGAGAGGAGAAGATATGCCGGACCGAGAGAGACTTTCATGAATGCAATTTGCCACATTATCTGGCCAGTTTGAGAAGCCTGGACTCAGAGGGAATGAGCCAGTATGGGGAGATATTGATGATAATCAGAAAAGGGCTACTAAAAATGAAGT
Source organism: Homo sapiens (assembly GCF_000001405.40). Lineage (NCBI taxonomy): Eukaryota > Metazoa > Chordata > Mammalia > Primates > Hominidae > Homo > Homo sapiens. The sequence continues at coordinate 26,680,175 of NC_000011.10, forward strand.
ACTTTTGAGGATACACAAATAACACAAATCCTATATTTTCTAGACTTGCTCTTACATACAATTAGAATGTGAGAGTGAACATTTATTAAAGTCACGTGTAGTGCTACTTTATATATATGTATATATATTCATATATATATATGTATATATATTCATATATATATGTATATATATTCATATATATATGTATATATATTCATATATATATGTATATATATTCATATATATATATATATTTCCTCATTTTTCCATCAAGGGCTCTGAGAATTCAAGAAGTTACAACTTACTAACTTGTCCAAAGATACAGAGGGAATAAATTATAAAACCAAAATCCAAACCCAAATATTTCAGATTTCAAAGTCCACAATCGTCTCTCTACACCATAGTATCTGATGTATTTTGATATATTTGATCACTTACCCCAGCCAGAAGTACAAAGGGAAATCCTTTGTTAAACCCTGTGTTCATATTGTTTGGTTTAGAAGCCATAGGTTCACAGCGGTGCTCCTAACTCAGCTTGCCCATAAGCATTATCCTCATTGCTCACAAACTTCTTCTACTGAGTTTTATTCTTTGAGGAAACCATGTTCCTCATACCCAGTCACCTGTCTTTGAACCCTCCACTATTTTTTCTCTTTTGTACTCATATCTCGCATTAACTCTTTCACCAAATTGGTTTTTGTATGTCTGAATACAGAGGAATGGACATCTGCAGAAAGCTGCAGCCCTGCGTGGCACTCTTCAGTGCTGGGTACTTCCCTGAGTGAGTCTCATAAGAGAACAAGATATGTCTCATCACACTTATCTCTGAAGAGTGCACCTCCCTCTTACCAGGTGACCCACTCTCTGGGACTTAGCACCATCTATAAAGTCAGCATACCTGCTGGATAGTACTGGAGGCCCTGTTGCTGTCACATTTGATTTGATACATTGGTCTGTTGACAGAGGCAAAGGCCATGTCTTAGAGGCTGGTGCAGGGTAAATGAAGGCCCCAATGGCCACCCAAAATGACAAGGTGATTCCAGTAAGAAGACCTCCTAGTGCACCCTGGATGAAGAAGAAAAAGGTTAATGGGAAATTTGGCAAAGCTGTCTATGGAAAGAATAATGAGATGAGGAGTTCTATGCCTTAGAGATTCTGGCTTTCCATCCCAAATCTTGGCCACATATTTCAGAAACACTCTGCTCAAACTGCCTTCACCTCAACTCCCATAATGCAGGTTTATTAAGGAGTGACTTGTTCTTTAAATGAAGACATCAGATAATTTCATGGTGATCATTATATTTAGATTTCTAGCAATAATTATTTTTCTCCTTAGGGTTTCTTTCTCTTACTACTTAAAAAGCTGCTGAAACCTCAATTCTCATTAGAAGACTTTCAGAAGTTAAGGAAAACTTCAAATACTAGGTCATTTTTAGTTATTGACAGCTTTTATACAGAAATTATTACTCCTATCTCTCTTCCTAAGTAACCAGCAGAGTCCCCTGACTCCCTAGTTCTGAGTTTTTTTGTTTGAGTATGAATACTAGCAAGTGCATTTAATGGTCTTGTCATTTAAGGTTTATATTTCTTGATAAATAGTGAAAAGTCAAAGAATCACTTTTCTTGTAGAGGAGGCAGAACAATCTAGCAGAGATTAGGACCACTAGAGAATATAATCTGATGTTTCTGGTCACTGCTAGGAAACTGAGCCTTCTGAGTCAGAGAAAAGAAACCTGTTGGCTTCTCTAGTTAATCAGAAAAAAATAGAAGAGGCCTTGGTAAGAGTTCCAGAATACTTTCTCCATTATTGTTTGAAGAAATTTAATCAGTGTGTGTGATTTGAATACTTGTGCCTTGGTCTAAACAAGTGATCTGAAAATTTCTAATATAACAGTCAGACAATAAATATTTTAGGCTTTGTAAGCCATGCAGTATCTGTCACAACAACTCAGTTCTCTTATGGCATGTAAGCAACTATAGACAATACCCAAGCAGAAGAGCCTGGCTGTGTTTTTAGTAAAATTTTATTTATGGGCACTGAAATTGGAATTTTATGTAATATTTTTGTGCCAGAAAATATTATTCTTCTTTTGACTTTTTTCCCAACCATTTAAAAAATGTCAAAACCATTTCTAGCTTGAAGCCATACCAAACACAGGGGGCCAGCTAGATTTGGCTTGAGGCATATCGTTTGCTGACCCCTGGCCTACCAGTAAGTGGAAAATGGATTTCAACTGGAGGGTTAACCCTGGTTGATCTATAATGGCTAGCTGGAGAGCCATGTTGAGACAGATTCTGAAGGTGTAGCCACATTCTATGGGAAGGAGAGCCATGATTGGTTAGTAGGATCAGCTATGGCCATTGATGAGGGGAGAGGTGACACAAATTTATAATATTTACTATACTTTATTAAATATCTAGGCAAAGGCCATGTCTTAGAGGCTGGTGCAGGGTAAATGAGGGCCCCAATGGCTGCCCAAAATGACAAGGTGATTTCATTAAGAGAAATCAAGGTGGTTTTCCTGACCAAATAGAAAAAACTACAATGTACTAACATAGATAATAAATCAATGTTAACAGTGCACTAAAATCTTATGTAGTTAGCTCATATTTTTTGTGGCTAGGATATTGTCTTCCCTCACATTATCTCCCCAAAGACATAATATTCTTGTCAACCCCAATATCAGACAAGTGATTAAGACTGCTTGGGAAGTGCTGCAAAGACCCGAATGCTCGCTACCCATCAATCTCCTTTACTTAGCCCCACAGGATTTATCTAAGAGAAAGGTCAATAAGGGTCAGGTAGCCACAGAGACCTAATCAAGTATACTATCTGACACAGACTTTATGGAATATCCTATAGTATATACATTAATAAGTGTAAAGTCAAGCTTTCTGGAATCAAAAGACTTTCTCAAAATACATGCATGTAAGTGTGCACATGGCAATAATTGAAAGATGGCAATTTTGTTAGACTGAGAAAATCCTGCTATTATAAATGTTTTAAAAATATTGTTATGTTATTTTTCCAAATAATTATTCATCTTGATTTAAACTCAATACATAGTTATCCAACCAACATTTACTTGAAGACATACTATTAGCTTGTCAGAGCAGCAAAATGAAGATCCAGCTGTCAGAACCCAAGTTTGTCCCTTCTCCCCTACATAAATTAGTTAATTAATTTAATAAAGTTAGTTATAAATCTAGGTAACTATACACAGAAAACAATGAGATTTACATTTGTAAATACGAATTTTCAAAATTGTGTTTCAACAAAACTATTCTTGAATTCAATATCTATTTTACAGTTAATGTTGTGGGCCTTTAATTTAGAGAAGACTTAATTTAACCTTAAAGAGTCAGCTTTGATGTCAGGATATGTGGCAGTTCATAACTACCTCTGCTCTTCTTTCATTTCTGTACCCAGAAAGATGTCACTGAAGTCAGAGACAGGTAGACTCAAGCTCTGTTTAATTCTGCTGTGGATTCTTTTCCTGGCTAAGACAGATAGCTTTTCTAAACAGGGCTGAGAGGAGAGAGAAAACGGCTGGGCCCAGTTTTGACTGGGAATTGTGAAGAGGGCTGTGGGATCCTTACCTTCCAATTCACAAAAGGGAACACGATTCCCAGGGAGAATAAGCCCAGCATTGGTCCTCCACACATGCCGTGAATGCTGAGGGAAGCCTGTGGAACAAAGGCAGACCAGATGAATCCCCTACTCAAGGGCATCTGTGACTTCCTGGCATCATACCTCTCTTGGACCTGGGATAATATTGGGTCCTAGTCCTGACTGTGCCATTTGTTAATTATGTGCTTTCTATAAGTCATTTCTCAATTCTGGGATGAATGATAAGCACTGTATTTATGTATGTGTGTGTGTGTGTGTGTGTGTGTTTGTATAGTAGAAAGGCAGGTAACCTGAATTTAGTTTGAAGTTCAAGTTGAAACTCATTGAACTTCAGAGTCTTCTTTCTCTATAAAAAATATAAGGTCATAGAACCAAGGGGACTTCAAATCACCTCTAGCTGTAATGCAAGTTCTTTTTTCCAGAAAGATGGGTTACAATGCATGATTGTTTTTTCCAGATTAATTTCAAAGAAGTCAATGCCTCAGATATATTCTTGACAAAATGGAGGCAGATGAGGGTAAAGCCTTCCTTCTTACCCAGCATCAATACTTAAGTTAATATTCTTGGCATTTCCTCTGCTGACGATAGCATTAATTCACAGTTTCTAGGGTTGCTGAATTTGAAAGCTAATTTACTAGTGATTACATAGGAGAGTCAATAAGTTAGTAAAGGTAATTTTATCTTCCCTGTGGGAAAAATATTTGACAATCTCTTACAAAAGTCACTAGCCATCATGCCTCTCCTAGGAAAGGAGAGGTCAGGGTTTTCATTTCTTGCCTATCAACATCTCTTAAACTGCGTGGCACACATCTTAATCAATCAAGAAGGTGGGCCCAGGATACTCATCTGAACTAAGGCAGGCAGATGAGGGCATCACTCACGACTTCCTCCTCACTACAAGAATTGTTTTCCACCAGTCTTTGGAGGAGTCCTTGCCTATCTGGAGCCCCTCATACTTCAATTGCAGAGGAGCTCACAATGGAAATATCTCTGGAAGAAAACAATTTAGTGACTCAAATCACCAGTTGGACATGATGATACTTTCTTAAGAGTAAATATTATTGTGGCGCACAAGACATCAGAAGCAACTTGGAAATATAGGTTCCATGAATAGGAAAATAAACCTAAAATAAGTGCCTGAGATCACTAAAGACAAACCTCACCACCTTGCCACTTCTGCTGTGTAGATGGGTATATATCAGAGTGCTTCAAACATTATGAAGGGATTACAAAGCATCTGTGATGAAACAGTAGTTAATGGCCTATTAGAAAGGACATCATGTCCCACAAGTTCTTTTATGTAGACAGGTGAATTATTCCATCACTTAGCTCTCCTAGATTAGTTCCCTGAATCTTAAAATGGAAGTAATGGAACATATCTAAGTAGTCATTGGAAGGATCAAGTAAGTTACACTGTTCTGGGAACTGGAAGGCCTTCTATAAACATTAATGATTACTATTCACTTACTGTGACTCATATCTTCATTTGAAAAACATTTATTGAAAACTTATGCCATGATAAGAAACTCTAAATAATGTTCAGATTACAAAAGGCCAGGCGTAGTGGCTCACATCTGTAATCCCAGCACTCGGAGGCCGAGGCTGGTGGATCTCTTGAGGTCAGAAGTTCAAGACCAGTCTGGCAAATATGGCGAAACTCCATCTCTACTAAAACTACAAAAATTAACTGGGCACCTGTAATCCCAGCTACTTGGGAGGCTGAGGCAGGAGAATTGCTTGAACCTGGGAGGCAGAGGTTGCAGTGAACCAAAATCACACTACTGTAATCCAGCCTGGGTGACAGAGTGAGACTCTGTCTCAAAAAAACAAACAAACAAAAAAACAAAAAAACCCACAAAGACACAACGGGACTGAGAGAATCGGAGTAGAATCTGAATATGTGCTTATCTGATGCTGCTTTGTGAGTTGGGCAACATGAAGAATGGGGATGGGTGGCTCAGGAGACTTGAGTCATAAACCTAGTTTTTCCACTAACTGTGAGAACTTGAACAGGGTATTTTCACTTTTTTTCCCGTAATCACCTGCAAAATGAAGATGTTGAAACAGATTATCCATAAGGTTCCTTTTAGCACTGATATTTTATGGAATTGGGAGTTGTGAGTTCGGCTTGGATGATAGGTGGAGGTGAGCAGATATCCCAGTTCTACCACTCTTTAATTATGTAACTTTGAGACAGTTACTTCCTAGTTCCTTCATCTGGAAAATTAGTGCATTAATTATACTACCTTTAAGAGAAGTGATGAAGATTAAATGAAATAATACATCTAGGACTCTGCCCAGAACATAGTAAGTGTTACATAAATGTTAATTATTATTGGTTTTACTATTTTTATCACTACTTTCATATCAGGATAATAAATTCTCAGATCAGAATTTTTAAGAGTTTCTAATTTTATCTCACTATCCCATTACTAGTTTTAATCGTTTCTCCTTCTGAAAGTGATTTAATAGTTTCCCCTTCGGAAAGTGATTTCTCTTTCTGAAAAGATAAGTTCTTTTTTTGTGCTGACTAGAGAATTGATTTTACATGCATTTTACATTTATTTTTAATTTGGAGCTGGTATCATTAAATGTCAGCCTTTGGATCTTGGAGGAAGAAGCAAGACATTAAAAGAGAGTGGGGGGAAGTTCCAGTGAAACCAAATGTGTCTTTTCCTTCTTTCGTTACCTGCACAACACCTCCCATGACAGATGCAGCCACAGCCATAGAGGTACACATCACGCCAAATAAGAGACCTGAAAGAAAGAAAAATTACAATCATAATTTCCTGAGGGATTCCTGACTTCAAGGGATGCCTTGAGCCCCCACTCAGAACTGTCTCTGATCCAAGCCCTTTGCAAAGGGATCTCAGCGAGGACCATCCTCCCCATTCAGCCATCATCAGCCCCAAGAGAGGCACTTAGGAAGTCTCTTTACCAAGGAAAAGTTTCAATGACCTGCTTCCTCATCAGGCGGAATGAACTGCTATCCAGCCTCAAGGGTTATCCTTCTAAGCTTCTGGAAGAAATCTGTTATGTGGAAACAACATGAAAATGTGGGAGAGGTCCAGACTAATCTAGACAAAATTAGTGGAAATTAATTCCTGGGCAACCACCCTCCAGCAAGGAGCTGAAAAAGAAGCTACTAATTCCAGGACTCCAGTAGTTTTTCATCTTAACAATGGTTAAATAATGTCTACACATTCTACCTAACAGGTTTCGCAAATCTGGAAAGTTTTTCAGATTTTTCCCTTTGGCGCTTTTTTTTATATTATCCTTATGGTCCTTAGTTACATTACATAATGATTTGTTTGTTTCCATATCACCAAAAGGACCTTCAGAGTATGGTGCTCTTCTGGTATCATGAAAGCTCGCTAAATGAATCAGCATATGTATTTTGTCATCTTTTAAAAATAATATCTTCTTCTAAACCATCTTTTAAAAAGTCATTGTTTTTATACATCTTTGTTTAAAAATAATCTCAAAAGTACACTGAATTCCAATAATAACACATAAACAAAACAATAGAGAGAAAGATAGGCAAAAAGTAGCAGATTGACAGAGATGGAGACACAGTGTCAGAAATGGAAAGAAAACTATTGTGTTGATTCTTTTTGAGCATTCTCTGTCAGCTACATATCCAACCCAGTTCCCAACATGACTATTAATTCAATCTTATTGAATACCAACCATAGATGAGACACTGCACCAGATGCCAGTGCCATAAAGTTAGAATGTGATTCCTGTCTCTAACAGCTTTCATTCTAGGAAGAAACTGCTTGCAAATTAATCCAACAAGTATATGCACATACCCAAGAACAGTGCCTGGCACGCAGCAAGTACTATGTATTTATCATTTTTATTATTTTATTTCAGAGTCATTACATGATATTCCTTATGAGGAACCCACTCTTAAAATGAAATCAGGCTAGTCATCTTTGAGGCTATCTTTTCCAACTTCTCAATAAGACACACAAAAATAAGGAAACTTCAAGATTGATCACTAAGCACTTGCCAAAATTCCAAAAGTATTCCAACTATCTATTATAGATAGGCTACTATTAGATAGATTGACTACTATTAGACTATTAGATAGATAGATAAGACTACAGAAAACAATGTCTGCCCTGACTTTGTATTGCTTCATGAAAAAGGAGAGCCCTATAAGCCTGAAGAACAGAAGAAAGACATGTTTTTTCTCTCCTTCTGACTGCCCTCTCACTGGACCAATGGTTACCTGTTCAAATGAGATTCTAGGCAGCCATCCCTCAATTCATAAGTTCTTCTTTTTTGTGCCGACTAGAGAATTGATTCAGTCCTCCCCACAAAATCTTTATCCTTCCACCAGATTGCAACCAACAGCAGCATGCTAGGCAGGAAGTTTAGGAGAAATTTGTGGAAATTTCATAGACATCTGGAATATCTCCCAAAAACAAAGCAGTAGAGGGAGTGAAAGCTCCACAGTTGCAGAAAATGCTATGGATTTTCCCAATGCAGCATCAGCTCGGAGGATCAGACAACAAAACACAGGCATAGGTGAAACTTCTACCTCAATCCAGAGTATCCATGAATATCTGCCAGAAATCGGGAATTATACTGGCAGCAGTGCCCATCTACTTGCTATCAGCTCTAACTCAGAGAGTGAGCAGAATCAAGGCAATTCAGCTACCCAGTTAGCAAACATGTGGTCAACATTCCTCTCTTCTTGTTCAAACACAAATAAACGAAGAAAGGAAATATAGAATACATGACAAAATGTTGCCAAAAATGGGAATGAATATATTAACCTAAAAACTGAAATAAATAGTATTCTTTCTGCAAATAATTCACTTTAGGAACCAGAAAAAAATAGTTTAAAACTTTGGCAATCTTAATATGCTGCAAGGATACACAGACTCAATGAAGCAAGGACATACAAGTCAAGAGAAAACAAGATGAAAAGAACAGGAAGACAGGGTGTAACACCAATAAGTTTAGATGAAGATGGATCCGGGTATGATAAGGAAAAACTGCAAGGAAATTAAAATGACAATAGTTGACTAAGCAATTCCATGCCTAGCTATTTATCAAAGAGAAATGGAAACACGTACACAAGAAGACTTGTGCAAGAGTATTCATAGCAGTTTTAGTCATAATGACCTCAAACAAGAACAGCCCAGGCCCATCAATAGACTCAGATGTTAAAAAAAGATCTGTGGTATATCCATATGTGGCATACTAAGAGCAATAAAAAAGAATAAACTATGAACACACACAAAACATCATGTAATCTCAAAAACTTTATGCCGTAAGAAGGACGTTACAAAAAAAAAAAAAAAAAAGTGCAGGCTGGGTGCGGTGGCTCATGCCTGTAATCCCAGCACTTAGGGAGGCCTAGGCAGGCGGATCAGCTGAGGTCAGGAGTTTGAGACCAGCCTGGCCAACATGGTGAAACCCCGTTTCTACTAAAAAAATACAAAATTTAGCCGGGTGTCGTGGCATGCGCCTGTAGTCTCAGCTACTCCGCAGGCTGAGGCAGGAGAATCCCTTGAACCCGGGAGGCGGAGGTGGCAGTGAGTCGAGATATCGCACCACTGCATTCCAGCCTGGGTAACAAGAGTGAAACTCTGTCTCACAAAAAGAAAAAAAAAAGTGCAATGGTGTGATCCCATTTATATAAAATTCTAGAAGAGGTAAAACTAATCTATGGTGGAAAAAATTGGAACAGTATTTGCCTCTGGAGGGTGAGTGAGAGAAAAGAATGACTAGAGAAGGCATAGGAGAACTTTCCACGGTGAAGGTCACATATCCTGATAAGTGGTTGGGTTACACAGGTGTATGCATTCGTCAATACTCAAGAAAGTTGTATTTAATATTTGTTCATTTCATTATAGGTGAATTTTTTTTTACATTTAAAAAAACTTGAAACAAATAGTGAATTATCGTTAACAATGTGCATGTTACAATAATTTGGGGGAAGTGTGCAGAGGTCCACAATTTGCTTTTAAATGTATCAAAAATATGATGGATTAATGGATGAATAGACAACTGGATGAATACATGAAAAAGCAAGTATAGGAAAATAATAATGGAGAATCTAGGCAATGTGTATATGAGAGATCACAATAAAGTTTTAAAACTTGGCCATATAATTTAATTATTATAATGTAAGGAACATAACACAATAGCATAATTAAAATCATTATTGTTAAGAGAGCAAAGGGGAGGAAGGAAGAGGAGTTGAAAGAGGAAGATGTGAGTATACTTAACACATAAAATACAAAATACAACACAATTAAATAGAAAAAAGTAGATGCTATTGCTAGGTGGAAGGCTTACAAAGATATCAGTTATTCCCAAATACATTTTCATGTTTAATGCAATCCCATGGGATGGGGAGTGGTGGTGGTGGGTTCAGATAGGTTCCATGCAGTAAACTTTAAAGTTAATTTAAGAGAATAAATAGTAATGAATAGCCAAAATTTTTTTGTAAAAATTATAATGGAAACATTTTTAATTTTTAAACTGAAAGAAAAATGAGAATTGTTCTATCAGACATTTAAATAAAATGCTACAAGGCTATAATATAAAACAAGATGGTACACTCTTGTAATTAAAGAAAATAAGTATACAACATGAAACATTCTTATACATGAGAAACCTTTATATTATATATTTTTATTAATGGAAATATTTTTAAAACTGAGGAATATTTAAAGAATAATGCTGGGAAAGTGAACTATATAAGAAAAACAATTTAGTGGCCTGGCGCAGTGGCTCACACCTGTAATTCTAGCACTTTGGGAGGCCAAGGCCGGGGGATCACCTGAGGTTGGGACTTCGAGACCAGCCTGACCAACATGGAGAAACCACCTCTACTAAAAAAAAAAAAAAAAAAAAAATTAGCCAGGCATGGTGGCACATGCTTGTAATCCCAGCTACTTAGGAGGCTGAGGCAGGAACCCAGGAGGTGGAGGTTGCAGTGAGCCAAGATCATGCCATGGCCAACAAGAGTGAAACTCTGTCTCAAAAAAAAAAAAATTTAGTTTATTATCTTAAATTATAAATCAAATAAATAATTTAGATATACTGAATATAAAATATAAAAGTACTTACAATCTAAAGGAAATATAAGTAAACATGTTTTTAATGTAAGAAATGTATAAGCATAAAGAAATGGTAAAATAATAAATGATATATTTGATCAAACATAAAATTAAAATTTTCTGTACATGAAAATATGTTTAAAAACAATAAAGCTGGGAAGCTGGGAGACATTCTACAATAGACAGAGGACTTATTTCCTCTTTATATAAAGAGATTTTACAAACAATAAAATTTCCAATGTCCCATCAACAAATATACAGAAAGCAAAAATAATTTTTTACAAAAATATACAAATCATTACTATCTGAAAAAAATGCTGTATATATCAAAAGACATAAATTAAAGCAAAAATCTGATGCCATTTTGTCCACTAACTTGGGCAATTTAAAAAAATACTAATATTAAGCACACAAAATATATATCAACACTCACTGCTGCCACACATACTTATTGATTCACTACTAGAACCATATTTCATAATATGTACCAAGAAATATCAATGAATTTGTATTATTTAACCTGGTAATTTTCTTTTAGAAGTTCGTGTTAAGGAAAAACATTACAGATGCAGTCGAAGGTTTATGTACATGTTTTTTTTTGTCACAGTATTAAAAGAAAATGAAAAAAATTTAAAAAGTAACAATAACATAAAATTAAGCAAAGAAGCCATTTGATAGAATACTGTATAATCATTCAAATACCATGTTTTTAAAAAAATACATAATAACATGATATGTTATTGTATATGTCACAAGTATGTTGGTAAAAACAACCAGGAACAAAGTTAGATAGATATAATTTTATTTAACAATGTACATAAATTTCCCCAAATTACCTATATTTTCTATTAGTAAGTAAATACATAATTTGTTTATACTTTAAAAAGTAAACCTTGTGAAACTGCAATTATCTCTGATAAGTGCTGAAGTGAGTATAAACATAATATGCAATTGCATGATTAAGCAAGGGGCAATTATTCTTTGAGGGGGTTACTGGGAGTTTGGTAATAAGGAACAATTCTTTAGAAAAGAATTTGGCTTTTCTTTGTCAAAGTGACTGGCCATAGTAAGCACAACATCTTCCCATGTAGAGAGACTAATATGACCATCACACAGTGTAATCAAGAGAGATTGATGTGATTAGTTTGCAGGGGTGTCCAATCTTTTGGCCTCCCTGGGCCACGTTGAAAGAAGGAGTTGCCTTGGAGTACACATAAAATACACAAACACTAATGATAGCTGCTAAGATTTAAAAAATTACAAAAAAATTCCAGAATGTTTTAAGAAAGTTTACGAATTTGTGTTGGGCTGCATTCAAAGCCATCCTGGGCCGTATGCGGCCCACAGGCCGTGGGTTGGATAAGCCTCGTCTAGAGTGTAGGGTAAGTATAGAAGAGTATCTGAAAATAAAGGCAGTTAAGGTAAACTAGCTAGTCATTCTTTCCTGATACCCTGCTGGATCTTTGGAAGTGTAAGAATCTATGTGTGGGATTCTTCACATATCTCACAGTGCATTTGTGTTTATAAGTGTGTCCTGAATAGCACATGCAGGATTTTGACATCTACCACATGTACATTTCATGATATGGAATAGAAAGTCCACCAGCTGTACCTACATAAGCCTTTACTGATCCAGGTGCTCAGCTTGTCGGAGAGATGAGGAAAACAGCTCTTGACAAAATCCTCAAAGGTCACTGTTGCCAAGGCATTGATGCTGGAAGCCACGGTGCTATAAGGAAAGAAAAGTGAGAACATGGTCTAAGCTATATAAGGCGGAGCTACCAGCCTGCCCTCTTGTCCAGGGCAGATAGATAAGGCAGGCCTCTAGAAAAAACAGATGCAGATATATCTCTATCTTCTGAGACTCCATGGGAACTATATGGCCTCTTTACTCATCTTTCAAATCTTTTTCCATGCTATTGCTCTTAAAATTTTTCCATGAACTACAGTGAAGAAGCTAGGCTTTCATAATCTAACACCCACTAATTCCCCTTAACAAGAGGTTAAATGAACTAGCAGGCAGCACCAGAGGAAATCTGTGTGTGTGTCTATGTGTGTGTTCAGGTTGGAGTGGAGGCAGAAAGTAGTGACTACTCTAACCCAGGAATCAGTAGAGCCTGCCACTCATTAATTATTCATTCATTTATTTCTACATCCTTTTATTCATTCTGGGTATCAAGCATACAATGGTGAACCAGAAAGACGTAGATCTTGCACTCTAACTGGGACACAAACATTTAACAACCAATTATTTACCTGCTTATAGTTGTGAAGGAAAATAGCAAGACGCTGTAAGAACATACAGAGACCTAAATTGACATGTAGTTTGGAAACTTTTTCCTTTGGAAGTGACAGATAGGCACTGGGAAAATCCATGCAAAGTGGGAAAAAGATGTTGTAGGATGAAGGAAAAATTACGTATAGATGTCTCAACATAAAAAGGAGCTGTTACATTCAACAACCTAAAGCTACCAGAGTTGCTAGAATGATATTATAACAGTAAAAGAGAAAGTAGCAAGAGGTAAGACTGGGAAGTAGCCACAAATCGAAACTGCATAAAACCTCTAATATTCCCTCTGTCACTTTCCAATCAGAGCTCAATCTTATTGGACCTAAAACTTGCTTAGGTGACAGAGGACCTGAACGTTGGGGTTTTCTTTGCAGAATAAAATGAGACCTTCTTCAATTCCTCATACAGACCCGGAATATTTTAGCTAGTGGAACAGATAATATATTCAATTCAAGTGATGCAAAATCACAACTATGAGAAAAAAATTCTGGAAAAGAAACAGGCCAATGAACAAAAGATGTCTAGCAATTTGTAAGTTTTCCATTGATATTGATTAAAAATTATTCTGCTATCCTCCAGTGCTCACTTGAGAACAAGATATAGCTATGACTTCTCTAAGTGATATATATATATAGGAAGTAAAAACTGTCCAAGACCCATATCTGAAAACTAATTGCTTGGGGGGTACTATTCTTATTTTTCTAAGAATCAAAACATGATATGTGATCCCTGCCAGACTCCTCTTCTATCTGGAGCTCCATAAAAGTTAAATAAGGAGAGAAGGGGATTAAATAAAAGGACTTTTTATGCTCCCAAAATCTTTGTCTCAATATACTTCTTGTGAAAGTTTCCAACATCAAGGTTAATCTTTGAATCCTTTGGGCGGGAGGGAGCAGAAAGTTGAATTTGGCCCAGAAGGGTAAGGTTTGTACAACCTCTGCAGGGTTGCTTTGGCAGTCAGGTGTATCCATATGTCAATTTTCAGATTCTAAGGCTGCTACAAGATAGTGGAAATATTTTTCCCCTACCTCTCAACCACTATCTTCCCATTCTATCCCTACTCCTGTCTTTTCCTTTCTCTATCCCCACAGTCTCCTTGTGCTTGTGGCAGTAGTAATCTCCCTATACCATATGTTGTCCAGTGTGTTTCTTCCTTGAAACTTTGGGACTTAGGATAAAGGAATCAACCATTCTTTCATGGGGGATATAATCTGTTAACAGCCATATTTCTCCAGTCTGGAGAGAGTGAGCCTCAGAGTAAGAGGGCAAAAAATAAAGCATGTAGAGAGGGACGAAAGAAAGGACAGAGTGTGACCCTTACTGGTGTTTGAGTCTCTGGTGCTCATTATCTCTGTCCTTAGTGTCCTTGAGATCCTAGTGCCAACACCATAGGACAGTGTCACTGTGTGCTATTGATGCAAAATTCTAAAAACAATATTAGTAAAAACAAGTTAGCAGTACACTAAATTAAAATCCTAAGGTAAAGTCATTATATAAATTCAAGGATATTGCTATTTTGGAAATCTGTCAACATATTAACATACTAAAAGTTTTAAAAGAGAAAAATATGTGACCATTTCAAAGATGCTAAAATTTTACCAAAATATACCACTCAGATAAACATCTTTTCTAAAATTAGCATAAATACATGCATTTTATTCTTCTACTTTTAAAATAATTTATGTGAATATTCTCAAATATAAATAATACCTTTCAAACCAAAAGTCAATATCTTATTAAATTGTGAAACCAAACAAATATTCCTTTTAGAGTACATAATAAAACATTACCTTAATTATTTATCATGTTCTCAAAGCACAATTACATAAGAGAATAAACATAGAAATGCATCTATTAAAAACAAAGAAAAAAAGTCAAGAATATCTGTAGATATTTGATTACAATCAAACTCCAAAGAATCAACTAAAAATATTTTTTTAAAACCCCTAGATATCAGGAAAATTCTGTAAAATAAAATTAATTAAGGTATTAACCTAATAGATAAATTATATTTTAAAGTACAGTCATCAAAATTATTGGTGTTGGCATAGCTAAAGACCAGTAGATCAAAAGAATGTAAAAGATAATTAAGAAGAGGTATCAAATACATAGAAGAATATAGAATGTAATAAAAGTAATATTTCAAGTCAGCAGTGAAAAGATGGCCTATTTATTAAAGACAAATGGGACAACTTGGTTACTAGTTTACAAAGAAAATAAAGCAGGAACTTCACTTAATTTCTTATATGTATAGTCTAGATAATTTAATAACATTAATATTTACTAAAACCATAAGTATACTAGAATGGTGTCTGGTTGATTATTTATAATCACAGAATGGAGAAACCTTTTTGAGAATGATGTTAATCCTGAAATCATAATGTAAAACATTAATATAAATTAAAATCTTTACGTGGTCAAAAATGTCATTAATAAAGCAAATAGACAATGAACAAATGAGAAAAAAAGTCCTTAACCTAGGTCAATTGGCTATTTTTCTTATATATAAAGAGGAAAGCTCAAATCTTCCTGACACAGAAGACCAAGTCTTCAATTTGTGTGTCACTCACTCCCTTGGTTTCGAACCTTCTAATGACTTCCTATTTCACTTGAAATGCAAACTCTACCACTTCATAAAGGCTTGTTGTGATCTGATCCTTGCTCACCTCTTCTAACTCATCCCCACCTGCTCTCCTTCCAGGGCCTTAGGTGCCAGTGTTTCCTGTGTTCCTCAAACACTCCATACAGTTTGTCTCCGCAGGGCTTTAGTATTTGCTTTTCCCCCTGCCTGTAAATGTTCCTGCTTGTGCTCTTCACATAGCTGGCTTTTTTGCATCCTTTAGATTTCAATACAAATATCACATATTCAGAAAGGAGTTCCTTAAAGACCCTATCGAAATTAGAATCCTCAGACTTCACCTCTCTCTAGGATACACACTGTTATTTCCTTTATATACTATTTGCTATTTTCAGACACAATCTTGTTAATCTTTTTTACTCACATATTGGCCATCTTCCATGTCTATTAGAAAGCAAACTCTATATAAGTGAGGACAATGCTTATATCAGTCTTGTTCTCTGCAGTATCCCTGATGTCACCAACTGTGTCTGGTATAATATAAGCCTTCTAAAATATTTGTCACAATAAATGCATGAATGATTTTGTATTTAGAATAATGCCCTTATTTGGGGAATGGAAGTTATTAGCTGTCTGAGTGTGTTATTAAAGATGAGATCAATGGAATGCAAAGAATAGATGTGCAGAATATATAGCCATGCATTGGTTAATAGCAAGGCTGTGCTCTGAGAAAATGCATTGTTAGGTGATTTCATCATTGTGCAAACATCATAATGTGCTTACACAAACCTAGATGGCATTGTCTGCTATACACCTAGGGTATACGGTATAGCCTATTGCTCCACGGTTACAAACCTGTACAGAATGTTACTGTCCTGAATACTGTAGGCAATTGTAATACAATCACAAAGCGTTTGTATACTTAACCATAGAAAAGGTATAATAAAAATATGGTATTAAAATATAGGGCTATCATCATATATGCAGTCCATCATTGACTGAAATGTCATGTGGCAGACTGTATATATTGTAGCCAAATGAATGAGAAGAGCCAGCAGAGTGAGCTGCTTTATGTAAAGGTGATACAAAAGTGTGGGGGCAATTAGCATCAGACAAGGTAGGATAATGAGCATAAAATTCTTGAGTCGGGACAGACCAAGGCTTACATCCAGCCCCTGCAGTTTACTAACTCACCATAGGTAATTTTTCTATCTTGCTAAATCTCAGTTTCCTTATCTGTATACTGATGATGAGTAAAATTCTAGGCTCATATGTTGTGTACCAATTAATGAGCAAATACAAATAACACATTCAGAAGGTCAGTTTACACACAGTGAGTGCTTGCTAAATATTGTTGATCACTACACCATCATCCTTGTTATCCTTTCCATCATCATCATCAGATTGTTGTTGCTATACTAACCTCAGAGTTCCACTGAAGGCACAAGCCACAAAAAGTCCTGGCAGTCCTGGCATTGTGGCAAATATCTCCATGACAAAGTACGGCATCAGCTGAAGAGGAGGCAAAACATAAAAAAATAAATAAAAAGAAGAAAGAAAGAAAAGAAAAGAGAAGAGAGAGAAAAAAATAGGATTAGTGGTCTTCTCATCAGTGTTTGAAATGTGGGAACATAGCTGTTTAGCAAAAGGAGGTAGGAAGTTTATTTTCCTTGTTTTCAATATACGCCATTTTCTTTCGTGTTTATCCTGAATGTTAGCAACTAAGCCCTAAAATCAAGCCCCTAAAAGAAGACTTCAGGGAATCTAGATATGATGCACTACTCTACATCCAGGTTTGTGGCAGAGGAGCCCCTCTTTGACAGAGCAGGACAGTTAAATATATATAGAGAGGGAAGGCAAATGATTACTTCCCTTGAGCATATTCTCCATAAATGGAGTTTTCAAAACCATGTTTACTGTAGTATATCAGCACGATGTTTAAGTTATGCTGAGAAGACATGATAAGAGGCAGGCATTGTGGAAATAAGGGTCGTTTTCTTCAATCTGAGGTTCCTTAATCAACTGTGAAACCTGTAGGAAGAGTCCAAAGGCAGCAGCGACATCCAAAGCCATGGTTCAAGCCTGCATTCCACTCTCTCCAGCCTTGCTATGCTGCCAGACCTTGTCTTTAAGAACAAGGTGAGATGCCGTCTTTTTTTTTTTTTTTTTTTTTTGAGACGGAGTCTCACTCTTGTCGCCCAGGCTGGAGTGCAGTGGCACGATCTTGGCTCACTGCAACCTCTGCCTCCTAGGTTCAAGCAATTCTCCTGCCTCAGCCTCTTGAGTAGCTGGGATTACAGGTGCCCGCCACCTTGCCTGGCTAATTTTTGTACTTTTAGTAGAGACGATATTTTGCCGTGTTGGCCAGACTGGTCTCGAACTCCTGAGCTCAGGTGATCTGCCCGCCTCGGCCTCCCAAAGTGCTGGGATTACAGGTGTGATCCACCGTGCCTGGCCAAGGTGCCCTCTTTTTTACATGCTCATTCCCCTGTATTAGAACCTGGTAGGTGCTGATATCACCCAAGAGAAGAAAGAAACCAACTTCTTGGGGTTTGAGAAATAGTGAGCAGTCCAGGAAGAAAAAGAGAAAGGCCAAGATTATCCACCAATAGCTAGAAGCACGCTCATTCCAGACACTCGCCACTGTCCTCAAGAAAACCCATACCTGGTCTGGTGCTGAGATGATGCCAGAAGTCCAAGGGTCACAGTCTTTAAAGTGAGAGTACATGATTAAGCCAGAGAAGACAGCACACACCAGAATGATCCAGAGACCCAGCAAGTTAAAATACAAGGCACTAGAAAAGAGCACATGGGCCTATTGGTAGCCTGTATACCATATCATACTGTGGTGAGGTCATTACCAGGTACTCAAGGTAAAGGGTTTTGGGTCTTTTTGCTAGTAAAATAAAATTCTATAGCCTTTAAGAATCACTACACTTTATACTTTTGCTATTTTTTTTTTGCTTGAGAACATTACATTTTTAGACTCACTACCAAATTTAAATAAAGTAAGATTTTAAGTGAATTTTCCTTTGAAATCAAGAGTTTTTGCAAAACCTTGATATGTGTGGTATGAGATCTATTCTCTTGGATGAAATTTCACATACCAATCACTCATATTATATAACTTCAAGTGATTTTCCCCCTACTCAATTCATAAAACTGTCAAAAAGGCAACTTACATTTTTAACATCTTTTTCCAGAGAGATAATGAGCTAACACAGAAATAGATAAGTGTTGGAAATATTCACTTTGGAGATTAATGCAGATAAAAGTTAGAGTTGGTTTTTTAAAAAGACAACAGAAAGTACAAAAAACTTAGGATCATCTTACCCATACTATGTGGTGCAATTCATTTTATTTTAAAACCCACAGATATGCCTAATTCCAGTCTGGGTGTTTTTGTAGTATCCTACGGTTATGTTGTATTCATTACTGTCCTTTGAAAGTAAAAATTTTACTAATTTCCTCAATTCCAGAGAGGACATGAAAGTAGGCTGGCCTTACCTTGGCCTGAGAGAATAAACAACCTCACTGTGGAGATGGCCGCAGGAGGCCAAGAGAGCAACGCTGAACATTGTCTAAGATCTAGTCATTGTTTGAAGGGAATCATATTTAAATGTAAAGACACACGTTTATTTCAAAATCCTCTAAAACCTATACCGTACAGGTGTACTTGATTTTCAGAAGACCCTTAAATCAAAGTCCACATTTATAAGGCAAATACGCCAGATAATTATCCCATTTAGAGGAGTTTTCACCTCACAGTTTAGAAGAAGTTTTTATCTCAAAGTCTACTTCCTTGAAAGTATTTTGCCAATGCAATGATTTTTATGTGTTTGTTTGTTTTTCTTGGTGGGCTTTGGGAATACAATTGCTACATAAAATGAGCAATACCGATAATTGCATTAGTTGTACTCTTGCTGTCTCCAACCTTCAGGCCAACTCTATTCAAGCCTTTGCTCTGGCTGGCTAGAGAGACTTTCCTGCTCATCCTTATTTGTAACAGTCACTTCCTGCTCTCTTGTCAGTTTCTACTCCTTATAATTATTTATGTCACTATAGTATTTATGATCTGAAATTCTATATTTATTCATGTATTATTGTTTTGTGTTCCCAGAGCACTGAACAGTTCCAGCATATAGCAAATATAAAATTATTTTTTTGGTAAGAAATAATGAAATGATTGAAGAAATTAATGGTAGAAATTCTTTACTACATAACTGCATTTTTTACACTGTTTCTTTTTAAAATATACCATTGGACCTGGAGTTAAAAGTCTTTATCCTTAACAACTGTGTGACTTTAGACAAATCACATAACACTCTGAGTCAGTTATATCATCTGTAAAAAGAATGTAACATAACTGCCTTACTTTTTATTATAGGATTATGAGGATTTAATGAGTTATACTCTGTAAAAATATGTGGAGGTTATATAGCCATACAGAGGACAGTCATACATTATCCAGAACAATCTTATAAGTTCATCAGTCAACTATGTGAAATGAGAAACCAGTGGAAATAGAATATTAAAGTCATTGTATTTTGAATTCGTTTCTCATTTAAAATGGACTTGGGTTCTATACAGGGCTAATTCTTCTGTTTGTAAAATAGGCTTTTTCATTGATCCATTCAGAAAGTATTTATTGGGCAACTCTCTGTACCAGGCCCTCTTCTAGGTATTGTAGCTATAGCAGGAAGCAATGCAGAAGACAACCTCATGGAGATTACATTTTGGGATTAGAAGCAGGTAATGAACACTGAAAATAAATAAATAAATAAATAAATAAATCAGATAATTTTAGATCTGATAGAGATATGGGGAAAATAAACTAAGGAAGTGGAAATGGAAATGCAACTGTGTGTAGATGTGCTCATCGTAACTGGGAGATGGGACGTGATACCCTGCATCAACTCCTTCTACCCTCATAGCACCATTTGCTACCAGCAGACCTGAAAGATAAACAAGGGATTAGAAACACAGTTAGCTTCCAGGAAGCACATGTAAGTGTCTCAGTAAGTGATACTATTTCTAGGTGCAAGGAAGATTTGGCTTTAGATTAAGTTGTCTTTGGTGACTAATCACATTTCTGGTCATGAAACCAAATGCATGTATATGAGCCACTCCTGATTCTAACCCATGCCCACTTTTAGTGTGAACTTTATGGATCTATTTTTACTTACCTATTTTGCAGGATTTATTTTCCTCAAGTACCAGAGATTTTTCTAAGCCGCATGGAATGTCTTAATTACATTAGGCTCTCAGATAATGGAACAAAAGCAGAACATCTCATCAACATCTTCAGAGCCTCCTAAGTGACAGTCAGTCAGCAGCTGGCTCTGAGTGGCTTCCAGATGCCCCTGAGTGCCCTCAAGGCTCCAGCTGTGTGACAGATGGGACCCCCCTCACCATTTTCTCACTACAGCAATCTCCCCTCCAGCTCTGTGCACTGCAACTATACCAAACATCTGAACTGATTTCTCTCTCCTGAATTTTATTAACCCTATCACCTTAGATTCTCTCAGGGAACCCTTTTCTAAAGAGAATTTTTATTTTTTCATCTTTCATTATTCTCACAAAATTACTATCACAGTCCTAATCCCTTCATGGGAGTTGGCATGAGTGGAACCAGGAATGGCAGTCCTGAATATTAGAAAATTATGTACATTTGTTAGGAAATTATGTACATTTCTGTCTTCATGAGTATGCCTCCTTTTCTGACAGCTTTCATACTCACTAAATACTAGTACAACAAATTCCAAGTTCCAGGCAACTATAGGAATGGGATTGTGTTCATTTTTCTTGAATTAAACTACTTTACTAAATCAGGTTTTAAGATTTATATACAGAAATGTGTGTGTATGTGTGTACACATATTGATTGATTACAGCTATATAATTTTATTACTTGGCCTTTCTTGTTGGAAATTTCCTAACTAGATAACAATAAGTTCATTGGTGGCTTCTGATTAGTTAGCCTTAAGTTTCATTTACATATATATTATATATACGTATATAAGTGTATACACATACACACTCACATATATATATGCCCATCCATACTTGTGTGTGTCCCTGTGTATATACATACACACAAGCATGGCCTTCTCGAGGCATTACTTTGTTTAATAAGCGATAAACGTTTAGTAAGCACAAAGCATTGTTCTTGGTCTTGTGGGGAAAAATGATTAAAAAGACACATTTCCTAACTTTCAGGTATTAACATAGAGAAATTAGGCATATTCACAACAGAAAATAATATAAACTCATAATATTTTTAAAAACTAGATATAACAAAGAATCATTATTTATTTTACCAAAGGATTCTTCTCTTTACAGGTACAGCCAACTATAATCTATTTTAGAGCAGAATTTTAAATGAAATTTTCGGATCAAAGTCACATGCATTTTCAATGACACAGCTATTGGATAAAGAGATGACCACATGTGTGGAGGGTTTGTTACAATATTATTTATTGAAATAAGATTTGAGTATATTACCAGTGAATTGATGGAACGCCAGATAATGCTTTTATTTCCTTATTCTGAGAGCTATGAAATATATAAGGAGAACATTACAGTTCTCCTTTTGGAATTCAACTTACAAAATGGTTGAATCGTTTCCAGGCAATTTTATATTTTATTTAGTGAAATAAGAAACTGTGCATTGAAAGCATTTTAAAATCACCTGGGGAAACATTCATAGTGACTGTTTCTCCAAGAAAAGTTTCAAGTATCCTGGTTAGGCTGGGGAGGTTGAAACCTTGGGAAACAGCACTGAAGATGAAGAATCATTTTGGATGCAGTTCTGGCTTATTTCTGCCAGTTTTGTGAAAGTGTATATAACTTTGGTCTCTACTTTGGAGCATGGGGTGGCTTGCAGGGCTTGGAAAATGCATGAGGCTTGTGCCTCTGCTTGTATCCTTCAGAACAAGCAGACCAGGAAAGAGTCAGAGCAGCTGAGTTCCACTGTGGCTTGCTACATTACCCTCTGTTTTCTTATTTTTTTAACCTCTCCTTGGAAACTTTAAGAGTACAAACATCTGTTAAGTGAGCTTAACCTTTGCAAATATAAATGAAGCTTAACTTGGGCTATTTCTGGTAAATGCCTATATCAAAGAAAAAAATGAAACTTAATGCTAACTACTCAGAAACCACCAACTAACTTAGAGATATCTAACTAAGAAATTTCCAATCGGATAGACCAAGTAAGACAACTGTACAGCTGTAACCAATCAAATACTTGCTTTGCTTTGCTTCCATGTCTAATCTATAATTTTTCCCCTTGTGTTCCCTCAGTGGAGGCCTTCAGCTACTTCTATTTGGTAACTGCCTAATTCATAAATCACTGTTCATTCAAATAAACTCTTTAAAAATTTAATTGTGCCTCAGTTTACCTTTTAACCCATGAAAAGAAAAATAATAGTTGAAAAGACCACATGCTAAATCAAGTGAGGAAGAAATGTGAGCTATTTACCTTTGCATTGCCACCCACAGTACCTAATTTAATCTAGTAATTTCTCAATAAATGGAGGCAGCAAATAATTGAGAGAAAAGACAAACCGACTTCAGTTCACACCCCACCTCTGCCACTTCCTGCTGAGATGACAGTAGTAATGCTGGGCTCAAAAAGTTGAAAGAGTTAAGTGAGTCTCTCTGCCTCTCTCTTACACACACATACATACACACACACACACACACACACCCCCCAAGAGGAAGTATTAATATATAATAAGTACCAAATAAGGTAAGATAAAACATTAAAATTTTTCTTGACTGAGAACTTACAGCTTAGCATGCTTTTCTGTTTTGCAAGAGATGCATCGCTGAATAGTTGATTGATTGACCCCATAGATTCCGAGCCAAGTAAAAGTTCCTCCCACTGTGATAGTCCAAAAAGTGTGTCGCCTGAGAGGATCTACATCAAAGCTATGAGACAGAGAGAAATGAGTGAACAAAGATATTCCTTTGATGCCTAAGATATTATTTTAGGTGATAAGGTCATGTAGCTAAGTCTTTGTAAAGTATGAAAAAGTTGCATTGGACATACTCAAATATATGTAGTCGAGATCCATTTGTTGATTGCTCTAATACATTGTGGAATCCCCCAGCATGAGTTGATCCTTGAATGAGAACCGTTAAGAAGCCCACAATCATGACAACCATCTGAAATGCATCTGTCCACACCACTGCTTTTAATCCTCCCTGAAATAGAGAGAATGTTTGAGTCCTTGAAAACAAACCCTGTAACTGTACTGGCTCTGCAAAGCCTCTCTGCTAATGCATGCATGCATTCTTTTGTTTATTCAGCATCAGCCACTGAGGATCTTTTATGTGCCAAGTACCATGTTAAGCATGAGAACAAAATGGAAAGTGAAAGAGACATACCCCTTCCTTAACTTTATAAAGTTTATAATCTAATGGGAGAAGCAGATGTTAGACAACAAGATAGTGATTTACTTAAAAATGTGGAAAGTGCAATTAAGAAAGACAGGTTACTATAGGAGCATAAAACAGGGAGCCCTGACCTGGTCTTGAGGAAATGATGTTCAAGCTAATTTCTGAAGAATGAGTAGGAATTTACCAACTACAGAGGACAAACAGAAGCGGGAACCAGCATGTGTGAAGAAGCACAACTCCCTGAGGGAATACAAGAAAGCTGGAAGATGTTGGTCAAAGGTGTGAAACACCCAAAGAGGAATTTGCTCTGTGGGTGAACTTGCTAGAGGCCTGACCACACAGACTTTGATAAGGACACTTAAATGTTTTCTCAAGAGCAATAAGGAAGCATTAGCAAGAGTTATATGATGAGAGATTTTGTTTCACAGCAGTTTCATTGGTGATTGTGTGGAGAATCAACTGCAGGAAAAGAAAAGGAGTTGAGAGACCATCTCATTTTATTTCAGCAGTCCATGCCCAATATGATTGACAGATAGAGGTAAGGTAGAGATGAAAAGAAGTGGATGGACTGTTTTGGAGGTAAAATCAACATAACTTAGGATTCATTGAATACAGGTGGTAAAGAAGTAAGGGAATGAAAACTAACAAATAGGATCTGGCTTGCACAACTAGAAACACTCTTTGCAAAATTAGTGACAGGGAATATATTTTGGGAAACTGAGATGGTAGAATATCAAACAAAGAACTAGGAAGGAATAGTATATTCCAGACATTCATAGAGGAATGAGTTTGAAGAGCTACAGAATGGTCAAATGGTGAGGTAAGTGGAACAGAGTTCCAGGAGGATGAATCTAATAGTAAAATTTAGGATACAATGATTAGGCAAGAGGTTAGAGCAGTGGTTATGAAACCCAGCTCCCCTTTAGAGTCACTTGAGGAATGTAAAAGGAAAAATAAATAATTAAATAACATTTAAGCCCTATCCCCAAGGGTTGTGAATTAATTAAGGTCTGGATTGGGGCCTGGTCCTCAGCATCTTTTGAAAGCTCCCCAGTTGACTCTAGTGTAGAATTACAGTTGGGAACATTTGGGCAAGAAGAAGGAAGGAAAAAGAGAGGCTGTTGTAGTATTACAGGTATAGAAGCCCTTAGGATGATGATCTATGTGGGATGAGCAAGTGGGGAAAGATGAAATGAAGTGATATATCAATAAGTGCTTGGGAAATGAATGAGCCCTATGAAAATGAAATGACGTGGTATTTTTAACATTGAAAAACAGAATTATCATCTCTGGTTACTCCTCCAGAGTGTCAAGAACTTTAGTGAAAAGATGACAGGCTTCATCTTCATCTTGAGATGAAAGAAGACATTGGGGTTGCCCCATCACTTCTTTTTTAATTAAAATTGAAATTCAATTTTAAAAATAGACATTAAAATACCTGCCAAAGGCACTGTATTTATATATTTTGTTCACACATGGTTTGAGGTATAATAAATTTCTTACCTGTTACCTCCTAGGTAGCACTAGCTTAATTTTCTTAAATCCATTAAGCCTTCAAAACCCAAATCTCAATGTAAGATTTTAGTGCTATGAAGACAAAATGTCAAAGGCCTCTGTTTTCAGAGGATACTTGGCATTGGTTGTGCAGAAATCTGCATAAACTTGGCATAAGGCAAGAGAACAAACCACTTTATCAGATATTAATCAAAAGGCAGATTATAGCCACCATGAAGACCTGTCTGACTCCTTCATACAGCGAGTCCTCACCTCTTTTCTCTGTCATACACACACACACACACACACACACACACACACACACACACACACACACACACACTTACCTTCTTTAATACTGAGGGTACCTTGTGTGTCACCCACATATTTAATCAAACTGCCTTGTTTGGGGTCTAATGTTTGCCCTACTAAACTACGGAACCCTGGATGGCAACAAACACTTTCTCTTTTCTCTTTCACTGGTTATTTTAAATATTTTATACATCCACAGGCTTAGCAGAGTAAAGAGACGGCAATATGAGCAAAGGTGAAGCCTCTAATTTGACGAGAGAGAAGAACAGAGGTGTGGTACAGAGATTATATGGGTAGATTGGATTCATAGAATGAAAGATTTTTACACCAGGCTAAGGAGCTTATAATTTATCTTGTGAACAATAGGAAGTAACAAGAGAATTAGATCAGTAAAGTTGCATGAAGAAATGAATATTTTAAGAAGATTAATCTGACAGAGGTATGCAGGGTGTGGGAGCAAGAAGAGGCTGGAAGCACAAAACCAGTTAGAAGGTAGTTTATTTTAGTTTATTGTGATTATAAAAATATCTGGATGTTTCTGATGTCATGTTTTTTGGTTTCTATTTGTCCTACTTTTGCTATGCTTGTTTTTCTCTTTTCTTCTTTTGCTTTGATGAATTGAGGGTTGCTTTTTCAAACTCCATTTTTCTTAACTTTGACTATTTTATTTAAATGGGTCCCCTTGAAATTTTGCCATGCATTTTAAATGTAGAGTAAATATTTAAGCAATGCCATAATCCTCAGAAATTCAAGGATGATAAAACATTTAAGTCTGAGTACTCTCTTCCTGATTTACATTCTATTTTTATACAGTTTGGGGGTAATTCTTTTTTCTAAATTTCAAAATGGCATATAATTATAATTATAATTATTGATATATTTTGTATTTTAAATTGTACAATAATATAAAACATTTAATAATATATAAATTATAAAATAATGGTTATCATTTCATACCAAAAATAGTTTAACTAGACTCATTAAATGTTTACTATTTTATTTTCTTATCAATTTTTCTGTTTAAAACTGTCATATTTTAATGTTTTCCCTTTTTCCCACAGTATCTCCTCTAGATTTTTCTTTAGGGAAGATCTGTAAGTGCTAAATTCTCTTTGGTTCTTGACATTCAACTCCTGAAAGATAGTTTTATCAAAAACACAATTATGACTGGGTCTGGAATACTTTTTCCTCAATGCTTTGAATGTGTTATCCCACTGTTTCTGGTTTCCATTGTTGTTGCTAAGTGTCCCTCTTTAAGTATCTCTTTCTCCTTCCTCTGGCTCTTTTTCAGGTCCTCCATTTGTATTTGCTGTTCTACAGTTTCACTAATGTATCCAGGTATAAACGTATTCTTTTTCTTTCTGCTTTAAGGTTACACTTTCTAAATCTATATATACTTATATTTTATCATATCTGAAAAATTAGAATCCATAATTTTTTGAAACACTACCTCACCTCCATTCTATTTATACTCTCCTCTGAGACTTCAACTGGACATGAATTAGACCTTCTTATTTTGTCCACCATATGTCTCCATTTCTATTTCACTTTTTTCATCTTCTTGTCTCTCTGTTATTCTTTAGGTTATTTCTTTGGATAGAGTTTCCATCATACTCATTGTCTCTTCAAATACATTTGCTCTTTATCATAATCATTATATTGTGTGGTCAGTCATTCCTGATGCTTACTCATCTTTGAAATTACATTCTTTATTTATTTCAGTTGTTTATGCATATCTATTCTCTTATTCAGTATCTTTTAATACCAAAATATTTTGTTCTTGAGAGGCTAAATCTTGTTTGTTGCTTTGCTGATCCTCACTCACAGTAAATTGCTATTTTGTATTTTTTATGATATTTTGTTAAAGTTATTGTTAGATCTTTATCTGTGTGTAAATATCTTATAGTCTTCAGTTGGATTATTCCTCCAGAGAGGATTTGCACTTTTTCCTTGCAAAATCTGAAGTGCATCACTGGAGTAAAACCATGCCAGCTCCCCCCAAGGATTCTAGCTTAATGTTATAGTCCCAAGCTCAGTTTCCCTACATTTTCACTGACCCAAATTTCAATACCTTAATAGTAGTAGTACTGTTATCACCACCTGCCTTCAAGTCAGCCTCATGCATCCTTCCTACTCACAACACTCCTTCCAAATATCAGCCCTGATAATTAATATATTTTAAATTGTTTTATATTATTTTGTTACTTTGTTTTTGGGGGAGAACACTTACTTAGGGAGCTATGATACCTTTTTCAAGGCAAGCAATGCATTAGAAATTGTTATATCCAGCATCTAGCTGATCTTCTCTGGACAGGTACCTCAGAGCAACTAATCTATTATATGAGGTCAGAGGTAAGAGGAGCAAGAGTCTATTCTTTTAGCATAGGTGGGAAGAGTTGAGTGTCTGGAATAGAATCATGGTAATGAGAATGTAATTTTTTAAAATGAAGACAAAACTAAGTGCAAAGAAATAATGGGATTTGCAAGTATGAAAAAGATCAGGCTATTTTAAAATTGTATATAATTGGAATAGATGTTACAAAGACTAGGTGATATGCACATAACACCAAAATACATGAATCATCTGCTATATGAAAATATATTAATTTTTTATTTTTATCTATAGTGAAGGAAAGATAATTCAACTGTCTGGGAACCACTACCATATGCTTAACTGGTTAATTATAGGTTGTACATGGTACAATGACTCAGAAGAATAAAGATTATAGTTGCAGGGAATGGGCAAACAATAGGTGCTCAATGAATGTTTAACTAAACTATATATAATTGTATTAATTACATAAACATGCTGTCAATACAACTCAGGCTCCTTAATTAAAAACAGAGCATGTGTAAAGCCAAGTGGTAAATGTAATCCAGGCTTACCCAGAAATACAAGACAAAAACAAGCTGTGAAATCCTCAAGTTTATAAAATAGCAGCCATCACTGCTCACTTGTATGTACATTTTGTTATTTCTCAACCAGTAGACAGTGAAGCATAAAGTGTAAAGTATAAGTGCCATCTGTGGTTTATGAGGGCCATGAATGAATAAACTATTTTTCTCAGAAGTAGCATAGGGCCACCTATTCTCTAATCAAGAAGACTTTTTCATTAGATTTTTTTCTTATTAGGCATGATTTTCTTGAATGAGTGCAGAGATTAAATTCTCCTAAAGGTTGGTAATGAAAAGAATGTTAAACAACAGCACCTTCCTCAGGAAACTGTGACAGATAAGCCGACATACTTCTGCTTAATTTTGGAATAACGAATTCTGCTATAATTAGATGCCTATTGCTGGAGATTTGCCCTTATCCCATATTAGGAGGTAGTGTTAAATACTTCTTCACAGCTAGATACATACCAGGGTACAGTAGAATGTGCAAACAATTCCTGTTGCAAACACAGAGCCCCAGAGATCAAACCCAGTCACTAGGAAAGAAGAAAAAAATATTAAAAGAAGTTTCCTTCAAAAAATTAAAAGAGCAAGTTTTATGAGGAAAAAGACACAATATTTTTATCAGTGTTCTTTGTAGGCAAAAATAAAATCAAATTAGAGTTTTCCCTCATTAAATTTTCTCACCTTCGAGAAAGATTATTTTTATTATATTTTTATACTTCTATCTAGTCCATACATTTCATGTAATGTTAAGTCAAATTGTTCCTCCTAAGATTTTGTAGCTTCCAATCTTTGATCCAAATGTTTTGTTTTTGAGTTTCTGTTTTTCTCAACAAAGTTAGTCTGAGTACTCTGAAATCACCTAAACATGAGCCATGAGCAGGGATATAAAAGGAAATAATGGCCTTAGAGGTTCCACTAGGAAGACTCTTGGGCAGAAAGTCAGTAGACTTGAATTTTTATTCAAACAACCCACTTCTCTTCTCTGACCATCATGAGAAACATGAACAA
This sequence comes from Homo sapiens, assembly GCF_000001405.40. Taxonomy (NCBI): domain Eukaryota; kingdom Metazoa; phylum Chordata; class Mammalia; order Primates; family Hominidae; genus Homo; species Homo sapiens. Next base: position 26,709,858 of record NC_000011.10, read on the forward strand.
AAATTGAGTTTTAATAGATCTTTGACTTTTTTTCTAGGAAAACAATCCTTTTATTGAATGTACCTAGCATATACAGGTATACACCTGCCATGGTGGTTTGCTACACCCATCAACCCATCATCCACATTAGGTATTTCTCCTAAGGCTATCCCTCCCCTAGCCCCCTACCCACCCACAGGCCTCCAGTGTGTGCTGTTCCCCTCCCTGTGTCCATGTGTTCTCTTTGTTCAACTGTCACTTATGAGTGAGAACATGTGGTGTTTGGTTTTCTTTCCTTGTGATAGTTTGCTGAGAATGATGGTTTCCAGCTTCATCCATGTCCCTACAAAGGACATGAACTCATCATTTTTATGGCTGCATAGTATCCATGGTGTATATGTGCCACATTTTCTTTATCCAGTCTATCATTGATGGGCATTTGGGTTGGTTCCAAGTCTTTGCTATTGTGAATACTGCTGCAATAAACATATGTGTGCATGTGTCTTTATAACAGAATGATTATAATCCTTTGGGTGCATACCCAGTAATGGGATGCTGGGTTCTAGATCCTTGAGGAATCGCCACACTGTCTTCCATAATGGTTGAACTAATTTACACTCTCACCAACAGTGTAAAAGCATTCCTATTTCTCCACATCCTCTCCAGCATCTGTTGTTTCCTACCTTTTTAATGACCGCCATTCTAATTGGCATGAGATGGTATCTCATTGTGGTTTTGATTTGCATTTCTCTAATTACCAGTGATCTTTGACTTCTAACAATCCATGCTTTTTTATTCCTGTTGCTTCTAAGATTATATATCATAAAATCAGATTACAAGTCCAAAGCACAAAACTCAGAGGAATATCAAGATAAAAAGGACTTTCTTGGCAGCTCTTATCTAAACCTCACTGACTCTGAGGTTAATATTTCTCAGTATAAGCACATAGCTGAATTAAATGCAATATTGAGGACTTTCAATACGGCAGGTGTCATTGTGAAGTTTACTTTGACTTTTTTTCTTTCCTTTTTGTTTTTAGGATTCTATTATTTTGAAATAATAGACTATAAATTTTAGTGTAACTATTACAAGCAACTTTTATACTGAGATTATCTACTTCATGAGATTACTGAAGTCCCTGTATTATAGATGACCATACTTAGCAACATATACAATACCGAAACTGCCATAATTCCAATGATTTAAAAATAAAAACCAAATCCCAAACAAACAAAAGCAATCAAAATTGGTATCTAGAAGTATATGAGTCAAAACCAAGTAACTAATTGTTTGCATTATTTTCAATGTTTAATCAATATTTAGAGCTTTATGTAATGACTTCTAATAGTAATTCAGAATCCTCTAACCAGAAGAATATCTCCCCAACAAAGTATTTTATTTCTAATTCTGCAAGGTGAGAATTCAGGCATAAAAATGGTAAAATATGCCAAGAGAATGCTGATAACTCACCTTGATTGAGTGCCAGGGCAGGAGCATACACCACCACTCCTGTGTAGAGAATCTGGTAGAGAAACAAGAATCAGATTGGCAGTGAGAAAGGGACATAGAAAGGAAAACTGCCTAGAAAGTTCTTTATCGACGTTAGACTTGTATTCTCTTCAACTTGTTCATGAAACATTGCATTCCTGTTGACTCTAATTTTGAAGTTGCTCACCACTATCAGTAGTCTGTAGAGGGGATGTAATCATTAGATGGAGGAAGAGAGTTGGATTTTCAAAATTGCTACTAATTTTGAGATATTATGGTTATATTTTGTATATCTCTAAGGGATACAAAAATAGACTTAATTAAGTTTTGATTCATCTTCCTTCTATCCATTTTCCTGATGCACGCGTCACAGTGAACTCTCTACCGACTTCATGAGGAGCTTTACTAAGCAACAGAAGCATATTTTAGCAGTTTGCTGAAATATGGAATTTAGAGGTGAGATAGAAAGAATCTGTGAGGAGAAAGTACTGTGCTGGGAAGACTAACAACATGGTTGATCTCCATAATGAATATGTCTTCTAATTCCCAGAAGTGCAACCACTACCCTGCTGGAAATAGGTCCAGTTTCTCCAGTCTCTATTCGGAATTTCACCATGTAGAGATTCATGTTAGGGTTTTAAAAGGCAAATATCTATGGGCAGGTAAAGGAGCATTGTTTTCCTCCATTTGCTTGCCTAAATTCTTCAGTCAGTGTGTGGGAGTTTTGATTAAGAAGAGGGAAGAAGCTTATCTTCTAGGAGAAAGTACTTGGTGAGTAGTAGGAAGTCTATCAATGCCGTGCCATGGGCAAATTTGGAGCAGCATGAAGACATCCCAAAGCTGGGGGGGTGGGAAAGGAGTTCATAAGAAAGAGAGGGAAGTAGGAGTATTAGCTGGGAATATTGTCTTAAAATGACTTTCTGCAAAATAGGTATTTCTGCTTCAACTCAGTTAATGGTTAAAGCAAACAAGTAAAAAAACAAAAACAAAAACAAAAACAAAAAAAGCAAAACCTAGTTATCAGACCATTTCATATCTAATCTAGAGCAACTTATGCAGGTTAAACAGCAGTGAAATACGTGTTAAGAAAATGTGGGTGGCTTATACACACACACAAACGGCTTTTTTTCCCTTTGTGGCTTGCAATATACATTTGTTTGTTATTTTTAGTACATATTAAAAGTGCTATCTTTGGAAGAAAGTAGCGTCTTCTTAGTATTAAGTGTCCTTTAGCTGAGTTTATTGCCCCCAAAATAAACAAACCTATATCTAGTAACCTCACAGTTTCCACATCTGCAGCAGCCATGACCACTTACCGTCTGTACAATGTAGATGACCGTGGCAGCATAGCGAACTGGTTTGTTGAATCGTAGTTGTAAGTACTAAAGGAAACAGAAAGACATGCAGAGTCAGTGAGGTTTAGATAAGAACTGCTAAGAAAGTCCTTTTTATCTTGGTATATCCTCTGTTGTGCTCTGGACTTGTAATCTGATTTTATGATATGTATCCTTAGAAGCAACAGGAATAAAAAAGCATGGATTGTTAAAAGTCAAAGATCTATTAAAAATCAATTTCTGTTCGTGTTTCTCATGATGATCAGAGAAGAGAAGTGGGTTGTTTCAATAAAAATTCAACTCTATTGACTTTCTGCCCAAAAGTCTTCCTAGTGGACTCACTGAAGCCATTGTTTCCTTTTATATCTTTGCTGCTCCAAATTTAGTTCGATCCTTTATTTTCTCTTTTCTGGATTGCTGTTGTGGCACCCCAATTGATCTCCCTAATACCATCTGTGCCCACTCATCCTATCAACCACATATCTCCCATATCAATTCTTTGAAAGCAGAGCTCTGATCATGCTGCTCTTTTTCTCAAATTCTTCAACAATTCTCTATCATTGACAAACAAAGTGCAGATCCCAAGCTTGATATTCCAAACCTTCCATTGTCGGATCCACGCCCTCCCTTTCTTATGTCACTAACCTTCACATAATTTATTCTCCACATACAATTATTGTTTATCATTCAGCTAACACATTTTGTGCTTTTTCAGACCTTTCCTTCATTTAGGCAGAACTCTCAATATAAGAGCCCCTCTCCCCAAATTTCACAAAGTCTTAGTCATCTGTCAATAGATGGAAGGAAAAGTAAATACATTCTTTCAGATATAGAATTATGCAGTTGAAATAGTCTTTCTTCTTTCACAGATGAGAAATTCAAGACTTAGATCATTGATGAAAGCATCAGCCCAATTGCTATTCCTGGCTCTGCTCATATTTCATCCTCTGAGCTCATATGGCACTAATATTAAGACTTTTTCATGGTTATCAGTTGCTATCTTATATTTTGGTGTTGAATTTGATTATCTCTCTGTATTAGTTTGTTATTAATACTGTATAAATTAATTGCCACCAATTTGTTGTCTTTAAACAACAGAAATTTATTACCTCTCAGTACTGAAAACCAAAAGTTAAAAATCAATTTCACTGGGTCAAAATCAAAGTGTGAGCAGGAGGCTCCTACACGAGGCTTTAAGGAAAAGTCAGCTTCCTGCCTTCCTGCTGTTAGTGGCTGCTGGCAGTCCTTAGCTTCTGGTTCCATCACTCCAATTTCTGCCTTTACAGTTACATTGCCTTTTCTTTTGCCTGTCAAATTTCCCACTACCTCCCTCATATAAGGATATATGTGATTGATTGCATTTATATAGAGCCTCTCTGGATAATCCAAGACAATTTTCTCACCTCAAAATCCTTTAATCACATTTGCAGTAATCCCTTTCAAAACGAACAAAAAAAAACATGTAAAGTAACATTTACAGCTCTCAGGGATTACACCTGGATATATACTGGGGAAGGTATGCTGTTTTCAGCCTACCATATTTACTATTCCTAATATACAAGTACTGTTCTATTTTATTCATTTTTATCTTTATCATTTACACATTCATTCATTCAACAAATGTTTGTTACCTGCTTTACATATTGCATTCTGACACAAAATGATAAGCAAATATGATATAGTCCATACCATAGAGGATCTTACAGATTAGACGAAGTGACCATTAACAAATATTTATACTAATGGAAGTAAAGTTGCAATTGTGATATGTACTACAAGAGCTAAAAGTAGCTGTGAACTTCCTAAATAGTAGAATCTCATTTACTGTTTTGGAGATTAGGAAAAGTTTTTCTCAGTAAGTATTCTAGAAGACATTAATATATGTCTTTCAGTATATAATAAACATGTATTGAATAAACACCATAAAATTTTAAAGTATCAATTGGCTTGAGGATTAAATTTCTTGCTAGTAGTTTCTACTTGATAGTAGTTCTTTCTTTTCTGAATTAAAAAAATCATTTTGATTAAATCAAGGATTGACAATCAATTTATCCTTTCCCTAGAAACATTAGATAAATGTTTCATGGCTTACAATTGGCCCTTCTTTGAAGCAAAGGACATCTCTTGGCAGAACTGTGACTCCATTTTATACTAACTCACATTCTCAATTTATCCTGCCAGATTCTCCCAAACCTGAGGTAGAAAACCACCTTATTTTCAGGTCCTCTCTTCAGATGATATATTCTGTGAGCCAGAATGTATAGTCCGGTGAATATGTGAATGAGGGCATCAGACATAAGGAAAATATTACAGAGGAAGGGAAGTCAGTGAGGAGTCAGCAGTCACAAATATCATAAGGTAGAAAACACTGAAATGTCTGTGGTGAAGACACCTTGGGTTCACATCTTGTGCCCTTGGGAAGACTATTTTCTGCCACTAAGCCATGATTTTCTCTTCTGAAAGTGGATGTTGTATGGATCAGATGGTGGGAAGTATGATAATGCCAGGTACAGAGCTAGGGCTATAGTAGGATTTAATGACTGCTGTGGTCTCTGAGGGTGCAACACCCATAGTTTATTGGCATTCCCTGTTCCAGTACATGTTGATGGCATCTAAATGTGCCTGAGATTATCTGCTTGAGAGTGTTCTGAGCCTTTGCACAGGGCCATAGGGCAGATCAGAAGGCTTGAGGGTGTTATCATTGGCACTCAGCCAATTACTAAATGGGGTTGGAACAAAATACCCTGGCTTTTTGCCTTTCAGTGAGGACAACCCTGAGACGCACTTTATATTGTCTCTTAGAGATCCCCAGTTGGATTGAACCCCAGTTGTTCACAGTGGTAACCTGCTCAAAATTACATTTTTAATTGGCATCTTTTTCTTCTGTTTCACGTTGCCACTTGTCTATCACTGCTTACTAGAATCACTTCCCCCAAATCAACTTGCATTCAAATCCTTGTTTCAGGATCTGCTTCTAGTAGAATGCAACTTAAGACAGAGACATTTCTAGTAAATATATTGCAAGTACAAATTTTGAAAATGCTTCTGTAATGAGGTGTGTTCTCTTTCTGAGAGGAACTCTTTTCTATCACATGAAGAACTCAGGTTAGCCTACAGGAGGATGAGACTAAAGGTAACAAGGACAAGCTGTCTCATTTGCATTCCCCTAGGCCAGCAAGCTGCTAGCCAACTAGCTACCTTATGGAAGTCACATAGATGGTCCCAAGTGAGACCAGCACAATTTTATGGGGCCCATCTGAGCCAGGCAAAATTGTTAATCTGCAGAATTGTGAAAAACTAAAATTGTTATTTTGAGACATTTATTTTGGAGTAGTATGCTACATAGCAATAGATAATCATGAATACAAAGATTGGCACTAGAAGTGGGGAGGTGTAACAAAAACCAAAAATATGTAGCATTAGCTTTGGTACTGGGTGGCACAAGGAAGTCTGGAAAACATAAGGGGCAACGAATCCTGAAAACCAGTAAAGCCACGAGGCTATTGCTATAGGGATCTTGAAAAAAATCAATGGTTTTCGCATTTCAGTTAAGTTCCACTCAACCCAGTAAAATTACAAAGACAGTACTAGGGAAAAGCTATATGAATAAAGACCTGATCAGAAATCAGCCTCCTTGAATTCCAGTTTGAGATTTGCTGGCATCTCACTCTGTGATCTGTGCTTCAGGATTCTCATCTGTGAAAGAAGAAAGACTACTGCAACTGCATAATTCTATATCTGAAAGAATTTATCCACTTTTCCTTTCAATGTATTCACTCATTCATTCAGTGGTCACCTTTGGTGTATATATAAGCTATTCCTATTGTCAAAAGTAAAAATACAACAGAGAAGTTGCATGCTTCATGCCTGCTTGTAAAAATACCTGAGGTGACATTTACCAACATTATGATGGATTATTTTCAGAACCCCAAACTTGATCCAGCCATACTCTTTTCCATCTCAGGAAATACCAACTCTACTTTTCAGGTTGGTTCGAGCCCAAATAACATAGAGCCAGCCTTTACTCCTCTCTCTCCCTCCCCACATCCAATTCATAAAAGAAATCTGGGTGCTTGCCCCCCACTTTCAAAACATATTTACTTGCATTCATCCTCTCTTACAACCCTATTACTATCATCTCTTGCTCAGATTATGTAAGGAAACTCCCAATTACCTCCCCGCTTCAGCAGTAAAAGCCCTAAAATTATTCTTAATATCTAGCTAGAGTAATCCTCTTAACATACAAATCCCATCATGTCACTTCCCTTCCCAAACACTGTAATGACCCATCATTTCTAGAGTAAAAGCTAATCCCTATGATGACCTAAAAGGCCCCATAACGTTGGTTCAGACCCTAAATATCTCTTTTACAACAAATATTATATAGCACCGTTCACTCTGCTGAAATAGTATTCAATAATATCTTATAGATAAACATTGAATTTCTCAAAATATAAATATAATTACTAACAATACCACCACTGTTATTTGAAGGAGAACTAAAAGGAAAGCATTTACCTAAAAAAAGTATGTAATGTATAAATGCTCAGAAACCACTGTACAAGAAAACACAGTGAAATAGTAGCCCGGGCATTATCATAAAGAAAATTTGAAATTGAAGAGAAGTAAGTAGTTCAGAAGCCAAGAAGTCCAAGAAATATGAGAGAACAGGTAGACATTGGCCTATAAGCCAATATTAAATTAGGTAAATAATAGCAAACTAGATTTATGAGTGTATGATAAGAGAAGGAAGGAAATAACTTTAAAGTGAAGATAATATTATGAGACTAATAACAAACTGTACAATTGAGATAATGAAAATATATGATATTGCAAACTAGCTAAGCCTAAATTATCACTTGAGGGTGAGAAGAATTCCCTATACATTGACTTGTGACAGGGTAGTGATAAAGTAGCACAGATGGCATATCTTAGTCTTGAAATCCCACTGCATATCAAGGCATTTAAATCAGTTGGCTATTGCTATATAACACTCGCCTCCAAACTCATTGGCTCAAAAACCAAAAATTTATTATTTCTCATAACTCTGAGGTCAGGCTGGGTGATCTCTCTGGTTTCATCAGGACTTTCATGTAGCTTCAGTAACTTGGAAGATCAATGGAGAGAGGTCTGACATGGCCTCACTCACAGGTCTGGTAACTTGTATTGGCTGTTGGCTAGGTGTCTCTGTTCTCTATGTGTCCACTGCTGCTCCTGAAGCTAGATCAGCTATGCCACCTTCCTTACATAGCAGTATCAGGGCAGCATTCCAAGAGGACAAAGGCAGAAGCTACAAGGCTCAGAAGGCCTAGGCTCCAAGCTCACAGAACATCACTTTGGCTACATTCTGCTGGTCAAAGCAAGTCACAAAACTGGCCAAAGTTCACAGGGTGGATAAAGAGACTCCACCTCTTTCAGTCTTTAGTATTTAAAAAGACCCTAGAAAGCATACCTTTCAATAACTACTAGAGAATGGAGGCTGAAGAAAGAAACAGAAACTCCAGATACTATAGACAGATTAAGTGGTATAAATTTGAAGATAGCAACAACAATGATCATAATAATGCAACACTCTTACATAGTATTTACTATTTGCCAGGCTCTGTTAAAAGTATTTGTATACAATAAATCATTTACTCCTCACAGACATCCTTTGAGATAGATGTTTTTATTACCACTATTTTACACATGTGAAAACCAGGTATATAAAAGTTAAGTAATTTACGCCAAGGTCATGCAGCTAGCAAGTGGCAGAGCTGACACTGAAAGCCAAGTCAACAGACTTTAGAGTCCATAGTCTTTTTTATTTTATTTTTTTAAAGACAGAGTCTCACTCTGTTGCCCAGGTTGGAGTGCAGTGGATCTCGGCAGTTCACTGCAACCTCCCAGGTTCAAGTGATTCTCGTGCCTCAGCCTCTCGAGTAGCTGGGATTACATGTGCGCCACCATGCCTGGCTAATTTTGTGTGTGTGTGTGTGTGTGTGTGTGTGTGTGTGTGTGTGTGTTGTTTAGTAGAGATGGAGTTTCTCCATGTTGGCCAGGCTGGTCTCGAACTCCTGACCTCAGGTGATCCACCCAACTCAGCCTCCCAAAATGCTGGGATTACAGACGTGAGCCACCACGCCTGGCCTAGAGTCCATACTTTTAACTTGCATGCCATAATGCCAATTTTTATAAAGCAAGAGGTAATCCCAAAATAACCTTATATCTACTTTACACACTCTGGATTACTTACTATTAGGTCACTAAAAAGTTGAAAATATGTAGAGGCAAAAATAGTAAATATTTTAAAAACAATTTAGTAAATTAAATTCAATGAAGTCCTTATATTTTCAATACTTGTACTAATTTATTAATTTAAAAAGAGAATCAAATCTCCTCAGTTACATAATTGCAATTGGTTTAGTTGTTTTTGCAGTAACTAGGCCATTTTACTAAAACCAGTTATGGCTAAGCATGTAATGAGCAGCACATATGGAATAGACAGATTGTTCAAAGTAAGTAAATTGTTCAATAATTTTAAGACAGTGTTTTTATTTCATTTAATTTCTGGAAAATGTGCTAATTTATAGTGTGTGTATAACTTTTTATTGTAAAGTTACTGTGCACTAAGGTAATACTAATATGTGCAGTAGTTTTTGAGCATTACGGCATTAAAATATCATGCAGTGCAGAGTGAAATTACTCATTGTATATGTGCCTTTACACACTGAAAGACATCTGATGTCTCTGCCCTCAACTCCCTAAACATCAGTAGTGACTCCTAATCATTGTGACAACCAAATATCCTACAAATATCCCAAGTGCTCCCTCTGTGTGGCACTAGCTCCACTGAGACCCCTGCTGTATATAACTGGGCACTCCCATCTCTTTGATCTTATCTTTTACCATTGTCCCCTTTGCTCTCTCCTCTCCAAGCACACTGATTTCTTTGCTGTCCTTCAACATGCCAGTCACACTCCTTTTCTAGGGCCTTTGCATCTGTGACTACTTCAGCCTGAGATGCACTTCCCTTGTCTGGTGCAATTATTTGCTTTCTTCCAGTCTCCATTTAGACGTCTTATTTTACTTGAAGTTTCATATGATCACCCTCTATGAATATGGACATTCTCTACTCATACCAGCATTCCTCCTCTCTATCTCATCCTATTTACTTTACTTTTTCTCCATTTGTTTTTGTAGGACAGGACAGCATAGTTATTTAGCATATGATATCTAAAGTTAGACTGCCTGGTTTGAAAAACTGTTACTTGCTAGCTTTATGTCACTTAGCAAGTTACTTAATTCTATATGCCTCAGTTTTCTAGTCTGTTAAAAGGAGGTGACAGTACCTGTCTAAAAAAGATTGTTTTAAGGCCAAAAGACTTAACACACATAAGGAACTTAGAGAAGTACTTAGCACATAGTTAAATACCATATATATTTGTATTATGATTTTCTTACACAGTATATGTTTATTGACTGCCCTTCTCTGCTATGAAGTAAGCTCCATGACAGCAGGAACTTGGTGCAATGCTTTATGCCTAGGGCTACGAGAATGCCTAGAACAAGCTGGGTGTGGTGGCAAACTTCTGTAGTCCCAGCTACTTGGGAGGTTGATTCAGGAGAATCACTTGAGCCCAGGAGTTTGAGAACGGCCTGGGAAACATAGCAAAAGCCCCATCTCATAAATAAATAAATAAATAAATAAATAAGTAAATAAATACATGGAAAAAAAGAAGAGTGCCTTTTTAAGTATCTTAAGAGTAGATGCTTAATGAGTATTTACTGAGTGAATAGTCATAAAAATTACATTACATAAAACTATGGAATCAATAACACTTTTTAAGACTTCCTAAAAAGTGTTCATTTGCCTGAGTGACTTTTGAAGGCTAGAATAATGTTTTATACTCATATAGCTTACATATTTAAAAAAAAATAGGTCTCTTTTCAGTCTCCTGCAGTGACTTTAGGAATGATATTGGATAATGAAAATAAATACCTTATTAATAGAAACTTATGTTTGATCACATTTCTATATAGAGCATGCAAATTCAATTTTGAACATGATGTCTTCATTGAGAATCATTGTAAAGCCAAAACACCACTGCCTCATTTCCCTCACATTAAATAATTCCCATATTTGTATTATTTAGCAATTCCTTTCGTTAAAATGTTTTGTACTTTTCAAAAATGTTTCCATTTCCTCATTAAAAATTAGTCTTATTATAATTTGTATTAAAATGCCCTCTACTCTCTGACGGAAAGGCCACTAAGTAGAGATACAGAAAAAATTAGGTTCTCAGGTCACTTTACTATTCAAAAATCTTAACTAAGTCATTTATCTGTATCTCAGTTTTCTTAGCTGGAAAATTGCCGTACTCATGAGAAATGTTCTGTTTGCTTTTCAGAATGATGACGTTCACAATAATAAAAAATAACATCAGCCCTCTTTATTGCAAACCTCCTACAAATGAGGCCATACATTAAGTGCTCACATAGAGGTTCTCATTTGATCATTAAAATAGCCCTGTGGGATTGTCATCATTATTTTCCTTCTACAGATGGGAAAATAGATATGTCTGTCTCCAAAGCTTAGGCTTTTTACAAAAACATTTTAATGTCTTTCTCATAATGTGTAATTATCCTGAAAATCAGTGAGTGTTCTTCAACTACCAGGTGCTATCATCAAGAGGATGAGAAAAAAAAATTAGAGAAGAATGGAGAAATCATCTTACCTCATAAGTGCTGGTGATACCAGATCTGTAGAACACAGGGAGAAAGAGCTCTGATGTTAAGAGGATGACAAATAGGTAAGCAATGAAGAAGACTAGGAAGGATGCCCCAAAGCGGTAGACTTCAGAAGGGGTCCCCAGGACCGTGACAGCTGACATGAAGCTGGCTGTCAGAGACAAGCCGACAGGGCCAAAGCTCATTTGCCTTCCCCCAACCAGGAACTCTCGGGAAGTTGCCTTTTTTCTCTCCTTAATGGCAAAGAACACCCCAATTCCAGAGGAAATGAAAAAGAGGGCTGCAAATACAACATAATCCCAAACTGCAAAGTTCTTCACCTCCATATTGGAAAGTATGACACCAGAGAGTTTCTTTCAACGAGGTCTCAGGAAGAAGATGTTTCCAAAAGCAAAGTTCAGTACAGTGGATGCTTTGCTGAGAGGAGAGACTGTGATTCCCTGAAGAAAATGATTACCAGAGGCACTCGTGTGAATCTTCAGACACCAACGTGTACTTAGTGAAGATCTCAAAAGTTGACTTCAAAGAAGAATCTGGTGGTGGTATTGGCACCAAGAGATGAGAATTTGAAATCTGACCCTAGCTAAGAGCTGTCTGCTCCTCTCCTAAAGCATATGCCACAGAGAAGGAATTCAGATGTGTTCTGAAATTAATAACCACTGGGGGTGGAATGGACTGGCCAGATAACATGCTGTTTTATCTCTTAGATTTTTTTTAACTTAAGGTTAAACATTTCTGGGAAACATAGAATTGATAACAATTTACCACCTCAGCATTTTTAATTCGTGAGATGGAATCTGTAAAATGCAAACACAATCCTCAGCAGTGTCTTCCTCTTGAAGAAGGGAGAGTGAAGGCTGTGTGCCTGCAATTGTCTGAGGCAGTGGATGTGGAGAGAAAGAAGCAAAGGACTAGGAATTCAGAGACCTTTGCTCGAGTCCTGGCTCAACCACGAGAAAGCCATGAAACATTTCATAAATCATTTAACATTTCTGAACTTCACCTGGAACACAGGGATAATAAGACCTTACAAGGTCTTTAAAGACTTAAGTCTTAAACTTCCTGACTCTCTTTGTCTTGATCTGTAAAATGAAAGGTAATAATATGTACCCCATTGGCTATTATCTGTGCTTACAGCAGAGCACTCTGGAACATCATAGCTTTTCTTTCTTTATTCTAGGACCTAGAAAAATCAATTTGCCATTAATTAATAAATTATTTATAGCCTTCAACTTTATCTTGTCTTTCTCTTATTTTCACCAGGTTACTATCACTGTACCCACAGGCTAAGTTAGAATTAGGACCAGGACAAATTAGAGAAGGAAGGTAACAATCCAGTTATAAATTCCTGTTTCTGCTCTCTTTAGACTCTGTCAATTGTTCCAAAGTACCTCTAGTGCAATTTCTAATTTTGTTCATGCTTCTCCTCCTTCTTCAGTGGCCTTCTCCATCCCCACCTCTACAAAGCTTGTGTATTCTACAAGATCTAGTATGAGTTTTCTCTACTCTGTGAAGCTTTTCTGCCTCTCCACGTCAACTCCTGTAGAACGTAGCCTCCCTAGTACTCATTTTGTACTCAGCCATCATCTTGCCTATTTTAGGGAATCTCTATGTAACCGGCTACAGGAGTCTGTCAGCTGTTCAAATGACATTTCCTTGAAGACAGAAGCAAAGCTCTAGTCCATATACCCAATACATTATAGCCATTGTAGAAAATAAAAAAAATAATTTTTAGAAAGGAGAAAACTAAAATTATCCATAATGCCCAAAGACAGAAACATTTCCAGCCAAACAATAAAACAAAAAACGCTCTAATTTTGCTTTTCACATCTGGATAACTGAATAAATCTTTGCTTCATGAATTTGAATTAGACCAAAGAAAGGTTTAATTAGATAGCTAAAGTATGCTTTTAGTTACCAATAAAAATATGAAGACTCTCCCAAGAGCTGTCTGTGTCCTCTGTTTAAATTCCTCCACTAGATTTGGAGATTTGATATGATAAATGTTACTGCAAATCTTGGTCTTTAATATATTTACCTTAACCTGGGCTTTTAATTATTTGTATCATGAAGTATTCCAATTATATATGAGGTTTTTGTTGTGATCTCAGCAGAAAATCAGAACTTTTTTAGCTTTCAGAAACTTGACTCCTTTATAGTTTAATATTTACACTACCTAATGGTTAATATTCAATCTATAAAACATGTAATCCCCTTGTATAAGTCAGGTTAAGAATGGTTCAAAACATTATCATCAATAACTTTCTAAAGGTACATACTAGAAACCTATAACAAAAGAGTTAATGAGTACTGATGGTTTTAATTAAACTTTGTGTAGTAACAGTATTATCTGCATGACTCCAATTAGTCTTGAATTTTGAAGTGGTAGGGAGCAGATTGGTTAATACCTGGGATATGAAGAAACCTTTATGCCTCTTAGGAAAGTATTCCTTGCTTTCAACATTTTGTTGATTATAAGGCACAGCATCAATTCAGTAATTTAATTTTCAGTTATTTTCTACATATTTACCCTTTTCTCCCTTTGGTAGCATTCGTTGTCCTCAAACGCTCTTCTTAATTCCATAAAGACTCACTCCATGCAAAGTTCATGCAGATTGTAAAGCACAGCAGCAATTCATAACTTTTCAGGTGAAAAAAAAAAAACCCCAGTACATTCAATGACCTCATTAATTAGAAGGCACATTTCTATATCAGAAATGTTAATATAGCGAGAAGGAGGGAAAATATGCTTCTTCGACCTGAAGAAATCCCTGTAGCGCCTCTACCCTCTCTCATGTGCACAGAATACTGCCATTTGTATTTGACTCATTTAGTGTAAGGCTTGAGACCCTGTCAGAATATAAACACCATCACCTGTTACTCATACATGGCCTTAACAAGGTCCTGCTACTCAATTACTCACATGCTTAACAAGTTAAATTTGTAATTGCTAACATTAGTAGTCTCCGCAAGGTAAAATAGTTCAGCAATTTGCATGCAACAAGTTGTAATGGGAAAGAAAGAGTTTGATGATATCAAATGCTACCAAAAGAGAAAAAGGTAAAGAACTGGAAGAAATGGGGCATTAAAAACAAAACAAAACAAAACAAAACAAAACAAAACAAAACAAAAAACACCATTGTTGCAATGTTGCTAAGAGTGAACTCTGCACACCATGGTTATTTTGGCCTGGGATCAAAGAGAAGAAAATGCACATGAACAAGCCTTGGTCATTTGAGACTAGACTTTCACTAAATTGGTGTCTTCCTTCATCTGTTCTCAAAGCCAATGGGAGTAGGAGTGGTGTACAAGAATAAAATGGCTATTATTTTGCTCTATTTTTATTTTTTATTTCATTTTTTTTTATTTTTTTGAGACAGAGTCTCACTCTGTCGGCCAGGCTAGCGTGCAGTGGCTCGATCTCAGCTCACTGCCAGCTCCGCCCCCGGGTTCACAGCATTCTCCGACCTCAGCCTCCCGAGCAGCTGGGACTACAGGCGCCTGCCACCACACCCAGCTAATTTTTTGTATTTTTAGTATAGACGGGGTTTCACCATGTTAGCCAGGATGGTCTCGATCTCCTGACCTCGTGATCCGCCCGCCTTGGCCTCCCAAAGTGCTGGGATTACAGGCGTGAGCCACCGCACCCGGCCCTGTTTTTATTTTAAACTAGGAAGTGGCAAGATTAAAACTATGTTTCAGAAAAATTATTATAATAATTTTTACATATTTCAGTCCAATGAATATTAAGGATGGCTCAAAGAATTCCTCACAATGTGAATAAGCTGCTTAATTGAGATAGTGAAAGTAGTCCTCCCCATAGAGCTTTCTCTCAATGAGCATGCCTATCAAACAAATTCCTGGGAGGCAAATTGGTGATGCCAAACTATACTTTAACAGAAATTATGGGTTAAAAAAACAAACTGCAAAGCAACTGTGGCCATTGCCTCCTTCCAGGAGGAATTGAGTAATTCCTATCCTGAAGAGGATAATTCAATATAATGCTTACTTCTGCTTACAGAGATTGATAGGGAAAAAACCATGTCCAATAATTTTATCATAAAAGACAAAAGACTGCAAATCCAGAAGTTCTCCTCTTCCTGTAAGCTATAAAAGATATGGCCTACAACAGCGGCTTCTTGATTGGCTGATATCTTTATGAATATAGAAAGAGTTGATCTGATGAGCAGGTGGGGAAGATAAAAGAACTCTGCTTGCGAATAAACAGACCTTTAATTTTTTTTTTCTTTTTAGTCCATGGGAATGATATTGGAGACTTGTCATAGGAGTGAAGACAAAGAAGTGGCACAAAAATCTGGCTGGTGGCACGGACGTTTCTCAAAAAATATCCCATTGTAAGGAAGAGCTGATGAGATTTTAATAATGGGAATAACTCATATTAAATATTTTTTGTTGTGCTGTGCTGGGGGATAAATTCCTTCTTTACTCCCAGTGTTTAGGGAAAACTTGCTACATCATTGACATTGTATTGTATTTTATCATTAAATTAAAGGGAAAGAAGTTTGTGTTCCACTTTAGGCTCAAAATGGTGGTAGAGATGGATAACTGTTAGAGGAGGTAAAACTCACAAAGGACGTAGAGAATACAGCAGAAACAGAAATTGGAGAAAGATCTCCTGGGATCTTTACAGTCTTGAGGTTGAAGAGGAAAAGACCACTTGGTATTCGATTCTACCAAAGTCAGAAGGTTGAGCTTTCTTTTCTTTATTTTTCTTTTTTCTCTTCCTCTTTTCTCTCCTTCCTTCCTTCTTCCTTCCTTCCTTCCTTCCTTCCTTCCTTCCTTCCTTCCTTCCTTCCTTCCTTCCTTCCTTCCTTCTTCTCCCTCTCTATCTCTCAAAGGGAAAGGTAATCTGAGAATGCTGGAAGGTTGAAGAATTTGAGTTGAGGATTTGCCACTCCACTTTCATTCAAATACCCTTATTAGAAAAATGTTTGCCCTCCAAGGCTATTTGTGTTAAGTGGAAAACATTCTTTAGCCCCAACAAAAGACCAAGTCTCTTTTTACAGTCTCTTACTAAGGTATCTTGTGATTTTGGACATATCACTTAATTTCTCTGATTCTTAGTGGCCGCATTTGTAAAAATGAGAATATATCAGATTAATAGCAAGATAATTAAATCAACGTAAGTAATTAAATTACCTTTTCAAGTCTGCTCAAATGTCACCTTCCTTGACCACCCTATTTAAATTGCAAACCCTAACACTCAAAATCTCCCTTCACAGCTGTAAATTTTCTCCAAGAAATGTATCCTTTACTAATATACTATATATTTTAAATGTTAGCATCCCTCTACTGGAATGTAAGCCCCTAAAGGACTTTGTCTATTTTACTCTCCGATGTACTCTTAGCATCTAGAAGTTCCTATCCCATAGTAGACACTCAATAAATTAAAATAAATTACGTGAATTCTAGGAGTCTCTTCCATGTTTACAATTTATGTTTAATTCCTCTTTTACTGAAAAAAAAACCTAAGTTTTTCAAGCTTTTATTTAGATTGAAATATTTATCTATTCACAAACATGTTTCCATGAAAATAAAAACTGAATTTATATTCCATCCTATCCGATTCCTGTAATTCATTGTAACTAAATGTGACTGTGGCTAATCATTTATTCACATATTCTACAGACACTTAACAAATGTGAAAAGAGATGTTGACTCAAACTTTTAGGAGGCAAATTTCAGAGTCCACTTAGAAAGGTCAGCAGAGAACATTATTTAATATTAAAACAGACTAATGCCAGCACCATTCCACAGTAAACAAGTAGAACATTTAAGCAGAATATTCAGCTGGGAGGGCAACTGAGCGTGAGGTTCAAGGTCCTTAGCTAATTGTCTCATGGATCTCAATCATCCACTCCATTGTAGAATGGCAAAGGGGAAAACCAGCATGATCTACTATCGGCTCAATTTTGCTAAATAAGCATGAAGGGAAAGATGTCTTATTTAGTTCAGGCTTGTAGGGACTTAAACAGGACGTTTGAATAGGCCTCAAAAAAGGAAGAAATTCTCAAATACTTTATAAACAAATGGAACTTCAATTAAATTCAAACAAGATTTAATATTGAGTGATTTTTATTACTCAAATTCTTTGGAAATACACTTCACACAAGCTCAGAGGCAATTCTATCAGTTACCAGTGGAACTCTTCAGTCTTCCATTTCTTGGCAATTCCAGTGTTCTTTATGCCACCTTGGCCCATCACTAGGTATCACTCTGAATAAATGACTTTTGCATATTTTCCAAACTGAAAACCAGTGGATATTTGTCATCACTGGGAATACATAAATAAATGTAGCCCATTTATATGGTGCACATTATCACCCAATTGAGTCGCTGATAAAAAACTATGCGCTATAGTTACTACTGTTCAACACATTTTTGCAAGACTTTCTTTTGATACTACCATGATACGAGTAATTACGTTCTCAAGTGTTTAGTGGCAAATCAAAGACATTGCTATCCTTCTTTATAAGTGATCAAGCTGATAATAATGAAGGTCCAGCCTCAGGTCATTCATCTTCTTCAAGTGGTCAGAATTTTAGTGATGTTTGTGTGTGTTCATATATCTGAAAATTCTGAAAAGCCTTGATTTCTTCACTAAGTTGCCAGGCCCTGGAAGGTTTTGTTTTGGGGTCATGATGCATGGAAAATTACTCATAAATGGAGTTCCCATTAGAATTCAGCTTTTCAGGTGCCTATTTAGAAATTACTTCAATTAATGTGAAATGCTTTTCCTCATATTAAAATCAGACAAGTCTGAATTCAAGTTTCAGCTCAGCCATTTACCGACTTTGGGGAAAGTTGCTTTAACTCTTTGAGCTGAAGTTTCTTCATCGTGGAACTCAGGATTATACCTAATCCATAGACAAAGCATGGTAGGTGGAAAGGTACCAGAATAATTTAGCACAACTTTCCAGCCTACCTTTCTGACTATAGGCATACTTATACAAATCCTATGTAAAGTTTTTAGCTCCCTTTCTGGGTGGCTTGGATTTATTTTATTTTATGCATAGCTCTTTTTTAAATTGAAGGTTGCTCTTGATGGCCCTGCTTATGGTTTTCAGATACATTTTATGAACTTAAATGAAATGATACATGTCAACTGACTGATATGTACTTAGGTGCTCATTAAGTGGAAGCTCTTATTAAGAATGAAGACTGAAGGCATATGAATCAGATAAAGCCAGGCTCAAAGTTTTGCTTAGCCATTTGCCAACTTTATCACCTTGAACAAGTTACTTCATTTCTTTGGTAATTAGCCTACTCATCTTTAAAATGGAAATGGGACCCTTTTAACGGGGTTGTTGTGAGAATTAAAGATATGTGTCAACTACGTCATACAAGCAAGCATATCATAGGAATTTCAAAAATGCTATTGTTATTGCGTCTATCACATTTCAACATTTGCAACTTCCAATGCTATTCTGGAAAGAACAGAGTCTAGGAAAGTAAAACAGAAGCTACCATATTATCACCTATAATACTTCCTGACCCAGGAGGACAAAAGCCAAGTTTCTGATTTGGAGTTCCCTTGATATTTGCTCTATTCTATATCTAGAAATTCTGTATAATGTCTAGATTATGGAAATCCTCTCTATTTCATTGCACTGATGTAGTCCCTTGTTTTGTGTGTTGTTACATCATTTCTTTCTATCTTTTCAGATGATCTCCTTGCACCCTAGGGTGGAAATATTCTTACAAATGTTCTTACAAATGTGTGAAAAAAAATCTTTTTTCATCTTTGTTTTGTGATGCAGGGGTGTCTAAAAGAGAGAATACAGTCATGGGTTCTTAGCTTCTGTTTCTGATTAGGTCAGTAAAGCCCCTTCCTCATCCTTCTTTTCCACTTATCACTAGAGACAGAAACTAAAAACCATGGCTTCAGCATGCTAAAAGCCTAAAACAAAACAAAACAGAACAATAACAACAAAATAAGGTGAGTTGGACAAGCTTGGTAGGTATTTGCAGCCATTGTATCTTCTAAGTTTAACTTCAAGTTATTTTTATGCTGTGGAAACAAGAGTATGGCCCACTTTGCAAATGTTTTAAGCTTTCCCTAGTCAGCATTATTGCAGTCCACCTATGGAGCAACAGTGTTATGGAAAATCACAAACCAGAACTTGGAGAATCTGTAAA
This sequence comes from Homo sapiens, assembly GCF_000001405.40. Lineage (NCBI taxonomy): Eukaryota > Metazoa > Chordata > Mammalia > Primates > Hominidae > Homo > Homo sapiens. The sequence goes on from NC_000011.10 coordinate 26,729,549, forward strand.
GAAAGCACATTTGGAAATGTTCTCGTTGTGTATATTTTAAAATTCTAGAGGATTAGAAAGAAAGATTAATGGGAAAGTGTACAATACCAGTACCTCCATGAGACAAACACAGGTTGGAGAAGCTATTTTCTACTTGTTTTTAAATATAACTATTTGTAGGACTGCCTATATGGGTGAGATTATGTTTATCTACTACATTCCTAATTCAGAATCCCACTTCTTGCCTCTGCTAAGTATATTTTCAAATTATTAGACTTCACTTGAGGTCTATGAGATGTTTAGGATAGCTGTGGTTTTTCTAATGAGAAAAGCATGGTTTATTAGAAAAAAATATTTATCAGGAGAGAAATACGATGAGATTTTTAATCATAATTACTTTTGATAACAATCTGAAGAAAATATATTGTGAGCCAAATACATGCACTGTTTTTTTTTTTAAGAAGTCATCATCAGTGTAAATTAAAAAGCTGTGTATTTTGAGCTTTCCTCAGAAAGCTATCCTTTCCTGAGAAAGGAGGGTTGAGATAGGGTGAGGAGGGCATAACTAATATTAGGAGGCCAAGGATATCACTGATTGGTCTCTTTCCTCACTTTGAGTATTTTTTTTAATATCAGGTCAAAAGAATGTGGAATTTGAAGTGAAAGAAACTGAGTTTGAGTCCAGTTCTACTACTAGTCTGCAAACTTAAGCAAAAGTATGCTTTGACCTCGAGCAAAACAAACAAGCAAAAAAACAAACCCTTTGAGCATCATAATCCTTACCTTAAAATAAAGATGATATTATTTACCTAGAGGGGATGTTTTGAGGCTTCCATACTATGATGTATTATAAACTGTAAATGCATTCTGTAAGGATACTTGGCATATGTAGTTAGGGCAAGGCAGGAAGAATAATAGAATTTTGGGCTTGGACATCAAATGTAAGTAAATTTCATTTCTGCTCTATTACTAACTATAAAATTTAGGCTGATTACTTAGTGTCTCTGAGCTTTATCTTTTATAAAATATGTTACCTTACACAGTAGTTATGAGTACCAAGATAACATAAATCAGTGCTCAGCATAGTGTCTACCACACAATAGTTTATCCATACATATTACTAGTAACAGTTGATTTCTTTTTTTTATACTATGGCCATATTAATATTGATGCTGATTTACTAGAACAAGCATTTGTTGAGTGGAAGCTATGTAAAAGATTAAAAGCTTATGCTGAGGAAGTGTGCAAAGGTAAATGGAACGTGATGTATATGCCCAAGATATCTACACTCTAGTAGGAGTGTGGAGCTGCAACGATAGGAGGGTCATCTATAAATAGTGGTATGATGTAATCTTTTATGATTCATCATCCTAACTGGGGACACGTTGACAGTGAAAAAAAGATCGTGCTATAATACTGAGCAGAGACATAAACTGAGACTGTCCTAAGCAAAAACCAAGACATATGGTCACTCTCTCTTGATGGGAGATGTATCAGACACTGGAATAAATTCAGAGAATAAATTTGGCTGACTTCCTGCAATTGCCTCAGGCTAACTTTCAGGCCAGTGATTGGTACTTTGTTTCTTATCATAGAAGTTTCCAGAATGTTCTGATACTCCAGCCCCCACTCTCTGGCAAAGTCTCCACTGGAGAAATGCTTGAGATCAAGAAAGGACTCATCCTATGACATCCTGTGGAAAAGCACCCTCCCACACACACAAGCATTCCCATCCAGGTGGAGGAAAACCCACACACTGCTGCTGATATGCTTGGATGCCCTGATTTCTGCCAGTAAACCTGACGTATTGATGCACTTACTTTTAGTCACCAAAGAAAGAAAAGGCCCCAAATGCCCATGAGATTAAATCAACCTCAAACACATACATACATATACACACACAGACACAAACACACACACACACACAACCAAATCATATGGTTTGGCTGTGTCCCCACCCAAACCTCACCTTGAATTGTAGTAATCCCTACATGTCAAGGGTGGAGCCAGGTGGAGATAATTGAATCATGGGTGCAGTTTCTCCATACTGTTCTTGTGGTAGTGAATAAATCTCATGAGATTTGATAGTTTTATACATGGGAGTTCCCCTGCACAAGCTCTCTCACCTGCCACCATGTAAGATGTGACTTTGCTCTTCCTTTGCCTTCCACCATGCTTGTGAAGACTCCCTAGCCATGTGAAACTGTGAGTCAGTTAAACCCATTTCCTTTATAAATTACCCAGTCTCTGGTGTGTCTTTGTTAGCAGCAATGAGAACGAACTAATACAGTAAATTGGTACTGATAGAGTAGGGTGCTGCTATAAAGATACCAAAACTGTGAAGTGACTTTGGAACTGGGCAATAGGCAGAGGGTGGAACAGTTTGGAGGGCTCAGAGGAAGACAGAAAAATGTGAGAAAGTTTGGAACTTCTGGCCAGGTGCAGTGGCTCAAGCCTGTAATCCGAGCACTTTGGGAAGCTAAGGTGGGTGGATCACCTGAGGTCAGGAGTTTGAGACCAGTCTGGCCAACATCATGAAACCCCATCTCTACTAAAAATATAAAAATTAGCCAGGCATGGTGGCAGGCACCTGTAATCCCAGCTACTCAGGAGGCTGAGGCAGAGGCAGGAGAATCACTTGAGACTGGCAGGCAGAGGCTGCAGTGAGCCAAGGTTGCCACCATTGCACTCCAGCCTGGGTGACAGAGCAAGACTCCGTCTCAAAAAAAAAAAAAAAAAAAAAAAAAAAAAAAAGAAAGAAAGTTTGGAACTTCCTAGAGACTTGTTGAATAGTATTGACCAAAATCCAAAATGCTGATAGTGATATGGACAATGAAGTTCAGGTAGAGGCGCTCTCAGATGGAGAAGAGGAACTTGTTGGAAATTGGAGCAAAGGTGACCCTTGTTATGCTTTAACAAAGACTGGGGGCATTTTGCCTCTGTTCTAGAGATCTGTGGAATTTTGAACTTGAGAGAGATGACTTAAAGCATCTGGTGGAAGAAATTTCTAAGCAGCAAAGCATTCAATAGGTGACCTGGGTGCTGTTAAAAGCATTCAATTTTATGTTTCACAATAATATGGTTTGGAATTGGAACTTAGGTTTAAAAGGGAAGCAGAGCATAGAAGTTTGGAAAACTTGCAGCCTGACAATGTGATAGAAAAGAAAAACCCATTTTCTGGGGAGAAATTCAAGCTGGCTGCAGAAATTTGCATAAGCAATGAGGAGCCAAATGTGAACCACCAAGACAATGGGGAAAATGTCTCTAGATCATGTCAGAGGTCTTCACAGCAGCCCCTCCCATCACAGACTCAGAGGCGTAGAAGGAAAAATGGGTTCTTGGGCCTGTCCCAGGGCACCCCTGCTCTGTGCAGCCTAAGGACATTGTGTCCTGCATCCCACCACTCCAGCTGTGGTTAAAAGGGGCCAAGGTACAGCTCAGGCCATGACTTGAGAGGGTGCAAGCCCCACGCCTTGGCAGTTTCCACATGATGTTGAGTCTGCAGGTACATGGAAGTCAAAAATTGAGGTATGGGAAATCCTCCTAGATTTCAGAGGATGTATAGAAATGCATGGATGCCCACGCAGAAGTTTGCTGCAGGGACAGGGCCCTCATGGAGAACCTCTTCTAGGGCAGTGTGGAAAGAAATGTGGGGTTGGAGCCCTAACACAGAGTCCCCACTGGGACACTGCCTAGTGGAGCTGTGAGAAGAGGTCCATACCCCAGAATGGTAGATCCACTGACAGCTTGCACTGTGTGCCTGGAAAAGCCACAGATGCTCAATGACAGCCTGTGAAAGCAGCCAGGAGGGAGGCTGTATCCTGCAAAGCCACAGGGGCGGAGCTTCTCAAGACCATGGGAACTCACCTCTTGCATCAGCATGACCTAGATGTGAGACATGGAGTAAAAGAAGATCATTTCGGGGCTTTAAGATTTGACTGCCCCACTGGATTTTGGACTTGCATGGGGCCTGTAGCCCCTTCGTTTGGGCCAATTTCTCCCATTTGGAACGGCTGTATTTACCCAATGCCTGTACCCCCATTGTATCTAGAAAGTAACTAACTTGTTTTGATTTTACAGGCTCTTAGGTGGAAGGGACTTGCCTTGTCTCAGATGAAACTTTGGACTGTGGACTTTTGAGTTAATGCTGAGATGAGTTAAGACTTTGGGAAACTGTTGGGAAGGCATGATTGGTTTTAAAACATAAGGACATGAGATTTGGGAGGGGCAAGAAGTGGAATGATGTGGTTTGGCTGTGTCCCCACCATATCTCACACTGAATTATAGTAATCCCCATATGTCAAGGGCAGGGCCAGATGAAGATAATTGAATCTTGGGGGTGGTTTTCTCCATACTGGTCTCGTGGTAGTGAATAAGTCTCATGAGATCTGATGGTTTTATAAATGGGAGTTCCCCTACACAAGCTCTTTTACTTTCCACCATGTAAGATATGACTTTGCTCTTCCTTTGCCTTCTGCCATGATTGTGATGCCTCCCCAGCCATGTGGAACTGTGAGTCAATTAAACCTCTTTCTTTTATAAATTACCCAGTTCCTGGTAGGTCTTTATTAGCAGTGTGAGAACAAACTAATATGACAGAAAACAAATGAAAAAGAAGAGCAAGTAGACCTCATAATACTTAATAATAGAAACAGTTTTGTTTGATTTTATCTCTATGTGTTAAATTTAGGCACTTCCATGTAATTTCTCCATAAGGATCAACTCATAATGATCCTTCTCAAAAGTAACGACATGATTTTTAGGAAGTGTGGCTCTCTCTATTCATCCACTATTAAGCCATATATATGTTTTTCCCCAAGAGAGGTCTTATATCTTGATTTAAGGTTTCAGACCTCAAGTAACTAACCAAACTTGTAAATCTTGCATGAAATACAACTAATGGGGGAGGAGGGGCTAAAAGTCAAGTGATGACTTTGTAAGATAGAACTAAATATTTAGTATTAAGAAGGCAAGATGTGATGGCGGACAGATTATAGTCTGGGAAAAATCGGGGTTCCTTTACAAGCTCTGTTCCACACAACACGTTTGAGCAAAGTTATGAAAACTTTTGATCTAGTGTCAGCTATAAAATGAGAATCATACTATGTAGTGTAGTTTTAAGGATTAAATAAGATAATGCTTATAAAATTGCTGATACAGGAGCAGGCATAGGTGGAATTCAGTAAATGACAACTCAATAAATGGTCTCACTGCTGAGGATATCAAGTTTATAAATGCACTGCTTATCTCACTTTGTTAAATTTTTAAGTGTTTATGTAGCAATTTGCATAAAACGAAGTCCATTTTTCCTTCAGGTAAGATATATTTTTGGACTTTGGCTTTTGTTAATGATTGTTTTATCTAGTTTTAGATGTCACTACCAGTCTATACCACCGATCACAGATCAAAAGCATGAGATTTAGATTTAGCTGAACTTCTACGAGTTTCTGAATGACTAAGCTTCATTCCAGGGAATAGTCATTGAGTGCAAATGAAAAAAATAGCAATAATTGCTAGAAAAAAATGGTATATTTTCCAGATCACCTACAAAGGGAACCCCGTCAGGCTAGAAGCACCCCTGTTAGCAGGAATCCTATAAGCCAAAATAAATTGGGGGCCTATTTTCAGCATTCTTAAAGAAAAAAAAAATCCAATCCTCATACCCAAACCTGGCAGAGACATAATGAAAAAAGAAAACTTTAGGTCAATATCCCTGATAAACATAGACACAAAAATGCTCAAGAAAATACTAGCAAACTGAATCCAGCAGCACATCAAAAAGTTAATTCACCATGTTCAAGTGGCCTTTATTTCTGAGATGCAAGGTTGGTGCAACATATGCAAATCAATAAATGTGATTCCCCCCCACATAAATAGAATCAAAAACAAAACTCATATGATCATCTTAATAGATGCAGAGAAAACCTTTGATAAAATCCAACATTCCTTCATGATAACAGTCCTTTTTTTTTTGAGTCTCGCTCTGTTGCCCAGGCTGGAGTGCAGTGGCGCCATCTTGGCTCACTGCAAGCTCTGCCTCCCAGGTTCACGCCATTCTCTTGCCTCAGCCTCCCAAGTAGCTGGGACTACAGGTGCCTGTCACCAGGCCTGGCTAATTTTTTGTATTTTTAGTAGAGATGGGGTTTCATCGTGTTAGCCAGGATGGTCTTGGTCTCCTGACCTCGTGATCTGCCCACCTTGGCCTCCCAAAGTGCTGGGATTACAGGAGTGAGCCACTGCACCCAGCCTATAACACCCTTAACAGACTAGATATTGAAGGAACATACCTCAAAATAATAAGAAGCATCTATGACAAACCCACAGCCAACATTACACTGAATGGGCAAAAACTAGAACCATTCCCCTTCAGAAATGCAACAAGATAAGGATGCTCACTTTCATCATTTCTATTCAACATAGTACTGGAAGTCCTAACTAGAGCAATTAGACAAGAGAAAGAAATAAAAGGCATCACAATAGGAATAGAAGGAGTCAAACCATTTCTGTTTCCTAAGGATATGATTCTATATATAGAAAACCCTAGCAACTCCACCAAAAGGCTTCCGGGACTGATAAACAAATTCAGTAAAGTTTCAGGATACAAAATTAATGTACAAATTCAATAGCATTTTTATACACCATTAACATTCTAGCTGATAACTAAATCAAGAACACAATCCCATTTACAATAGCCACAAAGAAAATTAAATACCCAGGAATTCATCTAACTAAGGAGGTGAAAGATCTCTACAAAGACAACTACTGAAATAAATCAGAGACAACACAAATAAGTGGAAAAATACTCCATGCTCATGGGTTAGAAGAATCAATATAGTTAAAATGGCCATACTACCCAAAGCAATTTACAGATTCAATGAAATGCCTATCAAAATACCAATTTTAGTTTTCACAAATTTAGAAAAACCTATTCTAAAATTCATTTGGAACCAAAACAGAGCCCAAATAGCCAAAGAAATCCTAAGCAAAAAATACTATGCTATAAGGCTACAATAATTAAAACAGAATGGTACTGGACAAAAAAAAAAGACACAAAGACCAGTGGAACACAATAGAGAATCCAGAAATAAACCCACACACCTACAACTACCTGATCTTCGACAAAATCAACATAAATAAGCAATGAAGGAAGGTCACCCTATTCAACAAATGGTCCTGGGATAACTGGCTAGCCATATGCAGAAGGATGAAACTGAACCCCTATCTCTTACCATATATAAAAAGTAACTCAAGATAAAGATTTAAGTGTAAGACCTCATACATATATACCATGGAATACTACACAGCTATAAAAAAGAATGAAATAATGTCTTTGGTAGCAACATGGATTGAGCTGGAGGCCATTATCCTAGGCAAATTAATGCGGGAACAGAAAACCAAATACCGCATATTCTTACACACGAGAGCTAAACAGTGAGAATACGTGGATACAAAGAAGGGAGCAATAGACGCTAGGCCTACTTGAGGGTGGAGGGCAGGATGAGTACAAGGATTGAAAAACTACCCATCAGGTATTATGCTGATTACCTGGGTGACAAAATTATCTGAACACCAAACCCCCATAACATGCAATTTACCCATGTAACAAATCTGCACTTGTACCCCTTTAACTTAAAAGACAATTTGGAAAGAAAAAAATAAAAACCATAAAACACCTCAAACTATAAAAATCCTGGAAGAAAACCTAAGAAATACCCTTCTCGACTTTGCTTTGGCAATAAATTTATGGCTAAGTCCCCCAAAAGCAACTGCAATGAAAACAAAAATGGATAAGTAGGACCTCGTTAAACTAAAGAGCTTCTGTACAGCAAAATAAATTACTAACAGAGGAAATAGCCTACAGAATGGGAGAGAATATTCACAAACTCTACATCTGACAAAAGTCTAATATCCGGAATCTGTGAGGAACATAAACAAATCAACAAGTGAGAAACAAAAAATTCAATTAAAAATGAGCAAACGAAATTAACAGATACTTCTCAAAAGAAGACATACAAGTGGCCAAATACATATGAAAAAATGCTCAACGTCACTAATCATCAAAAAAATGAAGAAATGCACATCGAAAACACAATGAGATATCATCTCACACTAGTGAGAATGATGATTATTAAAAAATCAAAAAACAGGGCAAGGCTGTGAAGTAAAGGAAATGTTTATACACTGTTGGTGGGAATGCAAATGAGTTCAGCCACTGTGGAAAGCAATTTGGAGATTTTCAAAGAACTTAAAATATAACTACTATTCGACCCAGCAATCCCACTACTGAGTATATGCCCAAAGGAAAACAATTCATTCTATCAGAAAGACACATCTATCAGTATGTTCATTGCAATGCTATTCGGAAACACATGGAATCAACCTAAGTGTCCATCAGCAGTGGATTGGATAAAGAAATGTACATGTACACCAAGGAATACCAGGCAGCCATAAAAAAGAAAATTAATGTCTTTTGCAGCTACATGGATGGAGTTGGAGGCCATTATCCTAAATGACCTAATGCAAGAACAGAAAACCAAATACCACATGTTCTTACTTATAAGTGGGAGCTAAACATTGGATACACATGAACATAAAAATGTGAACAATACACACTGCAGATAGCTAGATGGAAGAAGGAGGGAGGGGGTGTGGCGCCTGAGCAACCACTGCTGGGTATTATGCTTACTGCCTGGATGACAAGGCTCTTGGGATCCCAAGCCTCAACATCCTGCAATTTATCCATGTAACAAACCTGCACATGTACCCTTTAGTCTCTAAGCTGAAAAAAAAAAATTCTCAATGATTTTTAGGATCTGAACTGTCTTGAATGACACCTTTCTATAAGTTGTTTCACATTTCATCTTCCTAGGCAACTGAAAGCTCACCCAGGAAGCATACTGTGCAATTTTCTTTCAAAGGCCAGACCATGAGAGAGAACCAACAGAAGGGAAAAGAGAAGAAAAGAAAAGAAATGCATGTTTTTGGATCACCTACTCTCTATGTGCCAGTCAAAAAGCTAAACACTGCACAATAGACCCAGGCATCACCTAGGACCTTCTTGCTTCTTGAAAATGGAGTCTTAATTTTCTTTGTTATGCTACTTATGTATATCGAGAGATATCACCACAATTTTGCATATTCTCAAGGGCCTATCTTTTCCATGGTCATCAGTACCTTCAGCCAAAATGTAAAACTAGAGAAAGAAGAGTTTGCTGATCTGGGAACCTCCTTTTAGGATATGATATTTAACATGCTGGCAGGGACATCAGAGAATCATACAAATTCACTACCAGAATGCTTCCTAGAGAACTGAAAAGAAATGACCCATGTTGAGTGAGGTTGAAGTGCTTTGGTTACCATAATAGGCGGCAGCAGCGGAGAAAGGAACTAATTGGCTCAAGGACTCCAGTTTAACCATGATACAAATAACAGACTGATGGACATTAAAAGACATTGTACAAAATTCCTGATCAGTATTCCTCAAAGCTGTCAAGATTATCAGAAACAAGGAGGGTCTAAAAAACTGTTACTGTCCAGAGGAGTCTAAAGAGATATAATAACTAAATGTAATGTGGTAGCCTGGATGAGATCCAAAAACAGAAAATGACATTAGATAAAAACTAAAAAAATTCAAATAAAGCATGGACTTCAGATAATAATAGCGTATAACTATTGGTTCATTCATTGTAACAATTATATTATTATAATATTATAACAATAGAGGAAACTGCCTGGGGGACATATGGGAATCCTCACAAGGATTGTACCTTTTCTGTATATATAAAACTATTCTAAATTTAAAAATTTTATTAAGAAAAAAATAGGCTCAGGTAAGTGAGCAAGCTAGACAGATATGTTATGTGATTAGCACAGGTTTGGATTTTACCAACAGATCTGGCAGGTATACTATTCACCAAAACTAGCAGGAATTGCTGGAGAGAGAGGTATCAACATCTCTGAGATCAGCTGGTTGGAGAGGCTGCCACAGAACTTGCCTTATTAATAGCAGTGAGAATGAAGAGGCCATAAAGCAATGAATCTCAGTGGCAATAATTCACTGACAGAAACCAGATTGTCACTGGTTCTCTTAACAAATGGCAAGATCAGGGTGGCAGTCAAGGGGGCTTGAACCAGTGAGAATTGGAGAGACGATAAGAACACAGTATCCCTAAGGGGATTGATACCTGGAGATCTGAAGCAACACCATCCTCAAAGTCTAAATTACAGTGGATCCACTGGGTACGTGAACTCACTGGTGATCATTTTCTCAGTCCATGGATGTATGCTCGTGATTGGTATTTTTGACAGTCGGAGTAACCTCCACACGATGTCCTTTGCCTATGATGTAATTGCTAATATAATGAGGAAACCCAAGTGGAAACCTCTGAAACTGCCTCCCACCCCTGGCCAAGGTAGTAAATCAAAAACACCACATCCTAGAGGAGATGATACAGAGAATAAAACATTAAGAGATTTAAAAAGAGCATGGGTGAAAGTCCCTATCATACTTCTATTTTATTTGCTTGTCTGGACTCCTGTAAAAACTAGATAGATGCTGGAGAATGATATAAGATGCCACAAGCTCACTCAAGGAGTAGCGTCAGTCACAGGTATCATGCCAAATAAGATATTTTCTCTACAGCTGATTGACATAGTATGGCTTTGGGTACGTGTTATATGACCATTAATTTGGTGAATGTATTCCTTCCTATCCCATCAGGACAGAGGACCAGAAACAGTAGACATTTACAAAAATTGACACTATATTCACAGTTTTACCCCAGGGTTATGTTAACTCTCCATCTAGAGATGTCAGGGCTATCCCGACATCTTGCAGAATATCACATTGATCTAGTATATCACTGACATACACTGATTGGCCAGAATAAGCCAGAGCAGCTAGCAAGCAAAAGCCCATGTTGAGGCACAAGTGCTGTAGAGGCAAGATACCCATATAAATATTTAGAGATCTACCACTTTAGTAAAATGTTTTAAGGGATATGTCAGTTTATTCTCTTAAAGCGGAGGCTAAATTGTGCAGGTTGTATATTCCTGGAAGTTTTTTGTTTTTTTTTTTTCTGGAGGCAACCCGTTTCACACCTAGGAATACTTTTCTCATCCACATATTGGACATCATGAAAAAAATGTCAGCTTCAATGGTGGACCAGAGACAGACAACATTCTGCAGCAGATCTAAGCTTCAGTACAAGCAGGACTGCCACTTTGGCCACATGATCTCAAAAAATCTTTAGTGATGGAGATGTCACTGGTGAAGAAGGATGCATTGAGGAATTTATGCCAGGCCCTAGTGAGAGATTCAATGGGTAGACTTTTGGATTCTGGACTCTGGTAGAGATGAAAGCTTGGCCACTGAGACCAAGTGACCATATGTCTAGAACTCCCCATTATAATCTAGTCGTGTTGGACCCACCAAATCTTACAGCCAGGCAGTAGTTCCAGCAGGAATCCATTATACAATGGACATTTTTCTTTCTGGATTGAGCATAAGCAGGACAAAACTTGATTTAAGGACAGATCAGCTTAGTATGTAAATGAAAGATGAAACTAGACAATGGTTGCCATGCCACCTCACTCAGGGGGGCCTCCAGATGTAAGTAGATCAGTAAGGCACTTGATGAAATAGAATGAATGAATGAAAATAGACAATGGTTGCAATGCTGCCTCACTCAGGGAGGCCTCCAATGTAAGTAGATCAGTAAGACACTTGATGACAAGTTGATTATTTTGGGCCACTTCCAACTTAGCCTAGTGATTCGTTCTAAGAAAAATGGGCATTTAATCCAAGAGCAGATTTGTCTTTCCCAGCCAAAGAATTTTAGACAGCACACCAGCCCCCGCCCCCACCTAAAAAAAAAAAAAAAAACCACTGCCTTCTTTTTTTGATTTACACATGTAACAAATTGCACTTGGGCTTTTAAAGTGGAGCAGACTTTACATTGGGGCTGTTTACATCACTGCAAAGCAAACGATTTAAAACTAAATACTAGCCATCCCCATTCTTCCTATTTATTTATTTGTTTGTTTATATTTTGTTATTTTTGTAAGTTATCCTCTCCCCTTTCTTTGTCTTTTTCTTCTCTAGCTTTTTTCTCCTCAGGAGAAAAATACATCAACCATTTAATCAAATACAAGTTCTCCCATTTTCATTTTCAGAGTAAATCAACTCTGTATAGTTTCTGCCTAATTCCGTTCTGTGCCTCCCTTTGACCTCCCTTGATTACTAAAAAATGTAGAGAAAGCTTTGAGTTAATTCTATTACAGTCCCACTCCTTGTTTGGTATGGGAGTAAGAGTGTTTGATCTTTGAGATACAGATATCATAAAATTCAGATTGATACTGCTGCAAACAAAACCTTTGAACGCCATTTTTTAGGATATACACACTAATATAAAATTTAACTATCTGCTACTCTGATTTCAGATTTAGATGTACCTGATATCCATACTGTCTAAAAGATAGCACTGTAAAATCTAGGCATAAATTTATTTGAGAAAGAGTCAATATTTGCTATAATAGCTACATTTCAAAGTCACCCAGTAAAAGAAAAAAAACCCATGGTTGGGGTTTGGGAGAACTGGTTCAAGTCTCACTAATGAGCTAGTGTCTTGGCTTCATCTTCTACAAAATGAAAGTGAATAAATAATAATGTCTGTACACTTTCTGCCTCATGAAGTTGGTGTGATACTTAAATGATAGAATTAATTTAAAAATGAGAAATAATTTAGAAGGATTTTAGTTTATTAAATGAGACTTGAATAGGACTTCCATCATCAAAGATATTATACACACACGCGTATACATATGTGCATATTACAGCATATTACATGTATATGTAACTTCTGTGTTCAGATTTATTGATGGTGAAAGTTTTTTGGAAGCTGTAGCTCTATATTAGGAAATAGCAAACTGTGACCCTCATAGGATTTTCCTGTTCATGTAAATAAGGTTTTATTAGAACACAGCCATGCCTAATCAGTTACTATTGTTTCTAGTTGCTTTCCTGCTACAATGGCAACAGAGACTCTTTGGCCCACAAAACCTAAAATATTCACTGTCTATTTCTTTACAGAAAAGGTTGTCATCTCCTGCTCTAGGTGCTAGATAGGCAAGATGTATGCTATATAAGAAATATATACGTATATATATATAAACATATACATATATAAATATATTTATATAGATATATATGAACTTTAGTATAATCTTAAAATCTGCAATGTGAAGTGGAATACTCATGCAATTTTCCTGATCGTTTAGGCCAAAAACAAGTTCTTTTCATCATGTCATTATTTTGGATGAGGGAGTTATAAGAACTTAGTGAACCAGACAATTGCCTTCATCTCTACTTTATTTCTGCTGCTCATGAATTGTTGGATTAGGGACTTTTCAAAAAATATTTACAAGTCTCTCTCTCTAGATCTCTCTCAGAAACTGCAGAAAGCACAAGAAACCATTCTTCCCTTTTCTGCTTCCATGTAACTTCAAATATTTACTGTGAAGTTTTGGGAATGTGTATATGTATGTCTATATCCACCATCACACATTTATTTAGAAGATGACGACCTCTTTTTGCAGTGAAAGTGACTATTATGAACAGGCTTGTGTTTTTGCTGGAGCTTAAGAATGAATGAGGATATTAGTCATCAAAGAAGTATAGAAAATCCATCCCCTTATCACACTTTACAAGAAGGAGTTCATTATTAGTTGCTTCTTTATCCAACAGATTATAACCTGAGGAAAGACCTTTAATGTTCATTAACACAGAAAAGGGAATTTGCATTTCACAAATAATTCAAAGTTATACAACTCATAGATTTTAGATTACATTAAAAATTGATCAGAAACAAAAGATAAGACTAATATGTTCATGTTTACACTTGGGAATTAAAATGTTAGCATTAGACGAACATAACAAGTTTCTGATACTTAAACTCACCAGAATTCAGGCTTTAGCTAAGAGCAATGGTTATATACAAGAAAAAGTATTATATAAGGAACCTGCAGCACAGTGATCTAATGGGCCAGATTTTGGCTCATCAACCTCTATGATACGGACCATTCATAGAAATAGTTAATTACAATTTAAAGATTTGCTGTGAAGTTCAAATGAGATTGGGTCCATCAGCAGGTTTTAAATATTGGATTCAGTCAGTATAACAGAAAAGTAACAGAACCACAACTTGTTATGTGCTAATGTGTATGGAGTAGCCAGAACACATGAGTTCAAACTCAGATTTCACCACTTTGGGCAAGTTACTTAGCCTCTTGGGGACTTTCCTCATGTGTAAAACAGAAACAGTAGTAACCACAGCCAATATTTATGAGGTTTAGATAATATATGCAAACTGCTTAGCCCAATGTCTGATACATGATAAGTACTTAACAAATGTTAGTTATAATAATAATTATTATTATACAAGCCCTGTATATTACACTTAGGTACCTATTTTGCTTAATTAGTTGTTTATGTTGTGACTCTCCTATACCAACATCAACTGATGTTGTTCCTAAGAGTTTGGTTAGGTCCTGGAAAATTGATATCTTGTAGGAAATTAAATATATCATTGTGGCCAAGAAAGTTATAAATTGGTTTTCAAAAATTTTTTTTTAATTTCATACTCCATGGTAAAAATTTTTTATCATACTTCTAATAAATATATATTGTATATATTATATATACTATAATATGTAATATATTAGACTTATAAATTATTTACATATACTATATATGACTTATAAATTATTTACATATACTAATATGCAAATTGTAAAGCATATTCAAATATAAACATTTAGATTATATAATATATATTATGATATTAGATATATGATATATAGACATTAAATATATGTACTATATATTTTGTATTATATTTAAATATTATAAAATTAGGATACTTATATATAGATGGAGAGATGGATACCCTAATATTTTTTCCTATATCCCAATAGGTTCATCAGTGAAAATAGCATTTCTTTACAGACCATTGTACCAGGCGTTCAGAAGTAGGTTGGGAAAGAAAGCCATGGGTACAACTGATTGTGTTTGGGGGTTTCAAAATGTGTTGATTAACTAGCATGTACTTCATAAAAACAAATAATAGTAGTCATAATTAATAAATATTCAATGTAAAGTATATTCCAGGCACAGTGCTATGCAAATTGCATATTCTTTCATGCAATACATACAACCACCCTTTGGGGTAGATAAAATTGTATAATTCATTTTACAGATACAGAACATGAGAGTAAGAAGGTTAAGTAACTTGCCCTAAATTACTATGTAAGAAATAAATAGGATGACACTTTGCAACCATATCTTCCTCCCATGACCAGTGCCCTTTTCCTTGGTAAGGTCATAATAATGATTATTACTATCTCCATTAATACTAAATGCTGTATCTATTGAGCAACTCTTATTTGCCCTCACTGTGCTAGGTGTTGCTCATGGGTATAGATAAAACATTTGTTCAGCAAACTCCTTTGATAAGTAAGCCATTTCAGAGAAGGTGAAACTATAAGAGTAAATGGTAGTATACTTTGAAGGGTGAAACAACGAATGGAAAAAAAAAATCCCTTAATATAGGAATTTTAAGTGGGAATATCTAATGTTTAGTTAGAGATTTTTTTTAAAGTATTGACATGTAACACACCTTTTGTTCTTCCACATCTTCAGTGATCTTCACTACACACTTAAATGTTTTGTGTTTACTTAATCTCTCTTTCAATCTCCTCTCATCCTTCTTTCTCTCCCTTTTTCTTTTCTGATATTCAAGGACGGGGCCCTACTTTCTGATAAAACCGTTATAGAATTCAGAAGCATGTGGGAAGGGAAGTCTTCATAACCCTGAACAAATTCAGAAAAAGCAAAAATCTCATGACCAGAATTGAACATGAGAGTGTAAAATTCAGTTTCACCTGAGGAAGGATTTGAAATTCTAGGGAGTATACGATGGCACTCCCATGTAATCTTATCTAGATCTGGATGGTTAGAAAATGTCATGTCATTTATTTTTCACAACAGACCTGTGAGGTGGCTGCTGCTATCCTGACCACATTGTATATCAAACTCTGGGCACGAAGATGAGTATGGGTTCATTAGGAGTTCATATATCTTTGACCAGATTGTGTGCCTAAAGATAACCAAAGAGAAAACCACCTGTACTCTCATGAAATAAGGTCAGGTTATTAAAAAGTGCCCTGGGAAGTGGAGCATCTCTGAGATATCTCTATTAAAGCTATAAGTCCTCTCATCATCATCCTATATAATGGAAATTCAAGCTAATATTTACTGCTCACTTTGTGAGCATCAGGGGCAGGTCTAAGAACTTCACATCTATCATGTATTTTAATTTTCCTAACAACACTTTGAGAAAGTACTATTACTATTTTTAGCTTACAGATTGGGAATCTGGGTACAGAGATAATAAGTTTTCCAAGGACACAAAATTATTAAAAACTGACTTTGAAATTCATACCTAGAAAACTTGACTTCAATTCTTATGTGAGTGAACACTATTATTTATACTCCCTTTTCTTTTTGAAGGGAGGAGAGATAATAGGAATTTATACATTACATACATGTGAAACTTTAAAACATCTAATAGATGCCATTTATTGAACAATCATGATGCATCATGCTAACTAATAGGTATACATTGTTTTATTCAGTGTTATAAACACTTTTCAAGATAGCATTAATTTTACCATTTTATTGTCAGGAAACTGAGCTTCAAAAGGATGAGGTAACTTGGTTAGGGTCACGCAGCTGGCATCAGAAGTCAGATTCCAATTCAGGTCTGTAGGACCCTTTCAACCTATATTGTTTCCATAAAGCAATGCTGTATGTTTAGTTTCAATGAGTAATCTCATCTAGTAGAAAATAGTTTGAGCACATTCTTCCTCTTTAATATTTGAGAGGATGCATTGTGCATAAGAAATGCAGCTATTGGATGAGGATTTTTGCCTTCTAATACCTTGGGAGTGGCAGTGGGGATTATGCCCAGTCCAAAGGCATCACAGAGACCTTG
Source organism: Homo sapiens (assembly GCF_000001405.40). Lineage (NCBI taxonomy): Eukaryota > Metazoa > Chordata > Mammalia > Primates > Hominidae > Homo > Homo sapiens. The sequence goes on from NC_000011.10 coordinate 26,746,579, forward strand.
TAGTGTTGGAAGTCAGAGGGCCCTCCACAACAAACACCATACAATATGCCTGAGATTAGACTCTCCATATCTTCTCTTTAAAAAGCAAAAAAGAATTCTAGAATATTTCAAGAGAAAGAGAAAATTATTGCAAAATATCAAGTGAGGTTTTATGATCAAATGAGAGTAATATCCTTGTTTTCCTCTTACATGTTCAAACACTCATTCTCTTGCAAGGTCACTTTTTAGTCTGTTTTCTAAGCATGGTGCCTTCCCAGAATTTCACCTTTAATCCTCTTTCATGGTTACTCTGTTGAGTGAATATTGTTCTTTCTCTTCTACTCTTCCTTTCCCTTCCCAAAAGAACTCCACTTTTCACAGTCCTAGAGTTTGAATAGGATTGATATCCACATCTCCTGAGCGAGAAGAAGGCCTTGTAGGCCCTCACCAATAAGCATAATTTCATCCTACTTTCTGGCTATACTGACTAGTTCACAAGGGCATACATTAAGTCTGCTTTAAAGGAGTTGGCACTTCATGTTTCTTAAGCCCATATAATTGATAATGGATAAGCACACAATTTAAATTGTTCAATCAGCAAATCTTTGGAAGACAGAGCAGGAACTAAATGATAACTGGTTCTTAAGATAATAAATTGCAGGGCCAAATATCAACTAGACCTACCCTAGTTTTGGACATTTCAATTATGTGAATCAATAAACTACAGAATTTGAATTTACCTTTTGTTACTTGAAGTTGAAAGCTTCTTAAGTTACCTTATATAATTTCCCTCTGAGGAATGGAATTCACTTTCTACTTATCTAATATTTTAGCTTTTCTGAGGTTCTCCATGTAAAACAAGATATTCACAGAATAAAATTAAATAGTGTATTAAAGCTTTTAGCATTGTGACTGGGTACATAATAAGTACTCAACGTATAGTATCTGTTATTGTTATTGTTACAACTATTTAAATTCATTCACCCTTTATCTTCATCTCAGACTCTAGAGCTTCAGTCAAAAATGTATCGCTGCGTGTTGCACATCTTTCTATTAGACTCTGTATTTCTAAAAATAAGGACTATACCTTTATGCAGAATGTCAAAAAATACCTTAAATCAAAAAGTTGTCATTATGTATTGACTCTTCTATATGCCTTGGCCATGTGCAAGGTATGTTAATCAGTGTATCTCCTTATTTTTTCTATCCACTCTGAAAAATAGGTATTGCTCTTCTTATTTTACAGGTGAGAAAATTGAGACCGAGAAAGTTGTTCTACTTTCCCAAGATCATACACTTAACACAAATCCAGATTTATATAATTCCAAAGCTCATGACCTTTTCATTAGGACTTATTATTTTCTTGGACACAAGCTTTCTTCCAATTGTCATATAACGAATGTGTTTTTATGTTGTCCAATATGTGTGTTTGTTTCTCCATTCAAATTTCAAACTGTAATTAAGGTAATTTCTTTATCTCTGTTTGCTCACAAGGGTATTATTTAATAAGCCCCATAAAATTCTCCCTTGCTAAATGAAATGTTCTTTCTATTTTAGAAGCTGTATAGAGTCGGTTGTGATTGATGGCTGGGATGTAACAAAAATGAAACATGCCAAGACTTTGTAGTGGCTTTGCCTATAAAAGCAGTAATCCACCAACGCCTTATTATGGAGTACCTGATTATCATTATGACAGAAATATGGAGCCCAAACATCTTACTTTAATGAGCCTTTCTCATTTGGAGAACTTACTTTGGCTTGGGTTTGTTCAAAAATACTTTGCTCTTTTGAGACCACAGTACCTAATTTAGCAGCTCATTATACTTTACTGTAAATGACATTGTGTTCTTATTTCTAAATGTTATTTCCATCAGCACTTGATTTCCTACACATTTGACTTGCATGAGTTTTCTAATATTTCCTTAGATACACAATATTATCTGCATGACAAATTTAGGTAACTTCTTATAACAGATTCAGTTAAGCTTCATGATGTAGCTTTATTACAATCAAGGTCAAACACTGGCTCACAAGTTTTTATATCATAGTAAAAATCTAAAAGAAAATTTCATTTTTGTTCTGTCTCACTTCTCTTCTCCTAATCACCCTATCTATAAATTCTTAATTTTATCAAGCCCATCACTAAAATAAGTGCAAAATAATCAATTGTATATTTGTATATCAAGGGAATATTGTCTGGAATTATTTTTGGCAGAGGAAGGAATGTTAAATTATCCATCAAAACTACCTGATATGGGAAAATGTGGACATTAGCTATTCTTCAGTTACTATTAGCTTTGGTATTTCTTTCTGTGTGTGCATCTGTGTCTAATGGGGTGGGGGTGGAGGGTGTCAAGAAAGAGAGAGAGAATTTTGTTGCAGAGAAAAATAATTTTCACCTGAAACACATGCAATTAAGACGTTATCCTCTCAATTAAGTAATCCAAGATTACTTAAAAGTTTATCTAGTAATCCATCTGGTTTTGTTGCATGATGCTGTGGCTTAATAGTCAGGTTGTTCACTTTTGACATTACTGCCAGAAAGTTTAGACCAAAATTTCTGGCTCACACCCATATTAAATGTGTTGCTTATTGTAGTTTGAAGAATTAGACTTTTTAAATGTTTCTGTCTCAGATCCACTCCTTTACAGTTTTTCTTTATTTCTTTGCCCACATTTAACCTAGGCTAATTTACAATATTTTATTGTGCTGCACAAATCACTTAATAAGCCTTCTGAAATTCTTTCTAGAACAAGGTGGAATATAATACATGGACAGTCAATGTGAAGATCCTGAAATCCTGAGTAATTATCCCATATACAAATTTCATCCTTTTTAAAAATAGACACAACCAAGTTATGGTGTGTGCTTACTGTCTGCCAGGAGCCAGAAGTAGACTGGATGTGAACCTCAGCTGTTAGGCTGAGATATCCTTCTAACTTACTTTGACTCTTACTCTGAAATCTCTTAAACTCACCCCACCTTCTGCATCCCAAGGGCATTCATTATGGTTCTTTCTCTCACATTCATAAGCCTTTGCATCATGCATTCTAATTTACAAAGCATTTTGCAGTGCCTGTTAACCAATCTCTCTACCGCAGGTGCCCATCCATTCTAATCCATCCTGCACACCTATACAGTGTAATTTTCTTAAAATACCATTTTCATCTTGCTCAAGAACCTCTATCTGTCATTTTAAGGTGAAACATCTCGTCTAAAACTTCAACAACTTTCAGTAGCTAGCATCATCTTACTTCTACAAATAATTCCTCTCTTTAATTTTCAACATGAATCTTCCTCTTCAGTAGTTGCCCTAATTTTTCTCCAGCAGTGCTGTCTTCTTTTCTGCTTCCACATGTAGTTTATGCAGTTTCTATTACCTTGAACACCAGCCTAGTTTTCTCCTCCAATTAAAATCCTATTCAATTTTAAAGACTCAATTAATCTACAGTTCTTTCACAAAGGTTCTGAATCTCAGAGACTGTTCCTAACTATACTTGTTTTTTTTTTTTTTTATCATTTTCTCTAACTAGATTATGTGTTTCTTAATGACAGGCATGATATTGCATCATCTCTTGGGTCTGCCATGTTAGTAAGCCCAGCATTGAGAGATATTATAAAATTAGTAGAAACTTATTGAGCCTCAATCACTCCAAACAATTATCAAGTACTCAGCCAGAGGCCATATGTTTTAGAATTAGTAAAATGAAAGACCTAAGAAACTCCAGAAACTCTAATGGCCTGACTTCCACTCAAGCATTTCAAGATAATACTGAATCAAATTTGTAATACAATCAGAGTCCCCAACACTCTAGAGAGATGAAGATATTCATGGGCTTTGCTCAGTTACCATAAACTATAATTCAATATGGTCATGAGGAAGTATTTCCATAAACACTGTCAAAAAGAATGAATTTGGGTTTTTTAATTCCCGTTTTTCCATTGCTATTACTAATAACTGAGGCAAGAATCAACAGTGTATGCTAAAAGCAATGGGTGAAATTTTGATGGACTCAGGATTAGAATATTTCTCTGGTCTCAGAATGTCTCACCACAGATTATTAATTACTTATGAATAAAAAAATGACAACTATACAGTGTAAAAACTTGGTAAACACCACTAGTCAAGTAATCAAAGCTAACATTACCAATTCGTTACAGGCCAACCTGATACCAGATGCATGCCCCATGATGGAGTGCACTAAAATGACACAGCATCATTCATGTGGTATTTCTGCCAAAAATGCATCACCTGAATCTCATCATGAGGAAAAAAAAATCAGAAAATCCCACATTGAGGGACTTCCTGTAGAAACTGTCCTATACTCTTCAAAAATGTCAGTTTCATAGCAGAGAAAGGAGATTGAAGAAGAATGAAAACAAAATGCAATGACTGATCCTGGGTGGGATTTTTTTTTTCTGTGAAGGATAGTTTGGGAAGAACTATTGAAATATGTATATTAGATGATAGTATTGTATCATTGATAATTTCCTAAACTTGCTAGTTGCATTGCGATTATAAATGAATATCCTTGTTCTTAGAAGCTACTTTCTGAAGTATGAAGGGTCATAATGCCTGTCATTTGTTTAAAATTTCATAAATAATTATTATGGTATTCATCTATGTGTAGCAATAAATATAGATATATTGAGAGAAATGTCATGATGTCATAATTAAAGACAATATAAGTTTCATTGTACTAATTCTTGTGAGCCTTGTTTAACTCATCATTGTGGTAGCCAAAATAGTAGCCCCCTAAAAATGTCCACATTCTATGTGAATATGTTAAGGTGCATGGCAAAGAGTAATTAAGATTGCTGATGGAATTAAGATGGTAAATTAAACTGGAGATAGGCAAATTATCCTAGATTATCCCAGAGGGCTTTATGGAATCACTGGAGTCCTTATAAAAGCAGAAGAGGTACGCAGAACAGGGAGAAAAGGAGAGATGGTGACATGGGAAGGACTTAGCCTGACATCAGTGGCTTTGAAGATGGAGAAAGGGCCCACTAGCCAAGGAATACAGATTGGCTCTAGAAGTTGGAAAAGGCAAGGAAATAGATTCTTCCCTGGAGCCTCTAGAAGGAATGTGACCTGCGACATGCTGATTTTAGCTTAGTGGGACCAATTTCAGACTTTTGACCTAGAGAATTGTGAGATAATAAATTTATTATCTAAGCCACTAAGTTTCTTGAAGTTCTTACAGCAGCAATAGAAAACTGATACACTCCTTTTTTTTCTGTAAAATTAAAGTTTGAAAAAAAGCAGCGTATGTGTAGAATGCTTTCTAAGAACCCCAGCTCTAGAGGCAGGCTGTTGAATCAGGGGAGGTAAAAGATTGTCTAAAGGGTTTGTAATTTTTCGGAAACTTGATTTTTAACACAAATGAAGATGAAGAACTATTCTCAGAGTAGTACAACTGCAAATCAACACAAAATAGAAATAAAATGGAATCAACAGAAAATGAGACAGGAAGAGAGAATAAAGCTTTAGCCTGAGTCTTCTTTGGCATTTGTCAAGAGAGGGACAAAGGAAAAGGAGATAGTTTATATTTACGTATGTATTTATACACATGTAACATTATACATATATTTACTTTATTTACATAGTATGTATTTTATTTATGCTTATTTTATTATATTGCAATTATATATATTATATACATATACACACACACACACACATATAACACCCACACACACATATATATGTGTGTATGTGTACATATTGTATCTTTTGGGATGTGTGAAATGTTGAAAAGGGGACTGAATTCTAGTCTAGCTTTTGTCATCTTAGTTTGGTAAAACTGGGAAATATTGGGCTAGTTCAAAGTTAATTGCGGTTTTTGCCATTAAAAGTAATAATACAAGTGCTCTGAGCTTCAGACTCCTCAACTCTACCAAAAAAAAAAAAAATCACACTTATCTTGATGATTGCTGTGAGAATTAAATGAAAAAGAGTACAAACACCTAAAAGAGGGTTAGTATAAAATGTGTGATCAATATACAGAACCATCAATGCATTTATTATTGTTGCTACTTACACTGGTGCTTCTACTACCGTTGTTGGTACTTGGCTGTATCCACTTTGTTCTTTCATCATTCAGCCCCTCTTCATCAACTACTTTCTATTTTATTTTTATTTCTTTTCTTTTCTTTTGTCCTTAGTAAGATGCCAAAAACACAAGTGTATTTACAGGGCTATGTTCCAAAGTTCCACCTGGGCTGCTATGCTGACACTGCTTTCTTTGTCTGCCTCTTACAGGTAGGCGTTTCTTAACCTCTAGCCCCTGGCCCTCTTTTGTTGTCAAACTATATTTATTTTCTGGATGGCCTTTTTATTCTGATTACTTAAGATACTGTGTCACTATTGAGGACATCTTAATTTACGTATCCAATTGAGTTCCATGTCTAAGTCACATCCTCAAAGTCACAGAAAGGCAGAAATGTAAATTAGACCCTTGAGAGGCTTCTAAGGGAAAGAAGAAAAACTGGGAGGAATGGTGGCTTAAGAAAAATATCGGACGAAGCAAAACTAGTTTTGTCATATTTTTTGCTTTTGTTGTATTTTAGGGATAATGGAGTTTTTAGTACTTTGTATACTAGGAGGAAGTTGCTGAAGAAAATAATCAAAATAAAAGAAAGATGACTGAAGAGGCAAGATATCAGGGGATATTTAGAGGGAGAACTTAGTATGATGTCTGAGTATGATAAGTCAATAAGAACACAAATTCTCAGAATTGAATTTGAAGGAGGAGAGGAGGAGTCAGCTACAGATGCATTGAAAGTTAGAGAAACTCACTTCTTTGAATTTTTTGTTTCCAAAAACTGCAGCCTTCAGGAACTGGTTGACAGTTGGTCATATAGTATGTCTGAGGAGCCTATGTTGGAAGAGATTTGATGTTTTTTTCCAGTAATTTCAATGTTTTAGTAATTTTGATATTGATTATTTGACCAAGGAGCCATCTGCCATCAGATAAAATGACACAAGGCAATTTGAAGCCCACCATGCCTTTTCCTCAAATATTGGAAAAGCAAATGAATAGATGAATATTGTGTGTGTTTGAATAAAGCCTCCAGACACAATTTTTTGCACATGATGAAATTCTAAGACATCTTTATAATATAGTCTCTGTTGGCTTAATACACAGAGACCTTCTGTGTGGCTGCCTCTACCGGGGTCTGGAAAACGTCGTCAGTGTGCAGCAAACACACACAGTAAGATGCACTGTGAATTTCTAAGAGTCTCCAAAGACTGAAGACAGTAAGTCATTCAGAGTCATGTTAATGGCAAAGCTGCCAGAAATGGGCCACACACCCTAATTCAAATGACCCTTTCTTCATAAAAAGTCATAAAAAATGACCGTATAAGAACCCAATTCTTCTCGAATGCATGAATAGGATTTGTATGTATAATCTATGGACTACAGTTTGAAACAAGTCTAATATGACCCAGCTGTGTTGCATAATAAAACTGACAATGAAAGCACGGTCTAAGAGACCACCAGATGGCAGCCTCTTCATGTTTAACTCCTGTGGTTACCCCTAGACCTGCTGGATTTTGTTTATTTTTAGGGCCCAGGACTTCAGAGTAGAGGAAAGGATTAGAAGTAGGAATTCAGTCAAAGGCCACAGACAGGTAAAAAGAAATGGATTTTCTTTTTTAAGTTTGTTTTTTATTTTATTTATTTTGTTTTGTATTCAGAAAGATGCTGAAATCACAAATGTGTTTATAGGGCTCTGCCCCTAAATTGCATCTGGACTGACTGTGTTGGGACTGGTAGACCTCAGGCCAAGCGGGACAGTATGAACCTGGAAAATAAGCAGAATATGTCTCTTTCTGGTGGTGGCAGCCGCCTCAACTCAAAGTCCCTGATTACCCCTGCAAGAAAAATTGTCTCGTACTTGTTTCTTAGGCTTTTAAGTGGTTGAAAAATCACTTTATCTTTTATTTACTTAAAATCCTAATTTTAATTTTTTCCTTTGTTATGCACTTTTAACTTCATAATTTTTCTTAATGAAATTTTAGAAAAGACAAAATGACTTCATTCAATAAACGCAGCAAATGTGTTTAAGTTACTTTTTAAAAAACATTTTATTTTACACGTATACTAAATAAGAAAAAATTTAAACATAAAAAGTGAAAAGAAATAATGAAAATAATATAACGTCATCACCACCCAAATATAAACTCCATAAACTGTTATCTAAAAATCCCATGTCTCTATAAACAGAATTATCTCCAAAACAGGATTTTGCTATATATACTGTTTTGCAGATTTTAAAAATTGACAATGTATCATATACATTTTTCTATATTAAAAATATATTTCCATGCTATAAATTTTAATGGTTATATGGTGCTCTGTAATTATGTCACAGTATGTTCAACTGGGCCTTTACCATAAAAATGTTTTTAAAAAGACTATAATTTTATAAAATCATTAGTTAAGCAGGAGAGTAAGACAGGATAGAAATGAAAAACATGAGCAAAGAAGAGAAATGCAGACAGGCAACGGAGAACCACCCAGGAAAGTTGAGGTCAAAACAGAGGAGAAGTAAAGGACACATGAAAGATAGAAAGGGGTAAAGATAGAGGAAAAGAAGAAAACAGAAATGATCTGCAGTAAACCATCCAGCAAAGACTTGCTTTTGATTTGTGTTACAGGTTTCTGATGATCAACCTTTATCTTTCTACTTTGAAATACTGAGCGGCTGACAACCGCTCTACAGTTGTTCTTTATCTGAAAGGATGGTAAATTTTCACTGAAGGGCACGGTAAAGAAATGTAAACAGCAAATATTAATATTAAAATTGTTCTCTAGTTGCAGCTACAGAACAGAGGAATGCAAACTGATTATTTGGAATTAAGCAGAGGATCAAATCTCCAGGAAAAAAAAAGACAAAAACATTTTCCTATTTCTAGTTCACTTCATAAGCTTGTGAAAAGAACACACTGCCTGGACGTGATGATTTATATGAAATGATGTCCATGAAATACAATTATATCATATTTAAGGTGATGAAATATTATATAGATGTTTAAGGTGATGAAATATTATATAGATAATAAAAATGCATGAGCTTACTCTTTTTAGCACATGTAGACAATAATATGTGCAAGGATACATAGTGACTTGGGACTGACTATAAAATTGGGGACATAAGGGCATGGTAAAAGAATAATTTTGCTTTCTATGCAATATTTTTTACTTAGAATTTTTATAGTAGGGCATGTATTGATTTTTAATAAAAATAAATGAATAAAAAGAGAAAATGTCAGCTCACTGAGCACAAATCACTCATGAACAGAGGGAAGGGGGATGATTCCTCAAAGTGTGTAAATCGTGGCTGACAAGAACAGCCTCTCTGGTCTCACTCCATTGATCGCTTTCTCCAGCAGCCTCAAAAGGCCTTATTCTCAGCTGGTGTCATGCGACTCTCATGTCACAGGACGCATTTTAAGCCTCCCTTGAAGAAAATTCTTTGTAAGGCTTGGATCTAGACCTCTTTCTCTTCAAATAGTTGCAGATGGCAGCCTTAGGTTTCATGAAGGAAGAGGGTAGATTGGCAGACTTGAACAATTAAAATGAGTGGCTTCAGAGGGATTTTTAAATTCTCTGAATTTTACAGTGAAGACCCTCTTTGCTGAGAGTAAAGCAGTAGGATGAGAAAGTAAAGCTAGAGGAAATATTCTTCCTGAAATAAAGGTGTTCCAAAAATAAATGTGATTGAATTGGGATAGATCCACTGTAATGATGCCCTCAAATATTAAATCTTGGCTCCAGGGAGCTTGCAAAATTTCTACAAGCCATTATGAATATTTCTTAGAGCTTAATAAAATCATATATTTTATCATAGTAAGGCTGTGTAAGTTAGCTAAATATTGAGTTTTCCCTTGTTTAGAAACATCTCTGCTCACTTATACTTTATGCTAAATTCTGGAATAGAAATTCATATATTTTTAATAACAATGGAAAAACAATAATCTCTTATGAAGTGAAATCTTTACCCTGCCTTTTTTAAGTTGACAAATAAAAATTCTATATATTTATGATATACAACATGATGTTTTGATATACATATACATTGTAGAATGGTTAAATCGAGGTAATTAGCATATACATTACCTTACACACTTACTATTTTTTGTGATGAGAACATTTAAAATCTCAGCAACTTTCAAGTACACAATAGATTATTATGAACTATAGTCACAATAATGTACAACAGATCTTTTGAACACATTCTTCTCTCTACCTGAAATGTTGTATAATTTGACCAACCTCTCCTCAACCCCACAGCCTCAGCCTCTGATAACCACCATTCTACTCTCTGCTTCCATGAGTTTGACTTTTTTTAGATTCCATATATGAGTGAGATGGTGTGGCATTTGTCTTTTTGTGCCTGGCTTATTTCACTTAACATAATGTCTGCCAGGTTTATTCATGTTGTTGCAGATGATAGGATTTCCTTCTTGTTTAGGGGTGAATAGTATTCCATTGTATATATATGCCACATTATTGAAATCCATTCATCTGTTGATGGACACTCCGGTTGATTCCATGTTATTCTACCTTTGACACCAAGTCTGCGTACCTATTGAGCTCTACTCTTTCTTTAATCTTCTGGCTTGTTTTCTTTCCTGTGTCTTAGTAACTGGCCACTCTACCTTTGCCTCAGGATCCTCTTCTGTGCCTGATACCTCTGAGCAGCTCTGGTCAGATCTACTCAAAACCTCAGGTTCCTCATCCTTCATTCCTGCAGAGGATATTCCCTACTTTGAAGTAAATAAAATTTGTTTTTTCTTGATTGGTAACATGTTCTTTTCAGAAATCAGGAAGAATCTTTGTGTTCAGGACCCTTGAAAAGTATCTGCTGTAAGGGTGATTTTCGAGTAGCAGCCATCAGAGAGCAGGCTCTTAATCTGGTAGCATAAAATACAATAAAGCAACCAGAGTACTGGTCATGACATTTGGTAACTTGGTAACACCAAAGTAGCTGAGGGAAGCTTTTAATGAAGATTGTGGAGGCTTATCTCAAACATTAAAAAATTAAACAAGTCTTACTTTTTAGTTCTTAAGTAACAGGAGGACATCTCTTTGTATGTAGGTACTTTATTTCTCTAGGATAATTTTCAGAAAATAATTTGTCAGTTGACTACTTTGGGGGGCAACTAAGTTATTTTGGAGATTCTGTTAAGTCCTGGGAGAAATTAAAGATTAAAAACTTATTTCTTGATCTCTAGCCATTCATAAATGTAACAGGCAAGTCTATATAATGCAATGTAATGTCAAATATAATATGTTCAAAGTACCAATGAAGTACAGAGGCAGAAGAGCTGAGAGGATCTTATGTTTCTTGAAGAAATATTTCAGCTGGTCCCCAAAGGTTTAATGAAAAAAAAATTCAAAATGAAAATAAAGAAAAATCTTGCTGGTGGGAACACCATGAACAAAGGCTTGGAGGCATGAAAAGTACATGACACAATGGAGGAAAATAAGTACAGAATTATTGCTAGAATTAAAGACAGAGGAGATTGTAATGGGGAGAAAGTCTAAAAATAATTCCCAGACCAGAACATACAGTGCCCTGAATCCCAGGCTAAGAAGATTTCATTTCTTTCTGTATTCCGTGAAAAGCCCTTGAAGGATTTTAAGTGGAAGTATTTTTAGAACTATGCCTTAGAATGAGTTATCTTACTGCTATAGTCAGATGGTAAGATTGAAAGCCAAAAAAACCAATTATTAAAATAACACCAATGGCAGATGTGAAAGACTTGAAATAGTACATTACAGAAAGAAAGAGACTACACTTTGGCCACTTAAACATCTAGAGTTTGAAAAGGTGGGCACTGAGATTCTCTGTGTAGTTGTCAACTCCATTCTTGTCATTGCTCACAAGGAAGATCCAAAGTAAATGTTTCTATTTTAAAAAGAGCTTTATGGAAACACTCATAAGGAAATAGTTGTGTGCTTAAGAACATCAGCCCTGGCCCTCCTAAAGAGGGAAAACCTTGGCAAAGTAAAGGATTGGTGTTTACATTTTCAAAAGCTGTTTTATCCTTTAAATGGTACCTATGATATAGTCAAAGAAGGCTGGTTGTCAATTTTACTGCTTCTGTAATGATAAATGTCACCCATTTTCTCCTTTGCAGGAGAGTGGATTTAGATTTACCAAGTTTATCCCAAGAAGCTAATTTTGAATGAACAATATGAAATATGATCATGGAAAATTTAGGCGTCAGAAATTAAAAACCTAAAACTGAAGAACATAAGGACTTGAGGGACAATTAGAAATTACCTACTCTGGAGTTCTCTATCTTTTTATCAGCCCAGACTCTTCATTTATTTTTTCACTTAATAGAGAGCTTCACACAGGTCATGACCAGGGTGACCATGTTTGGTTACCAACATTGTTCACCATTTATATCCCAGCAAGTCCTATAAAGTTCAATAAATAAATAGACTTATAAAGTATAAGTTAAATGATTAGTAGCCAGTTAGCACTATTCATCACCTTTATAAACCAATATGATCTAAATGCATTGATAAATTTTAAACAAAAGCAGACACTCAATAGTTTGATTACTTTTATGGCTTATGTTTTCCATTAAGCTTTTAGAGATAATTAAAAACAATTTAATAATTCTTGTTATTATCGTATATTCCTAAATCCTTAATGATCCCGGGGACTTTGGGTTAGGAACAGTAGTTCTAATCTTATTCCAAATGAAAATGAGGCACAGAGATGGGAAGTGACTTCCAAGGACATATAAGTATCATCAACATCCTATAATTTAATCTTAAGCAGCTTTTGGGGCAAGGAAAAAAAAAACAATCTTAAGATTTGCTGCAGTGGTTTCTTGTGTCCCTGGTCTGTGAGGCTGATTACATGCTGTTCTGGCTTCTGACTTTTAGGTAGAAGGCCAATGGCTGCACCTTTAGCTCTGCTCTTGTATGTAGTTTTTTTCCCCCTAAAAGTGTTTAATTATACCAAAAAAAGCAGCTGTCTTTGATCACACAACTTGCTTGCTAATTTCTCCAGGTTGCTTTAACATTGCCATCTGGACACATTACTCTTTTCTTTAGATCACTTTTAAATAACCATGACAATAAAAATATTTTTAAAATAATAAAAAAATCAGAAAGACAAAAAAAAAAAAAATCCACACAAAGCCCAGAAACAATGGAAAGAAGCAAGACAGGGTTGATTTTCCTGGAGGGAAAATATAGTCACCTGGTAATTTTGTCTTAGTTCTGGGAAAAGAGCCCTGGTTGTATCACAACCCCACCTGTGCCCTTCCTCTAATTTCTTTCCTACTCCTTTACTGTCTGCCTGCCCTCTCTTTCTTCCTGCTATCTGGGTAGGACCTGAGGCATGTCAGGTACCAGGTTTCTACTGAAGATTTCTTGTCAGTGCAAAGATAGAATACAATCAGATTGTTTAATTCTTCCCCTATGAATTTGGTTCCAGAAATGTTATATATTAGTGACTAGAAAAAGATGAGTAATGACTGGGCATTAGGTCGATGTGCAGACTGCATGTGACCTGAGTAGATACAGGATGTGTTATTGAGATCAGCAATATTTTCAGAGAATCAGGGTTGTGTGCTTGTACACAGGATTAGAAATAGATTCAAAGACCCCTCTCTAGTCCTGTTGTGTATGATCAAATCTCTTTTACAACTTCCCTGTCAAATATTTATCCAGTGTACTTCTCAATACCTTTCATGACAATCACATATATTGGCCTGCTCTGACTTTTGGAAAGAGCTTTCTTATAATAAACAGAAATTGGTCTCCCTACGAACTGCCCAATTTGTTCTATTCCTACTCCTTCTTATCACATAGAATAAGTTAAATTACTTTTTCCCTGACGGCTGTTTCTGATATTTCAGAGATGTGATCACAGCTCCTTTGAATTTTCTTATCTCCAGGAGAAATTCCCCTGGTTCATTAAATTATTGTTCTTAAGACTTAACCTCTACATACATTTCATGTGTTAAAGTTCCTGTTTCTCATTTCACCCACAACTATACACAGTTCTTTTTTGAGAATATTTTGAAAAATAATACAAGTAATATATATTTACGAGTGAAAAATTAGAAAACCACAGATGGCAAAAAATATATATTTTAAATGACATGAATAATTTATATGCAAAAAGGGATGCTTTTGATATTTTGGCATATAACTTTCCAAAATTATTCACATTCATACAGACACTGCTAAATTTTAGCAAGATACTTAAGTGAGGGTAAGCTTAAAAAGTAATTCCATGTATGTCTATTTCTAAGAATGGGCACCAAAAATCACCTTGGAGTAAATTTTCTTTTTCTAGGAAGTATCACTTAACTGAGTCCTTATAATTATGCCAATTTAAGGTTTGCTGTCACCCACTGCTCTAAAGAGAGGCCAGCAAATTTTTACCGTAAAGCCAGGAAGTAAAGGTTTAAGTCTTTGGGGGCCACACGAGGTCTTTGTTGCTGCTGCTCTTCCTCCTCCTCCTCCATTTTCTTCTTGTTGATTTACAAACTTATAAACTTTTAAAAAATGGTAATACCATTCTTAGCTTACAGGCTGTAAAGAAGCAGGGCACTGACCAGAATTTACCAAAGACTAAAGTCTGCTCACCCCTATTCTAGAGGAAGGATTTAATAGTTTCTCAATTACTAACCTAGGCAGCCCCCACGAAACTCCTTGATATATAGAGTTCATCTCTGGGGATGTCTTAGGTAAATTTGCATAGCAATCAATGAGCCCCCTGGGAAGAAAGAAATAGAAACATCAAATACTAGCTTTTTGAGGTGTAATTTTATTAGACTCCCTTTAATGGGTTGAGACGTTCCCAGCTGAGGTGTGACAACTGGAAAGCATGCCGAAGGCTGCAAAGTAGAACTAGCTAAGAGACTAACAGACATCTGGATTATTGGCGTCGACTCTTAAATGGCTGGAGAAGAGAACTGACTTTTACATAGCTCATGACTAACTAAGCTGGTCTACTAAAAAGATTATGCCTTGGAATTAATGACTAAGGGTGTGAATATATTCTTGGAGAGTTGTAATCCTCAAAGGGGCTTTCTGTTTTAGTCATAGATTATGATGTAGTAACAATTACCTCAAACCTCTGTGGCTTAACAGGATAAAGGCTTATGTATCACTCCCAGCCTGATGGATAGCTTTCCTAGGGAGCTCCCCTGTGCAACTCTCCTCCAATTTATCACTCAGGGATTCAGGCTCCTTCCATCTTGTGATATCATCATCTTTAATGTATAACCTCCACATCTGTCATGGAAAGGAAAGGAATAACACAGGCAATCAGTCAGGGTATTATAGTCAGGCCTGAAATTGGCATTCATTACTTCCTCTCATTTGCATTGGTCAGAATCTGCTTATAGACTCTCAAACTAACTCCAAATGAAGCTAGGAAACATAGATGTAATATGTACCCAGGAAGAAAAAAAAATATTGTTTAATATCTGCTCGGTCCTGGTCATACTCCCTTCACTTACATGTGGGTATTGAGCGGGGTTGGGAGCAGCACGTTAGCTTCTGGAAAGATCTGGAACAGCAAGAGTGTAACCACAGTAGTGACAAGCATGTACCATAACTTTAAACGTCAGTTTTTATTAGTGACTTAATTAGAAATGACGGAAGTGATAGCATACTAAAACTAGCCAAGATCTCATTCTAGCTCTTAGGTTTCTCTTTGCCTCATGTTTGGAAACCAGATGTAACTGGGCCCTTTGAGCCGAGTAAGCTCGCAGGGTTTTCAGAAACTAGAAAGTAGAAAGCAAAACAAATGAGACATCCAGCCAAGTTAGACAAATGAGGGCTTGAGTAATTTATTTAAATAGTATATTTTATGAACTTACTTATGCTGTAAGCTGGTGAAGTGAGCCATATCAGTTAGAAGTGTGTATGTGGGGGGTGGGTGTGTGTAAGAGTGCAGGTGTGTTTATAAACATACTGGAATTATCTATGCTAATCTCAAAGTATGAAGGCCAATTTTCCTAATGTGGTCTGATTAATACAATTAGTGTTTGCGTGTTGTGTGTGTGTACCTATATGTATATACATATAATCTCTATATAAATGTTTTTTATATATAAATGTTATATATATATATAAAAACTCTTCTCATTTTGGTACCTAATGGTATCTAAAATCTTGAATCTTCTTCTCACATGTACTCTATATATTTGCTATTTTATGATTGCACCACTGGCTTTTGGTGGATAATATTTGCTATCTTATAGTGCCAAGCATATATTCTCCCTCTTATTGGTAACAACAGTAACTTAAATTTTATTTGGAAAATTACACCTTGAAATGAATCAAGGTGTAGGGAAATTTAAATTTTCCCTCTGAAGGTTTGATAATTTTAATTTATAAAACAAATTGATAACAGACAGAGTAACAGGAAAAAAGGCATACATATTTTATTATGTGCACATGAGTGCACAGGAGTCACATAAAATATAAAAACTCAAAAAAAAGCAAAATGGGTGATGCTTTTATACCATCTTGAAGGTACAAAAGCAATAGGAACTTGGATCATGGCAAAACAGGTTATGGGAGGGAGAGAAGGCTTGGCTAACAAAGGTGGTCTTGCTATACAGATGAAACCTCACAGGTAGCAGCCCTCTGAGAGAATAGATGGTAACTGTGTCTTTCAGACCTTTAAAAGTGTCAGACTCTCTTGTTATCTAGATTATTAGACTGGACTTGTTTACTTCCCTTTTGAGGCAGGTTCTCCAAGTTTCTCATACATTGTGGAAACAGTCATCTTTCCAATAAATTATTATTATTTTTTATTAAGAACAACCAGGGTTATATTCTGTAGCCTGTAATCCAAGAAAACCTAAATGATACACACTTGAACCTCAATGTGTATAAAGAACATTTTTCTTTTTTATATGTATATATAATATATATTTATATGTTACCTATTGCACTATACTATCTAGATATTTTTATATGACCTCTGTCAAATAACTTATTCCCTAACTGATTCTGTTTCTTTGTATGTACAGACATAGTGAATATGCATAATATTGTCATCAAATCACTGATAAATATATTTCTATCTGTAAAGAATATCTTTTCCTTTCTTATAATTTTAAAGACTTTTTTGTGACCTTATGTGGACAAACAGTTCATGTGTAATTTAAAAGAATAAATGTTTTTTACACACACTCTTCAATTGATGGTATTTGTTTTCTACCCTCCTTAATGGATCTCTAAAAATTTAAAATGCCTGTTTGGTCCAATTTTTACCAGATAAAGAGAGTTGAAGGCTCCTCTTAATAAAAGGCAAGGATGCTTGACTGAACTTCGGTTCAAGGCCCAATTTAGGAAGGTTAGAGTCCTTCCTAAGAGTTAGGAGGGTTCCAGGCCTCTCTCAGTAAAGTCCTTCACAGCTAAGGGACTCTTTAAGCTAAGATTAGTCTCTCTGGACTAATCTGCCTTGCAGTCTTTGCTGATGTCTGTGGATGGCAGGGTTAGGCATGTACAGGATCATAGGACACGGGGAGATTTTTCCTTCCCAAAGTGGGCCACAAGAGCTGATGGGACTGTGGGAAAATCATCCATTCACTATCAACAAGCAGCCACCTGAACTTTTGAATCAGTATCACCGCAATGGGTGGGTCTTTCCCAGACGTCCCTGAGCTCTTTGTTTCCCCACCCTGTTGCAGGCAATGTTTTTCTCCCTTTCTCTCCTTTCCCTTTCCTATATTTTCTGTTACCCAGGGCAACCATCTTTCCCAGAGACCACATGTTGAAACTCCTTTATTTCACTTTGAGTGGACTGAAGACGACAGTGCCCAACCGGAGGCAAGTTTGAGCCCTGCCAGTTCTATGTTGGGTGCTAAGCAGAGCGGCTAATTGTCAAGGTTTTCTCACATGTATTTTGCTCTGGCTGGAATGGAAAATGTTAATTTTGTACCCCCACGCAGCCAGGTGGGTGGCAACTTGCAAATTGAGAGACTTTTGACTGTGGTTATGAATTTGTCTTTTGGTGTTGTTCTGCAATAGAGAGGGGTACCTTAGCATAGAATGTGGGCCTAGGACCCCATAACCCCGCTGTTCCAGCCAACCTGGCAAAGTGGTCAGTTACAAACTTTGCTGCAGGCCCCTGAAAAAAAAAAAAACCTGGATGAAATTTCCCTCCCTTTATGTCCTTGGGAACTTAACCTTGTAACCACAGGGTGGTACTTTATCTTGATTTTCACCACCCAGCAGACAAGAATTTTGGAGTTCCCATCACAGTTATCTCTAACATTACCCTGAGTATTTAAAAGCATTTGCAAGGTCAAAATTGGCTGCTCTAGGAACCTTCTGGGAAGAGCAATGGAAACTGCCCTGCGCCATCGTTTAGTGGCTAAGACTTTGTGGCCTGGGTTCAGAATTCAATTCCTGGCTTAGAGAATGAGTCTTTCCTGATTTGATATCTGCATGACCTTTACTATTTGTTGATTCTTTCCCTCCACCAACTGTCTGGAATTTTCCTTTCTCTGAGCACCTGAGAGGTTACCTTTAGTAAAGTTCAAAAGCCAGAAATATTGACTTTAACATGGGTAAATTCGGGTTAAAACTGGATATTCAAGCCCCAACAGTCTGGGACTCTTTGGGAAAAACAGAGGAGATACCACACACCCATTTTGGAGAAAACCTCTATTTTCCTCATGAAACCCTAGGAAGTGAAACTGGATAGATCCATCTAAAAATCTAAGACTGTTCTGTTTTGCATTGCAATATCTGATGGTTTTGACTTTGGGGGGTATTAGAAATTACTTTGCATTGTAAGAGAGTTTTGGTGTGCAATAATTAGGTAGAAAATACAGTTTTGGGAATAGCTACTGGCAGTTATGGGGGGATACTCAGCTCTTTTCATGTTTGGATCAGAGAAGCATGCTCTTGGCCATCTGGAAAACTATGAAGATGTCGCAAACCCTAGCACCCGCCACCGCACTGAGAGATGAGACTCCCATGGGGCATGGCATAATCACAGAATGGGCTGATTGGCTTTGGATTGCTTTGCAATAAAATGCACAGTAAAATCATTGCACTTTCTTATTCCATACTGTTTTTCTTTTTGGGATCTAAGATTTGGTGTAAAAATGGGACCCTTAGCTTTTGGGGATTTGTTTTGCCTTCCAGTAGTGCCTGCTAATTAAGTGGTAGAAATTGCATGCTTTAAAGAGAAACTTATAAAATGGCAAATGAAAAAACCTTACAACTACCGGATCTTCTGTCTGTCTGTGTATTTATATATGTTGTGTGTGTGATGTTTATATATGAAGTGCTCCAATTAATTGGCTTAAAAATAATAAGTGCTTAAATCAATGATGTGCTTTCCTGTAAGGAATCAAATTTGACTTATAGAGCCAATAAAACCTTTTTGGGAAAACTGGCCTCATACATTGTCTGCACAGTCCTTGTGCAGGGTTCCTAACCTGTGTAAGTAAAAAAAATGTCACTTTCAGACAGGCCCAGGAGCCCCAAGTTATCTTGCAACCTCAACAGGCGAGAAATTTACCCAACTCATAGATATTTGAGGGTAAAAACACATGGCTGGGCTCAGCTTCAAAAAAAAAATCATTATCTGAGATTCCTTCTCTGGAACAGAGTTCCCTCAAAGCCAATTTAAAAAACCTATGTGAAAAATAATTATTCTTGCTGCACATTTTATAAATAATCAGGCCAACTATAATAAAGTAAATCATTCTTAGCATGATTTGTCTTCAGTAAAAATGGAAGACTGGAAAGAGAAAAAATACGTTTCAAGAACTGTGGTACACCTGTTATTAGATTCCAGTTTCATCAGTTGTTTTTTTTTAGTCTTTTTCCTGCAATTTTGAGTAACCCTGCTTATTCTGGTGAACCAACCAGTGATCTCTGTTCAAAAGATACAAGAGGGTTGGGTAATGTAAAAATTGGGGTCATTATTCTAATTCTAGGCACGTACTGGAATTGGCTAGCAACCCCGTGTCAGCTTGGTTCCAACAACTGCCCAGTTCATGGAAAACCTTATTTAGTTTACTTGGGATAGTTTTACTTATTTTGCTTTACTGTTATGGAATATATTGCTGTTATACTCTTCGTGTAGGAACGCAGTATAAGCTTAATGAATGTTTTCTTAAATTGAACACTTATTAACCTTTCAGATACCACCTTTTGTTAGAACTCAGAGTTACAAATGGCCATTACCAGACTGATGCTTTCTGACTGAGCTCCTCTCTACCCCAAATACAAGAGGCCCTAAAAGTTAGGCAGGAATATTATCACCCCTATTCAGCCTGAAGAAGTTACAGAAGATGGATCTTCATCTCTCTACAATCCTTAAGATTAAGGGTTCCCTTATAAAAGGGAGGGAGGAAATATGTTAGAGGTGTTTGAAGCAGAGCAACTCCATCTTGAATGGGGCAGGGTAAAATAAGGCTGAGACCTACTGGGCTGCACACCCAGGAGGTTAGGCATTCTAAGTCACAGGACGGGACAGGAGGTCAGCAAAAGGTGCAGGTCACAAAGACCTTGCTGCTAAAAAGATGCGGTAAAGAAGCAGGCCAAAACCCACCAAAACCAAAACGGCAATGAAAGTGACTTGTGGTAAGCCTGACTGCTCATTACATACTTATTATAATGCACTAGCATGCTAAAAAGCACTCCCACCAGTGTCATGACAGTTTACAGATGCTATGGCAGCATCAGGATATTACCTTATATGCTCTGAAAGGGGGAGGAACACTCAGTTCCAGGAATTGCTCACCCTTTCCTGGAAAACTCATGAATAATCCACCCCTTGTTTAGCATATAATCAAGAAGTAGTGATCTATAAGCAGTTGAGCAGCCCATGCTGCTGCTCTGCCTATGGAGTAGCCATTCTTTATCCCCTTACTTTGTTAATAAACTTGCTTTTACTTTACTCTTTGGACTTAGTCCAAAATCTTTTTTATGTGAGTTCCAAGAACCCTCTTTTGGGTTCTGGATCAGGACTCCTTTCTGGTAACACAATGTGGAAAAGAAAGTACATTTGACTCAAAGTGTCAATAATGAAATTACAAGGCTCGGTGCAGTGGCTCACGCCTGTAATCCCAACACTTTGGGAGGCCGAGGCTGGCAGATCACAAGGTCAGAAGATCGAGACCATCTTCGCTAACAGGGTGAAACCCCGTCTCTACTAAAAATACAAAAAAATTAGCCCAGCGTGGTGGCGGGCACCTGTAGTTCCAGCTGCTGGGGAGGCTGAGGCAGGAGAATGGCGTGAACCTGGGAGGCAGAGCTTGCAGTGAGCCGAGATTGCGCCACTGCCCTCCAGCCTGGGCGACAGAGCAAGACTCCGTCTCAAAAAAAAAAAAAAAAATTACAGAGAGTTATTTTTAGTTATTGTACTAGTTATCTATTTGTGCATTACAAACAAACTAAAAGCCTAGTGACTTAAATCAATAATAAATATTTGTTAATTATAATATATTCTGTGAGTCAGGAATTTAAAGAGTGGCTTGACTAAGTAGTCTTGTTCCTGGACCAAACTCAGGGTCAGGTTGCTATTCTTGTGGCTGAATAACAAGATGCAAATGAACTGGGAGAAAAGGGAGTTTTTATTTCTGTAACCAGTTACAGGAAAAAGGCCTGGAAATTATGGCCAGGCCAATTCAAAATTGCAAAGTTCTCCAGAGCTTATATACCTTCTAAGCTCTATGTCTACATGTAAGCATGCATTCACCTAAAGACATAAGTGATTAACTTCTTTTAATCCATAACTAAGGTCTGAGTCTTGAAGATCTTCCTCTGGAGCCTCAGCAAATTTACTTAATCTAAATGGGTCCAGGTGCTGAGGTGACTATCCTTATCCTGTGTCCTGCTAAATCACAGAGGTTTGGGGAGTTCCTTCAGCCCCCCAATAAAACTTGTTTAATCCTAAATGGGTCCTGTTAAGTATTCCTTCAATACTTTGTGATGATTTAAGGCCCAGGAAAGGCCTAGGCAAAACTCTTGGTGGGCTTTTGTACATTCCAGCCTTTGTATAAGGACACTGGCTCTTTCAGCTTTTAATATTTAATTTAACCACTCAGTCAGTACTGAACAGTTGTTATGTAGGCCTGCATTAGTGAGACCTGGCCCTAAGGTATCTCATGAAGTTGCAGTCATCTATTGGCCAGGGCTGAAGTTACCTAAAGACTTGACTGAGGCTGGAGAATCTATTTTCAAGGTGACTCATTCAGGGGCTTGCAAGTTAGTGTTGGTATTGGTGGGAAGTTGTAGCTACCTTCCACAAAGGCCTCTCCACAGGACTACTTGAGCATCCTCATGGAATGGCAGTAGCTTCTCCCAGAGCAGATGCAAGAGAGCCAGAGGAAGTTGCAATGCCTTTATGACCTAGTCTTGTGACTCACACATTGCCTCCTCCATCATACGTCATTGGTTATAAAGAAAATAAAAATGTCTTACGCCAAAATATATTTCTTTGACATGTTTTAAGATGGCTGTCACAGAGTCAGCAAACAGAAGTAACTTGCAAAGCTGTTTTTGTTGGGGAGATTTGCATGTGAAGAGAATCTGCATTGATGCATCCAGGCCTCCCCTTGTCCAGATCTAGAAAAAAATAACTGTGAATCTGATACCTTTATAGGTCTGAAAGGAACATTTGTCATCTATTCTCTCTGAGGGTTGCTACCTGTGAGGTTTAATCTACATAACAAGATCACCTTTGCTAGCCAAGCCTCCTCTTCTCTACCTCTCATGATCTGTTTTGCCACCAACAGCTGATTTACCACCATAACCTGATTTTGACCATGCTTTAAGCCCCCATTCTTTCTGTAACCTCAAGTTGGTATATAATCTTCTGCACCCCATTAGGGATAGGATAATCACTCTGTGATCCTTCTCGTGCACACATTAATATATTTTGTATGCATTTTCTCAATTTAATTTGCCTTTTATGATTTGATTTTTCAGTGAATCTTCAGAGAGCAAAGGGGAAGTTTTTCCTTGGCTCCTACAGTCACATAGACCAGCTATCATTCATTTTGGGAGAGGACTATACAAGGACATAAATACCAGGAGGCAAATATCATGGAGGCCACTTTGGAAACTGACTACTAGTTAGTGACTGAATTTCATTAATGTTCAGCAGTGGAGTTCTTTTATATAGCCATCCAATGGGCCATGTAGGCTACACTAGTAGAGTGTTTCTATGGATGGGAGAAAAGTACAAAGAAACACTCAAGGATTTTGTTCAAATTACATGTAACATCTCTCCTCATTTCACATGCCAAGGGTCCGGTGTGTTCTCTATGAATGTGGGCTCCAAGGTTTTTGGAATTATGACCCTATTGAAATGACAATTAATTAAAAAATATAAGGGGTTGTATTCCTGAAGCCAGTAGAAAAACTTACTTCACTAAAGTAAGCCCTCAGGTGTCTTGCATTTCACAGACTCAGACCCAAGCCACTTATCCTGACTTATTCCACATAATCCATCACAAGCGGTTTCCAACTCCACTCAACCTCAATCTCTCTTTGACATTGTTTTTGTATGACCTTGGCACCCTCCTTAACCAGACATCAAGGTATCCGTCTAGTTTCCTCTACCCACACATCCTCAAGAACTATTTATATGGTTGACCCTGTGAAATATGGAGGCCAAGCAGTGCTGCTTCTGTGCTTTTATGAAATTATGTAGTACTGAATGCAGAAAATGTACACCCACTCTCTCTTTGGGGCAGGACACCGTTTGGACATGGCGAGAATGACAGGGGGAACAGTGTTTCTTTAGTGCCTTGATGTCAGTAATTTTCCTTTTTTCCCCAGAGTCGGAGTCTTCCTCTGTTGCCCAGGCTGGAGTTCAGTGGTGCGATCTCAGCCCACTGCAACCTCTGCCTCCCAGGTTCAAGTAATTCTCTTACCTCAGCCTCCCAAGTAGCTGGGATTACAGGCGCCCCCCACCACGCCCAGCTAATTTTTGTATTTTTAGTAGAGATGGGGTTTCACCATGTTGGCCAGGCTGGTCTCAAACTCCTGACCTTGTGAGCCACCATGCCCAGCTGATACTGGTAATTCTAGGAGTACTAGGAGACCAGATAGATAGCAGGGATTTTTGTGGAAATGGTCAGAGGTAGAGAAGTCAGTGAGATTCTTTGACAGACCTACAGGAACAAGGAAATTGATAAGAAAATTTATTGGAAGAGAAAAAGAAGTAGAAGGAATTATTCACTAAATATAAATGGTATACTTATGTATGCATGTGAAAAGTCCCCTAGGGGATCCCTGAAATAACTGAGAGACAATTTGAGGAAATCTGGAAGTCCCATAAGAGCAAGTCAAAGCAAGCATCATTAAATTAAATTTTACTGTTAGGGCATTAAAATGTCCTTACTGCATTTCAAGTATTGTGCTATGCTCTAATTACACCTTCTAAAGATAAGACTAGTCCTAAAATCTAGGGTTGGGTACAAATATAGCTGGAAGTTAAGCAGTTCTAGCTGTGATGAGAGAAAAACAATAGAGCAGGACTGTCCAATGGAACTTTCTGCAATGATGGAAATGTTTCATACCTGCACAATCTAATATGAGAGCCACTAGGTGCATGTGGTTCAAGAGTACTTGTAATGTGATTAGTGCAGCTGAGGTACTATATTTTTTGTTTTATTTCATTTGTTTAAGTTGAACACAGTTTCACAGAAGCCACATGTGGCTACTGGCTACAGGATTCTACAGTGCAGCTATAGAGACTTGGAGGCAAATAAGCCTGATAGTACCTAAAGACAGCACCATTGTCACCACCACCACCATTGTCAATGTAAGCATCATTGCAGTCATGATCATCACCATAATCATCATCATTATCATCACTGCCACATTAGCTCTTACAAATATCTTCTCACTGGAAAGCTGCAGTAATTAATTTCTTTAATCACCTGTCTGCTTTCATTCATGTTCCCTTCCAACGTACTACAACCAGAATGACCTTGATAAAAGCAAATGTAATTATACTACTGTTCTGCTTAAAATCTTGGAATGGCCCTGCATTAATTCAGCATAAAGTACAACCCCCTTAGCAAGGCTCATATGCTCCTTTTCCTACTCCTTATCCAGTTTCACAGGATTTTGATCCTTGCCTATTTCCCTGGCCTTATCTCTAGTTATTTTTTCATATATTCTATATTTCAGGGATACAAAATTTATTTATTTACTTAACTATACCATGCAGTGTTTTGTTTTTGTTTTTAACCTCCAGGTTTGTGTATCTTTTATTCCCTCTTTCTATAAGATTTTCCTCCCTTTTCTTTTTTGGGCACATCTTAGCCCTCTACAGGTCTCTGCTTAAAAGGCACATCTTTCATGAAGCTTTACCTGAATCCCTTCGGTGAGGGAGGTGAGGTATTACAGCTATGCTCTCCTAAAGTACCTGGATTAAGCTTATTATAAAACATACCAGGCTTTATTGAAACTACTTACTTAATGTCAATTGTTCTTGTTATACTGTGAGCTTCATGAGAGCCCTGCATTTGTCTATCATTTTAAATCAATGTGTACTTTAACTAGACCTCGGCCAGGTACAAAACAAGTATTTAATAAATGCTGGCTAAACAGATAAATGAAGAAATTTATACATCGGCCCTAATTTCCCTACCGTCACTACCACCTCCTGCCATCTCTAGAGAGTAGTACCACAGGCTCTAGTCCTGTTCTTACTTCCTTTTATTTTAAATCTTTCTGCTTTCTAGGTTCATCTGATTAACAAATTCTTGCTGCTCTTGGTTACTAATGGCAATAAATTACATTATAAAGAAGAATACATCTAAGCAATGTCATAATGAAGATTTATTGATTCAATGGGAAAGTTATTCTAAATGGAAATTTCTTACAATTGACAAGTGGTTGGGGAAGAAAGCTTAGGACAAGAGGCCCTCTCATTTTCATTCTCTAAGTCATTGCCTGCCTTGTAAATGATCACCTGCTCTGCTTATACATATAAATTTGGCCTTAGATTTTTTTGTTCCTGAACACATGTTGAAAATGGGGATTAAGTATACTTTAAGGATACTTAGAACTAGAAACACCAATTAAATTGGAAGAGGGTGATAGTTCAGCATAATGAAGCAGTGTTGAGGCATTTCAAATGAAAGAATTAGAAACAATACACACTCGGAAAATGTAGAGTCAGAGGAGGAAAATATCTGTTCCTGGCCAGACTTTATATGTGAAGTTTTTCATATATTAACTTATTGAATATTCATAACTGATAATATCTTGTTCCATTTTACAGCCAGAAAAACTGATGCTCACAGATGTTGAACACTAAGATGACATAGTGAGTAAAGAATTCACAACTCCATGTATATACCAATGCTCACATCATTAAACTACGCTTTCTTTCAACAGAAAAAAAATATCAACTCAAGAGTTTAGGGGAAGAATGGCCACTGTAATAAAAAGTCTAGAGAGTGTTCTCTGAGCTGGATGAAAGGGAACAATTAGGAACAGAAGAAAACAAAATGGCTCATGTGAGGACATGACACTTAGTGAGAGAAATGAAAAAACCAGTTTGATTCTTTCATGTGAAGACCTTCCTTTTGCATAGAAGAGACAAATGGCCACTCACTAATGAGATCTTATGGTATACAAAGCCCCTCTCTTTAACCTGCCTCATTGCCTGGGATTTGCTCTATCAGAGTCACTCCTGCGGCAAGAAACAGTCCTATTAAAATATAGGACCCATATTATATATACTCAGTCTATAATGGCAACATGACAATCTTTGTCTAATACTGCCCTAAGTAAATACCTGTTGTTTTTGCCTGTCACAATTCTCTCCCCACTTTTGGTAATAGTATATCAAATTTTCATGGGGAAACCATCCCTTTTTCATTTTCAGCCTACATAATTACAGCAGGACTGACTTACTTTTTGCTTCTAGATGTGTGATAACTAATTGGTAATCATTAGAGAACCTAGTCCTCTGAGTGGTGAAGAAATGGGCATATCAGTGAGAATTCTATCCAGGACTTTGCTGCAATAGCTGGGAAAGTGTTGTTCTCCTTCCACCAGTTTCTAAGCATGTGTGTGTTGTAAGCTTGAACCTGTTTGTGGTTAGTTCTGTTACTATATCTTTGGTGCTATGTTAGTCAGGGTTCTCTAGGGGAACAGAATTGATAGCATAGATGTGTATACGAAGGAAAGCTTATTAAGGAGTATTGACTCACAAGATCACAAGGTGAAGTCCCACAATAGGCCATCTGCAAACGGAAGAGCAAGGAAGCCAGTCCGAGTCCCAAGACCTCAAAAGTAGGGGAGCTGACAGTGCAGCCTTCAGTCTCTGGCCAAAGGCCTGGGAGCCCCTGGCAGATCACTGGTGTAAGTCCAAGAGTCCAAAAGCTGAAGAACTTGGAGTCTGATGTTTGAGGGCAGGAAGCATTCAGCAAGGGAGAAAGATGATGACCGGAAGACTCACCAAGTCTAGTCCTTTCAACTTCTGCCTGCTTTATTCTAGCCATGCTGGCAGCTGATTAGATGGTGCCCACCCAGATTGAGGGTGGGTCTGCCTCTCCCAGTCCACTTACTCAACTGTTAATCTCCTTTGGCATCACCCTCACAAACACACCCAGGAACAATACTTTGCATCCTTCAGTTCAATCAAGTTGACACAATATTAACCATCATGAGTGTGAACCTAAGAAGTGGGTCAATACCAAGAAGAGCAAAGTTGAGAAGTGGAGAGAAACAGATATTTAATGATAACAAAATGTGAATATGTCTTCAGATGTGTGATCTGATGTCTACCTACTTGACTAGGATTTTTGTCCTTATACAGTTTTAATTGAGTTTGATCACTAGTAAACAATAGTCCTAACTAATTCAGCAGCTGTTATTATAAATTAAGTCTGAGGCGTCACTGATTATTAAACTTGGAAACTTACATAAACTCAGGTTTGCATTGTCTTTTATGAGTACTTTTCTAGATCAAAGTTGCACATTTTCTCCTCTGCAAATTTTACTAGACCAAGCATAATACAACTCTTATGTGTTGGCTGTTAATCTGTCACTGACATATCTGAGTAGCTATTCAGATTCATGCCTGATGAGATTGAGATATAAGATGGAGCATTTTGCATGAAGAGTGCAGAGACTAGGAAAAAGTAACAGCCAGAATAAAGCAGGTACCAAAATGTGACTGCAAGCCCATAAGTAAAAAATTCTATTATTAGGAAAAAATATTTCTAGAGAACCTAAAACGAAAAGAGCTTTTCCACATGTTTGACTTTGTTTCATCCTCACAATTCGTGAAGTAGTTATTTTACCCAACTTGCTAAAATTTGTAGAGATGAGGAAGCTGAGGCAAAGAAAAGAGCAACCTGCCTATCAATACAATGGCAAAGAATACAGCATAGGTATGAACCCAGAGAATCTAGAGCCATAGACCTGTTCCACTAACCACTGCTTTAGTGGTCCTCAAAGTGCCATCTCCTGAGTGCTCTTGAGATCTTTCCATGAGATCCATCAGGCCAACATTATTTTCCTAATAACACTAAGGCATGATTTGCCTTTTTCATAGCAACATTTACACTCATGAGGCAAAATATTTGTGGATAAACTGCTGGTGCCATTGCAAAGATGAATGCAGTGGCATCGAACTGTACTGGTAGTCATTGTGTTCTTCACACACTCAGAAAACAATAAAACTCTTAATGCCAAGGACGTCAACGTTATACTTGATAAAGCAGTAAAATTATTCATCATATTAACTTCTCAACACTTGCATGTATGTCTTTTCAGTATTCTGTGTATGATGAAATGACAAGTACACATAAGCCCTTTATATTGCTTGTAAACTATGATGGTTGTCTGAAGGAAAAGCACAGGTGTGCTTACTTGAATTGAGAGATGAACTAGCCACTATTTTTTTTTTTTTTTTGAGAAAAGACCTCACTGTGTCACCCAGGGTAGAGTGCAATGGCGTGATCTCAGCTCACTGCAACCTCCGCCTCCTGGGTTCAAACAATTCTCGTGCCTCAGCCTCCCAAGTAGCTGAGATTACAGTTGCACACCACCACGCCCAGCTAATTTTTGTATGTTTTGGTAGTGATGGAGTTTCACCATGTTGGTCAGGCTGGTCTCGAACTCCTGACCTTAAGTGTTCCACCTACCTCGACCTCCCACAGTACTAGGATTACAGGCATGAGCCACCATGCCCGGCATTTTTTTTTTTAAATAGAACAAAGAATGAGAGACAAATTAGGGTTACTCACACTTGGATATTTTGTAGATAATTTCTCAAAAATGAATGAAGTGAGCCTGTCACTACAAAGTCAAAAAGATGACAATATTTATTGCCATTCATAAAACTTGAGCTTTTAAGCAAAAACTAGAATTTTTGAAAACTTATATTTAGCACTGTGCACTTAATAACTTCCTAATAAAGACTCTTCTCAGCGAGGCATGGTGGATCACACCTGTAATCCCAGCACTTTGGGAGGCCGAGGTAGGTGGATCACTTGAGGTCAGGTGTTTGAGACAATCCTGGCCAACATGATGAAACCCTGTCTCTACTAAAAATACAAAAATTAGCTGGGTGTGGTGGCACACACCTATAGTCCCAGCTACTTGGGAGGCTGAGGCAGTAGAATTGCTTGAACCCGGGAGGCAGAGGTTGTAGTGAAACAAGCTTGCACCACTGCACTCCAGCCTGGGCAATAGAGCAAGACTCTGTCTCAAAACAAAACAAAAAATAGACTCTTCTCATGGTATCAATGATGATATTAAAAATGAAAAGTGTCAGCATTTGGAAGATATGCATAATTCAGTTAACCAGTGTTTTTTAAGTGATCGATCTATATTACAAAATTGCTCACAAGTAAATGATTCAAAGTGCTAAACCATGGGTTATAATGTAAGTGCAAGAAGTTCATAATTATGGTTTCAGAGTCCACTTTGCAACTAACCTTTAAGAAATTACTAATTGTCAAAATTTTCAGTGCAGTATCAAAAAGAATATATGAAATATTTTGACTATTCTTAATGTTCAACCAAAATTATCACAACAAATTGAATTCAGAAGCATATATACTAAGCCAACTATTAAAGAGATTTATAAAAAGTAAGACAATGGCACTCATCACACTAATTGCTTTTGTATGTTTTGAAAAAGAGTTATTTTTATTAAAAACATTATTTTAACGTGTAATTTTATTATTAATATTTTTAAATTATTTAATGAACATATATTTTAAATTTCTCACTTTTAATTATTAAGATAGTAAATATCAATCATAAAAATTACATAAATACAAGCTCTTGGGGTTCCTTAATAACTTTTAAGAGTATAAAGGGATGCAGAGACCAAAAATGTTTGAGAATCATGGCAATATTCTGCTTCTCAAACATAAAACAAATGTAGTATGGTTCTTCCTTCAAGTAACTTGCCTTTTAGAGGAAAGGGGAAACTAAAAAATAAGTAAACAAAATACATACAGTTGGAGAAAAATGCTTTGAAATAAATGACTCCAGGACTGTGATGATAATAATTAGAGGGAGAATAGGAAGTGGGCTAATTTTTCACTGGACTGTTCAGAGAAGGCCTCCTTAGGGAGGTGACAGTTAAGCTGAGATGAGAAGATTAAGAAGGTGTCAGCAATGCAGCAAGCTAAGGGAACAGTCACAGGGGATGGCAATGTAAAGAGGCCGAGGCAGTGTAAAAAGCTTACACTAGATTCCAGAATTGTATCATCCCAAAGCCCATGCTGCACTCTCCTTCTCACAAACCTCAACAGATTTCTCTTAGGCCAGTTGTGCTCTGGCCCTTGGAATAATCCACCTGGAAAACAGAGTGGAGATTGTTTTGAATCTTCCTGAGTGATGGCTTTACATTCAGTTAGTTGGCAGGTTAATCCAGAGTTTGCAAACAGCCTTCCGTTGCTCTAAGGAGTGGAACTCTCAGGAGCAATCCTTGTCAGCAGTGCCAGGAAACTGCTGCTGTTGCAAGAAATAGGAAAAAGAGTGGAATTTAATTTTACTGAAAGAAGATTTAAAGGGTACCTATAAATTGTGTAGCTAGTTTTCTATATCTTGGCCCCAGTCTGGAATTTTTCAAAGTAAATTATTTGAGCCAATTTCACTGTGGTTGCAAATATTACGTCGTGCGCTGTGATCTCTGAAGCATGTGCCTTTTGCTGAGCTAGCGTTCTGTAAAACTGCTGTGAGCTACTGAAGACAGTGGTAGTTCTCACTGAAAGGGTTCTCTTATTCTCCACTCCCCAAGACGCTCGTGAAGGGCTCAGAGGCAAAAAATGAAATGACATCTGTGTAGTAAATGTGAAAAACTATAAGCATGATTTCACAGAATTATGGAATTTCTTTTTATTTCCAAAAGTTGGATGGTAATACCTACATCACCTCCTGTCTGGAGTGAGCTTTTACAAAGAAGTAATTGGGCAAACTTTAAAGGAGTACATGTGTCAGTATCACAGTGCAGACGTTCATGTGGAAGCACTAGCTCAGATGCAGAGGGAGAGCATGAAGGAGAAGCTACATGCTGGGTTCGCATGACACAAATCAGCTGGGTGACTAAGATAATTAAGCAACCCACGATTTGATTCATAAGTCACATCTCTGATTTATAGCCTTGCAGTCGAAAGAGCCTGTGTTCATGGCTAGATATCATAGGGGGAACCATAGATACTTTCCCTGCACATAGATGATGAGGCAGTTTATCTTAGGCTTCCTTTCATTCTTCTCTATTGGGAAACTATACTTTCATTCTTCTCTATGTTACCCTCTCCTTCACAAAAGGAAATTTACTCTCAGAGTTTTAGTTATTGCCCCTGTGGTGATGACTCAAATATTTATGTCCAATCCTGGCCTTCCTGGAAGTTAATATTCTTCATGTTTGTCTGTTGGATGTTTCACTGTATAGGCACGTATCCAAAATCCAACCACACATTTAAAATCAGGTCCTTGACACGACTCTCACTGTTGATGTCATCTCCTGTCTTCTCATTTTTGCACCTGGCTGCTTTTCTTTTCCGGTTTTGGGAGTCAAAATTGGGAAGTTACTGGTGGTTTGTATGCTTCATTGCTTACGTGAAACCCACCAGTACCACATGTCAGCCTTGAGCTAGGAGTGCCTAGAGGTTGTATGCTTAAACTGAAGCATGCTAAGAGTATACTGAAGTAGTAGCCTGGATTCCACAGGGCTTGATTCTCTGTCCTAGGACAGTAAAGTTGTAAGAGAGCAAAACCAAGGTGAGATTCCTCAGATGAAATCACCTTAATGGAAGCAACCTAAGGAGGAGAAAATTTATGAATTTCAATTGGCTGAAATCCCTGAAATAGGCCTGGGGTTTGTTTTTTCTTTTGAACAGCCCTTCAACTCTTCTTTCAGTTCTGTGATGATTTCTCCAATTAATTTCTCCTTTCGAAGAGGTTGAATAAGGAAGGGTGAGGGAGCTGAAATTAACCTGGAGGTTTTTGCTTTTATTTTTGTTTTTTGTTTTTCTTATTTGCAACCAGAAGAACCAAACAAATACATAGGACAACTTACAAATCTGAGCTACATAAAAATCCAATAAATTTATTAGATAAAACAGATAAGTGGTGCTGCTCTAATTAAAGTGAGTGTGAGGGACTTCTGTAAGCCCAGTGCTCTCTCTCTGTCTCTTTCTTCCTCTCTGTCTCTTTCTTCCTCTCTGTCTCTCTCTCACACACACACACGCTCCCTCTCTCTCCCATGCTCTGAGGTAACCTCCAAGGCATAAATCTTGGCACTCTGAAGTGTGCCATTGAAAAATAATTTTTCTGTATCCATTCACAAGTCATGTCAGCTGTTTCTTTAAAATATATTTCATTTTCCTTCCCAACCCACATGCTGTCCCCACCACTGCTAGAGTCTTAATTTGTATCATCTCACACATAACTTTTATTAATATATTCTAGCTGTTTTCTCTGTTTAACATTATTACCTATTTTAAGACATCCTATAAATATGATTATCCATGGCTATCTATTTATCTAAAACCTACAATGGCTTCCTTCCGTTGAGTGAACTCCAAGCCCCTGCATAAACTGAGTAACTGTTAGCTGAGACAACTCTGGTTTTAATTACATCCCCAAATGCATCATTCAGTGCAAGCAGTCTAGGATTCTTATAAAATAAGCACAATCATTCCTTCTGCTACGTCTTTATTCAGGCCTTTTCTCCCTTAGAGAATGTAATCCCTTCCCTAGACCAATTGATTCTTTAATGTCCAGGTCAAGTTTCACCCATTTTCTTCCCCATTCTAAAACGGCTTTTATAGTCTATTGCACAAAATTTAGTATATTATAAGCAACTATCTCATGCTGTTGCCTAATGTTCTTTGTTTGTTTGTTTGTTTGTTCTGAGACAGAGCCTTGCTCTGTTGCCCAGGCTGGAGTGCAGTGGTACGATCTTGGCTCACTGTAGCCTTCACCTCCGCCTCCCAGGTTCCAGCGATTCTCCTGTCTCGGCCTCAAAAGTAGCTGAAATTACAGGCATGCACCACCACATCCGGTGCATTTTTTTTTTTTTTTTTGGTATTTTTGGTAGAGACGGGGTTTTGCCATGTTGGCCAGGCTAGTCTCGAATTCCAGGCCCCAAGTGAACTGCCTGCCTCGGCCTCGCAGAGTGCTGGGATTACAGACATGAGCCACTGTGCCCAGCCTCTAGTGGTATCTTTGATAGCCTGTGAGACATACTAGATTAAGCTTCTAAATTGTGTGCATCTTAGACCAAGAAAAGTGTATTTACACATATCTGAGGCTGACGGTGATTGCCTACCCGGTTTGTATTTTTATGAAAAATCAAGGTTAATTCTAAAAAAAAAAAAATCAATCTATTAAGGATAATTCTAAAGAAATCCATCTAGAAAAATAAGCACCTAAACTGTTACAAAGCCAGTCAGTTATAGAGAAATTAATGTCAGTGCAATAGTGGTGGAGCAACTCATATTATCCACTTATTCAATGCTTTTCTCCAGAAACTAGTGCCAAAGTTTGAGTGGAAACAGTGGTTGAAAATAAAAGTGATTCAGCTAAAATTTTGACTGAGACCTTGAAAGCAATGTTTTATAATCTGTAGAAGACAGGGGAATATAAAGCATAAACATAAGAAAGGAGGACGAGGACATTGTGAATGCACACAAGGGGAGTTCATAAAC
The DNA here is from genome assembly GCF_000001405.40 of Homo sapiens. NCBI lineage: Eukaryota > Metazoa > Chordata > Mammalia > Primates > Hominidae > Homo > Homo sapiens. Next base: position 26,780,738 of record NC_000011.10, read on the forward strand.
TTGATAAACTCACATCAGGAAAAGATGAGAAACCGATAAAACATAAGGGGTAAGAATATCAGAGCCTCCTTGACAACCAGAAGATCATGACTCAATATGTCCGAGTAAAGTAAAAATGTCTAGTACCATACCATGACAGTGGAAATGGTTACATTCCCCACATTCACTGCATTTGCTGAAGGAAATGGTAAAAATTCCTATGTTAGCTAAAAGGAATGAATTCACAAGCACTGGAGTTACTCTAAGGGGACTTCATAAACTAGCTGGAAAGGGGCAAAACCTAAAGAGCACTCAAATTACCATGATTCTCATAATTGTGCTTGTGAGAATAGAATTAGAAAAATTCAACTTTGCTATTATGTTGGTGAATTGATTTAATCCATGAGCCAAAAAGCCTGGAAACACAAAAGTGAGGTTTACCTAGAGTCATTATATGCCCCAGTTGCAAAGAATAACACTAGAATGTATGCACTTCCTACAACAAAGAATAACACTAGTATGTATGCACTTAAAAGTGCCCCAGTATGGAAAAAAAATAGTCACCCCACTATTTGTAGAGTTTTTCCATACTATAATTTTTATCTCTTGAGATAAGAGATATGCAACTCTGACCTGGCTAAAGACCTCAAACTGACAGGGCCTGGAGGTGAGCTTCAACTTCAGCGCTTTTGACTAACCAAAGCTTAAGATTAGAAGGGAGGGAAGAAGGAAAAAAAAACATGGAGATTGATGCTAAATTTATCTTGGGCTGATATAACATTCTTTTCAACCTCTGACTGGATGCAAAGTTCTTCAGAACTTCTTTTGCTTTCTTTGTACTTTCAAAGTAATTTTCTCTCATTTGTACATTGTTTTGTTTTATTTTTCACCTTCAAATAAGTAAGGTGAGGTGACATGGTTAGGGAAGGATAAACAATCAGGCTTGCTCCTAGTTTCCCTAACAGAATCCCTTATATTGTCACAGCTAAAATGTGCTAATCTGTTTCACAAGTATTATGTCATTAGAGTTCCCCAATAATCTTGTAACTAAGAACTATTTATTTGCCATTTTAAAGAGGGGAAACTGAGTTCAGGAATATCATGATTTTTCAAGTTGTTAGAGAGTAGCAGCATGGGAAATCTAAGGCAAATCTTCATAATTTTAGTTCAGATTTCTTTCCACTGTAGAAGATTGCCTTGAAAATCTCCTGTTTCCATCATCTAGAGTACTTGACCAGGGACCTTCTATAAATTTAGCACAGGTTTCATCTTGTAATACACAATTCAGTACTTAATTCTTGGGGCACTGCAGGCCTTGTAAGAGCTTAGAGAAAAGTACAAACATTACTTTTCTATTCTATGTTTCAATCATCTTTTAAATTACTTGACATATTCATGTCTAAATTCAAACAATTAAGACTTCCTCTGCATTTGTTCTATACATCTCAAGGTGTGGGATATCTCTCTTGATTAGCTAGATAGATAGAGATCTATATTAATCTATATATATGCCACTAGTATGCTAGAGATATGTATCCTTATTGGTGTCTTCCAGATAGTAGTATGTAGTTTTCATGGGCCAGAGTTTGCTTTTGTTTTTGTTTTCAATTACAAAATTGTATATATTTATCATGTGCAACATGTTGTTTTGAAATACATATACAGTGTGGAATGGCTAAATTGAGCTAGTTAACATATGCATTACGTCATATATTTATAATTGTTTTGTTGTGAGAACAGTTCAAATATACTTTCTTAGCAATCAGCAAGAATTTTTGAGCCATGTGAATAAGTAAGCACCTTTAAATGTGCAACAATTGGGAAGTAGCCATATACAGTACGTTAAGATAGGCATTTTCGGTATTTTACCAGGTATTTATTGATTTCTATCAAGTGTATCCTCAAGTACTATTAATGCTAATAGATGTTCCACATGTTTTAGGAGAAAAATAGTATGTTTTTTAGGATAAGAGAAACATTAAGTTTCTAAGAGACTGGACTCCTGAGAAATTGTGATGGCAAAGAATAAAAGCAGAGCACAGTTTCACAATTAAATAATTCTGGGCAAATGTCCTACTAGGTTTCTTAGACAATTTTATTTCTTGGACAGCAGGTACAGAGAATTGAGTAACCCGTGCTCCTCACTTCATTGTACATCATACTCAATTATTCCAGCATGTTCCTTTCCTTATTTTATTCTATTTATTTTTATTCTCTCCTTCATCCCTCCCACCCCATTGTCATTTCCCTACCACTGATTCCTTTATGCTGAATTCACCATAAATTATTCAATATGTTCTTTGATATGTATGTAATAGGGTTTGGCTTTGTTTCCCTACCCAAATCTCACTTTGACTTATAATAATCCCCACATGTCAAGGGCAGGACCAGGTGGAGGTAATTAAATCATGGGGGCAGTTTTCCCCATGCTGTCCTTGCGATAGTGAGTGAATTCTCACAAGATCTGATGGTTTTATAAGGATCTGGCATTTCTCCTGCTGGCACTCATTCCCTCTCCTGTTGCCCTGTGAAGAGGTGCCTTCCACCATAATTGTAAGTTTCCTGAGACCTCCCCAGCCATGCAGGACTGTGAGTCAATTAAACTTCTTTCATTTATCTTTCCTTTATAAATTACCCAGTCTTGGGCAGTTCTTTATAGCAGCATGAGAACAGACTAATACAGTAAATTGGTATTGAGGGGTGGGGCACTGCTATTAAAATACCCAAAAATTTGGAAGGGACTTTGTAACTGGGTAGCAAGCTGAGGTTGGAACAGTTTGGAGGTCTCAGAAGAACAGAAAAATGTGGGAAAGTTTGGAGCTTCCTAGAAACTTGGAGGGCTCAGAAGACAGGAAGCTGTGGGTAAGTTTGAAACTTCCTAGAGACTTGTTGAATGGCTTTGACCAAAGTGCTGATAGTGATGTGGACAATGAAGTCCAGCTTGAGGTGATCCCAGCTGGAGATGAGGAATTTTTTGGGAACTGGAATAAATATGACTCTTGCTATGCTTTAGCAAAGAGACTGGTAGCTCTTCATAAATTACCCAGTCTCACTGCCCTAGAGATGTGTGGAACTTTGAACTTGAGAGAGATAACTTAGGGTATCTGGCAGAAGAAATTTCTAAGCAGCAAAGCATTGAAGAGTTGACTTGGGTGCTGTTAAAAGCATTCAGCTTTATGCATTCACAAAGTTATGGTTTGGAATTGGAAGTTATGTTTATAAAGGAAGCAGACCATAAAAGGTTGGAAAATTTGCAGCCTAATGATGCAACAGAAAAGAAAAAAAAAACAATTTTCTGAGGAGAAATTCAAGCTGGCTATAGATATTTGTATATGTAATGAGGATCCAAATGTTAATCGCCAAGACAATGGGGAAAATGTCTCCAGGGCATGTCAGGGTTCTTCATGTTAGCCCCTCCCATCACAAGCCTGGAGGCCTAGGAGGAAAAAATGATTTCATGGGACTGGCCCAGGGCCTTGCTGCTTTGTACAGTCTCGGGACTTGTTGCCCTGTGTCCCACCATGGCTAAAAGGGGCCAACGTACATCTCAGGCTATTGCTTCAGAGGGTGCAGGCCTCAAGCCTTGGTGGCTTAAATGTGTTCTTGGGCCTGCAGGTACACAGAAGCCAAGACTTAAGGTTTGGGAACCTCCACCTAGATTTCAGGAGATGTATGGAAATGTCTGGATGTCCAGGCAGAAGTTTGCTGCAGGGGAAGAGCCCTCAGGAGAACTTCTGCTAGGGGAGTGCAGAAGGGAAATGCGGTGTTAGAGCCCCCACACGGAGTCCCCACTGAGGCACTGCCAGTGGGGACCTCATAGTGGAGGTATGAGAAGAGGGCCACCATCCTCCAGACCCCAGAATGGTAGATCCACCTACAGCTTGCACCATATGCCTGGAAAAGCCATAGGCACTCAATGCCAGCTCATGAAAGCAGCCAGGAGCGGGGGCTGTACCATGCAAAGCCACAGAGTCAGAGCTTCCCAGGGCTGTGGGAGCCCACCTCTTGTATCAGCATGACCTGGATATGAGACATGAAGTCAAAGGAGATAATTTTGAAACTTTAAGGTTTAATGATTGCCAGCTGGGCACAGTGGCTCACAATCACAGTGCTGTAATCCCAGCACTTTGGGAGGCCGAGGTGGGCAGATCATGAGGTCAGGAGTTCGAGACCAGCCTGACCAACATGGTGAAACCCCCTCTCTACTAAAAATACAAAAATTAGCCAGGCATGGTGGTGTGCACCTATAATCCCAGCTACTCAGTAGGCTGAGGCAGGAGAGTCACTTGAACCTGGGAGGCAGAGGTTGCAGTGAGCTGAGAGTGCACCACTGCACTCCAGCCTAGGTGACAGAGTGAGACTCAAAAACAAAAAAAAAGAAAAAAGAAAAAGAAAAAGATTTAATGATTGTCCTATTGGATTTTGGACTTGCATGGATTCTGTAGCCTCTTTGTTTTGGCCAATTTCTCCCATTTGAACAGGTGTATTTACTCAATGCCTGTACTCATATTGTGTCTAGGAAGTAACTAATTTGCTTGTGATTTTACAGGCTCATAGATGGAAGGGACTTGCCTTGTCTCAGATGAGACTTTGGATTTGGACTTTTGGGCTAATACTGAAATTAGTTAAGACTTTGGGGAACTGTTGGAAGGGCATGATTGTGTTTTGAAAAGTGAGGACATGAGATGTGGGAGGGTTGAGGGGTGGACTGATGTGGTGTGGCTCTATGTACCCATCCAAATCTCACCCTGAATTGTAATAATCCCCACAAGTCAAGGGTGGGACCAGGTGGATGTAATTGAATGATGGGGACAGTTCCCTCATGCTGTTCTTGTAATAGTGAGTGAGTTCTCACAAGATATGATGGTTTTATGATTGTCCAGCATTTCACCAGCTGGTGCTCATTCTCTCTTCTGTTGCCCTGTGAAGAGGTGCCTTCTGCCATGATTGTAAATTTTCTGAGGCTTCCCCAGCCATGCAGAACTGTGAGTCAATAAAACCACTGTTCTTTATAAATTACCCAGTCTCAGGCAGTTCTTTGTAGCGGCTGAGAACAGACTAATACAGTATATATCCCTGAAAGAAACTTTCTTGCTCCAATTTTTACTTTTTAAAAAACTCAGCATGTTTCCTTCCTTGCTTCCTTCCTTCCTCCCTTCCTTCCTTCCTCCCTTCCTTCCTTCCTTCCTCCCTCCCTCATTCTTTCCCTCTCTCCCTCCTTTCTCTCTCTTTCCTTCTTTCTCTTTCTCTCTTTCTTTCTTTTTTGTCTCTATCTCTCTTTTTCTTTCTTTTCTTTTACTTTCTTTCTCTCTTCACAGTCTCATGCTGTTGCCCAGGCTGGAATGCAGTGGTACAGTCATAGCTAACTGAAGCCTCAAGCTCCTAGGCTCCAGGGATCCTCCCACCTCAGCCTCATAAATAGCTAAGACTATAGGGGTGCACCACCATGCCTGGCTAAGTTTTTCTAAAAGATGAGATCTGTGTTACCCAGGCTGGTTCAAAATTACTGGTCTCAAGGAATCCTGATGTGGCCTCCCAAAACTGAGATTACAGGCATGAGCCAACATACTTGGCCCCCTTTTCCTTAAATCTATCCATCTTGCTGTTAGCAATCTAATTTACTACTGGAAACTTCTGCATAATATTTTATCACTGCAAATTCACCCACTGCATTTTGTTCATCTATATCTTCTGTGATGGACATCCAACTTCCCCCAATTTGCTATTTCCTTAAACAATGATGTACTAAACTTTCTCATACCTACCTTTTCATGGAATTGTGGGAAAGTTTCTCTGGCATATACATATAAGAGTAGGATTATTTGTTTGTGAGAGATACCATAACTTATTCCATCCAGTCTTTCCAAATTACTCTCCAGAAAGGCAGTAACTGGTTAAACATTTACTAGCAGTGCATAAGCATTCCTCACAATCTTAGGAACACGGCATAATCCAATTTTATATTGTTGTTAACCTGCTGAGTATAAAGTTATTTTAATTTTTACTTTTCAGATTACTATAAATTTGAATAACTCATAAACATAGTGATTTTTATTTCCTTTTTTGATTTATTTTTATCCTTTTCCAGTTGATTTTGTACTGTATTCAAACATTTTTCTCTTATCAGTCATCACTCATCTGCTAACTTTGTCTGTAACATCCTCTCTTGAAGAGATGTCTAAACTTTGATAAAGTCACATCAATCTATTTTCCTCCTTAAGGTATGTGCTTTTGTGAGTGTTATTTAAAAAATACTTTCTCACTTGAAGTTTGAAGAGACATTTTCCCATTGGTTTTGACTTTTTATTTTATTTTATTTTTGAGACGGAGTCTTGCTCTGTCACCCAGGCTGGAGTGCAGTGGCGCGATCTCAGCTCGCTGCAGTTTATTTTTATATTTAAGTTTCAGATTACTTATGGTTTATATTTGTATAAGGTAGAAATCTAACTTTATTTTTCTCCATATAGTAAGTCTTTTTTTCTCAGCAATATGAATTAAACATTTACTCTTTTCCCTGTGATGTTTATGCCTCTTGTATCATTTGAAAATGTACATACGCATATTGTGTCTGTGTGTGTGATATTTGTTTCATTGCTTTCTGTTTTATTAATCTATTTGCCTATAAACAGATCAGTACTACATTTTTTATTAATATATTTTTATAGCTTGTATTAGTATCTGGTTAGTCTTTAACTTCTATTTTATTATTTCTTAAGTAGCCTTTGCTATTCATGAAACTTTGTCTCTCATAAACATTTTAGAATCAGTTTTCAAGTCTGCCTTCAAAGGTTTGCTATATTTTGAGCAGAATTGTTTTGAATTTTTAATTCTTCTGGAAAAAAATTAACATCTTTACAATGTTTCATAATTTAATTGACAAAGACAGTATTGTTCTCCCTTTGTTCTGATACTTCTTTTTATAAGTTTAATAATTTTTTAAATTGTTTCTATAGAGTCATTTTGCATTTTTAATAAGGTAAATCCTAGAGAGCTTATACATTTTTAATGTTCTTATTAAAATAGTATTTTTATTTTCTGTATATCCTTAATAAAGAAATTTGGCCGATTTTCTTAGAATTTATTTTCTCTTCAGCAGCCTTGTTAAATTTTCATTTTAATTCTGATAATTTTCCTACTAATTTGTTGAGTTTATAAGCAGATGAATAATCATAGCTTACTTTTCTCTGCCAAGATATATACCATTTCATTATTATTTTTCCTCTTGGAATGTGTTATCTAGGATATCCAATACTCTGTTGATTAGGGGTTTAAATAGTTGCTAAACTTATTTTGTTTCTGACTTTATTAAACACAATGTGTTTGATGATTTTCTATTAAGAAGTGTGGTTATTATAATTTTTTTGGTTTTTAACTAAATCATATAAAATTCCTACTCTTTTAGTTTTTCAAAATCACAAATGAAAGAAAATTTTTATGTGGCTTCCCTTTCTAAATTTTTTAAGAACTTTAAAAAATGATAAATAATTAAATTGTAATATAATATATTGTTACATGATTTTTTCTTTGTACTATTAAGATGATTAATGGTATTTGCAAGTTTCTCTAATGTTAAAATGTCCTTATTTGTCTGGGATTAATTCTCCTTGATAATAATATTATACTCATTTTTAATATACTATTGAATTAGGTTAGCCAAGATTTTTATCTGGTTATTCAATATGCATTCATTAGCATAATCAGACTATATATTCTTTTTAAAATGGTCTTTATCAACTTTTGGAATCAAGTTTCCAGTATGGTTACAAAATGATGTAAGAATTTTGTTTCCATTTTTCCAGCCATTTCTATAAGAATGATTATCTGTCTCTTGAGAGTTAAGTAGAACTCATCTTTAAAAGCACTTACTCATGAGCTCTTTGGGAAGGGGGATGGAAAGGGGTTGTTTGAGATCAATATTTCTATTTATTTAATGAATTGTTAAAATATTGGTTTTCTATTTTTTGTTCCAGTTTTGCTATTTTATGTTTTGCCAGATAGCTACTAATTTTATCAAAGTGTTTAGTGGGCTATATATCTCTATTATAAATGTTAAGAGCCAGCAATTTATTTTCTTTCTGTAATAACAACTCCCTCAGAATAACACTCCCACTTCCTTCATCTGTATTACCCTGAAATTTTCAACTGGAAAAGACAGATGTTGTCATACTTTTATAAATCTTATTCTTAAATTACTTGTAAAAACCCTATAAAACCTGTGCCTTATTTGAACCATCTACATATTTAAAAACCTCTTCAGGTGTGCCAATATCCTAGGAGTTTCAAAACAAACTAATATGACTATTAATATACAACTGACATAAATCTATAATTTCAGGTTGATTATTCATACAAAAATGAAGTTTAAACTTGGCAGGGATTGTGGCTTTGTCTAGCTACTCAATAAAGCACTGTATGTAATTGTAAATCCTTTCTCCTGCATACCTTCAGTGCAAATGTATATCATGGACAGACCCTCTTTAAGGTGCATATATCCACATTGCATGACGTTGTTAGGGAAGACTCTTAGTTTTCTTTTAGTCTTCACTAGGAACAGTGGAGAATATTTTAAAAACAACCAACTATCTTACCAGCTGAAAATAAGACTTTTATATAAGCCATGCCATGAATTTGAAGAAACATTTGTTTTTGGGAAATATCTCAAAATAAATGGTTCCATGCTTTTCTTGAAAACAAGTGTACTAGCTGATAAGGCACTAAATATCAAGTAAAATAGAGAATGATAGAGTTTATGTCATTTGGATTAAACTAGCCCTTTATATTGTAACCTTGGGTAAGTCACTAAATAAGTATAAGCCTCAGATATTTATCATCTTTAAAATAATAAAAATTGCAATAACATTGCAGTTCTGAAACTCTATCATATTTGAAGATGTTATGTATTCATCAATATGTCAAGTATTAATGAACAGCTATTATATATCTGGTACTATTCATGAAGCTGGGGATGTAGCAGTGAACAAAACAGACAAACCTTTTGTCATCATGGAACTTACAAACTAGTGGTTAGTATGTGATAAAAAATATTAACATCAATAGATAATATATAGTGGTGTGAGAAAATAAAACAGAGTAAGGGTGTAAATACCGAAGGAGTGAAATATGTTAGCTAAGGTGCACAGGAAAGATCTTTCTCAGGAGGTTATATTCCAAAAGTAATTTCATAAGATTGAGAGGAATAAAAACTCCAGAGATATTTGAGTAAAGAGTTTAATGCCATAGGAGATAGCTATGGAGGTAGAAGTAAGTTTAGCACATTTGAGAAACAACTAGCCTATTTGGCAGAACAACTAAGTATGGCAAAAAGTGGAAAAGACTTTGGTTGAGGGAGCAGGGGCTGGAAGGAATTAGCCATAGTGAACACCTTGGATTTGTCCTCAGCGTGATGGGAAGTCACTGGAAGATCTGAAGAGAAGAGTAAAGTAATGTGATTTACATTTTTAAAAGATCACTTTACTGTATAAGAAAAGGATAGAGGTAAGACAAGGCTAGAAATTGTGAAACTAGGAGGTGATTGCCAAAGTCTAGGTAGAAAGAAGATGGCATCTTGAACTAAGGAGGTTATGGTGATGGTAGGGAAGAATGCTAAGATTCAAGATATAGTTAGACTGTAAAGTCACAAGAATTACTACTAAATAGGAAGAGGTGTCTGAGAGAAAGGGTGGGAATAAGGACAACTCCTGTATTTCTAATCTGTGCTATAGGTAGGACCATTTAGTGAGAAGGGAATGATTAAGGGAGGAGACAATGGGAGATAAAAATTAATAATTCTGTTTTAGTTTTTATTACTTTGTCTTTGCCAGTTTTTTCTAACATGAACATTCATATTTTCCTGGGGAAAGCCTCAGTTCTGGTGAGCACCTGCCATGTGCCAGGCATTTGGGTGAACATTTCACATAGTATATCATAATTTAGTTTTTGGTATCTGAAGAATGTGATGCCTGTTTTCCATTCCAGTGGAGATGCTAAGAAGGCAGTTAATACAGCATTCAGGAGCTCAGTGGAATACTGGGAGTTGGACACAGGGATTTGGAAGTTATCAGACATAGACGGTTTTTAAAATCATGAGCCTGGACAAGGTCGTCCAGGGAGTAAATGTAATTAGTAGAATAAGCATCCACAGTTTGAGCACTGTAGTATTAATGGTCAAATCCAGTGGAGGGATCAGCAAAGGAGAGGGAGAGGAAGAGGGCGTTGACAGTAGGGGCAAGCCAAAAGATAGTGATATTCCAGAAACCATAATAGAACAATGCTTCAAGGGAGAGCTAATGCATTTGTCACCATGAAGGTCTTTTGTGACAATGCCAAGTGGAATTTAAGTAGAGCAGTGGGAGAAAAATCTGTTAGAATGAATTAAAAAGAAAATGAGAGGCAAAGAAGTAGAAAGAGTGAGCATGGACAACTCTCTGAAGAACTTCTGCTGCAAAGCCAAGGAGGTTAATGGGACAGAAGAAGAGTGGGGGTGAATACAATGTGAGGTTTAGAAAGGTTTTTGTTTGCTTACTGGTTTTGGTGGTTTTATTTTGAGAAGGAAAAATGAATGCTGTGGGAGAGGGAATAATTGTAGGACAAAATCCTTGAGCAAATAAGAAGAAATGGTATCCAGGGCACTTGTAGCATGATTGGCTTTCAGTAGGAGCAGGAAGAGTTCATTCTAAGTAGCAGAAAGAAAATGGAGCTATGGACACCAAGGAAGGTAGGATAATAGATCAGGTGGTGAGAAGACAAAGTAATAAGAGAATGTTGGAGTGTTAAAAAGAGAGGCAATGGTATAAAACAGGAGGAAGCTGCAAGATGAGGGGTAGAGAAGAATAAGTTTTAAAATAGTCATTCTCATAATTTAAAGTCAAAAAAATAACCTAGTAGCTTAATATTCAGATTCCTGTGGCCTACTCATGAGTGAGACTGCAGCAGTTATGGATCACACTTGGAGAAACTTTGAGTTAATAAGAATGAAATGAGGCAATGGGAGATACCCTCCTCTAGGCAGGAGAAACATAAGATCCACAAATTCTAAGGAGTGTGGTCCTCTACAGGGACTTGGGATAAAAAGGAATAGTCAGGTGTGTGGATTTCATTTCCAGGCAAGAAGAAAATCCAGGTACCAGCAGCTAAATCAGATTATATGAGTGAGAAGGGATAAGTTATAGCACCAGATGTGGCATCAAGAGAATTTGAAAGATGGAGTCCAATGCAAAACAAGTACATCGTCCAAATAAGGGTCAATTCAAAAGTCCAGAGTCATAAAAGTCAAATAAGAGGCAACGTAGAGACAGCAAGATGGAGAGCATAGCTCAAGAGGAAAGAAAGAACTCGAATGTAGCCAATGAAAATTCTTTACAGCATCTTTCCAAAAAGCCTGAGATTAGAAGGGAACTATGAGATTCCCACATCTGGTCATCAGTGGCTTCTAAACAGAAGCTTCTTTAAGCCTCATATATGTGTGAATTGTGCCCCCAGACATGTGCACAATTTGCACAAACAGAGGTGGCATCACAGGGTGACTTCTAGAATCAGAGATCCAAGGGTACTCCTCTAAAATACGTGCAGAGATCTTTGCCATTAGCTGAAGGGATACCTGAGGATACTCTCCCTTCTTTTCCTAAACTAAACCTAGAAGTCTACTTTTAAAAGTAAAATATATTAATAAATAATGGATGCCAGCCAGTTTGCAATGTGTTTTACATGAGCTCTTATTTAAAACACAACAGACTTATGATGTTGATTCAAGCAATATGCTACAAGACACTAACATATAGACTAACATAATAATAAAATAAACAAAAATTTTATTCTAATCATTATGACACAAGACCTGATAGAAAACTATAAATTCAACTTAAACCCGAGTAAGAGAAGAAGCATAACCAAATGTGAACTGTTGAATAATGATATGCTTTAGGATATATACAAAATGAAAATAAATGGAAACATAAAAAACAGTCTTGGTTATGGAAACTCTATACAGTTTTCTAGGGTCTTGAACTTACATTCGTTTTCAAGAGAAAACAAGGCCTGAGCCATCGCACCCGGCCTAATAATCTTATTTTCTAACAGATATTAATGTGTTTATAGTCACGACAGAACTAGCACTTTGAAAACTACCCTAGTAAATATAGGCTGTATGTTTATCATATATCTGGGGTATCTTTCAGCTGGATCATTCCACAACACCCCGATGTCAAGCATCACGTCTTCTAGGAACTTTGTAAGCACACTGGCTCTAGTACTCATAGAACTGATTATAGTACTTGTAGTCAAATTCTAACCCTTCCACACTGAAATTCTGTATGTGTAAGGCCAATGGAAAAGATTTTGATCCTGAGGGGATAAAAACAAGAAATAAACTTCAGAGATTGCAGCATATAATAAAAAGCAGCTGCCACATGAGGGTCTGTTTTGACTCACTGTGTAGTCCACATATGCACTGAGTTTCTCAGATCCTGGTATTTCACTTCTCAGGCATGCTTTGTCTACCTCCTGGGTTGTTTAGCAAAGACCCAAGACAGCTTCTTTCCCTTATGCAAATATTATTCACTCATGTCCTCTTTAATCAGAAGAGAAGCTACTTAGACCCTAAGAAAAACATTAAAATATGAAACTTTTAATGGTCCATGAGGCCAAGAAAGGAGCCCAGGCTTGAGGGGGAGAAGAGCTCTGAGATTAGGTGTTTAGCCTCAGTGTGCAGGAAAGGGGATAGAAATACAACCCAAAGACAGAACATTTATCACACTGATATTGTGGAGGTTGCATGTATGCTGCTGTCTTGAAAAAGTCTTGGAGTGGTTATTTTGCAAATAAATCCCACATCTGTGCATCATGATCTTACTCAGACTCACTGGCTACAACAACCAACCATATTGACCTTTTGTTGGCAGGCCAATCATAGATTCAGAATTGGAGTCGTTCATTTTTTGATAAGCATTTATTACCAGGCTCATGTCCTATTCTCAAGTAACATATGGTTTTATAGGCACAATGAGATAAGAGTAAGATGAGATAAGTACACAGATGCCTGGAACGCAAACTCTAAGAGAGTGCGTAGGAGAATGGCAGACAGGGAAAGAGCTGCAGAATTGGTAGGTGATGGAGCAAAGGATTCTCCATGGCATGTAGAGGAATTTCTTTTAGAATAAAGGTGAAGGGGAGCCACTGAACTCCTGAAGTAGGAAAATAGTATAAGACGACTTGTGTACTGGAGAGGTTACTCTTTTAGCAGGGTGAAATATGGATTAGAAAGTGGAGACCAGGAAGATATTTTAAGGAACAGTTTAAACAGGAAATAAGAGAAAATTGGACTGAAACTGGAAGTATGTAGATAACAGATGATGAAGAAGATGGGGTCAGAGCTGGAAAACGATTTTCAGAAAATAAAAGATTATGGAGTGGTGGGATTGTGTGCCAAAGGAGAAGAGCCAACAGAAAAAAAAAAAATAAATAAAGATGCTGACGATCCAGGCAAGAGGAGGCAAGAGGTTGTAAGTGGTCAATCAAGCAGGTCAAATACATAGGAGGTTCTAAGATCCAGATCATGGGAAAAAGCATATTTTTGTGAACAAAAGTAGGAACTTCTGGCATTAGCTGGATGAAAGCAAGAATGCTTCGAAATGTAGCCATTTAGCACCTTTCTGTCTTGGCTGTTTACTTTTCTTTGCTTTCACTCAACACGTGATTACTGACACTCTCCCGGACTTCCTGAATACACTTTTGGGGTTTTTATGACATCACAATGTGAATGCCCTGTGAGAAGCCTGGAATTCTTAAAGCTGTGCAAACAGCGTTCCTAAAGAATTTCTTTACTATAAATTCAAAAGATAAGAGTTATGAATCCTCCATCTCTATGACTTGATTCATCAAAATATTTTCATTTCATGGTTATAGAATATTCAAAAATATTTATTATCTGTATAATTTTATATAGAAGTTATTTAATCTAAACAAGGGTCTTTTAAAACTGGCAGTAGTGTTCCTTTTTTCCCATTCAAAGTTCTTACATAATAGATTTTTCTGCATAATATAATTTTAAAACTCTTGATAGGTGACTGCAACATTTTTGAGACCATGTCATAAGATGAAATGCAGATGTATAATTATTATATCCATAAATCAAGTCATGAAATCAAAGGCATCCCTCTTCCTATTTTAAACATTCAAGCTGACTTTTCTTGACTCAAACAAACTTCTTATAGATTCAAGTCAAATGACAGAAAATAACTCTGATATACTCTGTTTTATCCAGCAGATTCTCAACTGGAGTTTTATGGCCCACCATTTGCACACATGAATAAGTAAAATGATAACTGATGTTTAGGGTCTGAATTAGTTTTCAATGCTTTTTAAAAAATTACCACAAACTCAATTATTTAGAAGAATACCCATTTATTATCTCACAGTTTCATGAGTCAGAAGCCCAGGCACGGCTTAGATCCACTTTCAGGCTCCCTCAGGTTGTTGGCAGAATTCATCTTCTCGTGGCTGTAGGACTGAGGTTCCTATTTTTGTTTTCTGGCTGTTGGCTGGAGGCTGCTCTCAACTGCTAGAATTGAAGTTTCTCCCCACCTTGCCCTTCTTATAGGCAGTTCACAACATGGAAGTTTACTTTTTAAGAAGTGAGAAAAATTGAAAAGCATTTCCTATGTGTGTTAGCAAAACACACACACACACACACACACACACACACACACACACACACACAGAGTGATAGTCACAATGACATCCCAATATGTTTTGTCATATTTTATTTGTGAGAAGCAAGTCTCCCCATACAGACTGTGAACATGGGGTCACTCTAAGTTCTGTCCATCACAGTTCCCAAGACACAAATACTATCTTGGCATGCAAAAGAAAAATTTAATTATTTCATATACAATTTTAGTATCAAGCACATATTAAGACATTATATTCTAGCAATTATACTATTCTATGATATATGCATGAATATCTGTCTCACTTCTTGTAGTTACCTTTCATAGATATACACTCACAATTATCTGTTAAAGAAAACAAGGGAAGAAATAAGGGGAGGAAAGGGGAAGGAAAAAAAAGAAGAATATAACATATTTCTATATTAAGATAACGGAGCAAAAATGATCAAAAGATAATTTCTTTTGCTGGCCATTGAAATAAGTGGGGCCATAACTTACGGTAGGACAAAAATAACAGTAAAACTAGGACTGGTAAAGGGTATTCGAAATAACATGGCAAAGAAAAAAGTTCACCAATTTACTTACAACACAAATTTCTGCATAAATATCTGGCACTTCTGTGAACTCTGAAGCTTTCAATCCCAAGAAGTGCAAATGAAAAATTCTTGCCAAAGCTTGAAACATTATTTTACAGAAGAAAATTTAACCAACTCATGTCTATGTACATAATTGATGCTTAATGTTACAAATGTGTATGGTGTATTGCATAGTCTAGTGCTTCTCAAAAGCATTAAATGAAAACAATGGTATGAATCTATGTGGTTATTTTAGTTAGCAAACACTTTTAAAAATCTGAATAGCAATATATATTTTTCTATGTCTTTACATATATTTAGAAAAATCTTTACAAAATAAGGTTAATCCACTGATTCATTCATTTATTCATCCAACAATTGTTAGTTATTTGTTTGCTTATCTATTTCTAGTTGTTCTCCTAATATAATGTGGGGCAGAAGCAAAAATCAAACATATTTGAGAATGGCATACCAAATAGGCTTCAGGAAAGCCATAAGAGAAAAGCAATGGAGTAAAGTACTATCTTGTAGTCAGAAGATTTGAAGTAGTCAGGCATCATTTTTATTTACTGCTAGGCCGGTGTTTTACTGTCTTAAGTGCAGCTGTCACCTTTTTTATTATTTTTCTATACTTCTGACTACTGCTGATCTGTGCAGGTCTTTAAGAATTTATAGAACACCTTGAAGAAAAGGGGATTGATAAACCAGAAGATAGTAGCTGGTGCAAAACGGTGTTTTAAATGTACATTCTATCTCCACTTAAAAGAAATATATTTTTTCCACTTCAGAATGTCTTGATTTCCAGCTCCACCAAGTTACTAGTTAGTCATTTTTCACATCCAAGTTTCCTTATCTATAAAATGGCAATAATAATAACAGAGTTGTGCTTCTCGTATCTAACAAATACAAAAATTTCCATTGCCATGGTTGTCATTATTAGAAGCAGTAGCAAAAATCAACATCATTATCTAAAGGAAAATTCCTAAGAAGGTATAGAAAATCATCTTTCAATGAAGAAACATAGAAAAGACATGATAGAAATATTTAAAGGGCAATTAATATTTGATCAATATTGTAAAGAACTGGAAAGGCAGTGTCTCAATATCAGCTAGATCTCTGCTATCATTTGTTTATTGGGTTTTCACACTCTACATGAATTAAAACAATTTTAAAAAGTATAATCTCCAAAATGCTATTTCATACTTTACTTATAAATATATACTTTTATCAGGAAAAACCATCCTAACAAAATTCTGCCCAAATGACATGTGTCAATGTAACAGGTCAATTATAGGCACCTGCTAGCACGTCTATTTTGAGACTAAGCAGCTTATGTAGCTTCTGTATCTTGTTTCTAAAATGAATTAGACAGGTTTACTCTCTCCCCTTCGGCTAATTAGAGATGGAAAACCTTACACCTGTGATAAATAATACAGCCTCAAAAACAACACATCTGGAAAAGGTATCTGGCATTCCATGTGAAATAAATCTGGAATTCTAGACTGCAAATCATGGGTGTTTTGAATGACTAGGTTGTAGAACAAAACAAATTATATTTAAAAAGAAGGTTTTGAAAATGGCCTTTTCCCCTGAACATTTTTCCATGGGCTAATACTTCATGGTGTTTTATTTTCTCTAGACTCTGGAAAATTAACAGAAGAAAAAAATAGGAAAACAAAATCTAGAGTTTAGACTTATTCATGTGCAAGGCTTAGCAGCTGTGTTTCTAATTACACACAGGGAGGCCTTAAAAATGACCATTTCCAAGTACTTAGCTAATGCCACTGGAAACTACAAGAGTGTATTTTTAAAATCTGTTTGGTTATTGGGTAATTTATTTCTTCTCTCACAATAACAATAATGTTGCAATTATAAATGTACAATTAATTTATTCTAGACAACATAGTCATTTATACATATATGCATATATACATATATACATATATGTCAGGTTTCCCCTCTAATTACCTGTAGAAGAGAGAGCAAACCTGTCTAGTTGTTTTTAGAAACAGGAAACAGAGGCGACATAAGCTGCTTAGTCTTTCTCTCTTGTCTCTCTATCTATCTTATCTTTCTATGTATCTATCTATGTATCTATGTATGTATGTATCTATCTATAGCTATCTATATCATCTATCTATTATCTATCTACCTATCATCTACCTGTATGAGAGAAATCAAAATCACCTAAAATGACCCCTAGACATAATCTTTATATACATATTTTACACTTTGATATGAACTCCCTACTTCTCCCTAATGTACACATATATTTCTTACTCAGATCATGGTAAGTGTGATATTTTAAGAACAGCTTTCATAATTTACAGTATATTATGGTCATCCTCATGTCAGCGAATACAGGCCTTCATTTTTAATGGCTGATAACTAACCAATATAATGGTACTCTAGAATTTATTCCAAAGCCCCTGATAGATAGCAGTATTGTAAATAAAGACTGCTGGGCTGTAATCTTTGTACATTTACATTTTCACACAAGTCCGATTCCTTTCTTAGTATAAACTTCTAGGTGTAGAGTTGCTGTATTTAAGTGAATAGATATTTTTGTAAGTTTCCGTTACATAAACTGTTGCCAAACGACTCTCCAAAAAGGTGCATAAGGTTACATTTTTTATGTTACAACTCATTTGCAATTTATGTTACAACCTATTTTCCTATACATCTACTATTAATAACAATAGATTGTACTTGTTTTCTGTTAAAAAATTATGCTCAATCTGATAATTTTAAATTGGTATCTCAATATGAGTTAATTTCACATATTTCATTACCTGTTAGTTAAATATCTTTATTAGTGATTGATATTGCTTCTTTTGAGAGCTGCCTAGTTATGTCATTAATTGATTTTGTTTTTGTTTGTTTGCGTGACTCTTTTTCTTTTTCTTTTTTCTTCTTGTGGAGACAGGGTCTCATTATGTTGCCCTGGCAGGTCTCAACTTCTGGGCTCAAGCAATCCTCCCACCTCTGCCTCCCTAACTGCTGGTCTTTTTCTTATTTATTTTAAAGAGTTTATTGTAAGTTAAGGTTATTAATCCTTTTCTTATTGTAGCTGCTGCAAACATTTTTTCCAACTTTATATTGCTAATATAGTTTTGACATCTTTGTATTCCGTGTTTCTGTTATATGGTGTTATATGGAAGTGATGCATTTTATTCTATCAATTTCAATTTTAAAATACAATTTCTGCCTTTGTCATAAGCTTAGAAAAAAGGCCTTTTTCAAGCCCTAAATAGTAATATATTCACATATATTTTATTTTTCAATAAGAAGATTTCAGTCTTCAAATTATCTGAGATTTATTTTACTGTAAGAAATGCTATAAGATTCTAGCTTTTATTTATTTGTTTCACATAATTATCCAGTTGTCTGAATTTAATTGTTTGAAAAAAAACTTTCTTTTTTGGACATTCTCTTCTATTCTATTGATCTACATATCTATTTTGGCATAATTCTGGCCTAATAGTTTATAATGAAATATGCTTGAATAGGCAACAGGATAAGTCCTCAGGTAATTTTTTTCTACTTTTCCTCTGTAGTTTTCTCTACATTTATTATACTATATGCTCCTAACATGTTCAAAGACTAATCTTCAATATTCAACATAAGTGGCATTTATACCAATATTAAGAATGAAAGGGAAAGGAAGAAATATCCTCCACAAGGTTGAAAAACAATATTGCATGCAAAATCCTTAGCATAATGTCTGATCATAGTAAGTAGTCATCACTACTTTTATTATAATTAAGAATTATAAATTTGCCAGGGTTTTGGATTTTTAAGGTTTAGTATAAATGTAATTTTAACAGTTCAATGTGCAGAAATAATCAGCTACTCCACACCAAGTACTGGGGTAGGTTTTACAGATACAAAGTTGATAACTCAAGAAAGTCCATTTCAGTCTAATAGAGGAAACAAGCAGGCAAGCAGATAACATCCATTCAACAGATGGTGGTAAGATACAGAATCCAGAGGCAGCTTAGGGAATAGAGTGATTCATTCTGATAAAGAAAAGGAGGCCTTACAGAAAAGGATGCCATCTGGGTAGATTTTCAGGTACAAATGTGAGTGCGGCAGGCAGATACAATGGTCAAAAAAGGGGAGTCCAGAAAAAGAAAAGCCTGTCTTCACTTTTCCAGGATGAAATTAATTTTCTCTCTGCGATCCACCCAAAGCATTTTGTTCACATTCCCATACAATCACAGTTAATATTTACTGAGATCTTATAATGTGTCAGAAATTGTTTAAACAGTTTGTAAAGATAAAATATTTAATTAAATCCTCCCAGCCATCTGTCAGATAGGCCCTATTATTAGCCCCATTTAATGGATAAGGAAACTGAAGCACATCAAACCTGAGTAACTTGATCAAGCTAGTAAGTGACAGAATGCTCACCCAGCAGATTGGCTTCAGAGTTGAAACTGAGAACTATTATACATATTGCTTCTTAGCACATAGCAAATTTAATTTTTTTTAGAAAACTCATTTGCTATGCAAAGCAAGCCTGATAGTTATGTATCACCTATGTTCCTCTGTAATTTCTATTTACCTACAGTGATATATATGTGTGTCCACATGCAAACTAATTCAGAATCTACATATTGCAGGTGCCTCTCTTTATTGTCTCAACAACCAATGCAGCTTCAGTGACAACCTAATTTGAATATGAAGTCCCTTTCACTGACCTGACTTTTAATTTCATATTGCAAACAAACTATAGCTATCTCCACGCATATAGCTCAGAGAATCTCATACTGATTTCCAACACTGAACTTGTTATCAGTCTCCCTAAATTTACTCATCTTTTTTCCCCTTCCTTAGATAATGCCTCTATCATCTTCTGTGTTGCAAATGTTTATTCAGTATATACTGTGAAGCATTACATTTGAAATTGTGGATAGCTACAATTGTTCTCTTTAGTTAGCAGGAAAAGAAGTCTATGTCAAAGTGGAAAGGGCATAGAACTATAACTTAAGAAGTCTAGATTAATTCCTGACTTCACTCCTTTACTAATGGCATGACTGCATGCATATTACTTATTAAGCAAGTAGTTGAGAGAAAGAGATGGCATAACACCTGGCAAGGATAGAACAAAGAACATAGAACAAAGAAGCAATGACCCTACAGTTGGAAAAAAAAAACCCTTTGTTTCTCCTTACTACATACATGTCATCAAACTATGATTTTCTTTATAAAGTTGCATCTTGGGGTCCATACATAGTAATAATAGTAACAGCAACACTTTAGTAAACATTTATTATTGTCCAAGGAGCAGTATATAGGACATCATCCTGTTTAATCTTACAACATCCTGGTGAAGGTATATAACATTGTCCTCAATATGTGGATAAGGACATTAAAGCTCACAGCAGAAAATGGGGAACCAAGATTTGAAGTTGTTCTACCTGGCTTCAAAATGCACGCTCTTTATCCTACATTTTGCTGGTTAACCTGCTCCCCTACTCAGGTCCGAAGTGGAAGAGAGAGAGGAAAAATGCCATGTGTTTACCTCGAATTCTGGTAGCTGAGCCTAAGTGGTTCAGTTGCAAAGCCAGAGACCCACCATTTATTGCTAATGCCCCTTTCTGTGGGAAGTCTGACTTCCCCATGTCTAGTTTTCTTAATTACTGGACAATTTTAGGATAAATGATCTCAAGCTTCTTGGGGAGTAGATCCAACCAGGTTCCAGAACCTAATGAAAAAAAAAAAGTCTCCTAGTCCTTTAATGGGAGAGCCCTGTTTGGTTCTGAGATTAGCAACAATTCTAAATATTTGAGTTCAAACATGTTTCCAAAAATGTCCTGTAAATGTGGAACCAATTTTAAAGCAAGAAGTAAGGACAAGTTTATAAAACTATTAGCCCAACATCTGTGATCTATAACAGAAAGGAAGAAAGCAAGACTTTGGTAAGATAGAAGATACGACACATAGAAATGGAAATGTAGTGGAAGAAAAACATTAGTAATTTATAAGAAGTGTGTTCTCTTCTGACTGGTGTTGACCTGTTTGAATGTTTACTTATAAAGACTAGGGGGTACATTTTATTATATCATCTTTTAGAGAGATTAATAGACATGACAGATTTCTCATTGCTGGGACCACTAATGGCCTATAAAATAACCATTTGGATTATTTTATAATTTTTATGATCCCAATAAAATCAATAGCCTCTGACTTTATATGCAAAGAATGAATTACACAGACTAGAGAGGTGTTACATTTAAATCTCATGGTAAAATTTATCCTGTTGGCAAAGGTGCCCTTCAAGATGGGGGCCTAGATGATATACAAACACACACACATACAAATCCAGTTTGTTTGTGATGAATAGGTATGAGTTTTATCTTATTAAATCGTCTTGCAGAAGAGAGACACAGAGACAGAAGATATAATCCTAAATTTGCTTCTAAATATACAAAAATAGTAACAACTTAAACAAACATCACAATGATACGAATAAACACATGCCTCCATCATTACAGACCTATTCAATATATTTTGAGGCTTCAATCATGATTGCTGGATAGAGTTTGGCTTTTTGGAGATAAAAAGAAACGGAAAACACACATTCTCACTTACTCTTTGTGCATATAAGAAAACCAAAATGGGGAATATTTGCTCTAGTTCAAATGGCCCATTGGTTTCACAACAAGGACTATATACCAGTGGTCTTGACTTTAGGCCAGTAATGCAAGAAACTCTACAAAGTTGTTCATTTATTTATTCAAATATAAATAATATCTATCTATCTATCTATCTATCTATCTATCTATCTATCTATCTATCCATCTATCTACACCACCACAGATTATGCTAGTTTACTGTTCAGGGAACAGCAAAGCAGATTTGATTCCTAATTACATGAATATTATAGACTACTAAGAATTACAGGAAAAAATAGATAATTATACAAGTAATTAAACAATTTAAGACTCTGATAAGTGCTATGAAAGAAAGAATAGGATGCTTGAAAGTGCATTAAAAGTTCTTTATTCTGTTCCATTGGTCTATATGTCTGTTTTTATGCCAGTACCATGCTGTTTTGCTTATTATAGCTTTGTAGTATAATTTGAAGTCTGATAATATGCCTCCAACTTTGTTCTTTTCGTTTAGGATTGTTTTGGCTATTCTGGGCCTTTTTTGGTTCCATATAAATTTTAGGATTATTTTTCCTATTTCTGTGAAGAATGTCATTGGTATTTTGATAATGATTGCACTGAATATGTAGATTACTTTGGCCAGTATGGCCCAAGAAATCTCAGAATTTTATTGGCATTTTGATCACAAAAAGTTGCTAGTCTCAAGTCCAGGGTAAATTAAAAAGCCCTGAATGAAAACAGAATGTACATGTGTGTATATGTATAACTTCTGTAGTTGTAGTAAGAATATAATTTAAATATTACCCATATTTTCATTACTCTCAATGTATATATGCCACAGTATCAAGGATGGTGATCTCTTCTTGGACACACAGACATGTTCTTATGTAATAATTTTCAAATTTATATTTTAAGTCTTTATCTCTTCTTGCATTTCAGATCTATGTATCTATTGCCAACCATCCACTGCTATCTGCTTGTCCTCCAGGGACCTCAATTCACATATCCAAGATGAAACTTGCAATTAGCCCTCTCAGATTACAAAATGCTCTTTTTTCTATATTTTCGACAGTGGTTAATAATATTATCCTTTACCCAGTCATCCAAGTCAATCACTTGAGAGTCATCCTAAACTTGACTCTCTCTCACCCACTTTCCATATCTAATTAGTTAAAAGTTGGATATATATAATTATATATTTCTCCAACTAAAGTCCACTGCTACTGCCTTAAATCCACCTTTAATGTTTCTTGCCTGGACTGTTACAATTACCACAATAATTTTATGACTGCTGTCTCTCTGGTCTAAACTGCCATTATCTTTACTATTAGACAGAACTTGTCACCCTGCTTCCACCATGCTCCTTTTTTCTCACCTCTGTATTATCCATTCTTCACACAGTAACCAAATTGATCTTTTAACAGTGAAAATCTCATGATATTCTCCTTCTTACAACTCTCTGGCAGCTTTCCATTTCACTTATAAGAATCCACACTGTTTATCATGTCTGCACAGACTTGAGTGATCTTGTCATTGATTCCTCATCTCCCAAACCTACCCTTCATGATACAATAACCACATGGACTTCTTCCCTTTTCTAACATGCCAGGTTCAATCCCATCTCAGGCCTTCATACTTGCTATTTTTGCTACTGGAAACACAGCTAATTCCAGATCTTCACGTGGCTGGCTCCTTTTGTCATTCAGATCTTGGACAAATGTCATCTCCTGAAAGAGGCTCTCCTCAGCCATTCTACTCAGTGCTTCTCCCCTGGCTTCACATATTACTCTGTATTATATTTTCTTATTTTCTTTACATGTTTTTTCATGATCTAAAATTACCTTATTTATTTCTTTGTTTACTGTTAAGTTCCTGTTTTTCAGCAAAGACAGATTGCCTTACTCCCCATGGATTGTCCAGGTTTAGAAAACCATGTATACTAGGTATTCAATAACAAATAAGAAATTGTTTAGAGTGTAATTTTTAGAAAATTAAGCTAAATTCTTGAGAGAAAAAGTTATACTTTACTGTTTTACAATGTCTGAATTTATTTTTACTATACTATGTATTGTTTATATAATAATTAAATGTTAATAAATAAATAAAATCACATACACCAAATGCAATAGTACTTGCTTGTTTTCTATTCTTTAGATCAAAAAAGGAGTAAAATAAGACCCTACCTTATTTTAGATAGGGTCAAGGATATGAGCATAAGTATTATGGGGAATGAAGAAAAATTGTTACAATAGAATGGTTTCAGATCTTTTTATTTTGAAAAAATTATAAATTCATAGGAGGTTGCAAATAAATGTACACAGAAGTCCCCACACTCTTGTTCCATATTTGTACAGTGTTAACAACTTGCACAACTATAATATTATTTCAAAACCAAGAAATAAACATTGCTACAATCCATAGCGTGCATTCAGATTTCATCAGTTATACATAAACTTATAAGTGTGTGTCTGTCAGGGGGAGAGTATAGCTCTATGCAATTGTATTGCAAGTATAGCCTGTGAAGCCACCACAACAATCAACATAGTAAATTGTTCCATTAACACCCTCCTAGTACCCTTTATAGCCACACCCATCTCCTCTCTCCCACTATGTGGCTCCCCATCCCCCATTGTGTGCATTCCTTCCCTGCCCCCTGTCCCTCACTTCCTAACCACTAATGCTTGCAATCACTAAGAACCATCTGTTCTTTATCTTTGTGTTATTTCATAAATAAAACATAAATAGAATTGTGCAGTATACATCCTTTTAACATTGGCTTTTTTCAGTCAGTATAATTTTCTGGAGGTTCTTCCATGTTGTTGCACATATCAATAGTTTGTTCCTTTTTATTGCTGAGTTGTATTTCATGGTACTAATATACCATAGTTTATTTAACAGTGGTTTCTAGTTAAGGTCTATCATGAAGTTACTATAAGCATTGTGTATAAATTCCTGTGTGACATTAAGTCTAACATTTTATCTGATAAATGCGCAAGAGTGCAACTGAGTATCCACAGGGTAAGTTTATTTTTAGTTTTGAAATGAACTGCCAAACTGTTTTCCAGAGTAGCCACACTATCTTCCATTCCCACCAGTAATGTATAAGTGATCTGGTTTCTCTGCATCCTCACCAGCATTTGATGTTATCATTATTTTTCATTTTAGTTATATTATTTTAAGCTGATAAAAAAGTACATTCATGCAGCACATTCATTTCAAATTTCTTTTAATCCATTCCAAGAATGAAATCCGTTTCATTCTTTTAAAATAAAATATTAAACAATTTCCTCACAAAGAAATCAAATGCACCCAGGATGTCTCAAATGAAAAACAAATTTTCAAAATTATGTAACATGGAAAAAATAAGATTATAAATGTAAAACAATGTAAAAGTTAAAAAACAGAGTAAAGGGTCAAGAAATAATTTCCTAAGACTTTTTGATAGATACTCTAGTTCAGGCATCAATGATTAAAAGCCTGATTTCTTTTGAAATTATGATACAGTTGCACAAATTCCCAGTCTCATTAAAAAGATGTGTGCATATTTGTCATTATAATACAAAACTTAATTGAGCAAACTTTTCAAATAATAGGAATAAATGTCTCAGCCAGTGAAAATGTTAGGGAAAGCTTTAGTACAAAATAAAAAAAGCCATAGGAAAACAAAAACAACTTAACTTGCTAGTGACAAGAATCAGAAAAATAAGAGTATAAAGGAAGAGTAAAAGTCTTTATACTGCTTGCTTGAGTCGTGAAAGTCATACATAATTGGAAATATGAGTTAGAGCCTTGTATATTCTGGGCACCAGTTCAGTGTTAACTAAGGTCACTGAAGTAATGAGTAATCTCTTCTATGGCTGGTCACATGACCAAGCTGAAATTCATCAGTAATTACTGTCTAGTTCTTAATCCATAGTCATAATTTATATTAAAACCACTAGCACAACTGGAAAAATTGATAGCAGATTCACCAGAATCAAAGTGACTAGTGAAAGAAAATAGGGTATGGACTAGAATCCAACATCCTCCAAAAGCTAGCTGTTTCCTTCAGTTTGGTTGAAATCCAACCACTCAGTAAAGACTTACCAATAGGGTTTAGCAGCCTGAATGATAAATTTGGGGATTCATGGCTTATTTGATCTTAAAATACTGCTGATCACAGAAGGCTAAATGCAAATTGGGTAAGATCAGGACGTAGAAGTAGACACTCCTAGTGGGCTAGGACAAGTTCTAGAGCTGTGGTATCCTATATGGTAACTGCTAGTCATGTGTAGCCATTTAATGTAAATTTAAACTAATTAAAATTAAATAAAACAAAACGTTTAGTTCCTCAGGTGCAGTAGCCACATTTCAAGTGGTCGATAGTGATGTTTGACTAGCGATTACTAGCTGGATAGAAGACATAGAACATTTAGTCATGACCAAAAATTTTGTTACATAACACCGGACTAGAGAAAAGTGCAAATGTGTATATAACACAAGGAAGAATTCCAGGCAGGCACTTGGAAGATAGTGTATTAGTTTGCTGGGGCTGCCATAACAAAGTACCACAAAACGATTGGCTTAAATAACAGAAATTTATTTTCTCACAGTTCTGGAAGGTAGAAGTCTGAGATCAAGTTGTCATCAAGGCCAAGATCGCACTGAAGGCACTGGGGAATGATTTCCAGATCTCTCTCCTAGCTTCTGGTGGTTGCTTGACTTGTGAAAGCATAACTCCAATCATCATATGTCATTCTCTGTGTATGTGTGTCTCTCTGTCCAAGTTTCCTTTTTTTATGTAAGAATATCAGTTATACTGGATTAGGAACCCACCTTAGTCCAGTATGGCCTCATTCTAACTAATTGTATTTACAACTACCCTATTTCCAAGTAAAGTCAGGTTCTGAGGTACTGGCAGTTAGGACTTCAAAATATAACTTTTGGAGTTCACAATTTAACCCATAACATATAGTATCCAAGATATATGATGGCATTTATAAAGTGTTAGCCAGGCATCAAGACCTAACATAGCCCAAGCGGTCCAGAAAGAAAGACTGATGGTGAAGAGTCACAATAGACATTTTAAAATTAAATAATATGGAAAGTTTCCGGCAGCAGATGCCTATTATTTCCCTTAGCAGGAAAATAATTTTCTCTCAAGTTTTTTTTTTTCATTTATTATTATTCCTTGCATATTCAGGCCCTGAGATTGAGACTCAAGGATAGAATTTTGGCCCCTTGAAAAAGATCAGGTCAGGGTTCTAAAGAGGCTGAGAGGCTCACTAGCTTATCAAGAATGATACTAAAGGATACAAAAACAAGTCAATGTCACAAATACCAAAAGAAGTTGTAAAAATACAATCTTGAGACCCAAGCAAAAATCCAATTACCATGACTGAAACATAGGTCATGACCTAAACAGTAGAAAAGAGGAATCAATCACCTATGAATTAAGGTAGAGCTTTTAAAATCTCCCTTCCTATCTTCCCCTTCATAAAACCACCCCTTCCAAGCAAGCCCTGCTTTCCCATCCTGGCATTATTCTTTTGGCTACTATCCTACCTACTCTGCCTGACTTGACCAGCTCCATCAAGAATCATGCTTCTGATTCTTCTGGATCAGAAACTCTATTTTCTTACTCACGTAAAGTCTTAACTTGTCTTTCAAACACAGTGCTCTATTCTGTTATTTGTTAACTCCCTGACTACTGGGGCCCATTCCCTTACTCTCCCTTCCTGTCCTTCAAGATTTCTAAAATAATAATCTCTTTTCAGCTTAGCCAAGTCCTGGAAACCCCTTACATCACAACATCTTCCCCAAGCTAGTTGTTTTGCACACCAAAGAAGCATTCTGGTCATGATGTGTTTTTTCACCTCTTTTCCCATCTGGGTAGGGCACTCTACTATCAACTCTCAACTCTGAAGTTAAAATGGGATATAAAAGCAGCATCTTTTTCGCAGTTTCTTCAGATCTCTTCTCTACTCTTGTCCACACAGAAATTGCTGACCCATGTTTCTGAGGATCTACCAGAACCACTTCTAGTAGTTCTAAGCTTCCAGTGAACATACAAGCTGCCAATGATAGGGATCTTCTTTGGGCAACCTAAGTCAACCAGTGAAAAGTATTTTGTTACTATTTATAATTACTATTTGTAAGGGAGATTTAAATCTGTCCTGAGTTTAAAAAAATAATTGATCCTAAGTCTTGTGGGTCTGAAAGTCTGTTTAGAGAAAGGCAATGTTAATTTTTTGGTCTAGGAGAAGACAATTGGGTACAAGAAAGTGTGTGTGTGTGTGTGTGTGTGTGTTTCTGTGTGTGTGTGTGTAGGAAGAGGGGAATGGAAACCCACTGACCCACATTTTAAAATGTAGTTCTATCATGTATGGAAACAGATATACACATGCACACTCATACTGCACACAAATCTATTTTAACATATGTCTTACCTATAAATACTGTAATCATCTACTTTTTATTCTTCATAATGCATTGGTCATTTAACTAGTTGACCGTTACTCAATAGTACAAATAATGCCTTGATGAACATCTTCTATATACGCCTGGTGGAACATGTGCTATCATTTAATTAGTATAAATTATAAGAAGTGTAATTCCTTGGTCAAAAGATGTATACATTTAAAGTAATTTTACCAATATGCATTCACACAACCAAGGTATGAAAATGCTCAATTCGTTGTAAGAGGGAGATTTTGAAGCCTTGAGGCCTTCTAAGTTGTAGCTTACAGGTCTTTGGCTAGCATTCTGAAGTAATTCTGGACAGGGCTAGGCTATGATTCCATTGAAAAAAGAAGATACCTAGGTATTAAGCCCAGCATGCATTAGCTCTTTTCCCTAATGCTCTCCACCCCCCACACTCCCATGACAGGCCCCAGTAAGTGTTGTTCCCCTCTCTGTGTCCATGTGTTCTCATTGTTCAGCTCCCACTTATAAGTGAGAACATGCAGTGTTTGGTTTTCTGTTCCTGCATTAGTTTGCTGAGAATAATGGCTTCCAGCTTCATCCATGTCCCTGCAAAGGACATTATCTTTTTTCTTTTTATGGCTTCATAGTATTCCATGATGTATATGTACCACGTTTTCTTTATCCAGTCTATCTTTGATGAGCATTCGGGTTGATTCCACGTCTTTGCTATTGTGAATAGTGCTGCAATGAACATACACATGTATGTATCTTTATAACAGAATGATTTATACTCCTTTGGGTATATACCCAGTGATGAGATTGCTGGGTCAAATGGTATTTTGGGTTCTAAATCTTTAAGGAATCGCCACGCTGTCTTTCACGATGGTTGAGGTAATATACATTCTCACCAACAGTGTAAAAGCATTCTTTTTTCGGTCAGGCACAGTGGCTTATGCCTGTAATCCCAGCACTTTGGGAGGCCAAGGTGGGCAGATCACCTGAGGTCAGTAGTTTGAGACCAGCCTGGCCAACATGGAGAAACCCCATCTCTACTAAAAATACAGAAAATTAGCCTGGTGTGGTGGTGCATGCCTGCAATCCCAGCTACTAGAGAGGCCGAGGTAGGAGAATCACTTGAATCTGGAGGTGGAGGTTGCAGTAAGCCGAGATAGCACCATCTCACTCCAGCTTGCACAATAAGAGCGAACGGATTTTGTGATGTTGGCAATAATTGCCAGCTTTTCCATTTCTTTAGTTTTTATAATTTACTTTCTCTTTATAAATAAATATTCACTATTCTGCCAAAAAAAAAAAAAAAAAGAAAGAAAAAAGAAGATACATATAGGATGCCAGAGACCTGGGAGGGTCATATACTTGGGTGTCTCAATGAAAGTGGCTATCCACCAGCCAGGTCGCCTCTCTGACCCATTCTGCTCTACTCTAGAGTGGACTGTAGACTAGAGGGCTCAATCTCTTTAAATAGTAAAACTCTTTAAAACTTTTCACATCCAAGTAATTATATCTTTTTATCCATTTGTTTTTAAAATTTACTTTTAAGAAAATCAGTCCTTATTTTGACAACAGTTTTAGTTTTTTTTCATCTGGGATTTGAAAATTTAGGAAAATTTTGAATATATTCAACACTGGGAAAAGTATGTGTTCCCATTTCCCAGGTTCAATAATTACCTGGACAATCTTGTTTCATCTTTATCTGCATTTGCTTACCCTTCCCAAAAAAACAAATTAAAATGAAGCCAGTCCTTGACATATCATTTTATTTGTACACATTTTAGTAAATGTTTCTAAAAGTCAAGGACTCAAAAAATCTGAAATAGCATCTGCAGATTTCAGAAAACTAAAATCAATTTCTTATTGCCCAATACCTGGTCAGTGTTCAAATGCCCCCCAATTTGTCAAGAAATTATTTTATTTTAAATATTTTCTTTGCTTGAATGAGGATTCAAATAAGTTCCATATATTACAATTAAATTATAAATCTTAAATCTCTTTAAATCAAGCTAAGATCTTCTCCTGCACCCGGTAAGAGGCCATCAATTGGTTTCAAGCATAAAAGTGACATGGTGAATTTTTGTTTTATAAATACTATCCAAATAATGTTGTGAAAGGTTCAATAAGAGACAGGACTTGAGATCAGAAGAACAGAGACTATTATAATAGTTCAGTTGAAAAATGAGTTCACTGAATGGAATAATGTATGAAGAGATTAATAGATATTCTACTAGTTTTCTGGTTAACCAA
Organism: Homo sapiens; assembly: GCF_000001405.40. NCBI lineage: Eukaryota > Metazoa > Chordata > Mammalia > Primates > Hominidae > Homo > Homo sapiens. The sequence goes on from NC_000011.10 coordinate 26,811,236, forward strand.
ATCTGAATTTAGCCCCTACCGCTCCACTGAAATTGCAATTTTAAAGCTAATTAATAACTCTCAAACTGCTAAATCTAAAACACTCTGCTGAATTCTCATCTAGGTGATTGATACTATAAGTGAATATATCAGTGTAAACTTCAGATACAACTCCTGGTCCAGCTCACTAAAGCTGCATCACTCTGCACCACTTCCACGATGTAGAAGAACAACAAAGGAATATTTCAACTTGGTTATGGTGAAGAATGATGAAAGCATGAAAGAACAGGCACATCAAGTCACAATTCAACCAATCAAATCAAGAAAAACTAGATGAGTCAAAGCCTTTGAGGAGTGATAAATAAATCAATTAAGTTCGTGCTTTCAAAAAAAATCTAGCTGGTGGAGAAATAAGAAAACAAAAAATAGAAACACTTGTTGCTTAGATTAGGGTCCTAGTCTTATAAACATTAATAAAAGGGTTAAAAGATTTTTGCTAAAATATGAAAAAAAATCAAGGAATGCTTCATAGAGGAAATAGTTATAGATCTGAGCCTTAAGAAAAAGGTTGAAGTCAGATAGATGGAAATAACAGAGGAGAGTTTTAATTAAACAAAAGCATGGAGGTTGCAATGAAAATGTTATATTCAAAGCATAAATAAGTGAATGGACTGGAATGAGACTTCCCTTTTTGCATAGAGAAAGGTAAAACTTGAGTAGGCAAGGTAATCCTGGGTCAGAAATTCTAGGATGGATAGTTTAAACTTGATCCAATAGGCAGAGGTGGTTTAAGTTTTAAGAAGATTAAACCTGATCCAATAGGAAGAAGTAGTTTAAGTTTTAAGAAGATTGAGGGTGAAAGCAAGCCAGAAACTTAGAGGTCAATTAAGAGATTAATGGTTTAATCTTCTAGGCCAATCCAGCATGGTGACTGTAACAATGAGAAGGAAAAACAGATGCTCAAAATAAACAACCTCATTTTGAAATAAGAAGTATCATATTTTCAAATTGAAGAAAAAAATCAAACACATTATAGAAAATACAAAATTTGAGAATTTTTCTGATTCAAAACTTCTGTGACATTTTCTTTGTGGCTTAATATTTACGGCATAAAAGATTGAATCATTGCAATGTAAGTTGCAAGTTTAGAAAACATCTTGGAATATCTACAATTATCACTGTGGTCTCTCTCTGTTTTAAAAAAGGACTATAGTAAAGTGGTCTACTTCTCTCATGGAAGAATATTATTCTGCTTATTAAAGAAAAAATCTATGTTGCAATTTGAAGTCAGATATTTAATTTGAAATTGGCAAAACTTCTTTTATTTTCTTTGGCTTGATTTGTTTGTAAGTGATTCTTACTCTGTGCTACCTAAAGCCCTACGTCCTTGTCCAAACTTATACAGCAAACTAATGGAAGAAATGAGATTACAGCATGAGTCTCCTGGATCTCAGGCTGATGTACTTTCTACTCCGTGCTTACATCAAAAAGGATGTCAATTTATCCTTTGGCTGAAGTGGATTAGAAAAAAAAATACAGAGTTCAGTTGAAGGGCGTTTGGCAAATCTCTTCCTCATTTGATGTCTGAGCTTTCAAATGGAATGACACTACAAATCAATGCATCAACGTCTACTTAAATGAGAATGTCCTTGGGACCTACAGCAATGGTCTTAGCTACATAATTAGTCTTTCCCTTGATCTAGAGCAAAAATTTGGTTTAACTGTGTTGAAGGAATAAGAATAGAGAGTATAAACTTCTGAAAAATGCTAAAATTAATGTAAAATCTGTATCTGACTTTATTGTCAATGGTGGAGACTGAGGTAGCATGAGGGAGGTTCCACTACAACAATTTGAGTCTCAATAATTCAGTCTATTAATATCCCTTGTATTTTATATTATTTTATATCAAAATGTGAAAGAAGAGAATATACTAATGTTGAGATACAATTTCCCATGCTTCTCCACATCTTGCCTTTACTTTGGATTATTTTTTTCAAGGGTATTGCTACAGCCTTAGATAAAATAATGTTTTTCTCCAGAGCAAATGGCAAGTTTATTCACTGTCACGTACAATAAAGATAATGTCTTTCTCTAAGGCACAGGTCAGGCAGATTTGCTTGGAGTCCAGTATATGAGGTTTCCTAAACTCAAGACTTCTCAACTGTGATGCAAACCCACTACATACACAGGATCAACCTAGGCTATTCTATTATATTCTCATGGAAGTTTGAGGGCAAGGGGAACCAATACAAACATAAAGTTTATGCTACATGCTATGACAAGAATAATGCTGTTTTTTTCTTATTAAATTTTTCATAGTTCCATAGGTTACTGGGGAACAAATGGTGTTTGGTTACATAAGTTCTTCAGTGGTGATTTGTGAGATTTTGGTGCACCCATCACCTGAGCAGTATACACTACACTTAATTTGTCATCTTTTATTCCTCACCCCCTTCCCACCCTTTTCCCCTGAGTCCCCAAAGTCCACTGTGTCATTCTTATGTCTTTGCATGCTCATAATTTAGCTCCCAGTTATAAGTGAGAACATATGACATTCGATTTTCCATTCCTGGTTACTTCACTTAGAATAATAATCTCCAATCTCATCCAGGTCACTGCAAATGCCATTAATTCATTCCTTTTTATGGCTGAGTAGTATTCCATCATATATACATACCACAGTTCTTGTTATCCATTCATTGACTGATGAGCATTTGGGTTGGTTACACGTTTTTGCAATTGTGAATTGTGCTGCTACAAACATGTGTGTGCAAGTATCTTTTCCATATAATGACTTCTTTTCCTGTGGATAGACACCCAGTAGTGGAGTTGATGGATCAAATGATAGTTCTACTATTAGTTCCTTAAGTGATATCCACACTGTTTTCTATACTGGTTGTACCAGTTTACATTCCCACCAGCAGGGTATAAGTGTTCCTTGTTCACTGCATCTACACCAACATCTATTTTTTTTTTATTATGGCCATTCTTGCAGGAGTAAGGTGGTATTGCATTGTGGTTTTGATTTGCATTTCCCTGATCATTAGTGATGTTGAGCATTTTTTCATGTTTGTTGGCCATTTGTATATCTTCTTTTGAGAATTGTCTATTCATGTCCTTGGCCCACTTTTTGTTGGGATTTTTTTTCTTGCTAATTTGTTTGACTTTATTGCAGATTCTGGATATTAGTCCTTTGTCAGATGTAGATTGTGAAGATTTTCTCCCATTCTGTGGGTTGTCTGTTTCCTCTGCTGACTGTTCCTTTTGCCATGTAAAAGATCTTTAGTTTAATTAAGTCCCAGCTATTTATCTTTGTTTATATTGCATTTGCTTTGGGGTTCTTGGTCATGAATTCCTTGCCTAATCCAATGTCTAGAAGGCTTTTTTTTCAATGTTATCTTCTAAAATTTTTATAGTTTCAGTTCTCAGATTTAAGTGCTTGGTCCATCTTGCATTGATTTTTGTATAAGGTGAGAGATGAGGATCCAGTTTTACTCTCTTACATATGGCTTGCCAATTATCCCAGAACAATTTGTTGAAAGGGTGTCCTTTCCCCTACTTTATGTTTTTGTTTGCTTTGTCAAAGATCAGTTGGCTGTAAGTATTTGTGTTTATTTCTGGGTTCTCTGTTCTCTTCCATTGGTCTATGTGCCTATTTTTATACCAGTGCTATGCTATTTTGGTGACTATAGCCTTATACTATAGTTTGAAATCAGGTAGTGTGATGCCTCCAGATTTGTTCTTTTTGCTTAGTCTTGCTTTGGATATGCAGGCTCTTTTTTGGTTCCATATGAATTTTAGGATTTTTTTTTCTAGTTCTGTGAAGAATGATGCTAGTATTTTGATAGGAATTGCATTGAATTTGTAGATTGCTTTTGGCAGTATGGTCATTTTCACAATATTGATTCTACCTGTCCATGAGCATGAGATGTGATTCCGTTTGTTTGTGCCATCTATGATATTTTTCAGCAGTGTTTTGTAGTTTTCCTTGTAGAGGTCTTTTACCTCCTTGGTTAGGTATATTCCTAAGTTGTTTTTTTTTTTTTTTTTTTTTTTTTTTGCAGCTGTTATAAAAGGAATTGAGTTCTTGATTTGATTCTCAGCTTGGTCACTGTTGGTATATTGAAGAACTACTGATTTGTGTACATTAATCTTGTATCTGGAAACTTTGCTGAATCCATTTAACAGTTCTAGGAGCTTTCTGGAGGAGTCTTTAGGGTTTTCTAGGTAAACAATCAGATCAGCAAACAGTGACAGTTTGACTTCCTGTTTACCAATTTGGATGGCCTTTATTTATTTCTGTCTGATTGCTCTGGCTAGAACTTCCAGTACTATGTTGAAGAGAAGTGGTGAGATTGGGCATCCCTGTCTGTTCTAGTTCTCAGAGGGAATACATTAAACTTTTCCTCATTCAATATTATGTTAGCTGTGGGTTTATCATAGATGGCTTTTATTACATTGAGGTATGTCCCTTGTATGCTGATTTTGCTGACAGTTTTAATCATAAAGGGATGCAGGGTTTTGTTGAATGCTTTTTCTGCATCTATTGAGATGGTCATGTAACTTTTGCTTTTAATTCTGTTTATGTGGTGTATCACATTTATTGATTTGTGTATGTTAAACCATCCCTATATTCCTGATATGAAACCCACTTAATCATGATGAATTAACTTTTTGATATGTTGTTGGATTTGGTTAGCTAGTACTTTGTTAAGGATTTTAGCATCTATATTCATCAGTGATATTATCTGTAGTTTTCTCTTTTGGTTATGTCCTGGTTCTGGTATTAGGGTGATACTGGCCTCACAGAATGATTTAGAGAGGGTTCCCTCTTTATCTGTCTTGTGGAATAGTGTCAATAGGATTGGTACCAATTTTTCTATGAATGTCTGATAGAATTCTGCTGTGAATCTATCTGGTCCTGAATGTTTTTTTTGTTGGTAATTTTTGTATTACCATTTCAATCTTGCTGCTTCTTATTGGTCTGTTCAGGATATCTAGCTCTCCCTGATTTAAGCTAGGAGGCTTGTATCTTTCCATGAATTTATCCATCTCCTCTAGGTTTTCTAGTTTATGAGCATAAAGGTGTTCATAGTAGCCTTGAATGATCTTTTGTATTTCAGTGGTGTCAGTTGCAATATCTCCTGTTTCATTTCTAATTGAGCTTATTTGGATTTTCTCTTCTTTTCTTGGTTAACCTTGCGAATGGTCTATCAAATTTATTTACCTTTTCAAAGAACCAACTTTTGTTTCATTTATCTTTTGTATTTTTTTGTTTCAGTTTTATTTGTTTCTGCTCTGATCTTGGTTATTTCCTTTCTTCTGCTGGGTTTGGGTTTGGTTTGTTCTTGTTTCTCTAGTTCCTTGAGGTGTGACCTTCGATTGCCTGTTTGTGCTCTTTCAGACTTTTTGATATAGGCATTTAGGGCTGTGAACTTTCCTCTTAGCACGGCCTTTGCTGTATACCAGAGGTTTTGATAGGTCATGTCGCTATTGCCGTTCAGTTCGAAGAATTTTTAAATTTCTATCTTGATTTAATTTTTGACTCAATGATCATTCAGGAGCAGGTTATTTAATTTCCATGTATTTGCATGGTTTTGAAGGTTCCTTTTGGAGTTGATTTCCAGTTTTATTCCACTGTGGTCTGAGAGAGTGCTTGATATAATTTCAATTTTCTTAAATTTATTGAGACTTGTTTTGTGGCCTATCATATGGTCTATCTTGAACAAAGTTCCAAGCATTGTTGAATAGAATGTATATTCTGAGTTGTTGGGTAGAATGCTCTGTATATGTCTGTTAAGTTCATTTGTTCCAGGGCATAGTTTAAGTTCATTGTTTCTTTGTTGACTTTACATCTTTATGACCTATCTAGTGCTGTCAATGGAATATTGAAGTCCTCCACTATTACTGTGTTGCTATGTCATTTCTTAGCTCTATTAGTAATTATTTTATAAATTTGGGAGCTCCAGTGTTAGATGCATACATATTTAGGACTGTGATGTTTTCCTGTTGGACAAGGCCTTTTATCATTATATAATGTCCCTCTTTGTCTTTTTTAACTGCTGTTGTTTTAAAGTTTGTTTTGTCTGATAGAGGAATAGCTACTCCTGCTTGCTTTTGGTGTCCATTTGCATGGAATGTCTTTTTCTACCCCTTTCCCTTAATTTTATGTGAGTCCTTATGTGTTAGGTGAGGCTCTTCAAGGCAGTAGGTAGTTGATTGGTGAGTTCTTATCCATTCTGCTGTTCTGTATCTTTTAAGCAGAGCGTTTAGGCCATTTACATTCAACATTAGTATTAAGATGTGAGATACCATTCCATTATTCCACTCATTGTGCTATTTGTGGTCTGTATATCTTTTTTTTAAATTGTATTTTTGCCTTATATGTCCTGTGAGATTACACCTTAAAAAGGTTTTGTTTTGATGTGTTTCCATAATTGTTTCAAGATTTGGAGCTCTTTTTAGCAGTTCTTGCGGTGGCTGGGTAGTGGTGAATTCTGTCAGCATTTGTTTGCCTGAAAAAGAGTGTATCTTTCCTTTATTTATAAAGCTTAATTTTTCTGAATACTAAATTCTTTGCTGATAATTCTGTTGTTTGAGGAGGCTGAAGATAAGGCCCCAATTCACTATAGCTTATAGGGTTTCTGCTGAGAAATCTGCTGTTAATCTGATAGGTTTTCCTTTATAGGAAAACCTTTATGGTGCTTTTGCCTCACAGCTCTTAAGATTCTTTCCTTCCTCTTAACTTTAGATAACCTGATGACAGTATACCTAAGAGATGATGTTTTTGTGATAAATTTCCCAGGTGTTATTTGAGCTTATTGTATTTGAATATCTAGGTCTGTAGCAAGACCAGGGAAGTTTTCATGGATTATTCCCCGAAATTTGTTTTCCTAACTTTCAGATTTTTCTTTTTCCTCAGGAACACCAACTATTTTTAGGTTTGGTCATTTAACATAGTCCCAGACTTCTTGGAGGCTTTGCTCATACTTTCTTATTCTTTTTTCTTTGTCTTTGTTAGATTGGATTAATTTGAAGACCTTGTTTTTGAGCTCTGAAGTCCTTTCTTCTGTTTGTTCAATTCTATTGCTGAGACTTTCCAGAGCACTTTGCATTTTTATAACTGTGTCCATTGTTTCCTGAAGTTTTGATTGTTTTTTATTTATGCTATCTACTTCATTGAATATTTCTCCCTTCACTTCTTGTATCATTTTTTTTTATTTCCTTAGACTGGGCTTTGTCTTTCTCTGGTGCCTCCCTGATTAGCTTAATAACCAACCTTCTGCATTCTTTTTCAGGTATATCAGGGCTTTCTTCTTGATTTGGATCCATTGGTGGTGAGTTAGTGTGATTTTTGGGGGTGTGTTACAGAACCTTGTTTTGTCATATTACCAGAGTTGGTTTTCTGGTTCCTTCTCATTTGAGTAGGCTCTGTCAGAGGGAATGTCTAGGGCTCAAGGCTGTTGTTCAGATTCTTTTGTCCCACAGGGTGTTCCCTTGATGTAGTACTCTTCCCCTTTTCCTAGGAATGTGGTTTCCTGAGAATGGAGCTGTAGTGATTGTTATCTCTTTTCTAGATCTAGTCACCCTGCAAGTCTACCAGGCTCTGAGCTGGCACTTGGGGTTGTTTGCACAGAGTCCTGTGATGTGAACCATCTGTGGGTCTTTCAGCCATGGATACCAGCACCTGCTCTGGTGGAGGTGGCAGGTGGGTAAGATGGACTCTGTAAGAGTCCTTGGCTTTGGTTGCTTAATGCACTATTTTTGTGCTGGTTGATCTCCTGTCCAGAGGTGGCGCTTTCAAGAGAGCATCAGCTGTAGTAGTATGGGGAGGAAGAGGTGGTGGCCAGGGCCCTAGAACTCCCAAGAGTATATGCCATTTGTTTTCAGTTACCAGAGTGGGTAGGGGAGGACCATTAGGTGGGGGCAAGGCTAGGTGTGTCTGAGCTCAGACTCTCCTTGGGCAGGTCTTGCTGCAGCTTCTGCTGGGGATGACGGTGAAGTTCTCAGACTAATGGAGTTATGTTCCTAGTAGGATTATGGCTGCCTCTATTGCATCATGCAGGTTGTCAGGGAAGTGGGAGAAAGCCAGCAGTGACAGGCCTCATCCAATATCCACACAACCCAAAGGGCCGGTCTCATTCCCACCACGTCCCCCACCAACAGCACCAAGTCTACTTCCAGGTAGTGGGTGAGCAGGACCGAGAACTTGCCCCAGGCTACCCACCTCCCAGCTGCAAAAGAAATTAGGGCTTTCCTTCTTTCCCCACCTGTGGAGTCTGCGCAATGGATTCACTCCCTCCCTTGAGTTCTGGCCAGGAGACTTCTCGATTGGTTGAAATTGTTAACAAAGTTCAGCTGGAGGTTTGCTTCTCTCTGTGGCCTTTACCCAGTGCCTCTGACCATCCTCCCCAAGGATCCCTGTGAGGCAGGGCAGAAATGGCTTGCTAGAGGACCCAGTGAGACCATAAGGCTTTTCCTGCTGCTTCCTCTACCCCTGTATTTAGCTTGTCTCTCTAAATTGACTCAGCTCCAGGTAAGGTCAGAATCTTTTCTCATAATCTAGACCTTCAGGTTCCCTAGTGGGGGTGTGTGTTCCAGGTGTTTCCCAAGCCCCGCGGGAGCAATCTGCTTTCTTCAGAGGGTCTGTGGGTTCTCTTGGCTTTCCTAATATATTCCTGCAGTCATTCTGGAACAAAAGATCATGATGCACGCCTCCACATACTGCTCTGTCCGTCTGAGTGGGAGCTGCAATCTACTCCTGCTTTCTGTCCACCATGATTCTCCCACAATCTCTCTTGGTCAGGACACTGTCTCCAACTGTGGCCCTGGCTTGGCCTCCTCCAAGGTGCTGGTTGACAAGATAATGCAATTTTTGACCTAAAATATCATGTCTTCTGCCAGCATTCATGAAACTATGAGAGGCTAACTTATTAGCTTGCAAGTAGGGTGAAATCTCAGACCCTTTACAGTTCTTGATAAGTAATTTCTAGTTAGACTTCCAAACAACCGTGTGATACCCTATTTCTTGATATTCATGGACAAATAGATTTTTACTCAAAAGAATTTTGAAAAAGAAAGAAATTAAGGATGAAATAATGTGTCTGGGTCAAATTACTATACTTCACAATAGACATCTATGAAGTGATTTTGAAAAGTTTGTGAAAAATTGAATTAAAATATAAAAATAAAAATATAAATTTTATTTCTTACCATAAGCTCTACCAAATTCAGGACACTTTTGTAAGCAATGATACTGGCCATTTAGTCCATTCCTGAAAACTGAAGGTTGTGGAAATTTAACCACCTCAATGCAGTTATTTTAAATTACAATTATTATTATTATTATTATTATTATTATTATTTTGAGATGGAGTCTTGCTCTGTCACCCAGGCTGGAGTGCAGTGGTGCGATCTTGGCTCACTGCAAACTCTGCCTCCCGGGTTCAAGCGATTCCCCTGCCTCAGCCTCCTGAGTAGCTGGGATTACAGGCGTGTGCCATCATGCCCAGCTAATTTTTGTATTTTTAGTAGAGATGGAGTTTCACCGTGTTGGTCAGGCTGGTCTCAAACTCCTAACCTCAAATGATCCACTCACCTCAGCCTGCCAAAGTGCTGAGATTACAGGGGTGAGCCACCACACCCAGCTGTCATTTTTAATTAGTAACTGAAGAAAAATAAATGCCTTTTACAGATTTTTTTTTAAGATTAGGAAATGAAGTCAGAAGCCAAATCATGACTGTAAGGTAGTTGCCTAACAATTGCTTAATAATTTTGAAATACTTCCAAAACTGCCCTTGTTTGATAAAAGGAATGAGCAGGGGCATGGTTGTGGTGGAGAATAACTCTGGTGAAACTTTCCTTGGTATTTTTCTGCTAAAGTTTTGTCTAACTTTTTCAAAACACTCTCATAATAAGCAGATGTTATCATTCTTTAGCCCTCCAGTAAGTCAACAAGCAAAACGACTTGCGAATCCTAAAAACGCTGTTGTCATTACCTTTACTCTTTATTAGTCTGATTTGCTTTAGCTGGACCATGCCCACCTCTTAGGAACCATTGGTTTGATTATGCTTTGTCTTCATGATCATTCAAGTAAAGTCATGTTTTATCTCATGACAATTCTTTGAAGAAATGCTTCGGGATCTTGATTCTACTTGTTTAAAATTTCCATTGAAAGCTCCACTCTTGTCTGCAGCTGAGCTGGTTTTGGCACCCATTGAGGGAAAAGTTTTATAATTTAATTTTTTAGTCAGAATTGTATAAGCTGAACCAGTTGAGATGTCAGTGATGTTGGCTATTATTTCTACTGTTAATTGTTGGTCGTCTTTATTCAGGGCATGGACTAGATGAGTTTTTTTCCTCACAAATTAATGTGGATGGTCTGCCACTACAGGCTTCATCTTCAAAATCATCTTGTCCATCTTTTATGTTTTGACCCGAACATAAAAGTCAAAACCATAAAATTTTAAGGAAAATATCTTCACACCTTGGAGGCCGGCAAATATTTCTTATTTAGAGCACAAAAAGCGATGTGTAAAAATTTGTTTTTTTTTTTTTAGACAGAGTCTTGCTCTGTTACCAGGCTGGAGTGCAATGGTGCAATCTCAGCTCACTGCAACCTCTGCCTCCTGGGTTCAACTGATTCTCCTGCCTCAGCCTCCCAGGTAGCTGGGACTACAGGCGCCCACGACCACGCTTGGCTAATTTTTGTATTTTTTTTTATAGAGATGGGGTTTCACCATGTTGGCCAGGATGGTCTTGATCTCTTGACCTCAGATCATGAGGTCAAGATCTGCCTTGGCCTTCCAAAGTGCTGGGATTACAGGTCTGAGTCACCGTGCCTGGCCCAGTGTAAAATTTTTAAAATTATAAATATTACTTAATATTTATTGAAAGATAATAAACTAGACTTACATATTTATAGCCTGTCTCACTGAAGATCCTACTAAAATTTATATATATAAACTTTAATTTTTTTCATTCTAGGTAATGAAGGGGACATGAAATGTCATCAGTAAATAAGCAAACTCAGTTAAATTCTGTTGGACAAAAGCAGTGGTTACTGTGGGAACAGAACAGAGGTTAGAATACTAGCACAAAAAGAATATAGGGAAGAAATAAACAAATTTGTCACAAAGAACCATAGAGAGCCAGGGAATTCAGCAAAAACATTGGTATAGAAATGGAGGACAGGAATGAAATGTGGGGCTGAAAACAGAAGGAATAATTTATTACAAAGTGTGATAGATGTCATGGCTCTCACTCATATTTTTTGTTTTATTTCTTCTCAGTACAAGGTAAGATTATACTGCCCTGTCCCCCTGAAGTCAGAGATGCCAAGTGACTTGATTTGTTTAATTAAATGTTAGTGAAAGTAATATGTGGCACTTCCTTTAACATCCATGACAATTTACTCAACTTTCACTTCTGTGGCACTCTACTCTCTTGGTTTTATTCTCACTGTCAAGCTACAAAAACTTACTCTCTTTAGCAGCCATCCCTTTCCTGCTCATACCCTAAATCCTGTATTCTTTGTAGTTCTGCCCTAAGCTTCTTATTTTATCACTGCAGATTCTCCACAGATAATCTCATTTATTCTAAGTCTTAATTACTATCCGCACTTCTGACTCTCAAATATACTGTATTAGTTCATTCTCACACTGCTATAAAGACATACCTGAGGCTGGATAACTTATGAAGAAAAGAGGTTTAATTGACTCACAGTTCTGCCAGCTATACAGAAGACATGGCTGGGGAGGCCTGAGGAAACTTACAATCATGGTGGAAGGCAAAGGGGAAGCAGGCACAATCTTCACATGCAGAGCAGGAGAGAGAGAGCAAAGAGGGAAGTGCCACACACTTTTAAACCATCAGATCTTATGAGAATTTACTCACTATCTTGAGAATAGTATGGGGAAAATCCACCCCCATGATTCAATCACCTCCCACCAAGTACCCTGTCAACACTGGGAATTATAATTCAACATGAGTTCTGGGTGGAGATACAGAGCCAAAATATATTATTCCACACCTAGCCTCCCTGAAATCTCATTTCCTTCTCACATTTCAACACAGAATCATGCTTACAAAACAGCCCCCAAGAGTCTTAACTCATTCTAGCATTAACTCAAAAGTCCAAGTCCAATGTCTCATCTGAGACAAAGCAAGTCCCTCTGCCTATTAACCTGTAAAAATAAAAGTCAAGTTAATTATTTCCAAGATACAGTGAGGGCACAGACATTGGGTAAATGTTCCCATCCCAAAATGGAGAATCAGCCAAAACTAAGGGACTACAGGCCCCATGCAAGTCTGAAACCTAGCAGAGCAGTCATTAAATGTTAAAGCTCCAAAATAATCTCTTTGACTCCATGTCTCACATGGAGGACACGCTGATACAAGGGGTGGCTCCCAAGGCCTTGGGCATCTCCCCGCCGTGGCTCTGCTGGATACAGCCCCTGCAGCTGCTTTCACAGGCTGGCTTTGAGTGCCTGCAGTTTTTCCAAGTGCATGGTGCAAGCTGTTGGTGGCTCTACCATTCTGGGGTCTGGAGAACAGTGGCCCTCTTCTCACAGCTCCACTAAGCAGTGCCCCAGTGGGGACTCTGTGTGGGCACTCCAACCCCACAATTCCTCTCTGCACTGCTATAGTAGAGGTTCTCCATGAGGGCTCCTCTCCTGCAGCAGACTTCTGCCTGGACATCCAGGCATTTCCATACATCCTCTGAAATCTAGGCGGAGGTTCCCAAAACTCAATTCTTGCCTTCTGTGTACCTGCAGGCCCAACACCACATGGAAGCTGTCAAGGCTTCGGGCTTACACCCTCTGAAGCAATGGCCCAAGCTGTACCTTGGTCCCCTTTAGCCATGGCTGGAGCTGGAGCAGCTGGGATGCAGGGCACCATGTTCTAAGGCTGCACAGAGCAGCAGGGCTGAAAGTCTGGCACATAAAACCATTTTTTCCTCCTGGGCCTCCAAGCCTGTGATGCAAGGGGCTGCTGTGAAGGCCTCTAAAATGTTCTGGAGGCACTTTTCCCATTGTCTTGGCTATTCACGTTTGGCTTTTCTTTATTTATGCAAATTTCTGAAGCCTTGAATTTCTCCCCCCAAAATGGGTTTTCCTTTTCCACCACAAATTTTCCAAACTTTTATGCAAATTTTCCAAACTTTTATGCTCTGCTTCTCTTTTAAATATAAGTTCTAGTTTCAGGTCATTTCTTCGTTTATGCAAATAAGTGCAGGCTTTTAGAAGCAGCCAGGCCACATCTTGAACACTTTGCTTCTTAGCAATATCTTCCACCAGATACCCTAAATCAAGTCTCTCAAGTCTAAAATTCCACAGATGTCTAGAGCAGAGGCACAACACGGCCAGTTTCTTTACTAAAGCATGTCAAGAGTGACCTTTACCTTAGTTCCCAATAAGTTTCTTATCTCTATCTGAGACCACCTCAGCTTGGACTTCACTGTCCAAATCATTATCAGCATTTTGGTAACAACAATTCAACAAATCTCTAGGAAGTTCCAAACCTTCCCTCATCTTGCTGTCTTATTCTGAGCCTTCAAAAGTGTTCCAACCTCTGCCCATTACCCAGTTCCAAAGTCACTTCCACATATTCAGATATATTTATAGCAAAGCCCCACTTCTTTGGTACCAATTTTCTGTATGAGTCCATTCTCACATTGCTGTAAAGACATACCAAAACTGGGTAATTTATGAAGAAAAGAGGTTTGTTGACTCACAGTTCCATAGGTTGTAAAGGAGGCATGTCTGGGAAGACCTCAGGAAACTTACAATCATGATGGAAGGTGAAGGGGAAGTAGGCACAATCTTCACATGGCAAAGCAAGAGTGAGAGCAAAGGGGGAAGTGCCACACTCTTTTAAATCATCAGATATCATGAAAACTCATTCACTATCATGAGAACAGGTTGGGGAAAATCCGCTTCCATAATCCAATCACCTTCTACCAGGTCTCTTCCCCATCACTGGGAATTATAACTCAACATGAGATTTGAGTGGGGACGAAGAGCCAAACCATATCATATACATATACATATATTGTATACATATATCTACAAGTTATCTGATAACATACTGACCCCCATGCTTACCTATTTGCGGGCCTGTTTTATTAATATTTCATAGACAAGTGATACTAAATCTTTTAAAATTTTAACTAATTTTTTTCAAAACCTTCTCTCTCTCTTGACTATTCTGCTCTCATGAATGATACTATCATTAGTGACAGCATCATACTAGAACAAACTGTACACTCAAAGTTATTTTGGCATCTCTTATGAGCAATTCTTATTTCAATCAACATACAAGAATAGACACAAAATCAATTGATGACCACTTTAGTAAATTTTTAAAGTCATCTTTACTTAAATCTCATTTACATATAATAAAATTCACATATTTTAAGTAGATATTTGGAGGAATGATAAGAAACATGTACGCTTGTATAACCAACACACATTCACAAAATGATCAACTTTCATCAATGTAGAAAGTTTCTTCTTTCTCCTTTTTCAGGTAGTCACCCTCCAGGCCCAGGTGACCATTGGTCTAGTCTCTAATGTTATAGATTAGTTTTGGCTGTTCAATAACCTCATTTAAATACTTACATAATGTGTTTGTCTTATTATTGAAGTGGAAGGTTATATACTTTTAGTACAAATTCTTTGTTGGGTGTATGCATTGCAAAAATTTCTTTTTACCTGTACCTTGCATTTCATTATTTTAACTTGTTCTGAAGAGTGTAACTTTTTAACTTAGATTAAGTTTATGTTATGTATATTTTTTCCATTATGGTTAGTGTGCTTTGTGTTCTATTAAAAAAAATACTCTTTGCCTACTCCCAGGTCACAAAGATTATCTCCAGGAAGTTTTAGAGTTTAAATTTTTATGTTTAGATCAATAATGCATGTTGAAATGTTTTTGTATAGTGTGAGGTAGGGACTAAAGTATGTTTTGTTCCATGTGGATAAAGTTATTGTCACATTACATTTTTTAAAAAAACCTATTCTTCCCTAATGAATTACCCTATTGCCTTTACATAAAACCAATGATCATACATGTGGATCTATTATTACACTCCCTTTCTGATTCATTGATTTGTATATCTATCTTTATGCTAATACCAAACTGTCTTGATTACTAGATCTTTATCATAAATTTTAAAATCAGGTAATGTACATCCCCCAATTTTTTGCTTGTTTTTTTTTTCCTTTTTCAAAGTTAGTTTTGGCTATTCTGTGCCCTCTGCATTTCCATATCAACTTTAGAATCAACTTATCAATATGTACAAATAATGTAATTTATCTGGAATTTTGATGGTTAAATCTATAGGTCGATTTAGGGAGCATAAACATCTTGGGAAAGATGCTGAAACTTTCAGAGCCTCTGATTTTTTAATCTGCAAAGTCAAAAAATACTTTAGATGTGTGTTGGATAGATAGGTAAGATATTTTATGCCGAATTCTTAACCTTGCCTGGCACATAATAAATCCCTACCATTATTTCTATTACTATTATTGTTAACCAAATGGTTTCACCTGTGTCAGCTTATGTGTTTCTGACCCTAGCCATGTGAATGGAGCAGGACTTATTACCATCAAGCATTTATTGAGAACTCCTCACGAGATATTTACTTTATAAATAAAGAAATGGACTGGGCACAGTGGCTCACACCTGCAATCCCAGCACTTTGGGAGGCCAAGGCGGGTGGATCACCTGAGGTCAAAAGTTTGAGACCGGCCTGGCCAACATGGTGAAACCCTGTCTCTACTAAAAATACAAAAATTAGCCAGGTGTGGTGGCATGTGCCTGTAGTCCCAGCTACTCGGGAGGCTGAGGCAGGAGAATCACTTGAACCCAGGAGGCAGAGGTTGCAGTGAGCCAAGATCATGCCACTGCACTCCAGCCTGGGTGACAAAGTGAGACTCCATCTCAAAAAAAAATAAATAAAAATAAATAAATAAATAAATAATAAATAAATGAATATTTAGGTAATAAATTATCTTGCTGGAAATCACACAGCTAGTGAGTGGTGAAGGCAAGTCTTGAATCAAATAAGTCTTCTAATTCTCACAGTCTTTTCAATATAAATGTATAGAGAAAGGCATGGAAGGAGGCAGGAAGGCAGACAACTTAGAACAATAATTCATCCTATGCAGAACCAGGATAGGAGCTGACAAAAGAAGAGACTAGCTCAGTTCATTGGTTCTTTTGTTTCTGTATCCTTGAGCTCACCACACTTTCCTTTCCTCTACTCACTGGCTCCTTAATCATCCAAAGAATTTTCAGCCTTCCTATAATGGACATAAAGTTTTAAACTCTTATGAAGGCCTGGCTTCCCCACCATTGGGTCAGCCAAATATATTGGGAGCTCAATCGGCCCTCCATCTGCAACACATTCCTGAGCACGTTCCCCGCAGATGCCGCATGTGGGTTCGCCTTTAGGCCATTTCCTGACAGCTGACATGCAGTTGACAGAGAACAGGGATGTATATTTTGGTGCAAGTCATCCTGCCTGCTTGGCTATATTTGCCTTGTTTGATAGTTTTCACTTTTCAGGATGACCTCATGTTAGAAGCTTCTGGATAATTAATAAACTCCTTCTCTGTCAGCCCTTTTCTCGTTTCCTGTCAATTTCATGTGCTGTTTCTTAGCTAAGTTTAATCATTGAAAGAATAACCCAAATGAATTAGTGGACATTAGGCTACAGATTAACAATTTTCACGCCTGGCAGGTCTAGCATTTAGTAGAAACAACTCAACTAATATTCGAAGGCATATGTAAACATTTACTTTACGGTTTGGTGCCAAGTTTCGGTGGAATATTAATTTTTATGGACATAGTAATAAACTTGTGCTACTTTGGGGTGAAAAAAAAGGGCATAATGGAAACACTGACATATTCCTGGAAAATTCTGTCTTACCCAACTTAAAACTGTAAACATTTTACTAACTAAAAGGCATGGAATACATTGGGTAAACTGGGATACATTTTGTCATAAAAAAATTTCAGTAGAATAAGTTTTGTTTCTTCAAGCCAATTAGCAGTGCTAAGTGTCATGCTCAAACAACGTCTTTATCCAAATCTGACACACACAGTTTAATATAATTAAACAGTGAGTAGTTCCCAGATGCTAAGATTCATACAAAAGCAGTGAAGATGGGGAAATTACAGCCCTTCTCAAAAAACTTCATTCAACTAGGTTCTTCTGACATCCTGAGAAGTACCAGAGCACTCCAGACCTTGGAGGAATGAATATTCATGACTGGACAGAGGGCATGGCTGATGTTATAGGAAAGTCTCAACAAAGGACATTGACCTTTGAACTTGAGGTAAGATAGAATCTGTTCCTGAGGCACCAGAGAACTCCAGGGAATATTCTCTGATTGTTTAGTGAATAGAGCATCACGGAAATCATAAGGGTCATATAGGGTCATTCTGTGATATTTGGACCAAACATTGTGGTGCAGTTCAATGTTTAGGACTCAAAGAAAAAAAAAATGTTTTTACTAAAGTTTTAATTTTGGACTAAGTCTAGGCTTTGAGAAGTTACAAGGAACAAAAATGCCTTTTAGGGATTTTTTTTAAAGCGTATTTTGGGGAGAATTTTTAAAAAATAATGTTCCATTTATTTAGGAAGCCTACATTTAATTAGTTCATTTTGCAAGCTTATTTATAACATAGACTCAATTGGTGATTTCTTAAGTTAAGATTTTTTTTTTTTACATGGGTTACTCTCAAGCTATCTTTGCCCATTCCAAGCTATGTTTAGATAATGCATAGTAGGTCACATTCTCCAATATCCTGGGAGGGCAGGATTTTTTTTTTTTTAAGCTATTGAAAAAAAAAAAAAGCTAACCAGGCAAACTTAATACACTTAAATTATCAACATTCGTGGACCAACATTCTGGAATATGTGTTAGAGCTCAACTCTTCATTTCTTTGTGAGTGTTGTACATGATTAGTAAACATGAATTAAGATAGACCATATATCATTTAAGAGTAAAATTTTCTCTCATCTTTTAAATCAGAATAAAAATCCAAATGTGAGCATTATAGAGGGTCAAGGAACTTAATTTCTTTAAGCTTCAACTTCTTGAAAAATAAAATATATAATTTTATTTTATGAGAATGAAATAAGATGACATGTAATTTGCTTAGCATAGAACATAACATATCAGTGCACCCGAAAGATGCAGCCATTTTATTAGAACAAAAGGGCTGGACTATGTTTTACTGTCATGAAGATAGCTGTGTAGGGTCTCCCCATCTTGATTATATTACTCAGCTGTCCTGTTGAGGCCCAAGGATCATCTTAGATCCTCATATTGCTTGCATATGGGGACACAGAAGTCTGTGTCCTCTGCAGAGTCCACTTTTATTATCCACATGTTGCCTCTTTTCATGGACTTTATCTTTGCTTTATCTCTCTAATTTTGGCCTCACATCCAGAACTTCAAACTCACATTTTCCTCTGCAGTTATGCAGAGTCTTGCAGACTAAAGGGACTGTCTTCAACCTAACCCAAACTGCCTACATGTTGTACTTCTGGTCGTATTCTTTTGGAAACATGTAAAATTATGACATTGACAGAGTCTAAAGTTAAACTGCTTAACTGTAGCTGGTTACCTTTCCCAACTCGACTTTACAGATTTGTAGCTCAACAGTCCCTATCAGAAAATGTTCTCTACTTCTTATAAAGGTGGGCTAGGTAGGAACTTTTCCGGAGTAATCGCTGTTAGAGCACAGGTTGGCAGAGTTATGGTTTAAATGTAGCTCTAGTAAATACCTCAATAGTGTAAGGAGACACAGAAGTTAAGAGCACAGGCAAGTTTGAATTTGACCCCATCTCCATCACTTACACGCTATGTAATGCTGTTTAAGTGATCTGTCCTTTAAGCAGGACTTTTTCAGCTGGAAAAAATGGATAATTGAGGTCCTTGCTGCATAAGGTAATTGTGAAGATTAAAGGAGATGTGGATACCACATGGTAAATTCTTAGTAGATGCCAGCAATTATTAAGGAAAGGCAATAGACTTGGTTAAGTATTATAATATCTTTCTAAAATAGAGGCTGCCTGAAACTTGAAAGTTGAAACTGGTCAGGGACTGTTCTTCAGGTACAAAGAAAACTACAAGGATATATTTTTGGTGATTGGACGGGTAGTGATAAGGGTTGTTAGATATGGCATGGGGACTTCCTTTAAATGGCATGGTTTTCATGACACTAAGACTGAGACTCTGAGAATGTGTCAGGATTCTGAAATAGGGCAGAAAAAATATTTGAGATGTGTGTAGTAGTAAAGATAGACAGATACCTTTGGGAGACAGAGATTTAACAGTGGGGCAGAAAAAAAAAAGACAACCTGGCTGTCAGATCAGTGAACTAACTCATCTGCTTAAGTCAAAGACCCACTGGTTGCAGAATGGAAGATATTTCATGGCTCCAGTGAAATGAAGTTCTGTTCAATAGATGTGGAAAATAAAAAAGAATTTTGCAAGACACCTATCTTAAGTCAGCCAAGGAGCTGCAAGTGTTGAGAGCTGTAAAATCTGACAGCAATCAAAATTAAAGCTACTTAGCCACATTGAGGGGATGACTCCATGATCTTCATAATGGAGGGTTATATTTCATAATTTTCAGAAACTCCCCCTGGCTGCCTGTCAAGCTGTGCATAAAAGGACTTGTCTGGGTCATTATTGCTTTGATTACTGCCAAGGGAGCCAGTGGTGGTTGGAGTATGAGCAGAAGTAGACTGGCATTTTATTACATAAGATTTGTGTCAAATCCAGCTCCAGTTACTCAATACTATTTCAGGATCTGTCCACTTTACAATAGTTTTCACATGTGGCCACATATAAAAATCTGAGCTTTTCCTTTGATGATTACATGTCTTTACTACAAAACCAGTATGTTCTCAAAGTTTACCCATGAGATCTGTGAGGTTTAGAAGCAAGACAAGTAGATACTTTAGGCTTGATATAATTCATGTGTATATTTATAATCTGGCCATGTTATATGCTTTCTTTTTTAATTTTAAAATTGAAGTATTCTACTCCCTGGATTTCTGAAAGGATACAAAAAGACAATACATTAGAAAACCTTTGTGAATGTTAGTGATTGATGAAGGAGTAAGTTGTCTTATGAAGAATTATTGTTGTTGCTTGTTGTTATGGGCTAGTTACATTCAATACTAGCTTATATTTTGTGAAACAAATATGAAAAGTTATATCAAGTGCAGCTATATCTGCTGTGTCCATTTTAAGGATGTAGGATGTAGCATAATTCAGTAACACAGAAGCCCAGACTTTGAATCTAGAAAAAGTTCAAGGAGTTTGTGATTTTAGTGGCTAGGGTACCAGAGTAATAACTCAGAGTAGAGCCTCTAACTAGACAAATTGATGATAACCCAAATTGCTTTTAGGTCTTCGCACAGTTTTCTCCTTCCATATCAGAATTCTCACTTCCTTCTCTTACCCAGACCTAAATTCTTACATCCACAGCTCTTAGGAACTTTCCTACTTTATTACCATTTGTATATATGTATTTTCTCTTCAAGAAATGGTAACTGTCTTGAGCGTAAGATAGTTATAACATTTAATTCATTGTTTTGTCTCCTGAAGTACCTAGAATTTGAACTTCTGTTCAAGAGCTAAGCTGTGATAGACCGTCAAGTTTTCACTCACCAGGATGCTTTCTAACTTTCACCACAGATGATGCCCAAAGCTTTTCCTGAGACTTTGACCTTGAAGCTTTGATGCCCACTCTAGGTGTCACCCTCCACGTATGTGTTATGTAAAGCTTTATATAGTTCTGATTGACTTCACAGAATTGACAGTCTAGCAGTTGGTTCCACCTTTTCTTACCCTCAAGCTAGGCTGTTTCTCTTGACTCCTATTCCTAAGGATAAATAAGGCTCTTTCTGTCTGTGTTCTTGGAATAACCGCCGAGCTACCCTCTCTTCAGCCTACTTGAGCATTAAGAAGGTTGTTTATTTTCCCGAATTCTAAATCTGTTATATTTTAATTACCACATAAGTTACATAAGGTCTCCTTTTCCTTATGTGATAGTTATATTTTCCCATTTTGGTAGTTAGTATACTTTGAACTACAAGTAACAAAAATAATCATAATGATCAACAATTTAAACTATCAGAACATTCATAACCTCAGATGGAATAAAATTCAGGTTTGTTTCAGTAGCTCAACCAAGTCTTTAGGCTTTTCACCACTTGGACCCAAGATGGTTGCTGCTATTCCAGCCCTCTTGTCCTCTTAAACTGTGTAGAAAGTTAGAAAGAAAAGTTAGTTTCTTCTTATGCATAGAGAAAACACACATAAATAGAGGAGAAATAAAGGAGAAAGTCTTTTCTACACGTCATTGAGTAGACTTTCTCTTAGGTCTTTTGACCAGGGTTGGGTAACTGACCATTGTAGTTGTCAGAATGATAACCTTCAAAAATATATGTCCATGCCCTCAGCTCTGAAACTTGTGAATCTTACCTTATGCAGAAAAAGTATCTTAAGCAACTTCAGATGAAGATAGCATCCCAGTTTGCCCAGATGAGCCCTAAATCCAATAACAAGTATCTTTATAAGAAACAAAGAGCACTTTGGGAGGCTGAGGCAGGCAGATCACTTGAGGTCAGGAGTTTGAGACCAGCCTCGCCAACATAGTGAAACCCTGTCTCTACTAAAAATAAAAAACACTAGCCGGACTTGGTGGTGGGTGCCTATAATCCCAGCTACTTGGGAGGTTGAGGCAGGAGAATCGCATGAACCTGGGAGGTGGATGTTGCAGTGAGCCAAGATTGCATCACTGCACTCCAGCCCCAGTGACAGTGCGAGACTCCGTCTCAAAAAAAAAACAAAAAAAAAAAAAAACAAAGAAGCAAAGAGAGGAAAAGAGAGAGGACAATATGATCATAGGAGTGATTGAGATTGGAGTGATGCAGCCACACTTCAAGGAATGCCCACAGCCCACAGCTACAGAGGCTAGAAGATGCAAAGAATTATTCCCTAGAGACACCAGGTGAAATGCAGCCCTGCTGACAAACTGGATTTCAGACTTCTGGCCTCCAGAACTGTGGGAGAATAAATTTATGTTTTTGTTTGTTTGTTTTTAATGTTTTTGTTTTTAATAGACTTTGTCTTGTTTGTTTTTAATAGACTTTATTTTTTAGAGCAATTTCAGGTTCATAGCAAAATTGAATGGAAAGTACAGAGAATTCCCCTATACCCATCATTCCCAAATAACAACCTTCCCCACTATCAACATCCCACACCATAGTGGTGCCTTATTTGTTACAATGGATGAACCTACATTGATACATCACTCAAAGTCCACGCTTTGCCTTAGGGTTCATTCTTAGTGGTGTACATTCTACTGGTCTTGACAAATGCATGATAACATGCATCCACTATTAGAATATTGGACAGAATTGTTTCACTGCCTTAAAAATTATCTGTGATCTGCTTATTTAACCCTCTATCCCACTAAGCCCTGGCAATCACTGATCATTTTACCGTCTCAATTTTGCCTTTGCCAGAATATCATAAGGTTAAAATCACACACGTTTTTATTAGGGAGGGTTCTCCAGGGAAATAGAATCAATTGTGTGTGTGTGTGTGTGTGTGTGTGTGTGTGTGTGTGTGTGTACACACAGAGAGAGAGGGAGGGAAAGAGAGAGAGAGAGAGAGAGAAGTTTATTATAAGGAATTGGCTTATGCAATTATGAAGGCTGGCAAGTCCCAAGATCTGCAGGGTAAATTGGCAAGCTGGAGACCCAGGAGAAAACAATAAACAATGTTTCTGTTTTTAGTCCAAAGACAGGAAAATTATTGCGTTTCAGTTTGAAGGCTGTCAGGCAGGAAGATTCTATTCTATTTTGCAGAGGGTCAGCCTTTGTTTTCTATTCAGAACTTCAACTGATTAAATTAGTCCCATTCCATCCACTTTAATGGAGGGCAATCTGCTTTACTCAGTCTATCAATTTAAATGTTAATCATATCCAGAAACACATTTACAGAAATACTCAGAATAGTGTACGACCAAATATCTGGGCTCCTCATGGCCTAGTCAAGTTAACACAAAGTTAACCATCACAAATATCACAAATATACAGCCTTTCTAGATTGGCTTCTTTCACCTGGTAATACGCATTTGAGTTTCCTCCATGTTTTATCATGGCTTGAAAGCTCATTTTGTTCATCGAATAATATTCCGTGGTCTGGATATGCAACAATTTATTTACCCATTAACTTACAAAAGGACATCATGGTTGCTTCCAAGTTTTAGTAATCATGAATAAAGCTGCTACAAACATCTATGTAAAGGTTTTTGTGTGGACAAATGTGTTAAATTCATTTGAGTAAACACCAAGGAGTGCAAATACTAGATCATATGTTAAGAGTATGTTTAGTTTTATAAGAAAGAATTCTGTTATTTTAAGCCAACAAGTTTACTCTAATTTGTTGCAGCAGCCCTAGGAAACTAATATAATCATCCCTATGTAAAATGAAAGCAAGATAGAAATATGTACCTAGCAATTTGATCCTACTAGAGGAAATGAGCTCAGTCTATAATGAAAAATAGCTTTGGAAATGGCCTGTGGCAAGGAAACTAACATGTCTGAAATATTCAATGGTTTAAGATCCTGAAATTGTAGATTTGCAAAACTTTTTCCTCCTTAAAATTTCCCTGATACTAGAGTAGATTTTATTTTGACTTCAAAGGCCAGAGTCCTGTGAAAATACTAATAATAACCAACATTTATATAAGTTTATAGTTTAGAAACCACTATCTTTCTGCATGAACAAATTACCTCCAAAAACATCCCTGAGAAGCAAATATAAGCTATTGTGCTCACTTTGTGGAGGGTAGTAGAGAGCAGTACATAGAAGCATAAACTATGAACCCCAGTTCTGGGGCCTATGATTTGGCTAATCATGGCCACACCACTTATCCTCTCTGAGCCTCAGTTTTATCATCTATGAAGTGGAGTGAATGCAAGTACTTACTTCATCATGCTGCATATTATGATGGATTACAAATATAAGAGGGTTAAAGCATAGTAAGCACTCAATAAATGTTCATGGCAATTTTAATCATTGATATATTTATTATTGTAATAATAATTTATCACTATTGTTACTTCAAATATGTGAAAACTAAAGCTGAGGAAGATTCAATGACTTGCCTAGGATTAATAAAGGGCAGGTATTCTGGCTCCAAATCCCTTCATCATATGGTTTCTTATGTCAAGAGGGTAGAATAGATATTTAAACCTTTGTAAAAATTGGAACACTTGTACTATCTTAAATGGTGTCAAGGAGAAACTCACCATATGCTATAAATAAAAAGAATGTAGGCCAGTACTCAAGACTAGCAAGGCTCTGGTTTAAGCTTTCATGTGGATGCATATATAGTCCATGAAAACAATGTTATTTTGATATTGTCCATCTAAAAAATAAGGAATTGGCCTGCGACAAGTCAGAGCATGTGCTGTTTTATGTCCTTTCCCCAAAAGACACTTAAAATTTTGGGCAGTAGACTAGGAAAAGATTATGCAAATAAATTATAGTTGTGGAAAACACATGAACATATTTGAATACATATGCCTAGCCATACGTACAGAATTATAGCGTTTTTAAATTTGTATTTTCAGGACAGCAAACAGTATCATTTTACAAATACCATGGAGACCTACCATGGTGACACTTCAGAGTGGGAAACTAACATGCTGAGGCATTGAATTCTGTTTTTGATTACTTATTCAATGAATTCTCACAATAACACTGCAAGATATTGCCTATTATTACTCATTTTATGGATAGGGACACTGAAGCTCATAGAATCCCTGTGATTGTTTCCTAAGTCTTTCAACTCTCAATGGTGGAGAAAAAGCAGAGTCTTAATTTAAATCTTGTATTATTAACAATATCATTTTCCTTGGAGGTAAATTTGGGTGTTTTGTCTGATGAAGTTATGTTGTTTAATACTTTAGTTAAACTGGAATACATATGCCATGAAGCAAAGGCCAGGAAAACCTAATTACTCCACAAAGCCATACATTCATTCCTGATCTGAAGTCAACCCTGCCATTCCAGTTAGCAGTCAAGGCTTCAGATTATGGGCCAGTAGTGAATCTGGGCTTTGTTTCTGGATGGTGGTGGCCATGGGGAGCCTTGCTGGAATTTTTCTAGGATTTTTATGCCAACTTAAACATTGGAGGTTCAAGAGAGTATTCCATGGGCTTGAAAGCAGAGTGTGAAAACCTACAATGCTAAAGAAATGTGTTTTAGAAAAGACACAACCAAAACATAAAAGTTACATTTTATACTACTCTATAGAATGGAAGTTGCCTTCCAAAAGGGAAAGAAAGAAATCCTTATGGTTAGATTACATATAGAGCTCAGAGGATCTACAAAGGTCTTTCATTATATATAAAAGATCTACTTTATAACTTTGACTACTGGTTTTATGACTGTTTAAATAAAATTATCAGATAATCATTTGCACAAAAATGAAATTAAAGGCATTTCTATCCCCAAAGAAGCCAGACATGGATGAGAAAAATTTCATCCATTTTTCCAGAGAAGTTCATTGATATAGTTTTCAAACCCCAAATTATCAGAATATAGAAGAAAATTACTAAAGTTTTATTCATTAGCTATTTTTTAATATAGTGAGTTGCTTATTGTGCATTTTAGCGAGTCTCATAATCACTCTCCAGAGACCTGAGTGTATCTGAATTAAAAATTTTTCTTCAAAAAGTGAACTTAATTAGAAAGTACATGAACACACACACACACACACACACACACACACACACACAGAGTAATGGAACTAAAACAGCTGATACTCATTAGAGGGCAATTGACATTGTGCTTCCACAGGATAATTATAATAAACTAAGTCCTGGTGGGAGACAAATGAAGATTTTCCCATAAGTTGAGTAACACTGGTAGTAGAGCAAAGAGAGTGGAAAATAGAAACATTTAAGAACAAAATCCAAAATGTCTTGGGAATCTAAATTTCAGGTATGTAGATTCTCGACTCCTATTTCCATAGCAATTCCTCTCAAACTTTCATGTGCCTATGAATCACCTGTGCATCTTATTAAAATACAGTTTCTGCTTCAGTAGGTTTGAAGTAGAGCCAAGATTCTTTATTACTTTTAGGTTGGTGCAAAAAGTAATTGGTTTTGCCATTAATGGCACAATTACTTTTTGCACCAATGTGATAACAGTCTCCCAGATAATATCAATGACGCTAGTCTCTTGTCATGGGGTGGCCAACCTACCCAGTTTGCCTGGGAACTATGAGGGTTTTTCCTAGGATATGGAGTTTTTAGCTAAACCTGGAATGGTTCTAGGCAAAATGGGATGTGTAGTCATCCTATAGGACCACATTTTGAATACAATAACCCTAGGTTATACCTGAAATTCAACAAAATAATTTCTGATCATGCTCAGATAATAATTGTTTATAATTGAGGACAAGAGGTATATAATTGTTTATAATTGAGGACAAGAGGTACACTCACAGGTTTACCCTAATCACAAAGTCAGCCTTTTGGCAGAGAAATGTGAAGTGTGTAGTGCAAGAAGTTAACTTTAGCAATAATAAAACCCAAACCTAAATCAACTCCTCTCTAGAATGACTGAACCATCATATTATTGGCCCAAAAGTAGAAGTGTAGCCATTTCCCAGTAAAAATATTCTCTCTGTCTCTATCATGAGGTCCACAATTCAGTAAAAAATTTTGAAATACACAAAAAAATTTTGAAAGACAAAAATTAATGAATCCAGACTCAGAGATATTGACACTATCAGATGAGAACTTTAATGTAGCTATGATTAACATGTTAAAGAATCTAGTGGAAAACCTTAACAACATGAATGAACAGATGGGGAATTTTAGTTGAGGGAATGAAACTTAAGAAAAGTCAAATGGAAAAGTTGAAATAAAAGACATTATATCATAGATGAAGAAATTCTTTATAGAGCTCATCAGTAGACTTAAGATAGCTAAGGGAAAAAAAATCACTAAACTCTAACTGGGTCAATATTTAGCCATAAAAAGGAATAAACTATTGATATACTCAACAACTCAGATGGACCTGAAAGGACTGATTTTGAGTAAAAATGAATAAATAGAAATTGTCCAAGCCAAAACATTGGGAAAAAGAGTGAATTCAAACAACAACAACAACAACAACAAAACCCAGAGCACTTAATGTTAATATTCTAAGGTAAGTGTAATTGGTGTGCCAGAAAGAGACAAAAGAGAAAACTGGACAAATAGATATTTTGTGATAATGGCTGAGAATTTTTCAGAAATAATGAATGACATCAAACCATATATCCAAGAAGCTTAAATCTATTTACACAATAAATAACACAGACACACACGCACACATACACACACACGTAAATACATCATAATTTAACAACTGAAAACTAAAGACAAAGAAAAAATTTGAAGGCAGTCAGAAAAGAAATGCAGCACATATAGAACAACAAAGATATGATTTACAAAGGACATCTCGAGCATATGCAAACTACAAGACAATAAAGTAACATTTAAACTACAAGAAGCTTAAAAACTCCAAATATAATATTCAGCAAAACTATCCTTCAAAAATAAGGCAAAATAAGTAATTTTTCAGACATACCAAAGATGAGAGGATTTATTGCCAGGAGTCTTGTGCTTCAAGACATGTTATAGAAAGTTCTTTAGTCAGAAGAATTACGATACAAGACAGAAATGTATATCTATACAAAGGAATAAAATGTGCCTGAAACGGCAAAAATAAAGGTAAATATGATATCAAAGACATTCTCTGTATGTTTCAGAATTGAAACTGTATTTGAATGCCTAAAGCAAAATAGTAATAATGTATTATAGCATATATATATAGTACAATGTATGACACAAAGGATGTGAGAAAGGAATTGGAATTATTCTACTGCAAAATAATTGCACCATATGAGAAGTGGCATATTATTTGAAATTAGACTGGTAAATTAAAGATGTACATTGTAAACCCTCTAGTAACCACTAAAACAATGAAAAGGAGAAATAGCTAATAATTCAACAGTGTATTTTAAATGGAAGCACAAATATAACCCAAAAGATAAAAGAGGCTGGGCACAGTGATTCACACCTGTAATCCCCTCACTTTGGGAGGCCAAGACAGCTGGATCACTTGAGCACAGGAGTTCAAAACCAGCCTGGGCAACATGGTGAAAAAAAAAATTAGCCAGCATGATGGTGCGCACCTGGCCAGAACTGTGAGAAATAAATTTCTATTACTTTTAAATTACTCAGTCTAAGGTATTTTGTTATAGCAGCAGGAATGAGTTGAGACAAGTTACTTACAACATGGTAGCTAGCTTCTCTCAGAGAAACTGAGGGAGAGGAGAGAATAAACAGACAAGAGCAAGGCAGAAGCCAGTCATTTAATCTCAGAATGTAAATCCCATAACTTTTACAGTATTCTCTTTCTTAGAAGCAAGTCACTAGGTTCATCCTACACTTAGGGAGGGTTACCGAAGGGCATGAATACCAGGAGATGAGGATCATTGAAACCAACTGAGAAACTAGTACAAAAGGGGAGAGAACTTTTAAGAAAATAGTTAGAAATAAGTTTAAAATAAAGTCCCTGAGAGGAATAACCATGGAACTTCCTTCTTGTTCAAGATTCACTTTAACTGTTACCTCATCTGTAAAACTGTCTTGACCTCCCATGCTTCTCACCATAAGAGAAAAGTAAGTCATTAGTTCTGTTTCCTACAGTGCTTAGTGCCAATTCTATCCTGGTACCTATTACAGTGGATCATAATTTGTTGACATGCCTGTCTCTCCCCCAAGTATGTGAGAGGTTATGAGGGCAAGCACCACCACTCACTTGGCTTGCTCTTGCTCCATGAGTATTTACTGAATTAATGAAGCTGTAAATTCCAGATCACTGGGTAGTCCTTGGAGGACAGACTGAGTGAGAATACTGAGTATCTAAAGGTTAAGTGGGAAATATTAGGGCTAGAGAATATGAAAGAGCACAGCATAGAAGTGGCTGAATATTCAATCCTGTGCTAGAAGTCTTTCATTTGCTCTCCAGGTCCAGGCTCCACATTTCTTCCTCCCTCTTCTGTGCTCTAGGAGCCTAAACCCAAGCAACTATAGCATAGGCTCCCTAGCCCTCTGGCTTCTAGTTATACTCTGCCAATGGGGGACACCAGCCAGAAACCAGAGGCAGGAACATAGTGTAGCAAGGTATTCATTTCGCTGGATGGTTACCTGCCAGTTTTCCACACAGCTCGCTTCAGGCCTCTTCCTCCGTACAGCTTCCCTCTTTCTGGCTCCTGGTAACTCTACTCTGCCCTGGTCTCTTTAGCTCAGTGGCAGTCCCAGCACCCCCACTGTCACTGGCCCTTAGGGAAGACACTAGACTTTGCTATGCTCCCTAAACCTCGCCCACATCTTTCAAAATAGTGCTTTTATTCATTTCTACTCAAAGTGTCCACTTTGAGTAGAGCCACCTGTTTCCTGACTGAACCCTGACTGAGAGTTCCTATAGAGAGCCAGCCTATTCTGGAATAATAATAGCAAAAATAATGGAGAGAAAAACTGATGTTGCTGCATTCTATGTATTTCAAAGTAGTAAACAAAATAAAAATTGTCCCTGGCCTCACAGAGCTTGTGGTCTAATAGTCATCTCTTCAATCATATCCAGAGGTTTGTATTTGTTTTTTTTTTTTCAGATTCGGGGTTTTAATTGTATTTTTAACCGACAACTAGTCATTGTATATATTTATGGGGTACAATGTGATGTTTTGATATATGTGACATTATGAAATGAGCAAATCAGGCTAATTAGCATATTCATCACCTCAAATATGTACCATTTGTGGGGAGAACATTTAAACTTCCAGGCTCAAGGGGACAAACACCATATGATCTGACTTACATGTGGAATAAAAAAAAAAATCAAACTCACAGAAGCAGAGGGTATGCCAGAGGCTTTGAGGCTGGGGTGAACAAGGAAGGAGAGATATTGGTCAACAGGCACAAAGTTTCAGTTAGATAGGAGGAATAAGTTCTGGTGTTCTACTGCACAGCAGTGACTATAATTAATTACAGCAGTGTATTGTCTATTTCAAAATAGCTAAAAGAACCAGTTTTTAAATGCTGTTAGTAAGATCAAATGTGAAAGATCTGTTTAAACTCCAGACAAATCATCTAAGACTTAGGAGGAGAAAAGGAGAGGGTTAATTGTTACCTACAACTTGTGGGATTATATACTGCAAGGGGTAATAGTCAACTCACTACTCAATAGGGAGAAAAATTTTAAAAAGAGACTAAAACCAACATAGAAAATTGTGTGTAGGTTCATAATAAGTCAGGCAGGTATAGTTGAAGATGCGGATAACAACTAAAAGTTATCGAGCTCTAACTAAGTCCCAGGCACTTAGATATTTGATTATACTTGTTCCTCACAAAACACTCTTAATCCTCACAAAATATTACTTATGTTTTAAATATGGGGAAATTGAGGCACAGAGAAATGGAGACCCCTGCTCAAGCAGTCAGGGGGTAGGGAATCTGAGTATAAGCCTGGGACCCATCCTCTTAAACATGACTCTAAATTAAGTAAGGATAAAGGAAAATATTGTATTACCTAATTGGTAGCATCAGGCACTAACACATTCTAAAGTACTTGGTCATCTAATCCGAAAATAGTTTAGGGTGCTTAAAAGGCTTTTAAGCATCAGTCATACACCAAAGATCTTTATTCACTGGAGCCAAGAGGCAGAAAGTAAGTTCCAGTTTTCATTTATTCATCATTTCACTCTGCCCTTGGACTCAAAAGAGCCCATGCCACCTCCTGATGGAAAAGCCCAAGTTACGTTTGGGAATTATAATTTCTCTTTTTCTGATTCTACTTACTGGCAGGGTAAAATATGTAGAAAAAAAGTGTTCCTCCATTTGCCTTCTTAAATACTTTCTCTTGTTTATAAACCTAACAATCATCTATCAGCAATGCTGTTTCTACCCTGCCAGAACAAGGCCTCAGGAAACCATTTCCTCTGGAGCAATTCCAGAAGGGCTCAGTGAGCACTCAATACCTTTTACACTGATGGACTGTATGGGTTTCTTGCTCTCAGCCCCTGTAGGATTTGCACATTTTGTTTTCATGCCCATCACTCATGGACAGAAGTAAAAATATGCTATTTACCTCTTTCCACTTATGTAGACCTCACATTTTGTTTCACCTTAGTGGCAGTGAGGGGGGAGTTTTGTTCACATTTAGCAAGTCTGGGCTGCCTATTGTGCACAACAGCTATTGCCCAATTGCAGTTTATGGAGAGTCTAGAACCTTTTTTTTTTCTTTTTATGCTACCAAGGGATTAATGACAAAAAAATTGGCAAAGAAATTGCAGTCTGCAAGTTATAACCAATATGAGTTGATGAAATCCAGATGTGAAAATCTCCCTCCACCATCCTATGCCTTCCACAATATAGGTGTATGACCTCGGTGAAGGCAGGGCTTGTAATTGCTTTTATTTGGAGACATGTGGGCTCTGCTTCCCCCCAACCCCCACCTTCTTTTCCCACTTTGAAGGAAAGAGTGACTTGAAATGTATTTTTACACTTACTAAAACGGATGTGGAAATAAAACTTTAATTACTGGAAAAACTATTAAGAAGAAGTATATTTTATTCTTCCAGAGCCATGAGTTTTTCAGAGCAAAGTTGTCTTAGACCACTTCAGTTACCACAACCCCAGGAATCAATGGAAACCTCACAGACTGGGCAGAGTCTCTGCCTTACCCTCACAGTGATCACTGAGATTCAAGGATGGAATGTTCTAACACATGGCTCATCTGTCTTGCAATTTAAACCTAATTAGACTAACTTTTTTCCCCCCAATTGCCCTGCTTGTTTCCATGGCAGTGCAACAATCATTCTAAAACTTGGTGGCTTGAAACAATAATAATCGTTTTCTATCTCTCACAATTTTATGGGTCAGGAATCTAAGAGAAGCCAATATGGGCCTTCTGACTTGGGGTCTCTGATGAGGTTGCAGTCAGACAATGGCGAGGGCCAGGATCATACTGAAGACTTCCTCCCTCACATGTTCTGATGTCTGATCTGAGAGGACTGTAGGCTGACTTATCTGGGACTCCTTGGGCATCTGTAACGCTATGGGGTGTCTTCACATGTTCTCCCCCGTATGGGGGCTTCAGGGTAGCTGAATTTTTACATGTTGACTTAAAGTTCTGAAGATAAATGTCCCAGAAAGGTCACAGCCAGGCTAGGAAGACATAGTGTCACTTCTGGCATCCACTATTAGTTGAGACAGTTATGAAGGTCCATCCAGGCTTGAGGGGAGGCGTGGAGAGAGAGGGTAAAAATCCTGCCTCATGATGGAGGTCTATCGATATTATATTGTAAGAAGAATGTTTGAGATGGTTATCTTTGAAAAAATGCCACAGTATGCCACATCCCTTAAGAAACAATATCCCTGAAAAAAAACAACATGCTACTCATTATGTCAGATTTTTAATATCTAACAGACCTAGTTGTCTGACTACAACTTGTTAAATCAGTTAAAAGTAGAATTTTAGATATTCAGTTTTTTTATTGCAGAGCTACTCTAATTGGAAGCCTATACAGAGGCAAGCTCTCAACAATTAATTAGGAATCCATGAACTTGTGTGGCATGTAAGAAGCATGGTTATAATATGGTTATAATAAAAATGGGAAATAAATTAAGATCTTTGGGCATCTACTATGTGTCAGCCACTGTCATACATTAGTTACCTAAATTATAATCATTAGTCAAACAAACATTTATGAAATGTCTCCAATCTATCAATACTAGTTGTGAGGAAGATCAATACGATAGACCTCATTCAATTCTCAGGAAGTGGAACAACAGAAACTCAGATTCTCAATTTTATGTTATTTCTTCTGATAAGCTTTATTTTTATGGATTTTACACAATAATAGGATGCCAACTTTCAAATTATTGGATGGACTCTAAGTCTACCTGAGTATGGAAAAGGGATTGGTCAGAAAAGACTGGGCATTCAGAGATGGTCTTCATCTTTATCCTTAGGTCTATGGAGTGAAACTTGAAGCAGGAACTAGGCTAAAGGGTGGATAAGTAGAAAGAGGAGACACAAGGAGAATAGCATAACTAAAAGTGAAAAGACCAGTGTGTATACAGCCTTTGTTCCAAGAGCAAAGAATAGAAGCTAAGTAATATTTTGAGTGTGATGTCAACATTTCAGTATTTTATTTTCAATGGCATTCTTTTTTTAGCTTGTTTGGTAGGAGCAAGTACCTAAGTCATTATGAGAAAAGACAGATATAACCCTTCCATTAGAAAATAAAATTTAAAAAAATCATGATGGTTGGGGACTAACAAACCATTGACAAGTACTTAGCTTTTAATTTTCTATATTTTTATATTTCTCAGTGATGGCTGTTGCTCTTCATCTATCACTTGTTCAAAGCACACATTTAAGATATTAATTACACCAATAGGATGAACAGGAGGTAGAGAAATAGTAGAGGTTTGTTGTGTTTTCTTATCTACATGTGAACACTGGGACCTCATTTCTATAAGGACAAGAGAATTCTGTGTAAACCAGTTTGAATGGAATGAATATTCATAATAACAATATCAATTACTATTTATTTATTCATTGCATAAGATGCACTTAATTTTATACTATAACCCTATAAAGTAGACGTTATCATTTCCTTTCACAGATAAGGAAACTAAAGTACAGAGAAGTTAAACAGGCTACCCAAAGTACCAGCTAAGAAATGGCAAAGGCATTATTTTGAGCCCGTGCCACTTGACTCATTCCAGGATGGTGCTTCAGTATGGAGGTGTTAATGCTTTGAGTCATTGTCCCAATGGGAAGATGGTTTTCACTAATGCAGCCAACTACTATGATGGTTAACACCAATCCTCAATCCAGTGGTTCTGGCATCACCATTTACTAGCTGTTCAGACTTGAGCAAGTTAGTTAACCTCTGTGTAGCAAAGTTTATTAAGATTAAATAATTCATATGAAACAATTGTAAAAATGGCTACCCTAAAGGAAGTGATCAATAAAGGTGCTATTACTACACTAACATTGCTTTATTATCACTATATATTTACAAGACAACTGGCTAGTATTAGAGGTACAGTCTGGTCTAAAAGCAAAACAGAACCTTCCTTAAAAAAATGGTTTGGAATCAATAACAAGTTTATCTAGTTGATGGGCTACATGGTTGAAGAACCTCTATAACTAGTCATCAGTATTAACTGTTAAAAGGGTAGATACCATAGGAAATAACTGTCGATAAATGTGTAGTCTCTGCTTGCAGTCCCATCATATGATGGTCCCATCACAGAACCAACTGTGATTCTGCATAATGAATTTCTATTTTTTACCATTTGAAGCAACTTGAAAGAACGATTATTGCCAGAGAATAATTTTTTGGTGCAGAACTTGAAAGAAAAAAATGTGACAAGGAAAGGGAAAATTTCTATAATTTTACCTAAAGTACAGAGAATTACAGTTATTACTAGGAGAGAAATTATTTAGATACGTTTCTTGCCCTTAAAAAAATAGTGTTGCCCCAATAACATACAGGGAGCCCAGTTGAATTTTAATTTTAGATAAACAATACATACTTATTTAATATACATATGTCCCAAATATCTCATGGGGCTTATTCCTACTATGAAAATATTTTTGTCCTAAATACAAATTTAACTAATGTCCTATGTTTTTATTTGTCAAATCTGACAACTGTGCTTAAAATGATCATGATTAGTCATTATCTAATGAGCTCAGGTATTTTCCCATTTGCTAATTTTACACTTAAGTGTGAGGCAGTATGTAATGTCAAGCTCAGGAAGTATAGAGCCCTAGGCTGTGTATGATGTGAAGTGAACAATCATAATAAGGTGTGCAGACTGAGTTCAACCTCCCACTCTTATCTCTTATCTTCCCTATCATGTACCCTGCATTTCCGTTGAAATGTGAAATGTGTTGATTCTATAATCCTAAACTTCCCTTTGCCCATTATTCACTTTCTTTTCTTTTCCCAGGAGTATCCTTCCCTGTCATCTTCTTTCCATCAAATTCCTAACATTCTTCAAGGGCTATTAGAAATGGATGCTTGCTTACCTATCGCATGTCATAGAGTTGTGTGGCAAAGATCATGGTTTTTACAGTGGAATGACAACAGAAGTGAGGTATTTTCTTTCTGGGCCAGGGTGGTCAAGAATAAGTATGCCTTCTCCACTTTTTGTCCTCTTTTATTATCTACAGACAGACAAGCATGATGATCTTGGAAACTATGTTGAAGATGGGGAACCGACAGGATGAAAGGATTCTGCGTTTCTGTATCACACTTTTGAGGAGAGGTACATGAGGATCAGAAACACTTGTTAAGAATGTTACAGAGCCAAGAAATTAACACGTATTTTTTTCTAGTTTTGTTATTGTTTAGTGTTAGCCTAACTAATATAGGCCATAATTAATTGTTTCTTACTCTGTGAAGCTTTTGTACATTAAATAAATAAGAATATCATTAGGCATTAAATACAAGTTTAAGTGCCATGGATTTTGCATTGGAAGAACTCACTGAGTAGTAGACACGCAATTATAATAAGGAATTACATTTTTGAGGGCTGTGTTTCACATACTGTGATAGTCACTTTACCATATTATTTCATTTGATTCTCATTTTAAAAATGCCTTTAGAAAGATGTGATGATGATGATTATTCCCATTCTACTGATAAACTGAGACACAAAGATGTTAAAAAATTTGCTGAAAGTCAGAAAATGAAGTATAGAAGTCAGGTTTCAATCCTAGGCAATCTGACCATGCTGAATCAATATTGAATTTCACTATGAATAATGTTATTGTATGGAAGAGTAAGATCACAAATAAAGGCTGGCTAGTTTTACTGGAGCAGGGTTATCCAGAAAACTTGCTTGGAAAAGGTAATTCTTGAGCTGATTATGAAAGGATAAACAATTATGGAATTATAAAGGCCTCACATGTCATACTCAGGCATTTGTATCTACCCCCCAAAATGGTGAGGAATCCTCGAAGTGCTAAGGGAAGGAGTAACAGAGTCAGCTTCATGTTCTTTCCAGGATTCTTTCCTGATATTTTTGAGAAAATATCCTTACCTGTCCTATAGTGCAAACACTTGTTTTTTTTAAGGAACTCAAGGAAGTCAATTCTTTCATGAAGACTTTACTGGAAGGCACCTACTTGTTCTGAACTCTTTGTGCTTTTTTGTTGTTGTTGCTTCCTTTTTACTGCTGGATCTCTGAGGAAACATTCCAGCATGTCACCATGTCAGTAGCCAAATCAGACCGATGATGAGAACAGCATGCTATATTAGTAACAGAAAAACAAGGCTGTAAACCCTGTTTCAAAGACTTCATGTTGCTCTTGGCTATCGCTGGGGAAAGGCTTGAGCCAGGCATATGAAGTACAAAAGCACGAAGGCTGCTTCAGATCTGTGATTGGGTAGCACAGAAAGACTTGAAACAAGCATTAAGATAAGTTCCCAGAAGAGTTTCTGACATGTAGTAGGCATTCAATTAATATACTTGGAATGAATGAAGATGAAAAGAGACTCTTTCCTCATCCCTGTACTGGTACCAGTGGCTATAAATTGCTCCGCAGGTTCTCCTTAACCATGTGTTATAGGTTGGGGAGAGGTATCAGGCAGGTGGGCAGAAGCAAAGGAGAACATTTACCAATAATCTGTTACCCTAAGATTAGACTTCCAAATGTCTCATCCACCAAACATGAAATTAAAAATGAAAGTTGAAAGATCTTTGTTAGGCCAAAAGTTAACAATTTTGCCTTGTAGAAGAGATTGCACCATTCATATTTGGCAACAGTGTTAAAGATTATATGACTAGGTTGGACGTTAAATATGGTGCTAATTAAGCCAGAGGTCAGGGTTTATTCACTGTATGGGCCATTTGATTTTTCTGTGCCTAGCACATTGTAGGCATTCAATGAATGCTTATTTATTGAAACAATATAGGAAACAGAACTGTGTGGTATGCAAAGGAGACTACCTATTTAATATGCTTGACAGGCAGTTTCTCTACAGCAAACTAGGAGCAAGAGGAATGAATGAGGCAGTGTATTGTAGGTGACATTGATTCAAGCAAGTAAGGAATGTCCAAATATTGGTCTTGCACCTTAGCTGTGGTATGACATTAGGCAAGATGCTTGGTCTTTCTAAGCCTTTTTTTCTTCTATAAAATGTAAACATTTTCACCTGTATCATAATGTCATTTGAGGATTAAATTAGCTAAGACAAGTAGATATTTGATAAATGTTAGTGAGAAGGGAACATTAAGTTTGAGGCCACTAAGCCCCAAGGACAGAGCTGATCATCTCCAAGGGCTCACTAATTAGACCAAATGGGTTGTTCATGGCCATCATCCAATTTGACTGGTTAGTTCTATTACTCGCCATTACTAAATATTTTGCCTCTCATTTCTGCCTTAGGAAATCATTATATCACACAGGGCAATAAATCAATACCTTTTAACTATGACCTCAGGTCATGAAGGAGAGCAATGAATTACATTCCAAATGTTCTAAGAAGAAAGTAGGTAATGCCTTTAAAGGAAGATGTTGGTCTTCTCTGAATGAATATTTTCCCCTACAGATCAAATAGTTAATCATGATTTATGTGGGCAATTCACTTGCTAGAACGTTGAAATCCCTGATGAGGCTACATCAACGAATGTTCTGGTGGTGGCTATGCCTCATTTACTCTTAAAGGAATATGCTCCAGGAAAGGCATAGGTTCAGATAAAAAGCAGTCTTGGGTTTGTTGAAATGAAGTAAGCATTGAAGCATCAAGGCAAGAGCTCCTGAGAGCAGGGCTGGGGTGTGGCCTGAGAGCAATGCCAGCAGGGTCTTATGTAACAGAGGGCCTGTTTAACTCCAGCAGGAAACGCTACGTCCAGACGACACCCTGCTTCCAGACGACTGCCAGGTAGCAGGCTGACTGCCTCTTTTCTTCTCTCTTCCCCATGAAAGGGAGACCCAGAGCAGAATTTTCCCTCACAGCCTGAATTTATTAGATTTTTTTTCTCCCAACTATGCTGTGGAGGTTGAATTGCCCTCATTCATAAGCTGACTCCAGACCAAAAGAAAGAGACAGCAGGATCCAGCTATTGCACCTAATAAAATGTGTCCACTGGAAATCATGAGAGAAAATTGGATGAACGATTCTAAATAATAAGGGTCCTCAGGAACCTGCACTGGAATGCCAACACGTTTTACAGGTTTGGGAGTATAAAGATGCTTTGAGCTAAGCATTAAAAATAAAATACCCCCTCACCCTTGATCACCAGTTCATCTCTGGTTTCTGATGATTCTCAAGAGATTTCTTCTCTCCAGAGAAGAAATCATTTTTTTCTCTCTCTCTCTTTTTTTTTTTTTTTTTTTTACGGAGTCTCGCTCTGTGGCCCAGGCTGGAGTTGCAGTGGCACGATCTCCGCTCACTGCAAGCTCCGCCTCCTGGGTTTACGCCATTTTCCTGCCTCAGCCTCCTGAGTAGCTGGGACTACAGGCACCCGGCACCACGCCCGGCTGTTTTTGTTTTGTTTTGTTTTGTTTTTTGCATTTTTAGTAGAGATGGGGTTTCACCGTGTTAGCCAGGATGGTCTCGATCTCCTGACCTCGTGATCCGCCCGCCTCGGCCTGCCAAAGTGCTGGGATTACAGGCGTGAGCCACCGCGCTCGGCCCAAATCCTTGCTCTTTATAAAGAAGAAAGCGGATTGAGCTTCAAGGCAGATCAGTGGGAAGGATTTGAGAGTCTGGATTGGTTTCAGCCAGAGCCCCTACTCTCACTCTCTCAAAGCCATCTCCTCCCAGCCCTGCTCACCAGCACTGTTCATAATTATCTGCTGTCATGATGCTATTGCTTTTGGCAATAAACACTTAGCACGTTGCTACTGGTTTTTGCCAAGACAACATGCCCCACTCAGATTTATGATCTAAAAGATGCAAGACTAATTTTCACATCATAGTTCATTCCATAAAAGAATGTGGTTGCATAAAAAAAAAAATCCCTCCTCTCTCACCATGTCCACCTCCTCTCCACCCCATGCTCCCCATATCCAGGACAAGCTGTAGAATGTATAAGTGGAAATGCAAAAGCTTTGTTTGGGGAAAAGGGCAGAGCCTTAATGAGCTGCGTGTTTGAAATCTGATTTAAGGTTTATTTCTTTTTGTCAGAATACACTTTCTTTTATTCTTCCAAAAAAAAAAAATCAAAGGTAGAGTCATAAATGAAAAAGAATTTCCCACTGACACCTGGTAGTCCTTTCCACCATCCTCTGTTTGTGCCTTTTGAGCACCTCTGCTCTTCCTCTGCCAAGCATCTGTTTTATCCAAGTCAACATGGCAGAGAACAAAGGCTGTAGGAGCAAATGTACTTGGGTTCATATTCACTAAACCTCTTTGAGTTTCAGTCTCTCTATTAATACATAAATCTGTAGTTGGCATAAGAATACCTTTTCTTCATGGCAATGTGAGGGTCGAATACAAACCTATGCTAAAGTGTCTGATAAAAGATTGACACTTACAAAAAAAATGCTAGCTTCCTTCTGTCCTTCCCTCCCGCACTTCTTTACATAGTACTTCCCCTGTGGGCTTCTGTATCTCTTTTTAGGCCCTCTTTTCTCATCCTGAGCCATCCAAAAATGCCGCTGACACGAAACCTTCCCATCTCTAATTTGCCTGTTTCCTCTTCCAGTCTCTCAGAACATTGTTCTGCCTTTTGTTGTTCTGACAGCCTAACCTTAGTTAGAGAAAATTGGATGCACTTGGTGAATATATTGCTTCTTTCAGGTGACATCCTCACTTTAATATAAATGGAGGCAATGGCTTAATCCAAATCCTAACATCCTGAAGTAAATTACCTTGGCAAATATTTATTGAACACTAATTAATGCAAAGCACTGAAGTGGATGTAGGGAAAGATGAAAAATAGACTCAGGTCTCGGGTCCTTACAGAATTTGTAGTCTGGTATGAAAGACAGACATATAGAAATAATTATTAAAAGTTTGGATTCCAGAGAATGTTAAAATAGGAGTTGAACTAAGAGTCATGGGAGTATATGAAAGAAGGAGATGAATTCCAGCTGGAGAAATATAGGAGCTACTATGCGGGAGGCATGTTTGGGCTAAATCCTTAAGGATGGGGTTTGGGAATGGCATGAATAACTTGAGTAAAGATCCAACAGCTAAAGAATGCATAATGATTTTGGAATAGTAAGTTGAATATGTTTTTTGTAATAAAAGTTACAGGTTGAGAATATATGCATCGTGAAAAATAAAATTATAAATCAATAAAATTAGTTGATGGCTCTGCTTGGCAGCTTAAGAAATCTGCTTTTTACTTGCAGTAAAAATCTATTAGGAATTCTAAAGCAGGAAAGGTCATGATTATTTGTTGTGTTAAAAAGACCACTCTGACAGCAGATTTGCATTGGAATCAGAAAAGCTGGTAGCAGGATGACTAGATAGAAAATGGTTACTATAATTTAGGGCCACTGTAACAAGGCAATAGTAGTCAGAGGGTAATGAAGTAACAGAAGGCAGGAACAGATGGAGGGACATTTGGGAGGCAGAGACAACAGTGCTTGGCTTCTTCGCGAAGTGTAGAGAGTGCCGAAGAAGAAAAAGGAAGGTTAATCTAAAGTTTTGTTTTTTGTTTTTTGGTTTTTTTCCTGGAAGACCAAAAATGTAATAATGTCGTCAGCAAAATAAGTAAGTTATGTGATTGGTTTGGGGCTCGCAATAGAAGAAATTAAGTGCAGGCAGACCTTTCCTAATCTTGGACAGCTTTAAACTCACTGGGTCACAATTTTCTCGTCTACAAAGTAGGAATCATAATTCATGTTGTAGTTTACTCACAGGGTTGCTGTGAAAATGGGGGAAGGTCATGAGTGTGGCTATATTTTCTAAGCCATCAAATTCAGTCACAAGTAAAAAATCAATGAAACCATTCAAATCTCTTACTTTTTCCATAGAGACAACACTATGTAGGACAGCATGGAACTTCCCACACATAGAACAATCCCTCACCTGTAAGGAGATTGGTTGTTTAGAAAGGAAATCTTTTCTAAATTTTTTTTTTTTTTTTTGAGATGGAGTCTCGCTCTGTCGCCCAGGCTGGAGTGCAGTGGCGCTATCTCGGCTCACTGCAAGCTCCGCCTCCCGGGTTCACACCATTCTCCTGCCTCAGCCTCCCAAGTAGCTGGGACTACAGGTGCCTACCACCACACCCAGCTAATTTTTTGTATTTTTAGTAGAGATGAGGTTTCATGGTGTTAGCCAGGATGGTCTCGATCTCCTGACCTCGTGATCCGCCTGCTTTGGCCTTCCAAAGTGCTGGGATTACAGGCGTGAGCCACCATGCCCAGCCCAAATATCATTTTTCTTTACCTGATCTAGCAGTCTGTGATTTTTCATTGCCAGAGTGTTCTGGATTGAATCAGCTCCATTTAGGATTTTGACCAAAAGATTTCCAAATGGAAAACAAAAGCCATTGTTATGAAAGCCTGAAATGTCTCCACTTCCTGCAATTGGCTTACATATGAGTACTTTAGTCTTCATGGAATAGCTTAGAAGGGGCCTGAGACATGAAAGGGAATTATATTTAGCAAAACCAATGCCATAAAACCTTCTTTACTCTCAAACTGTGGAGAGGATTTGCTATGCCCACACATCTAAGTGTCACCTGTGTGTGCCTTCTTAGAGTTGGCAACAGTCTGCTGAAATGAGATACTTAATTGGGATCCTGGGAATCTTGAAGTTGCTAAGAGAGTCAGAGAGACAGCCTTCAGAGAAAATGTGATTATGATGCTTGATTCTCTGCTGGAAATGTGAGCAGCTGATGGGGAAAGCAGTATGTGACAAGATGCTACCCCCACAAACGTGGTTAGGACATGGAGACGTATTCGTCTTAGGTCTAGAATTACATGTGTGGCATTTCCTTCATCCAGTTAGGTACATGTGTATGTATATATGTATGTATTTGGTTTATTTATTTGTTTACTTACATCCAATTTTATTCCGGTTTTGAAGCAACTGTAAAACCGGTATTAAAGGGTAAAGTAATTAGATAGGAAAACTGTAACAAAAAGAAAGAAAACAAGTTATGGTGATAGCACAGAGAAAAACAAACCACGCATCCCTGTCAGACTTGTCATCTAATTCTGGCTTTAATTCCTTGGTAGCCAAAATAAACATCAAAGCTTCTCAGTGTGCACGGATATTTCTACTGTGGATCCTCATAAAGGCAACACCCTGGAATACGGCGGGCACCATCTTCAACAACTTCATTGTAGATACCACAGAACGTTTCATCTGATTGTTTCACTGAGATACCACAGTTCAGTGTGTATAAAGATCATCGTTGAGCCAATCAACAAAATTTGAATTCAGGCTGTAGATGAAAAGTACTGGATCAAAGTTAAACTAACTAAAGTTAATAGCTATTCTGTGGTTACGTAAGAGAATATTTTTATCCTGATGAAATA
Organism: Homo sapiens; assembly: GCF_000001405.40. Classification (NCBI taxonomy): domain Eukaryota; kingdom Metazoa; phylum Chordata; class Mammalia; order Primates; family Hominidae; genus Homo; species Homo sapiens. The sequence continues at coordinate 26,853,855 of NC_000011.10, forward strand.
TACACTGAAATATTTAGAAGTAAAGGGACATAGTGTATGCAGCCTAGTTTCATGTAGTTCAGGGGGAAAGGAGAGGAGGATAGAGAGAAAATTTTAAAGCAAATAGGGCTATATGTTATCAACAGGTAAATCTGGGTAAAGGGTATTTGAGTATTCAATATACTATTCTTATTCTTGCAATGTTTCTACAAGTTTGAAATTATTTCCAACTAAAATACCTTTTTAAAAAAAGGAATAATTTTTATTAGAATTTAAATGCAAAATTTATTTAAAAAGAAGTACATGCAATAGTGCATGTTAGAAAGTTACAGGAGTAATAAACACCATTTTGATTTGTGAGTGAAAATTTTTTTCTTTTTAAATGTGTTCGATTAATTTATTCAAGATTATACTATATATATCGAAATATAAAATACCTGTAAAAATTCACAACCATTGTAATGATTTTAGTTTTAAGAATATAATTTTTACTGTTCATTTTTATTATAACACTGATACATTTTTAATACAGAAATTTTAGAATACAAAATTTTAGAATGGATATTTTGTGCATATATATCAGATGAAATTACTGGTAGTTTTATTTTATATATTTATGCATATTTGGTGTGCATATATATTTAAAAATATGAAATTATTGCATTATACAGTTTTGAAACTTGCCTTTTATAAACTTGATACAAATAGCTTTCTATAAAATGTAATCCTTCAAACACCTGGATGCAATTCTTAACTGTTACAGTCTATTACTATTTATTTTCTTCTGTGTAAATTATTATTTGAGCTGTTGTATATGAAGATGAAAACTTAGAAGATAATACAACTACCTGTTAAAATTTATAAACTTCACAAGTCTTGCTGAATTATTTGAATCAACTATGAGGAAAGCCAATAAAGTTTACTTGACAAAATTTAACCTCTATGCCTCTATTTAGACAGAATAGCTGGTGGGTGATAGAATTTCACTTTATTAGCATTTTATCTCTCCCAATAAATGTTAATAGTGCTGGGAAAATGAAAGGCAATTCATATTTTCTTGTGCAACCTTTCCTAGTGAATGGAAATTCCAGTTTTCAGTTGACTTTGCCGTTTGGTTTTCAGTTGAACTTAAAATTAGAGATAGATTATCCATAGAAAATGAAAGCATGAGTGGAGAGAATTAATTTCTAAAAGCTTAGTGAGTTTTTTTATTCCAGCATGCCCAGGTAATACTTTCATGTGCATATGTTGGGAAAAGCAAGAAAAATTTCTGATAATGTGTTATTTCTACCAGAGTTCTAAGGAACTTTACCAGTGATGATTACAAAAAGAACATAGTAAGGCCCCTTTTCACTTGGGAAATAATTGCTACCTTCTCATATTAACAAGCTGTTCTTCATTGCCAACCAGGCATTTACTATTACAGTCATTTGAGGTAAAATGGGCTGTTTGCTTTACAAGGAAGCCAAGCTGGAAGAAAGCAAATTGTGGGAATGTTTCTACAACAAAATTTCATGCAATTTGGAAATAAAATGTGTTCAGAAGGATTGAAAGAGATATATGATCTTGGGCCGGGGAAAACAAACAAACAAGGAAAAATACTCTGGCCCAGAACAGAACAATGTGACTTTATTTTGGAGACGATTTACCTAATTAAGTATATCTTTCTTTCTTTGAAAGTCTGAGATTGCTTTAATGTTTACAAAATTTATGATTCACTTCTGTTAATATGATCCTCTCAGAGGCTATCCCTCAAAACCACTAGGCTTCCTTGCTCACTTTTCTCTTGGACCAGAAAGGGCTAGTAGAATGCAATATTTTGAAATAATTGTGTTGTCTTGTTGTTTCTATTTCTTTCCAATCATATTTCCTATTAAATTCCATTTCCCCAAACATACAAGGACTGCCATCAGCCTGCCAATGTTCTATATTTTGAGACTCTGTTTACCATCCAAATCTATTGGGATCTCAGATCCCCCAATTCCTACTGAGGAAAAAAGATGAGAGGTTAACCAGGAACCTCATATCTGCTAAAATTTAGCAAATGAATATTCTCAGAAAATAATATACCTTAATTCAGCTGACGTCCTTAAGAAGCTTTTAGTTTCTAAGACTATAAAGACAGATATTTTTTGGCCCAGAGTCCTTTCTGTGAACTAAGTAGGTCACCATCTACTCCGTTTATGGGAAAGAGCAGGTCCAAATATGGCCTTTAATTTTGAAGTCCTATTGGTGAATATTGTGATCTCAAATCCTAAAAGAGATTATAGACTATCTCTTTGATTTCACGATTGAAGAACACAAGTTTCAGAGAGATGTGATAAGTTGTCCAAGGTCAGTGACAGAGTGTGTGCCCGACTGGATTTGGAACTCAGGACTTTGGCTGTCTTGTCAAGCATCCCTTTTGTACCATCCCTGTCTCTAAATTGGAGATTTCTAACAAGATTACAAAATAGCCAAAGAGAATTAGAAGATTTTAACATAAGACACGATACAGATGTTTGGAATCTAGCCTTCAAAATATTTTTTTGACAGTTCCTGGATCAAAAACATTCTGCTTGACCTGGAAAATATGTATTGATGTTAAATATGGTCTCTGAAACCAATTTTTGCTAATTGGATTTACTATATTATCCAGTTTAATTTGGTATTATGTAGTCTTTGAAACAGTTAATTTAGAAAATTTGATCAATTGCTTGTTCTGAATGTTTATACAGTTGCCTGATTGTTTCCTTTATTTTAATCCAAAGATACTGGCATAAAAAATAAAGGCAACTATATGAGTAATTAAAACAAAAATATTTGCATGTTTATCTTAATATTCAATATTTCAGGTAAAAGATTGCCACTATCTGATATTATAAAGCAAATCTATTATCTATTCATATGTAGACAAAACAGAAATTTTTTTGGATAACATATCTTAAAGAGAGAAATATGATATATCCATTTTCCTCTAATTTTATGTATTTCACAAATAATATTTAATAATTCTAGAGATAAAAACAAGAGAAGGAAGGAAGGGAGGGGGAGCAAGAGGGAAAAAGGGAGAAGAGGGACAAAAGAGAGAAAAGCTACCTATCATCCATCTGTAGCAGTCTTCAATTTTCATATTCTCTTCCCTATATGAATAGTTTCATAGTTGTGAACAGGAATAAATTCTGTTTTGATTCTATATCAAACATTAAGCATTTTATCATAGATACAGGCATTGTATTATAATTTGCATGACTACCATTTTTAATGGCTCTTTAATGTCATCAAATTGAAAAAGCATGAGCCACCGAAACCACTCCACTGTAGGCAATTTTATTGTTTACAAGTTTTGCTAGTTTAAATACTACAGTAAATATGTTTGAGCAGGTATCATTTGCTCTCACATAGGGTATAAATTTCCAGCAGACCAAAAAACTGGCTCACAAAAATGCAAAATTGTATGGTGCCTAATAGATACATCAAATCACTTTTCACAGAGGTTGTGATTAAGAATGATAATGAGAGACCATTCTTAAAATCATTCAAAAGTGAGATAGATCATAGTTTTAGGCAAGTTTTATTATAGAGGTGGCATTATATTTATGACTTCATGACTACACTGATTATTGTCTACTTTCCACAAATGGCATATAAAATCAGAAAAGAGTAGGTCTTATTTTTCAGATTTTATTACACCCTAAGTTTTCTTCATGGTGAATATTGACATGGTAAAGTAGAGTGAAAAAGGAAATAGGGTAGAAAAGAAAGGAAACCTCTACTAGACATCCAAGATAGGCATTATATTTTTCACGAAATATAAAGCAAATAATAAGACTAATGAATTTAACATGGGCTAAGTTGGTCTGACATGCCTGTGATTGTCACACAAGAGCAATTTCAGCAAAATTCAGTATTGGATTGTAGCTCTAAGAACAGCAAACTGGATGATTAAAGCAAATTAGGTGCAGAAAAAAACTTACTGCAATTATCTGAATATATTAGGTGAAACCTCAGTCTCAGTATATAATATCCAAGTAGCTTTCTCTACTCTTGAAAATACTACAATACTGAATGCCCACAAAAATCATCCTATTTCTAAACTGCAATCTAAAAATAAAAAAATGTTTTAGTGTCTATTCCACTAACTGTAATCATTATGTAACTAGAGATTCAGAAACTGAGATTATGGGATCATGTATCTACAGTGTAACTTAATCATGGAAAACTTGAAAATATTATGTTTATATTTATGAAATCATATATTTAGTCAAATAGTTGTGGGATTTGAAGAAAGATACTATATATGAAAATCTCTAAGTTTTATGGAGTTTTTCATTTTCAGATGCAGTAAAGTACAAAAGTTTATCAAAAATGACATTTCAGACACATTAACAGATATTTTCAATCTAGCAATTAGACCAAAATGTAACTTCAGAATTAGCATATTTTGAAAGAAATCAACTATAATAGAAATTAGAGACTTTTCTGCTTATGTTAGCAAATTTTGTAAACCTTAGAAGACAAAATAGTCACTTCATTTCACTTTCTAAAATTCACCAATACAAAGAATAATTTTCTTAAATCCTTGAAAAATACCAAATAATTTGAAAAAAACACCTTGTATACAAATACAAGAAAGAGGGGTTCTAAGAACATTGCTGAAATCATTTTTAACCTAAAAATGCAACAAAATGAAAATCTAAATTATCTTTGATACAATTGCTCATGAACTATATCAAGTAGCTGAGTTGGAGAACTATCCTTTGTTCCGAAGTGTTTTTAATAGATATATTAAATATATATAAGGTTATTGTATATATATACATATATATTTCCTATAGGAAATATAAAGGAGAGCTAGGGAACTTTTTGGGGAAATATCAGACTTCTCATTATATATTTATTTACATTTTCTGGAATTTTTTCATCTATTTTCAGAAACTAAAATTATTTCACTAATTTCTAATCATGCTCACACCTTCTCCTTTCCCAAACTCAACTTATCCAAAAGCATTTTTATATTTCTCTCGCTATGCCTAATTTTATTATTAACAAAAATATAAGAATTATTATTATAATCATCAGAATAGCTAACAGTAATTGAAGAGAGTACGACCAAGGCATTTTGCTTTCCAATCTAATATGTATTTTCCTGTTTAAATTTCACAACAGTCATATACAAGATACTACTATCTTCATGTTATTCATTAGGAAAGTGACATTCAGAGAAGTAAAGCATCTTCTTCAGTGTAATAGAAACAGTAACTAGTGGATCTGCAATTTGAGCTCAGATCTGTAATACTCCAGAGTACCTGGTTAAGTGTACGACGTTGTCTTCCGATTGTTACCTGTGAGGTGCTATTGCCTTCAGTAAACCAGAAGGATAGCATTCCACTAAATATGACCCTATGCCCAAGGGTAGAGTCTTTAATATGTTAGATAACAAAGATTTGGAGGATCTTTTTTTAAAAAAAATCATGAAAACATGTATTAATTAACTTCTGGAGTGGTCCATTTAATGAAAAACCTTTAAGCAGACATTGCTTATAGGCAAAATGTAAGAAAGTGGTTCTTATAGCTTTGAGAGGGCCAGGAGTCCCTGGTTCCGAATAATGAAGAGAAACTTCACGAAGACAGACAATCTTAAAATCATGTGGCTCAGACTTTGGGTCCACTTCTTGGAACTACACTATACAGAAAGACTAGGTACTCAGGACAGACAGCAGAGCAGATGTGTAATAGGTTCCTCTTGGCTCCCAATCCAGAGAAATGAGCCACAGTCTCCTGTTCCAGCTTGATCTCCTGGGTGGTCTCAAAAGGTAGAACAAAACATTATAGTTTCCTGGTCCAATCTAGAAGTCCCACACGTGCAAGAGAAGGGAGAGTTTGGCATATTCACAGTAAACACTGCACTCTTATGTTACTTTATTGTCACTCCCAAAGATTTCAAAGGGCTTAATTTCTCATTAAAATTGTGCATGTAAAATGAATGGTACAATTAATGAGAGTATTGCTACTCTTACTGAAAGAGCAAGAGTTTCTCCTCCAAACACATCTTCTGAAATGAACATATGGCCTACTATATGCCAGCCACTATTATTGATTTGTTTTCTCATTTCTCATTTCAACCTCTGAAGTAGATAATAGTATCCCCATATTATAGGATAGAAAACTAGGGTTCAGATACCATGTGGCTTTCCCCAAAGACCATATAGCTTGAAAGTGAGAAAGCTAAAATTCTTATCTAACTCATCCTGAATTTCTTAATGCAGCATTCTATCTTCCTCGCATAGGCAAGCATTGCCTTTTGTGCCTACTCATCTTATTCATTCTAGTTATTGAGCATCTGTGACGCTTCCATTGCTTTCTTTATGTGCCTTACTTCTCGCTTTCTGGGGATTAGTATATCATCCCTGTAATTGTTTGCCTTGCTGGCTATGATTGCATTTTAGGAAAACCACAGAGATAATTAAAAATCCAAGTCAAGACACCAGTAATGTTTTGGGGAATCTTTCCACCCATCATAACAGTAAAGATTTTTCTGTGACGTGCTGTAAGAAAAATTTCTGTTCTCCTGAAACTGTTCATCTAAAACATGTTTCCATACGTATCTCACAGAACGGAGAAATAATTATTTTGGTCTTATTCAATGATTCTATAAAGAACTTCAAAACTATTACATATTGTCTTTTGATAGGAAAAAAACCCTATAATTGAATATGCATTGGGAGTTAAGTGAAACACGTTATTGTTTTATGAAGACTAGCCAGGAATTACATCATGCTGCCTGTTTCTACATATGAGTCCAATTTTATGTGAAACTATTTAGAGACTATGGCCCATCTGCTTCTGAAGGTTTTCTACCAAGTTGCCAGATTAATAGTGCAGAAACCAGAATCATTTTTATGCAGATACTGATGAATTTACAATCATTATAACCCTTGCCTGACAATTTATAGCTATTCTTATACGTTTTACCAAAAGCAATGTTTTAAAGAGTTTTCATGATCATCACAGGAAATGGTTCAGCAGAAACCACACAATAAACTAGTTTCTAGTACGATTCTAGAAATCATCTATTATTTTCTTCCAGTTCACTTATAAAAGACATACAATTATATACCAATTTAGCTTTTCAAAATTACTTTCACATTTGTCTTCTTACTTTCTCTTCTGTGTTGTATCACTTTACAATCCCTGTTTAAAAGTTGAATGAGAGTCACAGAAAAGTTAAGCAACTTACCTAATGTCACGTAATTGTGTGGTGGCAGAGAAATGATGAGTGCCCAGGTGTTTTTTATTTCCAGCTCTTACATCATTTCACAAAGTGAGTTCTGTGGAATACTAGCATCCTGATAAATGTGAATAGGCATTCTGGTAAAATGTATGTTTCAAGGTCACTGCATAATCACCTCTAGACTTTCACAAGTCATAAGATATTGAAAGGTCACTAAAGTCCTATAATTTAAAAAATGTTTAACATAGAGTTTTATCAGCGTATTTGTCCGTGAATATCTTGCAAACTCACTAGTATTGCAAAGTAAATAATTTAGAAAATGCTGCACTAAGGTATACATATAAGTTTTACTTGGTCTCAGGACTGAATATAACTCAAGCACATTGACTATGCCCTATAAATTTTATTTCTCACAAGGTCTGGAAAATGCTAGAGCTAAGAGTAGGAGCTCAATAAAGATTTATTGCCTGAGTGAAAATTTATGATATGGGTATTCATAAATAGAGGTTTAGATGTATAGATGTCAGTTTATTGTAACCACAAACCAGTTTATTGAATCCAAGAGAGAGGGAAAGAAAGAGAGAGACTATCAAAAATCTGTACAAGCTAGAGAAATATATGTTTAATGCATTGTAAATATGTATAAATATTAAGAAAGAATGCAGTAACATGGAAAAAATCAAATAAATTAATAAATATGCTTTGAACATGTATTGAGTGCTTACTATCTTCCAGGTACCAAAATGTCCTGTCATTTAATCTACCTTCTCCTTATGATACAGATAACATTGTCATTCAAAATTCAAGTCACCCAACAAATATATATTAAGTATCTGAAATATGCTTATTGACTTGTCCTTCAAGGTTTAGTTTAAAAGTCAGGTACATGTTGGTGATTAATAAATATTTAGTGAATGGATTAATATAGACACAATCACTGTTCTCATTGGCTCGTATGTTAGTATTATACTAAGTGGTAGACCTCAGATGCAAACCCTGATCAAACCAAGGTTCTCTCCACTGGACCTCAGCCTTAGTGAGTTGTAAGTCCATGCTTCCTATCCTCATTTGCTAACAGCTGGTAATGTGAACTTGGTTATGTATGTAAGTTTTTCTGACTGTAAATGGTTGTAATGATTTTAAATAGAACAATGGACCAATTTGTTCAGGCACTAAAGTTTCTAAGTTTCTGCTTTGTGGCCACCATGCCCCTACCCTTGTGCCCCTTTTATTGGTCAATGTCCAGCCATCCTAGTTGTTAAATATTTTAACTATCACCTTAGGTGAAGGAAAACGGCACTGGGGAAAAAAATAGACTTGAAATGTTTTGTCTTAAAGTTCTAAATTCAAGAGCCAAAGACCCATATATCCTCATTAATTGCTAAACAAATTTATTTAGGAAGATGCCCTGAAGACAGACAGATATAATAACAATTTGAATCAAACTCTACTCTTGAGATCCCAGTAAGGTAGTTTAAAAGCAAATCACATGCCCCTAGTGCCACTCTATTACACAAATTACTCCTCCTCCAGGCTCAAGTCATCCCAAGAAGGTAGCAGTATTTGGCAAGACAGTAGAGTTAACATGAACTGAGATAATTTAAGCTTTTACATTTAAAGATCAATGTCAGGCTAAATGTCATACTGAGATCATTTGGTGCTCAAAATGAAGTGATGATTTTGGCTCTGAGATTTGAAAAAAAAAAAAAATCCCAAAATTTCAACAATGTTTTGAGATGCCACAGTCGTCTTGTTTCAGTTATCCAGTCAATAAATTTAACTAGATGTTCAGGGACCAAAGAATCAAAAACATTTGTTGCTATTCCCAAAATACAGAGCTGTACTCACAGGTGTGCTATGTCAGTTAGGACCTTTTCAACTAAATCAAAACCCCATGTTCCCTTTTGCCATTCATCATTGACCATTTACAGAGGTAACCCATGAAGATTGCACAGCTGTTGTGAAGTAACATTTGATTTCTGCCAAGATCTCAGGAGGACTGAATTACTGTGAGTTATGATTTCCCCAGAACTGGTAGAACTATTTCTTGTACAACCAGGCTCATATATCTCAATAACAGCTTTTCTGCCAGGGAAAGTACAGGTAAACTTTGATATTGGAACATTCCTTGTAGTTTGATTTGGCAAAAAGTGACTCAAATTCTTCCTTCACTTTATTGTATAATTTTAAAATAATTTCCCATTGAAGGAGAATCATTTGTCCTTTAAATGTGCATATACAATAACCTATTGCTATTACTCTTGAAAGTCTAGCCAGTAAAACTTATGACTTCAATCATGACATTCCATTTCTTTTAAGAGAGAAGCTTGAATAGCATGCTCATGCCTACTTCTAACTTAAGTCAAAACATTTGCTAGGGCAAGGCTTTGTTTCTTTTAATTTCTGAGGTCTGGTCCCACAAGTGGTAACAGTGAATTGTGCATGTCTTTCCACCCACATCACATGATTTGCTTGTTTTAATTGCTTATCTAAATGCTGGTTTATCCTGCAGGTGTCAGTTTGAATCATTTCCTTCATGATGTCTTCTATAATTTAGGCCAGGCTTGATTGTTCTTTTCTATCTCACCAGAAATTGTTCTTTTCTATCTCACCAGAAATTAAGAGTTATTAGTACCCAAGTGCACTAGGAAAGTTGACATCATGATATGACATCTGGCCCTGCATCTTTAGTCACACTGCTGTGTAAGATGGCACAGTGGGAACTATGATTATTTCTGCAAGTTTCTACTGCACTGAGATGGCTAGCAATAAATTATGCCTGGAGGTGAACCATATAAATATATCCTGATAAACCATATAAATATATCCTGATAAAAATAAACCAAATGCATCCCCTATCAATTTTCCGCTACTTGAATCCCCAAAATACCCATAGCCACTCTAGCATCGCCAGACAAAAACGCAAGTGAGAATGGAAAAAGACAATAATCTTAAGCAGTGATGCTCAAAAATATCTTACTATGTCAACTGTATTAAGCAAGAAGCCCTGAAGCTTAGGGCCATTAGATTCACAGCCACAACATCTCTGCTCCTACCTCTACTCTCTGTTCTCCCTGCCACATATATGCTTCATTCTACTACAAAAACTTTCATCCCTATGCCTCTTTCCAAGCCCACTTTCCAATCCAACCTCTTCCTCCCCTAAATTTCCTGAACCTTCTCCCTGCATTGGCTCTTCTCAACAGGAGATATTTTTTTTTTAATTCAGAATCTCCAGTTCCCACATCAAGTCCACTGAGTTAGTATTTTTTAAACAAGATCTTTAGAAGCATTTCATACACCTTTGGGTTTAAGAAGCATGTCCTAGAAGACACCCCTTTCCTACCTTCATTCCATGGAACTGGAGGGATCACTCTTTTTACTCTAAATGAAATTTTTACCTTTTTCTAACTCAATGCTCAACCAAACCCAGGTTCTTCCCTTGTCCCATGACAACATGCAAATCACCACCCTTTCACATAGGCAAGTCTCCAGGACCCAGGAATGAAGGACTGACCTTCTTTCCCATCCCTGTTCCCTCTTTGGGACATCAAAAAGTTATATTGTCAGAGACTAAGCAAGAAATTTGATTCAGCCTTGGAAGATTGCTATAACTATAACTACCAAGTGTTTCCACAGATACATTTGAACATTTAAGGGTCCAGCACACATATCATATTTCTTCTCTTACACTGTGTCTCACTATTGTCCATACTTTGATGATCTGTAAAATTATTAACCTCATGTTCTTACTCAACTTATGCCACATAAGTATTCCTTAATTATTTCAAACAAATGTTCTTGTCTCCCCAATTAATTTTATGTGTTCTGAAGGGCAGGGATCACACCAGCGATGTTTCTGGGTCTCATAGAGGCTAGCACAGTACTTGACACATTGTGGCTTCCAGTTAAGTCCTCTGTCTTAATTAGGAAATGTTTAAATATTTCTTTGATGACTGAAGAACTTTCAGGGCCTCAGAATGCAGATATTTTTTGTTTGTTTGTTTGTTTGTTTGTTTTGAGACAGGGGCTTTCTCTGTCACTCAGGCTGGAGTGCAGTGGTGCCATATTAGCTCACGGCAGCCTTGACTTCCTGAGCCCAAACGATCCTCCCACCTCAGCCACCATGCCCATCTAATTAAAAAAAAAACTTAAGAGACAGGGTCTCGCCATGTTACCCAGACTCTTCTTGATCTCCTGGGATCCAGGCAATCCTCCCACCTCAGTGTCACAAAGTGCTAGGATTACAGGCATGAGCCACCACACCTAGCCACCACTTTGAACAATTATATTCTCACTGAATATAACAGAGAACCAAATGATTTATTATTATCATCATCATCAAATATGCATTTCTCATGATGATGTGTCTCATATATTTTTACTGGAAAGAAGGGATCTTCCTGTCATTGTAATAACAGTTTTATATTGCATTTTAATACAGAAGATTTAGGTAGTAAAAACAGCATAGAATCTGATGTACTGTTTTCAAGTCCCTGTACAGTCCTTACTAGCTCTGTAGTTTGAATATAACTACCAACTCTCAATCATCCTATTTACTTGTGTGAAACAACCTCATGGGGTTATTACAGCTTTAATGAGACAAAGCAAAATCTTAACACTGTTTTATTCTCAATCCATTATTCTACATTATAATCTCTGTTATGAAAATTTAAATTATTCTTATAAATACTAGTTTCAGAATTAACACAAAAAAGTCTCAAGTTTGAAATTAGGCCATGATTATATAGCTACTTGCACTTTCAATCCTCCAAGAAAATCGTGGAAATTTCAAAATTAACAAGGGAGTTGTGCAATGATTCTGACTCTGAAAAATTAAAATTCTTGTAAGCCTTTATTCATTCCTTGAAAAAAGAGGTCTGTTGCTTGAGGTTGGGAATGAAGATGAGGCAATGTTTATTTTCAATTAATCTTAAGCTTCTGGACTTAATGAAGAAAGTTTATCAAAAACTGCATGTAAGAGTTTTGGAAGTTGGACAGTGGAAACAAAAACAGAAAAAGGAAGGAAGGGAGGGAAGACGGAAGGACCAAAGAGAAGCAGGTATGAGCGATGAGGCTTGATTTATGTAACTTGTCAGTGTTATAATGATACAGTCAAACAATTTGCTGATTTGGTCAACAAACATAAAGTCACATTTAAATCTCTACTTAAAAAGCCTTGTTCTTCCCTGAAAGAACTTGTATTTTCCAAAGATAACCATGACAATATCTCTTGTTACACATGCTCTTCTGCAAAATCACTTAGCTCCTCCATGAGAAGTCAAAGTTTATTTCTCTAACGTCCTTGAGTCTGGCCCAACCCTATGACTGCTTTGGCCAATAGAATATGGCAGAATTAATGCTGTCAATGCCAGTTTATGAAAAAATTCTTAATATACCTGGTAGCTTCTTCTTTCTGCCTCTTGGACACAACAGCCATTTAAGAAGCTTACCATGTTCAGCCCACCATCTTGGGAAAAGCCAGAGGACTGAAGTTCCAGATGGATAAAGAAGCCAATGTGGAAGTAGATTTTCAGCCCCAGCCCCTAAAGCTGATGCCATGAGGATCAGGTACAAACTTCCCTGATGAACACTTCTAAAATTCTGAATCCACAAGGTTTTATGAGCAGAACAAAATGTTCAAGTCACAAGGATTTAGGGTAGTTATTTACATAGCAAAAATATAACATACCCCAGAATATACAAGCAATTACTAAAAACTAGTGAGAAAAAAGACAACTCAAATTGAAAACATGAAAACAACTTGAACAGGCACTTCATAAAATAGGATAGCCAAATGGCCAGTCCCCATATAAAAATATGCTGAATATCATCAGAAATCAGGAAAAGCAAGTTAAAGTCACATGTGCCAAAATGACAAAATTTTTAAAAGTTGACAACATCAGGTTTTGAGAAGGATGTGGAACAACTACACCATTCTTGAACAAAGTCAAGAACATAAATTGGTATAACCATTTAAGAAAAATGTTTATTAGTACCTACTAAAACTAAACCTACACATTCACCATGGCCCAACAGTTTTACTCTTGAGTATCCCTAGCAAAAAGGAGTCTTATTTCCACCAAAAGACATGAACAAGAATGTTCATAGCAGTTTTAATCACAATCTCCAAAAACTGAAAATATCCCCCAAACCCATCAAGAGTAAAATGAGCAAATAAATTGTGGTATATTCATATAACGAAATGTTGCACAACAGTAAGAAGGAGCAAACCCATGATATATATACAGCATGGATTAATTTCAGAGATATAACACTGAAAAAAGTACATATTTCAGTGTATTTTCTTCCAGTCATTACCCTATACATTATTTTAAAATTCCTATGCATTTAAAAAAATAGTTGAAAGCACACTATAGTGTGCTAATAAGTCCATTTGTGCCTGAATGGTTTCCTAATAGAAAGGAATCCAGTATTGTGTAACTTTTGGCAAACATCTAATGTTTTATAAATACTAAAACAAACATCTAATGTTTCATAAATATTTTATAAAATGTAAACATAACACTTGCATAATCAACAAAATATATATTTAGCAGACTAATAAGCTTTTTTAATCTTTAGCCATTGACTACAAATTCAATCAAATGCTTCAAATTATAAGAACTGCAAATTAAATCTACTATTTTAAATTTGTTAACCACCTTTGCCATCACACAAAATTCTCACTAGTGGTTATAATTAATAATAAAGCCAACCAACACACATGTTAAAACCATTTAAAAAGTGTTAAACACTGTAATTTCCATTTGTTTCTCTATAATCTTCTTTCTTATTTTGATCTTATTCTTTCCTATTCCTTCCCAGAGCTATACTTTTACTTCTCCAACCTACACAGAGGGTTTCTCTGGGGGCAGAGACTGATGAGTGAAGATTGGAGCTGAGACCAAGTCATGAGTGTGACATCCAAGAAGATTCTTCCTAAGTTTATTATCCATCTAAGGTGGTTACATTCGTACACTTTGTCCATTATGTAAAGATTGTTATTATTAAATCTGACCAATCTTATAGCTTTTAATTTGTGGGGGTAGGAGGCACAAGTTTTATCATCAATCTGACAGCTGTTATGGGTACTTGGTATTATAGCCTAGTAGAGGTTATTTTACAAAGGTTTGTTCTGTATCTTGATTTTTTTGAATATTGGATGTAAGCCTCTTTTGTGACTACCCCTTCTGACCAAGTCCTATTTAGTTAAGTTAAATCTAAATGGATTAGTCAATCATTTACTTGAAATTACAATTTTTCTTCCTTATTAACCACCTAAGACCTGCAATAGTATGTCATAAGCACTGTTTCCATGGCTATAAACTCTTTTGAAAGATAATTATAATGACTTCATGAAATTCTATCTTAAGAATATAATATAGTTTCAACACATTTTGTGTATATTACAAAGCAGATAATGATGTCCTATGGTGTTTCTTTACTAACAAACCAACTTAAAGAAATTTTAAAAATATAGTATATGGATGAAAAATTCTCCAGAGGATAGATATCATAAGGAAAAAATAATCACAGCTTCTGGAAACGACAGACACACTTAGAGAAATACAAAATTCAGTGGAAAGTTTCAACAATAGACTAAAAGAAATAGAAGAAAGAACAGCAGAGCTCAAAGACAAGGCTTTTGAGTTAACCCAATCAGACAAAGACAAAAAGAAATGAAGAAAGCTTTCAAGAAATTTGGGATTATGTTAAACAGCCAAGCCTAAGAATAATTGATGTTCCTAAGGAAGAAGAAAAATATTAAAGTTTGGAAAACTTATTTGAGGGAATAATTGAGGGAAACTTTCCTGGCCTTGCTAGAGATCTAGACATCAGAACACAAGAAGCTCAAATGACTCCTAAGAAATTCATCACAAAAAGATTATTACCAACACCCACAGTCATCAGACTATCTAAATTCAAGATTAAGGAAAGAGTCATAAAAGCTGTGAGGCAAAAGCATCAGGTAACCTATACATGAAAAACATATCCGATTAATAGCAGATTTATCAGCAGAAACCCTACAAACCAGAAGGGATTGGGGTCCCATCTTTAGCGTCCTTAACAACAACAAAAATTGTCAGCTGAGAATTTTGTAGCCAGCAAAACTAAGCTTTATAAATGAAGGAGAGAAAAAGGCTTTTTCAGATAAAAAAACAAATGCTGTGAGAATTTGCCACTACATCTAACATGATGAATAGAACAGTACCTCCCATCTCCATATTACTAACATTGAATGTATTTTCTTTTTTTTCTTTTTCTTTTTTTTTTTTTTGTTTTTTTTTTTAGACAGAGTTTTGTTCTTGTGACCCAGGCTGGAGTGCAATGGCACGATGTCAGCTCACTGCAACCTCTGCCTCCGGGGTTCAGATGAATCTCCTGCCTCAGCCTCCCAAGTAGTTGAGATTACAGGTACCTGCCACCTCACCCAGCCAATTTTTGCATTTTTAGTAGAGATTGAATTTCACAGCCTAAATGCTCCACTTAAAAGATACAGAATTGCAGAATGCATAAAAATTCACCAACCAAGTATCTGCTGTTTTCAAGAGACTCACCTAACACATAAGAACTCATACAAACTTAAGATAAAGGGGTGGAAAAAGATATTCCACACAAGTAGAAACCAAAAGCAGTCAGAAATAGCTATCCTTATATCAGGCAAAACACTTTAAAGCAACAACAGTTAAAAAAAAAAAAAAAGAAAAGACAAAGAGGGGCATAATATAATGATAAATAAATTAGTCCAACAGGAAAATATAACAATTCTAAATACATATGCACCTAACACTGGAGCCCCCAAATTTATAAAATAATTACTACTAGACCTAAGAAATGAGATAGATGGCAACACAATAATAGTGGGGATGTCAATACTCCACTGACAGCACATGACAGTCATTAAGACAGAAAGTCAACAAAGAAACAATGGACTTAAAGTATATTCTAGAACAAATGGACTTAACAGATATTTACAGAACATTCTACCCAACAACTGCAGAGTACACATTGTATTAATCAGCACATGGAACATTCTCTAAGATAGATGATGTAAATACTTGGGTAAAATTGGAAGGTACAAATAAGTAATTACTGAACCAGTGGAAGCCAAGTTTAGTTGGGGAATACTTTTTATGATACTGATAAGTGAAGGCTTATTAGTTTTAAAAGTGCTGGCTTTATTTTTGTAGTTACAGAGTGGTGTAAAGGCAAGGCTTACTTAGCTTTTGGATTTTACATAAACATTATTTATTTAGTAAGCTAGTTTTTTTTTTGTTTTTTTGTTTGTTTGTTTGTTTTTGACAGAGTTTCGCTCTGGGAGAGTTTCGCTCTGTCTCCCAGGCTGGAATGCAGTGACGCGATCTCAGCTCATTGCAAGCTCTGCCTCCTGGGTTCACGCCATTCTCCTGCCTTAGCCTCCTGAGTAGCTGGGACTACAGGTGCCCACCACTACGCCCAGCTAATTTTTTGTATTTTTAGTGGAGACGAGGTTTCATCGTGTTAGCCAGAATGGTCTTGATCTCCTGACCTCATGATCCGCTCGTCTCAGCTCCCAAAGTGCTGGGATTACAGGCGTGAGCCACCGCGCCCAGCTGCTAGATTTTTTTTTAAGGTGCACTAGCCACTTAGGATATTTTCACTGGTGGGAACTGAGATTTTTTAGATGCCTGAATTAACTACTAATTTTGGTTTATTTTAGGTACATGCTTATTGAAACAGTATTTTTACTTAGCCTAAATTTAAATTTTTTTATTATTTTGTTAAAGTGATGAATATGTTTGAAAAATAAAGACAACTTTTTTTTTGCCTTTTTAGGCTAGAGCTTTAGCATGAGAATTATACTTTGACACAGAAAATTAGGTTTATAAGGGAAATATAATAAAGTGTTTTGGAAAGCAGGAAACTTTATTTTATAACTTTAAGTGAAAAATATGTGGCATTAAGGCCTGATTTTTTATTGTTTTGTCTTTTTTTAACTTCGGGAATTAAAATTTTTTGTTTAAATGCTGAATTTGAAAATTGAAACAGACTTTTGGGTTTTGTTATAAAAGCAAAGTAATAATGTTTTTATGTATTTTATAGGGTTATATAGCATAATAACTTGAATTTATGGTTGGATTTGACTGAATTTATATAGATACTAATTTGAATGACTTATACACAGAAAATGTGCAATATTTTAAGTATAAAAATTAAACTGGAACTGTTTGCTTTTGTTTTATAGTATAAATAAAAATAACCTAGATGGCAAACTATTTAATTATTTGAGCAGAACTTATGAATGAAAGATATATTTTAGAGCCATATGACTGAGGGACATTTTAACTTGCACTTTTTAGTGGCAAAAGTAGTGTATAAACTAATGTTAGTGTATACACTACAAAAGGGCTAAGTGTGTAATATTTTTTAATTTCATTTTAAAAATGAAAGTCTTTTTTTTTACGGTGAAGGGCAATAACACTAAATTTTTTATGGGTACAAGGGAATGATTTATTTAGTACATTAACACACTTAACTGTTAGTGTTTTTGGGAAGCTGGATTTGCTACAAACTTATTTTGAAAAACATGGATTATTAAATTTTATAATAAAGTTATTAATAAAGACATAGTTAAGTTTTTATAAACACTAAATGTGTGTATTTGTTGTTATGGTTCTAAATGTTAAAGAAAAACCTTTGAAAATTAGTATAGTGATAATATACATGCTTTGTGTTTGCTATTAAACTTAAGACCAAGAACAATGCCTAAAATCATTAAATTCAAGAAAATTGAAATTTCAAGTACCCTCTCAGACCACAGTGGAATAAAACTGGAAATTAATTCCAAAGGAGCCCTTAAAACTATAAAAATACATGAAAATTAAATGATCTATTCTTAAATGATCATTGAGTTAACAATAAAATCAAGATAGAAATTTAAAAATTATTTGTGCTGAATAATAATAATGACAAAACTTATCAAAACCTCTGGGATACAGCGAAGGTGGTGCTAAGAGGAAAGTTCACAGCATTAAATGCCTACATCAAAAAGTCTGAAAGAGTGCAAAGAGACAATCTAAGGTCACACCTCAAGGAACTAGAGAAACAAGAACAAAACAAACTGAAACATAGCAGAAGACAAAACATAACAAAGATTAGAGTAGAATTAAATGAAATTGAAACAAAAAACACAAAAGATAAATGAAACAAAAAGCTGGTTCTTGAAAAGATCAACAAAATTGATAGACCATTAGTGAAATTAACCAAGAAAAGAAGAGAGAACTCAATTAGAAATGAAATGAGAGCTGTTGCAATTGATATTACAGACATACAAAAGATTATTCCAGGCTACTATGAACATCTATATGCACACAAACTAAAACATCTAGAAGAGATGGCTAAATTTCTGGAAATATACAATTCTCTTAAATTAAACCAGGAAGAAATAGAAACTCTGAACATATCAATAACAAGTAGCAAGACTGAAACAGTAATTTTAAAAATTGCCAACAAAATAAAGTCCAGGACAAGATAGATTCACAGCTGAATTCTATCAGACATGCTAAGTAGAGTTGGTACCAATTTTACTGAAACTATTCAAAAATAAAGAGTGAACCCTCCCAAAATCATTCTATGTCACCAGCCACTAGGGTGGTATAAGTCACCCCAATACCAAAAACTGGAAAGGACATAATAAAAATAAATCTACAGACCAATATCTCTGATGAACATGGATGCGGAAATCCTGGACAAAATACTAGCTAACAGAATCCAAGAGCATATCAAAAAGATAATCCACCATGATCAAGTGAATTTTGTACCAGGAATGCAGGGATGGTATGACATATGCAAGTCAATAAATTTGATACATCATATAAGCAGAATTTTTTTAAAAAATTTACAGTCATCTCAATAGATGTAGAGAAAGCATTTGGCAAAATCCAGTATCCCTTTATGATTAAAACCTTCAGCAAAATTGGCATACAAGGGACTTACCTTAGGATAATAAAAGCCATCTATTAGAAACCCACAGCAAGCTGGGTGCAGTGGCTCACACCTGTAATCCCAGCACTTTGGGAGGCCGAGGTGGGCAGATCATCTGAGGTCAGAAGTTCAAAACTGGCCTGACCAACGTGGAGAAACCCCATTTCTACTAAAAACACAAAATTAGCTGGGCGTGGTGATGCATGTCTGTAATCTCAGCTACTCGGGAGGCTGAGGAGGGAGAATAGCTTGAACCCGGGAGGCGGAGATTGCGGTGAGCTGAGATCACACTATTGCATTCCAGCCTGGGCAACAAGAGCAAAACTCTGTCTCAAAAAAATAAATGAATAAAAAGAAACCCACAGCCAACATTATACTAAACAGGGAAAAGTTGAAAACATTCTCCCTGAAAACTGAAACAAGACAAGAATGTCCATTTTTACCATTTCTATTCACCATAGTACTGAGTCCTAGCCAGAGCAGTCAACAAGAGAAAGAAATAAGGGGCATCCACATCAGTAAAGAGAAGTAAAACTGTCACTGTTTGCCAATTATATAATTATATACTTAGGAAACCCTAAAGACTCATTCAAAAAGCTCCTAGATCTGATAAATTAACTCAGTAAAGTTTCAGGATACAAAATCAATGTTCACAAATTAGTAGAAACAGCTATACACAAACAGCTGAGACACCAAGCTGAGAAAAAATACATCAAGCTGAGAAACAAATCAATAACTCAATCCCTTTTACAACAATGGCAAAATAAAATAAATAAATAAATAAATACCTAAGAATATACCTAACCAAGGAAGTGAAAGATCTCTACAAGAAAAACTACAAAACACTGCTGAAAGAAATAATTTACAGCTGGGCATGGTGGTTCACACCTGTAATCCCAGCACTTTGGGAGGCCAAGGCAGGCAGATCACGAGGTCAAGAGATCGAGACCATCCTGGCTAGGAAAGTGAAACCCCATCTCTATTAAAAATACAAAAATTAGCCGGGCATGGTGGCATACGTCTGTAGTCCCAGCTACTTGGGAGACTGAGGCAGGAGAATCACTTGAACCCAGGAGGCAGAGGTTGCAGTGAGCCACTGCACTCCAGCCTGGGTGACAGAGTGAGATTCCATCTCAAAAAAAAGAAAGAAAGAAAGAAAGAAAGAAAGAAAGAAAGAAAGAAAGAAAGAAAGAAAGAAAGAAAGAGAAAGAAAGAAAGAAAGAAAGAAAGAAAGAAAGAAACAATGAATGTACAACACAGATGGAAACACATCTCATGTTCATGAATGGGTAGAATCAATGTTGTTAAAATGACCTTACTGCCAAAAGCAATCTACAGGTTTAACGTAATTCCCATCAAAGTACTGTCATCGTTCTTCACAGAAGTAGAAAAAATTCTAAAATTCATATGGAACCAAAAAAAAGCACACATAGCCAAGGCAAGACTAAGCAAAAACAAATCTGGAGGTGTCACATTACCCCACTTCAAACTATACTACAAGGCTATAGTTACCAAAACAGCATGGTACTGGTATAAAAATAGGCACATAGACCAATGGAATAGAGAACCGAGAAATGAAGCCAAATGCCTACAGCAAACTGATCTTCAACAAAGCAAACAAAAACATAAATTGGGAAAAGGACACCCTATTCAACAAATGGTGCTGAGATAATTGGCAAGTCACACGTAGAAGAATAAAACTGAATCCTCATCTCCAACCTTATGCAAAAATTAACTCAAAATGGACCAAAGACTTAAATCTAAGACCTGAAACCATAAAAATTATAGAACATAGCATTGGAAAAACTTTTCTAGACGTTGGCTTAGGTAAAGATTTCATGACCAAGAACCCAAAAGCAAATGCAACAAAAACAAAAATAGATGGGATTGAATTAAATTAGAAAGTGTCTGCACAGCAAAAGAAATAATCAGCAGAGTAAATATAGACAACCCACAGAGTAGAAGAAAATATTTTCAAACTATGCATCCAACAAAGGACTAATATTGAGAAGTAATAAGGAACTCAAATCAGCAAGAAAAAAAAATAA
This sequence comes from Homo sapiens, assembly GCF_000001405.40. NCBI lineage: Eukaryota > Metazoa > Chordata > Mammalia > Primates > Hominidae > Homo > Homo sapiens. Next base: position 26,875,062 of record NC_000011.10, read on the forward strand.
TTCCATCAAAATGTGGACAAAGTTCATGAATAGACAATTATCAAAGCAGATATACAAATGGTCAACAAACATATGAAAAAATGCTCAACATCACTAATCAAGAAAATGCAAATTAAAACCACAGTGAGATATTACCTTATTCCTGCAAAAATGGCCATAATTTAAAAATCAAGGCCAGGCATGGTGGCTCATGCCTATAATCCCTGAACTTTGGGAGACTAAGGTGGGTGGATCACTTGAGCTCAGGAGTTCAAGACAAGCCTGAGAAGCATGGCGATACCCCATCTCTACAAAAAATTACCTGGTGTGATGCCATACAGCTGTGGTCCCAGGAACTTGGGAGGCTGAGATTGGGGGATGACTTGAGCCCAAAAGGTGGAGGTTGCAGTGATGAGATCATGATAGTGCACTCCAGCCTGGGTAACAGAGTGAGACTCTGTCTCAAAAAGAAAAAAAATCAAACAATATTAAATGGTGGCATGGATGTGGTGAAAAGGAACACTTTTACACTGCTGGTGGGAATGTAAACTAGTACAACTTCATAGAAAACAGTATGAAGATTCCTTAAAGAACTAAGAGTAGAACTACCATTTGATCCAGCAGTCCCACTACTGGATACCTACCCAGAGGAAAAAAAGTTATTATATGAAAAAGACACTTGCACACACATGTTTATTGCAGCACAATTTGCAATTGCAAATAAATGGAACCAGCCTAAATGTCCATCAACCAACAAGTGGATAGAGAAAATGTGTTATATATATACCATGGAATACAACTCAGCCATAAAAAGAAACAAAATAATGGCACTCAAAACAACCTGGATGGAGTTGGAGACCATTATTCTAAGTGAAGTTAACAGGAAATTGAAAAACAAATTTCGTATGTTCTTATTTATAAGTGGGAGGTAAGCTATGAGGATTCAAAGGCATAAGAATGATATAATGGACTTTGGGACTCAGGGGAGAGTGTGTTTGGAAGGTGAGGGATAAAAGACTACATCTTAGGTACAGTGTACACTGCTCAGATGATAGGTGCACCAAAATCTCAGAAATTATGACTAAATAAATTATTCATGTAACCAAAAACCACCTGTTTTCTCAAAACTATTGAAATTTAATAAAAAGAAGGCCTGGCACTGTGGCTCACACCTGTAATCCTGGCACTTTGGGAGGCCAAGATGGGTGGATCACTTGAGGTTAAAAGTTCAAGACCAGCCTGGCCAACATGGTGAAACCTCATCTCTACTAAAAATACAAAAATTAGCCAGGCGTGGTGGTGGGCACCTGTAATCACAGCTACTCAGGAGGCTGAGGCAGGGGAACTGCTTGAACCCGGGAGGCAGAGGTTTCAGTGAGTGGGGATCATGACATTGCACTCCAGCCTGGGCAACAGGACAAGAATCCATCTCAAAAACAAAAAAGAAAAGAAATTTGATAAAAAGAATGAAGAAAAAATTTGAAAAAGAAATAAAACCTCTGAGAAATATGAAATTATGTAGGGAGACCAAATCTATGACTCAATGGCATTCCTGAAAGAGAAGGCAAGAGAGCAAGCAACTTGGAAAACATTTAACGATATAGTTCACATTTTCCCAATCTCACTAGACAGGTTGACATGCAAATCTAAGAAAATCAAAAAACCCCTGTGAGATATTATAAAAGATAATATTATGTAATCATAATGGACTCAAACCAACAAGAAGACTTAACTATCCAAAATATATATGCACCCAACATTAGAGCACTCAGTTTTTAGAGATCTTCAAAGAGATTTAGAGGACCACACAATCTCCAAGACACATAGCCATCAGATTTTCCAAGGTTAATGTGAAAGGAAAAATCTTAAAGGCAGCTACAGGGAAGGGACAGGTCACTTAAAAATAGAACCCAATTAGGTTAAAAGAAGACCTTTCAGTGAAAACCTGACAAGGAAGAAATTGGACGCCTATTTTTAATGTCTTTTTTAAAAAAGATATTCCAACCAAGAATTTCATATACCACCAAACTAAGCTTCATAAGCAAAGCAGAAATGAAATCCTTTTCAGACAAGTAAATGTTAAGGAAATTCATTACCACTAGACCTTACTTACAAGAGGTCTGAAAGGAAGTGCTAAACATGGAAATGAAAGAATACCTGCCACTACAAAAATGCACTTAAGCACATACCTCACTGACACTATAAAGCAACTATACCAATCAAGTTTACAAAACAACCAGCTAACAGCATGTTGACCTGATTAAAGCCTCACAAATCATTATTGACCCTGAATATAATTGGGCTAAAAATGTCTCATTAAAAGGCATAGATAGAGTGGCAAATTGCATAAAGAAACAAGACCCAACTGTCTGCTGTCTTCAAGAGACACATGTCACAAGTAATGATACTCATAGGCTCAAAATAAAGGCATAGAGGAAGGTCTATCAGGCAAATGGAAAGCAAAAAAGAGCAGGTGTTGCTATTCTTATATCAGATAAAACAGGCTTTAAACCAACAATGATTTAAAAAGGCAAAGAAGGGCATTCTGTAATGATAAAGATCTTCATCCAACAAGAAAACTTCACTATCCTAAATAAATGCCCACTCAACACTGGAGCACCAAGATTTGTGAAGCAAATTCTTAGAAATCTATGAAGAGATTTAGACAACCACAAGATAATACTGGGGACTTCAACACCCCACTGACAGTTTTACACAAATAGTCAAGGCAGAAAACTAGCAAGGATATTCTGGACTTAAACTTTACACTTGACCAATTGAACCTAAGAGACACCTAAGGAATATTCAACCAACAATAACAGAATAAATACTTTTCTCATCTGGAAGAAGCACATACTCCAAGATCAACCACATGCTCTGCCAGGAAGAATGTACCAACAAATTAAAAAGAAAAACAAAATTGTACCAACCACAGTCTCAGACTGTATTAGTCCATTTTCATCACTATAAAGTATATCTGAGACTGGGTATTTTATTTAAATAAAAGTTTAATTGTCTTATGATTCTGCAGACTTACTGGAAGCATAGTGGCAGCGACTGCTTCTGGTGAGGGTTCCAGGAAGATTGCAGTCATGGCAGAAAGCAAAGGGGAGCCAGTGTATCAAATGGTGAAAGAGGGAGCAAGAGAAGGAAAAGGGGGAGGTCACTTTGAAACAACCAGATTTCATGTTAACTGAGAGAAAACTCACTTATCACCAAAAGGCTGGTGCTAAACTATCCGTGTGGAATCCAATACTATGATCCAATTACCTCCCACAAGGTCCCTCCTCCTACATTGGGAATCACATTTTAACATGACATTTGGAGGGTACAAACATCCAAACCATATCATTCCACCTCTGGCACCCCAAACCTCATGTCCTTCTCAAATTTCAAAATAAAATTATGTCTTTGCAATAGTTCCTCAAAGTTAATATCTCCTCAGCATTAACTCAAAAGTCCGAAGTCTCAAGAATCATCTGGAAATGAGTTTCTTTCTTCCACGCATGAGCCTGTGTAACCCAAACAAGTTATTTACTTTCAAGCTGAAATGGTGGTGCAGGCATTGAGGAAACATTCCCATTCCAAAAAGGAGAAATTGACCTAAAGGAAGGGGCAATAGGCCCCACACAAGTTTGAAATCCAACAGGGTCTTCATTAAATCTTAGATCTCCAAAATAATATGTCTTGATACAATTTTCCACATCCCAGTATGAGGAGTAGGCTCTAAAAGCCTTGTGGCTTTGCAGTGTGGTACAGGCTACTCTCATGGGTTGGAGTTAAATGCTTATGGCTTTTCTAGGGAGAGAATACAAGCTGCCAGTGAATCTACCCTTCTAGATTCTGGAGGATGGTGACCTCCTTCCCACAGCTCCACTAGGCAGTGTCCTGACAGGGAATCTGTGTGGGGGCTCCAATCCCACATTACCCTGAGCCTTTGCCCTGGTAGAGCTTCTCTGTTAGGACCCCACCCCTGTGGCAGGCTTCTGCCTCGGCTTTTCCGTACCTCCTCTGAAATGCAGATGGAAGCTGCTAAGGCTTCTTCACACTCACATTCTGAGCATCTACAGACTTAACACTACATGGAAACCACCAAGGCTTATGGGTTGCACCCTCCTGAGTTGTGGCCCAAGTTGGACCTGGGACTATTTGAGCTGAGGCTGAAGCCAGAGTGGCTGGAATACAGGGAGCAGTGTCCTGAGGCTATGCCAGGCAGCTGGGCACTTGGCCTGGACAACAAATCATTTTTTCCTCTTCCTCTTAGGCCTCTGGGCAAGAAATGGAAGGGGCTGCCATGAAGTCTCTAAAATGCCTTTGAGTACTTTTCCCCCGTTGTCTTGGATTTTAGCACTTCACTCCCTTTTAGTCATGCTAATCTCCTTAGCAAGTGGTTGCTCCACAGCCCATTTGAATTTCTCTCTTGCTTTTCGTTATTGTGGCATGTGGCTAGGTTGCAAATTTTCCAAACTTTTACTCTCTGCTTCCCTTTAAATATAAGTTTTAACTTTAAGTCATTCATTTGCTCCTGCATCTGAGCATAGACTGTTAGAAATAGCCAGATCACGTTTTGAATACTTTGGAAATTCCTTCCACAAGTCATTCTAAATAATTACTCTTAATTTCAAACTTCCACACATCTCTAGGATATGGACACAATGCAGCCAAACTCTTTGCAAAGGCATAACACAGGTGATCTTTTCTCTAGCTTCCAATAAATTTCTTATTTCCATCTGAGACCTCATCAGCCTGGACTTCACTGAACTTATTACTATCAACATTTTGGTCACAATGTTTTAACCAGTCTCTAAGAAGTTCCAAATTTCCCTAATCTTCCTGTCTTCCTTTAAGCCCTCCAAACTCTTCCAACATCTTCTTATTACTCAGTATCAAAGCCACTTCCACATCTTCGAGTATCTTTATAGCAATGCCCCCCTCCTCAGTACCAATTTTCTTTATTCATCTATTTTGTGTCACTGTAAAGAAATAATTGAGACTAAGTAATTTATTTTTTTAAAAGTTTAATTGGCTCATGGTACTGTAGGCTGTACAGGAAGCATAGTGCTGGCATCTGCTTCTGGTGAGTGCCTCAGGAAATTTACAATCATGATGGAAGGCAAATCAGAGCCAACATATCACATGGCAAGTGAGGGAGTAAGAGAGGGAGAAGGGGAAGTTCCCAGACTCTTTTAAACAACTAGATATCACATGAACTAACTGAGCTAGAACTCACCTATCACCAAGGGGATAGTGCTAAACCTCCATGTGGGATCTGACCCCATGATCCAATTACTTCCCACCAGGCTCCTGGTCCAACATTGAGGATCACATTTTTACAGGATATTTAAAGAGGACAAACATCCAACCATATCATGGACAACAGTGCAATAAAAATAGAAATCAATATCAAGAAGATCAATTAAAACCATACAGTAACATGGAAGTTAAACTACCTGGTCCTGAATGACTTTTCAGTAAAAAAGAAAAAAAGAAATTAAGACAGAAATTTAAAGGGTTCTGGGAAACTAATGAAAACAGAGATATAACCTAGTAAAATCTTTGTGACACAGCTAAATCAGTGTTAAGAATAGTTTTAGCACTAAAGGCCTACATCAAAAAATTAGAAAGGTCATAAATTAACAACCTATGTTGCTCCTCAAGGAACTAGAAAAAAAACAAACCAACCCCAAAGCTAAGAGAAGAAAAGAAATATCTAAAATCAAACCTGACATAAACAAAATTGAGACACTAAAATCCATACAATAATTAATGCAACCAAAAGATGATTTTGATTATTCAAAAGATGAAACAAGATTGATAGACTGCTAGCTAGATTAATATAGAAAAAAAGAAGAAGATTCAAATAATTACAACCAGAAATGACAAAAGCAGCATTACAACTGACCCAACAGAAATACAAAAAATCATCAGACACTATTACAAACACCTATTGTGCACAAACTAGAAAACCTAGAAGAAATGGGTAAAATCCTGGAAATACAAAGCCTCTGAAGATTGAACTAGGAAGAAATTAAAATCCCAAACAGACTAATAATGAGTTCCAGTAATAAAAGGCCTACAACCCAAATAAAATCCTGGGCCAGATGGATTCACAGCTGAATTCTACCAGATGTACAAAGAAGAGCTAGTGCCAATCCTACTGAAATTATTCTAAGAAATCCAGGAGTAGGGACTTCTCCCTAACTTGATCTATGAAGCTAGCACCATTGTGATACCAAATCCTGGCAGGGACACAATGACAAAAGAAAACTTTAGGCCACTATTCCTGACCAACATAGTGGGTCAGGAATAGTGGGACACTGTGTGGGACACTGTGTGGCATTTGGCCCCTGCCCTAGAGATCTGTGGAGCTTTGAACTTGAGAGAAATGATTTAGCATGTCTGGTGGAGGAAATTTCCAAGCAGCAAAGCATTCAAGAGGTGACTTGGGTGCTCCTAAAAGCACCCAGCTTTATACATTCACAAAGATATGGTTTGGAATTGGAACTTATATTTAAAAGATAAACAGAGCATAAATTTTCTGAGGTTCAATTCAAGCCTGCTGCAGAAATCTGCATAACTTATGAGGAGCCAAATGTTAATCACCAAGACAATGGTGAAAATGTCTCCAGGACATGTCTGAGGTCTTCATGGTAGCCCCTCCCATCACAGGCCTGAAGGACTGGAAGGAAGAAATGACTTTGTGGGCCAGGCCCAGGGCCTTGCTGCTTTGCGCAGTTTCAGGACTTGGTGCTCTGCATCCCTGCCATGGTTGAGATGGGCCGACATACTGCTCAGGCCATTGCTTCAGAGGGCTCCTCATGGAGCTGTGATAAGAGGGCCACCATCCTCCAGACCCCAGAATGGAAGATCCACCAAGAGCTTGCACTGTGCACCTGGAAATGCTGCAGGCACTCTACACTAGCCCATTAAAGCATCTGGGAGTGAGAGTCATACCCTGCAAAGCCACAGGGGTGGAGCTACCCAAGACCATGGGAACCCACCTCTTGTATCAGTGTGACCCGGACGTGAGACATGGAGTCAAAGAAAATCATTTCAGAGCTTTAAGATTTGAGTGCTCTGCTGGATTTTTGACTTGCATAGGGCCTGTAGACCCTTTTTTTGGCCAATTTCTCCCATTCGAAATGGGTGCGTTTGGGGGATGTTCCAAGATGGCCAAATTGGAACAGCTCCAGTCTGCAGCTCCCAGCGTGATCAATGCAGAAGATGGGTAATTTCTGCATTTCCAACTGAGGTACCTGGTTCATCTTGTTGGGACTGGTTGGACAGTGGGTGCAGCCCATGGAGGGCAAGCTGAAGCAGGACAGGGCATCACCTCACCTGGGAAGTGCAGGGGGTCAGGGAATTTCCCTTTCCTAGCCAAGGGAAGCCATGATAAACTACGTGGAAAAACGGGCACTCCTGCACAAATACTGCACTTTTCCCAAGGTCTTAGCAACTGGCAGACAAGGTGATTTTCTCCAGTGCCTTGCTCGGTAGGTCCCACACCCACAGAGCATTGCTCACTGCTAGCACAGCAGACTGAGATAGATCTGCAAGGTGGCAGCCTGGCTGGGGGAGGGGCATCTGCCATTGCTGAGGCTTGAGTAGGTAAACAAAGCAGCCAGGAAGCTCGGAGTGGGTGGATCCCACTGCAGCTCAACAAGGCCTACTGCCTCTAGACTCCACCTCTATGGGCAGGGCATAGCTGTGCAAAAGGCAGCAGACAACTTCTACAGATTTAAATGTCCCTGTCTGACAGCTCTGAAGAGAGCAGTGGTTCTCCCAGCATGGCATTTGAGCTCTGAGAATGGACAGACTGCCTCCTCATGTGGGTCCCTGACCCCCGTGTAGCCTAACTGGGAGACATCTCCCAGTAGGGACTGACAGACAACTCATAAAGGAAGCTGCCCCTCTGGGATGAAGCTTCCAGAGGAAGGATCAGGCAGTAATATTTGCTGTTCTGCAATAGTTGCTGTTCTGCAGCCTCTGCTGGTGATACCCAGCTAAACGGGGTTTGGAGTGGAACTCCAGCAAACTCCAACAGACCTGTAGCTAAGGGACCTGACTGTTAGAAGGAAAACTAACAAACAGAAAGGAATAGCATCAACATCAACAAAAAAAAATCTACACCAAACCCAATCTGTAGCTCACCAACATCAAAGACCAAAGATAGATAAAACCACAAAGATGGGGAGAAACCAGAGCAGAAAAGCTGAAAAATCTAAAAATAAAAGTGCCTCTTCTCCTCCAAAGGATTGCAGCTCCTTGCCAGCAATGAAACAAAGCTGGACAGAGAATGACTTGATGAGTTGACAGAAGTAGGCTTCAGAAGGTCGGTAATAACAAATTTCTCCAAGCTAAAGGAGGATGTTTGAACTCATCGCAAGGAAGCTAAAAACCTTGAAAAACGATAACAGGAATGAACAGTGTAGAGAAGACCTTGAATAACTAGAATAAACAGTGTAGAGAAGACCTTAAATGACATGATGGAACTGAAAACCGTGGCACAAGAAATGGGTGATGCATGCAGAAGCTTCAATAGCCAACATGATCAAGTGGAAGAAAGGGTATCAGTGATTGAAGATCAAATTAATGAAATAAAGTGAGAAGACAAGGTTACAGAAAAAGAGTAAAAAGAAATGAACAAAGCCTCCAAGAAATATGGGACTATGTGAAAAGACCAAATCTACATCTGATTGGTGTACAGGAAAGTGATGGGGAGAATGGAACCAAGTTGGAAAACATTCTGCAGGATATTATACAGGAGAACTTCCCCAATCTAGCAAGGCAGGCCAACATTCAAATTCAGGAAATTCAGAGAATGCCACAAAGATACTACTCTAGAAGAGCAACCCCAAGACACATAATTGTCAGATTCACCAAGGATGAAAATGAAGGACACTTTGGGAGGCCGAGGCTGGCGGATCACGAGGTCAGGAGATCGAGACCATCCCGGCTAAAACGGTGAAACCCCGTCTCTACTAAAAATACAAAAAGTTAGCCGGGCGTAGTGGCGGGCGCCTGTAGTCCCAGCTACTTGGGAGGCTGAGGCAGGAGAATGGCGTGAACCCGGGAGGTGGAGCTTGCAGTGAGCCGAGATCCCGCCACTGCACTCCAGCCTGGGCGACAGAGCGAGACTCCGTCTCAAAAAAAAAAAAAAAAAAAAAAAAAAAGAAAATGAAGGAAAAAGTGTTAATGGCAGCCAGAGAGGAAGGTCGAGTTACCCACAAAGGGAAGCCCATCAGACTAAGAGTGGATCCCTTGGCAGAAACCCTACAAGCCAGAAGAGGATGGGGGCCAATATTCAGAACTCTTAAAGAAAAGAATTTTCAACCCAGAATTTCGTATCCAGTCAAACTAATCTTCATAAGTGAAGGAAAAAAAAATCCTTTACAGACAAGCAAATACTGAGAGATTTTTGTCATCACCAGACCTGCCTTACAAGAGCTCCTGAAGGAAGCACTGAATGTGGAAAGAAATAACTGGTACCAGGCACTGCAAAAGCATGCCAAACTGTAAAGACCATCGATGCTATGAAGAAACTACATCAATTAATGGGCAAAATAACCAGCAAACATCATAATGACAGGATCAAATTCACACATAAGAATATTAACATTAAATGTAATTGGGCTAAATGCCCCAATTAAAAGAAACAGACTGGCAAATTGGATGAAGAGTCAAGACCTATCAGTGTGCTGTATTCAGGAGACCCATCTCATGTGCAAAGACACACATAGGCTCAAAATAAAGGGATGGAGGAAGATCTACAAAGCAAATGGAAAGAAAAAAGAAAAGAAGGGGTTGCAATCCTAGTCTCTGATTAAACAGAGTTTAAACAAAAAAGATCAAAAGAGACAAAGAAGGCCATTACATAATGGCAAAGGAATCAATTCAACAAGAAGAGCTAACTATCCTAAATATATATGCACCCAATACAGGAGCATCCAGATTCATAAAGCAAGTCCTTAGAGACCTACAAAGAGACTTAGACTCCCACACAATAATAATGGGAGACTTTAACACCCCACTGTCAATATGAGACAGATCAACAAGATGGAAGGTTAACAAGGATATCCAGGACCTGAACTCAGCTCTGCAACAAGCAGACCTAATAGACATCTACAGAACTCTCCACCCCAAATCCATGGAATATACATTCTTCTCAGGTCTACATCGCACTTATTCTAAAATTGACCACATAGTTGGAAGTAAAGCACTCCTCAGCAAATGTAAAAGAACAGAAATCACAACAAACTGTCTCTCAGACCACAGTGCGATCAAATTAGAACTCAGGATAAAGAAACTCACTCAAAACTGCACAACTACATGGAAATTGAACAACCTGCTCCTGAATGACTACTGGGTAAATAATGAAATGAAGGCAGAAATAAAGATGTTCTTTGAAACCAATGAGAACAAAGACACAACATATCAGAATCTCTGGGACACATTTAAAGCAATGTGTAGAGGGAAATTTATAGCACTAAATGCCCACAAGAGAAAGCAGGAAAGATCAAAAATTGACACCCTAGCATCACAATTAAAAGAACTCGAGAAGGAAAGGCAAACACATTCAAAAGCTAGCAGAAGGCAAGAAATAACTAAGATCAGAGCAGAACTGAAGGAAATAGAGACACAAAAAACCCTTCAAAAAATCAATGAATCCAGGAGCTGTTTTTTTAAAGATTAACAAAATTGATAGACTGCTAGCAAGACTAGCAAAGAAGAAAAGAGAGAAAAATCAAATAGACACCACAAAAAATGATAAAGGGGTAACACCACCGATCCCACAGAAATAAAAACTACCATCAGAGAAAAGTAAAAATACCTCTACACAAATAAACTAGAAAATCTGGAAGAAATGGATAAATTCCTCAACACATACACCCTCCCAAGACAAAACCAGGAAGAAGTTGAATCTCTGAATAGACCAATAAAAAGCTCTGAAATTGTGGCAATAATCAATAGCTTACCAACCATAAAGAGTCGAGGACCAGATGGATTCACAGCCGAATTCTACCAGAGGTACAAGGAGGAACTGGTACCATTCCTTCTGAAACTATTCCAATCAATAGAAAAAGAGGGAATCCTCCCTAACTCATTTTATGAGGCCAGCATCATCCTGATACCAAAGCCGGGCAGAGACACACCAAAAAAGAGAATTGTAGACCAATATCCTTGATGAACATTGATGCAAAAATCCTCAATAAAATACTGGCAAAACGAATCCAGCAGCACATCAAAAAGCTCATCCACCATGATCAAGTGGGCTTCATCTCTGGGATGCAAGGCTGGTTCAATATACGCAAATCAATAAATGTAATCCAGCATATAAACAGAACCAAAGACAAAAACAACATGATTATCTCAATAGATGCAGAAAAGGCCTTTGACAAAATTCAACAACATTCATGCTAAAAACTCTCAATAAATTAGGTATTGATGGGACATATCTCAAAATAATAAGAGCTATCTATGACAAACCCACAGCCAATATCATACTGAGTGGACAAAACTGGAACCATTCCCTTTGAAAACTGGCACAAGACAGGGATGCCCTCTCTCACCACTCCTATTCAACATAGTGTTGGAAGTTCTGGCCAGGGCAATTAGGCAGGAGAAGGAAATAAAGGGTATTCAATTAGGAAAAGAGGAAGTCAAATTGTCCCTGTTTGCAGATGACATGATTATATATCTAGAAAACCCCATTGTCTCAGCCCAAAATCTCCTTAAGCTGATAAGCAACTTCAGCAAAGTCTCAGGATACAAAATCAATGTACAAAAATCACAAGCATTCTTATACACCAATAACAGACAGAGAGCCAAATCATGAGTGAACTCCCATTCACAATTGCTTCAAAGAGAATAAAATACCTAGGAATCCAACTTACAAGGGACGTGAAGGACCTCTTCAAGGAGAACTACAAACCACTGCTCAATGAAATAAAAGAGGATACAAAGAAATGGAAGAACATTCCATGCTCATGGGTAGGAAGAATTAATATCATGAAAATGGCCATACTGCCCAAGGTAATTTATAGATTCAATGCCATCCCCATCAAGCTACCAATGACTTTCTTCACAGAATTGGAAAAAACTACTTTAAAGTGCATATGGAACCAAAAAAGAGCCCGCATCGCCAAGTCAATCCTAAGCCAAAAGAACAAAGCTGGAGGCATCACGCTACCTGACTTCAAGCTATACTACAAGGCTACAGTAACCAAAACAGCATGGTACTGGTACCAAAGCAGAGATATAGATCAATGGAACAGAACAGAGCCCTCAGGAATAATGCTGCATATCTATAACTATCTGATCTTTGACAAACCTGACAAAAACACGCAATGGGGAAAGCATTCCCTATTTAATAAATGGTGCTGGGAAAACTGGCTAGCCATATGTAGAAAGCTGAAACTGGATCCCTTCCTTACACTTTATACAAAAATTAATTCAAGATGGATTAAAGACTTAAATGTTAGACCTAAAACCATAAAAACCCTAGAAGAAAACCTAGGCATTACCATTCAGGACATAGGCATGGACAAGGACTTCATGTCTAAAACACCAAAAGCAATGGCAACAAAAGCCAAAATTGACAAATGGGATCTAATTAAACTAAAGAGCTTCTGCACAGCAAAAGAAACTACCATCAGAGTGAACAGGCAACCTACAAAATGGGAGAAAATTTTCGCAACCTACTCATCTGACAAAGGTCTAATATCCAGAATCTACAATGAACTCAAACAAATTTACAAGAATAAAAACAAACAACCCCATCAAAAAGTGGGCGAAGGACATGAACAGACACTTCTCAAAAGAAGACATTTATGCAGCCAAAAAACACATGAAAAAATGCTCACCATCACTGGCCATCAGAGAAATGCAAATCAAAACCACAATGAGATACCATCTCACACCAGTTAGAATGGCAATCATTAAAAAGTCAGGAAACAACAGGTGCTGGAGAGGATGTGGAGAAATAGGAACACTTTTACACTGTTGGTGGGACTGTAAACTAGTTCAACCATTGTGGAAGTCAGTGTGGCAATTCCTCAGGGATCTAGAACTAGAAATACCATTTGACCCAGCCATCCCATTACTGGGTATATATCCAAAGAACTATAAATCATGATGCTATAGAGACACATGCACAGGTATGTTTATTGTGGCACTATTCACAATAGCAAAGACTTGGAACCAACCCAACAATGATAGACTGGATTAAGAAAATGTGGCACATATACACCATGGAATACTATGCAGCCATAAAAAATGATGAGTTCATGTCCTTTGTAGGGACATGGATGAAATTGGAAATCATCATTCCCAGTAAACTATGGCAAGGACAAAAAACCAAACACCGCATGTTCTCACTCATAGGTGGGAACTGAACAATGAGAACACATGGACACAGGTAGGGGAACATCACACTCTGGGGACTGTTGTGGGGTAGGGGGAGGGGGGAGGGATAGCATTAGGAGATATACCTAATGCTAAATGACGAGTTAATGGGTGCAGCACACCAGCATGTCACATGTATACATATGTAACTAACCTGCACATTGTGCACATGTACCCTAAAACTTAAAGTATAATAATAATAATAAAATAAAAAAAATAGACTAAAACCATAAAAACTCTAGAAGAAAACCTAGGCAATACCATTCAGAACATAGGCATGGGCAAGGACTTCATGACTAAAACACCAAAAGCAATGGCAACTGAAGCCAAAATAGACAAATGGGATCTAATTAAACTAAAGAGCTTCTTCACGGCAAAAGAAACTACCATCAGAGTGAACAGGCAACCTACAGAATGAGAGAAAATTTTTGCAATCTACCCACCTTACAAAGAGCTAATATCCAGAATCCACAAAGAACTCAAACAAATTTACAAGAAAAAAACAAACAACCCCATCAAAAAGTGGGCGAAGGATATGAATAGACACTTCTCAAAAGAAGACATTTATGCAGCCAACAGACAGAGGAAAAAATGTTCATCATCACTGGTCATCAGAGAAATGCAAATCAAAACCACAATGAGATACCATCTCATGTCAGTTAGAATGGCAATCATTAAAAAGTCAGGAAACAACAGTTGCTGGAGAGGATGTGGAGAAATAGGAGCGCTTTTGCACTGTTGGTGGGAGTGTAAATTAGTTCAACCATTGTGGAAGACAGTGTGGTGATTCCTCAAGGATCTAGAACTAGAATTACCATTTGACCCAACAATCCCGTTACTGGGTATATACCCAAAGGATTATAAATCATGCTACTATAAAGACACATGCACATGTATGTTTATTGTGGCACTATTCACAATAACAAAGACTTGGAACCAATCCAAATGTCCATCAATGATAGACTGGATTAAGAAAATGTGGCACATATACACCATGGAATACTAGGCAGCCATAAAAAATGATGAGTTCATGTCCTTTTCAGGGACATGGATTAAGCTGGAAACCATCATTCTCAGCAAACTATCACAAGAACAGAAAACCAAACACCACGTGTTCTCACTCATAGGTGGGAATTGAACAATGAGAACACATGGACACAGGACAGGGAACATCACACACCGGGGACTGTTGTGGGGTGGGGGGAGGGATAGCATTAGGAGATATACCTAATGCTAAATGACGAGTTATTGGGTGCAGCACACCAACATGGCACATGTATACATATGTAACAAACCTGCACCTTGTGTACATGTACCCTAAAACTTAAAGTGTAATAATAATAATAAAGATGAAGAAGCTAAGGATAAAAAAAAGAAATTGATGCATTTATCTAATGCCTGTACTGTCATTGTATCTAGGAAGTAACTAACTGGTTTTTGATTTTACAGTCTCATAGGTGGAAGGGACTTGCCTTGTCTCAGATGAGACTTTGGACTGTGGACTTTTGAGTTAATGGTGAAATGAGTTAAGATTTGGGGGGACTGTTGGGAAGGGATGATTGGTTTTGAAATATGAGGACATGCATTTGGGAGGATACAGGGGTAGAATGATATGGTTTGGCTGTGTCCTCACCCAAATCTCACCTTGAATCATAGTTCTCATAATGCCCACATGTCATGGGAGGGACCCAGTGAGAGGTAATTGAATCATGGGGGCGAGTTTTTCCCATACTGTTCTTGTGATAGTGAATAAGCCTCATGATATCTGATGGTTTTATATAGGACAGTTTTCCTGCACATGCTCTCTTGCCTGCTGCCGTGTGAGATGTGCCTTTGCTCCTCCTTCACCTTCTACCATGATTGTGAGGTCTCCCCAGCCATGTGGAAATGTGAGTTCATTAAACCTAATTTTCTTTATATATTACCCAGTCTCAGGTATGTCTTATTAGCAACATGAGGATGGACAAAAACACCATATTTGTGGATGACATGATACTATATCCAGAAAACCCCATAGTCTCTGCCCAAAAGCTTTTTGATTTTACAAACAACTTCAGCAAAGTTTCAAGATACAAAATAAATGTACCAAAATCAAAAGCATTTCTATACACCAATAACATCCAAGCTCAGGGCCAAATCAAGAATGCAATCCTATTTACAATAGCCACAAAAACAATAAAATACCTGGGATACAGCTTACCAAGGAGGTGAAAAATCTCTACAACAAGAATTACAAAACACTGCTCAAATAAGAGACAACACAAACAAGAGGAAAAACATCCACGCTTATAGATAGGAAGAATCAATATTATTAAAATGGCCATATTGCCCAAAGCAATCTACAGATTCAATGCTGTTTCTCTCAAACTACCAATGACACTCTTCACAGAATTAGAAATAACTATTCTAAAATTTATTTGGGATCAAAAACGGATCTGAATCACCAAACCAATCCTAAGCAAAAAGAACAAAGCTGGAGTCATCACACTATCCAGCTTCAAAGTCTACTACAAGGTTACAGCAACCAAAACAGCATAGTGCTGGTACAAAAACAGACACATAGACCAATGGAACAGGTAGCAAATCCAGAAATTAAGCCACACACTGACAATTACCTTATCTTCAACAAAGCTGAAAATAACAAACAATGGGGGAAGAACTCCTTACTAAATAAATGATGCTGGAATAACTGACTAGCCATATGCAAAAGATTGAAACTGGACCCCTTCCTTTTACTATCTACAATTAACGCAAGACAGATTGGAGACTTACATTTAAAACTTAAAATGATAACAACTTTAGAAGAAAACCTAGGAAATACCATTCTAGACAATGGTCTTGGCAAAGAATTTATGACTAAGTCCCCAAAAGCAATTGCAACAAAAACAAAAATTGACAAGAAGGACCTATTATACTACAGAGCTTCTGCATGGAAAGAGAAACTATCAACAGAGTAAGCAGGCAACCTACAGAATGAGAGAAAATATTTGCAAACTTTGCATGAAATAAAGGCCTAATGTCCAGAATCTATAAGGAACTTAAATCAGCAAGCAAAAAACAGCTCCATTAAAAATAAGCAAAGGACATAAACAGACACTTCTCAAAAGAAGATATACATGTGGCCAACAAATACATGAAAAAATGCTCAGTATCACTAATCATTAGAGAAATGCAAATCAAAACCTCAATGAAATACCGTCTCACACCAGTCAGAATGGCTATTATAAAAAAAGTCAAAAAGAACCAGATGCTGCCAAGGTTGCAGAGAAAAGGGAACACTTTTACACAGCTGGTTGGAATGTAAATTAGTTCAGCCACTGTGGAAAGCAGTTTAGAGAATTCTCGAAAAAATTGAAAATGGAACTACCATTCAACCTGACAGTCTCTCTATTAGGTATATACAGAAAGGAAAATAGTATTCTCCTAAAAATACACATGTTCTCACATGTTCTTCAAAGTGCTAGTCACAATAGCAAAGATGTGGAATCAGCCAAGATGCCCATCAATGGTGGACTGAATAAAGAACATGCAACACATACACGACGTGCAAAAAACTATACAGTCATGTTTTTTGCAGCAACATCAATGCAGCTGGAGGCCATTATCTTAGACAAACTAACAAAGAACATAAACCAAATACAGCATGTTCTCACTTATAAGTGGTAGCTAAACACTGAGTACACATGGACACATATATGCGAAAATGGACACTGGATCTTTCTTGAGGGAGAAGATGGGACAGGTCATGGGTTGGAAGGCTACCTATAGGATTCTATGCCACTACCTTGGTGACAGTATCATTTGTACACAAAGCCTCAGTAACACACAATTTACCCATGTAACAAACCTGCACACGTATTCCCTGAACCTAAAATAAAACTAGGAAAAAGAAAGACTGGTTTAGTTTTACCAATAGGCAATTCACAAAAATGAATAATAAATACATTAAAATTTTCAATCTCATTAATAAAGCAAAGCAAAGTACATTATAAAGATGTCATTTTCTTCCATAAAATTGGCAAAGATGTTTTTCTTTTTTAAGTCAAATTTATTGAGATATAATTTATATACTCATCTTTTTTCCCAAGGCATCTAGTCATGTGATCACATCACAATTAAGATGTGTAGAATATTGTGATTACCACGAAAATTTCCCCTGTACCACTCTGTAGTCAACCCCCTTCCTCCCATCATTTCCAGCCCCTTGCAATCACCAATCTTTGTTCTTCCGATATGTAGTTTTGTGTTTTTCAAAATGTTATATCAAAATAATAATATAGTATGTAGCCTTTTCAGTCTGGCTTCTATCCTTAGCATAATGCTTTTTCGTTGTAATTTCAACTTCTATTTTAGATGTAGGTGGTACATGTTCAGGTTTGTTACAAGGGAATATTGCATGATGCTAAGGTTTGGGGTACAGATCTCTTTACCCTGAGCATAGTACCCAACATGTAGTTTTGCAACCCTTGCCCCTCTCCCTGCCTCCTCCTTCTAGTCATCTGCAGGACCTATTGTTCCCATGTCTACTTCCATATGTGCTCAGTATTTAACTTCCACTTATAGTAAGTGAGAAAACACAATATTCAGTTTCCTGTTCCTACGTTAATTAACTGAGTAATATGGCCTCCTACTGCATCCATCTTGCTGCAAAGGACATGATTTCATTCTTTCTTATGGTTGCATAGTATTCTCTGGTGTATATATGTACCACATTTTCTTTATTCAATATACTATTGATTCTATGCGACAAAGATTTTTTAAAATCTTAATATCTTTAAAGATTAGATACAGTGTACACTACTTGGGTGACAAGTCCACTAAAATCTCAGAATTTGCCACTGTATAATTCATTTATGTAACAGAGAAACACTTGTACCCAAAAAGCTATTGAAATAAAAATTTAAAAAACTAAAATAAAATAAAATCTCAATATCTGCTCTTATTAAGGAGTTAAGGGACTATAAAATCTTGTTCTTCTAGTGGAAGAAGAAATTAATATTTTTCTAAGATCAATTTTGAAATATGTATACAAGTCTTGATTATTTGAGAGATTTATCTGAAGGCAATAATTGTCAACGAACACAAAGCTTTGCCACAATAAAGCAACATTGATTTTTATAAAAGCAAAAATTGGAAACAGCTTCGAAATTGCTTCTAACATGAGACTGATCAAATAAATCTGGGTTCTAAAATGGAAAACTAAGTGTATTAGGCCATTTTCACACTGCTGATAAAGACATACCTGAGACTAGGCAATTTACAAAGGAAAGAGGTTTATTGGACTTACAGTTCTAAGTGGCTGGGGAGGCCTCACAATCATGGTGGAAGATGAAAGCCATGTC
Organism: Homo sapiens; assembly: GCF_000001405.40. Classification (NCBI taxonomy): domain Eukaryota; kingdom Metazoa; phylum Chordata; class Mammalia; order Primates; family Hominidae; genus Homo; species Homo sapiens. The sequence goes on from NC_000011.10 coordinate 26,893,787, forward strand.
TCACATGGCAGCAGACAAGAGAAGGGAGATTGTGCAGGGAAATTCCTGTTTGTAAAACCATCAGATGTTGTGAGGCTTATTCACTATCACAAAAACAGCATGGGAAAGACCCGCCCCCATGATTCAATTACCTCCCACTAGGTCCCTCTCATAACATGTGGGAATTCAAGATGAGATTTGGGTGGGGACATAGTCAAACTATGCTACTAGACAATCATTTAAAAATGACATTGCATGAATAGGCAGAAAATGGTATATTTTTTAGGGCAGTGAATCTACTCTATATGAAACTATATTGGTGGTACAAGTCATATAGATTTTTCCAAACCCAAAGAATATACAGTACAAAGAGTGAACCATAATGTAAGCTATGGACTTTGAGTGTAGGTTCATCAATTGTAACAAATTATAACCTCCATCCTACTGGTGGGGGATGTTGATAATGGAGGAAGATACCTGATATAGTCTGGATATTTTTTCTTGCCCAAACCTCATGTTGAAATGTAATTCCAATGTTGAAGGTGGGTGGGGCCTGATGGGACCTATTTGGATCATGGGGGCAGATCCCTCATGGCTTGTTGCTGTTTTCACAATAGTGAGTTCTCATGAGATCTGGTCATTTAAAAGTGTGTGGCATCTCCCCACTTTTCTCCTGTTCCAGCCATGTGACATTCCTTCTCCTCCTTCACCTTCCTCTATGACTGTAGGCTTCCTGAGGCCTCCTCAGAAGCCAAGCAGATGTCAGCACCATGATTGCTGTACAACATACAGAACTGTGAGCTTATTAAACCTCTCTTCTTTGTAAATTACCCAGTATGAGGTATTTCTTTATAGCAATGCAAGAACAGCCTAACACAGAAAATTGGTACCACAAGTGAGGTATTGCTATAAAGATACCTAAAAATGTGGAAGCAACTTATGAACTGGGTAACAGGCAGAGATTGTAAGAGTTTGAAGGGCTCAGAAGAAGATAGGAGGATGAAAGTTTGGAACTTCTTAGAGACTTGTTAAATGGTTGTTACCAAAGTACCAATAGTGATTTGGACAGTGAAGTCCAGGCTGATGAGGTCTCAGATGGAAATGAGGAACTTATGGAGAACTGGAGCAAGTCATGTGTGTTATACCTCAGCAAAGTGCTTGGCTACATTTGTTCATTCCCTAGAGATCTGTAGAAGTTTGAACTTCCATGATGATTTAGGGCATCTGGCAGAATAAACTTATAAGCAGCAAAATGTTGAAGATGTGGCCTGGTTGATTGTAACAGCCAAAGCTCAGATGCAGGAGCAAGAGACTGACTTAAAGTTGGAAGCTGTATTTAAAAGAAAAGCAGAATTTACACGTTTGGAAAATTTGCAGCCTGGCCATGTGGAAGAGAAAGAAAAAGCTTTCTTGGAAGAGGAATTCAAGTGGGCTGTGGAGCAACCACTTGTTAGAGATATTTGCATAACGAAAAGGGAGCAAAGTTGTAATATCCAAGACACTGGGTAGAAGGGATTTGGCTTGTCTCAAATGAGACCTTGGAGTTTTGAATTAATGCTAGAATGAGTTAAGACTTTGGGGCAGTGTAAGGAAGGCATGATTATACTTTGCAATGTGAGAAGGACATCAGATTTTGGAGGGGTAAGTGGCAGAATATAGTTTGGAGACTTGTCTCACCCAAATCTCATGTGAAATGTAATCTCCAATGCTGGAGATAGGGGCTGGTGACAGGTGTTTGGATCATGGAGGCAGATTCCTTATGGCTTGGTGCTGTCTTTGTGATAGTGAGTTCCCATTAGATCTGGTCATTTAAAAATGTGTGGCAGCTGGGCATGGTGGCACACACCTGTAGTTCCGGCTACTCAGGAGGCTGAGGTGGGAGGATCACTTGAGCCTGGGAGGTCAAGGCTGTAGTGAGCCACGATGATGCCACTGCACTCCAGCCTTGGTGACAGAGTGAGACACTGTCTCAAAAAAAAAAAAAAGCGTGGGATTTTACAACCCCTCTCTTTCTCCTGCTCTGGCCCTGTGGCATGCTTTCTCCCCCTTCACTTTCTGTCATGATTGTAAGCATCCTGGGGACTCCCCAGAAGCCAAGCAGATAGCAGCACCATGCTTCCTGTAAAGCCTACAGGATCATGAGCTAATTAAACCTGTTTTATTTATAAGTTACCCATTCTAAAATATTTCTTTATAGCAATGCAAAAACAGCCTAACATCATGCATGAAGAATTACAGGGGGGTGCATAGAGAAAATCTCTGTACCTTCTGCTCAATTTTGCTTTGAAACCAAAACTGCTCTAAAAAATAAAGTCAACTTTTTAAATGACATTGCAAAACAAAAACTAATAATGTGGAAAATATTTATACTTTAAAAGGTGAAATGCTTAATGTTAAAATAGTTTTTTCCTTTATTTCTTACATTTTGTTTTCCTGTAAAAAATTAACTTTTATTTTTTTAATTTAAAAGTAATAGAATGTTGCAGGAAGAAAGAAAAGAGAACACAGAAATTTTAGGGCAAACCCAGTTGGAAAATGGAGAATAAAGAGCAAAATTTATGCTGGGTGAGTTAAGAAAGGACATAATGAGGGTATGGGGTAGGTGGATTAGAGTCATTCAGAACTGGTCCATGACTGGAGAGCATCCAACAGGATATCCTTTTACTTGATAACTGATGTGTATGACGAGGAAACACAACTAACAGGAAGGATGTACACAGAAGAAAGTAAGTGGGGCTTCTGTGTTAATTGCAGGTTTTCCCAAAAATTCTTGTCAATTGGCTGTAATCCCTTGGAAACCTTAGGGTTACATTTACTATTTCAGAATGTACAGTGAGTCTTATAATATGATTATAATAACTACATTTATAGACTTATTAGAGAATTAAATGAGATGTCATATATAAAATACTTAGCACTGTACTTGCCACAAAGTGAGCAATAACTGATAGACATTTTTAAATTATCGTCACTTTATCATCATTAATTATTATCATCAAATTGAAGCTCAAAGAGATTAAATGACTTGCTCAAGGCCACCCAACTAGAAAAGAATTCCAGCTTATCTTTGTATTCTAATCTATTTAACTCCCAAGGCTTTTTCTCTTCTGCCTGTTTAGAAAGCTTGGGGTGATGGAATACCAGCATCAGAATGCAAAAAATGAAGTGTGCAACTCCACCCAGTTTGGGAATCTGGAATTGCTGTTCCAATACACTTTTATAGCAATTCTACAGATGTTGTTTAGTGCTGAGCATGAAGACTGAGGGACAGGGTGGCCAAGGGAAATATCTTCTGCTGAATAATCATAATTTTCACTTAGGATTTTTTATTTAAAACGCTGTTAACCTGGAATGTAACTGATCTGGCCAAGAAGGTGAAACTCACATTTATGATTTATTCACTCAACCAATAAATATTTCATGAAAGTATACCATGTAATAGACTCTAGTATTACAAAAATAAATTAGACTGTGATCCCTGCCTCCATGTAAATTAATCTATTATTATTTTTCACCTTTTTCGTCTTGTTCCTCTTTCCTATTTCCATTCGTTTGGTGAAAAGGCTATTCATTTCCCCTTGTAATTTGAGATTTCCACTGTACTTTTACACCCTATTTAGAGTTAACTTTTCTTTCTAAACACAGTAACAAGACACATTCTAAATTATTTTTTAAATGTTGGAGGCTAATCCCTTGTCCAAGGTGTTCTATTGATTTGCCTTTCTCCAATGCAGCTAGTCCATTAAAGAGGTTTCCTTTCCCAAATTCCCTCACTCTGGGAGATCTGCGAAAGGCATTTATTTTATCCCTCTTTCTCATGAAACTCTCCAGTTTGCTATTCCTTTGGTACTTTTGGTTTGAGGTTATTATTAGCTTTTCGCTTGCAGTTTGTCTTTTCTAGTTTAACAATTCCTGTTTTGTGCTTAAATTCCACATTCCCAGTTACACTCCAATTATCCACTTAGATTTTGACTATAACTATTGCAAAATTTATCACCCTTCTTTTCTCTCTGATTCTTATTCTACTATATGGAAGTCTCAATTCGGATCTGTTTGCTGTTTTTTAGTTTATAGAGAAATATTCCCTCAGACGGGATAACTGAGTGGTAGGTACTCTTTAGCATCTTGAATATCTGGACATATCTTTCTCTCATCATGGAAAGCAAATGTGATACTTGGGTTGCAGTCCTTCTTGCTAATATTCTCTACAAGTTACTCTACCATTTTTTAGCTTCCAGTGTTGCATATGAAAATCAAATGCTTATTTGATTTTTATTTTTGTAGATAAATTGTTTTCGCATCAAAAGTTCATGAGTTCTCTTTATTCTTGGAGCTGTGGAATTTTACCAGAATAAGCCTAGATATGTTTCTTCTAACATCTAACATCTTCACAATCTAACATTCAGTTGGTACTTTTTCATATTCATGATACGTTACTAATTTATTTGTTGTTTTTCTTCAACTATTCTCTTTCCGTTCTTTGGAAATTTTATTATTTTAACATGGTAAGTATCCTGGATCTCTTCTCCAGGAAACATTTCCATAATCATTTCCATTTCTTGGTATTTTTATTTGTTCTGAGATATTTATTCCAGGTCCTAACAGGTCTCAACCATAACCCTTGCCTTCTTCTACTTGTCTACATGCTTTTTAAGGTCCCAATTCATGTTTATAAACAGAAAAAGATTGCTTAAAAAAAATTGATTCATTATAGGTAATCTTTTACATTTTAAAATCATGTTATCTCCTCTAGCACTACCATTCCTCTTGAACATGTCTTTTCTCTGTCTTCTATTTTTTTTCCCTGTTTGTTGGGTTCATTTGCCTGATCAGTAGATTTTAGGTACAGTTGTTGGGGTACCTTAAGTGACAGCAGTCTTTGATTGTCAAGAAGCACAGAAGTCTCCACACATGAGATCCACGTCAAACAGCTATCATGAGAATAAACTTTTTCTGTTTTATCATCTCCTAAAATAATAATACTGGCAATAGCTGGCAAAGGCTGACACTCTTCCATTGTCAGGAGGAGAAGAAATAAAAAAAAAACACCTGTTTAACTGACCAGCTCTTGCTACTAAAAGTGTGGTCTTTGGACCAGCAGCAGTGGACTCAAAAGTAAAAACTTTGTAAAGGCCATGAGCTGATCAGTGGAAGCCCTTGATGCCCAACTTGTCTGACTATTAGTCACACCAATTAGATTGGATAGATGCATGGCTTTAGTACGGTGTTGTGCCTCAGGACATGCACATAGACTTAACATGATGTATTATTTCTTGTTGAGCACAACCTACCTAAAATGATGACTACTAAATAGCATACAATGAGTATAGCACATAGTACACTCAAAGAGCCCCAAGATTATGGAATAGTAACATTCCACAGAAAATTTGAGATTCAGAACTTGCAATGATGCTTTCCAAGATCTGTAGGATTCTAGGATTTATGAGATCTGATAGATTATTTTGGGATGAATAGATTCCTGAGTAGAGCCAGTTTATATAGCTTTGTCATTATTCATGAAACACATTTCAACTCAAGGTCCCAAGTCAAATTTCATCAATGATTGCTTTCAAGCATAATAAGTACAACTTTAATAGATTTACAGCATCTTAAGAAGTTGCAAGTTGACTGAGAATTACCCAATGAAGGGTCAACATTCAGAAATCCATGGAATTGCCCCAAATAAGTTCCTTTTTCCTTCAATTTTATAATCAGGCATCATATGGCTATATTTTTCACTGTTCTGTGATTTCCTTTCTTTGGAAAAGGCCATATAATTTTATACATTACTTCATTTTGTTTGTTTTAAGGTGTTTTGAAAAATCAAACTGGGATCCTTTTTGATATGTAGAAGTTAAGTAGTCTAATATCTTTCATCCAATGAGGAACATAATGGAAGAAACTTATATAAGTACATTTAAATATAAGTAATATGTTTGGCAACATAATGTTGGTTGTGCTAGAATTTATCTGGAGACATTTTTAGTATTTATGAACAAGTGCATTATGTCACAAAATGCGGAGAGCCCACAAAAAGGTGACAAGAGTACCAGACAGGGCCTAAAAAGAGACACATTTTGAGTTTTCATTATTCCTATTTCTCCTGGGCATGCCCCATCATTATTTGTTGTGGGATTTGGATCATTGCAGCAATTGAAAGGAAAAGGTTATAAGTTAGTATATAATTTAGTCATAAATGTTAACTAAATAAAACTAAATAAAGCTTTACCCTCCCCCCACAAAAAAAAAACCTTTACACTAAATTTGCTACAATTCTTTGCCTTCTCCAGTGAAACTGCCATGTAAAAACATCCTAAGATTTCTTAAGTCACGTTGGTCCATCTTTTCTTTGATGTCATGGGATCACATAAAAGATGGCGTATAGCAGGGCTCCTGTTGGCAGTAAAAGCATGATGTCACTGAATCAATCATCCAGTCCCCATTAAATCATGGGGCAAAAAGTATCAGCACATTCCATGTTCTTTGCTGCTCTTAAAATCAAGTACACCACAGAACCCTCACTAGGCCTCCAACATTTCACCAAATTTTGGTCTCTGATTCTTAGTTATGTTTTATTATTCAGGTACAGAAATCATAGCTTCCATGGGTGGGAAACAAGGAAAGATAGAAAGGCCACATTTTGGTGATACACACTTCCCCCATGTCTCTAATCATGAAAGGTCTTCTTGCTCTTCTGTTGTGTAGAAGTAGGTGCTACAAGCAAAGCTGATCTTATATAACCTACCTCTTTCTTCTACTTCTTCATTCTTGATCCTCAGGATCTGACACATTTCCCTGACCCCAAATTCCCTCTTTTTTCCTTTCTCACTCTCTACACTCCCTGCACTGTATTTGTTCAAGGTGGAGCCTCGGGCTATATCTTCTAAAGTATTGGAGCTGATAAAAGCTATAGTGCTTACTCAAGTCCAGATTCCTCTTTTTACCTGTGAGTAAATTGTAGACCAGAAAGAAAAAGTCATTAGACCAAGTTAACACAACCATACTTTGGCCACAATAGCACTACATTCTGGGTCTTCTAATTTTCAGCCAAGTCTCCTTTCTATTCCCCTCATGCCTTGTTGTACAGAAACAAAGAAAAAAAATGACTTAACATATGACCTATCATATAAAAGTAATTTTTAATTATGACTTTATAATTTCGTAAATTGGGATTTGAGTATCTCACTTCCTGTCTCTCATCTCTGACCTACAAAGCTAGTATGAAATAATTAGAAAAGACACCCCCATTATTCATTGATATTTAGAAAGATCTGACCCAGAAAGATGCCATTTTACCAGAAATACAGTATTATCCATTTAGTTATTTAAGTCCAACAAATATGTTTGAAGGCATACTTCAAAATCAAGTCATGAGCATTAGATATATAAACAGTCAACTTCCTGGAAAAGCTAACAACTTGAAAAGAGATGATTTCCTCTAAGGACCCAACTTCTCCTAGTGGAAAATACATTATCTCACAAATAGGAGCTTGTTTCCTGCTTTTTGTTAATAAGGGAAGCCAATGTTAGAATGAAGGCCTCAGGGATGAAAATAAAATGAGTGGAACAGTTCTTGGCAAGGCTGCCTGAGGGATTTGGCTTCTTGACAGTGAAAATAGGCCTCAACTATATAAATTATGCAGGTTGGGACAGCCTAAGTCTCAGCCTTCCTAGATGGAGTCATGTGGGAAAGAACGTCTAGACATGAGAAATCAAGTTATTGCTTTTATAACTCCCATTTTAAAAACTGCTAAGAGCAGTACCTGCAATGGACTGTAATGTAGAACTATGTAATGTCTATCAAATTTACTGCAGCAGTCATATGAAGCAGATATTTGGACCAGCTAGAAATGATCAATTATTCCAAACACTGTCATCATTTAAAAACATCCTGCTTCTTGCTTTTGGAAAGAACAATTACTTACACTCTTAAAAAACAGTTTGTAAGAGGAGAAATTCAGCAGAAAATAGACCTGCATATGCTATTTATGAGCTCTACAATGATAAACCTCCTCATTGCCTCCAAGGAAAACAGAGACCCTCTTGTAGAGGTTTCTTGCATCTCAATTTGCAGGTTAGAAACACTGTTCACAATAGCAAAGACTTGGAACCAACCAAAATGCCCATCAATGATAGACTGGATAAAGAAAATGTGGCACATATACACCATGGAATACTAAGCAGCCATAAAAAAGGATGAGTTCATGTCTTTTACAGGAACATGGATGAAGCTGGAAACCATCATTCTCAGCAAAAGTAACACAAGAACAGAAAACCAAACACCGCATGTTCTCACTCATAAGTGGGAGTTGAACAATGAGAACACATGGACATGGGAGGGTGGGGGCAGGGGGCATCACACACCAGCACCTGCCAGGGGGTTGGGGGCTTGGGGAGGGATAGCATTAGGAGAAATGCCAATGTAGATGATGGGTTGATGGGTGCAGCAAACCACCATGGCACGTGTATACCTATGTAACAAACCTGCACATTCTGCACATGTATCCCAGATCTTAAAGTGCAATAATAATAATAATAATAAACACTAAGGAAAACAATAAACCAAACTGTGAGCTATTATTAGTTTAAAGTGACTAGCCATAATTAACAATGGTAGTACATATTTTGGATGGTTATAAAAAAATCAAAGAGAATTCAAAACTCTGAAACAAAAGACCAAAATATGTTAAATGTAGTAAGAATCAATGGAAAGTCATGTATTTGGGTCTTAAAAGACAATTGCCCAACCACAGCTTGGACTTTCAGTTTACTACAAAAGCAATAACTAATAATGTAGTGAAACACCTAAAATAGCCAATGAAATCTTTACTTATCGAGTATAAATAAGATTCTACATCAGAAATGATAATTCCACTCTTATTCCTGAACTTGTCTAAACCTATACCTTGTGCATTGAGTTGATCTTTTAATCAAACATTTTACATACATCCTCAATGCCCATAAAAACTATTAGGTAAATGTTATTTTTTACTCCCATTTTACATACAAAGAAATAGACGCTAAAACATTAAACAACTTTCATGAGATTATACGGATACTAGATGGTAGAGCTGGGATTTGACCTAGGTAGACCAATTCTAGAGCCTGTAACTAGAAGGCAATAATTTTGATAACAAGTGTGAAGACTGAATTATATGAAAAACAGCAGAAAGAACTAAAACATTTTATTTTGATTAAAGTAAGTGAAGGACTATAATTTTCTTCAACCATCTGAAGTAATATTATTTGAAGTAATAGCTTGTGGGATAGGAAATTGCTTTCAAATACAGAACTAGGGTCAGTGTGTAAAAGTGAGGAAAGTTTAGGTTCCAAGTCAAGGTAATTTTTATAGCAATTTGATTTAAAAATACAGTGACCCAAGGAATTGTTTAATTTAACAGTGTCCTGTCTTGAATTCAGCCTTTTAACTAGACATTAAATTATGACCCTTCATTGATTCTTTATAATAAGTGCCAAAAGATGATACAAAGTGGTACAGATATTCTGGAAGTAAAAGAATGTGTTTAGTACAATAACCAGAAAACACTTCATGAAGAAGATAATAGTTAATACTTTAGCTTTGGCTCTGTGATACAATCTTAATTGTTTATATGAGAAATGACAGCCCTGGTAATAGGTATTGAGATGTGGAAGGAAGGCACTGAGATTTTGAAGAAAGGTAAGATGCAACCATATGATGTAGGAGCTCAAATACAACTGAAACATTTGGGACGCAGTATAGACATTATCAGACATGAATGCAGGAAAGAAAACTCTGGCACTACTCTGCAATAGATTAAGTGACAATGACAAATATTTATAATACGATTAAGGTCATAAAAGGTTGTCACATAATAAATCTGCTTAGATCTAGTAAGAATTAATGCAGGCTTGAAGAAGGAGATAGGAGTGGAAAAGTAGCAAAGTATACTCGTTAGGAACAACATCTGTAGTCAGTCAGACTTGGGTGTACATCCCCACTTCGTTACTTACTACTTATGTGAATTGGCAAGTGGTGCTCTCAGCCTCAGTTTCTTCATGGGTTTAAAAATAGCTAACTCATGCATACTTTAAGATTTAAATTACACAATGCATATAAAGCCCACCATATTGGAAGTTCTCAGTAATCACCGGTGATGATGATTAATGATGGGGTGAGGGGAGAAAAGGAGATAGAAGCAGCAGGCACAGGGCTGGGTTAGCCATATGACTTGCCAGATGATTGAATGTATGGAATAGGAAAAAAAGGCTGCAGAAGCAGTCAAAAATAACTTAGAATATTCAAGTATTTATAGTTGGGAGAATGGTTGTGCCATTAATAGATCAAGGTTGTCAGCTAGTGTTGAATTCAGGTTTGAAAGAGAAAAGAAAACAACTGTGGAAACTTTAAGAGGACATGATCTCACTTCTCCCAAACAGAAATTTAGCGCCACTTAGTCCATCCAGCTGAACCCAGAGCCCCAGTAAAAATGTAGCACCCCAGCTGTTTTGTGGCCTTCTGGTCTCAGCACTCTCCAGCTCCTTGCTTCTCAAAATTGGGATCACAGACTAGCAGCACTGGAGTCCCCTAGGAGCCCCCAAGGAGCTTGTGAGAAATGCAGAATCTCAGGCTTCTCTGCAAACCAACTGAATCAGAATTTGCATTTTAACAGGAGTCCAAGGTGATTAGTATGCACAAAAGTTGCTAGAGGACAGTGGGGGCTGGAAAAGGGGATGTCAGTTAATTAGATGACTGAATCTCAATTGTTTACTCTTTAGACTGTAATCTGATTAAAGGAATTTTATTGTGTTTGTTGACCACATGAATACATTAAAGAATTATATAACGTAGCCTCACTCTGCCTCATTTTGTTCCATTTTAACTTTGCAGGCCCTTTATATGTCTGGGAAAGAAAACACACACAGAAATGTTATATTGTTTGAAATAAAACAACTGTGGAAGTAAAATATTGACTTGTTTAAATTCCATAAAATGATAAAAATTATCACAAAGTGATAGCATTTTCCTTCAAAAAAGAAGTTAGCTTGGCTAACTTAGTGTTATATTCAGGTTTTGAAACAAAAACTCTTCAATTACTCAAACCATATCTTATATTTTATTTAGCAAACTTGCCCTTGTAAACCCATGCAGTTTTCTTTTGTATGCTTCAGGTGTAATATATATTAGCACTTTATATAAAACAAATTATTTTTGACAGTGGTAATTTCGAGGAAGCTTTCATAAATATGCCACACAAAAACATCTGGTATTACTCAAAGTCATAGTGGAAATATCTATTTTTATTATCACAGTAGATTGTCTCCATTACATATTTTGGAATGCATTCAATTTTGATTTGTAAAAATTACTTTAGAAACAGTTAAATATCTTTCCTTCATCATAAGGAGAATATAAATTTTTAAAATGTGGATACTGAAAGTGAGAATTGGATTTTGGGGGGACATATCAGATTAACTGTATTTATCATTTCAAATTTTTGTTTTAAATAAAAATCATTACCCACGTTCATCTCATATATAACTGAACTCCTTATTAATTCATTCAACAGATATTTATTAAACACATACTACATGTGAGGGTGTTACAACCTGTGTGCTGGGCACTAAAAAGACAGTGGTGAGCAGGAAAATACATGGTAATTTCCCTAAAAGATCTTACAGAAATCAAACAAATAATGTACAATTAAAACAGTGAAACAGATGCATGATGCAGTGAGACTGTGAGTCATAGGCGTGTGAGATTTTACGGAGGTGCTGCCCTGAGAAAATGACAGTACCATTAAGAGACAGAAAGAGGGCAGCTGCAAATTTAGATGCAAAGGGTATTAGAAAGAGAGCTCAGGGAGGAGGAAGCAGCCAAATACAGTGAGTTCCAGGCACAAGAAACAAGAGGCCCTGTGGTATGGCACCCTAAGGGAGATAAAAGAAGGCCAGCATGTGGCAGGAGTACAGAAATTGAGAACAGCTGCTGGGCGTGGTGGCTCATGCCTGTAATCCCAGCATTTTGGGAGATGAAGGTGGGTGGATCACCTGAGGTCAGGAGTTCAAGACCAGCCTGGCTAACATGGTGGAACGCTGTCTCTACTAAAAATACAGAAAATTAGCTGGGCATGATGGCGCTCGCCTGTAGTTCCAGCTACTCAGGAAGTTGAGGCAGGAGAATCGCTTAAACCCAGGAGGCAGAGGTTGCAGTGAGCCGAGATTACACCACTGCACTCCAGCCTGGGTGACAAGAGTGAAACTCCATCTCAAAACAAAAAATAAAAACAAACAAACAAAAAAATGAAATAGAGAGCAGCCTGGAATACCCAAGGTTGGCGCATCAAATGGAGGTGAGACCAGCCTGGATGTGGTGAGCCATGGTAAGATTTTACTATTCCATCCGCAACATTACAGCAAGCTTGACTTAAGAAAAAAAAGTCATATTTGCATTGATAGATTAGAAAAAAGATTAGAAGTAAATGAGAGAAGAGTCCTTAAGAGGCTAATGTACAATAGTACCAATGAATACTCTAGAATTTAACTACCAGAAAAAATCAGTGTATGAGATGTTCATATGTGACCCCTTCTAGACAACCTCTTTTTTTTTTTTTTTGAGACAGTGTCTTACTCTGTTATCCAGTGGAGTGCAGTGGCACAATCACAGCTCACTGCAGCCTCTACCTCCTGCTCTCAAGCAACCCTCCAGCCTCAGCCTCTCGAGTAGCTAGAACTATAGGTGTGTGCCACCACACCTGGCAAATTTTTGTATATTTTTGTAGAGATGGAGTCTCCCTATGTTGCCCAGGCTGATCTTGTACTCCTGGGCTTAAGCAATCCTCCCTCTTAGGCCTCCCAAAGTCCTGCGATTACAGGCATGAGCCACCATGCCAAGCCCCTTCTTTTTATTAATCTCATCTCTAACCACAGTCTCAACTCCACAACCATACACTGTATACTTATTCTTCAATGAATGTCACATCTTTTCTTTCTCTGAGTTTTTACATAATGTTTATTCTTCTCAGAATGACACTCTCTTTTCTCTTCTTCTTTCTTTAAAACCTGCCTGAAAGCTTACCTCCTTAAGAAGACCTTGACCGCTTTCCCTAGGAAGAGCTCATTTTCCACCTCTCTGCTGGCTTCAACACCTTATAACAACTAGATATGTAACATTTATCACATTGTACAGTGATTATTTGGGTTTTTTTTTTTTTGCCAACACATCAGAGGATTTCAAGCTATTGTTTTAAGCCATTCAAAATTATTCAATGAACATTTGTGGAAGCCCCAAATATAAACTATAAGTAAATGGTTTTTTCAACTGAGGCAGGGATAAGTGTTTTATTATCCCTCTAGAATTTCCTCAGAGACGAATCCAAAATGATCCCAAGTTGGCATCATCTGCAGTCCAAAATGATACATTAATAAAATATACATCATGAATTCAGTACTGGTAGAAGTGAAATTACTTCCCAACACAGCCATTCTTTTTGTTTTATTTTTAATTTTTATTTTAAGTAAAAAAAAAAGTAAAAAGTTTTTTTTTTCTTTTTACTTTTATTCAGGGGAACATGTGCAGGTTTGTTATATAGGTAAATTGCACATCACAGGGGTTTGATATACATATTATTTCATCACCCAGTTAATAAGCACGGCACTTGATTGGTAGCTTTTTGAACATCACCATCCTTCCACACTCCACCCTTGAGTAAGCCCTGGTGTCTATTGTTTCCTTCTTTGGGTCCATATGTACTCAGTGTTTAGCTCCCACTTATAAGTGGGCACATGTGGTATTTGGTTTTCCGTTTCTGTGCTAGTTCGCTGTAGGTAATGACCTCCAGTTGCATCCATGTTGCTGCAAAAGACATAATCTCATTCGTTTTTATGCATAGTATTTCATGGTGTATATGTATCACATTTTCACCATTGCTGGGCATTTAGGTTGATTCCATGTCTTTGCTACTGGCAACACAGCTATTCTAAGATGCTAGAAAGCCGTCATCTATTAACTGTGGAGTTGTATAAATATGAGTCTAGCAACATCTCTGTACCCCACAAATTTCAGCACACAGGTGGAAGTCCCTGAATGATTTTTTTTGGAGCCATTGCTACTTGGCTTAAGATATAAGATAAGTTTACCCGATCCAACCAGTTCAGAAGGCACTGGAATACATAGGGCAACATAGAACATTGCTAATGTCCAAAAACTCTCTTCTTAGGAATTACCTCAAAAAGAGTTCTCCTCCCTCTTGGTCTCTCCAACATCTGAGTTACCATTGAGGAATTTGTTGAACTGAGAATTACAAAACTTATTTTCAATTATTTCCTATGTAAATCTTCATAGGCAATCAACATCTCACACATGTAGAGGCACTTAAAACTTCTTGTGTCATTATCGGCCTTTGGAGTATCAGCCAACATGACAACAGAAATAATCTCATCACACTATTCTGCTAAACATACATAGCTTATCCCCTGGTATAGATTAAAGGAGAAACGCGTGCTGTTCATTTTCAGCAGGGTACACTTGAATAGCTTATTTTATATAGAGTAGTAACATTGCTGGTGCCTTCTAGGTCCTTACAATAAATATAGGTGCCAATCATATATGCCAGGCAAGGACCAAAACTGACATGGAGCTTACATTGTATTGTATCTGATTGACAATAATTTGAAAAATAAATATATAATATATTATGGGTGATAAGTGGTCCAAGAAGAAAAGAAATAAAGCACAAGAAGAGTATAAGGAGTAATACAGGGAGAGGGTTACTCTTTAAATTGAGTGATCAGGTAAAACCACTCTGAAAATATATTTGAGCAAAAGCTTGAACAAAGCAAGGGAGAAAATCAGGAAGGAACCTTGAGAAGAAACCTTCCCTGCAGAAAAAAAAAAAAAACGAACACCTATCAAGTCGATCCCCTTCATTTCTCTTCTCGCCATCCTCACTGTCACTCTTATTTCATACCATCATCGTTTCTTGCCGCCTTGCTGCAATTGCCTCCAACATGTTCTCTTTGCCTCTGGTCTTTTTATTCTCCAATACAACCTCCACAGTGATTCTAAATTGAATCCATGTGATTCTAAATTGAAAACATATAGTATCACATAACCCCTAACTTAAAACTTTCAGTATCTTCCAATAATCTACTGATAGAGTCCAAACTCATCACACAAGATGCATAACCTTTCATTATCAGACTACAGGCCATCTAATTAGCTTCTCCTTTTTATCCTAGTGTGCACTAAACTACTTGCTTTCCTTAAAATGCTCCATGTACATGCTTTCCTCTCTGCTTGAAATATCCTTCATTCTAATTAGCCGTTAAGACTCACCTCTCACTGCCTCTTCTGGGTCTTTATTAGTTCCTCTTACCTACCCGACCAAGCTAGTCACACTCTACTGTATGCACTCATAGTACCCTGAATACAGCAACTTTTTAAATGTACTACTGAGGTTGTATTTGATGCTTTTCTCTCATTACATTATTTACCTCCTTGGATATAGAAACTTTCATATATATATATATATATATATATATATATATATATATATATATATGTATGTATTTATATGTATATCTTTATATCTCCAGGATCTACCTCAGTGCTCGCCACATTATGTGTCCTAAATAACTAACTGATAAGAAATGGGAAAAAATGAAATATTAATGTGATAAAATGCCCGAGGGACTGAAACTCAGAAGAATCAGATTAACCTAACTTACAGCATAAATTTGGATAAGTTTCTTTCACTTCCAAGCTTTGGTTTTCTCGTTTTTAAAATCATGCCTCTTAACTAGATACTCTCAAAGGGCGATTCAGCTCTGAAAGTTTCCAAACATTTCTGTTTGAAATTGAATAGTGTTAATGTTGTTCTACTTTTTCAGCAAAGCCCCAAAGCAGACAAAGTCCTCCAGCCACCTGAGAAAGTCAATTATCTTCCAATCAGTAAACAATATATTTCTTAATCACTGGCAGAAGCATTTCCAATCTTTTATAAATAGAAATCCTTTGGTAACATAAACAAAATTGACTGAACCTGGAGATTGAGCTTTCGGAAAAAATGAGCAAATCTCTCATCTCCTTTGGAAGATGAGCATGATTTTGAAATGTTTCATCTGAAGTCAGCTTGTACATGAAAATCTCACTTTAAATGTTAATGGTACTCTTGCTTGGAGTCTTTCTGCTTAATCTCTGAAGTCATCTGCTAAGGTCAAAAGTATTTAGCAAAATAAGTATTTTTAACAGAATTTGTACTTTTCTAATGATATTTGGAAAAAAGTTTTCTTGCTTATGGAATATTCATTATTGGCAATTTGGGGTGCATTTGCAAGCCACGAAAGTCCTCCACTGATTATAGGCTTTCTCCAATTTGTTATAGTGCGTTCTGGAAGCAACTCAATTTGGTCAAACTGGAGCCAAGGTGTGGTGGTCTTATACTGGAAACACACATGGCAGCCAAGTATCATGTTATGCTGCAACATGGCTGAGTAGGAGAGATCATGTGAGACATTTGGAATACAGGAATATATTTTTTCAACTACTGTTCAGTCAACGTCAATATATAAGAAAAGCTGACATTAAGAGACTATGAATATGACAGCCCTGTGAATTCTACAACTATAATTACATGTGTTTGTGGGACAGAATCAACGGAGTCTCAGGGTAAAGTCATTGATGACGAGTGGCAGAAATTCAGCTTGCAGTGAATGTAATTTCAATCTCTTCTTGCTAAACGTAAGCCTTTGTCATCAGAATGTCTGAAACTGACATATAGAAAGAGTTCATGTTATATCTAATACAAAAGCAAAATTGGTTATATCCCACATTCTTTCTAAATGGTGGCTTTACAAAATAAGCTGAAGTCACAAAGATTCCAATGATTTCAATTTACTTCTGCAAAATTTGTGTTAAAAGTAGAATAGATTTAGAGATAAACACCACTGTCTCTCTCTCTCTCTCTCCCTCTCTCTCTCTCTCTCTCTCACACACACACACACACACACACACACACACACACACACACAGAGTAGCTTAGTACTTGACAAGTTTGTTTTTCTGGAATGTACAGCTTGTACTGGCACAAGGTACTAATTTGGCAGAAAGTTAAAGAAGTTGTTTGGTGAGCAGTTTAAACTATAAAAATCCTATGTAATTAAAAGCAATGAATGACTATTAGGAGAGTTTCTTGCAGTGGTTAAGAATCAGTGTATGAATTGAGAGAGAAAGCAATGCTCTATTTTCCTCCCTTCACAGTTCTAACAAACTCAGTCCTTCAAATATGCCTTTGATTTAAGAAAAAAAAATGTTTCTTAACTCATGAAATAGCCATCACATTCCAAAAACCTACCAGCAGAACTTTGTGCTTTGACACTTAGGTGAAAGAGAGAGAAAAAATGTGAAAATCACTATTTATTGTTTAACATAAGAGAAGACAGAAACTGCAATGCCACACAAATTTTATTGCTATCAAATCAAATCACAGAAGTCTATAAGATTGATTCAGTTTCATCAGAAAAAATTGTTGTCTCAAGTTCTGTATTCCCTGTTCAAGAAAGCAAAGGTGCAGAGAATACATTTTTGGACACTAATATTTGTTTACATTTTTCAGTCTGGGACTTGAAATGAGCAGTTTCAATTATGAAAATAATTCATTTACAAAGAAGAATGGCTTTCATAAAGGTGCCTAACCTTAAAAAGACTGCTGTACATTTCTAAAGAAGCTTAATGCACTGACATACTGGATCTGTAAAGTGATACACATTTCATTTCCAAGAGACTATTAGGCACCTCTACCCAAATAAATACCTATAATTTCTCCCTTTTCTTTCCATAATGACTTTGCCAAGGCCATGTGAGACAATTCCTATGTTTAAGTGTGTTAGCACGGAAGTAGCCACTGTAACAGCACAAACCTCCTAATGAATCCAATTTGTTAAGGTTCTCTGTTAGTGTAGATGATAAGCATAAAAAGAGAAATGTAAACAAGATACAATTGTTTGGGTTTATGCTTGAAAAACAGAGGAAAATCAATAATGTGGTTAGAGAAAAGGCAATTTTCCCAGGAAGCAAAAAGAAAGACTTACTTTTATTTTTATTTATTTATTTATTTTTTCCTTGAGACGAAGTCTCACTCTGTCACCAGGCTAGAGTGCAGTGGCTCGATCTCGGCTCACTGCAACCTCTGCATCCCAGGTTCAAGCAATTCCCCTGCCTCAGCCTCCTGAGCAGCTACAACTACAGGTGCATGCCACCACACCTGGCTAATTTTTTTTTTTTTTTTTTTTTTTTTTGTATTTCAGTAGAGACGGGGTTTCAGCATGTTGGCAGGATGGTCTCGAACTCCTGATCTCATGATCTGCCTGCTTCAGCTTCCCAAAGTGCTGGGATTATAGGCATGAGCCACCACACCCGGCCTACTTTCATATTTCTAGGAAGGGAAAACTTGTCATATCTTTAATGTTTCCATTCAACTTTGGTGACAATGATATACAATGATATGAATAGAAGATCCTTCTGTTGGAACACCTAGAATTCACCTCTGTGCTTTGGCTCTTAAGGAGTGTGTGAGTTTTACCCTATCTCCCTTTCTGAATACAATATGACCTTGCCCAATATCACAACATTCACATAGGAAGTGAGAATCTTCTCCTGAATCTTGTGTACTCTACAGGAGGGGTTTCAAATCTGTCAGTAAAGAGCTATGGGTGGCTCTCCAAGCTTTATGGAATTGCTCATTGCATAGTTTGGCTCTCTAAAAGAAGCAGAAGAGACCTTGTGTATAGGTTGAAGGTTCCTGGAAGCCACAACCTGCTGTTCTGTGATGGGGAAATGGGAGAAATTAGTTAACCCCTCTGGCCTCTTTCTACTTTTTCCTCCTTACCAAGTGCTCACTCTACCTTTGTAACCTTCTTGTCCCTTCTCTTATTTCTTGCCTTCTCCCTCTACTGTTTTTCTCTTGTTCTTTCTCTACCATCTTCTTCCTTTACCTATATCTCTTTCATCTACCTCTTTCTTCTCTACTTTTTTGGTATTTATTTTTCTTCCACTCTTTTTTCAGTTTTGCCAGTAGCCCTTTAATGTCAGGCACTGTTCTATGCAATGCAAAAATATTAAATTAAATTTTAAAAATTTGCAGATTTGCACTCAAGGAGGTCACAATCTCTTGCCGAAAATGAGAAAGCATGAAACACGTTTTCACCAGTTACAGCACACCAGTGTACTACATTCAAGTTTAAGACTGCACTTACTCATAAATATCACTTAAATAAAATTTTGACAGATAATGCCTTTCTCATAATATTTAAAATTAGAAGTGACACTTCATAGATAACTTATTCCTGGTCTGTACTATTATCAACAAATTAGTTTGCCTGACATCATGGAATATTTGACAGGCATATTGACAAGCAAAACAGCATTGTGTATGGGTGTCTCTGGGGCATTTTCCCAGAAAGTCTTCGCTATCAACCAACCTGACTCTGAGTGTGAAGATTCTCATAGCACCCTGTGTATTTCCATCGTACAGTATGTATGGACTTGGGAGTGCAATAAACACTTTATTTCCAATAAATGAATTTAATCTGCTCTGGTTTGAATATCTGTCCCCTCCAAAACTCATGGGGAAATTGAATCTCCAATGTGCCGGTATTGAGAGGCGGAGGCTTTAAGAGGTGATGAGATCATGAGGGCTTTGCATCCATGAATAGATTAATTGATTCATGGTTTAAGAGATTAATGGTTTATCATGGGAATGGGACTGTTGGCTTTATAAGAAGAGGAAGAGAGAGTTGAGCTAGCACACTCATCCCTCTCCATGTGATTCCCTGTGCCACTGCAGGGCTCTGCACAGAGTCCCCATCAGCAAGAAGGCTCCCACCAGATGTATCCTGTCTACCTTGAACTGCCCAGACTCCTGAACTCTAAGAAATAAATTTTGTTACTTAGAAATTACCCAGTTTTAGGCATTCTTTTATAAGCTACAGAAAACAGTCTAAGACATAATTTAATTTACCCATAACCACCCCCACATCCTGTTATCAATATCCATTGTCAATATGTTGCAACCATATCCCACAAGGTTGTGAAATGCTTTCTCTATTCTTTGGGGCATCCTCCTCCTCCCAGGGTATCTAGGGTCCTGGATATTACATGTCTTAGGAGTTGAATTTTCTTTCTACCCAAATTCACATGTTGAAACCCTAACCCCCAATATCTCAGAAAATGTTTGTGTATGGAGATAGGACCTTTAAAGAGGTAATTAAGTTTAAATGAGGCTGTTACAATGGAATTCAATCCAGCCTCACTGGTGTTCTTGTAAGAAGTGGAGATTCAAACACAGACATGCATATGCACAAAGGAAAAGCCATGTGAAGGTGCAGGGAGAAGATGGCCATTTGAAGGCCAAGGAGAGAGGCCTCAGAGGAAAGCAGCCCTACCACAACCTTGATCTTGGACTTCCAGTCTCCAGAATTGTGAGAAAATACATTTATGATGTTTAACCCATCTAGTCTGTGATATTTTGTATGGCAGTAGCACTGGCAAACTAATATAACATGGATCTCAATGACATTCTTAATAAACATCCCATACACTAACTCTACACTCATACATTAACTAACTCATCTCATGCACTAACTGCCCATTCCATACACTAATATCTCAGGATCTACTTCACGGGGAATCCAAGTTGAGACAAGATTATTTGACTTTTCCTCAGGCCCAGACTTCTAGATGTATGCCTGCTTCCTGAACAGAGAGAAGACTGTAAGTTGAAGTTGAGAACCAGACCCAATAACATATTAGAGCTCAAGCACCATCACTTTTAAAACTAAAAGCCTAACCTAATGGAAAGAATACCCTGCAACTGTAGAATCTTGGGGTCTTAGGGTGCTTGCTAGCAAAGCAGTGTCTTAGGGTGCCTGCTAGCAAAGCAGTGGCAGTGTCCACCATTTCATCAACCAGGAAATGGTGGCCATCAACCAGAAACTCTTGTGCTTAGTTGAGTAACTTAATGTAACAATACTAATGACCATCCAGGTTCCAGACCTAGATGGTCATTACATCCCCTGAGAAGTTTTCTTAAAAATACAGGCTCCTGGGCTCTACTCTAGACCAACTGAATCAAAATTCTCTAAAGGTAAGGCCCAGAAATATAATTTTTAAATCTTCCCAGAGCATTCTAATCATAATGGGTTTAGGAACCAGTGGCATAGAATATACGTAAGATATACATGTGGACTCCCAGTGGTAATGGGAGGACACCTGGCAGGTGATAAGGCAAGAGGATTCAATTGTCAACAGAATGGTGGTCATATTTGCATTTAGAGACTAGTGAGGCCTCAGGAGAAGGCACATATGTTGTAAGTAAAACCTGTTTTGATGTGGGATTCAGCTAAAACCAGATTCGGTTTCAGCTCATCTACTTACTGGCCGTGTGTCCCTGGGAAACACATGCAAATTCTTATTGTCTCAGTTTCTGCACCTGTGAAATAATGATACAAGCACCTCACTTTAGGAGGTCGCTGTGGAAATTACATTGAACTTCCTGTCCCTCGCCCCTCCCATTCCTTTCACAACGTCTGGCACCCCAGTAGAAACTCCATTAACATTTAGAAAAGGAGATGTAAAAAGTAAAGATCAGTAACAAGTACAATATCTCTTCTCCAATTTCTATAAGAATTTTTTTTCTAATTTCTGTAAGAAGAATATTTGGAAGGTAGTGGCCCACTTAGAACAATTTAAACACTTTCATTTTTCAGAGTTTTTATTTAGGCCAAAATTGGTTTAAGGACAGAAGATAATTCTCTAGTGACAGGACATTTTTTAATACTGAGAGTAGTTCACTATGTGGGTCATTGGCTCTGCTTACAGCAAAATAGTTGTAAGGAGTTGGATGAAAATATGTAAGGGAGGCTGATCAAATCTGCAAATGACAGGATCAGGAAGGGAGAGCTACTGCGTAACTTATCACGAGAGCCTCCAAAAGACCTTGACTAATTATCCTGGTAGGTCAAAGTGAATAAGATGCAATGAAACTGGCGTAAGAGTAAAGCCCAGTGCTGGGATCCTGCACAGTATTTTAGCAAATAAAAAATAGAAGGGACTTAATAAATAGTTCCTGTAAAAGTCTCCTAAGAGTTTTAACTCACTAGGAAGAACAGAATTTTCTCACATCTATTTTGTGCTTCCATAGAATATCATACCTATCATAGACTACAATAGCATGTAGAATATTTTGCTGCATCATTCTTTGAGAATCTGTCTCCTTTTTAGTATATGTGTAATATAAAAATGAGATTATGTCTTGTTTTTCTTTAAATATCCAATATTAATATCAGATCTGGCACAGAGTGTATTCTCAGTAAAGATTTGTTCTATGAGTTGAAATATGTGTGAATGTAAGAATAATGGTATACATCAACGGGATAAGGTCCTCAAAATCAAGGTATGAAAGAAACGGTTGCCTAAGTAGGGATGGAGAGAAGGAGTATGTATTTATTAACCAATATTTATGATGTTAACTTCCAAAGATTGACTTTGCCTGCATAACAATTCTACAAGGGCAGTGTGATAATGTAGCATTTTCTGAGGTATGATCCTCACTTAGAAAGGACTCTGAAGAAAAGAAATACTCAGGGTAAGAGGATGGTTTCTTTCTTCAAAATTGGTCAGTAATTTCTTAACACTCTAGCACTCTGAGATTCACAGTATACTGTATTATGTTAAAGGCTCTGAGAAGTTCTACTACAAATAAACCTTGTTTGTCCTAATTTTCAACCCTGTTACTGATGAATTAATTTAATCATGGAATCAATTTTGTGTGTGAGAGATACCTATTATCCTCCCAAGGAAAGCACTGGGGCAATGCTATGGGGTAGAAGCTCTGAACTAGGAGTCAAGAACTCTAGGTTCTTGTGGTGACTCATCATTACTGACCTCATGTCCTTGGACATTAAAGCCATAGTTTCCCTATCTCTGAAATGAGTTGCTAATGCTAGATTTCCTTTCATCTTTATCACTGTCATGCCTTATGATCCATGAAACTGGGAGCATGCTCTAACAGTATTTGTAACTATGGTAGTATGGTAGACATTGCTGCATCTCGCCAATACCCAGACCTTCTTTCCTTCCTCTGTATATGGGAGACTATGCTTCCCAGCATTTTGGAGACTGGGGGAGTCATGTGTCTTGTTCTGACAATAATATACGGCTAATAATAATGGAATGGGATGCGGCACTTCCAGGCTGAGTCAGCGAAAAGCACTGCATGATTTTCCATTCTTTCTCCCCAGTGTTCCAGCAATCATGGAGAAAGCCTCACATTGAGATGGTGGAGCCACAAGACCGAGGTGGTATGGATTGCTGAATCACTGCCCTGGCAGCTGCCCTGGAGAGTTGTCTGGATTTCCAGCGATTTTTGTGTTAGTGAGAAATAACTTGAGGTGTTAAATCATTGGGATTTGGGGGTTGTTTGTTACCACAGCATTAGTCTAGCCTCTCCTGACTAATAAAGTAAGGCAACTACTTTAATTCAAAAAACATTGACTCCCATTGTTAACATTCATCGGGACCAATGTTTTATATGCCTTTTGGTTCTTGCAATTAAAAGATTATCATAAATAAAATATATTAATCCTTTTAACTTCAAATAGTGTTATTTAGGCCACTATTTTAAACGCCAAATTTCAGTAAGAAAAGCATAATACCATGCCTTGGGTCTGTCACTCCTGACTTCCAAGGAGTTCAGATTGTTTTCACACATGTTATCCAGTTTATGCTCCTGCAGTCCAGGGACATAGACAAAGAAAAAAATACGCCTATTTTACTAAGAGCAGAGTGCAATGCTCAGAGAGGGTGCATAATTTTTTGGTCCACAGAGAAAACAGATTTTATAATCATGCTTCTACCTCACCCAATACGAGGCTCTACCTACTCATTTTTTATTTTGCACTAATTTGTGCAATTTTGTGAAATTTCCTCTTTAAATAGCCATCACAATTTATCTGCCCCTCTCTGGTGGCATGCTTTGTTTATTTAAACTTTATATTTTAACAATCTTTATGGAGCTCCTGCAATGTGAAGAATAAGATTTCTGGCAATGAGAGGGGTCAGAAGCTGAGAAACAGAAGCTAGGGGAAAGATATACAAACGGAAGTTAGTCTCTTAATTTACCAGAAGTTTATAGCCAAGTAGAGTTTGAGGAGGTCAATGGAGAGGAAGCAGACAAAACATAATAACACAAGGGCTTGCATGAAAAACCCGGCAGGCTAAACATGGAACTCATCAACCTGCAGGTCCTCATGAAGAACTCTCTTTCAGATTGTGAGAGATACTGCTTTTAAATTTAGTCTATAAAGCCTGATTAGTGGCTTTAGGTCTAAAGCTAATGGGACAGAGGCTTCATCTTCCTTATTGTGTCTTATCTAACAGATGGAACATAGTAGGTACTCAATTAATTAATGAAGAGTGATAGGGGAGAGGAGACTAGAGGAAGGAAGGAAGAAAGAAAGAAAAGAAGAAATAAGGGAAGGAGGAAAAGGAGAGAGGGATAATTGAATTACAAAAAGAAAAGAAGGAGGGAAAGAAGGAAGGAAGGAAGGGATGGAGGGAGGGAAGGAGGGAGGGAGGGAGAAAAGGGAAGGAATAGAGCTTTATAGTGTGTTTACAGTCTAGGTTCAGTGTTTACTTACAAATAACTCTACCCTCACACCTGGAGTGATCAACTAGAGTAAACTCATGGAGATAAGAAAAGATTTTGTATTCATGAAATAAAAAGGTGCCAGGAAGAAGACACAGAGAGACAGGGAGAGAGGAGAAAAGGACAGAGGGAAGAGAAAGAAAACAATCAATAATAAAGATCATTTGGAAATTTGTATGTAATAGCCAAATAAAAATTAATTAAAATATTCAAAGGTAAGTCAAAGAAATCATTAAGACAGTAGAAGTAAAAGATCAAAAAATATTTTTAAAATAAGGGAAAAAAGATAAGACAGTGAAAGGATCAATCAAGGATGTCCAAATTCCACTAAAGGTATCCAGAAAGAGGAAAAAAAATAGTGGGAAGGAAATTACCATATAAATTATTTAAGAAAATATCCTCAAACTGAAGGGCATTTAACACCAGGTTGATATAATCTAGCACCCACTGTCTGCCCAGTCATAGCTGATACTAAAACTATTCAACATCTGTGAAGCATGGGCACTGTTTCAAGTTGTCACAGGAAAGCTATTGTCAGACAGATTAACATGCAGGATTTTTTTATGGGGTGCTCTTGGATTCAGTATTTGTGAAAAAGAAATGAAGGAGGCAGGACTGGGGAGAAAGGCAAATTGTGCTGTGTCCCAGTGAAGTCCCACATGACTGGAAATCTGGGAATTGAAATGGCCCTTCAGAAGTCTCCCTTATTGGGAGAAGAATAGGACTTTGTACTCAGCATTGATCATTGATTGAATATACATTATTCCTGGAAGGGGAAATGACTACAAATATGGCAGTTTTCATTAGCTCAGGCAAGAGAGATCTCAGCTGAGGGCTGTCATCTAGCAGTACTCCCAGCAGCTGGAGGAATAAATATTTCATTCCTGAAGGGAAACCTTGGTTGCACACTACAGCAGTGTTATAGGCACCACACAATCATAATAATGGACTTTGACTTATATACTGCATTTTTGTGCATTGGCTGGATGTTGCCTGTCATATTGAATTGACAAGCAATAATTTAAAAGCCATACTAAGGGACAGTATTGGCAATTTTAGAACATCAGTATTCCCACATGCTCCCAGAAAAGCAAAAACAATATATCACATAGACTTCAACAGGAAACAGAGTGGCACCAGACTTTTCAACAACAACACTGGAAACTGAAAGACAGTAGGTCAATGCCTTCAAATTCTATGGGCAAAATTATTTTCAACCTAGACTTAATGCAAAGTCAGATTATCAAGCAAGTGTGTGGATTATGTAAAGATATATTCGGACATGCAAAAACTCAAAAATGTTACTTCCCTTCCCTCTTGTTTTAGGAAAATACTAAAGAATGTTCTCTAACAATTGAAAAAGCATATCAAGACAAGAAAGATGGTATTCAGGAAACATGAACTCTCCCTTGCTGTGATTTGAATGTGTCTCCCAATTTTATGTGTTGGAAATGTAATCCTTAATGCAGCAGTGTTGAGAGGTGGGATCTTTAAGAGATGATTAGGACATGAGGGTTCTCCCCTCATGAGTTGATTAATGCTGTTATTGCTATAGTGGGTTAGTGATCACAGAAGTGGGTTCCTGATAAAAGGAAGAATTAAGTCCCCTTATCTCCTCTTTCTCTTGCCCATCCACCATGGAATGACACAATAAGACCCTTGCCAGATGAGGCTTCTCAACCTTGGAATTCTCATCTTCCAGAACTATAAGAAATAAATCTCTGTTCTTTATAAATTACCCAGTCTCAGGTATTCTCTTATAGCAGCACAAAACAGAGTAAGGGACCCCCACCACACCCTCCATCAAAAGAAGAAAAGGTAAGTATACTAACAGTTAAAAGAGAAGTACTCCATCACTCCAAACACTGCAGTCAGGGCTGCAGTCTTATCTGAAGATTCAACTGAGGTGCGCAAGGGAGAACCTGCTTCCAAACTCACTCATGTTGGCTGGTCTTTGCTACATGAGCCTGTTCGCAGGATGGCCTCACAATATGGCATCTGATTTCCTTAGAAGTGGGCAACTGTGGCCAGGCGTGGTGGCTCACGCCTGTCATCCCAGCACTTTGGGAAGCCAAGGTGGGTGGATCACCTGAGGTAAGGAGTTCAAGACCAGCCTGGCCAACGTGGTGAAACCCCGTCTCTACTAAAAATGCAAAAATTAGCCAGGCGTAGTGGTGGGCGCCTGTAATCTCAGCTACTTGGGAGGCTGAGGCAGGAGAATCGCTTGAACTCGGAAGGTGGGGGGTGCACTGAGCCCAGATAACGCCATTGCACTCCGGCCTGGGCAACAAGAGCCAAACTTTGTCTCAAAAAAAAAAATACATAAATAAAAAATAAAGTAGGTAACTGTAGATAAAACAAGAGAAATAGACCAAGTGCCTACCTGAAAACCATAGGCTTTCTATTCAAAAAGTAACTTTCTATCACTTCTGTTACATATTTTTTGTTAGAAGAAATAAAGAATTTCAATCCATACTCGGGGAAAGAGGATTATACAAGGACGTAAATAACAAGAGCAGATCTTTAGGGACCATTTCAGAGGCTGCTTATTACAGATAGAATGACAGTTGCTCAGTATTTACATAGAACAGCCCATCAAGATTTGATTGAAAACAGGAAATGAAGTCTTTAAGAGAAAAATATAAAAATGGGATTGATAATTTTTTTTTTTTTTTTTTGAGATGGAGACTCGCTCTGTCACCCAGGCTGGAGTGCAGTGGCGCGATCTCGGCTCACTGCAAGCTCCGCCTCCCAGGTTCACGCCATTCTCCTGCCTCAGCCTCCTGAGTAGCTGGGACTACAGGCGCCAGCCACCACGCCAGGCTAATTTTTTGTATTTTTAGTAGAGACGGGGCTTCACCGTGTTAGCCAGGATGGTCTCGATCTCCTGACCTCATGATCCGCCCACCTCGGCCTCCTGAAGTGCTGAGATTACAGGCGTGAGCCACCGCGCCCGTTCTAAAAATGGGATTGATAAAAATGGGATTGATAATTTGACACATGTGCACATGTATCAATTTACATAAATAGTATTGAGAAGCCTATTAAAATTGTGTTGCCTTTAAAAGCAATTAAAAATTATACACAATTTTAGAAAATAAAAAGAAATAAACATAAAATCAGGCAATTAACTTGAGAAGGAAAACAAAGCATATAAGAAAGTAAATAGAATCATAATATACTACTGGTCTCAGCAGTATTTACATGGGCAATATTTACATGGAGAAAGTAATGTACAGTAGTCCCCCCCTTATCTGCAGGGAAAACATTCCAAGATCCCCAGTGGATACCTAAAACCTAAAATGGATACCTAAAACCAAAAATAATAATAAATCCTATATATACCGTACTATGTCTTGTCCTAGTCATACATACCAATGATTAAGTTTAATTTATAAATTAGGCACAGTAAGAGATTAACAACAATAACTAACAATAAAGTCCAACAATTATAACAATACACTGTAATAAAAGTTATCCAGTCTCCCTCACTCTCTCTCAAAATATTATATTTTCAAAGTTACCTCATTGACCTGAGGTAACTGAAACTATGAAAAGTAAAACCTCAGATAAGAAAGGACTACTGACATTTTATTTAACAAAACTGTGATGTAACTATGTTCAAAGGGAGACTGGAGATTAAAAAAAAGTCAGGGGAAATGAAGGTTACACATGAACTAAATTCTTGTCTACCATAAAAGGGTAATAAATAATTTCTAAAGTTGACATCAGGTTAACAAGTAATTTCTAAAATCTATAAATCAAGAAAAATCAGCATTAATGTATTATTTATAAATAAGAAATAAAATGTCAGAAAAAATGTCAAAGTATTTGAAAGTTACTAGAGAACAGAATTAGAATATGATGCGAGAGAACAGAAAGCTGCTGTTTTTCATTATACGGCTTGAAAATATCATTTGCTTTATTTTATAAAAATTTAAACTATGAACATATGTTAATTTGATAAAAATAAAGATAAGTTTAAAAACAAATATATCAAGTAAAAATATTCCTTAGTCAGTGCCTTAGGTGAGAGGAATACAAAGATGAATAAAGACCATCTCCAACTTAAAAATATTACAGTCTAATACAACATAGGACATAGCCAGGAAGATTTTTTTAATTGCTTTTTAATTGCTTGTTAGTGTTTATCTCTTTCCAGGAAAATAGAAAGGAGTTCTGACTAACTGAATTTTCTTTTATTCCAAAGTATTTTTATTTTAATTTGTGTGGGTACATAGTAGGTGTATATATTTATAGGGGTACATTAGATGTTTTGATACAGGCATGTAATGTGTAATAATCACATCATGTAAAATTGGGTATTCATTCTCTCGAGTATTTATCTTTTGTGTTACAGACAATCCAATTATACTTTTAGTTATTTTAAATATATAATTAAATTATTATCAACTATAGTCACCCTGTTGTGCTATCAAATACTAGGTCTTACTCATTTTTTTCTAACTGTATTTTTGGATGCATTAACCATCCCCATGTTCCCCCCAGGCCCCAACTACCCTTCTCTGATAACCATCCTTCTACTATGTATCTCCATGGTTTCAATTGTTTTGATTTTTAGACCCCACATATAAGTGAGAATATGCAATGTTTGTCTTCTTGTGCCTGGCTTATTTTACTTAACATAATAATCTTTAGTTCCATTCATGTTGTTGCAAATGACAGGATCTCATTATTTTTACAGTGAATAGTACTCCGTTGTATATAAGTGCCACATTTTATTTATTCATTCATCCATTGATGAACATTTAGGTGGCTTCCAAATTTTGACTATTGTGAACAGTCCTGCACAAATATAAGAGCGCAGATATCTCTTCGATATACTAATTTCTTTTCTTTGGGGTATATACCCAGAAGTGGGATTGCTGGATCAGATAGTAGCTCAATTTTCAGTTTTTTGAGGAATATCCAACATATTCTCCATAGTGGTTGTACTAATTTACATTCCCACCAACAGTGTACAAGGGTTCCCTTTTCTCTACATCCTCTTCAGCATTTGTTATTGCCTGGCTTTTGAATATAAGCCATTTTAACTGGGGTAAGATTATATCTCATTTTAGATTTGATTTGCATTTCTCTGATGATTGGTGATGTTGAGCACCTTTTCATTCATACATATACCTGAATGCCATTTGTATGTCTTCTTTTGAGAAATGTCTATTCAAATCTTTTGCCCATTTCTCAATTGGATAATTAGAGATGTTTTCCTATAGAGCTGTTTGAGGTCCTCATATATTCTGGTTACTAATCTCTTGTCAGTTTGTAAATATTAATCTGGTTATTAATCTCTTGTCAGGGTAGTTTGTAAATATTTTTTTCCATTCTGTGTGTTGTCTCTTGACTTTGTTGATTGTTTCCTTTGCTGTACAGAAACTTTTTAACTTTATATGATTCCCATTTGTCCATTTTTGCTTTAGTTGCCTGTGCTTGTGGGGTATTGCTCAAGAAATCTTTGCTGAGACCAATGTCCTTGAGAGTTTCCCCAAAGTTTTCTTACAGTAATTTCATACTTTGAAGTCTTAGATTTGAGTCTTTAATCCATTTTAATTTGATCTTTGTATATGGTGAAAGGCAGGGTTCTAGTTTCATTCTTCTGTATATAGATATCCAGTTTTCCCAACACCATTTATTGAAGAGACTGTCTTTTCCGCACTGTATGTTCTTGGCACCTTTGTCAAAAATAAGTTCACTGTAGGTGTGTGGATTTGTTTCAGGTTCTCTGATCTGTTCCATTGCCTATGTATCTGTTTTTATGCCAGTACCATGCTTTTTTGGTTACTATAGCTCTGTCATATAATTTGAAGTTAGGTAATGTGATTCCTCCTGTTTTGTTGTTTCTGCTTAGGATAACTTATCAATTCTGGTCTTTTGTGGTTCCATATAAATTTTAGGATTGCTCTTCCTATTCCTGTGAAGAATGTCATTGGCATTTTAATAGGGATTGCACACCATCATGTCCAGCTAATTCTTTGTACTTTAGTAGAGATGGAGTTTCACCATGTTGTCCAGGCTGGTCTCAAACTCCTGAGCTCAGGCAATCTGCCCACCTTGGCCTCCCAAAGTGCTAGGATTACAGATGTGAGCCACTGTGCCTGGCCAGAATTCTTCAATTCTTTAATGGTGCAATATTGGTAGGTCGTGTGTGTCTAAAAATTTGTCCATGTCTTCTAAATCTTCCAACTTATTGTCATATAGATGCTCATATCAGTCACTAATAATCCTTTGGAGTCTTACAGTATCAGTTGTAATGTCTCCTTTTTCATTTGTAATTTTATTTATTTGAATCTTCTCTCTTTTTTTCTTTGTCTAAAGGTTTCTCAATTTTGTTTAACTTTTCAAAAAAACTAACATTTTGTTTCACTGATCTTTTGTATTGTTTTCTTCAGCTTTATTTACTTCTGCTCTGATCTTTATCATACCTTCTCTTCCACTAATTTTGGGTTTGTTTGTTTTTGATTTTCTAGTTCCTTAAGATGCATTATTAAATTGTTTATTTGAAGTTTTTCTTATTTTCTGATGTAGACACTTATAGCTATAACTTCCTCCTTAAGTACTGTTTTGCTGTATTCCACAGGTTTCAGAATGTTGTGTTTCCATTATTACCTATTTCAATAAATTTTGCTATTTTCTTCTCAATTTGTTCATTGACTCACTGGTCCTTCAAGAGCATATTGTTTAATTTCTATATATTTGTAAAGCTTCCAAAATTCCTCTTGTTATTGGTTTCTAGTTTTATTCCATTGTGGTCAGAGAATATGCTTGAAATTATTTCAATTTTCTGAATGTTTTAAGATTTGTTTTGTGACCTAACATATGCTTTATCCTTGAAAATGTT
Organism: Homo sapiens; assembly: GCF_000001405.40. Taxonomy (NCBI): domain Eukaryota; kingdom Metazoa; phylum Chordata; class Mammalia; order Primates; family Hominidae; genus Homo; species Homo sapiens. The sequence continues at coordinate 26,925,305 of NC_000011.10, forward strand.
TCATTTACTGAAGAAAGGAATGTGCATCCTGAAGCCATTTGGATAAAATATTCTGTAAATATCTATTAGCTCCATATAGTGCAGATTATGTCTGATGTTTCTTTGTAGATTTTCTGTTTGGAAGGTCTATCCAGTGCTGCAAGTGGGGTGTTGAAATCTCCAGCTATTATTGTATTGGGGCCTAGCTCTCTCTTTAGCTCTAATATTTGCTTTATACATCTGGGTGCTCCAGTATTCAGTGCATATATATTTAAAATTGTTATATCATCTTGCTGAATTGCCCCCTTTATCATTGTATAGTGACCTTCTTTGTCTGTCCTTACAGTTTTTGTCTTGAAATCTATTTTGTCTGATATAATATAGCAACTCCTGTTCTTTTTTTGCTTCTATTGGCATGGGAAATCTTTTACAATTTCTTTATTTTCAGTCTATGTGTGTGTTTATAGGTGAAGTGTGCTTTTTGTAGGCGACAGATATTTCCGTCTTGATTTTTTTATCCATTCAGCCACTCTATGTCTTTTGATTGAATAATTTAGTCCATTTACATTCAATGTTGTTATTGATAAGTAAGGACTTACTCTTGCCATTTTGTTATTTAATATCTGATTGTTTTCTGGTCTTCTCTTCCTTCTTTTCTCCATGTCTTCATTTTAGTGAGGGTGATTTTCTCAGGTGATGTGATTTAGTCTTCTGCTTTTTATTATTTGTATATTCGCAGTGTATTGTTTTTTGGTTGGAGGTTACCATGGAGCTTGCAAATAGTATCTCAACCTATTATTTTAAATTAATATCAACTTAACAGCATTCACATAAATAAATGAACAAAAAGAAAACTAATAGACTCTACACCTTAACTTCATCCCCCTCTGCTTTTTAACATTTTCTTATTTATTTTCATATCTTATTGTACTGTCTATGTCTTGAAAAGTTGTTGTAGTTGTTATGTTTTTGGTTCATCACTTAGTCTTTCTACTTAAGATAAGTGCAGTTTACACACCACAGCTACAGTGTTATAATATCTGTGATTTTCTATGTACTTACTATTCTCAGTGATTTTTGAACGTTCATGATTTCTTCTTGATTTCTTATTGCTAATTAATGTCTCTTTCTTTCTGATTGTAAGCATTCTGATCTGTAAGCATTTCTTACAGGACAGGTCTGTTGTTGATGAAATCCCTCAGCTTTTGTTTGTTGGGGAAAGTCTTTATGTCTCCTTCAAGTTTGAAGAACGCTTTTACTGAATATACTGTTCCAGGGTAAAAGGTGTTGGGTTTTTTTTTGTTTTGTTTTTTCTCTTTGCACTTTAAATATGTCATGCCACTTTCTCCTGGCCTGTAAGGTTTCCACTGAAAAGTCTGCTTCCAGATGTATTGGAGCTTCATTGTATTTGTTTATTTTCTCTTGCTACTTTTAGGATCCTTTCTTTATCCTTGACCTGAGGGGGTTGATTATTAAATGCTTTGAAGTAATTTTCTTTGGGTTGAATCTGCTTGGTGTTCTATAACCTTCTTGTACTTGGATATTGATATCTCCCTCTAGGTTTGGGGAGTTCTCTGTTATTATTCCTTTGAATAAACTTTCTATGCCTATCTCTTTCTGTACTTCCTCTATAAAAGCAGTAATTCCTAGATTTGTGCTTTTAAAGCTATTTTATAGATTCCATAGGTATGCTTCATTGTCTTTTATTCTTTTTTTTCTCCTCTGACCATGTATTTTCAAATAGCCTGTCTTCAAGCTCACTAATTCTTTCTTCTGGTTGATCAATTCTGCTATTAGAAAGCTTTGATGCACTCTTCAGCACGCTAATTGTATTTTTCAGCTCCAGAATTTCTGCTTGATTCTTTTTAATTATTTCAATCTCTCTGTTAAATTCATCTGATAGAATTCTGAATTTTTTTCTCTGTGTTATCTTGAATTTCTTTGTTTCCTCAAAACAGCTATTTTGAATTCTCTGTCTAAAAAGTCATCTCCTATTTCTCCAGGTTTGGTCCCTGGTGCCTTATTTAGCTCATTTGGTGAGGTTATGCTTCCCTGGATGATGTTGATTTCTCCCACTAGTAGATGTCCTTTGGTGTCTGGGCATTGAGGAGTTAGGTATTTATTGTAATCTTCTCAGTCTGGGCTTGTTTGTACCAGTCATCCTTGGGAAGGCTTTCTAGATTGTCGAAAGGACTTGGGCATTGTGATTTAAGCTATATCTGCTTTAGGGGGTACCCTAAGCCCTGTAATGCTGTGGTTCTTACAGACTCTAGAGGCACCTCCTTGATGGTCTTGGACAAGATGTGAAGAATTATCTGATTACCAGGCAGAGACACTTGTGTTCTTCCCTTACTTTCTCCCAAATAAATGGATTTTCTCTCTCTCTCTCTGTTCTGAGCCACCTGGAGCTGGTGGTGGTGTGACACAAGCATGATTAGGACTCTGCTGGTTCATACCTGAAGCCAGTGCAGCACTGGGTCTTGCTCAAGGTTTGTTTTAATCATTCCCTGGCTACAGCCTATGTTTTCTCAAGGCCCTGGGGCTCTACAATCAGCAGGTGGCAAAGTCAGCTATGCCTGTGTTCTTCCCTTCAGGGTGGCATGTTCCCCCAGAACCGAGTTCAAAGCCTCACAAATGCTATAATCTCCCTCTCCCCAGCACACTAAAATGCTTTCCATACCATGTCAGGGCTGCTGGAGGATGGGGGAGAGGTGGCATCATTGATTTAAGAGTGTTTTTTCTACCTCTTCAATGTCTTTTTCAGCAATATAAAGTTAACACCATCTACTGTGTGCTCATCTTTTTTTAGTTCTTATGAAGGTGATTTTTTTGGTGTAGATAGTTGTTAAATTGGCATCCTTGCAGGCGAGATGGTTGGTGGAGCTTTCTATTCTGCCATTTTGCTCCACTCCAAAGTCTAATTGAATTTTCTCATTAGCTAGGTTTTATTTACTCAGGAGAAATTCAGCCTCCACTTTTGCCTCCCTTCACTTTTCTGTGTAACTTTCCCAGCACTTCAGACTCACCTTCTACCAGAGGCACAGAAGGGAGAACCGACTCTGTCGTTTTACTGAAAATGAGGACCCCACGAGAAAGCAGTTGAATTCAACTCCAGGTGAGCCTGGAGGAATCAGCCTGAAGGTGACTCTGCAGCTTGCCTGCTGTTGCTCAGCAAAATGGTCTCACCCGCCAGGAGTGAGCAGACTGTGCTTCTGGGTCCAAGCCACTGATCACATCTAAAGTGTTATGCTTGAAACCCAGAAAAATAGATGAATGTACTCATTGGAAAATATGTTTTCACCATAAAATTTCTGAGAAAGTATAAACTGTAAACTAGTTAACATTTTTTAAGGCAGCTGGTCAGATACAAAAGTAAGCTGGTGATAGCTCTTGTAAATACTATGTCTGTGGCAGAGAAATTGCAGAAGCACAAACAACTTTAAACACTAACAGCTAGCCGGTTAAAGGAGATAAACTTCGCCTGTTATTTTGCTTGGGGCGGCATACAGCCTGGAATGGAAAACTGTCTGGTAGAAGACAGAAGACCTGGATTTTGAAGCTTGTATATCCACAGAAAATTTATTTCTCCAGGAATTTAATGGTTTAACAGCCTGATTTTCACAACTGCTATAAAGAAGAAACCACTAATATTTACATTGCTTTCAGTTTGTAGAGTCCTTTGTAGTTCACCAAGTGTGGTGGAAATAAATACTACAGATCAGTGGTTCTCACATAAGAAATGGGGAACATAAAAAATACTGATAGCCAGGCCCTACCCATGCTGAAACTAGAATCAGTTGAGATGAGACTTTGGCATTGGTATTTTTAAAGGAAGTATCCCAGATAGTTCTAATGTGGTTAGCAGTGTCTGAAACCATGTTAAAAATGGGAAACATTGTATGATGAAAAAAAACTGGGGAATGTGAACATATTAGCCCTCCATTTACAGGCTGAATAGACTTGAGTGAGAAATTTTATCTTTAAGTCTCAATTTATTCATTTGCAAAACAAGGATAAAAATCTTGTTATCCCTTATATGGAAGTTTAAGGCTCAGGAGAGTTTCTCTGAAAACACTTCATAAATTATGATGTTCTGATCAAATGTCAGCTGTGAGGTTATTCTGACTCTAGTTCTAAAACACAGAAGGGTCAATCAAAAGAGCTAAGCAAAACTCGTAGCCAGCCTGACAACTAGAGTCACTGGATGGCCAACTTTTCCAGAAGAAAAAAATCTTTAAGACATAATACTATGGTCATCAAATTCTAAATGCCTGCCTCTGTATTGGACTAGCTATAAGCACATGAAATTCCAAGAGTAGAACTTTAGCAAGCAGCAAAAAAGATAAGAAGATTCAGGAAAAAGGAATCCACAAGACCTCCATGATCCCCCTAAAATCCCCACTCAAGAAACTCATATATTTCATTTCAGTTTAGGCTAGCCCTGTTCTTTGACTACTAAACTCATGCTATGATGTAAGTAAACTGCCTGGAACACAGTAAACACTTAAATGCCCATTAGAATACTGTCTAATTTCTCAATATGAAGAAATAGTCTCATTATAAGTCTGTGTGTCTATGTTCATAGGTGCAGTTTAAACCCTACAGATAAAAAAAAAAAAGCAGCTAAAGTAGGGTGGGTTAGCCATTAAGAATATGAGACCAAAGCTCTGGCCACAAATACTGGATCATTGAGTCATTATTAACCACTATCTTAGAGACTGTCCATGTTTCAAGACTGTGTCTGCCTAAAGCTCTTTTTACCCAGTGAACCTAATCCTTCAGCCTCTATACATAGTCTACTGGGTTCCTAGCAATCATTACATTGTAACTGGCATTCATGAGACTATAATCACTCTAGGAGCAAAAAGAGATCAGGGAACCTAGATGACTGCTTTCTGAAGGAGATGAGGTCTCGGTTGAACCTTCAAGGTAGACGGGATTGAACAGGCAAAACGAAGAGGACATTTTAATGGAGCAAATAGCATGACTCATGGGAAAACTGAAGACAGAAATAAGACAACTTTAACTGTAATCTATTTTCAGGCAAGAAGGGTCAGATTATACAGGGGTAAAAGCAGTTCCCAGAGAGGTCAATATAACAGTAGCATTTTTCTCTACCACATTCCTGAGTGTAGATGACTTCTAATAAAGTTGGTTGGAGAGATTCATGGTTTTTAGAAGAGAAAACAAATAGCCTTCTACTGTAAATGCACAAACTTGTTATCCATTCAGTCAAAATCTATTCATTCTAGAAGTTTTTGTTTTTGTTTTGTTTTGCTTTTAGGATCTTCTGCTGAGTGAGGCTCTGTGCTAAGTATTGAGGACTCATTGCTGGACAAATCACAATTCCTGTCCTCCAGCAGTTTACAACAGTCTTGCCATTTTAAAAGCACAGAAAAGTAGGTCAGACAAGCTTTGTGACCTTGGACAAGTGACTCACCTTGGAGCCACAGATTTCAAAATTTTCAAATGGGGTAATATTTATAACCACTTCACAGGGTGGTTAAGAGTATTTAATAAAATAATGTTTATAAAGCACTCAGCACTGTGCCAGTCACATAATACGCACTCTATAATATTAACTATTATTACTGTATTCTTCATTGCATCACCAGGCTTGTTCAGGGTAAAGAAAAGGAAGGGATAGGTTATTTTCTAGGGCTGAGACCACTGTTAGTACTCAACCAGAAGGCAAATGAACATGCATCTGACTACATTCCACAACTCTGACACTGCCACTTTAGCTTCTAAGCTTCTCTCTGAGAGCTTACTCTCAGAGTCAATAAAATGCAACTGGTCATGCTTACAGTTTAAGCCTACTAGCTCCTTGCAACATACCTGACATATGTGTTTCCACTGTAAACAACTGTGCATGAAAAGAGAAAGAAAGAAAATGACAGTTGTTGACTTTCCACTGGAAAGGATGGGGTAAACTACAACAAAGACATTGTCATTTAGAAGAAGTAAAAAGAGCTCTTGGACTACTTGTGCTAAAGCGTTTCCACTTGGAAATGGCAGCTGCAGGCCAGATGGTCATTTGTGGGCAGATAGAGCTGGGAAACTAAGCATGGCTTGTGATGAGAAAGAGAAGAAAATACAAAAACAAAACTTGCTTTCCTTTGGAAAATATTGCCTCAGCCTGCTGAGGGAATTTACCTCATCAGTAACCACAGTCAAAGTGATTTTGAATATGAAGATGAGCCTCCTACTTCTTATCCTCAAACAACAGCAACAACAACAAAAAACCTGTGGATTCCCTGTAGTGCTCCTATTTCTGGCACTAAGCCAGGTGATGAGTTGTCTTCAATGACAACATAACTCAAAGACAAGATGATATTAGGATTCAAAGGTTTTCATCTATGAAGATTTGGTTTACATAAAGGAAACATTTTTTAGGAGACTTACACTTTTTTTCAAGGCCGCAATTGTTGGCCTTACCTTCATGATGCAGACTCCCTTATTTTAGAGTTCCTTAAGGCCAAGCACCCTGTCTTAGTCACTTTTGTAGGGCTGACACTTGCTATGTGTTCAACAGATGGTGTGTGTGTGTGTGTGTGTGTGTGTTTGTGTGTGTGTGTATTGACGAGAGAGAGAAACAACAAAACAAATGAAGGAGAAGGGAAAGTGGAGAAGAGGGCAAGAAGGGTATGGGACATAGAAGAAGGAGGGAGCAAAGGAATGAAGAAGGCAGAACAGAGCATGAAAACAGAAGCCAGGTAGAAGCACAAACTTTTCAATAGATGGCAACAGGGGAAAGTTTCAGCCTCCTCAGCAGATGATTAAAGAACAAGTGGACAGCTGCAGCTTTCAGAGGCTATCAAGACAGATGACCATTGTATACACATGAGTCCCAGGAACTGTGGAGTACAGGGCTGTAGAACAAGAAGAAAAGTCCTGAATGGGCCTCAGCCTTATACCTGAATTGACTGAAATTACCTGGAAGTGGCTAGATCAAGTGATCTGTGGCTAGAAGAATGGAGAGTCAGGATAGAAAGTCGGTTATAGGAAAAGTAAAGCCAGTTTTCGCATACTTGAAGTTTTAACATAAGCTACATGCTCCACAAAGTGCTTTCCATTTAATTCATTTGGTCAAGTATTTGTTGAGAGCCCAATATGATATCTGAAAAGCCATATTCCTATCATGTGTAAAATTTTCTTGCTTTGACTTTGAAATTAAATTGACCAGGGGCCCTCTCAATGGTGATTAAGATATCACTTTTCTAAAGATAGGATCTTGAAGAGAAAAATCTCTCAAATACTTTCCAGCTATAGGGATAAATATTTCAGAGTTTCTGTGTCTTAATGGTAACATATCAACACAGCATGTTGCAACTACAAAATGTGAAATTGACATTATTATCCGCTTACTAAATGAAGGAGAAAATGGAGAATAGGAAGTTTAATAAGTGACTTTCTAAAGACAGTTATTCTGTGACCCAAACTCCCATTTTTTCTTTAATGTCAAAAGCCCTGCCTTTCTGCTCCACCGTATCTTTCACTCATGGATAGTTTAAGGAGTTAGTTTTACAGGCTCAGAAACTAGATTTTAACAGTTCACTCAGACAATTGGGTTCTGGAAAATGGATTTGCTAACCCCACTCACAAAAAACTAATTTCCACTGGGAGGTGGAGAAGAAATACTTGGTTCCAGAATGAGGGACACATATCTGCTCAGGAAATGCTAGTTATCTGAAAAAAAACTAACTCCTCAGACTACGTTTAGGTTTCCAGACAAAACAAAAATCAGAGGCAGTGCGGCAGTCTGTGTGAACGTGGCCAGTAAGGTTGGAAAATTCTGGTTTTAATTTGAATGAGACTCTTTAACCATAAGATTATTCAGAACTTTTAATATGCTAATGTTACTTCTATAGGAGTAAAGCATTTGTAACTAATATGGTTTGGCTGTGTCCTCACCCAAATCTCATTTTGAACTGTAGTTACTATAATCCCCACATGTTGTAGGAGGGATGCAGTGGGAGGTAGTTGAATCATGGGGGCAATTGTCTCCATGATAGTGAGCTTTCACAAGATCTGATGGGTTTATAAGTGCGAAATTGACATTATCATCCCCGTCTTAGCTCTGAACTTCTCCTTGCTGCTGCAATGTGAAGAAGGACATGTTTACTTCCCCTTCTGCCATGATTGTAAGTTTCTTGAGGTTTCCCCAGCCATGCTGAACTGTGAGTCAATTAAACCTCTTTCCTTTATAAATTATGCAATCTCAGGTATGTCCTTATAGCAGCGTGAGAATGGACTAATACATACATTTCCAAATGCACTCGGCCATAAAAACACCATTTCCACAAACATCTACAAATTCTCATTTTTAGGAAAGAAAAACTTAGAAAAGGAGGTGTTGACTATTTTTAAAGCAGTTATTCCATTAAGCTATAGGATCCTGATAAGTTGCTGTTCTCAAAGCCAAAGGTACAGTGCCTAGAAACTACTGTGCCACTTTCTTGAAGAAAGTGGTGATGTATTGGTATATTTTTATACCTTGATTCTATTTTATATACCATACCAGCTGTTCTTTTAATTTAATGGCCTTTTGTGGACAATATAACCCAGCTAAATGGCTTACCATTTTGTTTACTTCAATTGCAATCTCTTCATGTTGATGTTAATAATTGTAATAATAAAAATGGTAAAAAAAAATGAGAGATTCTATTTCTTGAATGTTTATTATTTGCTAAACACCATATCAGGTGCACTATTTAATTCATTCCTTGAGTAGTTACCACTTTTTTCCATTTTACAGACAGAAACTAAGGCTCAAAGAGGTTAGGTTACTCTCTCAAGATCATACAGCTAGGAAGATAGAAATTTGAAATTATAATCAAATATATTTGACTTACATACTCTTTTGTTAACTAGGATGATATTCAATCTCAATTTCTCTTGATTACCTTAATTGGACCTGGGAGATGGCCAAATGTTATTGTAAAGATGGTGGACATACCTAAAATTCAAGTCTATCCCTCAAGGTTGGGATAGAGAAGTTTATGAAAGTGAAGGTTGAAAGTGTCCATCATGCTGCACAGTGATAGCCAGAATCATTCCCTATAATCATGGAGATAAGGAGGGGAAAAGAGAATGCAGAGACAATGAGTGAATGGACAAAAGCATGCCTCTATAATTAACCAAGCCTTTTCAACCCTTAAGGGATGAGGCAAAAGCATAATCAGATACTGGATGCCCCACAAGAAGAGGCCTTTCTTTGATGGGTCTCACCATCTTCATTAGCTTTCTCATTCTCAAACATTGGAGTGGACCCAAATTTTACAGTGACTATGTTTTTTAAACCAAGGTCTGGTACAGGTATTTTGGCAAAAATTTTTGCTATTCTTGGTGAATTAATATTTTTGAAGTCTACAAAGTTATAAACATTGAGTCACACTAAGCATTGTATTTTATGTATATGTATATATGCATGTATGTATGTAATTTTCACACCACCTTTATAAAAGAATTTAAAGCACATATTTATTTTTTAATTGCAAGTATTGAAAACAATAAAATTAAATGAAATTGAAATAATCATGTTTCTATACTATTTGGAGTTTCCTACAGCATAATGAACATTATAATGTTTCCTTGTTTCCCAAAGCATACAAAGGTTATCAACTGACTCTTTTATTTGACATAGTTTGTTGCTTAAAAACAAACCAAAAAATAAGCAAAACACTCAGGGATTTTGAAGTTGGGCTTATATTTTTTAAATACACTTATATTGGAACTCTATGATATGCAGTATGTAACATGTGACGTGGTGGGTATGGTGATGTGCTGTCAAATCCCCATACTCTCATCAGAGATGTTTTAACTATCTATCCTTTCAAGGATTGTCTTAACTGCAGAAAGCACCTTTTCCAAGATCATTCTCTTCTTGGGAGAGCTTAGATACAATGATTGATCAAAGTGAGGGATAAAAGCCTAACTATTTCAGCTTGATGACTGTGATAGGCTGTTTTCACTCCAAACCTCCTTGTGGGGTGGCTGAGACAGTTGAGAAGCCTACACTGCAGCTCGACTTTCTCCTCTGTCCAATTCTGCTTTCCTTCCCTTCCCTCCACTGGTTGATCCCAAGAGCACTCATAACACCGGAATGTGCTTAAACTTTACATCAGAGTGTGCTTCCCAGAGAAGTTAACCTGAGACTTTCCACTAGAATATAAGCTTCTGGAGGGCAGGGATCTTTGTCTATCTTGTTCACAAATGCTAATGTATCCCCAGTGTCTAGGACAATATCTGCCAAATAATATATGCCTAGTAAATATTTTATGATTAACTAAGGCTTCATCTACATGGTGTACAATATTTAGGAAGAAAATAAGATACTTCTAATAGCAGGGTAAAATTTCCAAACAAGTGTCTTTCTGTGGCTTTTACTATGAACCAGCCAACCCAAATAAGCAGAATTGTAGAGGCAGCATATGATTCAGCCAACTACTTCATTCATTCTTTCAACATTTGTTGATGGTCAACTATGTGTTAGTTACTAAGTGGAAGAAAAAGATAAATTAAAAAAAAACAGTGGCTTCTCTCAAGTAGCTCATCATTAACTTGCAAAAAAATAAAAAATAAATAAATAGGTAATTACATCATAGTAGTAAGTACAGTAATAAAGAGTGAACACAAAGAACTGTTAGAGCACATGGGAAGACAAAACAGCAAACCTAAACTCAGAAAAAACTAAGAAGGATTCTCAGAGGATGTGACATCTGTGGGGGTTACTGAGGGTGTGGCACGCCATTAAGATCACAAACTGAAGTTCATTTCCCTGGGTTCAAATATTTTGTGTTGTACATACAAGAAAGAGGTGGGCAAGTTACTAAAACCCTACTTCCATAATCAACACTGTGAAAATAAGAGTATTATGAGGGTTAAGTGAATCAACATCTGTGAAGCACTGAGAACATAATCTGCCCAATTGTAAGCTCTCACCAAGTGTTAATTAATCGATAAAATCATAATGGGTAAATAGGATTATCCCAGTGGGAAAGCACTTTCCAGGGAGAGATTAGCAAGTACAAAGGCCGGGGACATGAGCAAGTCTGAGACCTTCAGGGACATGCAGGTCATGCAGTTTGTTTAGGACAATAGACATGTGAATGGAAGAAAGACTGGAGAGGAGAGGAGGTGGGGTAGGTGGAGAGTCCAGGATGAATGCTATCTCCCGGGAGAAATGTGGATCCACCAGGGCTAGGTCATAAATTCCTTTAGAGAGAGGATCTGTTGAAGGGTCCTACTACTTAATGTCTTAAAAAAATTCCTCTGAAAATGTAAACCAACCAATTTGATCAAATTGGAAATACTTAGCAAATATCACAGTCATATGACTATCAGAACTTCTATAAATGAATAACTTCAATCACATAAGCTGAAGAAAACATGAATATTCCCTTCTCATAGAATTTGCTTTTTGTCTCTGATGACAATCATTGAGTGCAAGGCCTCTACTATCTCTAAGAAAAAGAGACAACATGGTATCTGGAATATTTCATCTTATACATTTAGATATGATTGCAGCATCAGTAGATTAGTGTCAAAATGTTCTGGGAATATTTACTTAATCCCAGGTATTAGGTTCAGAAATAAGAAGATATCACAGACTTTACAGTTAAGGAAATATGATTAACTTTTTCCTTGGTGATGTCTCAATAGTATCTCCATCACCTTTTCTCCTTGCAAAAAGTAAAGAATATATGCCCTCATAATCACCTTTTGAGTGTCTCAAAATGCTAGTATTTCTAGTTAATATGACTCTAGTATAATCACAATTAAATCAAACATCGCCTATGGCTGGTTTTAACTTAATTTCACAAATAATGAAGCTGTGACAAATATGAATAAGCAGACCAGTGTCTCCCTGTAACATGGTAAAGAGTATGATAGAAATGTTGACACTATAACCAACCCTTTCAGTGAGCTATACATGTGACCTATCAATTTGCTTCAATATAAAACAGGTAGCATATCAATGTCTTGAAAAATATAGCAGTTGGGCAGAAATGGCTATGGAGATTTTTCCAGATAAACAGCGTATATAGTCCATTTGCAAGGATTCAAGAGAACTTGCATGATTCATGAATTATCTTGAGAGCTGGACATTAAACTTTAGATAGAAAAGTCCAACATTCTTTCCCTTTGCAGAGTCTCCAACTCTGGCCAAAGCCTTCTTTATTTTGCCTTGAAGAGGCTTCTAGAGTTCACTTAATGAGGACCACTTCCAATGGAGTGATACAGAATCCTTGTCATGATGTGTGAGATCACACTGGAATAGGATCAGGAAAGACATAAACAATCTGGCCTCCAGGCAGCAATGTAAAACTCCTGTACCCTTGGCAGTGTCTACTTGTGAATCAAGCCCTTCCATGTCTGGCTAACAAAAGGCAAGAACCTTTCATTTCTTGTGGAAATGGAAAACCAGTGCTTCCAGTGTTTGCCTTCAAATGCAGTCTGGAACTGGGAGAGGATCTCATGCATAAGGCAGTCTTTTCAGCAGTAAAACATTTGGAGAAATGTCAGGGTGGAGACTGTTTCCAGCTTAAACTATGCTTCAATGCTTGTGCTTAAAGCATAGATTCAGAAAATTTTGCTCCAAAATGTATAGGCTTGGCTGAAATGGTATGAGCTAAGTTTCTCTCTTTTCTTCCTTTCAAATTTTTCTATGCTCCTATTGTTCCATTATTTTAAAATTTCCTTTTATCTTCTCCCTCCTTTTTCTGTCTTCTTTTTTCTCTTTATTTTTTATCTTGTATTCCTTCAACCACTTTTCTTTTCCTTCCTTCATTCTTTTCTTCTCATTATTTTTTCTTTTCTTCATTTACTTCTTCTCTACTTTCCTTCCCTCATATTTAGTGAAGTTTAATTGTTGGTAAAATGAAGTTAAAGTCACCAACAGAAAATTTTCATTTAATTATAATTACACTAGATCTGCATTATCTAGAAAATCTTAAAATTTCAGGATAATCAAAAAAAATTTTGAGAGTATATATTCTTCACTTTTTGCAAGTTGTAAATGGGATGAATATGCCACTGAGACATGAGAAATAGAGAAAGAAGTTGTGCATGCTTCCTTAAATATAGTCAGTGATTTTTTCTTCCTCTCTTCCTTTCTGCCTTTCTGACCTCCTATATTCCTGTCTTCCTTTTCCTTTCCTTTCTTCCTTCCTCCTTTAGTTTTTTTCTACTATTATTCTCACATTTTTCTCACTATACTTATTCCTCAAGATGAGTATATCAGTTACTGCCACCACATGCTATAGATTAGAAAATTAAAATGCTGAGGGATTATTTATCAAGAATTACTATCAAAGTGGCATAATTTTTTAGCTCTACTTACCTCTCTCTTGTGAAAATAGGATTAACAAACATTTATGTCCCCTCAACCCCACCCAGGTGACTATTACCCAAATTATTCCAACACCTAAGACAATCAATGGCTTACTATTTGAATAAAAATAATAGTGGAATAATTCCAAAATAACCCCATCATGAAACATAGTTATGCATTCATGAAGTAATTTAAATGTTTACTGGCAGCTTGTTTACATGTGTGCTAGGCATTATGGATACAACAATGGACCAAATGAATTCACTTCTAGTTAGGGAATTACAGTTCTAAAGTAAGATTTTTAAATGGAGAAACATTATGTCATATTGCCTCAAAATATAATCTTTGCAATCAAGCATATCTGGACTCCAATCCTGATTTGGCCTCAAAATGGTTATGTGACTTCAGACAATTACTTAATATCTTTAAGTCTTAAGTTCATAAAATAGCAATAATTACTACCATCGCAATGGTTATAATTGTGAAAGTAATGTGTTAATCACGGTGCCTGACAGTGCTGATATTATTAGGTCAAAAATATATGCAGAGCTGAATTGTGGGAATAGTTCCACAATTCTGTAAATCTATTTTACATCACACACTTACAATGGATAAATTTTATAATAAATTATACCTCAAAAAGGCTTGAAAAGAGATTTATGTATAATGATACGGAAGTTCAAAAGAAAAAATACTTCTCCAAAAGGAAAAAGGATAGAGGAAATAAAGGCAAGTAGAGGAGGTATGAAGAGATTGTTAAGAAAGGGTAAGAGCTCTGCAAGCAGCCATGAAGTCACCAGGTGTAGGGAAGGATTTTGGTCAAAACATAGGAATTACAGTTTCTGGTGGTGAGTCTTGAATATTTTCCAAAAAAATTCGGATACAATCCACGAGATAGTGAAGAATTTAAATGCTTCCAAGCCAAATGTGAAAAAACTGGACCTGTGCTTTATTAATATGGACAAAAGGCCAGTTAGAAATCTACAGCCAAGCCACATCAGAAGAAATAAGGACCACAGGAAGAGAGGGAGCAGCAAAGAGGGATTAGATATAAGAGATCACAGTGGGTAGGGAGGATGAAAATTTTGGAACGTGTTGACTAACTAGAGGAATGCAGAAGAAAGAAAAATCAAAATGACTTAGGTTTTGAACTTGGATGTTAAATTTTTAGTAGACTGAATTTGAATTAATGATGGTACATATGGATGGGTATTCAGTAGGGATGTTTAGTACATTGATAAATTATGAGTCTAAACCTCTGTAGCCAGAGATGATAACTCACTTGAAAAATAGCTCAACTAACTTGAGCTCTGAGCTGCAAATTAGACCTTAAGTTTGTATTGTGTGTGTATTATTCCGCTTTCGCGCTGCTGTTATATGAAGACATACCTGAGACTGGGCAATTTACAAATGAAAGAAGTTTAATGGAGAACTCACAGTTCCACGTGGCTGGGGAAGCCTCACAATCATGGTGGAAGGCAAGGAGGAACAAGTCACATCTTATGTAGATGGTGGCAGGCAAACAGAGAGCTTGTATAGGGAAACTCCCATTTTTAAAACCATCAGATCTCGTGAGACAGTACGGGAAAGACCCACCCCCATGATTCAGTTACCTCCCACCAGGTCCCTCCCACAACATGTGGGAATTCAAGATGAGATTTGGGTGGGAACAAAATCAAACCATATCATTCCGCTACTGACTCCTCCCAAATCTCAAGTCCTCATATTTCAAAACCAGTCATGTCTTCCCAACATTTCAACATTTACTCAAAAGTTCAGAGTCCAAAGTCTCATCTGAGACAAGGCAAGTCCCTTCTGCCTATGAGGCTGTAAAATCAAAAGCAAGTTAGTTACTTCCTAGATACAGTGGGGTTACAGACATTGGGTAAATACAGCCATTGCAAATGGGAGAAATTGGCCAAAACAAAGAAGCTACAGGCCCCATGCAAGTCTGAAATCCAGTGGGACAGTTAAATCTTAAAGCTCCAAATCTCTTTTGACTCCATGTCTCATATCCAGGTCATGCTGATGTAAGATGTGGGCTCCCATGGTCTTAGGCAGCTCTGCCCGTGTGGCTTTCCAGGGTACAGCCTCCCTCCCACCTGTTTTCATGGGCTGGTGTTGAGTGTCTGTGGCTTTTCCAGGCACACAGTGCAAGCTGTCAGTGCATCTACCATTCTGAGGTCTGGAGGACGGTGGCCCTCTTCTCACAGCTCCATTAGGTGGTGCCCCAGTAGGGAGTCTGTGTGGGTGCTCTGACCCAACATTTCCCTTCCTGTGCTAGCAGAGGCTCTTCATGAGAGCCCTGCCCCTGTAGCAAACTTCTACCTGGACATCGAGTTGTTTCCAAACATCCTCTGAAATCTAGATGGAGGTTCCCAAACCCCAGTTCTTGACTTCTGTGCACTCACAGGCTCAACACTACATGGAAGCTGCTGAGGCTTTAGGCTTGCATCCTCTGAAGCCACGGCCCAAGCTCTATGTTAATGCCTTTCAGCCATGGCTGGAGCATCTGGTATGCAGGGCATCAGGTGCATAGGCTGCACACAGCACGAGGACCCTTGGCAGAGCCCACAAAACCACTTTTTCCTCCTAGGTCTCTAATGGGTGGGCTTGCTGTGACAACCTGACATGCCCTTGAGATACTTATTCCATTGTCTTGGGGATTAACATTTGGCTTCTCATTACTTATGCAAATTTCTGCAGCCAGCTTGGATTTCTCCTCAGAAAATGGGATTTTCTTTTCTATCAGATTATCAGGCTGCAACTTTTCTGAACTTTTATGCTCTGTTATCTTTTTAAAACTGAATGCCTTTAACAGCACCCAAGTCACCTATTGAATGCTTTGCTGCTTAGAAATTTCTTCTGCCAGATACCCTAAATCATCTCTCTCAAGTTCAAAGTTCCACAAATCTCTAGGGGAGAGTCAAAATGCCACCAGTGTTTTTGCTAAAACATAGCAAGAGTCACCTTTGCTCCAGTTCCCAACAAGTTCCTCATCTCCATCTGAGACCACCTAAGCCTGAATTTAATTGTCCATATCGCTATCAGCATTTTGTTCAAAGCCATTCAACAAGTCTCTAGGAAGTTCCAAACTTTCCCACATTTTCCTGTCTTCTTCTGAGACCTCCAAACTGTTCCAACCTCTGCTTGTTACCCAGTTTCAAAGTCACTTCTACATTTTCTGGTATCTTTTCAGCAATGCCCCACTCTACTGATACCAATTTACTGTATTAGTCTGTTTTCATACTGCTGATAAAGACATAGCTTACACTGAGCAATTTACAAAGAAAAGAGGTTTAATGGAGAACTCACAATTCCATATGGGTGGGGAAACCTCACAATCATGGCAGAAGGCAAGGAGGAGCTAGTTACATCTTATGTGGATGGCAGCAGGCAAAGAGAGAGCTTGTGTAAGGAAACTCCTATTTTTTAAAAACCATCAGATCTCATGAAACTTATTCACTATCACAAGAACATCACGGAAAAGACCCACCCAATAATTCAATTACCTCCCACCAGGTCCCTCTCACAACACATGGAAATTACAAGATGAGATTTGGGTGGGGACATAGCTAAACCACATCAGTGTGTCTAACCTGTTAATCCCCTGGCCTGAGGTTCTTGTTTGATCTCTGCATAACTCAAACTGCTCATTTAAGAATTAGTCTTTTTCTGAGGTGGACATCTGAGGTTTTCATCAAATTCTCAAAGAAGCCCAGGACCCCAAAAAGGTTAAGAATCATTGGTATAACCAATCAATGCCAGTCAAATGAGAAAAAAAAGGGATTATTTTAACTTTTCATTCTCTTTTTCTATCCAAAGGTCTGGCTCAGATGAATTCATAGAGACACACCCTTTGGTCTCCATTTTTGGTGTGTGACACCATTTTCCATTTCCATTTTTACATTTTCGGCTTCACTCTCATGCTCCAAGTTCCAGATAATTTGGTCATGGTCTGGCTACTCTCCAAAGAGAAATACATTTTTTAAAATGCGCTGCTTGTTCATGTTTGATTATAAAGAATTATTCTCAAAAGGATTTCTGAGCTGAAACATTTCTGTTAATTGCACTGACACATCGAAGACCAGTTTTCTAGGGGTAAAGTGTGGATGAGAAATACAAGATGTCACATGAAGTAGACACATGGAAAGTTTTTTTAAAAAAATTATATCCAGATAGTCATTATTCTATGTCATTAACGTAGTCTTGGAAGGGAAGTTAGTGAAGAAAATTTGAGAACGCATTGTTTTACCAACAAGGAAGTCTAAATAGAATAGTTGCAAAATAGCTCATATGCTTTTGTTGACACGGATCATTTTTCTTTATTGCCTAGTTTTGCCTTTTTCCTTGAGAAGATATATAAAACCGAGTATGTTGCTGTGTGTAAAAGTCTTTTAATTAGGCTGCATGGTACAAAGCATGGTTCAGTGAAGGAAACACAGATGTTGGGGTAGAGAAGCACACCCAGTTTTATTGCCTATTTTAGCAACTTCTCTGTTCTGTGCCTGAAAACCCTAAGATTAATGCCAACTGTAAGAACTCAGCCTCCCAAGTGGTTTGGTGAAAGAAGACATCTCCTTCCTGAACTGACCTGAAGAAATCAGGGAGAAATCTCTCCTAGAAAACCAGGCAGGCTCAGACTCATTCCATGAACTTCAGAGCCCACTTTCATTGTCTCTATTAGGAATAAGTAATGGTGATAGAAATCAGCCAGATGAATTCAGATGCTTCATAAGATGGTACCAAAAATCTGCTGGATTTGAGGCCCCAATTCCCGAAGTTTAGATTTTAGGTAATTACTGATGCTTATTTGCTGTGGGAAGTGCTTCTTTTCTCAAATTCATTTTATGGCTGAATATTTCCAAGCAGAAAATAGGCACCAAATGTCCCCATGTGGCAATAAGTCCCTGTGTATTTTATCCAAAAAATAATGTTGAGTCATGTGTAATAAATACTCATCCTTCAATCTGCTAAGCATCCTGCAGTTCGAGAATTTTGTAATTTTAGACATCCACCCAAAAGAGGTGAGTGGGAGCCATGAAGCATATTCAGGAGGGCCCTTACCTTCACGCTCCAATATTTTCTATCCACCAATCTTAGTTCTGCCCTATGAAAGTACACACAATAAGCTTAATCCTGTGGCTACAAGGCAGGCTTTCAGATAAATTTAGACAGCTATCATGCCAGCACTAAACCCTTTCTTCCCTGAGTAAATGCCTCCAGAGCGCTGAACCAGTCCTTGCATAACATGCTTTCCAAGTCACTCACTGCTATAGACTAAATGTCTGTGTCTCCTCCAAATCCCTTTGTTGAAGCCCTAATCTTCAATGTGATAGCATTTAGAGATGGGGCCTTAGGAGATAATTAAGTTTAGGTGGACTCAGGAAGGCGTAGCCCCTGTGATGAGATTAGTGCCCTTAGAAGATGAAGAGATCAGAACTTGCTCTCTGTGTGCATGCACCATGGAAAGGCCATGTGAGAATGGGAGCCCTCACCGAAACTCTAACCATGTTGGCACCCTGATCTCAGACTTTCAGCTTCCTAAACTTTGAGAAATAAGTCTTTTGGTTTAAGCCATCCAGTCTGAAGTATTTGTTATTGTAGCCTAAGCTGACCAAGATACCAACCTTGTCCCTCTTCTCTGAATGTACTCCAGGTTATTCCTATTTCTCCAGAGCTAATATCAGCTAGAACTAAATATAACATGCTATCAATCCAGGGGACTGCCCCACCCCATATCCTTGAGGTTATGATTCTGCTTATGTGGCTTAAGCTTATATTCTGCCATATTTGAATAAACCTTCCTCTCTTTCCTTGGTACTCTCATTTTAAAAGATTATCTTTCCATGAGTATGGATGAGAGTTGACAGCTATCTAGTTACTAAATGTTGAGTATAAAGTATAACCTATAATAACATATATAATATATAATTTATTATATAAATTTATGAGAGCTATGTAACATAAATATTATAACATATATAATATAATGAAGAGAAGTAAGGTGCTTCCCTGCCTGAGAGACTTAGAGGCTAGTCTGAGACACAAAGTAAAAGCATCTAATTATCCTCCAAGTCAGCTATTTCCAAAGTCAGAGGAATAAGGCAGCTCATAGAGGGAAGATTCTATAATATGCTAAGGTAAGCAGGGATCGTTCTAGAGAGAACATGGCACTTGGCAATAGAATTGCTAGCTAGAGAGAAGCCTAACAATTCATTCATTCCACAAATATTTATTTTTACCTTATTACATTCCAGGAACTAAAAGGGAAAATCAATTTAATTAGGACTCAGAGAATGTCCTCATGTAACCTATTTTCTAGAAGCATCAAGGATTCCCCAAGTGCTCATACGCTTTTCTAAACAGGCCTTCTGGAAAGCAGATGAGAGTGCCAAAATCAGTTAACACTTCCTTTGCAGTAGTCCACTGAGAAGAAAAAAGACACATGAGAACTTTGCATCCACATCTGTCCCCAATTATGACTGATTTTCACTCTGCTCAGATGCATTTAATGTGGATACCCTTGTTGGCTTATGTGACTGAGTCATTGGCATTAGACCTGAAAAAAATAAAAGACACTGGTCACTCACAGGATGGTGATTATGCCTGGGCTCATCATGAAAGAACCCACCCATTGCAGGGATCTGTGCATGGTCTCCTCCTCATGGTCACCCTCAGAGACTAGAAACTAAGTCCAAATATAGAAAAAGTCCACCATGGATCTATTAGAATATAACAGAACTGAGAGAGATTTCAGAAAATATCTAGTGCCAAAAAGAGCAGTAGCTTTCTTTTGTTTTAATCTCATGTACATTCTTGGCATTGAAAGTACTCCAAAGAACAGAAGTGGCTTCTTGTAGCATCGTGTTGAGATGAAGTCTGACCCTGCAGATGGATTCAGTGGAATGTTTAGTAATTGATTAGCTATGACTGCCTTTGGCATAGAAGGAATAAGTTGGGAAAATAGTGCCACATATTTGCAATTTCGTTTAATGCCCTCATTATACAAATGGAAAAACTAGGACCAGAGAGACAATACCTTCCCCGAGGTCACACAGCTGGTGCAACATATTACCAACACTGGGATCAATAGGTCCTTCTGCCTTCCTACATATCTTCCTTTTTAATTTCAACCTTTGCTTCAGAAAAATTAATCCTAGACCCTAAGTCAGATGATCTTGAATTTGGTCCTGGCTTTGGTAACTAAAAAGATGAGCAACCTATTAGAATTTCTTACAGTAGTAAGTCCTAGAAGAGACCACAAGGATAGCCCAATCAATGCACTCATTCTGTAGGTGAGAAAATGGGTCCAGAGAGGTTTCCATGAATTAGTAGAAAAGCTAGGATTAGAACATATTTCCAAAGTCTTGTCCCTGATACTCCTTCACAGTGTCCTTTCTTATTTGTAAAATCTATTTATTAAATAAGAGTTCATTGGGTACCTGGTATGTGACATGCATTGGGCCATTGTCAGGGGGGATATAAGGGTAAGCTCGTGGTTTAGTAGGGGAACTGGTTGTTCAAATACTTTTCTTACAGTTTGATGAGTGCCAAAAAAAGGTTTGTGTAAAGGTGTAAAGTGTCACATAAAGAGAGGGAAGGAGCACTGAACTCTTCCTGAGTCATGACAACATTCACAAATAGGGTGAATGTTTTGTTGAGTCTTAAAGTATAAATAGGAGTTTCATAAGAATACAGAGTGGGCCAGGGCATTCCAGATAAATAGTACCACATGAGAAAAGGCACAGAAATATGAAGAGGCATGACATAGCTTAACAACCACGAGTCATCTGGAAACTAAAGAAAGGTACAAAAGATCTTGTGCATGACACTAAATGATTCAGACTTGACCTAGGAAAGCAGTGATGAGTCATTAGCATAGCAGAAAAAAGAGAGGGGCAGGATCAATTCCTTGCTTTGGAAAGATAATGATAATATTGTGAACAGAAGAATCAGAAGCTTAGGAGACCAGCTAGGAAAAAATTGCTGGGGACTATATGAGAGAAAATGGCAGCCTCCGTAAAGCTAGTAATGCTGTAGGAATGTGTAGAGAACTGACTCAAAGACCATTGCAGAGTTATAATCAATGGCCTTGATTTATGTTGGATACAAGAGCTAAGGGAGAGAAAATAACCAATAAATGAAAATAATGCATTATGTTTATCTTATAGGATATTACAAATGAAATAAGGTTGTGGATAAGAAAGTACTTGGGGACAAAAACAACAATACGCAAAGCTCTTTAATATGTAAGGCATTTTTATTATCACAAGATCTTATTATCAAATACTATGTTGGTTTGCTCTTTGGCACAAAGACATGGGTCAAATGCATTTTGAACAAAGAAACATGGCAAAAGGAAAAGTGCAATGTATGGCGTTGGATTTATCCATTTGCTCCTCCAATAGTCATTGGCAACATTATGGATTAGGCTTTGCAAAGTGGGAGAAACAGAGAGATGAACCAACCACACTCTCTGCGGAAGCATCAAAGGTTATTGTTTACATTTGCTTTAAGAAACTTACCTATTTCAGTAAAGAAGCACCCTCTCAGAGTTTCTCCAACCAAATTATATAATAGATCTTTGAAGAGAACTACCTTAGGTGAATGGCAGAAGATGTTTAAATGTGTGAATCTGGTTTAGCTGCTCCACCAATAAGCTGCCAAATTGAGCTTTTTGGTAATTATCAAAACATCTGTAATAGGATTAGTGTGTCAGAAACAGCTGCTGCTTTCTTGGTAGGAGAAGGAGGTGGGGAATTGGGACATGGACTTCACTTTAGCCCAGATGTTTCTCATTTGGAGAAAGGATAAAGGATAGACACTGAGTCAGTGAGAAGGCATCAAGACAAAAGTGAAAAAGGACATGATTTCAAATTGCACTGGCCCTAAGTTGACTCAAGTGCATACCATGGGCATGTGGTGAGCAAAGCTTCCCTGCTCTCCACAGTCCTGGGAGCTAGACTTGTTTGCCAAAAAATGTCCTAGTAAAAATATTTATATGAAAACAACACAAAGGCAGTGTTAAGAGCACTGCTGACCCCTTACAGTTTGACCTCATCTTTCCACCGCAATAAGAACTTGGAAAATCTCCCTCTCTATGTGAATGATGCAAGACTTGGTTACACTAGGTGGTTGAGCACTTCCTTCTGGCTATGAGCCTTCAAAGACGGGGAGGAGCATGTGGGAAGCTCCAGTGAATTACAGGAATACTTCCATGAAAGAGGCTGCTTCTGCTGAGAAAGGTTGTACAAGTTACTACAAAATTCAGACTCTAGCTCTCTACTTGTAGAGTAACCTGGTTGAATCCAACCATGTATTCAAGTAATCAATGGACAAATATTTATTGAGCACATACAATGTATAAGGCAATGTGCCAAATTCAAGGACAGCATGGAACGGGACAGACAAATTTCCTGCCCTTATTTGTCCTCATAGTCCAGGGAAAATATGATTGCTCAAGTAAGAATTTAAATTGCAATTGTCATAAATATTGCAAAAGACAGCTGACCAATGAATTTAGTCATGTCATAGTTTTTATAGCTTTAGGCTGTTCTGCATGTGTGCAAAGTGTTGGTCATTATGTTGCAGAATCCAGTAAAACCAGAATCTACTAAAAATGAGCCTTCAACTTCCATTTTTTAAATTAGAACATTATCTTAGGCCCTCCCGCTTTGGTACTACCTGTGACAATTTTCTGCCTTCCCTTCATCCAATATCTACTCAACTTCTGACTCATTAGTTCCCATTCTGTGTGCTTTTGTTTTTACTGATGAGAATTCTGTTTTTGCATCCATCATGCACAATGAAACACCCTTCTAGGAGAAGATTAGACAAGGATGACTTCACTTAACTAATGGTCAGTCCCAGGACAGAGCTAGACTCAGAGGGTGCCTTTAGGGATAGGGCTGAGCAAAGCCTTTGGCCAATTATGAAGGCAAGCCTTCTCTTTGATGACCCACA
Source organism: Homo sapiens (assembly GCF_000001405.40). Lineage (NCBI taxonomy): Eukaryota > Metazoa > Chordata > Mammalia > Primates > Hominidae > Homo > Homo sapiens. The sequence goes on from NC_000011.10 coordinate 26,948,586, forward strand.
CTTCCTCAGTAGGCACTATTTCTTCCTGTTCCTTTTTTTCTTTCTTTCTTCGCTTAAAACAACCTTTTTCCTTATCTCTAGCTTTCAAAATCATATTAGTTCTTCAAATACCACCTTAATTGTCACCCTTTCTATGGGATTTTCCTGCTTCCCACATGCCTGATAGGCAGCTCCTTTAAACTCCCTTAGTACTTTGTAGTTCTGTTGGGATATCAGAGCCTGTCTTATTTTATTTTGCTGATATTTTATTTTGCTTCTAACTAAAATGAAACTATCTCATTCATCTCTGTATTCTATGCAGCCAGTGGTACAAAACTTTACATACAGTATGTACTTAATTAGAATACTTTAATATAGATCTTCAAGTTAAAGTAAGCTTATTTTTGAATCTTGACACTGCCTTTTACAAGGAGACAATTCACTTATCTCTGGACCTGCTTATTCATCTCATCAAAAAGTAGAATAACAACAGTGACTTTATAGGGTTGCTAGGAGCAGCAAATGATGTGTCATATGGAAATCCCTAGCCTAGAATATGGTTCATTGGGGAATTCTATAAGTGTTTGTTACCTTTTCTTCTCAATATCATTTATTGAATTAAAAATGAATTGAAACTAAGGAAACTGAATTTGAAAGATATTGAATAACCCACATTTTCCCAAAATTCTACTTCACTTTTTTTTTTGTAATTCCGTTGTTTAGAGCAAGTGTCTGTAGTCAAAACCTATGGGCCAAATCTGGTCAAACACTTGTTTTTGCAAATGAAGTTTACTGAAACTCACTGTGCACATTCATTTACATATTTGCTATGACTTCTTTCACAATACACCTGTAAAGTTCAATAGCTGCAACAGAGATCTTATGGCCATGGCTGGCAATGCCTAAAATACTTAATCCCCTAATCCCTAGCCTTTTGCAAGAAAAGTTTGCCAACCCATGGTTTCTAGTTAAGTTGGGGCTCTTTTTTCAGAAAACTTCTATGAATATTCAAATATAGTATCTCCAATAGGTGATGTGTCAAGTCACTTGCACTTGTTGTCATATTACCTTAGATCAAATTACCAGATGAGATCTGAAAGCAAATAGTAAGAATTAAGGGAGAAACTCTGGCAGTGGCAATAAAAGAAGGGAAGTACTGGGCCAAAGATGTTGACTCACAAAATAGAGAAATAAGCTTTGTTTTGTGAGTAGGGGAGTGAAGAGCTGATAATCAGCCATGAAAGCAATGGTTGGTGAACCCAAAGAAATGAAATCTGAGTAAGAGGAAGAGCAGTGGCAATAGTAATACTAGTTACCCATCTTTACCAGAATTCCCAAGAACACAGAGATTGAGACAAAGGCTATATGCTAACGCCCCCCAAATTATTGAGACTGAAATCCCTGAAAACAGAAGTAAAATAAAGGGAGGAATGAGTCATGGAAAGGCTCAATAGCATGCTCATAGCAAGCACTGCTGAATGCTCAGTCCCACAGGGCATCTTGAGAGAACTGCCTGAAACTACTGCACTCTAGAGCTGTCAGGGAGCAAAAAGAAAGCCCAGCTCTGAGCTCCTGTTACTCAAAGTGTTCACAGGATATTGAGTCCACCTCATCTCAGAATTGCACCTTTCCACCTGGGGAAGCCAGAACCTGAGGCAGCAGCAGTGACATCCACGGCACAAGTCACGGCATGAGGGGTGAGCCCATAGGTGCCCGTGAGCCTCATCTGCAGCCTGCAACTGGCAGTCTTGCTGGCCTGGCTGAGTAAACCAAGGCACCAATGTGGGCACCTCTCAAGGTCTGTTGAGCCTCAGGGGCAACAGGGAAGCACTGGCATGGGAAGTACAAAGTGAGGCAAGCCACCGCCAGGTCATGAAAGCCAGCGACACAAGGCAGCAAGAAACTTCCTCACAGTGGGGCTGTTTGGCCAAGTAATAGAGTACCAAAAAGACACAGCCCCCACCATGGAGAGCTGCCATGTGGATTAATCGAAATCCAAACATCCCTTCTGTGGCCTGCAGGAAAACATTTGACATTGGGCAATCTTCATTGAGAGTCATCAGCCACATAGACAAACACTCACAGAATCTGCAGAGGCTCTTAAACTAAGGCCAGCACATTACAGCGACTGCTATTGAGCACCTTATTGAGCACCTGCTATAGCTAGGCTATCTTCAGACGTCTATATATTTTTAATCCTCAGGATACCACCATGAGGGCGAAACACTAGTCTGCACTTTACATATGAGTAAACCCAGGCCCAGAGTAGTTAAGTAACTTGTTCAGATACTTTCACTTATTTGGGGCATGTGGAAAAGAGACCAAATCCCTCCTAGGTGGCCCCAGGGAACAGAACTGAGGCCAATGAGTAGAAATTACTAGAAACCAGTACTGAGAATAGGAACTTTCTAAGAGTCTGAGCCAGTTTTCCAACAATCAGGAGAGAAAGTAAGGTGCCCACGGATGGCACTAATGAGTACATTGTGGATTTCTCTGGGAGAAAAGCAGGATTCTTTGCTCTGGTGAAGATTGAACTAGATGAAGCCAGAAGTTTTCCAGAATCAATACCAACACACTTTTACTGATGTCATTTTAACATCAATGCAGGAGAAGAAAAGATACTTATAAAATAATGGAAATATCCACCAGTATTCAGCTTTTAATATGTACCAAGCACTTGGCAAATAGCCAGATATATATATATATATATATATATAAAATTTAGTCTTCATAACAACTATGAGTTAATTATTATCATTATTGTCAATTCACAAAAGAGAAAACTGAGACCGGCAGAGGTAAATCACAGAACCTTGCCCAAGGTTCCCAGCTAGTAAATGTCAATAATTGACTGCCTGCTAAAGCCAGTGCTCTGCTCTGCTGCCTCAAATATTCTGCATTTGCCTGTTGTTCTGAACTCAAAATTTTGGAGCCTGAGCACCTGTGAAAGAAAAGCCACATGTAAAGACACTAGATGGGTCATTTTGGTAGATAAAGTTGTGTTTTAAACAGCTTTTACTTTTTTTCTGTCCACGTTCTCTGAAAATCCTTTCCTCATGAATCCTTTATTTTTCCATTACATTTAAACACCTCCCAGACTGTTTGCTGCCATTTAAAATGTTTTGAAAAGCATTTTTGCAGGTTTCTTCCAATGAAAAACTAACAAAGTCATCAAAAGACAGACTGTTTTTTTTCCCCGCCTCAGAGTAAAAATCACATTGGGGAACAACAAGGAAATTAAAATAAGAAAAAATAGCACTGGGAGCAAGACATTAGTATGACAAAGGGCTCATGACTGGTAATAATTTTAGGTGATACAGGCATAGTCAAGTCTGCAGAAAATAAAAATAAAAAAGGAGAAAAACTTCAGCATTCTGAAGCCTCTGGCACCAAAAAGCCAGTGACAAGATAGCCCAAAACTGCATCCATGGAAAATCACAGCTGCAGCAAACCGCAGGCTGATGGCTAAAAGCTACCGCTGCATTGTTTCCAATCTCCGCCTGAGACAGCACACATTTATCAGTGGTCTGTAATGCCTCGCAGCAAAAAATCTTTAACTGCTTAAACTATATTTTAATTTTGAAAAGACACATCTTGCTGCAATTTACTTTTTTTATTTTTCCACCCTAACAGAAATGTTTCGCCTTGAGTTATAATCTAACACTTTCCTCTTTTTGGGGTTGAGACTGTAGGCTCTGGAATCAGACTGCTCTGGTTTTTAATGTTGGTTCAAATACCTAATTTAGAGATGTGACCCTTAGATAAGTTACTTCACCATGCTAAATCTCCATTTCCTCATCTGTAAATAGAGATGATAGTAGCTCATTCCTTATACAGCTGTTACTTGGAGTAAATGAAATAATGTATGCTAAGTGCTTGAAACAGATCCCAGCACTTAGTACATTTTTTTAAAAAAATTAGCAGTGACTATCATTTTTCGTCCCCTTCTGTCCATGTGAAAGAAAGAGGTTATTTTTCTAAGGAAGTCAAAATCTGAGGATAGACCACGTATCAAACTGTTGAGGGCCAAACTTGTAAATAAAGTTACATAAGTTTCAGAAAAAGTTAATTTTCCACCCCACCTTCCTGTGCCCATCATCTCTTCCAACTTGTCCTTTTAAGATACTCAAAATTTCCATGTGCCTCAGATTCCAGTCCAAGATACATGCCCTCTGGGTGGGATACTCCCATGAATGTTTTCTCCAGAGACAGCTCAACTTCTACCTCTTGCTCTGCCTTCCACGATAAAGACCCTTCCTTGACCTGCAACTGTAATTCCTCTTTCTGTAAAAGGTTCTCATTCTCAAGATAATACAGGAATTATGAGAAGATTCAATGAGATGATACATGTAAAGTTCTTAGAGTAGTTGCTGGCACATAGTAAGACTAAGTGTCAGCTATTAATGTCTAATATTAATACTCCTCCTTTCCCCTTGACAAAAACAAAACTCCTTTATCTGTGTGGCCTCATGGCCCTTCTACTTACTCTCTGTTATATCAGTAGGTTATCCTGCTCATGCAGTATATGACTTTTTTTGTTTTTGAGACGGAGTCTCGCTCTGTTGCTCAGGCTGGAGTGCAGTGGCATGATCTCGGCTCACTGCAAGCTCTGCCTCCTGGGTTCACGCCATTCTCCTGCCTTAGCCTCCTGGGTAGCTGGGATTACAGGCGCCCGCCACCACACCCAGCTAATTTTTTCTATTTTTTAGTAGAGACGGGGTTTCACTGTCTTAGACAGGATGGTCTGGATCTCCTGACCTCATGATCCACCTGCCTCGGCCTCCCAAAGTGCTGGGATTACAGGTGTGAGCCACCGCGCCCAGCCAGTATATGACATTTTAAACAACTCCAATTCTTGGACCACAAAAGGATGAATGACTAATGGTGAGCACTGGGAATCTGACCATTATGGCCTCCTCCTGAAGTCACATGTGACTCTTGCCCCAATTTATTCGATATCTTGTCTGTATATCCCCCATCATAGCTCTTCTTATACCTAATTGCTGTTGTACGTTCCATGTCTCTCTCTCTCCCACTGGATTATGTGCTTCTTAAGGGAAAAACATTAATCTTATTTATCTATTTTTTTTCCAAAATCTCATAAAGTAGGTATAATATGCTTATTTACATTTTTAGATAGAACAACTCCTTGGGACCAAGTTTAAATCCTGGCACAAAGATAGCTACATCTTGAGTCTATAAGGGAACCAAGTCGTACCCCTTACAAGTGGCAAAATCAGGTACGTTATATATATGTGCACAATTTAAGCAGTTGGATCTACTTTGCTTTAAAACCTGACACTCTACTGGTATACTACTTTGCTTCTAACTGAACAGCTACTGCCGTTCTATTCTAATGGGGGCCATTTAACAAAAAATGCAGAGACTGTCATAGAAGTCTGTGATTGCCTGTGGCATTTGCCTATCTCACCCTTGACTAGGCCTCTACTCAAGCTGTTCACTGTGATGCAGGATCTACTGGCAGCCCTTGAGCCTGGTTGCTTAGTATATTAAGCAATATACTAATGATTATATATGGCATTATCTATACTTTATTTCTGGCATAAAAACTTTTGCTTTTTGATTTTTAATAGAAACCAGACATCACGTCATTGATGTGTCATCAAAAGCAGTGCCAGACTTCCTGTTCTCCCTGGGAAGGATTCAATGGCTAGTGAAAAATACATAGAGGAGGTCACCCTGGGGATTCAGCCCAAATATACACACGCCAAAAAAATGCCAAATCCAGGGCCTCAAGATATGAATTCAGTTTTGCACAGATGCAACGGGGCAGCTTCTGAACTGAACTGCCAGCAAGCCTCGGATTTTCATTCTTTGGTCAAATAGGGATGTTCCAACATTATTTCAATGTCTGTGCCATAAGCAAGATTCACAGAGGTGAAATACGTGTATATTTACCCACATATATAGATATGGCACCTTCAAAGAACAAATATATAAATGGTTCAATCTTCCAGAATAAATTAAAATTGTATAATTATAGAGGTAACAGATGTGTCCTGACATACTGGTGGAGTACATAAATAGTAGAAGACTGTGTGTGCATTAGAGTCTGAGGAAAAATAACTTTATGAAATTCTGGTACAAATCATGTGTACAATTTCTCCTTTTTGTAATATCATAAAATATTAATATTACTGACTATTGTTAATCAAGTTGTACCAAAGGGAGCTACACATTTTTAAGGAGGTTATCTCCAAGTTTGCACTCAGGAAAAAATATATAACATTTGCAAACTGCATAACTTAAATGGCCTTGCATACTCACTCTATCAAATGCATTTGGGAAGAGGTTCATTCCTTTGTTAGGGTCTAACATAATTGCCTATGGGATGTCCATTGTAAGCTAGCCTTGAGGAGCCACAAACCCCATACTTCAAAATATTATAAAGAGGCTGGTGCTATGAAGGAGGTCAGAAGCCTGCAGAAACTCCAGTATAAAGCTCAGAAAAAATGTCTGTGTTTGTTCATCCTCAGGGCATTCCTACTCCAGGACAAGGGGCACTTGGAGAGAGTAAAGTCTCCCACCTTCCAAAGGCTACAGGTAATAAGGATAGTATCTAATAATGTTTGATTGTTGTATTTATTTGGGCAATAATGAGGGTGTGAAACCCTTTGGTTAATTTTTATGATCTGAATTTTTACTGTCATTGCAAATAAAATAATCAAAGTTCTATCTAACACAGAAAAGAAGTCACCCAGATTGGGGACAGATTCTAAAAAAGGATGAGATGAAGATACTTTCAGGTAAAAAGGAAGAGCATTTGAACAGGCAGAAAGCAGTAGTAATACTAATAATAATAATGTGCATTTACTATGTGATTATGCTAAGTACCATGCTTAATAATTTATATGCATTCCCTCAAGGTATGTCCCAAAAATCTTTAAGTTAGATGTTCCATCAACATTTTGCAAATGATGCAATGAATTGCAAACTCTCAAGGAAGCAATACAGCATACTTGAGGAGCTACAAGTAGTCTCTTAGTTCTGGAGTACAAGCGCCTCTGAGAAAGCAAGAAAAGTAGACTTATATTATGTTTTGTATTCAAGTCTAATATTAATAATACAACTAGCATGAACAGTTATGGGACAGAAAAGCTTCTCAATGTTTTTTTCTCCCCCATTTAATACTAAGATGCTTCTCAAGGCAGGACTATTTTGAAGGACTATACAGCTACCTATTGGATTTCCTTTGTTCTTTTAGTTCTCTAGACTTTAATCCAGGTTGCAGTTCTCTGAAATTAAACAGTAAATGGAAAAAATATGAAAGACCCAGGGACTTTTTCACCATCTAGGTATATAAAATTCTATAATGTCAGTTATTAAGATGACTTAGTTCTTTTGGGCTGCTATAACAAAATATCAGAAACTGAGTAGATATAAACAGCAGTCATTTATTTCTCACAGTCTGGAAGGCTGGAAGTCTGAGCTCAAAATGCCTGCACATTTGTTGTTTGTTGAGGGCCTGCTCACTTTCTGATTCATAAATGGCCCCTCATATGATAGTTCTTCACATGGTGGAAGAGACAAGGCAGCTCTCTGGGGCCTCTTTTATGAAGGCTTTGCCCTAATGATCTGATCACCTCCCAACATCCTCACCTCCTAAAATGATCACACTGGTGATTAAGTTACTTATGAAGTTTAGGGAGACACAAACATCAGACCATAGCATAGGGTTTGCCACGGTACCTATATAGATCCCTCATGATGGAACTAGGCCTGTATATAAAGGGTTGAGGGACTGGGTCAGTCTAGGACCTCCTCTGATGCTTAACCTGCCAGTGCCTTCATCTTGGACTTCTTAGCCTCCAGAACTGTAAGAAATAAATTTCCATTGTTTACAAATTACCCAGTCTTGGGTATTTTCTTATAGTAGCCCTAACAGATAAGGACAAATGTCAAGCTGCCTTGTAAACTTTCTGTGCTGCCAAAAATTAAAACAAAACTTAAGATGTCTCTTCCCTTACAAATTTGCAATGAATAGATTTCTGAGTTTAAACCAGAGTTCCAGAAGATTTTATTACCTTCAATGTAAGTGCAAAGGAGATGTTTATATTTCAAAATATATGTAACTTTATTATTAAAGAGAGTCCACCTCACCTTCAATTTAAAGTAATTAATCTGCAACGTAATGACATGCTAAAAAGCAACTATCAAGAGAAGAATCTAACAGAATTCCATAAATGATCAACTGACATGTATTAATATCAATATTTGGCAGTATCTTTGTGGGGAAAAATGTTTTAAAGATGAAATGTGTTTTACATATAATATTACAGGTAAGCATTAACAGAAGCAAATTTGCAGTTGATTTTGTAAAGTGAGAACACCACCTTTGAACTTCAATTAAGAAAAATATTATCCTCCCAAAAAAAATTCAGTTTTCTCATTAGTGGATCTGTATCACAAATAACATATTATTATATATAATGTGACTTATATTATTACGTATAACATTATATTATTATTACATTTAGGGAAATTTGGCTTCTTTCTTATTATAAGTATCTATGAAATTCCCATTTTTGCCTCTTGACTGTTTGCCACAACAAAGTCTAAAATATTTACTATCTGTTCCTTTACAGAAAAAGTTTACCAATCCCAGGTCAAGATAAACTATGCTGCGCTAAAATGAACCCTGAAATGTCAATGGTTTAATACAAGAGGGGTTTATTTACTGCTCATGGCTCAGCCTAACGTGGCTCCTGCAATTCTTCATGCCCTCCTCCAGTGGTGACACAGGGATCCAGGCATCTTTCATCTTGCAATTCTGTCATTTTGGAGTTCTTTATTTTCACACTTTTATTTGAAAGGGAGAGAATAAGAAAAATTCACAACTGTGTATCTAGGTTGGAATGGAAGTGATGTATCACTTGTGATCATATTTGGGAGTCACAAGAATAGGATAATATTTAATGACATGGTAATGAATGAGATCATATACAAAGAAAATAGAATGAGAAGAGGAAAATCACTCAAGGAACATACGCCAACACACCTTGATATATAGCTGCCCAGTCAGAAAGAGGAAAATAAATGTAGAAGGCTTTTGAGAATGACAGCCAGAAGAGAAGGAAAACCAGGAGACTTTGATATCACAAAAGCCCAACAAAGTCTCAAAATGAAAAGAGAGAGTTATAGTCTGTGATATCAATTACTAAGTATTAAGTGTGACTAAGACAATTCAAAATTCCCTTGAACTGAATTTTTCACACCTGTATAATAATATATTGATAATATCTACTTCAAAAGATCCAATATGAAGATGAAAGGCAACTATGTATTTGAAAGTACTATAATTCCTACAGGAATTATGATAATAAGTATCATTGCAGTCACATGACAGAGGCACCTCTACTCTGTGCCAAACTTCCCTGAAGAGTTAGAATTCTCCCGTAACCTACCTTAACCATTGCCTCCAACTTAACATATCAGATTTTACCAAACTAGTTTGGGTGTGGAAAATCAGTCTAATTGAAATTCAGTGATTCCCAGCCTGAAGCATTTCAGAGGCAGACCTAACCGAGTATATGAATCTCTCTTTCAGTAGAATGGGAGTGGTGTGTTAAATCCTTACAATTTTTCTGGGACAAAGAACCAACTCAAGCTGGCAGCTACTGAGCCACCACAAGGCCATAGGCAAACACAGTAAGCTATAGATTGAAATTCTAGTAAACAGTGCCTCAAACTGCAGGAAATCATAAAAGCAGCTGAATGAAAGCTGTGTCTGATGCTCTCTGGACATTAGGCATGACCAACAGTGAAGGTAAAAATAAACAAATATAAAAATATGTCTCTACTTAACTCTAACCTTTCACTTCACAAATTTTTATTCAAAGACATTTGCAAAAGTACAGAGGTTGGTTATGTTTTTCTTTTTTACTTCTTTTTTATAATACATTGAAATTATCCAATTGAAACCATATGTTGGCTCAATTATTCTCAATTGCAAAATGCTCACCATTTCAAGAGCCAATAAAAAGGGGAGGGACTAATGTAGCAAGATAAATACTCTTGGACAGATGGAACCCTGTGTTTCCAATCTATTGGAAAGGAGGAAAAGCCGCCTCTTTGATTAATTATGTACAGAGCAGAAATGCAATGCCTCTGAAGTAATAATGCACTGATATATTGGAAAACACATATAATTTGGAGAGAAACAAACCTAGATTCAAGACCAGCTTTTCTACATTTTCACTCTGTGTTCTTTTAAAGCATTTGTAATCTCACTGAGGCTCAGTTTCATTTCCTGTAACATGAAGCTAATAATGCCTACCTTGCATAACTGTCATGTAGAACAAATAAGCTTAAGAAGATAAAGAATACATATGTCTGTCATATAGTTGGGCCTTGACAATAAATAAAATGGATGACAACTTAATGTGGTTTGGTCGTGTCCCCATCCAAATCTCATCTTGAATTGTAGTTCTCACAATCCCCATGTATTGTGGGAAGGACCTGGTGGGAGGTAATTGAATAATGGAGAAAGTTACCTCCATGCTGTTCTCATGATACCTAGTGAGTGCTCACAAAATCTGATGGCTTCATAAGGGGCATATCCGCCTTTGCTCAGCTCTTCCCCTTCCTGCTGCCATTTGAAGAAGGACGTGTTTGCTTCCCCTTCCACCATGATTGTTAAGTTTCCCGAGGCCTCCCCAGCCCTGCAAAACTGTGAGTCAATTAAGCCTCATTCCCTTACAAATTACCCAGTCTCTGGTATTTCTTCATAGCATTTCCACATTAAGGAACCAGAGAACAAAAGAAGTTAAATAACTTGGCTGAGGTCTTGTAAATATAAAGCCAGGTTTTAAAAACATATGGGAGTCTATAGTTTGTACAACTTTCTGCCTCTGGTTTACTGAAAAATACAATATCCATGAGAAATCAGGCATCATACTTTTACCAAAATAATATTACTGAAAGGAAAAATTGGAAATTGAAGAACATGAAAAACACTTTTTAATTTTTATCCCTATTTGAATACAACTTTAGAGTTCACAAAAGGTGGTTATATGCATTGTCTCACTTCATCTTTAAGACTCAAGCATTCCATTATTTTAATTTCCAGTTTAAATCAATGCTTAGAATAATGCCTGACACATAACAGGTGTTCAGTAAATCCTTGCTGAGGTAATGAACATAAGTACAAATGAATGAATTTATTGCCTAGAGCCCTTAGAGCCCTTGCTGAGAAAGATGCACAGCTAAGATAGAAAGCATGTTGTGGCTGGGCACAGTGGCTCACGCCTCTAATCCCACACTTTGGAAGGCCAAGGCGGGTAGATCATGGTCAGGAGTTCGAGACCAGCCTGGCCAACATGGTGAAACCCCGTCTGTACTAAGAATAAAAATATTAGCTGGGTGTGGTGGTGCACACCTGTAGTCCCAGCTACTTGGGAGGCTGAGGTGGGAGAATCACTTAAACCTGAGAGGCAGAGATTGCAGTGAGCTGAGATGGCACCACTGCACTCCAGCCTGGGTGACAGAGGGAGATCCTGTCTCAAAAAATAAAAAAAAGAGAAAGTATGTTGTGATTGATTGTAATCTATGCTATGGCTGTGGTGTGGTCTATGTCACATAATTGCCTTACTTGCACTAAGACATAAGCCCTGGAGGGTAAAATTGATTTAGCCTTAAATCTCATAGCTTCATACTGTAGACAATATATGGGAGAAAATGCAGTAATAAAATGTGAAAACAGTGTAAATTCATTGGCTTCTGGGAGTCTGATTTTAAAATAAAGACACAAGAGAAGATCTGAGATTAAAATATGCAAGCACTGGCTTGCATAAAAATTAGACGTGATGGTAACTTACTCATAGTCTCAACCTCAATATTTCAGTGAGAGGAGGTAGAAGATTGAAGGCTGATGCACAAAGAACTTAGAAAAACTGTGAGTCAGAATGGCTGTTCTTAAAAGTGCAAGCAAAGCCCAGTTCAAGATAGTGTCATGGTTAAGGGTGTGGCCTCTTCAATCCCTGTGGCAGGCAAATCCCTATCTGGAGATGAATGTCTCAGCTTAATTAATGTTGGTACGGTTACATATTTAAAATATTTTTACTTAAATCATTTTGCATCTAGGGTGTGCTAACTAAAGTAACTGAGTATGAAGACTTCTCAGAGTAAATACATGAATAATCTGACATTCATATATACAGCCTTATATAAAGACAAGGAAGAATAAATTCTACATTTTGCTCATGATAATTCAAGATACAGCCAGTCTTTCCATTTGGTCCCTTTGTTTTCACCATGGCAGGCCCCAGTGCCATTCAGACTCTAAATTTGGGGGGATCTACTGTGAAGGGTTCTATGATCAGTCACAGCCTCAGCATCCCTGGGTTCAAATTTTCAAGGGAGAGCAATTCGTAGGCCAGGTGTTTGTTCTTGGCTCATTCCTCTTTTGCCAGTGGGGCAGTGGACAGGACAGGTTAAACTAAAAGGAAAAGTTGACTGAAATGTCCAGCATGAATATGTCATAGCAAGAAGAAGACAATACAATCTCACGTCTTTAGAGGGTAGCACCAATACAAACAAATACATGAAGACAGGATATAAATCTCAGCGCAGAATAAACAAATGATTTCCAATAACTGAGTAAACTGCTTTTTTCTCCATCACTGGAGGAGTTCAAACAGACCTCAGTGACCACTTGCTAGTGATGTGATTGAGAATATGCCTGTATTGCTAAGAGTTAGATTAGACAATATCTAAGAAACCTCCTTGCCAATAGACTCCATGATTTGTTGACTCTATAGCAAAACATAAGAAAAATCAAGTTGATTAGTATTATATCACATATAAAATCCAGGTATTTCACTATGCTTTTCATAGGGAAGCAAGTCACGCCATGCCTCACAATGTATCTTCCAATACAACCTGTGCTGTGCATATCCAGAATAGATACTATATACGAGATTCCCCAGAAAGAAAAAGCAGACAAATGATAACAGAGCATTAATTTGCAGTCACATCCCTGGGCTCTATCAATGGATGGTGACTTGGCTGGGAGAAAACGAAGAGTACTATCATATGTGATTCTCAATACAAAGACGTGCATTGAAAAGCAGCTGATGCTTCACTTATTTGACACTGACTCAAAGAAGTGAAAGAGGTGGCAGAACCCTTAGATCTTTAACAAACATCAGCTTCTTGTATCATATCTGGGCCTGGCCTCCCAGAAATGGATGTTGTGTGGTTGGATAGGGATGTAAGTATGAATAACCGTACGGATAACATTGTTGGACACCAGGGGTATTAGAACTTTCTGGACTTTTCCATGCATTCTTATGAAAATAAGTTCCCATTACAAGTTTTTCTGAAAAAAAATATGTTTTTCTAAAACATTATTTTGGTGTATTATGACATTTCAAAAACAGAACAGATTAAAGCAACTTTTATTCATTCTACAAATGTATATTGAACATCTATTCTCAATCACACAATGAAGTTTCCTTAGAGAGAAAACAGAAAATTTAGAGCAAAGATAATGTCAGAGTGGTTATGGAGATCCACACTAATTTTGAGAAGCCTTAGATTCCTTCATTCTTAGGGAAAGGTCTTAGGGAAAGGTTAACACAGTGGTAAAGAGCTTGGGTGCTTATATTAGGCACAGTTGCATTAAATTCACAGCTCCTCACTTTACCGGTTGTATGACCTTAGGCAAGTGCATTTACCTCTATGAGCCTCAATTACTTCATCTGCAAAATAGGAATTAAAAAAATGATAATTCTGATTTCCTATGACTGTCACAAGAATTAAATAAAGTATGAAAAGCACTTGCCCAATGCAAAATGTTCAATGTTGCATTTCTTTGGCTCTAAGACACGCCTTTTATGACACTTTAATATTTCTCTAATTAGGATGTGTTTTATAATAATGACAACTTATACTCATTGTTGACCATGTACCAATTGTTAGATGTTATTTTCTATGCTTGTGGATGGTTATATTATTTTCATTTAAATTGGTATATGTACATAGTTGTTTCTATATCTGCTACATTTTAAGTGTCTTAAAGAAGGTTACACTATGATTCCACATTAAAATAAAAATTACTGTATATTCTAGAGGTCACAGAGAAAGAGTACTGAAACATTTAATTTTAGGCACACAAATATCATTGTTGCAAAAATCACCAAAATTCCATATTTTCTGGCAAAGCAACAATCAAGTGCTTAACAGGATCTAAGAAAGAAAGGTACCCACAAATAAATGATGCTGTTATCTTTTGTAACCTAAATAGCTACTAAAATTACCTATTACACACCTAGCTTTGGAATTAAAGAGAGCAGTAACTAGTAAAGCAGTAAAGCAATGAGAGGCTAATGTGACCAATTCATATTTTGCAGAGAACAACTGATAAAGTATTAAACAGAAATTTGTGAAAAATCTACATCTGACTTTGAGCTTAAATTCCAAAGATATAAGATCAATGAAGAAAAAAAGAAAAAGAAACAAAGGAAGAAAGAAAGGGAGGGAGGGAGGGAGGAAGAGAAGGAGAGAGAAAGAGAGAGAGAGAAAAAAGAGAGGAAGGGAGAAAAAGAGGAAGGAAAAAGAGAGAGAGGGAGAAAAAAGAGAGGAAGGGAGGAAGAGAGGAAGAAAGGAAGGAAAGGAGGAAAGGAGGGCAGGAGGGAGAGAGGGAGGAAGGGAAAGTACCATCATTAAAACTAGTAGAATAGGTATAATTGGCTTAGAAGAAAATCCTAGAGACAATAATGGAACATTGTGTTATGAATTTTTACCATTTGTGGGTATTAATGATGAGTTCAGAAGTGATTTAGAAGTGGTAGCCTATGAATGGAAAATTCTAGGAAGTGTACAACAAAATTAATTTATTTTATGTTTTTCTTTCAATACCTTCCCCCAAAATGATAAATGATAAAAGCCTGAATTTAAATCTAAAAGATTTTTAAAATAAGAATAAAATAAAGATTTGAGTAAGATAATATTCTGTTCTAATCTAATAACCTTTTTGTTGTTATGGCCAACAAAATAATGGTGCATCTCAAAATTGATAAGGTCTTAGAACGGATAAAATATCTAAGTGTTAGCTATTGCAATATAGCTGTATCTCCATAGTATTAGCAAGATTTCTCTCACAAAATATTTATTGAAGAAAAACAGAGTCACTTTTCACTTTCAAAGTTGCACTATAGCTGCTGGAGTCCAATTTACAGTAGGTACAACAATAGCCAAGCTATTAGACCAAAAAAAATTAGCCATTTACCTACTTTCTTCATCTCAAGTACAGTTGTATAATTTCCTGGAAATTTTCTCCTGGGTAGCTTTTGGTAACACTTTTGCAAGTTTCAGACAAATGGAGTTAACACGTCAGCTAACCCTTATGATTGACTCAATCTGTCTGTTTAGTCCAAGAAGTGATTCAATGAATTTTTTCTTCAGTGATCTTCCAGCCAGGGCTGTAAGAACCCAACCTTATTAATAGTCTGCAAACAAGAAAGATACTGGAGACAGTTCTGAAGGTCATAACCAAGACAGCCCTTGAGAAATGTTGCCTGTCATCTAAATTTGTCTTGAGTGTTACCCTCCTTCCCCATCAGTAACTCATTGTAGGCTTGAGTTACACATGTGCATGTATACACATGCATACACACAATGCAAGCATACATACACAGTACTTTCTAGGCTTTCAGCTGGCTGTCAAATACCAGAATACAGAAAGTTAAACACAAGCAATATTCTAGGAGAAAATATTTGCAATTCTAGTGGGATGATAACCTGAAAGGCGATGTTTTTGTCCCCTGCAATCTATTTGTGAAAGGATACAATGGAAGAAATAAAAATAAAAATAATGTAATTTATGACTTTAAAGCTCCCAGAAACTCAGATCCTGGCATTAACAACAGGTTTGCAGAAATATTTAGCTAGCCGGCATTTCCTAATACAGCGAGAACACATAGAACTTCTATGAGCTACAAGAAACAGGAAGAAAACGTTTGAAATAAAACAGCTGGGCAGAATGTGGTAAGCCTATATCTTTTTTGCTCCAAGTCCTGGAGTGGGAGTAGGAGAAAGTAATAGAACTCCTAATACAAACTCAAATTCAAAAGTAGAAAATCCATAGGCCTTTTTTCCTGGGTGAAGCTCTGCAAAATGATAGGCAACTAAAAGAAATGTCCCACACTTCCAAGATCTAGCAGTAGCAGATAGGGCACAGGGACCTGTTGCGTCTGAAGGTGTTGGAGGTCAGCGAGACTCTCAGAATTTTTTATGTTACCATACCATATGAAGAAAGAGTAAAGATTACTACATAAATTATCAATCGTTTGCTGGCTGTAACTTCTGGTGTCCTCATCATATCTGGTTTCTGCTCTAGTGGCATCCTTTTGCTGGATTTATCATGTGGTATATTTTGAATTGAGCAACTTACACCATCATGCCAGGAGTGATCTTACTGAATCAGAGCCACTACCATCTCATTGCCTGGCTGCCTCTTTCATGGCTTATTTTGAACGTATAAGAAAGTGAAAGTTGCGGCACTACTCACAATAGCAAAGACTTGTGATGCACAGGAGCCAAGATGGCCGAATAGGAACAGCTCCAGTCTACAGCTCCCAGCGTGAGCGACGCAGAAGACGGGTGATTTCTGCATTTCCATCTGAGGTACCGGGTTCATCTCACTACGGAGTGCCAGACAGTGGGCGCAGGTCAGCGGGTGCGCGCACCGTGCGCGAGCCGAAGCAGGGCGAGGCATTGCCTCACTTGGGAAGCGCAAGGGGTCAGGGAGTTCCCTTTCTGAGTCAAAGAAAGGGGTGACGGGCGGCACCTGGAAAATCGGGTCACTCCCACCCGAACACTGCGCTTTTCTGACGGGCTTAAAAAGCGGCGCACCACGAGATTATATCCTGCACCTGGCTCGGAGGGTCCTACGCCCACGGAGTCTCGCTGATTGCTAGCACAGCAGTCTGAGATCAAACTGCAAGGCGGCAGCGAGGCTGGGGGAGGGGCGCCCGCCATTGCCCAGGCTTGATTAGGTAAACAAAGCAGCGGGGAAGCTCGAACTGGGTGGAGCCCACCACAGCTCAAGGAGGCCTGCCTGCCTCTGTAGGCTCCACCTCTGGGGGCAGGGCACAGCCAAACAAAAAGACAGCAGTAACCTCTGCAGACTTAAATGTCCCTGTCTGACAGCTTTAAAGAGAGCAGTGGTTCTCCCAGCACGCAGCTGGAGATCTGAGAACGGGCAGACTGCCTCCTCAAGTGGGTCCCTGACCCCTGACCCCCAAGCAGCCTAACTGGGAGGCACCCCCCAGCAGGTGCACACTGACACCTCACACGGCAGGGTACTCCAACAGACCTGCAGCTGAGAGTCCTCTCTGTTAGAAGGAAAACTAACAAACAGAAAGGACATCCACACCAAAAACCCATCAGTACATCACCATCATCAAAGACCAAAAGTAGATAAAACCACAAAGATGGGGAAAAAACAGAACAGAAAAACTGGAAACTCTAAAAAGCAGAGCGCCTCTCCTCCTCCAAAGGAACGCAGTTCCTCACCAGCAACGGAACAAAGCTGGATGGAGAATGACTTTGACGAGCTGAGAGAAGATGGCTTCAGACGATCAAATTACTCTGAGCTACGGGAGGACATTCAAACCAAAGGCAAAGAAGTTGAAAACTTTGAAATAAATTTGGAAGAATGTATAACTAGAATAACCAATACAGAGAAGTGCTTAAAGGAGCTGATGGAGCTGAAAACCAAGGCTCGAGAACTACGTGAAGAATGCAGAAGCCTCAGGAGCCAATGCGATCAACTGGAAGTAAGGGTATCAGCAATGGAAGATGAAATGAATGAAATGAAGCGAGAAGGGAAGTTTAGAGAAAAAAGAATAAAAAGAAATGAGCAAAGCCTCCAAGAAATATGGGACTATGTGAAAAGACCAAATCTACATCTGATTGGTGTCACTGAAAGTGATGGGGAGAATGGAACCAAGTTGGAAAACACTCTGCAGGATATTATCCAGGAGAACTTCCCCAACCTAGCAAGGCAGGCCAACGTTCAGATTCAGGAAATACAGAGAACGCCACAAAGATACTCCTCGAGAAGAGCAACTCCAAGACACATAATTGTCAGATTCACCAAAGTTGAAATGAAGGAAAAAATGTTAAGGGTAGCCAGAGAGAAAGGTTGGGTTACCCTCAAAGGGAAGCCCATCAGACTAACAGCGGATCTCTCGGCAGAAACCCTACAAGCCAGAAGAGAGTGGGGGCCAATATTCAACATTCTTAAAGAAAAGAATTTTCAACCCAGAATTTCATATCCAGCCAAACTAAGCTTCAAAAGTGAAGGAGAAATAAAATACTTTACAGACAAGCAAATGCTGAGAGATTTTGTCACCACCAGGCCTGCCTTACAAGAGCTCCTGAAGGAAGCACTAAACATGGAAAGGAACAACCGGTACCAGCCGCTGCAAAATCATGCCAAAATGTAAAGACCATCAAGACTAGGAAGAAACTGCATCAACTAACGAGCAAAATAACCAGCTAACATCATAATGATGGGATCAAATTCACACATAACAATATTAACTTTAAATGTAAATGGGCTAAATGCTCCAATTAAAAGACACAGACTGGCAAATTGGATAAAGAGTCAAGACCCATCAGTGTGCTGTATTCAGGAAACCCATCTCACGTGCAGAGACACACATAGGCTCAAAATAAAAGGATGGAGGAAGATCTACCAAGCCAATGGAAAACAAAAAAAGGCAGGGGTTGCAATCCTAGTCTCTGATAAAACAGACTTTAAACCAACACAGATCAAAAGAGACAAAGAAGGCCATTACATAATGGTAAAGGGATCAATTCAACAAGAAGAGCTAACTATCCTAAATATATACGCACCCAATACAGGAGCACCAAGATTCATAAAGCAAGTCCTGAGAGACCTACAAAGAGACTTAGACTCCCACACATTAATAATGGGAGACTTTAACACCCCACTGTCAACATTAGACAGATCAACGAGACAGAAAGTCAACAAGGATACCCAGGAATTGAACTCAGCTCTGCACCAAGCGGACCTCATAGACATCTACAGAACTCTCCACCCCAAATCAACAGAATATACATTTTTTTCAGCACCACACCACACCTATTCCAAAATTGACCACATACTGGGAAGTAAAGCTCTCCTCAGCAAAAGTAAAAGAACAGAAATTATAACAAACTATCTCTCAGACCACAGTGCAATCAAACTGGAACTCAGGATTAAGAATCTCACTCAAAACCGCTCAACTACATGGAAACTGAACAACCTGCTCCTGAATGACTACTGGGTACATAACAAAATGAAGGCAGAAATAAAGATGTTCTTTGAAACCAACGAGAACAAAGACACAACATACCAGAATCTCTGGGATGCATTCAAAGCAGTGTGTAGAGGGAAATTTATAGCACTAAGTGCCCACAAGAGAAAGCAGGAAAGATCTAAAATTGACACCCTAACATCACAATTAAAAGAACTAGAAAAGCGAGAGCAAACACATTCAAAAGCTAGCAGAAGGCAAGAAATAACTAAAATCAGAGCAGAACTGAAGGAAATACAGACACAAAAAACCCTTCAAAAAATTAATGAATCCAGGAGCTGGTTTTTTGAAAGGATCAACAAAATTGATAGACCGCTAGCAAGACTAATAAAGAAAAAAAGAGAGAAGAATCAAATAGACGCAATAAAAAATGATATAGGGGATATCACCACCGATCCCACAGAAATACAAACTACCATCAGAGAATACTACAAACACCTCTACGCAAATAAACCAGAAAATCTAGAAGAAATGGATAAATTCCTCGACACATACACTCTCCCAAGACTAAACCAGGAAGAAGTTGAATCTCTGAATAGACCAATAACAGGAGCTGAAATTGTGGCAATAATCAATAGCTTACCAACCAAAAAGAGTCCAGGACCAGACGGACTCACAGCTGAATTCTACCAGAGGTACAAGGAGGAACTGGTACCATTCCTTCTGAAACTATTACACTCAATAGAAAAAGAGGGAATCCTCCCTAACTCATTTTATGAGGCCAGCATCATTCTGATACCAAAGCCAGGCAGAGACACAACAAAAAAAGAGAATTTTAGACCAATATCCTTGATGAACATTGATGCAAAAATCCTCAATAAAATACTGGCAAAACGAATCCAGCAGCACATCAAAAAGCTTATCCACCATGATCAAGTGGGCTTCATCCCTGGGATGCAAGGCTGGTTCAATATACACAAATCAATAAATGTAATCCAGCATATAAACAGAGCCAAAGACAAAAACCACATGATTATCTCAATAGATGCAGAAAAAGCCTTTGACAAAATTCAACAACCCTTCATGCTAAAAACTCTCAGTAAATTAGGTATTGATGGGATGTATTTCAAAATAATAAGAGCTATCTATGACAAACCCACAGCCAATATCATACCGAATGGGCAAAAACTGGAAGCATTCCCTTTGAAAACTGGCACAAGACAGGGATGCCCTCTCTCACCACTCCTATTCAACATAGTGTTGGAAGTTCTGGCCAGGGCAATTAGGCAGGAGAAGGAAATAAAGGGTATTCAATTAGGAAAAGAGGAAGTCAAATTGTCCCTGTTTGCAGACGACATGATTGTATATCTAGAAAACCCCATTGTCTCAGCCCAAAATCTCCTTAAGCTGATAAGCAACTTCAGCAAAGTCTCAGGATACAAAATCAATGTACAAAAATCACAAGCATTCTTATACACCAACAACAGACAAACAGAGAGCCAAATCATGAGTGAACTCCCATTCACAATTGCTTCAAAGAGAATAAAATACCTAGGAATCCAACTTACAAGGGATGTGAAGGACCTCTTCAAGGAGAACTACAAACCACTGCTCAAGGAAATAAAAGAGGATACAAACAAATGGAAGAACATTCCATGCTCATGGGTAGGAAGAATCAATATCGTGAAAATGGCCATACTGCCCAAGGTAATTTACAGATTCAATGCCATCCCCATCAAGCTACCAATGACTTTCTTCACAGAATTGGAAAAAACTACTTTAAAGTGCATATGGAACCAAAAAAGAGCCCGCATCACCAAGTCAATCCTAAGCCGAAAGAACAAAGCTGGAGGCATCACACTACCTGACTTCAAACTATACTACAAGGCTACAGTAACCAAAACAGCATGGTACTGGTACCAAAACAGAGATATAGATCAATGGAACAGAACAGAGCCCTCAGAAATAATGCCGCATATCTACAACTATCTGATCTTTGACAAACCTGAGAAAAACAAGCAATGGGGAAAGGGTTCCCTATTTAATAAATGGTGCTGGGAAAACTGGCTAGCCATATGTAGAAAGCTGAAACTGGATCCCTTCTTTACACCTTATACAAAACTCAATTCAAGATGGATTAAAGACTTAAATGTTAGACCTAAAACCATAAAAACCCTAGAAGAAAACCTAGGCATTACCATTCAGGACATAGGCATGGGCAAGGACTTCATGTCTAAAACACCAAAAGCAATGGCAACAAAAGCCAAAATTGACAAATGGGATCTAATTAAACTAAAGAGCTTCTGCACAGCAAAAGACACTACCATCAGAGTGAACAGGCAACCTACGAAATGGGAGAAAATTTTCGCAACCTACTCATCTGACAAAGGGCTAATATCCGGAATCTACAATGAACTCAAACAAATTTACAAGAAAAAAACAACCCCATCAAAAAGTGGGTGAAGGACATGAACAGACACTTCTCAAAAGAAGACATTTATGCAGCCAAAAAACACATGAAAAAATTCTCATCATCACTGGCCATCAGAGAAATGCAAATCAAAACCACAATGAGATACCATCTCACACCAGTTAGAATGGCAATCATTAAAAAGTCAGGAAACAACAGGTGCTGGAGAGGATGTGGAGAAATAGGAACACTTTTACACTGTTGGTGGGACTGTAAACTAGTTCAACCATTGTGGAAGTCAGTGTGGCGATGCCTCAGGGATCTAGAACTGGAAATACCATTTGACCCAGCCATCCCATTACTGGGTATATACCCAAAGGACTATAAATCATGCTGCTATAAAGACACATGCACACGTATGTTTATGCGGCATTATTCACAATAGCAAAGACTTTGAACCAACCCAAATGTCCAACAATGATAGATTGGATTAAGAAAATGTGGCACATATACACCATGGAATACTATGCAGCCATAAAAAATGATGAGTTCATGTCCTTTGTAGGGACATGGATGAAATTGGAAATCATCATTCTCAGTAAACTATCGCAAGAACAAAAAACCAAACACCGCATATTCTCACTCATAGGTGGGAATGGAACAATGAGATCACATGGACACAGGAAGGGGAATATCACACTCTGGGGACTGTTGTGGGGTGGGGGGAGGGGGGAGGGATAGCATCGGGAGATATACCTAATGCTAGATGATGCATTAGTGGGTGCAGCGCACCAGCATGGCACATACATATGTAACTAACCTGCACAATGTGCACATGTACCCTAAAACTTAAAGTATAATAAAAAAAAAAAAAGACTTGCGATGCAAACCCAAATGTCCAACAATGATAGACTGGATTAAGAAAATGTGGCACATATACACCATGGAATACTATGCAGCCATAAAAATGATGAGTTCATGTCCTTTGTAGGGACATGGATGAAGCTGGAAAGCATCATTCTCAGCAAACTATCGCAAGAACAAAAAACCAAACACCGCATGTTCTCAATCATAGGTGGGAACCGAACAATGAGAACACTTGGACACAGGAAGGGGAACATCACACACCGGGGCCTGTTGTGGGGTGGGGGGAAGGGGGAGGGATAACATTAGGAGATATACCTAATGTAAATGACAAGTTAATGGGTGCAGCACACCAACATGGCACATGTATACATATGTAACAAACCTGCACATTGTGCACATGTACCCTAGAACTTAAAGTATAATAAAAATATATATATATATATAATTTTTTAAAAAAGAAAGTGAAAGTTGCTTTGCCAAGGCAAAGTGTGGGAAACTATGTCTTTCAAGTCTGGATTTTCCATCTACACTACAAAAAGAAAGATTGCTTAACAAATATTTACAATATTACGCTAGGGGAAATAATATTTTAATAGCTTTATTCAGGTTTAATTGACATGTGATAAGCTACAGTTCAAGTATAAAATATGGTTATTTGACAGACATATGGGTTCACATTTTATATATCTGTGCAACCATCACCACAATCAAGATAATGAACATGTTCATAATCCCCAGAAGTTTCCTCCTGCAATCACTATAAATTAATTTGAATTTCCTAGAATTAAATATAAATGAAATCATACAATATGTACTCTTGTTTATCTGGCTTCTTTCATTCAGTGTAATTATTTTAAAATTCTTCCATGTTGTTGACATTATCAGTAGTTCATTTCTTTTTGTTGCTGAATAGTATTCCCTATTTTAAACATACTGCAATTGTTTTTGCACCTCTTGGTGAACATTTGGGTTATTTCCTGTTTATAGCTATTACTAATAAAGCTGCTATGACTATCCGTGTGTCAGTATGTATGAGCATACTTTTCCATTTATCTTGGGTACACATCTAGGAATACAATGACAGAACCATATGGTAGATTTATGTTTAAAGTTTTATTAAACTACCAAACTATTTTCCAACATGGTTGTACAGTTTTACGTTTTTGCTCACAGTATATGAGAGTTCAAGCTGCTCCAATGCTGTACTCCTTCTAAGGACAGTATTGTCATATTAAAATTTTAGAAGTGCTTATAAGTGTGTAATACAGTAGTATTACATTATGGTTTTAATTTGCATTTTGCAGATGACTAATTGTCTTGGTCCATTTTCTATTGCTTATAGCAGAATACCTAAAACTGGGTAATTCATTAACAAACAAAATGTACATTTTACAGTTCCAGAGGCTGTCCAAGGTCAAGGGGGGACATCTGGTGAGGGCCTTCATGCTGGTGGAAGACTCTCCATGTCTTTGGGATCCATCCCTTGGTGAAGAAGCTAAGCATGTTAGCTCAGATTTCTCTTCCTCTTTTTTTTTTCCTTAAATTTACCTCAAGTAGGCTTTGATCTCATCCTCTTCTTATAAAGCCACCAGTACTGCTCCTATGTAAGCATATTAATTCATTAACCCATAATTCCATTAATTCATGAATGGATAATCTATTTATGAGGGCAGAGGCCTCATGACCTAATCACCGCCCAAAGGTACCACCTCTCGATATTGGCACATTGGGGAATGAATTTCCACATGAGTTTTGGAGGGAGCAAATCCATAAGACTAATATTGTTGATAAATTTTTCGTATGCATATTTCCCAATATATGCATATATTTTCTTAGATTACAGGTCTGTTTAAATCTTTTGCTCATTTTTATTGGATTATTTGCTGTCTTATTATCAAATTTTGGGTGTTCTTCATATATATTGATAGCAAATTCTTTGCCAGATATGTGATATGCTAATAATTTTTACCATAACTTTTTGTTTTCTTAACAAAGACTTTCAAAGAAAGGTTCTTAAATTTGATCAAGTCACCTTTATCAATTTTGTCTTTTCTATGATTTTATACAATATTTTAAATAATTTTGTGCATGAAACATTTGTGTTAAGTACTTATGTGTAGAATTTTCCACCTGTGGCATCATGTGAGAACTAAAAAACTTTCTGATTTTGGAGCATTTCAGATTTTGGATTTTATGATTAAGGATGCTCAACTTGTATTGCAATTCCACTTGTTGAAAAACTTATTTTTCCATTGAATTACTTTTGCAACTTTGTTAAAAATCAATTAATGATGAATGTGCAGGTCTACTTCTGGATTCTCTGTTCTTTTTCATTGATCTTTTTCTCTATTTTGATGCCAATATAGCACTGTTTAGATAACTGAAGCTTTTAATGCATCTTCAAGTGACATAGTACAAGTTATCCAAATGTATTCATCTTTCTCAAAGTTATTTTAACTATACTAGATCTTTTGCATTTCCACATGAATTTTAGAAACAGCTTGTCAGTTTACAAAAATGTTTGCTGGTATTTTGATTTTCAACCCCATTTTCTCAATTCAAGGAGGCCACTGGACTCCACCTGGGCTCCCCTTCCCTACACAGGGCTGGTTTCCTATCTCCCAGGAGTCACTGTCCTCCATTGTCTAATGCCAATGACTTGAAAACTGTTGTTTAATATATTGTGTCTGGTATTTTAGTTATTTCAGGTTGGAAGGTACAGTCAATGTCTGTTATTCATCTTTTCCAGAAGTGCATCAATATGATTTTTTAATGTCTTAACTATAATATTTGGGTTCATATATTCTCATGGTATTTTGGTTTTGGTTATTTGGGATGACATTTCTCAATCAACAGGTGTTCTTCCCCAAATTAAAATACTTAGAAACCTCTTCTTATTTAGGATTCTAAGGCCAGAATTTTAACATATTAAAATATCTAAAGTAAGAACAAAACACAGAAATATTAACCTAAACATTGCGAAGCACTTACAATTCCGATGAATCCAAAAAGCCTGATGTTTGGTTTCATATACATGTAACACCAGAATGCTTACTTTTTGTTTTTCCTGACAGCTATTAAAGTTTATATCCATGAGTGGAAACTACAGTGAATTCACCATTCCACAGCTAATCCCTTTCTTCCCTTCAAGCAGCTTTGGAATGCAGCCATAGCTGAGTCAAGGAGAGCTCACAAGGTTAAAAATAAGAACTATTTTCCTCTAATTAGGGATCATTAAAAAATTATTCTACAAGTGGAAAGCAAATTTTTTAATGACAAGTCATATATGATTGTTTTTAAACTTGCTTATATTATCCTTGACAGAGTTCTTTTTTCTCTTGAGATCATTTTGTCCTTTTCCATTTGGCTTCCATTTCGGAGATAAAGCTATCATCAATAAACCATTTGAGGAAGAGACAAAAGAAAGATTATATCCTGGGCAGAAAGCCCCATTTCATCTTAACCAAACATGTGCATGGACCTCTACCACATACCCAGCAGTGAAGTGGCTGCTATTCCTTATACTAATAGAATCTAAGAAAAACTGAGAACACTTTTATCTTGTGTTCTCTCTATATCAAATATTTGCAGACCTATTATATTACTATACTGCCACAACAGTGTTATTATAAATTACCAGTCTTTCCACTATTCATAAATTATAATTTGTTGTCAGTTTGTGCAAGACACTGATCTACTTTGGGGAAAAACTAAAAACAGTGTTCTCTATCTTAGAGATTATTGAGTCTTTCTAAACACCATCAGTTACTTGGCTACTAGGCAGACTGCCCCAGTAGTACATGCTCTGTTTTCAAACATTTTAAAAATCCAAACTTCATTTTTATTTTTTCTACAGCTTTGAAAACAAAATTTCAAAAGTTATATTCCATGATTAATGTTAGGACCAAGGAACATTCTGTCATTAAATTCTATTAAAACCTGTCCTCTTTATTTTTCATTTTTGAGAAAGGGAAATTATACCGTTTCCTCTATTTTCTTTACAATAACATTAGCATGTGGACAATCTTACATCTTCAAACGTGGTTTAAACAGCCCTGAGGGAAAACTTTATTTATATTAAAAGAAATGAATGGAAAAAATGTGGTAAGTATCTAGAGATGTGGATCTTAAAATTTTTTCTCATGTACATTGCCAGATACAAATTAGGCTATGAAGCTACTGTAAACCAAAAAATGTCTGAGACAGGTCTCAATCAATTAAAGATTTATTTTACATATATGTATTTATAATAAATTAGAGGTTTATTTTGCCAAGGTTGAGGACACACCTAAGAAAAAGAGACATAAGTTACAGTGGGATCTGTGGCTTGTGATTTTTCAAAAGAGGATTTTGAAGACTTCAATATTTAAAGGGGAAAAGGTGTCCAGAAAGGGAAAGAGGAAGAGTCAATTATCCATTTGTCCCATGCTCAGCAAATCTGCATTTAACATAAGATAAAGCAAACACACAGTAGTAGAAGTTAAATGTGCGTCCATCTTAGGGTGGGTGGAGGGATGATTTCTAGTCTCATCTTTGTCCCTCCCCTGTGAACGTAAGCTGTTAACTAACATTGTCAGGGTGAAAGAGGCCACCTGAGGAGCTATGTAGCCATCTATTAATATTTTGCTGCTATCTATTTCGGAACAAAAGGAAGGTAGTTTTTCTTCCATGACTCAGTCCCCAAGCTTAACTTTTCCCTTGGCATAGTGAGTTTAGGGTCCCAAGATTTTATCTTCCTTTCACACTACCTAATAGAAATCCCCTCCATATATGTGATGGTGTGAGGCAAAATCTGGGGAAGCAGTAATTGTCTTAATAAATATACAAGGGACTTGAAAATGAGAAAGGAAAATAAATTTAAATCCAATTGTTCTGGATCATTTCAGTCGACTATACTTCCTGGATTTTAGAGTTTCTGGTTAGCTCTCTGTTACCAGAAAGGGGCGCCCAATCCAGACCCCAAAAAGGGTTCTTGGATCTCACACAAGAAAGAATTCAAGGTTAAGTCCACAGAGTAAAGTGAAAGCAAGTTTATTAAAGAAGTAAAGAAAACAAAAGAATGGCTACTCCATAGACAGAGCAGGGTGTTCCTTACAGCAAAAGGAGGAACAAGCCCCCCTTAGGTACGATGCTTGTTTATATATAAGATAACAACGCAAAAAAAAAAAAATGGGGGAGATGTCATCTAGTACAAGGCCTCCCGACATAGGATTGTTAACCTTTGTGTAACTGCTGACTTTTGCAAGAATCTACATTATCTTTAAGCAAAACTTATTCTTAAACTAAAAATGCTTTTGTTCTTGAGGTATCAGGACATCAGGATATTTCCTGGGTCTATGAAGTCCTGGGTCTCTTTAGCAAACATTACTAATCTGCTCCCTTAACCATAAACATCTTGTGGCTACGAATGCCTAGCCTCCTGGGAATGCAGCCAGCAGGTCAGCTTACCCAGTCCCTATTCAACATGGAGTCACGCTAGTTCGAACGCCTCTGACACAGCTAGCTTCATATAGAGAGGCTTTATCACAAAATAACATGCTACAACGCATAATGATTACATCTTTCCTCACCTGGCCTTCCAACCAAACTCCATTGCTAGTAATAAAAATCCCAGCTCATGAAAAACCAGAAACTTAACTTCCAAGTCCACAGTAATGGAACATGCTAATTGTATTTCGACTACAGAATGAATTTATGAGTCTCCTGAATCCAAAGAGCTTGTGTATTGTCTACAGAGCGAAATGGTTTAGAAGACTAATACAAATGACAGTCTGCAGTTTGCAGTCCCAGGACCAGGATGTCAGGGGAGTTTCTGCCTAAACAATGTGAAGTCAGAAGCCAGAAGAGGAGAATGCTTTTAGAATGTGGCCAAAATTTTTCTGCCCCTCTGTACCATTTCCTTTTATTATTACTATTATTATTATTCTACTTTAAGTTCTAGGGTACATGTGCACAATGTGCAGGTTTGTTACATATGTATACATGTGCCATGTTGGTGTGCTGTACCCATTAACTCGTCATTTACATTAGGTATATCTCCTAATGCTATCCCTCCCCCTTACCCCCACCCCACAACAGTCTCCGGTGTGTGATGTTCCCCTTCCTGTGTCCAAGTGTTCTCATTGTTCAGTTCCCACCTATGAGTAAGAACATGCGGTGTTTTGTTTTTTGTCCTTGCGATAGTTTGCTGAGAATGATAGTTTCCAGCTTCATCCATGTCCCTACAGAGGACCTGAACTGAGACGTTTTCTCTCCGCCCAGGCTGTGGCGCTATCTCCGCTCACGTCAAGCTCCGCCTCCCGGGTTCACTCCATTCTCCTGCTTCAGCCTCTCCAGTAGCTGGGACTACAGGCGCCCGGCTAATTTTTTTTTCTTTTTCTTTTTCTTTTTTTTTTTTTTTTTTTTGTATTTTTAGTAGAGATGGGGTTTCAGTGTGTTAGCCAGGATGGTCTCGATCCCCTGACCTCGTGATCCGCCCGCCTCGGCCTCCCAAAGTGCTGGGACTACAGGCGTGAGCCACCGGGCCCGGCCCTATTTCCTTTTGTGTTGTTTCTTTTTTCTTCCTAAAATTTATAATATATCCCATTGTGGAAAATATGGGGAATGCACACCAAATTAAAGACCAGATCAAAGAAGAATATCCGTATTGCCTATAATCTCTCCATAGAAGTAAGCATACTACATTTTGTCATACTGCTGTCTTGGCTTTGTATTCTTGCTTTTGTTGTTGTTTCCTGTATTAAGCGTATTTCATACAGTATTGTATCATAATCATTTCTCATCTTGCTAAAAACATTTTTAAATTTAATTTTCAAAATTTGCAAAATATTTGTAACACATGGAACCCTGTAATTAAGTTTTGGTTTGTTTGTTTGTTTGTTTGTTTTCTATTTGAGGCATCTTGCTTGTTTCCAGGTTTCTATTCTGAGAAACAATGCAGCAATGAACATCTTTGCTCACAATATTTTTCATGCATTTCTGTTTATTTCTCTGGCATATATTCTAGAAGTAAAATTACTGGGCCAAAGGAAATGAACTTATTAAAAAAATTTACTTCAAGTTCTGGGATACATGTGCTGAACGTGCAGGTTTGTTACATAGATAAACATGTGTCATGGTGCTTTGCTGCACCTATCAACCTGTCGTCTAGGTTTTAAGCCCCGCATGCATTAGGTATTTGTCCTAATGCTCTTCCTCCCCTTTCCCCCCACCCCACGACAGGCCCAGTGTGTGATGTTCCCCTTCCTGTGTCCATGTGTTCTTATTCCTCAGCTCCCACTGAATGAGTGAGAACATGCGGTGCTCGGTTTTCTGTTCCTGTGTTAGTTTGCTGACAATGATGGTTTCCAGCTTCATCCATGTCCCTGCAAAGAACATGAGCTCATTCTTTTTATGGCTGCATAATATTCCATGATATGAACATTTTAAAATCTCCTGACACAAATAACCATATTGCTTTGCAGAAAGATCAAACAGATTTATAGCCTCACCTCCAATACATAAGAATGTTTGTTTCTCTGTGTCCATATGGTGTTAGGATATATATTTCTTGTCACTAAAATATAAGAAAAAAAATCTTTTTTTTTTATTTTTGGCTTTTTATTACTTTTAAAGCTATATGTTAAATAGGTATGTAATTTTCTCTACTGAAATCTGCTTATTTATGTTTCTTGCTCATTTATCTTTTGAGGTGCTATGCTTTTCTTACCAGTTTCAGTGAGCAGTTTACTCTAAGCAGATTAACCATTTCTGGTTTTTTTTGGATTTGTTTTTCCGGATTTGTTTTTCCTTTATTTCTTTCAAAAGAAAAAAAAAAAAACACGATATATGTGCAGAACATGCTGGTTTGTTGCACAGGTATATGTGGGCCATGGTGGTTTGCTGCACCTATTAACCCATCCTTTAAGTTCCCTCCCGTCACCCCAACCCCCAAAGAGGCCTTGGTGTGTGTTGTTGCCCTCTCCTGTGTCCATGTGTTCTTATTGTTAAACTCCCACTTATGAGTGAGAACATGCAGTGTTTGGTTTTCTGTTCCTGTATTAGTTTGCTGAGGATGATGGCTTCCAGCTTTATCCATGTCCCTGCAAAGGACAAAATCTCATTCCTTTTTATGGCTGCATAGTATTCCATGGTGTATATGTACCACATTTTCTTTATCCAGTCTAACATTAATGGGCATTTTGGTTGGTTCCATGTCTTTGCTGTTGTGAATAGTGCTGCAGTAAACCTACATGTAGATGTGTCTTTATAAAAGAATGACTTATATTCCTTTAGGTATATATACCTGGTAAGGAGATTGCTGGATCAGATGGTATTTCTGATTCTAGATCTTTAAGGAATTGCCATACTGTCTTCCACAATGGTTGAACTGACTTATATTCCCATCGACAGTGTTAAAGCATTCCTATTTCTCCATATCCTCACCAGCATCTGTTGTTTCCCGACTTTTTAATAATCACCATTCTGAGTGGCATGAGATGGTATCTTATTGTGGTTTTGATTTGCATTTCTCTGATGATCAGCAATGTTGAGATTTTTTTCATATGTTTGTTGGCCACATAAATGTCTTCTTTTGAGAAGTGTCTGTTCATATCCTTTGACCATTTTTTGATAGGGTTGTTTTTTCTTATAAATATGTTTAACTTCCTTGTAAATTCGTGATATTAGACCTTTGTCACATGGGTTGATTGCAAAAATTTTCTCCCATTCTGTAGGTTTCCTGTCCACTCTGACAATAGTTTCTTTTGCTGTGAAGAAGCTCTTTAGCTTAATTAGATCCCATTTGTTAATTTTGGCTTTTGTTGCTATTGGTTTTGGCATTTTTGTCATGAAGACTTTGCCCATGCCTATGTCCTGAATGGTATTGCCTAGGTTTTCTTCTAGGGATTTTATGGTTTTGGGTTTTACATTTAAGACTTTAATTCATCTTGAGTTAATTTTTGTATAAGATGTAAGGAAGGGGTCTGGTTTCAGTTTTCTGCATATGGCTAGCAAATTTTCCCAGTACCATTTACTGAATAGGAGATCTTTTCCCCATTGCTTGCTTTTGTCAGGTTTGTCAAAGATCAGATGGCTGTAGATATGTGGTGTTATTTCTGAGCTCTCTGTTCTGCTCCATTGGTCTATATGTGTGCTTTGGTACCAGTACCATGCTGTTTTGATTACTGTAGCCTTGTAGTATAGTTTGAAGTCAGGTAGCATGATGCCTCCAGCTTTGTTCTTTTTGATTAGGATTATCTTGGCTGTATGGGGTCTTCTTTGATTCCATATGAAATTTTAAAAAGTTTTTTTTTCTAATTCTGTGAAGAAAGTCAATGGTAGTTTGATGGGAATAGCACTGGATCCATAAATTACTTTGGGCAGTATGGCCATTTTCACAATATTGATTCTTCTTACCCATGAGGATGGAATGTTTTTCCGTTTGTTTGTGTCCTCTCTTATTTCCTTGAGCAGTGGTTTATAGATCTCCTTGAAGAAGTCCTTCACATCCCTTGTTAGCTGTATTCCTAGGTATTTTATTCTTTTTGTAGCAATCGTGAATGGGAGTTCATTCATGATTTGGTTCTGTGCTTGCCTATTGTTGATGTAAAGGAATGCTTGTGATTTTTGCACATTGATTTTGTATCCTGAGACTTTGCTGAAGTTGCTTATCAGCTCAAGAAGTTTTTGGGCTGAGATGATGGGGTTTTCTGAATATAAAATCTTGTCATCTGCAAACAGAGAAAATTTGACTTCCTCTCTTCTTATTTGAATATCCTTTATTTCTTTCTCTTGCCTGATTGCCCTGGCCACAACATCCAGTACTGTGTTGAATGGCAATGGTGAGAGAGGGCACCCTTGTCTTGTACCAGTTTTCAAAGGGAATGCTTCCAGCTTTTGCCTATTCAGTATGATATTGGCTGTGGTTTTGTCATAAATAGCTCTTATTATTTTGAGATACATTCCATCAATACCTAGTTTATGGAGAGTTTTTAATATGAAGGGATGTTGAATTTTATCAAAGGCCTTTTCTGCATCTATTGAGATAATAATGTTGTTTTTGTCTTTGGTTCTTTTTATGTGATGGATTACATTTATTGATTTGTGTATGTTGAACCAGTCTTGCATCCCAGGAATGAAGCTGACTTGATCGTGGTGGATAAGTTTTTTGATGTGCAGCTGGACTTGGTTTGCCAGTATTTTATTGAAGATTTTCACATCAATGTTCATCACGGATATTGGCCTGAAGTTTTCTTTTATTGTTGTTTCTCTTCCCAGTTTTGGTATCAGAATGATGCTGGCTTCATAAAATGAGTTAGGGAGGAGTCCCTCCTTTTTAATGGTTTGGAATAGAAGCAATGGTACCAGCTCCTCTTTGTATTTCTGGTAGAATTCGGCTCTGAATCTGTCTGGTCCTGGGCTTTTTTTGGTTGGTAGGCCATTAATTACTGCCTCAACTTCAGAGCTTGTTGTTTGTCTATTCGGGGATTCAACTTCTTCCTGGTTTAGTCTATCAAGGATGTATGTGTCCAGGAATTGATACATTTCTTCTAGATTTTCTAGTTTATTTTTGTAGAGGTGTTTATAGTATTCTCTGATGGTAGTTTGTATTTCTTTGGGGTCAGTTGTGATGTACCATTTATAATTTTTTTACTGTGTTTATTTGATTCTTCTCTCTTTTCTCTTTTATTAGTTTAGCTAGTGGTCTATCTATGTTGTTAATTTTTTTAATACCAAGCTCCTGGATTCATTGATTTTTTTGAGAGTTTTTCATTTCTCTATCTCCTTCAATTCTTTTCTGATCTTAATTACTTCTTGTCTTCTGCTAGCTTTTGGATTAGCTTCCTCTTGCCTCTCTAGCTCTTTTAACTGTGATGTTACGGTATCAATCTGAGATCTTTCTAGCTGTCTGATGTGGGCATTTAGTCCCGTAAATTTCCCTCTTAACACTGCTTTAGCTGTGTTTCAGTGATTCTGGTATGTTGTTTCTTTGTTCTCATTGCTTTCAAAGAACTTCTTCATTTCTGCCTTAATTTCTTTATTTACCCAGGAGTCATTCCAAAGCAGGTTGTTCAATTTCCATGAAATTGTGTGGTTTTGAGTGAGTTTCTTAATCCTGAGTTTTAGTTTGATTGGACTGTGGTCTGAGAGACTGTTACGATTTCAGTTCTTTTGCAGTTGCTGAGGAGTGTTTTACTTCCAATTATATGGT
Source organism: Homo sapiens (assembly GCF_000001405.40). NCBI lineage: Eukaryota > Metazoa > Chordata > Mammalia > Primates > Hominidae > Homo > Homo sapiens. The sequence continues at coordinate 26,982,322 of NC_000011.10, forward strand.
CAATTTTAGAATAAGTGCCATGTGGCACAGAGAAGAATGCATATTCTGTTGATTTGAAGTAGAGCATTCTGTAGATGTCTACTGGTCCACTTGGTGCAGAGCTGAGCTCAAGTCCTGAATATCCTTGTTAATTTTCTGTCTCATTGATCTGTCTAATATTGACAGTGGGTGTTAATACTGACAGTGGGTTACCACTATTATTGTGTGGGAGTCTAAGTCTCTTTGTACATCTCTAAGAACTTGTTTTATGAATCTGAGTGCTCCTGTATTGGGTGCATGTATATTCAGAATAGTTAGGTCTTCTTGTTGAATTTTTCCCTTTACCATTATGTAATGCCCTTCTTTGTCTTTTTTGATCTTTGCTGGTTTAAAGTATGTTTTGTCAGAGACTAGTATTGCAACCTCTGCTTTTTTTTTTTTTTTTGCCTTCCATTTGCTTTGTAATTTTTCCTCTATCCCTTTATTTTGAGCCTGTGAGTGTCTTTACACATAAGATGGGTCTCCTGAATACAGCACACCAATGGGTCTTGACTCTTTATCCAGTTTGCCAGTCTGTGCCTTTTAATTGGGGCATTTAGCCCATTTACGTTTAAGTTTAGTATTGTTATGTGTAAATTTGATCCTGTCATCATGATGCTATTTGGTTATTTTGCACACTAATTGATGCAGTTCCTTCAGAGTGTCATTTGTCATTATATTTTGGTGTGTTTTTGCAGTGGCTGGTACCGGTTTTTCCTTTCTATATTTAGTGCTTCTTTCAGGACCTCTTGCAGGGCAGGCCTGGTGGAAAAAAAAAATCCCTCAGCATTTGCTTGTCTATAAAGGATTTTATTTCTCCTTCTCTTATGAAGCTTAGTTTGGCTGGACATGAAATTCTGGGTTGAAAATTCTTTTCTTTAAGAATGTTGAATATTGGTCCCCAATCTCTTCTGGCTTGTAGAGTTTTTGCCAAGAGTCTACTGTTAGTCTAATGGGCTTCCCTTTGTAGGTGACCTGCCTTTCTCTCTGGCTGCCCTGAACAGTTTTTCCTTCATTTCAACCTTGGAGAATCTGATGATTATGTATCTTGTGATTGATCTCGTGGAGTATCTTAATGATGTTCTCTGTATTTCCTGAATTTGTGTGTTGGCCTGCCTTGCTAGGTTGAGGAAGTTCCGGATAATATCCTGAAGTGTGTTTTCTAGCTTGTTTCCATTCTCCCTGTCTCCTTCTTGTACTCCAATCAATCATAGATTCAGTCTTTTTATGAAGTTTCATATTTCTTGGAGGTTTTGTTCATTCCTTTTCATTCTTTTTTCTCTATTCTTGTCTGCATGTCTTATGTCAGTAACGTTGTCTTCAAACTCTGATTTTTTTTCCACTTGGTCGATTCAGCTGTTGATACTTGTGTATGCTTCACGAAGTTCTCATGCTGTGTTTTTCAGCTCCATCAGGTTGTTTTTTGCTGGCTGCTGCCCCTCCCCTAAACAGCTCAAATGGCTTAGACAGCAGGCAGCCAAAGCTGGTGCTGGTCGCCCCTCCCTCTGGGAGTTCAGTAGGCTTAAGCAGATTCCAGCTGAGAGGCTGTAAGAATCTGCATGTTCCAGGGTTGGAACACTAGGCTTCAGTGGCGTGAGTTCGTGAGTGGAATCTTCCAATCTGTGGGTTGCACAGTTCCATGGAAAAAGCAGTTTCTTTGGCTGTGTAGTGGGCTCACTTACCTCCTTCCTTGGCTGGGGGAAAAGGGCATCCCTGCCCTGTGTGGCTCTCAGGTGGGCTGCTGTACCACACTGGTCTTCCTTCTTTCAGTGGGTCATGCCAGCCTTCTAGTCAATTTTGTTCAGAGAACCTTGATCCCTTTGTTGCTGGTGAAGGAGTCACATGATTGTTACAGTTTTTTCAATGGGAGACTCCGAGCACCATTGCTTCTAGTGGGCCATCTTATTATTGCAGATTAACCATTTCTTATCAAAACTTGTTGCAAATCTTGTCCCAGTTTTTTTCATTGTGACTGTAATGATTTTTACATACATTTTTAATGAAATAATATATATTATACTTGTCTTCTATAGCTCTTTACATTGTTTTGTTTGCTTTTCATTCTTTACACAGCTGCCATAGCATGCTAAACATATGATTAGCTGTGACCCAGACTCTCTACCAACACATCAAGATTCATTTGTCATAAACAGAAAGATTGCAGGAAAAGGTCATCAGTGAACGAATATGTCTCCTCTGTCTAAATAATCCTTAATTACACCATACGTAACCCCTATCGGATAGTGTTGACCATGTGAATGAATTGTGCCATGATTTGGAGTGGTTTTCCCCTGCCAAAACTCATGTTGAAATTTGATTCCCAATATGGCAGTGTTAAATGGTGGAGTCTACTGGAGGGTGTTTGTTTCATGGGTGAATAGATTAATGCCCTCTTGCAAGAGTTAAGTGAGTTCTCACTCTCTAGAGAATGAATTAGTTCCTGAGAGAGCAGTGACTCCAACCTCTCCTGCATGTCTCTTTGGACACACCTGCTTCCCTTTCCACTTTCTGCCATAAATTGAAGAAGTGTGCAACCCTCATCATATGGGCTGCCCAATCTTGGACTTTCCAGCTCCAGAATCATGAGCCAAATAAACTTTATTTTTATAAATTACCTAGTCTCAGGTATTCTGTTATAGCAACACAAAACTGACTAAGACAAATTATACCTCAAGTCTGTATCCTCTTAAGTCAGCAAACTAACACAGGAACAGAAAAACCAAACACAAACACCGCATGTTCTCACTCATAAGTGGGAGTTTAGCAATGAGAACACATGGACACAGGGAGGGGAGCATCACACACTGGGATCTGCCCAGGTATGGGGGGCTAGGGGAGGGACAGCATTAGGAGAAATACCTAACGTAGATGATGGGTTGATGGGTGCAGCAAACCACCATTGCACATGTATACCTATGTAACAAACCTGCATGTTCTGCACATTATCCCAGAACTTAACGTATAATTTAAAAATAAATAAATACATAAAATAAAATAAAAAACACCAAATTAAAAAAAATATTTGCTTAATATTTCTATCAACATATATTTACTGAGCACCTACTTGAAGTTGGTCAGATTGAAAAGCATCACAGTTGTAACAAAAATTATTCTCTTAATTGAGATTCTATGCCTAAAAAGTATATTTAAGTGATTTCTTACATAGCAAACATCTGGATGAGCTTACTCTTCCACCTCCATCTGTTTGACATTTGAAGTCATCAGGTTCATCAGCAATAAAGGTCAAATAAGGAGTAAGTAAAGGAAGTGAGAAGTAAAGTGTGCATATTTACTATGCATGACAAACGAAGCTGCAAAATAAGAAGTGGAGTAAGTTGGTTCCACCCTGGAACTAAAATCTGGAAATAAACTTTCTGAAGCATAATCAGACTTCTGCTCCCAAAGGCAATAATGCCAAGCCCATTTTGATTCATCTCCAAAATAGCCTCTGTTATCCTCTTCCAACAGCATTTCTTTAGAATTAAAATTGTATTTGGATTAGGATTAAAAAGCTAATCAAGGACTTGTTCACTGCAGGACAATTTTTAAATCTTCAAGATCTGGAAGAAAGGCAGCCAAGAACCATGAAACATAACAGTGGAAGATGTTCTTGTTTTCTGACAAAGCGAAGAAAGATGCTGTTACTAACCTTGCCATATCCTCCACTCCCTACCCCAGCTGATTTCTGAATGTCATTAGTTTGACCATTTTATGGCCTCCTTTACAAGTTTTGTTCAGACCGAAAACAGCATACTACACTGAGTAAGGAGACAGACTGACTCAGTCCCATTCTTCTTTAATAACCTCAGTCAGTGGCTCTTGGCCTAAAAGTCTCATGACGCTTTTTCTCTTCCCAAGTAGATATGAGCTTTTACTTTCCCAAATCATCCTTCTTTGCACATGCTGGTAGGTGCATATTGTACGACACTCACTGTATACAGTCATGCATTGCTTAATGATGCAGATACATTCAGATAAATGTGTTCTTGGGCAATGTAATCATCATGCACATGTCATAGAGTGTACTAACACAAACCTAAGATAGTATAGACTACTACACACCTAGGCTATACACTATAGCCTATTGCTCCTATGCTACAAACTTGTACAGCATCGTGGTACTGTACTGAATACTGTGGGCAATTATACTACAATGATATTTGTGTATCTAAACTTATCTAAGCATTTATAAATGAACAGTCAAAGTATACTATTATAATCATATGAGACCACCATCATATATGTGGTGTGGCATTGACCAAACATTGTTATGCAGCGTATGACTATACTTCCAACCATGGCATTCATTTGCAGACTCTTTGTATGCTACTCTTCTCCCTCCCAACAGATTGTATCGATGCATATACTTCTTGTTTCCTTTTGTGGTTGCTGAACAAAGTGCTTGCAGAATTGAAGTGAGACTGGCAGAGTCTCTTTCTTATACTCTATCTCTGCCTTTTGTCATTTCCCCAGTTCTTTTGAGCCTGAAAATTAAAATGATGAGAAATATAATTGGCTGAATATTTGTGTCCCCGTAAATTCACCTGTTAAAATGTAATCACCAATGTGATGATATTATGATGTGGAATGTTTGGGAGGTGATTAGGTCATGAGGGTGGAGCCCTCATGAATGGGATTACTGTCCTTATAAAAAGGATCTCAGAGAGCTCCTTTACCCCTTGTACCATGTGAGGACATAGTGAGAAGACCACCACCTGTGAGTTATGAAGTGGGCCCTCACAGACACCAAATCTGCTGGTACCTTGATTTTGGACTTCCCAACCTCCAGAACTGTGAGAAATAAATTTTTATTGTTCGTACGCCATCCAGCCTATGGAATTCTGTTATAGTAGCCCAAACAGGCTAAGACAAGGAAAAATAAAACACTGCTTACAGAGGGAAAATAAACAAGGTCTGAGTTTTCTCCAGACCTGCGTGGATCATAATCCAGGATATGCACTTTCAACAGAAGAAAAGTGAAAATATTTACTGGGCAAACCGCGCATTACCCTGCAGGGTGGTCTGATACTTCTCTACTTTACAGACCACAGTGCACTAGGACTACATGTACAGATTGCTGCATACTTTACTTAGAATGGGTCAAAAGTCTCCTTTCTGAGTGATACTCCCTTCTGAATGTTTTGAACATTGGAATTCATAGGGCTCTCTCCTTTCTTTCTTGCCAAGATTATTAGGATTGAGTGAGACCATCACTGGCTGACTGTTGGCCAGACAAAACATGTATTCAAACAGACAAATTATCTGACCATTATTAAATAACAGAATTCCTTAAATTCTACAGTTTAGCTATCACAACAACTAACAAATGTTTGGCCCTTGCTATATGCTTGGCTCTGTGCTAATCACAGGGAATATAAAAGCAAATAAAATATACCCTTATCCATACCCTTGAGGAACTCTCAGTCTAGTGGGAGAGATAGACAAGTTAACAAATATTCCAGTACAATGCAATACATACTATAAAAGAACAAAGAAAAAGTGCCATTGAAACACTAACTACAAAATCATCTTGTTGAAATATTAAATAGGAAGTGATCAACTTAACCTGGAATGCCAACATGTATTCACTGAGTACCTCCTGTGATCCAGTTACAAGGGAATGATGAAAAGAACTAACTAATGTTCAGAAATCAAGGAGGGGCTTTTAGAGGAAATGAAATTACAACCAAGATATGAGAGGTGAGCTGGAATTAGCTAGGAAAGAAATTACAAAAGGGGGATCCTAGCAGAGAGATAGCATGAGTGAAGATCTTCAGATGAGATGTAAGTATTTACAGAAGCCTGTATAGCTTGAATATAGGAAACTAAGTTGGGAGTCCCAGGAGATGGAAATTTAGAGGCTGGGACCAGACAACTCAAGTTCTGGTAGGCCAGCTAAAGAGATTATATTTTTGTCTAAGTGCACTGGGAGGCCATTAAAGTGTGTAAATTGGTAGTCAAATTTCTCCCAAATATCTCTGAGTCCTTCTCGCATGTTTAAATGAGCATGGTACAGTACTGTACTGATAAACACTATTTGATCCTCTGGTGCAAGACCCTACCACTTTGTAGCACTCTCCTCTTCTGAATGAACTCCTGCACTCATTTTCAGTGATTACATCTCCTTATTGAGGATTTAACTGTCTCCTGTCTCCCCTCTCTGACTGTCCCCACATACCTTACATCTAGTACCTGTGTCCCCAGAATCCCCTTTAGCCAAGCTGATCTGTAGTCTTCCAACTTCTTAGGATGTTTTCTCTCCTCTAGCTTCCTGTAGCACCAATCCCTTCAACCTCCTTCCCTTCCTTCAGATTCTTACTTCCACTTCTCTGACTCTCCCTAGCTCCTCTCTTCTATGATTTGGTGTGTACTGTGTTCGTGGGTGAAGTGAGCAGAAAGGTTCAGATTCATTGAATCTGATAATGATAATAAATTGTTTGTAGTCTTTTTCTTTGCTTGTGTTTTCTATCTTGACTGAAAATATGAAATATTTGCATTACTGTAGAATGTATGTCACAATTTACATACTCCCTGCTTGGCAGTTTTAGAGCATTTCTAATAGGTATTTTTCCTGCAGAAAAGTGTGGTAGAGACACCTACTGAGCATTTACATCTGGTTTTTCTCTCCTTCTGGGCACATAAAAGGGTAAGACTCCCTTTCTCTTTGCACTGAGGCAGGGCCATGTCACTAGCCAAAGGGCTGTAATGCCAAAGTGACATGTGTCACTTCTGAGCCAGTGCATTCAAGTACAGCACAAGACTCTCCAGAGCCCTGGTCCCCTGCTGCACCAACCGAGGAGGTCCCACGTTGCAGAAGGTGCATCAGAGTTGCTATATAGAGGAAAGTTGCTGAGTTACCTTGACCTGCAGTGAACTTGAATTTGATGTTAGCATTTTTGTGACATCTGTTATCATAGCATATCAAAGCATATTCTGATATTCTCACTAATACAGAAAGGTTGTGAGAATTGATCAGACTCCCTTCCCACATTATACTTATTTCCTTGCAAGCATTCTCATTGTCTTCATAGGTGTGTTTTATTCTCTATATTTGATAGGAAGTTTGTTTGTGATTATTCTTTTTAATTAATTCTCCCTCTGCCTCTAACCAATGTTCTTGTAGTAAATAATCATATTCACTTCATTGAGTTAACATAACAGAAAGCACAGACTAAATAATCAAAATTTGTTTCACTCTCACCTTTCTTTTCTTCTTTCCTTTTATCCTTCCTTCCTCGCTACCTTTTCTTCCCTTCTTGCTTTTCTTTCTTTCTTTTATCCATTTCTCCCCCTCTGTCCTTTTCACCTTCTGCAAACAATGTCTGCTCAGTAAATGCTACTGATTACCTATTAATTGATTTTTTTTAATCCCTAAAGCGCTAAGTTCTATGTCCTTCCCCTTATCTCCCCCTCTATTCTTGCTTTCCCCTCTCCTTCCACCTTGAGACCCCTACTCTGGTTTAGAATAACACGTTTTTGTTGTGTTTTTTTGTTTTGTTTTGTTTTCTCCTTTGACACGGTTCAGGGACTCAACCTGACAGTTTGAGGGAATCTTGAGAATGAGGGTTTCCATCTCCCCTTTGGGTTTCTAGGCTGCATAGTGGAACCTAATCTCCCCAAAACCTCCTTATACTCCTTTCTATAAAAGTTATTCTATCAAAATAATCAGAAATAGTAAGAAGATCACAAAAACCTTTGACAAGGAGAAGTCACAGAATTTAAAGATCTGTCACATAGATCTTTAGGCTCATAATTCCAATGTAAATTTCTACTTTCTTCTCTAAAGTGATAAATGATCTAAAGAAAATTTTAAAATGCACTGAAAATGATAAAGCATAAGTAATTCTTGAGCTAGCAAATTTTGCTGGCACTGTGTATATAAGCGGCTGGAATTGGGCAATGATGCTCATCTATTTACTTATACGACTCTGGCCATTACTCCTGAGGTACTCCTTTATGCTTACATGCACCCAGTTTCTGTCCTTTAATTTGGTTCCTGGTCTTCAGCCGTAGATGCAACTCAACTACTGCCCTTATCTACAGATGGTGCTTCTTGATTTTACTCTTCAAAGTCCTCTGTCTGGCATCTCTGTGTTTAGACATTTCCTCTGGCTTTATTCATTCTAGGTCAACCCTCAGAAACCCACCTCAGTTCTAACCTTAGCAGCCCAAGATGGACTTGGGCACATATGAACAACAGAACTAAAAACATTTTAAAAGTGAACATGAAGCATTTAACCAGAAGGCCATGTTGTGCTACTTTCCAAGTCAGTTGTTAAACATGGACATTATTAAAAATAAACTGGCCGGGTGCAGTGGCTCATGCCTGTTATCCTAACACTTTGTGGACCAAGGCAGGCAGATTCCCTAAGCCCAGGAGTTCCAGACCAACCTGGGCAACATTGTGAAACCCTGTGTCTACAAAAGAAAATACAAAAACTAGCCAGGCATGGTGGTGCACACCTGTACTCCCAACTACACAGGAGGCTGAGGCACGAGGATCACTTGAGCCTGGGAGGTTGAGGCTGCAGTGAGCTGTGATCTTGCTACTGCACTCCAGCCTAGGCAACACAGCAAGGCCATGTCTCAAAATAAATACATAAAAAATAAATTAAATAAATAAATAAATAAACTAAACTTTTAACTAAGCTATGTTAAAATAAAGGGAATATATACGCAAAACTAATCACTTCTTAATTATTTTACTAGATTTTTACTATTTTCTATTCTCTTGGGGTTATTTGCATCTAATGTATCTGTATGATGATTATATAATGGTATACCACTGTGCATGTCTTCCCAACTTTGAGTTCAATGACATTAGCCATTGTGAGAGTATTTAGACTAAGGAAATCAACAAATACTACAAATCAGGGTGTTTTCCTCCATATACCCAACTGATCAACACTTATCAGCAAGGGTGGCAGTTTCTCTTCGATGTGGTTAATGAAGACAAAACCATAAGGTAGGGGAATTATTCATGGTTACTTCCCCAGAATGTACTCCCATACTGTTCCTTTCCTTAACAGAACACTAAATAACCCAGCCATATAGTTTGCTTGATACCTTGCCTTCAGCTACAGAATGGGGCCCTTATTGTCTTAAGCAAAGTGGTTTAATCCCAAATCTCACTACAGTAAGCCTGGTTTGAAGACATATTCATGATCCAAATCAGGCCACCCATGACCACTGAGGCTGATTTGAGGGAGCTGCATTTGAGCTACCAGGAAATTCAATCTGTCATTCCTGTTACATATGAATAAAGAAGCACAAAGCTCTGGAAGACACTGGTAATCATCTTAGAACACAAACGAAAGAGACTGCCCATGCATGAATATAAGCTGAGGACATAAACCAAGAAATAGTGAGAGAAAAACTAGGTTGGACTAGGCCTTCTCTGAATATCTAATCTTAGGCTTCCTGTAAGTTAATGCCCTTAGTTAGACTGAAGTGGACTTTTAGTTATTTGTACAAAAATGATTCCTTTCTAATACACAATATGGAGTGTGTATCTTTAGATGAGGTCTTTGCAGGAAGAAAGTAAACACTCTTCACACTCTTCACCCTTCGTATGATAACTTTATATGGGTATATGCCCGACTCTTCAACCAGGGAGCAAGCTCTTTGTAGGCTGAAACTTCTTATTGCACATCTTTGTGTCTGTAGTTACCTTAATACTGCACCCTGCAAGTGGGGAGCAAGTAGTAAGTGCTTAATATAGGTTTGCTTAATTGAATTGGTTAGTAAGTCAGAGAGAGATTGTGCAAGAAATGGAATGAATCAGAGTAAATTCCTCTTCGCTTCTTTGGCCAAGCAGCCAATATGAATCCATCTGTTGTCATTTCTGAATGTCCCAGAGAAAAAGGAATGAAGCAATGTAGCTCTTGAGTCCAACAGTCCAGTCTTTCAACTGAAGGAAGTTGTAGTTTTCTTCTGGGATAGAGTGAAAATAGGCCTTGGTCTTCCACTTGGCATAAACAGTAAGAAAACTCCTTTGGTCTATGTTTCCATGATGCTAAGTATCTGGATAAGAATGAAAATGTGCAGTCAACATGCTTCAGAAACTCCATGCATGTGATACCACATCAGCAAAATATCAAGTTACTTAACCAGACTTCTCATTTTCTCTGCAGGAGTCTGGGTTGTTTATATCCATGAAAGTGATGACAATGAGTATAACTGTCCCAGAACAGTGTGGCACTGTGAGTCTGAATGAAGCCAGTCCCTTATTACTTGGGGAGGGAGATAGGTATGGAACACTGGCAAGTCAACATGAATGTTTCAGTTACATTTCAAGGAAGAAGGAGAAAATACCCATAGAAACAGGAGTGCTGCCTGCTTCTGCTTTCCCATGCTTCCTCTGTTTCTTTTCTTCCACAGCCCTATTGATGTCCAACTTACATCTTATTTATTTACATATTTTTCTTTTTTTGAGAAAAGGTCTTACTCTGTCACCCAGGCTGGACTGCAGTGGTGCGATCTAGGCTCACAGCAACCTCCCTCTCCTGGATTCAAGCAATACTCCTGTCTTAGCCCCCTGAGTAACTGGGATTACAGGCATGCACCACCATGTCCAGCTATTTTTTTTTTTTTTTTTTGTATTTTCAGTAGAGATGGAGTTTCACCATGTTGGTCAGGCTGGTCTCGAACTTCTGACCTCAAGTGATCCACCCACCTCTGCCTCCCAAAGTGCTGGAATTACAGACGTGAGCCACCACGCCTGACCTATTTTCAAAAATTTAAGTTTTCTATTTCCCAAAATATAAGTGCCAGGAAGGCAAGGATTTGTCTTTATTTTTGTTCACAGCTGTATTCCCACTACCTCAAATAGATTTTGGCATGCAGTAAATGCTCAAGAAATATTCATTAAACAAATGAATGGCCTTTAGGATGGCCATTTGCCAATAAGTTCATAAATTAGAAATTAAAATGGCCAGGTTAAAAAAAAAAAAAAAAACATTGTTTTTCTCCCCCCAAGTTAAATTAAAAGACCTTGTGACAATTAGTTCTGGCTCAACTAAAGTCTAACTGTGTGACTATAATCAATTTGCTTAACATTCTGCTCCTTCATTTCTCCATCTGGAAAATGGGCATAATAGTACCAGAAACATTCTTCAAAAGCTTTCAAGACTCTCAAAAGAGGCAACAACTATAAAAGCATTAGGTTCAAGATTCAATGCAGATGCTTAGCATTGTTTCATAAAATTAAATAAGGATCTCATTGTCCTTTAACTCACTAAGCTGGCAAAATTTCATTTTTCTGCTTCTGTTCTTATACATACTAAAGACTATACATTAAGCAACTTTCTGTATTTTCATTTCATCCAAAGTATTGTTGATATAAATTTTAATTAACCAATCATTTTCAAACAAAACTGTAATTTCTGACACTTTAAATTTGCCTTCAAAGTCACAAAGTTTTAAAGATAAAAATAGATATACTCAGAAAATCCAACCTGATATTTATTGAGACACGTGAAATGGCATTTTTCCAGGGTAATCATTCCTTCCCCCTCCCAATATGTCAATAACAAACCAGGGTTTTTGTGGTGGAAATTCCATTTATTCTCTTCTCATTTTCTCTTTCGAGCTAAATTCTATTGTAGAGTCTTCCCTTCCAACCTTTAAAAAGCGACCCTGTACCTTTAATAGTGGAGACCTGGTGAGAGGTTCTTTTCCAAACTTGTTCCCTGGCTTCCAAGTGACGAAACCAGCTGTAATTTGAGAGCAGAGAGATCCTCAGGATATCTTTAGCCAAAGGAAAAGCTCCGCATTCCCACCCAGTCCAGAAATTGAAATACTATCAGGGGGCAAGAGCCTTTCTCTCCAGCTACACACTCCATCTCCCGGGAGCAAGGGGAAACTCCGAGAGGAGGGCAACAGAGCCAGCATCTTGCCAGGGCCCCGGAGGAGGGGTTCCCCGCTACGCCTGTGCCGGAGGAGTTCCAGTCACCGAGCGAGGGGCGCAAGGGTGGGTGCATCCTGCGCTGCGGCGGGCGCGCTACCCAGACGCTGGTGTGCAGAGCCACATGAAGCCTGCTGGGGACTGGGGGCCAGGGAGCAGCAAGCCAGCTGGGACTGAGGCGGACGCTGTCTCAGGGAGACGCTGACTCGCAAAGACACTCCCTTCCTTGTGCCTGGGTAAAAAGTCTCCTCCTGGGGTCCCTGGCCATCCTGAATATCCAGAATGGTGTTTCTGAAGTTCTTCTGCATGAGTTTCTTCTGCCACCTGTGTCAAGGCTACTTCGATGGCCCCCTCTACCCAGAGATGTCCAATGGGACTCTGCACCACTACTTCGTGCCCGATGGGGACTATGAGGAGAACGATGACCCCGAGAAGTGCCAGCTGCTCTTCAGGGTGAGTGACCACAGGCGCTGCTCCCAGGGGGAGGGGAGCCAGGTTGGCAGCCTGCTGAGCCTCACCCTGCGGGAGGAGTTCACCGTGCTGGGCCGCCAGGTGGAGGATGCTGGGCGCGTGCTGGAGGGCATCAGCAAAAGCATCTCCTACGACCTAGACGGGGAAGAGAGCTATGGCAAGTACCTGCGGCGGGAGTCCCACCAGATCGGGGATGCCTACTCCAACTCGGACAAATCCCTCACTGAGCTGGAGAGCAAGTTCAAGCAGGGCCAGGAACAGGACAGCCGGCAGGAGAGCAGGCTCAACGAGGACTTTCTGGGAATGCTGGTCCACACCAGGTCCCTGCTGAAGGAGACACTGGACATCTCTGTGGGGCTCAGGGACAAATACGAGCTGCTGGCCCTCACCATTAGGAGCCATGGGACCCGACTAGGTCGGCTGAAAAATGATTATCTTAAAGTATAGGTGGAAGGATACAAATGCTAGAAAGAGGGAATCAAATCAGCCCCGTTTTGGAGGGTGGGGGACAGAAGATGGGGCTACATTTCCCCCATACCTACTATTTTTTTATATCCCGATTTGCACTTTGAGAATACATCTAAGGTCATCTTTCAAAAGAGAAAAATTGGACACTTGAGTGACTTTGTTTTTAGTTTTGTTTTTGTACATTATTTATGTGATTGTTATGGAATTGTCACCTGGAAAGAACAATTTTAAGCAATGTCATTTCTAGATGGGTTTCTAATTCTGCAGAGACACCCGTTTCAGCCACATCTAAAAGAGCACAGTTTATGTGGTGCGGAATTAAACTTCCCCATCCTGCAGATTATGTGGAAATACCCAAAGATAATAGTGCATAGCTCCTTTCAGCCTCTAGCCTTCACTCCTGGGCTCCAAAAGCTATCCCAGTTGCCTGTTTTTCAAATGAGGTTCAAGGTGCTGCTTTGCATGCCTGCCAACCCATGGAAGTTGTTTCTTACTTCTTTTCTCTCTTATTTATTAACCATGGTCTGAGAGTTGTTTTTGTTCTATGTAACAGTATTGCCACAAAACTATAGGCAAATCGTGTTTGCAGGGAGATTTCTGATGCCTCTGTGGGTGTGTGTAAGTTAAAGTGGCCACATTTAAGAAGGCCAAGCTTTGTAGTGGTTGCACAGTCACACTGATATGCTGATTTGCTCTTTCTCATTGTATGTCTATGCTTTGTCATCAGTGCTATAGTAAATTACAAAGAAATAGGTAGATTGTATGAACATACCCACAAATGCCTATGATTTAGGTTACCAATGTATTCTTTCTCATTTGGGGTTTTGCTTCTGTCTGTCTGTTTATTGGAAACTTGTACTTCAAGTAGGGGGAATCCTAATTCTAATAACTCCTTAGCTAAGTTTTATTATTCAGGCAATAAACATGTTTTCATGTAATACTGGCTTACTTTGTAATTTACATCTGTAACTTTCATATTTCTAAAAGGGGCCAATGCAAAAGGAGAGAGAAGGACTGGATTTAAGCCAGTTTACTTAGAGTATATGATAAAGAAGGCAGAGGAATAGCTACATATTTGGCAATTCTCCTCTCTGTAGTCACCCTGACATCCTCACAAGAAAACAAATCTAGCCATTGCCCAAACTTTAAATTTGATCTCTATAGGTCTGCTTAAAGACTCAAATTTTCTCCAGTTTCTCTCATAAATTCAATTGCAAAAGTTTCTGACAAGGCTCATACCCTGTACCCTTATGCAGAGCAAGCATTCCATCCTAAGTTATAAACTACAGTGATGTTTAATTTTGAAGCCAGGTCTACATTATTTAATTAATGGCTTCAAAAGGTGGAGATGCACTTTATTTAATGTCTTTCCCTAGCTAATTCTTACTCTCACCTTAAATATGCTTTCTTGTTGCATATATGCACAGATACACACACACACACACACGAAAATAAATAAATGTTCATATTCTTCTGTTCAACAGACATTTATTTTCTCCTCTCCCTTGAATAAGAAAATAAGTTTTCCATTCCTATGAACTGTCTAATATCTTTCTATTACAGAAGGGGAAACTGAGGCTGGGAAAGGCTAAATGACTTATCCTCCATCAGTTATAACAGCCCCTGGTCTTCTTAAATTTAAACACGGGACTTCCCGAACTAATTTTTTTAAGGATACTGAAAAATGAGAGAGAGTGGTCGAATGCCTGAAATTTTGCTTAACTTACTGTACTTAAAATCAATTATAACTTCTTTTTGTTACTCAGGGCCCCACTTTTTGTTGCTTTCTAGACTTGTGTGTAGAAAGAAGATTAATGATCACTTAAAGTAGTTTCCTTCTTTATTCTGAAAAAATGAGGAAAAAATAACAACAGTGGCAAATAAAATCATATTTGGTACTAAAATGTTTGTAGTTTGAAGTCACAATCATTCATGCCTCAAAACATTTATATCACTCACTTCATAGTGATCATTTGGTAATTCATAGACTTACAAATGTCATCTCCTTGATTTTCCCAGCTGTAATGGGAGGATATTGGGCATGTGATAGTGATGGAAAACTGTTTTCCCTGTGCATGCTAATTTCAATCTATTGGTAATGCTTCCATACCATATTATGTTATCAAGGATTCAAAAGACACAGAAGTGAAGAGTGTCATCCCTAATTAGAGATATCTTCCATGGGTGCAGGAAGGGGAATGGTAACACATCTGCTACAAATTTGAAAACCCTGAAATAGATTATGTATGAGGTTCTTTCCAGTGCTAACATTCTATGATTCCTACAAAACCAGAACGAAATTATCTGGCATCCAGTCACTCCACTCAAGCCTAGATGTACAGCCAGTAATCCCACAGTCTTATGTAAATGGCCTCAGAGGGCAAATGGGAATTTCCAGGTGGGGAGAGGAAACAATCCTGAACTGCTAGCCCAGAGAATAACATCACAAGGCTGTTCCAAACCTGCTTAGGGTGGGGAGCCAGACCCACTCACATCTTTCCTCCCCACTTCCTCATGATTCTTATTAGACCTTGTTATTCACGCAGTGACAAATTCCCTTTTCAAGTAGTGGTTCTTTTTATTTCTTAGACCATGGACTATTTTGAGAATCGAAAGAAAACTACACACTCTCTTCTCTGCAAAATCTACTTGCAAATGAATCTATATAAGTTAGGATATTAATTATTTTTATATTTATTGACTACTTAATTTGTGCCAGGCACTAAGCTGGGCTGTGGGTCATTCTGGGATGTTAAAAAGCCTTGGGGCTTCATCTGTAAATCAAGAAATTTAAAAAGCCTCTTAGAGTTTTATTTGGAACAGGAGGCATTTATTATTGTTGTTGATGTTGTTGTTAAGTATAGCAACAATTGAAAAACAGCTAACTTTTCAGAAAAGTCAATATTATTGGTAAGGCTCTGTGCTAAGAACTTTGTCTGGGTCATTTCTGTTAATTCTTACGACAAACTGCATGAGGAAAGCATTTTATAAAATGAAGTAATACATGTCAAGCACTTAGAATAGTACCTGAGACACAGTGAATCCTCAATAAATGTTAGTTGCTATTATTACTGTTTTTATTATTATCATTATTTTTATTGCTCAGGCCTAGAAAGCCTAGGTACTATTTTCAAGACTAAAATTGTGTGATATCTTATATACCTTACTATGCTGTCAGTTTTAACTGATGATTCTCTAATGAGATATAAGAGCAAATAAAAGAAGAATGTGGAAGATAGGGGATTAAAGGGGCCTCCAGTTATCCACTTTAAATGTCCTCTGCAGTTCAGATCCTTGATAATGTCTGGCAGTCAGAAGCTGGTTGGCTTCCCTGTTTATAGAATTACTCATTAATACTTTCTCTGGGAGATGCATTGTTCAGTACCACTAATTCTTCTCTCAATTGGACCACGTGAAAACATCTATATCACTATTTTGAAGTGTTCTACAGGTATCTATCTGGAGGCCGTTGATGAAAGACACCAGGCTACTTTAGCCTCTGCAACCACCAAAGCCAGGCTCCTGGAAGCCATCAGAAGCTATAAGAAGCCAGCAGGTGTGTTATGCACAGCAGTACCAAGAAGCTGTGTCCAATAGTTCACAGACTTTTCATTGCCTTTTAAACTCTCATTTACAACTCTGCTAAGGAAATGGGCTCAAAACTTCCCTGGAGGAGCCTTGAAACTTAGATTATAAACTATTTTAGTGAGTTATAAAAATGTCCATGAAACCCACTAATGATATGAAATCACACTAAGGGGCAGTGTGGTCAAATTTCTGATGCATTTTTCAGAGGAGGATTATTAAATTATTTTTGATATTGAATGTAATATTAAATTCCATGTAAAATTGGGATGTAACATTTTATATGGAATAATAATATTGGATAGAAAATAGAAATGCTAAATATGGTTTATGAATATTTTAATATAAAAGAAAAAATAATTGGAGACATAAGAAGATTTGGTTTGAAATAGAATACAAAAAGCTGCAACAATAACTAACCAGTATAGAAAATGAGATTCTTTCAGTCATCTTAGTAATTGTGGAGTTAAAGTGGTCCTTAGGAATACTATTTCTAAAGTCAGGATCTCGATGGATATATCATTCATTAAATATTTTAATATGCCACTATATGAGGTACCCAGGATAATAATAGTTTATAAATATGTGAGGAAACTGACACCTAAACAAATAATTTAAGTACAGCAATGTGGGAGATTGGAGTATGTAGAAGGTTCTATGGGATCTCAGCAAGAATCTAAATTAGAATTGTCTGGAAAATGTAGAGTAGTGTGTCTTAGTCTGATTTGTGCTGCCATAATAGAATGTCTGAGACTGGGTAATTTATAATGAACAGAAATTTATTAGCTAACATTTCTGAAGGCTGGGAAGTCCAAATCAAGGTATCAGCATCTTGTGAGAGCCTTCTTGTTATGTCATAACATGGTGGAAAGAAAGAAGGCTACAGAGAACAAGAGGGGGCCAAACTCATTCTTTTATACTGTCACCAACCACACCCATGAGCATGGAATCCTCACGGCCTTATAACCTCATTAAGGTCCTACTTCTTAACGCTACTACAATGGCAATTAAATTTCAACATGAGTTTTGGAAGTCCCAAACATTCAAACCTTAGCACAGTGCAAATAAAACAAAGATTTGGCATAAACACACATTCAAGACATGCAGGATTTTTATTCTTGCTGCTAGTATTATTGTTGTTTAGCCTTTTCAATAACAATTTTCTGATTACAAAAGTCATTATCGGCCAGGCGTGATGGCTCAAGCCTGTAATCTCAGCACTTTGGGAGGCCAAGGTGAGTGGATCACAAGGTCAGGAGTTCGAGACCAGCCTGGCCAAGATGGTGAAACCTCGCCTCTACTAAAAATACAAAAATTAGCCATGCACAGTGTCAGGTGCCTGTAATCTCAGCTACTCGGGAGGTTGAGGCAAGAGAATCACTTGAACCCAGGAGGCAGAGTTTGCAGGGAGCCAAGATCGTGCCTCTGCACTCTAGCCTGGGCGACAGAGCAAAACTCCGTCTCAAAAAAAAAAAAAAAGTCATTATCTACCAAATGTAATAATATAGAAAACACAGTAGCATAAGAAAAACAAAATTATTCATATTCTCAAACTCCTTCTGCCATATACTCACTGTTTGCATTTTGGTATACTTCTTTCCATACTTTTCATGCATATCTATGTATATATTTTCTCTTTAGAAAAATTATTATAATAAATACATTGTTTTGTACCAATGTCTATTTCAGGTGTTAAGAATATTTAATTGCATAAATGTTTTTAAAATGCTTAGATCTATCCACAATGTTTCAGGAGGCAGAAGTTCTAGGTTCTAGATCTTGCCTCACAATGTATTGGCTACGTAACTTTGAATGAGTCCCTGAAATGTTCTGAAACTCAGTCACTTTGTTTGCAAGATGAAGATAATTATAGCTACTGTTTATTAAACAGGTACTGCTCAAAGTGTTTTCCACATATTATTTTATATAATCTGGTTAGAATTATATTCCAGGTTGATGTTATATTTTATAAATTTTTCAGATAAAGAAAATAAGACACAAAGAGCTTAAGTGTTTAAAAGTTCCCTCTTGCAGGCAGTTAAATAACTACGTTTCCTGAACTAGCTAGACAGGAATGGAGTCAATATTCAAACACAGTCTGACCACCTTGCTTTCCTGATAGTCCCTGAATGATGTTTTCCCTTTCTGAAGGCAGTAGACTGGACACATAATTTGCTAACTGTCTTCCTATTCTAGGATTGATGATAAATGGCCTCCAAAATGAATATTTCTCTTATATGATTTTATTAATTGAAAAAATTCAAAATCACATTTTCTTGAAGAAACTTTTTCTTTCTCTGCTTGAATTTATGTTGGGTAAAATATAAATTCCTGATACCTGCATGTATCACTCCATGATTCTTTGCCTAAGAGCAACTGGCTTCTTTTACATTTTCCAGGCCCTTTCACATGCATTATCACATTGACTATAACAATTTTTTATAGATGCTGAACTGGCATAGACAGTTTATGGTATTCACCATTTGGCAGGCTGCAGTCCAGTGTTCACAGCTAGCAAGTTCTTCTGTCATTCTGTTATATTTTATATCTGAATCCAGATATAAAACGATTTCTTAGGCCAGGCACGGTGACTCATGCCTGTAATCCCAGCACTTTGGGAGGCTGAGGTGGGTGGATCATTTGAGGTCAGGAGTTCAAGGCCAGCCTGGCCAACATGGCAAAACCCCATCTCTACAAAAAATACAAAAATTAGCCGGGTGTGGTGGTGCAAGCCTGTAATCCAAGCTACTTGGGAAAGGCCGAGGCATGAGAATCACTTTAATTCAGGAGGCAGAGGTTGTAGTGAGCTGAGATCATGCCACTGCACTCCAGCCTGGGCAACAGAGTGAGGCTCTGTCTTAAAAAAAAAAAATGATTTCTTGTCCATACAGGTCTCCCAAACTAAAAAATATATACTATTAGGAAGTGCTATGTACTATTTTAGACAGGAAGGTTTAAAAAGACCCCTCTGAGTAAGTAGGAGATATCTGAATTGAATCTTAAATCTTAGGTAGAAGCCAAGAATGTGAATGTCAGAGGAAAAACTGTTCCTGGTAACAGAACAGCAACTAAAAAGTCCTTCAAGCAGACACAACTTTATATGCATGATAAAAAAAGAAGAAAAAAAACAGTGGAATTATAGCAGAATAAATCAGAGAAAGAATAAAAGAATTTGGGTTGAGAGAACAACTGGGGTTTGGTAACAGACGAACTGGATGGCCATAATAAGAAATTTGGATATTATTCTGACTTCAGTGGAAAGGCACTGGGGTGTCTAAGCAGAGGAGTAGTATTACTTGATTTACACAAAAAGGCCACTATGGAAGATTAGTCTACAGGGAGGCAAGAGTGGAAGCAGGAAGGCCACTTGGCCAGGTATATCCTAAGATATGCTGATTGTAGATGATGGTCTAAGGTAGTAGCGGTGAAAATGGCAGAAACTGGTGTTTATCTTACACCGATATGTCCTACTACGGCTTTTTCCCAAAAAAAAAAATCTGTGACATTCTTCCCAACCTGCTCCTACATTTATCCAATTTTCCATCTTTAATTCCATTTATCCCCTTTTGGGTTTGATGTTAGCATTGCCTCCTTCTGATTCTTGACCACCTTCCTCTCCTGACTCTCAAAGAAATGTATGAATGGGATTTAGCTTCTCTTCCCAACTATATCAGGTAATGTATGGATTCCAGACGACCTCTCTGACTCTAAGTCCCAACTCTGCCCACCAGCCCAAGCCCTGTTTACCCTATTTATGGACTAGAATCGACAGATCTATAAAGGTGAAGAGTCAACCACATGCATACCTCACATATTTTACAATTACATATAAACATTGCATTAGAGTTTACACATCTTCCCTTTATCAGTGATCTCTTGTCATCACTGCGTCTGTACTTATTCTGCATTTTTCCTCACAAGAGCTGTATCTAAATATAAAAAATATAAGCTATATCTAAATATAAAAATGCTCTCTTGAGGATTTCCAATGTCTTCAGTATTCTACATTGCCTTGAATTTAGTAAGGCCATGCAACATTCTATTTTGACTCTAGTAAGCATTTACTTTGATGACTTGTATATTTTACCATTTCCCCCTTTTGCTTTTCCATGAAATACAGAAGATATTTTGTATGTCAACAGCTTGCTGTTTACTGAAAGGACCCTGACAGCTATGATTAATAAGGTAAAGTCTCCGTGCTCCAGGGTTGGCAGTAATGGCTTGCATTTTCCAGTTGTGAAAAGTTTCCTCCTGCAGGCAGTTAAAGAAATGTGTTTCCTGAATGTCTTCTCTCACTTTGATCTTTTCCCAACTCTCATCCCAAGACCAAGCGAACGGGTATGCTCCACTCAACTTCCAAAATGTAAGCTTTGCTGGCAGTTCCACGAGTTGACCACTAACAATTTCCACCAGATGCTACTATAGATTAAATTATACAGAGTGGAAAACCTAGTTAGTGAGTTTGCATTGCTCTGAGTTATATTTTTGCCTACCCTTCAAACATCCATTTTCTCCTGCCCCAGTTCCCTTCTCTCCTGTTCTCTCCTCCTTTTTCCTCTTTCCCTCTCTGCCTCCAGACAGTATAGATTTCACTGTTAGAGGCTAAAGAAGTAAAGGCAGAAACTGATTCACATTGTGCCTTTGCAACATATTAGCTGGGGAATCTGGGCAAATTTTACAACCTCTTAGAACCTCGGTTTCCTCCATATACAGTGGGGAATATGACACATGCTTTGCAGGGTTCTTGTAAGGATTTGATAAGCCAATGTATGGAAGGGGCTTAACATAAGACTGAGAAATAATGTCACTATTCTCACACAATCTGGCAACATATAGCTCATTGAGGATCCTCTTTTAAGAAAGAATACCTTATATGTTCTTTGGCTGAAAAAGTTGTGTTTCAAATACGCCTTTGGGATTCCATGTATTTTCTATGAGCCAGCCTTGACCTCCTCTTCCTGGCAGGCTCCTCAGAAGCCAAATATGTGCTTGTTCCCATTCATATAAGAAAGGTTCCTATACGTGTGTTTGCACCAAACACCCCTTCCCTATTTGGGCCAAGAAAATGAATGCTGCAGCAGGAGATAACAGAAAATTTTCTTACCCTTTATTTCCAAATGTTAACAGGACCTTTACTTTATGCCTTGTGCATGGAGGTGATGCACATGAAAGTAACTTGGGAATTTCAGGATATAGACAGCAACAGTGAAAGAACTCTCAAAACTTGGCAATAGGCCACCAAGTTAGAGAAAATAACAGTATTAATTTCTAGTATTTATTGAGCCATTAACTATATATTAAATACTGGGTAGCCTGGAAAATTCCAGTTTTTAGGCCTACAAGACTGAAGGCTACACCCCAAGTAATCTCAGTATGGAAAACCTTAGGGTGACAGCACACACTTCCTTCTATAACCCCAGACTCTATGATTTGGTATCCCTAACTGCCAGGTCAGGAGCTTAGCAGAGCTGGTAGACTGGACTGATTCAAGCCCTGTTTCAGGTCTGATGTACATGAGTTTCACTGAGAGTACCTGCGTACATTTGCATGAAACTTTGATGGCTCGTTGAAGTGAGAAGGCAATTTGGCAATTCTCCAGCTTGCCTGCTTCTCCCCATGCAACCTCTACCTGGGCTGCAAAGAGGCCTTGGCTCAATTGAACAAGTAGTCAAGATAGGATATGGTGGCCCCTCTCACACATCCCTAGAAGAAGCTTGAATTTGCACCCTTTACAATACAAGAGGAGACAATTGACCCAGTGAACATTAATACATGTATATATTTAGCTATAAATATAAAGAATAAATATGCATATTTCTTTTCTAAATTAAAGGCATTTGGGTCACTTGAAGAAAAAACAGAAAAAGAAAAAATCTTTAACTGGCTCAAACAAAAACTCATTCAGGCTTAGAAATTGGCAAAGGCAATAATGATAAATACTCATCCCATAATCATATTTTTATAGGCCCTCATTTCCAAGAGTTTCACCATAAAAAGGATCACAGTGAAATATCTGGACTGACAGTTCACAATAGTGGTATGATATCAACAGGATGTCAGGTTTTACAGGGCTTTCCCATTTCCTCTGTAAAATTCCAAAATTTTACATTTTGCATTACAGTTGCATTTTGCATTACAGTTGCATTACCAAAAGATGCAACTACCACTTTTGCCTTTAAATCATTATTTTTTTAAAAAAAACTACCTTCCAAAAGGGCTATTTGTTCATTCCTCTGTTCATTCACCACCTATTTATTGAGCACCTACCAAGTACGGTTGCTGCTGCACATAGAGGATAAAAATGGCAATAACAACAAAACAGATAGTATTACCTACTATATCTATTATTATGTAACACCATTCTGAGCACGTAACATGTATTTAACACAGGTAATCCTTGCAACAACCCTTTAGGAAGGTTGCTTATAAACTGTTCTACTATCTATAGAATGTCACCTGATGCCTGTGCCAGCCATCCTCTGTCACTCTCCTTGATCTCCAGCCCTGCCACAAGTCCCTTCTCTGGCTGACAGTCTCTCTTGATCTGGCTCACCCTTCTTTATAGTTGAACCATAATTCTAGAAGGACCACAGCATCTTCAGACTGGGAGTTGGGAATATGTAAAACAAGTCCTTCCTCGGTGATCCCAAATGCTAAATAAAACAAACTTTGGGTTAAACTGAGAAAGAGATAAGAGTAAATTAGTAGGAGAAGACCTTGACTTCAGGCTCAAGTTTGCCAGGATTGAGCCAGCAAGCCATAGAACAAAACTCAAGATTTCAACATTATGCTAACCTCTGTCAGATTAAAATAGTAAAAAACCATACTTGTAATTATATCCGTAGATATAGTTTTAATCTTGAGAACTACACAGTGTAAGAACATCAGAGTGAGAAATAACCTTAACAAATGGAGAAGCCTAAACAGGTGAAGAAACTGATTCCAGGTCCTATAGACTCCTGGTATTAAGGTCAAGAAGTCACAGAATCACAAAGCCAGCTCATCTTATTTACCTGGTCACCAGCTGCCTGAATCCTTATAATAGAACAGCCTTGACAAGTGATTATACAGGCTGTGCTTCAATTCTTCAAATTATGGGTACTCCTTTCTCTCTGGCTGGGGTCAGGTTGAGGGTAGGGAGGTGGGTACATTCATTTGTGGTAGAGTTCTAACTCATAAAAATTTTGTTACATTTTGAACTAAAACCCTTTTACATTTTGAACTAAAATCTTCCTCCATGTATCTTCTACCATTCAAAAACCCACAGCCCCCAATTATTTATCCCTTTTCCACATCAAATTAATCAAATATCTGGTGGCACCTTTTGCCAGCCTCAATATCCCCAGTTCCTACTACCCTTCCTTATGTAACATAAACAACAACCCAGATCTCCCAGCTCTGGTTTATTGCTAGGAAGAAAAGGTGTATAGTAGTTAAAAGCATGGGCTTTGCAGAAAGACAAATCCCTAGGTTGAATTTCATTTCTACATTCATATTAATATCCAAGGACAATTTACTTAATTTATATATCTTGATATATATAAAGATATATCTTTATAAATATATCTATATAAAGATATAATATATCTTTATATAATATATCTTGGTGTAAGGAATATGGCTGTGCTTTGGTCAGGGATAGGCCGAAGTAGGATGTTTACAACCTGCATGACTCAGTGAGTTCAGAGCGCAGGCGTTTAACTCCACTTGTTATCACAGCCATGTAGCCATAACATGGGAAGGCCACCCCTTGGCCTTAAGCCACTGTTGTCTGTAAAATGTATAACTGCCCTGTGGACACTGTGTAGGCGCACTGGTGCCCAGAGAAACAGAGTCAGAGCTGTCCATCTTTGCAGATGGACAGGAGGGAGCCAGGGAACTGCTAGGCTTGTCCATGCCCAAAGACAGAAAGGGTTAAGCTGCTGACTCTGAAGCAAAGGGAGAGCCCACCATGTAGCTGCAGGCATGGGGGCTGCAGGAGCCACAGAGCTGGAGCAGACAGCCGAGATAAAGAGAGCTAGTGTAAGAAAGCTGTTGATGAGAGCTGCTGCTGAATAAAATCATCTTGCACCTGCCTGCGGCCCCCCGAGTGTTCTTTCTGCTCATCCAACCACTCCCTTTGGACCTCAGTATGACATTTGGTATAGTCGTGAACCTGACACTTGGGTTTCTTTAATTTAAATCACTTTGAAGGGTTCTTGGGGCGAGTAAATAACATATGTAAAATGCCTAGCACCTTACCTAGCATTTTGTAGAAGTTCAACATATATATTTGAATGGATAAATAAATGAACCCCTAGTTGGATGCTTTGTTTAAACTTGGCACTCATAAGTGAGTTTTGTAGAATGAAAAGCAAACCTGGAGAAGACCTTGTGTAGGGGAAAGGATCAGAGGGAGAATGAAGGAGAAACAGCCTTAATGAGAACCCAAAGCTGCCATGGCTGACGAACTTTATATGTAAGGAAACCTCAGCCCTTTCTGTAACAAGTTCGCCAACCATCTGACAGCAGCGTGCTTCACACTCACCTGTGCTCACAAAGGGGAAAGGAGGGAAGACTCATAAATTCAAGTCCTTTTCAACTAACTCTGAGCTTTCTCATAAAGGTCTGACCACTTGTGAATTTGAGATCCCAAAAGCTAAGTTATTTGGGGAATGGGATAAATGGTACTTTATATCTTTTTTCTTCTTCTTCTTAAAAAATAGCTGAACAGGCTTTCCTAACTCTTTCCCAAAAGCTTCATGTTCAGGCTGAGCTCAGCCCTGGAAGGTCTCACACTCAAGAGGAAGGCCTGAGAAAGTCATTAAAGGCAAGTGAAGGCCCTGGAATGGAAATACACAGGGAAGATGGAAATTCCATTGGCTTTTCCTCTCAGGTGATCCATCTTTCAATAACAGGAAGATGAAACCAAAGCAAACTGTCTCAAGGATAACATCTCCTAAACCATTATAAACTTAAAACATCGCTTAAAGCAGGGGCTTTGGGGCACAGCTTGTCATATCTTGAATCATGGTTCCCCTCATTATATGGGCTGTTTGTGGCAAATAACTGAAACTCCCTGGGCCTCAGTTTCCTCCTCTGTAAAATGGAGATAATGTCCCTTATTTCATAGGAATTTAAAGAGGAACAAATAAGAGAGTCTAGCTTGTATACTGTCTGGCACGTATGTTAAACTATTTCACTAGATGTAAAGTAATGTATATATAGCAAACAATCTTTGTCCTATTAACATGAAGGGATCAAATAATTAAAATGAGTCCACACTTTTTCTTCTCCCCATTGCCTGTTTGGCCTCTCCTTCTCTTCCTATCTCCCTCCTGGCTCTTGGTAGAAAGGAAAGAAACTGGACAAACACATTATCCACTTCTCTTCCTGACAAAAAGTTTATCCATGAAGAAGAACCACATGCACTAGGAAAAGAGAATGACATGGAAAGGAAAGGGTAGAGGGCTGGGATGGTGCTAAGCGTCCTGCAGTGCATATAACAACCCTCCATGACGAAGAGTTATCCAGTCCAAAATGTCAATAGTATCAAGGTGATGAAACACTGGGCTATAATATATAAAACATAAGGGAGTAGTGGGACAAATGGAGGTGGCAGTTAGATTGAGGATCTTGGATATCTAAGCTAAGATAGCTAAGATTTCTTTCCCAAAGTAATGGGTATATTACTGGATTCAAGGCATGAAGAAAATAGAATTTTAGAATAATCTAATTTGTTTTGCAAAGTTGTGTCTAATATAGGAACTTAGAGATACCAGAGAGTTCCAGGTAGCCTGATACAAATTCACGTTTTATATTGAATTGTGGTTATGGTGTCCCAACATCTAGTTGAAAAGTGAAAGCATCAACCATCCTGGCCAACAAGGTGAAACCCCATATCTACTAAAAATACAAAAATTAGCTGGGCATGGTGGCATATACCTGTAGTCCCAGCTACTTTGGAGGCTGAGGCAGGAGAATCACTTGAACTCGGGAGGCAGAGGTTGCAGTGAGCCGAGATCGAGCCACTGCATTCCAGCCTGGTGACAGAGCAAGACTCCATCTCAAAAAAAAAAAAAAGAAAGAAAGAAAAAAGAAAAAAAAGTGAAAGCATTAATCAACAGGTTAATTTTATCTCCTTGACTTCAACAAACCAAAAGCCTGGATTTCTGGTTTTCCCATTGATTATGACTTCTGCAATTTGGCAAGACAATTAAAGGGGATGAGTGGAGTGGATTTACTCTAACTAATAGTTTGGCATGATGTAGACAAAACATCTGGTTGGCTGGTGCTTTCATTTTTCACTTGGTGGTTTTGACATGGAGGAAACAATCATTGTTGGATGCTAACTAGTTATCATTGTAAGCCCAGCTGTTCATAGGGTAGAATCAACAGTCCTAAAATAAAGTATTGTAGGTACATACCTTCAACCTGAAAGATTACAGCTTATAAGAAAAATGATTCTAGAGGTAAAAATAAATAACTCAAGCATAACCTTCATTTATGTTTACTTGCCATTGTTCATGTTCAAATACCCTGTCAGATATGTCTTATATGCCTGGGAGTTTGTGTGATTCATCAAAGCATTAAGTCAAGCCACATTCCCTAGACCAGGGCTGTACCTTCCTGGAGAGAGAAGCTCATTTTTCTTCACACACTAGTTGTTGTATACTCACAAAATCATGTACCTCAAGAGGATGCATTCACCCAGAAAGTGAGTGATATGTTTTGTTATTTTTTTAAATTTATCTGCAAAGAGGAGACTCCTTGTATAAATTCATCTGAAGGAACAATAAAAGCCAGTGAAAGCCTAGGTTCGTTTTTTCTGCACTTCTAAATCCTACACATATTTTTAAGCCTAGTTCTTTCCACCTTCCTAAAGGCTTCCCCGGGGCTACTGCCCATGGTGAGTAACATACATGACAATTTTCACTGGCAAAGGACTACTTGGATCACTGTGCCAAGCAAATTTTTGAGGTCGTATTAGGATCCCACAGGAAAGAGTTCTGTGATCCATTAGCAATGCCTTTCATGATCATAAGAAAGGGAGAAGGTAACATGAGAACAAAGTATTTGCTTTCTTCACCCTTTCCTAGCATTTGTTGACACTGTCATTCATTTGGTACCAATGCTAGACACTGGTGTAACAATAGTGAGCAATACTAAATATTATTCCTGCTTTCTCAGAGCTTAAAGTCTAGTGGAAAGTGTCTTTAAGTAAATACTCATATATCCTCTGATGAATTAAAGATAGCCACAAATTGTGCTTCATCCAACAGAGGGTAGCATTTTCTTCCCTCTCCTTGAATCTGGATGGCCTATGTATTTGCTTTGACCAATAGAATATGGTAAAAATGACTTGTGACAGTTTGGGACCCAAACTTTAAAAGGCCCAGCAGCTTCCACCTTTTCTACTTAGATGCTAGCCACTGAGGTATAAAGAATGCTGGGCTAGACATCTGAATGAAAGCACCCACAATGAAAAGAGGTCCAAAAATGCAGATGCCATGTTGAACATGCTGGAGCCAAAAGAGCTCTTAGCTAAATGCAGCCACTTGAGTTAACTCAGTTTTCACAATGTGGAGCAGAAGAACCAACCAGCTAAACCAAGTCAAGTTAAAAAATTGTAGAAATTTTAAATTGTATTGTTTTAGGCCACAAAATATGAGGATTATTTGTATATAGCAATAGATAGCTAAAACACATAATTTCTAAAGTAGGCCTCTACCACATCCCGTTTTCATCACATTATCCTGTTTTACTTTTATTGTAATTCTTATTACTACCTAAAATTATTTTATATTTTTATCTGTTGTCTGTCTTCCCAAACAAGAGAAAAACCTGGTGAGAGCAGGCACCTTGCTTCATGCTGTAACCCCTATGTCCACAACAATGCCTGTCACAAAGCAGAAGCTCAGAAAATATTTACAGATTAAACGACTAGATGGATAGTTGTAACTATGATATATGCGGCAACTGAGAAGTTAATGTTGCTATAACTATAAGAGGATTAGTCCTGGTGAGGGAGGTCAGGAAAAGGAAGGCTGGCTTTGATAAAATCTTCACATGTTATGTCCTGGATGGGAGTGAGAAAACATTTATTTCTAATTACTTATTAATTTACCATTCTCTTATAAGTGACATTATCACCTTAAACTTTCTGTGGTGGCAGGGTGAAACTTTTTTTTCCAAATATTTTTAGAGCAACTTGCTGACAATCCAGTTGCTAACTACTTATTAATTTAGTAAGTAAGGAATCTCCTGAATTATAAGAACATTAATTTTAGTAAAACTGATCGACAAAAGAAGATGTGAAGTCTACTCTATTCCTCTGCTAGAAATCTAGATTAAAGGAAAAATATCTTCTTTCTTTTGTACCTACCTATTTGTAGCTTAAGTTCTATCTGCGTTTAAATTTGATATTTAATTAAAGCTTAGTTTTGGCTCTCTTAATAGAAAGACAGATAAATTGTTGGCATGAAAGAAATGAAAATTCATGGTTATAAATCTCTGAGATGAGTTTTAACACAAAAATACTACCAGTTAGTATACAGAAAGATAATAAAATTCAGGTCAACAAGTAACACAGACTCTGGATTAATTCAGACGTTTGTTTGAATCTTTGATTCAATACTCCAAATATTGGAAAACTTATTTAATAATTTATCTTTAAAGATAGGTTCTTTCTATCTTTAAATAAAGAAATATTTATCGAACATTCTTTGCTAGGTTCGGAAACTATAGCAGATGGCAAGACAGAAAGCAATTGTTTTCATGGAGTTTAAAATTTAGGGAAAAAGATACCTAGAAAGTAAATTATAAGTCAGCTGAGAGTCCCCTTAAAAGATTTTGATTTAGCAAAGTTCCCTTATAAAGTAGTTGAGATAATTTTGTGATATAAGGCATATAAAGTCCCTGGAACTATGCTTGGCACATCATACTTTCAACAATGTGGAATTTCCCAGCCTCTTGGCATTGAAGCAGACAGAAAGTGGACATCCCAGATGTTCCAGATCTGAAAGATTGATAAGTGAAAAAAAACCATATCTGTCTATTCCCCTTTATAATTCTAATGCTTAGGTTGAGTTAGTGAATGAGTGAATTGATCCCTCTTAAAGCTTAAAAACAAGATAAACGATCTAAGCGTGCAGCTTTGTAGCACTGCCTTCTCTTTAAGGCCCAGAAGAGTGCCTCACTCACCTTTCACAGTCCCATGGTGATCAGCACAATGCCTAAGAAACTCTAGAAAGTGCAGACCAATGGGAAAACCCTGGACTTGTGGGAGAAAGAGTTCTCTCTCTACCACTTCTCGCCTGTAAATCCCATAATCTCTAAGTGCCAGCATTTCCACTTGTCAAGTCGGTTCTGAAATCCTTGCTTCCCTCACAAAATAGTCAAATGAGATAATATAAGTGGAAATGTTCTCAAAACTGTAAGACACAACACAAGTATAAAGGAGTAGTATTATTAAGACACTTTCATGCTTTAACCCTCTGTAGTCTGCTTTCATCTGACCATCTCTTCACTGGGACTCTTTTCTCAGAAGTTGCTTACTGAAGTCATTTGAGACAAAGCAAGAAACAAAGTAGTTTTGTTGCCGGGGAAGATCAGCTAGCTGGCTGCCAAGAGGCCATTTACTTCTGTGAGCTCAATAAATGCAGGCTGTGACCCTCAGTCTGGCAGCTGCAGAAACAGCCTTAGCAGTTTTACAGAGTTGATTATATTCAGGATGATGACTCATACTGATTTGGGTATATGAACCAGGGTATGTGTTAGAAAAAGGAAATAGAACTGTTAAACCATCTTTTTCTGTTGCATATTTCCTGCAGAAAAGCTACATGAAAGCCAATTTATCAGAAGATACCTTGGTGGGCAAAGAATTGGTTCTCTTGTAGTTAACACGGGTGATTGGAATGTTTAATGACATCGGTGTGTCTGCTTCCGTGATAAGGATGTGTCTCCCTGAGAAAAATGGCTGTTTACATCATCTTATCAGGGCACTCTCTTCTCTGGCTTATGTGTCTCTGCTTCTCCTTTGCTGGCCAGCATCTCTTCTTAAGGATGCATTCTTTCTTTAGATAAAGTAATGCCTTCAATCAGGTTCCAGTTCAGTCTTACTGGCCTGGAGGACATTCAGTCCCTTTTATGTATATTTGCCTATTTCTCAGTTACCAAACCCAAAGTGTTCAGTTTACAGTTTAACTCTCATGTGGTCATTTTACTTCCTTATTTCCTGTATTCTTAGGGGGTGCTTCATTATTGCTCCATTTGTCACCAACAATAATGAACTTCTAATTTATCTCCAAATTCTATATCCCCTTCTTGGTCTTCATTCTCCTGCATGTCTGTTCAGCATGACAACATTGATCTTGCCTACAGTAAGCAATGTCTAGAATCCTTTCTATCTTCAATAGTCCCCCTATTTCCTTTTGGAGAATTGCCTTCTCCCATTGTGTTCAACCTTGGTTGAAGGGTAGTTCCTGGCTTGTGAATGCCCATCTCTAACTTGGGAAGGCTAGGAGACCAAATTCTGGCTCTGCCAGGACAGGCATGTAACTAGAAATCAGATTCTTCTGGAACTTTGAGTGGCAGTCATTCTTATGACAGAAGAAGATTAAGTAGCAATAGTGGCAATTTTACCAGCATATAGAATGTGGACTCCTGCTAGAAATATTTTCTGAATGGTCCCAGTTTCATGCACTTTGGGCCTCCAGCTTGGAGTGTGTGTGTGTGTGTAATATAGATACACGGATGATGAAGAGAAGAGAAGAGAAAGAAGAGAAGACAAGAGAAGAAGAAAGAAAGAGAGAGAAAGAAGAAAGAAGAAAGAAAGAAAGAAAGAAGAAAGAAAGAAGAAAGAAAGAAAGAAAGAAAGAAGAAAGAAGAAAGAAAGAAAGAAAGAAAGAAAGAAAGAAAGAAAGAAAGAAAGAAAGAAGAAAGAAAGAAGAAAGAAAGAAAGAGAGAAAGAAAGCAGGCAAGCAGACACAGACAGACAAACAGATAAATTAACAGACGGATTCGTTTTTCATTCCTCTCATTCCTAAAACTCGTCTCTGTACTGCCTTTTGATTCTGTGAGGCCCTGAAATCCTGCCATTAAGTCTGTTTGCTTAAAGTAGTCAGAGGCGTTTTTATTGCTTGCTACCAAGAAGTTTTCTTGTCTCCTCAAGTAGATTGAAAGCAGTGAAAATGGCTTTTCATCATCTCCCGCAGAGCAGTGCCTCATACATAACGGGTGCTCAATAAAGTATACATAATTGAACAATTCTGTGTTGTATATTCAGCAACTGTAGCAGAGTTGAGTTTAATTCAAATGAACTGAGCAGCACTTGCTCCAGCCCATAGCAACTATAATACTAGAATATTTCACCACCATTCAGAAAATTGGGCTCACAAGATTAGATTTTGGAATCTTGACAGATAAGATTTCAGCAACTCCTTATTTAAACACTTCTTAGGCAAATTATGTATCACACTCTGTTACTAGGAGCTCTGGCAAGTATCTGCAAGTGAAATAGTCAAAAGCAACTGCCTATCTTTGTAGGTGGTGTGTCATCAAGAAGTGGATGTAACATGCTGCAGTGTTAGCTCAAGCCTCTGGTTTAACCACAGACCCTGAATTAATAGCATAATTGGTTTGCAGATTCAGATGGAGGAATGCATGCAGAATAAGAATTGCAGGTAACAGTACGAATTGGGTTTTTTCCTTCTGAAGCTACTTGGTTTCTATAATCCCTCCTCTATCCAGCATTAGATCAATTCTATTTGGCGTTGTGCAAAAGTCTGTTGAATAAAAAATGAAAGATTGCAGTTGTCTTTTGGGGAAACTCTTCCTCTGTTCAATAAGATGCATTTTCAAAAGGATACAAATAAACTTTGATTTTTAAAAAATAGTCAGTATTAATGACTCAAAAGTTTACCAAAGCAAGACCATATGCTAACTTTGTCAAGTAGTATTTATACTTGTTCCTAAGAATAAACCTATCCCTGTGAAGAAACATCACTGGAAACCACTAGTTACTGCTAGCCATAGCAAATCTGGGTTTCATCAGTGAGGCCACAGAACTCACTGAACACCACCTCACACTTCTACTGGGTATACATATGACACCCAGACAATACCATCTCAGCAGCCTTCTTACTCTTGACCTGGTATGTCCTTCCCCAACCTTGCAGAAGACTCAAACCTATCAATTTCTTCAAAGTGATCCTTGCATGTCCTTGATAAAATGTCTACTGAAGGAGATGAGACACTCAAGGCACACAAGTTTCACCTTCAGTCACTGATTATGATTATGAAGGGAGGCTTTAGGGGCAATGGTATATGACCCAGTCCAAGAAAATCACACTAAGAGAATTTTTTTAAGAGAGGTAACTTAAAGCAAAACAAAATAAAGAGTTTTGACACTAAGAAGAATGTAAGAAACAAAGTGCAGATGTAATTCATCCTGTTCAGAGGCATTGAGGCATAAATAGTTAAGTAAATAAAATAGCATTAGTAATGAGAGTACCTTTCTCACCTCAAAGCAATTATCTTAGTTTGT
Organism: Homo sapiens; assembly: GCF_000001405.40. Lineage (NCBI taxonomy): Eukaryota > Metazoa > Chordata > Mammalia > Primates > Hominidae > Homo > Homo sapiens. The sequence goes on from NC_000011.10 coordinate 27,015,294, forward strand.
TCGGGCTGTTCTAACAGAATATCATAAAGTAGGTTTCTTACAAGCAAGAGAAATTTATCTCTCACAGTTCTAGAGGCTAGGATGTCCAAAATCAAGGCACCAACAGATGCAGTGTCTGGTGAGGGCCTGCTTCCTGGTTCATAGATGCTATCTTCTTGCTGTGTCCTCATGTGGCAGAAGGGACAGGGGAGGTCTCTGGGATCTTTTTATTAGGACACTAATCTCATTCATGAGGGCTCCAACCTCATGACCTAATAGCCCCTCAAAGACCCTACCTCCTAAAACCATTACATTGGTGATTAGATTTAAACGTTAATTCTGGGGACACACAAATATTCAGAGCAAAGCAGTCATGATATGAAGAGTCTGTCTAAGGAAAGAAGTGATGTGGCTCATGCTATACCATGCATGATTTTAATCTGGGTAAAATGCTAAATTCAAATCTCAGAAATCATGAATGATGAAATAAAAAGGTCCTCACAAGTTAGTTATCTATATAAAAAAATTGGATTTCTTCTTGCCCTACAAAAATAAATTCTAGATTAATTAAAGACCTAAATGTCAAAAGAAAAAGTGTTAATGGAAAATATAGGTGAATTTCTTTCTGATCTTAAGGTAGAAAAGAATTTCTTAAGGTGCAAAATGTACCAACGAAGAGAAAAATTTGGTGAATCTATATTAAATTTAAGACCACTTGCTAATCAGAAGGCACATTAAAGAAAGTGAAAATACATGTTACGAACTGGAAGAAGATATTTTCAACATGTATAACTAATAAAAAATTAGTAACAAGAATATGTAAAAAAAACTCTTGGAAATCATAAGGACAAAAACACAATAAAAATTATTAAAAGACATGAACAAGCACCTCAAGGTAAAGAAAATACATATGGTTAATACACATACAAGGAAATATTCAGTTTCAACAGATATCTGGAAAATACAAATTATAACATGACACTATTTTAGACTTCTTTAATTGGCCACAGTGGTATGACAATGTTTAACAATACCAAGTGTTGGAGAAAAGGTAGATGAATGGGATTGAGAGGTAAAGACAAACTTTTCAAGACCAATCCACTGTGGGCTGATCTCTGAAAAAAGGAGCTGGCCTCCTACAAAGCTCCATGGAAACCAGATTGTTTAAAAGACTTAAGACATAGTCTGTGACGATGCGAGATAACTGTGACCTACCCTGTAATAGGGTGAGCAGAGGAGATTTTCAAGCAATATTCTACTTCTTACATTGGGTGATGGGTCTTCAAATGTTTCTGTATTGTTGAAAATAAATAACTATAAACATATAGACAACAAAACAAGACTATTCATGAGCCAATGATGAGAGTATGTAATGACTAGAGTCAATGATTCATCCAATCCTCTACTCCTGAGTCAAAAACAAAAAGAAAAATGTCAAAAACTTGGGATTTAAGATAAGGTATAGGAAGCACCTAAGTTAACATAAATCCCAATGGTAATTTGTGATGCAGTGTACTGTTTATATACACTTTTTAATTTTCTGTATATTATAATGTTTTGACATCTTAAAAAGTTTTTTGACTGGGGAGAGTTTGCCTCTCCTGGGCTAGCCAATTCTTAGATAGCAAAGGGCTCAGCCAGGAGCATGCCTTTTATGTGCAAACTAATCAATACAGAGCCTCTACCTGACCCATCCTCTATCTGGGCTATACACCCCAGGAGGCAATATTCCCCTGCCTTCATCATCCCAGATCCAGGGACCAGGCAACTAGGGACCATCCCTATAGTTCAAAGCCTGCTGAACTTCTTCAAATTAGCCCATCCTAAACTATATACCCTGCCCTGCCTAGCCTTTCCCATGGAAACCCCAATCAAGGCCATTGCCCTGGCCTCCACCCTGTGCCTGCCCTTCCTGCCTCCTGACCCATGTGGCTCTCTGTGGCATTCCATACTTCCTGTTTCAAGGACCTGTGAGTATTACAAACTTTATTTTCCTGTGGCTTCCCTCAGGACACACCTGACTGGCCACCATATAAAAGAACACAGAACATGTAGCTATTATCACATCTATATTTCACGTAAAACAGCGGGCTCAGAGAAGATAAGAGAATCACTCAGCACTAAGTATCTAAGAAGAATTAAACATCCTATTTGGACCTAAATCTGTCTGATTATATACTATCATTAAGCTGAGTTACAGTAACAAATAAGCCCCAAACATTCTGCAGCTTAACAAAATAGATATTTATTTCTTATTCATCTGAAGGTCCAAAGAGCATTATCTGAGTCAGCGGAGTGGCTCTCCTCTATGTGATCATGTAAAGACCCAAACTCCTATTTTATGGCTCTATAGCTGTCCAGATTCTCATCACTGTTTGTAGGAAAGAGTATGAAAGAGTACACTGTGGTGACTTCTACAGGCCGGTTTGGAATGATACTCATTATTCCTACTCTCTTTTTACTTTTCTTTTCTTTTTTGAGATAGGTTCTTGCTCTGTCACCCAGACTAGAGTGCAGGGACACAATCATGGCTCACTGAAGCCGTGACCTTCTGGGTCCTCCTACCTCAGCCCCCAATTAGCTGGGGACCACAGGCATGTGCCACTATGCTCGGCTAATTTTTTCATTTTTTTGCAGAGATTGTGGGTCTCACTATGTTGCTCAGGCTGGTCCCAAACTCCTGGGCTCAAGTGATCCTCCCACCTCAAGTGATCCTCCTGCCTCAGCCTCCCCAAGTGCTGGAATTATAGGCATGAGCCACTGCACCCGGCTGCTCTCATGTTATTAGAGTGAACTTAGTCACATACACCAGTGCACTTACCTGGGAGGGTGGCTCACAGAAATGCGGGAAGAGTGAATTTGAGTGGACAGCTGATACTTCCACCACAGGCTCCAAATATCAAGCTCTTTCCAAATGTCACAGTAGCCTTCTTATGAAGATAAATGGCAAAGGTAAAAAACGATATGGAAATATCACATGATATTGGAAAGCCATGGGTAACAAGTTCCGTGTTGCTGGGGTACATGTGCTGTCTGGACTAATGTACTGATTTTGCTAGCCTATAAAAAAACATATCTCAAGCAAAGTTGTGTAAGATACTTCCTCATTGTGCTGAAATCCATGGATGTCCACTAAACAACTGCATTATAAAAAGAACTGGTCATCCTACAATTAGTAACTATGAAGGACAGAAGGGGATGTATTGATGTAGTGAGTATATGTGTGCTTTGGAATGAATACAGTGAAATAATGAAACATAAAAACAATCATAACATTGAAAATCAGTGTATTTTTGTTGCTGTCCAATATCACCTTTCCTGGGTCACATTTCATTTTGGCCAGATAGTCACAGTAGTCCAAAATATTCAGGAATAATCAATATGATAGCCACATTCTTCAAAACTATGATGTGTAAAAACACAGGATTATTCAAACAAAATCAAAAGTTTCTGCATATAGTACGATTAAGTTTTTAAGGGACTGGCAAATATTCCTTACCCAAGCATATGCCATGCTGACCTAATCAGTTATCTCTTTCAGTTTTTAAAAATAATAATAGTAACCCTTTGTAAGTACTTACTGTGTGCTAAGACCTTTATATACATTATATCATTTAACCACAATGATGTTATGAGGAAGTTATGATTCTCAGTTTTAGGATAAAGATATTGAACTTAGAGAGCTTAAACTGCCTAAGGTCACTCAGCTAGAAAGTAGCAGAATCAAGATTACAGTCCAGATATCTCCAACTCCAGCACCCTCACTCTTCCCCATCATGATAAGGAGCAAGAACTCTAGCTCAGTCAATAATGTTAATTACAATGTGTCAAAAAAGAATGATGTTTCCTTTTTTTGGTTAGAGCATTTCTACCAGGAAGGCTACAGCTGGTACTATAAATGGTGAGTATAAGTGACATTCTTGCATCTCAGGATGGTTCCAATTTCCCACTCAGTTCTGACCCACCAGGGTACACAGTGCCAGACAGCTAGACTAATAATAGAAGAGATTAAGATGTTTTCTTAATTTAGTCCTTGTAGAAACATTGCTTATCCCTACACTCCCATCTGTTTTGGAATTTTAAGAGTGTGCATTTTTAATCCAGGATGGGAGCTTTCCAGAGCACTCAAATTACATCATGCAGAGATAAGAATTTCTCCAGTGGCATGGCTTCTCTTGACTGGAAACCCCAGACTTCTCTGCACTAAGTAATATGAAACTGAAATAAGACTTTTCCTTAGAATTGACTGTTGGGACCCAATGCTGATGGCAAAGAGGTATTAAATACCCCCACATTTTAAAAACAGGAGAAAATAAAGATGGGCCAGAGTCTCCCCAAAGCTTATTTCAAAGCCGTGGAACTGACTCTTCCAATTCTGATCATGTCTCAGCTCTTAAATCATCTTCCTCTCTCTCCCTCTACAATTTCCAGTCTAAATAAAGAGAAAGTTAGAGACACAAAGGTGTGTGGAAGGAGGGAGTCATTGGCCTAGAGTTAAGTGTTGTACTCCTTCTCAACCCTTGCTTCCTGTGGAAGAGAGAAAGATGTCACCTATCTTCATCCCAAACCAAGTGAGAAGGGCACTCAGAGAACCACTTGAAGAGCCTGAGAGTGCCTGCACCTGTGTGGAATTGTCATCTTATTCACCGGTTAGACCTGTGTTTAGGTAGCATGCATGCGAATCTGCCTTTTATGCCTATTTAAGAAGGGGGCAAAGGATTTGGAAAGATATGGCAATGTGGAAGTGGGAGCACCAGCGGTGAAGCTTAGCAAAGGTGTGCAAAATGTTCAAAGTTAAGTGGCCATTGCAATAGATATTTAAACAGGAAACATCTTGCTGATAGCACATCCAAAAGGGCTGGGCACCCAGTGTGATATCAAGAGCATAAAGAGTCCACGGGGTGGACTTCCAGGAGCACAAGAAGAAAGGGTCCAAGAAAGTTGAGCCAAGAAGAATCTCACAGTAGAAAACCAGGCAGTAAGAAAACCTTGAAGGACCCTCTTTCCTCTCACAATAGAGCCAGTATGTACATGTTTGCTGTACAAGGGCATAAGGAGTCAGTCTTAGGCATAGATTCAGAGACTGCCAAGAGACATCTACAAGTGCCATGACCTGCTGAATTAAAGGTGTTTGTACTATTCTATCTTCTTCAATTCTAGAAAGATCAAGTAAATGAAAAGAAAAAGCAGATCTTTCCAGGAGCCCCAGCACTGGGGCCACCCCAAGTTAGATGCAGAAGGCTGAGACGTGAGCAGTAAGTTGAATATGACATCAAAGCTTTCAATTCAACTACACTGGATTGGACTTCTTTGTACCTGAAATTTACTGGAAACCTGTGAAATTGAAGATGTTTTAGATTACTAGATGTTGGTATTTAGGTGTCATTAGATTATTTGCAAGTAGTCATTCCTTTCCTCTTGACCTCCTCCAAAAAGAGGAACTTACTTCCCTGCCCATTTATGTTGGACTTGGTCATATGTCTTGTTTTGACCTATAGGATATTGGCAGATCCCATATAAGCAAGGACTTAAAAAGCACTATGTGGATTGGCTGGCCCTCTAGCACTCCTGCCTTTTGCCATGAAAAGAACATGCTTCAGGTCATCACTGGTTCAAGGAGAGTGGGAGGCATGTGGAGCAGACATAAATCTAACTCAAACACTGAAGCCAAGCTCACTTAAGAAGAGCTGGAGCTCAGCCAACTCGTGTACTTGTGAGAAATATGTAGATAGATATGTTAGTTTAGCCATTTCACCATATTGATAGGCATTAGGTTGTTTACTTTTTCAAGTTTTTTAACTCATAGAGTGCTGTAATAAACATCATTTTGCATATACGATTATGCATATGAAAAATTATTCCTATAAACCAGAAATCCTCACAGATGGCTAATTTTATGTGTCAACTTACGTAGGCTAAGGGATGTTCAGAAGGCTGGCAAAACATTATTTCTGGGTGTGTCTCCAAGAGTATTTCTAGAAGAAATTAGCATTTTTGAACCAGTAGACTGAATAAAGAAGATCCACCTTCAGGAATGAGGGTGGACATCATCTAGTCCATCGTGGGTTCAAATAGAACAAAAGGGCAGAAGAAAGGCAGATTCTCTCTTTCTCTCCCCCTCTGTCTCTCTCTCCTTACTTGAGTTGGGGCATCCTTCTTCTGCTGTTCTTGGACATCAGAGTTCCTGGTTCTTGGGCCTTCAGACTCAGCTTACACCAACACCACCCCTCACTCCCTGCCACCCCAGTTCTCAGATCTTCAGCCTCAGACTGGGAGGATGTCATTGACTTCCCTGGTTCTTAGACCTTCAAAGTTGGACTGAATTATACCACTAGCTTTCCTGCTTCTCCAGGTTGCAGATTGCATATTATAGACGTCTCAACCTCCATGATTGCGTGAGCCAATTTCCATAATAAATCTCCATATATATATATTCACCATATAGGTAGGCATTAGGTTGCTTACCTTTTCAAGTTTTTTTAACTCATAGAGTGCTGTAATAAACATCATTTTGCATACACGATTATGCATATAAAAAATTATTTCTATAAACCAGAAAACTAGAAAAGCAACTTCTGGGCCAAAATTTTATGTATCTGTATACCTTATTGGCTCTGTTTCTTTGAAGAATACTGACTAATAAACTGTCTAAATTCCTTGGAAAAAATATTATAACTTTTTATATCAACACTATTTACATCCCCACCTACTGGATATAAGAGCAACTTTTTCACAATGCCCATCTAAGTCTGGCCTTAACAGTGTTTTAAAATTTTACCAAACTGACAAGTAAAAAATAGAATCTCGTTGTTTTAATATCAGCAGTTTAAAACGGTGAGGTATTCCTATGTGCACACATGAAAAGGTTTCCACAATAAAAGAAAAATAACAGGCATAAAACTGTACATATCATGATCTCATTTCTTATTACACACACAAATTTATACATGGCTCTTGCACAAATGTGTGTGTATGTGTATGTAGACATACTTTTATGTAAGTCTATATACACATTAAAAATCTGAAAAGATAGTCCCCAAATTGTTACTGTAATTATCCCTGATAAGTTAGTTTGGGGACAGAGGATTGAGGAGAAAACTAATTGTGTACTTTATATACTTCTGTATTGTTTAAAATTTTATAATCATGTAATACTTTGTAACAAAGGAAAGTGATAGAAATAGAAATACTTCTTTAAGTATAAAACAAAGATCTTCATTATCTGGAATTATGTAGCCATCATCTCCATTTAATAATTTCTCTTATTTCCAACCTTATTGAGATAAATAAATAAATTGCTATATTCACGAGGTGTCACAATTCATGTGTACCTAGCATTTATCAGTACTGTTATTTAACTTAATAATATCAAATGCAGCAAGTTATAAATTTAAAAGATTATCAACATCATTTACTGATAAGGCAGCTAACAAGAATCATCTTACAAATTAAAGAGAGATGAAATAAAAAGAAAACCTCATGCTGCATGTATCTGTGACTGAGCTCATGGAAGTAACCAAGCAATGTTAATGTACTATAAAACAAATGAGTTCCAGATTTCCATTTGTATTTCAGAAGGTGTTAAGTCTCAGAGATCTGTATTTATCATTTTTTAAAGCCATTAATGGGCCAGGCTTTTAAGTAATTTATTGGGAGAGCAAAACAACTTTTCCATTGAGATGTTTTCATATCTTCAGCTTATCTATCTAAAAGCATCTCAAAATTTAAAAATCACTTCCACATTTGCAAATCAAGTACACATGTCTGGATGAAGCATTTTTTAGTGGCTTTTGATATTCAACATGACATACTTTCAAGTAGGAAAAAATAAATAGTATTTTAAGGAATTGAGATTTGGCTAGCCAAATAATGAACCCACAAATTATTGTTTTTAAAACGCTTTATATAGAGTGTGCTAACTCTCTTCTCCCACTGTTCAAATCACACAGTGAGTAGAGTCAGGAGTTGCCATCTCTGTGCCAACAATGCAATCAGAGCCTGGGCAGCTAATTGAAAAATGATCATGAAAAAAAAAAAAAAAAAAAGAATGTTATAGAAGCCTTTACAACTAGGAACAAATAAAAAGGATTGTAAATACATCTGGATATGGAAGAAATGTGAGATTTAGAATACAGCTTCAAGTAAGCAAAAGACATTAATATACTCTCCCAAATATATAGAAGTTTGCCCACAGAATTGCATGCATTGGACTGTGTTGTTGAAGAGATTTCAGTGTAGCATATATTTTCTTCCAGTCACATTCTGAATTCATTTTCTACAGCATATTGTCAAATATTAAATCCATTTGCCCAGTTGTGTGTTGAAGTATTTGACTGAGGTATTTAACAAATACCTCACAAGTAGAAAAAAGCCTGGAGAACGCTTCACTTGCTAAACAACAAATCAGCCAACAGAATTATCTGTTACTTTATAGAAGTAACTTGATTGTTTACATGCAGAAAAGATTCATATAGGAGATAGAAGAAGATAGCAAGGAAAGTTCCCTTGGGTCTCACTAGGTTTCCTAGAATTGCCTCAAAGAATGAGAGACATGTTTCACCTTCTGGATCACTTGAACCTTTGCTTTGAGACTCAGAAGACACTAGTTAATTTCAAGATGAATCTGTAGGATTCAGACCAATGTTACAGTGTTGATTTGGGCACCATTTGATAATCATAAGAAGGCATCAGTTTATGTCATCAAATTCTAGGTAAAATTTATTCTGTCCCATTTCCAAAATTTTGAGTTAACCTCAGCCACCATCAGTTTGTTACACATGTTTTTCTTTTTTTCCTTTTCTTATCTTCTTTTTTTTCTTTCAGAGTCTTGCTCTGTTACCCAGGCTGGAGTGCAGTGGCAAGATCTCGGCTCACTGCACTGCAACCTCTGCCTCTCAGGTTCAAGCAATTCTCCTGCCTCAGCCTCCCGAGTAACTGGGATTACAGACATGCACCACCATGCCTGGCTAAAATTTTTTTTGTATTTTTAGTAGAGACAGGGTTTCACCATGTCGTCCAGGCTGGTCTTGAATTCCTGGCCTCAAGTGATCTGCCCACCTCAGCCTCCCAAAGTGCTGGGATAATAGGCATGAGCCACCATGCCCAGCCTGTTACACATCTTTGTGAATGTAGACATTCTAAACACTAAATTTTGGAGGTGCTAGAATTGGCTGAACTCTACTTTACATCATTATTCATTAATAAAGCTATTTGTTACAATACATGCTTGACATAACTTTAGTCAACACTACAGAAAATTCCCTGCTTTGTGTTCAACAAGTGCTTGAAGGCATACAAGGGTTTGAATATCTAAAACCAAACCTGTATTATACATCACTGGGTATTCTGGAGGGTAAAAGTTAAAATTAACTGAGGACAGGGATAGCCCTTGGAAAGAAGTATAAAGAAAAAAAAAAAACTTTCTGTCTTCTTTTTTGTTTGTTTCTTGTTTTTTTTTTTTTTTAGAGACAGGGTCTCATTCTTTTGCCCAGGCTGGTCTTGAACTGCTGGCCTGAAGCAATCCTCTTGCCTCGGCTTCCCAAAGTGTCAGGATTACAGGCATGTGCCACTGCAAGTCACTGTCTTTTGAGACTCCTCAACTTTCCCTCTTATACATTTTACTCGAATCCAAGAGTAGATGTTGTTCCCCTCTTTTCATGTGCTACTATCCCCTGCGTGATTTGATAACTGCCCATCTCTCCAACTTCCTCTCCTCCCATTCGCCCCTTTATCACTATGTGCATTCACAGTGGCCTGCCTGTTCCTCAGATGCACCAAGCTGATCCTTGACCCTAACATTTTTCCATTGCCCTTTTCCCTGCATGGAATGATTTTATTCTCTCTCTAGCCCTACTGTTCTCTCTACCTGGAATGTTTTTACCTTCTTCCAAAGGCTGACTTCCACATCATTCAAGTCTCAGCTTGAGCATTTTCTTCATTTTGAAAAAAGCTTTCTCTGGTCAACATAACTAATATATTTTTATCAAATTTCTCTCCATCCTATTATACCACTAAAATTAACTTATCAATTAATTTACTCATTGTCTGTATTCCTTAACAGAATAAAAGCTCCTTAAGAAACATCTTGAGGAATTTATAGTAGACTAGACATGCTCATTGAATAAGTGAGTAAATGAATATTACAGTCAATTTAGTCTCTTCACTGTTACATAATAATGAAGAGCTCAGGCTTTAAAATCAAAGTTCATTTGAATTCCAGCCTCTTTAATTATTAGCTGAGTAAACTTGGGCGAGTTACCTAACTTCTCTAAGCTTTAGTTTCATCATCCGTAAAGTAGAAATGATAGTATCATTGGGTTTTGTGAATATTAAATAAAGTACAGCGTAAAACATTGACTGACATGTCTGCCCTGCAAGAAATATTCGATAAACATTGGGACAAAAGAATCCTTCACTCAAAGGATATTTGCATCTGTAAAGATCTCAGGAAGAGGCTAAATTTTAACCAGGAGATTCTGTGCCTGGCTACCATAGGTGTACTTTGTTTAGGCAGAGAGAACACATGGACACAGGAAGGGGAACATCACACACTGGGGCCTGTTGAGGGGTGGGGGGAGCGGGGAGGGATAGCATTAGGAGATATACCTAATGCTAAATGATGAGTTAATGGGTGCAGCACACCAACATGGCACATGTATACATATGTAACAAACCTGCACGTTGTGCACATGTACCCTAAAACTTAAAGTATATTAAAAAAAAAAAAAAGAAGAGAACTAGCACTCCTCATGTTACACTTTGAGGATAACATTACTGATGGAGAAGCAAGTAGGAACTATCTGTTGCAGGGTGATAGATGGTGAGAGAGGTCAGATTTTGCCAAGAAAAGGTCACTTGGCTGGTGAGTAGAAGGTCTTAACCAGTAGCATTTCCCGGATGAATTTACCACAGTCAAATATTAGCCATGGAGGTCGAGAAAATATCAGTCTCCCAGGGCTGATAACACTTACTGAGACTGCCTCGCAATGTCCAAACTGAAGCATATGAACAAAAGGCCATTTGTTGAATTATAGTAAAAACCCTAATTTTCCAATGTCAAATATCTATACTATCCTGAGCAGTCCATTCTTTTCTTCTAAGAAACAAAAAAAAAAAACCATGAAAATCAGATTTTGTTGCAAAAATGGTTTTGGCAAGGGAAATGATTTGTAGGTCTCAAATGTTATTGGATACGTGCTGTAGAGACTAATACTTCCATCTGTACTGGCAAATCCTCGAGCTGGCACCGGAGGGATGCTATCAGTTTTCTTCCCCTAACTCTTGTTTGTCAATGTTTCTTCATATTTCAACTAATCCATTCCCTAGATATCTTAATATCATTTATCTTCCAGTGGCTTGAGTCTTACTAACTCAGCCACGTGATCGCATGTTCTCTAGGATGGAAGAAACTTTTCAGCCACTCAGTTACATGATAATTTTCTAGATAACTTTCTACATTTTCCACAGTTGCATTCTCAAAACATCCTATTTTTTTCCTTTTTTTTTTTTTTGACGGAGTCTCACTCTGTCGCCCAGGCTGGAGTGCAGTGGCACGATCTCGGCTCACTGCAACTTCTGCCTCCCGAGTTCAAGTGATTCTCCTGCCTCAGCCTCCTGAGTAGCTGGGAATACAGGCGCTCATCACTATGCCCAGTTAATTTTTTGTATTTTTAGTAGAGACGGGGTTTCACCATGTTGGCCAGCCTGGTCTTGAACTCCTGACCTCATGATTCACCCACCTCTTTTTTAAGGTCTTACTATGCCTTAGTATATTCCATGTTTACTATCTAAGTTTATGTGTTAACACATTTGAAAATTGTCAACAACTGTAAGGGTAATAAGGATTTGCAAGTATTTTGACTGTTCAAAAATCTTCCAGTTTTCTTCCTCCCAAGAGCACAGAAGGATTGCAGTCCCTACCTCCTTGAAGGGATGCATGACCATTGACTTGCTAGACTAATGAAATGAGTGGAAATGATATGTGGCATTTGCAGGTGGCAGTCTTTAAATTCCAAGCATGATTGGCCATGCTTGCTTTCTCTCTGCCACAGCACCGGGTGATGGTCCAGGCAGTAGAGGTGACATAGGTTGGATGTTTGTCCCCTCCAAATCTCATGTTAAAATGTGATCCCCAAATGTTGTAAGTGAGCTCTAGTGGGAAGTCCTTGGGTCATGGGAGCAGATCCCCCACGAGGGTGTTGGTACCATCTCTGCAGCAATGAATGAGTTCTCGATCTATCAGTTCACATGAGAGCTGGTTATTTTTAAAAGCCTGACATTTCCCTTTCTTCCTCTACCACCATGTGACAAACCCACTCCCCCTTCACCTTCTGCCATGAGTAAAAGCTTGCTGAGGTCTTCACCAAAAGCAGGTGCTGGTACTGTGCTTCTTGTACAGTCTGTAGAACCATGAGCCAAAATAGACCTCTTTTCTTTATAAATTACCCAGCCTCGGTTATTCCTCTATAGCAACACAAAAGGAACTAATACAAGAGGCTTCATCAATTTTAATCCCCAAGCTCATGGAGTAGATCCCCCTGGAAACTCATGACGAGCATGTCATGTATTTGAGAAATACCTTTCCTTTGTCTTAAGCCACTAAGCTTTTGCAGTTATTTATTTACATACCATGACTTAACTCATTACAATTAATATAAAGATGAAAACTTCTAGACCATCCTCTGATGTTATCCATTTTTATTTTAGTTTAGAATTATCTCATGTTCATCATCTATAAAATAAGATTAGTGTGTAAGAAAGTGTGTAAGGGCTTCCAAGTTGCAAATTACTATATACTTCCAAATTTACTGATTATTTCCCTAGGCTCTGACTTTAAGTTGATGTCCATATTGACAAATCTATGTTTTCACGCAGCAGCCTGTTCTGGTGCATTTTCAATATATTTGTGATCTGATCATAGGACTCTCCTTTTGGGAGATCTTTTTGAGAAAGGACTTTTTTTTGTTGGTACAAAGGAAAACTGTAGAGAAGACCTTTGCTAATTTTCCTTGGGATTTGAGCTTATAGAAACAGGAGTCAGCAAAAGTGACTTTTTCTTAGTAATTGGTAGGTTAAAAAAAAGCTATTTGTAGCACTATGAAGTAAAAAATTAAAAAAAAAAGAAAAGAAAGGAAGTCTAGCTGCTGAAAAAATACTGAGGAGGGAGAAAATGGCTCATTTAGGGCATGTAACAACACTGAAATACTTTGGGAGAAAGAAAAAGTCCTCACCAGAGTTAAACCATCTGCTATTAGAAATTACTGAGAAAAGAGCAATGCTTATACTGTGTATAAATTACCAGCCAATGGAATATGTTCACGGGTGACAACTGTTTCAAATATAAATTATCACTCATCATTAAGCTTTATTCAATTAGCCAAGCAAATGAGAGAGAGAATGCCACTGAATCTTGTACATGTCTTTATTTCTCATGTGTTCATCTTGAAAACTCAAGACATTCTTCACTGAGGGCAACATATGGAATGACTAAATCTCAAGTTTAATTCAAAGCCATTTTTCTTTCCACTATCCCAGGATACAAAATGCAGCTGAGAACAAAGTCAGAGTATAAAACACAGACTTTCTTCCCCTAGGCTCAGATAACAGACATGCAGCCAAATGGAATTTTACCAAACTTTCTAAAATGAGTAACACTGTGTGAGCACTGTTCCTTTGGGAACTTTATGAAAATGAGATATCTATCACAAAGGGTTCTCCAGGAAAAAAAATTCCTTCAAAAATGGGCATTTGTCATGACCTAGAAAGAACTGCAGAAAATTACAAACACCTAAGAATAATTTAAACTAAAAAAAACTTGAATTTTCCCTAAATATGATAATAAAAAAAGAACTTAAAATTTATTGAATGTCTAGTACTCACTCTTTCAACATTTATTGGTTGTATATAAGATGCCAAGAACCATGCTAGATGCCTTCACATGAACTGTCTCATTTAGTCAAGAACTCTGTAAAGTACATATTAATTTACAGATGAATGGCTTGCCCAAAGTCACACAACTAACAGAGTCTTTTATATGAGAAGTATTTAAGGGACTCTACTACATGCTGGCACTTTTCTTTTCTTTCTTTTTTTTTTTTTTTTCCAAGATGGAGTTTCACTCTTGTTGCCCAGGCTAGAATGCAGTGGCACCATCTCGGCTTACTGCAACCTCCGCCTCCCGGGTTCAAGCAATTCTCCTGCCTCAGCCTCCCAAATAGCTGGGATTACAGGCATGCACCACCATGCCTGGCTAATTTTGTATTTTTAGTAGAAACAGGGTTTCTCCATGTTGGTCAGGCTGGTCTCGAACTCCCAACCTCAGGTGATCCGCCCACCTCAGCCTCCCAAAGTGCTGGGATTACAGGTGTGAGCCACCATGCCTGTTCCCATGCTGGTACTTTCCTGTGCCCTAGAGCCCATCACTAATATTTGGGGGACCCAGGATGAGCATACAAATTGAGGTCCCTATACCAGATGTCTAAATATTTAAAATTATAAACACTGGTGTGCTGGAGCCAGGTATTACAGGCCATAGGCCTCTCTTCCCAAATTCAGATTTATTAATATTGTACTGGTAGCTTGAAATCAGCCATGGTGGGAATATGTAGACCATGGTAAATGGCAGACACTACAAATTGTCTTTTTGCTTGTTGGTTTGTCTTCAGAGAGCCTATTTTTAAGCATTTACAAGCACAGCACTGCTTATAACAACCTAACCTTTGAATAAAATATGTTCTACTCTTAATTTTTAAAAATATACCTTCATAGTTACATGGAAGGCCAAGTTTGAATTTAGTCCCAGATTCCTTGTTGTTCCACACCAGAATTTGGCAGAGAAGACAGAGCCATTCCCCAGAACTCTGGCCCCTAACCTGCAGTATGAGGCCCTAGCTCTCTCCACTTCTCATCACAACCCAAGTTTCATCATGCACTGGGAAGGAGTTCATGTGAACCCCTGTGGATGCTCCAGCACACACATTGAAGCTTTGTCTATCTGTATACCACACACACACAGAAAGAGCTGCCGTAGATCACCCCTTTGGGCCTAGGGGCATACACACCAGGGGTGCAGAACAACCTCAGTTGGCTGGATGAAGGGAGAGAATACTCACAGATTCTAGAAGCAGACACAAGTCTTTAAAGGTCTGAAATTTCAGCATTATCTAGAAAAGAAGGATGGTGTAGGCTCTGGGTGAGTCCCTTCTTCTTACCCATAAATCACCCCTTGGAGAGTGGTGCAGATGGAGGAGGGCTCAGACAGAGCTCTCTAAGACACAGGGCTCAAGATAGAGGCCTCTATTGCCTGATCTAAGATTGTTACTAAATACAGAAGTTTCAAAGCCCTCATGGAATTCCTGTTCCACTTAGATAAGTTATAAAATCATCAAAGTATTTTAAAGATCTAATTGTTTATATTAACACCCCTCTTTTAGCTCAAGTAAAATAATATTAGTAATTACCATTTATTGGCAGCATACTATTTACTCAGAGCTTACTAAGTTCTTGGAGACTGAATAACTAAAAATTCATGGCCTGGGTATTAATTTTAGTAAGCAAACAATTACTGATATTTATTTATCACAAAATAATTGTCATTGGAAGGACTCAGAGCAGCTTCGCATTCCATGAAAAAAATGTTCTTTCTATCTTCCCAGCTGAATCCTTTTGCAAATTGTGGATTAGTTTTGCTCCCCGATCATGGCATCTGTCACCATGGGTAATAAGAGCACTTTCATTATTTACCTAAGAATTTAGAAATATACCTTCATAATAACCTGGAAGGCAAAGTGTCAGCAACACTGGCTCTGATACCAATGCTGCCTCTTACATGTTTTGCAACCTTTTGTAGCTCATGAAACCCTATGGTCTCATTTTCTCCACCTGAAATCTAGAATAGTAACATTATTTGCTACTTCTAGGATAGTACATTTAGAGGCTGTATGTGAAGACAAGCTGAAGCCTGTAAAAAGTTAACATAGAGAAGAGAGAGTCCTCAGGGAAATGCTTTCTCTCTTTTTTTTTCTTTTTTTTTCCCAGTCTTAAAGAGGCTTTCATAGCCAGGTGAACCAGCTGCCACCAAGGGACCAAGATGACTGGTGCACTCCCAACAGATCTTCGGAGGGAAGGCACCAAGAGTGGACGGAGGGAAGACACAGAAGCTGGATTGAAGTGGGAGGAAGCTGGGAACCGTGCATTGGGCTATCATGCACCAGGACTCATTCCTGGCCCCCAAGAACCTCGAGGGAATGGGTGAGTGGAACCAGTGAGGAGAAACTCACTCTTGCCATAGGCCTCTGGAATCCCAGCGGGAGGAGACCCCTCAAACACCACAGACACTTGAGTTGGCAGGCAGAGCTGCTTAGAGAAGTGATAGGAGCATCATGCCAGTGGAGGCAGGGCCTACAGGGTTTGGTGTGGGAGCATCTGTAGCAGAACACAGCCAGGGAAGCCCATCTTCCTAGGCGCAACTTGCTCCCATAGGAGACTTTAGCTCTGGGGGAATTGTCTCGGACCTGAACTCTGCAGCAACGTCTTGCCCGTAAGACTGTCAATAAGACCTAAGCACCCATTGGATTGATGGCCTCTCCCAGGGCCAAACCTAGCCACACCTGCTTGCAGGGCAGCTAGAGGGTGCCCAGGGGGCTGCATCATAGATCCTGCACTGGCTGATGGTGCCCGGCCCTCACTGCCATGCACCATCCTGCCTGCTCCCTCCCCATGCTGCAGCTTACCCTGGGCCCACAGCAACCCCTGATATGGCTTTGCTGGCACATATGTACCTGGGCAGGTTTTGCCTTCCTTGCCCCACACGTGTATGTGTGCACCCTGCCCTGTCACTGATGGGGTGGGAGTGCACTCCCCTCTCCCTCCTGGACTGTCACTGTAGTAGAGCCTTGGCAGGCACAGAGCCAACCAGCCCCCACCATTGCCTACCCCTGGTGCCAACACTACCAAGAGAGTGAAACTATGCACAGAGATCAGCGGACCCTCCCCAACCCTGAGTGACTACCCCTACTTGTGGCACACAGAAAACACACAGTCTTGCACCTACAAGCACTCCACCCACGTGCTAACACCATCACCAGTGCCACAACAGGCACAGTTGCCAGCAGCACCCCCCTCCACTATCACCATGAGCCATGCTGCCTTCACCACTGTGGTGAATGCCTGCATGGAGGGAGGCCTGGGCACAGCCAAGGAGTATGTACCCCACCGTGCTGCTGCCACTGCAAATGAGAATGGATCCTGCTGCTACCGCAGGATGGCTGCTGCCACTTTGGCTGACACCACCCAACAGAATGTAGTGACCAGCAGTCTGGGAGCACCTCGGCTCTTCCAGTGCAGTGGATTTCCAACCTTGAGGAGCCAGAGAACAAAGTCAGGATCCAGTACAAGTCCCCCAGAGTTAGAGCATGCAGTTCAGGAGTTGGGAGCTAATTCTTTGCCCCCTAAAATCTTCTAGAAATAATGCCAGTTGGCTGAACCCAACTTAGACCACAACCGAACCCTCAAGGTCATCGAATAGGATAAAAGAAAAAAGAAACCATCCAAATGTCAGCAACTTCAAAGATTAAAGGAAGATAAGCCCACAAAGATGAGAAAGAACAAATGCAAGAACTCTGACAACTCAGAAACCCAGAGTGCCTTCTTTCCTTCAAATGACCGCACTACCTCACCAACAAGGGTACTGAACCAGGCTGAGATGGCTGAAATAACAGAAATAGAATTCAGGTTATCGATAGAAATAAAGATCATTGAGATGCAGGAGTACTTTGAAACTTAATCCAAGGAAGCTAAGAACCACTATAAAACAAAACAGGAGCTGACAGAAAAATAACTAGTATAGAAAAGAATGTCACCAACCTGATAGAGCTGAAAAACACACTACAAGAATTCTGTAATGCAATCACAAGTATTAACAGCAGAATAGACGAAGCAAAGCAAAGAATCTCAGAGCTTGAAGACTGGCTTTCTGAAATAAGACAGTCAGACAAAAATAGAGAAAAAATAATTAAGAGAAACGAACTTCCAAGAAATATGGGATAATGTAAATATGCCAAATCTATGACTCATTGATGCCCCTGAAAGAGATGGGGAGAGTGTAAGCTACTCGGAAAACACATATTTCAGGATATCATCCATGAGAACATCCCCAACATAGCTAGAGAGGTTAACATTCAAGTTCAGGAAATGCAGAGAATACCAGTAAGATTCTACTTCACAAGGAAATCATCTCCAAGACACATAATCATTAGATTCTCTGAGGTTGAAATGAAAGGAAAAATGTTAAAGCCAGCTAGAGAGAAATATCAGGTCATCTACAAAGGGAAGCCCATCAGACTAACAGTGGACCTCTCGGCAGAAATGCTACAAACCAGAAGACATTGGGGGCCAATATTAAACATTCTTAAAGAAAATAAATTCCAACCCAATATTTCATATCTGAACAAACTAAGCTTCATAAGCAAAAGAGAAATAAGATCCTTTTCAGACAAGCAAATGCTGAAGGAATTCAGTACCACCAGATCTGCCTTAAAAGAGCTCCTGAAGGAAGCACTAAGGACAGACAGTTACTAGGCACTACAAAAACACACTTAAATACACAGACCAGTGACACTCTTAAGCAAACACACAAACAAATCTGCATAATAACCAGGTAATATCATGATGATAAAATCAAACCCACATATATCAATACTAACCTTCAATGTAAATGGTATAAATACCCCAATTAGAAGACACAGAGTGGCAAGTGGAATAAAGAATCAAGACCCATTGGTATGCTGTCTTCAGTGTCTGCAGTGACACCCATGGGCTCAAAATAAAGAGGTGGAGAAAAATCTATCAAGCAAATGGAAAACAGAAAAAAGTAGGCATTGGAATCCTAATTTCAGGCAAAACCGACTTTAAACCAACAAGGATCAAAAAAGACAAAGAAGATCATTACATAATGGTAAAAGGTTCAATTCAACAAGAAGACCTAACTATCCTAAATATATATATATGTATCCAATACAGGAGAACCCAGATTCATAAAGCAACTTCTTAGAGGCCTTCAGAGAGACTTAGACTCACACAATAGTAGTGTGAGACTTCAACACCCCACTGACAGTATTAGACAGATTGCTGAGGCAGAAAATTGACAAAGATATTTAGGACATGTACTCAGCACTGGATCAAATGAACCTGGTAGATATGTACAGAACTCTCCACCCAAAAGCAACAGAATATACATTCTTCTCATCACTTTATGGCACATAATCTAAAATCGACCACATAATCAAACACAAAACCCTCCTCAGCAAATGCAAAAGAATTGAAATCATAACAACCACTCTCTCAAACCACAGCACAAGCAATTAGAAATCAGAAAATCAGAAATTTGCTCAAAACTATACAATTACATGGAAATTGAGTAATCTGCTCCTGAACGAGTTTTGCGTAAATAATGAAAGTAAGGCAGAAATCAAGAAGTTCTGTGAAATTAATGAGAATAAAGATACAACATACCAGAATCTCTGGTATACAGCTAAGGTAGTGTTAAGAGGGAAATTAATAGCACTAAATACATCAAAAAGTTAGAAAGGTCTCAAGTTAAGAATCTAACATCACAACTAAAGAACCAAGAGCAAACTAACCTCAAAGCTAGCAGAAGACAGGAAATAACCAAAATCAGAGCTGAACTGAAGGAGACTGAGACACAAAAAAACATTAGAAACAACAACAACAAAAAAAACAGTGAATCAAGGAATTGGTTTCTTGAAAAAATTAATAAAATAGACCACTGGCTAGACTAACAAGAAAAGAGAAAAGATCCAAACAAACACAAATAGAAACAACAAAGGAGATATTACCACTGGGGGACTTCACAGAAACACAAATAACTATCAGAGAACATTATAAATACTCCTATGCACAAAAATTAGAAAAGCTAGAAAAATGGATATATTATTGGACACATACTCCATCCCAAGAAATTGGGAGGAAGGAAGAAATTGAGTCCCTGAACAGACCAATAACAATCTCTGAAATTGAATCATTATTAAATAGCCTACCAATCAAAAATAAAAAGCCAGAAGGATCCACAGCCAAATTCTACCAAATGTACAAAGAAGAGCTGGTACCATTCCTACTGAAGCGATTCAACAAAAAGTTTAAAAAATGAGGAGAAAGGACTCCTCCCTTACTCATTCTATGAAGCCAGTATCATACCTAAACCTGGCAGAGACATGACAAAAAAAAAAACCTTCAGGCCAATATCCTTGATGAACATCAGTGTAAAAATCCTCGCAAAATACTGGCAAACCAAATACAGCAACACATCAAAAAGCTTATTCACCACAATCAAGTAGGCTTTATCCCTGTAATTCAAGGTTGGTTCAACTTACACAAAACAATAAGTGTGATAAACTTAACAAAAGACAAAAACCACATGATTATCTCAATAGATGCAGAAAAGGCTTTTGATAAAATTCAACACACCATCATGTTTATAAACTCTCAATAATCTAAGTATGGAAGGAACATACCTCAAAATAATAAGAGCCATCTATGAAAACCACAGCCAACATCATATTGAATAGGCAAATTTGGAAACATTTCCCTTGAAATCTGGCATAAGACGTGTGTGCCCTCTCTCACCACTCCTATTCATAGTACTGGAAATCCTGGCCAGGGCAATCAGGCAACAGAAAGAAATAAAGGTATCTATACAGAAAGAGAAGAAGTCAAACTATCCTTTTTGCAGACAACATAATCTTATATCTAGAAAACTTCATAGTCTCAGCCCAAAAGCTCTTTAAGCTGATAAATAACTTCAGCAAAATCTCAGGATAAAAATAATCAGTATACCAAAATCACTAGCACTCCTATACATCAACAACAGTCAAGCTGAGAGCCAAATCAGAAACTCGATTCTATTCACAATTGCCACAAAAAGAAAAAAATACCTATGAATACAGCTAAAAGATATCTGCAAGGAGAACTACAAAACACTGCTCAAAGAAATCAGAGATGAAACAAATGAAAAAACATTCCATGCTCATGAAGAAAAACAATAAATGTCATTAAGATAGCCATAATGTCCAAAGCAATTAATAGATTCAGTGCTGTGCCTATCAAACTATTAATGGCATTCTTCACAGAACTATAGAAAATACTTTAAAATTCATATGAACCAAAAAACAGCCCTAACAGCCACGAATATCCTAAGCAAGAAGAATTGAGGAGAAGGAACTCCCTCTTCTCCAAAGCTGGAGGCATCATGCTACACAACTTTAAACTATACTATAGGGCAGCAGTAACCAAAACAGCATGGTACCAGTACAAAAACAGACAAATAGACCAGTGGAACAGAATAAAAGCCCAGAAATAAAGTGGTACACCTACAACTAGCTGATCTTCAACAAAGCTGACAAAAATAAGCAATAGGAAAAGGATTCCCTATTCAATAAATGGTGCTGGGATAACTAGCTAGCCATAAGCAGAAGATTGGAAACAATAGGAAAAGGTCTCCCTATTCAATAAATAGTGCTGGGATAACTAGCTAGTCATAAGCACAAGATTGAAAATGGATGCCTTCTTTACACCTTATACAAAAATTAACTCAAGATTAAAGACAAAAATTTAAAACTCAAGACTATAAAAACCCTGGAAGACAACCTAGGCAATACCATTCTGAACATAGGAATGGGCAAAGATTTCATGCTGAAGATGCCAAAAGCAATTACAACGAAAGCAAAAATTACAAATGGGATCTAATTAAACTAAAAAGCTTCTGGACAGCAATAGAAACTATTAACAGAGTAAACAGACAACCTATACAAATGAGAGAAAATATTTGCAAACTATGCATCTGACAAAGGTCTAATACCCAGCTTCCATAAGAAAACTTAAGCAAATTTATAAGAAAAAGCAAACTACATTAAAAAGTAGGCAAATGACATGAACACTTTTCATAAGAAGACATACATGCAGCCAAAAAGCATATGAAAAAAAGCTCAACATCACTGATCATTAGAGAAATGCAAATCAAAACCACAATGAGATATCATTTCACATCCAGTCAGAATGGCTATTGTTAAAAAGTTAAAAAAAAAAAAAAAACAGATGCTGGTGAGGTTACGGAGAAAAAGGAATGCTTATGTACTGTTGGTGGGAGTGTAAATTAGTTCAACCATAGTGCAAAACAGTTTGGTGATTCCTTAAAGACCTCAAAACAGAAATGCCATTCAACTCAGCAATCTCATTACTGAGTATATACCCAAAGGAATAATTCTATCATAAAGACAAATGCAAGCATATGTTCATTGCAGCACTATTCACATAGAAAAGACATGGAATCAACCGAAATGCCCATCAATGGTAGACTGGATAAAGAAAATGTGATACATATACACCATGGGATACTATGCAGCCATAAAAAAGGATGAGATCATATTCTTTGCAGGGACATGGCTGGAGCTGGAGGCCATTACCCTTAGCAAACTGATACAGGATAGAAAACCGAATATTGCATGTTCTCACTTATAAATGAGGGTTAAAAGATGAGAACACATGGATACACAGAAGAGAACAACAGGCACTGCATCCTATTGCAAGGTAGAGAATGGGAGGAGAGAGGGGATCAGGAAAAATAACTAATGGGTATTAGATCTAATACCTGAGTAACAAAATAATCTGTACAACAAACCCCCATGACATGAGTTTACCTATATAACAAAGCTGCATCTGTAACCTTGAACTTAAAGTAAAAAAAATTAAGGTATAGTTGGCAGGTAAAAATTATATACATTTATGGTGTACAACTTGATGTTTTAATGTATGTATATACTGTGAAATCATGAAATCAAGCTAATTAACATATCCATCACCTCATATACTTATCATTCTATGTTGTGAGGACATTTACTATCTAGCCTCTTAGCCATTTTCAAGTATATGAGATATTATTACTAACTGTAGCACAGTAGGTCTCCTGAACTTATTAATCCTATATGACTAAATTTTTGTACCTTTTGGCCATCATCTAGCCACTCCCCTGTCCTCACTCTCATGCCCTGACAACCACCATACTACTCTATGCTTCTATGAGTTTGACTTTTTTAGTTGCCACTTCTAAGTGAAATCATGCAGTGCTCATATTTCTGTGCCTGCCTTAATTCACTTAGTACGTGTCTTGCAAGCTCATCCATGTTGTCACAAATGATAAGATTTCCTTCTTTTTCAGGGCTGAATAGAATTCCATTACATACACACAAACACACACACACACACACACAGAGACACACACATAATATATTTTCTTTATCCATTCATCGATCGATGAGCCCAGGTTGATTCCCCTTATTGATTATTGTGAACAATGCTGTAATGACATTGGTCTAGGCAGTGGTTTTTTGTATATGACCCCAAACACAGGCAACAAAAGTACAAATAAATGAGGTGGCATCAAAACAAAAAGCTTTTGCACAACCAAAGCAACAGTCAACAGGGTAAAAAGATAATCTATGGAATGGGAAAAAATATTTGTAAACTATCCATCTGACAAGGAGTATCCAAAATATATAAGAAACACTCAACAGCAAACAACTCAATAGAAAAAAAATCTGATTAAAAAATAGACAAAGTATCTGAATAGACATTTCTCAAAAGAAGACATACAAATGTCCAACAGATATATAAAAAAAAATGGTCAAATCACTAATCATCATGGAAATGTAAATTAAAACGCAAACTACAATGAGAAACTACCTTACACTGTTGGAATGGCTTTCATCAAAAAGACAACAGATGAGTATTGAAGAGAATGTAGAGAAAAAGGAATCTTTGTATACTAATATGGTTTGGCTCTGTGTCCCCACCCAAATCTCATCTCAAATTGTAATCCCCATAATCCCCACATGTCAAGGGAAGGATCTGGTGGTGGGTGATTGGATCATGGGAGTGGTTTCCCCCATACTGTTCTTGTCATAGTGAGTGAGTTCTCACGAGATGTGATGCTTTTATAAGGGGCTCTTCCTTCATTCATTTGCTCTCTCTTGCCTGCCACCATGTAAGATGTGCCTTTGCTTCTCTCTTGCCTTCTTCCATGATTGTAAGTTTCCTGAGGCCTCCCCAGACATGCAGAACGATGAGTCAGTAAACTTGATAAATTACCCAGTCAGGTATGTCTTTATAGCAGTGTGAGAATAGAATAATACATACACTGTTGCTGGAAATGTAAATTGGTACAACCGTTATGGAAAACAGTATGGTGGTTCCTCAGAAAATTGAAAATAGAGCTCTCATATAATCCTGCAATCCTACCTCTGGATATATATCCAGAGGATATAGAATAAGTATGTCAAAGAGATAGCTGCACTCCCATGTTCATTTAAGAAGCTTCTTACAGTGGAGAGCAGAGTTTTGATTATTTACCTGTTTCTGAGAATCAATTCTTTATGTGCAAGTCTTTAAACTTTATTAACAGATTTACTTGTCGGTTTATTTATTGTTTGTTCTATTTAATCATTCCATTAGAAACTATTTATATCTGGCACATTCTTGTCAGCAACTTTCTTAAAGCTGAAACAGAATTTACCTAATTTATTCCAGTAATTGTTACTAAAGTACAAAGTGTAAAGGAAAAATTCATTGTGTATATTTCTGTGATGTCATGAATTATTAAAATATAATTATCTGATTGCTTTTGGCATACTTATAACTTCAGTTACCGTGGGTTTAAGATGCTGGTCACATTTATGACGGCACCCACATATACACACCCTCCTCTCATACATGGAAAACAAAACCTGCTGTTGTTTTCACTGGCCAGTGGGTGTCAGTAATTTGACCTGGAGACTTGGGGGAAGAAAGGAGGAAAGTGGAAAAGAGGTTCCTTTCTTCAGATGCAGGGAAACAGTTTAAATTTTATTGTTAAAGGATCTGAAAAAACATCGTTTAGGGAGGGGATGCTGACATTCTGGAAGGGGAGATTTCCCATAAAGGAGGCCACCAGACAGTTGGGCTGCATTTTCTCTCTGTGTGGCTACCTCTTGTTCTTTTTTGACTGAGTCTCACTCACAGCCCTGCGAATCCTTCGGGCAAGAAGCAACAAGTTGCAGGCTGCTTCTACATCTGCCTAGGAAGAGGGTGTTAGGTGGGAGGAGGGCAGATGACTCAAGCGTCTCTCTCCTGGACCTTAGTTTCCACCTGTAGACTTTCTTTTAATGTAATCTAGACTCTGTTAGGACCTAGGACCTGAGACCAGTCCAACAGGGTCTCCCCCACACTGGGCACTCTCCAAGAGTATGCCTGGCAGTCAGGCTCTGAATGCTGGCATGCTGCCTATTCTGGCCTTTCCCTTTTGTTGCCCTAAGGGCTGTGTGTTGTGAATCAAATCACTGGGCAACCAAGTACCTTCAAAAACAGCCCCAAGCTCTCTGGAAACTACTTCCTATTCCAGCCAAAATTGCAGAGAAAGGAGGGCATCAAGCTTAGGGGACCAATCCCTGTCTTTCTACCAGTCCCTGATAACTACTCAAGCTCCCTTTAAAGAGGCTCATATTGGAATACTCTGTTGACAAGTAGATACCACTTCACCTCTGCTAGGGTGAGCGCTGGTAGCTCCTCCCTGTTAAATGCCCATCTCAATGCCTCTGCCCTAAGTGAGTTGTGCAATAAATGAGCTGTCACTCTGAACAGGTGGGAAAGAAGTGAACTGCTTGTTCACTTGCTGCTGTTGCCACTGCTGGTACAGAAATAGAAGGTAAGACAGGTGAGAACTGCTTTTCCTTCTATCAAGAAAGATTCCAAACTGAGGCAATGCTTTGCATTGAGTCCTGGGGTTTTGTGGTTTTGGGAACCAACAGTACTCAAAGTATTTTCTCTTGCTAACTGCTTCCCCTCTAGGCCATAAAGCCTCTTTTCTTTCTTTTTTTTTTTTTTTTTTAAAAAAAACACAGCACAAAAAAACAAAGACAAAAAACCTCCAAGCTCCCTTCAGTAGTTGCTACACCTTCAGATTGAGACATCCTTCCTCATTTACAAACCTCAGCTGTGTCTGGGGGCAGGGCCACAGTGAAACTGCCAGGAGCAAAAAGGCTTCCAAGAAAAAGTACCACATCAGATTGGAAACTGGGGACAGATCATTCCTGGGATGTGACGGGCACCAGAATGCTCCCTCTCCAAAGGATCTAAGGACCAAAGCTGACAGTTTCTTTACTTGGTAAGTTTTGGGTGGTTTGCTGTGTAAAGCATATCTGAGAACAGGTATGATTGAGCTCATCTTCCTTTTCTCCTTATTGCAAGGGTTTGTGAATTCAAGTCTGTGGACTGAGGTGGTGGGGAGCATCCAATTAGAACTCCATTCACATGTAGCTCACAGTCATGTGGGCTGTGCTGGGGATGGTCCATCAAGCATTTAGAATAGGCTTGGTTTTGGAATGCAGTGGATCTGATTGCTTCTTGGCAGCTTCTCTTTCCCAATTATGTTTGGCTTAGTCTGATAGTCAAATTACTTTATAATCCCTAAGCTGATCCAGAAAGTAAACAGAAGAGACAGAGAGAACGCTGTCTAAAAAGAGACTGGGGATGGGGCAAGGAGGATTCTGGTTGGATTTTCAAAATGTTCCCTGAATAATCCACAACCCATCCCAAAGAATGGTGACTGCATATGATACCCTAGCTCTTTGTTAAGCTCAAAAAGCTGACTATAACATGCCTCTTTAAAATGCTGGCCAATTAAAGCCACTATGCACATCTTCAATTGTTTTGTTCCCTTAACGAAGCTCAAGAAGGTATATTACAGGTATGGATTTGATTAAAAACGTAAGGTTTCTCATAATGAATATATGTTCTGGTTTAAATAATTTAGAAATTTTCCTAAAATCTAAACCCAGTACTTTGCATTACATCAGAAAACAAAGCCTTGATAATTTGATTTCCAATCTGAAAATGGTGATTCCACTAAAGTGAAGCTAAAGTTTTCCTTTGTATAATTTACAAATGAAGTGTTTGCATGAAATTTAATGCCTTAAGCAAGACAGGCAGAATTGTGAACCTATTTTAGAGAATGCACTGGTTTTTCTAATGGCATTATTTTTGTTGTTATTGTTGCTGAGATGGGGTCTTGCTCTGTCATCCAGGCTGGAATGCAGTGATGCAATCACAGCCCACTGTAATCTCAAACTCTTGGGTTCAAGCGATTCTCCTGTCTTAACCTCCCAAGTAACTCAGAGTATGTGTATGCACCACCATGCCTGCCTAATTTTCTTTTGTAGATATGGGGGTCTCACTATATTGTCCAGGCTGGTCTCAAATTCCTGGCCTCAAACAATCCTTCTGCTCCGGCCTCCCAAAGTGCTGGGATTACAGGCCACTGTACCTGGCTTCTAATTGCTTTATAGAATTCATTATTCACATGAGAATATATTCACAAATTGTTAAGTATCTCAGCCACTTATTAAACCAAGTTTAAAAATAATAATAATAACCATTTTATAATTTTAAAAAGATTTCAAGTTGAAGAACCTTAGGTAGCAGGTGTCTTGAGTAGAGTATGTATGTACTCAAATGATGTCAAACTGCAGGCACTACAAATATTGTCTGGTCAACCTCCACCTTACCAAGTAAAAATTAATTGATTTTGTTATTTAAAGGTTAAAATATAAAATAATAACAATGTAGTTAAGCCTTCATGGTGTAATGTCTAGAAAACTTCTTGCCCTTTCTCTCCAAAGCTGAAATGCCAGATGGTGAGGTTAATTAACACACAACAATCTTGAGATTTAGCTACTAATTTTTTATTTTTATTTATTTATTTTTTTTTTGAGACGGAGTCTCACTCTGTCGCCCAGGCTGGAGTGCAGTGGCGCGATCTCGGCTCACTGCAAGCTCCGCCTCCCGGGTTCACGCCATTCTCCTGCCTCAGCCTCCTGAGTAGCTGGGACTACAGGCGCCCGCCACCACGCCCGGCTAACTTTTTGTATTTTTAGTAGAGACGGGGTTTCACCGTGTTAGCCAAGGTGGTCTCGATTTCCTGACCTCGTGATCCACCCACCTCAGCCTCCCAAAGTGCTGGGATTACAGGCATGAGCCACCACACCCTGTCCTAATTTTTTTTAAGTTATACTTTTAAGTGCTGGGGTACATGTGCAGAATGTGCACGTTTGGGGTACATGTGCAGAATGTGCAGGTTTGGGGTACACGTGCAGAATGTGCAGGTATACACATGCCATGGTGGTTTGCTGCACCTATCAACGCGTCATCTACATTGAATACCCTTTATTTCTTTCTCTTGACTAATTGCCCTAGCATTTCTCCTAATGGTATCCCTCCCCTAGCCCCCTACCCCGCCACAGGCCCTGGTATGTGATGTTCCCCTCCCTGTGTCCATGTGTTCTCATTGTTCAAGTCCCACTTATGAGTGAGAACATGCAGTATTTGGTCTTCTGTTCTTGTGATAGTTTGCTGAGAATGATGGCTTCCAGCTTCCTCCATGTCCCTGCGGAGGACATGAACTCATCCTTTTTTATGGCTGCATAGTATTCCATGGTGTATATATGCCACATTTTCTTTATCCAGTCTATCATTGATGAGCATTTGAGTTGGTTCCAAGTCTTTGCCATTGTGAACAGTGCTGTAATAAACATACATGTGCACGTGTCTTTATAGTAGAATGATTTATAATCCTTTGGGTGTATACGCAGTAATGGGATTGCTGGGTCAAATGGTATTCCTGGTTCTAGATCCTTGAGGAATTGCCACACTGTCTTCCACAATGTTTGAACTACTTTATATTCCCACCAACAGTGTAAAAGTGTTCCTATTTCTCCACATCCTCTCTAGCATCTGTTGTTTCCTGACTTTTTAATGATCACCATTCTAACTGACATGAGATGGTATCTCATTGTGGTTTTGATTTGCATTTGTCTAATGACTAGTGACGATGAGCTTTTCTTCATATGTTTGTTGGCTGCATAAATGTCTTCTTTTGAGAAGTGTCTGTTCATATCTTTTGCCCATTTTTGATGGGTTTTTTTTTCTTGTAAATTTGTTGAAGTTCTTTGTAGATTCTGGATATTAGACCTTTGTCAGATGGATAGATTGCAAAAATTTTC
The DNA here is from genome assembly GCF_000001405.40 of Homo sapiens. NCBI lineage: Eukaryota > Metazoa > Chordata > Mammalia > Primates > Hominidae > Homo > Homo sapiens. The sequence goes on from NC_000011.10 coordinate 27,044,372, forward strand.
TCCCATTCGGTAGGTTGTCTATTCACTCTGATGATAGTTCTGCTGTGCAGAAGCTCTTTAGTTTAATTAGATCCAGTTTGTCAATTTGGGCTTTTGTTGCCCTTGCTTTTGGTGTTTTAGTCATGAAGTCTTTGCCCATGCTTATGTCCTGAATGATATTGCCTAGGTTTTCTTCTAGGGTTTTTATGGTTTTAGGTCTTGCGTTTAAGTCTTTAATCCATCTTTAGTTAATTTTTGGATAAGGTGTAAGGAATGGATCCAGTTTCAGCTTTCTACATATGGCTAGCCAGTTTTCCCAACACCATTTATTAAATAGGAAATCCTTTCCCCATTGCTTGTTTTTGTCAGGTTTGTCAAAGATCAGATGGTTATAGATGTATGGCATTATTTCTGAGGCCTCTGTTTTGTTCCATTGGTCTATCTGTTTTTGCACCAGTACCATGCTGTTTTGGTTACTGTGGCCTTGTAGTATAGTCTGAAGTCAGGTAGCATGATGCCTCCAGCTTTGTCTTTTTGCTTAGGATTGTCTTGGCTATGTGGGCTCTTTTTTGGTTCCACATGAACTTTAAAGTAGTTTTTTCCAATTCTGTGAAGAAAGTCAATTATAGCTTGATGGGGATAGCATTGAATCTATAAATTACCTTGGGCAGTATGGCCATTTTCACGATATTGATTCTTCCTATCTATAAGCATGGAATGTTTTTCCATTGTTTGTGTCCTCTCTTATTTCCTTGAGCAATGGTTTGTAGTTCTCCTTGAAAAGGTCCTTCACATCCCTTCTAACTTGGATTCCTAGATATTTTATTCTCTTTGAAGCAATTGTGAATGGGAGTTCACTCATGATTTGGCTCTCTGTTTGTCTGTTATTGGTGTATAGGAATGCTTGTGATTTTTGCACATTGATTTTGTATCCCGAGACTTTGCTGAAGTTGCTTATCAGCTTAAGGAGATTTTGGGCTGAGAAGATGGGGTTTTCTAAATGTACAATTCATGTCATCTGCAAACAAAGACAATTTGACTTCTTCTTTTCCTAATTGAATACGCTTTATTTCTTTCTCTTGACTGATCACCCTGGCCAGAACTTCCAATACTATGTTGAATAGTAGTTGTGTCAGAGGGCATCCTTGTCTTGTGCCAGTTTTCAAAGAGAATGTTTCCAGTTTTTGCCCATTCAGTATGATATTGGCTGTGGGTTTGTCATAAGTAACTCTTATTATTTTGATATATATTCCTTCAATACCTAGTTTATTGAGAGTTTTTAGCATGAAGGGCTGTTGAATTTTATCGAAGCATCATACTTCTCCTGAGAAAGAGATGAAAATTAACAGATACTGACGTTTGCTAACATAGGTCTATGCTGGTCTTGTTTTCCATTTACTAAAAACACTCAAGAAATAACAGCCTTTTATTCTGAGGGATAAGTAATTTAGTAGATAAATCAGCCTTCTCAGGTACATATTAATCTACTACAATTTTAATTTTATGTATAATAACTATAAAGTTTCTGCATCTGCTTCCTGTGAATTCCCTCCAAAGCCTATGATTGAAATTAGTTGTAAGTAATGTTTGAAGAACTTTTGCAATTTCTTTTATGAGAACTTGAAGAGTATCACTTAATACATATAAACTTAGCTGGCAAATCCAGGTTTGGGGCAACCTTTCTCACTAATGAGCAGTGTGAGCCTGGACAAATCACACCCAACATTTCTGAGCTTCCATTTTCCCTGCATGTCTGATGAGGGCCCTGTGACCCAACAATAGCACAGGCTGTTTCTTTCTGGCTCTAAAAGCTCTAGCTCTAAGTTACTTTTATTTCCAAGATCAATGCATAAAATAAATTTCAGAGCTACTTTCTTGATTTTCCAAACAGTGCTGAAGAATCAGGAGACAAACTTGAATTTGTAATATTAAGAAAAAGAAAAAAAAGGAGAAAACCCACACCCATCACTGAAGTAATTTCAAAAACAAGCAATTTACTTGTGCCCAACAGAAGTCCCAGACAAACTTCTATTACTCTGAAGAGAAAAAATATGGTAGGTGAATAAATTAGGAGGGAAACACACCACAGACACACACACACACACACACACTACACACATGTATTAATATGAAGTAAAAGAAACCTATCCCATCAGATAAGAATATGCCAAAAATCCAAAGGCTGTTTTTCAGAACAGGTGAAACTACTGTTTCCCACCAAAACCAATCTGATATTTCATAAACTAAATTACAATTGTAAGAAGAAAAATAAGTGTAAAATAAGAATTTTTGTTTTATAGGTGTTCTTTAATTTGTCAAAGACATCCCACTGATAAAAATTCATCCTATATAGCTAGGAGCTATATATAGGAGCTATATCTAAATTTTTCTTTTCTTCAGAGAAACAGAGTAGCTTATCATCTAACTAAATTGCTATGGTGCTTCAACTGAGCTCAATTCTAACAAGTCAAGTTGGTTAAATTACAAAAACAGATTTCAACAAATCATGTTAACATACAAGCTATAATTTTCAGAAAGCATTTGCTTTTAAACACTGATGATCTGCAATTTTTTTTTTAATTTTCATCACATTTGCCCCAGTAGACCTTTAAATAATCCAGAAAAAGTTAAAGTGGGAACTTATTTTCCCATTTTGCCCTGCTTTTGTTTTGATTACCTTTCACGTTTATCATAAATTTAAGAAAGGGATTGTGAAGAGAAGGAATGACCCACTAAGTTTCTACAGAGATACCTAAGTAATTTAACATCAGCAACACCCAAGTCTTTCCAGTTCTTCCACATTCTCCCATGTGCCTTGGGCACCCTCCAATCAGACACTATCCTGACATCGCCTCTCTTGGAACACCTTCCTCAGGACATCCATTTGGCAAAATGGGTTGGAAAGAATGGTCTCAGGTTCCCCCAGTGATTGGAAATGTGCTTCTGCCTCTCTCATTCAAACCTAGGTAGAAGAAGAAAAAGAAAAAAACAGATAGAAAGCTCAAAACAGCAGTCTGAAATGTAATTAATGTTTCTTGGCACAGATGTCTATAGGAGTGATCACTTCAATAGTTGGTGTGACATGGGCACACCACCATCTTTAAGCAGAGGAACCATGTTCCTCATGGTAGAAAATGCACCCCTGGACTGGGTATTCATTAAGTATTAGTGTTTCACATTTCAAGTTATATAAAAATACTTTCAGCCAAAAAATTTTCAAACACATGAATGAATATATTTTTTAAAATGTATTGAGTTTAATATATATATCAGCACACAAAGAACTTCATAAAAATAAATAAGAATAATTTTTAAATGGTCTTATTCCTACAAGAACCTAAGATAAATCATCCGTATGCTAGTATTTCCTAGCCTCTTTCTACTTCTGTTTTTTGGGGTAATTACAGTAGATTTTTTCTTTGGCTTGAAATGAGGATTCAATGAGTTATTATACATAAAGAACTTCAAACAGTAAGTGGCATAAAGAAAGCATTCAATAAATGTAAACTATTATTACTTTTACTACTACTGCTACTTCTACTACTATTACTACTATTGTAATCTTACCGTCCATACAATTAAAACTAATAATCTTTTTTCACTTTATGTTGTTATTTTTCCTGTTTTATTGAGGTAAATTGACAAATAAAAGTTGTAAACATAATGGTCAGTGTGATGCTTATCTATACATTGTGAAATAATTACCACAATCAAACTAATTAATATATCCATAACTTTACATAGTTATCATTGTATGTTGGGGGGGTGAGAACACTTGAGATCTACTCTTTCAGCAAATTTCGAATACACAAGACAGTATTATTAACTATAGTCACTATATTGTACATCGGATCTCCAGAATTTATTTATCCTGAATAAGTAGTATGCTTTGACCAACATATCCCCATTTCTCCCACCTCCCAGGCCCTGGCACCCACTGTTCTACTCATGACTTCTATGAGTTTGGCATTTTTAGATTCCATGTATAAGTGATATCATATTGCATTTGTCTTTCTGTGCCTGACTTATTTCACTTAGCATAATGCCCTTCAGGTTGATCTGTGTTATCAAAAATGACAGAATTTACCTTCTTTTTTAAGGTTGAATAATATTGAGGTGTGTGTGTGTGTGTGTGTGTGTGTAGACAGATGATATAGATAGATGATAGGCAGATAGATAGATGATAGATAGATAGATAGATAGATAATAGATAGATATGGGTTTGATATATACCACATTTTTAATCCACTCATTTATCAATGGACAATTAGTTGATTCCATGTTTGGGCTGTTCTGAATAATGCTGCTATGAACATGAGAATGCAAATATCTCATTGACATACTGATTTCATTTCCTTAGACTATATGGCCAGTAATGATACTGCTGGAATGGTAGTTCTTTTTTTTTTTTTTTTTATACTTTAAGTTTTAGGGTACATGTGCCCATTGTGCAGGTTACATATGTATACATGTGCCATGCTGGTGCGCTGCACCCACTAACTCGTCATCTAGCATTAGGTATATCTCCCAATGCTATCCCTCCCCCCTCCCCCCACCCCACAACAGTCCCCAGAGTGTGATGTTCCCCTTCCTGTGTCCATATATTCTCATTGTTAAATTCCCACCTATGAGTGAGAATATGCGGTGTTTGGTTTTTTGTTCTTGTGATAGTTTACTGAGAATGATGATTTCCAATTTCATCCATGTCCCTACAAAAGACATGAACTCATCATTTTTTATGGCTGCATAGTATTCCATGGTGTATATGTGCCACATAAGTTATTTGGGGGGGGGGAACTTCTGTACTGTTTTCTATAATGACTAAAATAATTTACATTCCCACTAACGGTGTACAAGGGTTTTCTTTTCTCCATATTCTCACCAAGACTTATCTTTTGTCTTTTTGACAATAGTCATTCTAACAGATGTGAGATGATCTCATGAGGTGGTTTTGGTTTGTATTTACCTGATGATAATTGATAGCATTTTTATATACCTGCTGGCCATTTATATGTCTTCTTTAGAGAAATGTCTATTCCATTTCCTTGCCTATTTTTAAAATTTTTAATTTTTTATTGTTTTAGAGGTAGGGTCTTTCTATGTTGGCCACGTTGGCCTCAAACTCCTGAGTTCAAGCAATCCTCCTACCTCAGCCCCTCAAATAGCTGGGATTACAGGCATGTACCACTGCACCCAGCTGCCCATTTTTTAATTGAGTAGCTTGTTTTATTTCTGTTGAGTTGTTTGAATTCCTCATATATTTTGGAAATTAACCCCTTATCAGATGTATGGGCCCTGCTGTGGCTTACAGAAGAGTCAGCATGGCTCCATTTGAAAGTGACTTTAGCATACAGAATGATATAGGATGATTGCTTCACTTACTTGATTAAAATAAGTAAAAACATAGATGGCCCTCAGATGTATGATTTACAAATATTTTCTCTCATTTTTTAGGCTGTCTCCTCACTCTCTTTATTATTTCCTTTGCTGTGCAGGGATTTAATTCAATACCATCTCATTTGTTTATTTTTGCTTTTGTTGCCTGTTCATTTGGGTTCATATCCAAAAAAATCCATGCCCAGACAAATGTCATGGAGTTTTCCCATATGTTTTCTTCTAGTAGTTTTAGAGTTTCAGATTTTATGTTTAAGTCTGTAATCCATTTTGAGTTGATTTTTATGTATGATGTGAGATGAGGGTCCAATTTTATACTTCTTCATCTGGATATTTAGTAACACTCCACCATTTGTTGAAGAGACTTTCTTTTCCCCATTTAGTGTTCTTGGGATCTTTGTCAAAGATTAATTGACCTTATATGCACACATTTATTTGTAGGCTGACTATAACTTTCTATTGATTTATATGTATTTTTATTCCAATACCATGCTGTTTTGATTATTATAGTTTTGTATGATATTTTGGGATCTGATAATGTGATAGTTCCAACTCTGTTTTTCCTTCTCAAGACTGCTTTGGCCACTCAGATTTTTTGTGGTTCCATACATATTTTAGAGTGCCTTTTAAAATTTATTTGATAAATGTCATTGGAGTTTTGATAGTAATTGCACTGAATCTGTAGATGACTTTGGTAGTATGGATATTTTACCAATATTAATCATTCAAATCCAAGAACACAGAGTATTGTTCCATTTATTTGTGTCTCATTTAATTTTTTTGTCATCGTCTTATAGCTTTCAGTGTATAGATCTTTTACTCCTTGGTTAAATGTAATTCTAAGTATTTTTAGTGGTCCTGGAAATTGAATTGTCTTATCGATACCTTTTTCAGAATGTTAGTTGTTATTATACATAAATGCTACGAATATTTGTATGTTGATTTTGCATTCTGCAACTTTACTAAATTTATTAGTTCTAAAAGTTTTTTCTGCAGTCTTTAGGGTTTTCTGTGTATAAGATCATGTCATCAGAAAACAAGGACAATTTTAGTTCTTCCTTTCAGATTTGGATGCCTTTCATTTCATCTTCTTGCCTAATTGTTCTGGCTAGGACTTCCAGTACTATGTTATTAGAAGTGGTTAGAGTGGGCATTCTTGTCTTGTTCCCAATCTTAGAGGAAAAGCTTTCAACTTTTCATCAGTGAATATGATGTTAGCTGTGGGCTTGGCACAGATGGCATTTATTATGTTGAGATACATTCCCTCTATACATCTTTGTTGATAATTATTATCATAAAAGGATGTTGAATTTTATCAAATGCCACTTCTGCATCTATTGAAATGTCCACCTAATTTTTATCCTGAATTCTGCTAATGTGTTGTCATATTTACTGATTTGTGTGTGTCAAACCATCTTTGCATCCCAGAGATAAATCTCACTTGATCATACTGTATGATCCTTTTAATGTGCTATTGAATTCATTTTGCTAGTATTTTGTTAAAGATTTTGCATCTATGTTTACCAGGAATATTGGTCTGTAATATTCTATTATTTCAGTATTCTAGTCTGCCTTTGGTTTGAGGGTAGTGCTGGCCTCATAAAATGAGTTTGGAAGTATTCCCTCTCTGTCAATTTTTGGGGAAAATTTGAGTAGAATTTGTGTTAATTCTTCTTTAATGTTTGGTGGAATTCACTGGTGAAGCCATCAGGTCCTGGAGTTTCCATGGTTGGAAGGTTTTTGATTACCGACTTAATCTTCCTACTTATTCTGTTCAGATTTTCTATTCATGATTCAGTCCTGGTAGGTTGTACATTTCTAGGAATGAATTCATTTCTTCTAGATTATTCAATTATTGGCATGTAACTGTTCATAGTAGTCTCTTATGAGCTTTTGTATTTCTGTGGTATCAGCTGTAATGTCTCCTCTTTCATTTCTGATTTTGAGTCTTCTCTCTTTGTTTCTTAGGTTAGCTAATGGTTTGTCAATTCTACCTTTCAAAAAAGTTTTAGTTTAATTTTTTTCTTGTCTCTATTTCATTTATTTCTGCTCTAATCTTTATTATTTCCTTCCTTCTGATAACTTAGGGATTAATGTGTTCTTCTTTTTTCTAGTTCCTTGAAGTGTAAAGCTAGATTGTTTATTTAAGATCTTTTTTTATTTTTTATGAAGGCATTTATCACTATTAACTTCCTTCTTCAAACTACTTTTACTGCATCTCAAAAGTTTGTTATGATGTGTGCTATTTTGATTTGTCTCAAGATATTTTTAATTTCTCTTTTGATTTTTTTCCTTGACCCATTAGTTGTTCAGGAGTTTGTTGTTTAATTTTCACATATTTGTGAAAACTGAAAATTCACAGGAGTTTTTCAGTTTTTCCCCTGGTATTGATTTGATGACAAAGTCATTATCTTTCATAAAATGATATTTCATACAATTGCAAAGAGAATAATAAAACTTTTTGTGAGAATATAAACTGCAGGCAATTTAAAGAATATCTTTGGAACATTGCTTACATGTGTCCTCCCATATATGCTTTTACTCCCACAGTTCTTATTTCTTTTAGACTACATTTTTACAACAGCTCCATACAATGTATCTGATTCTAACCCTTTAACCTTCTTTCAATATACCATACACACTGTCATCACCTTCATTGTCAAATCTGCTACCTGAAAAAAATATTTAAAAAGTCCCATTCATAACAGAATGAAACCCAAACTCCTTATCTTGCTATGCATGGTGCTTCATGATCTGGTATCAACATGCCTTTTAATCTCTCTCAACCACCATTTCCCCTCATAGCCTTTTGTTCCAGCCAAACAACATGTTTTCTACTGCTCAAACACTGTATTTTCATATCTTTGTTGTTGGCTCAGCCTGCACCCTAAATGTGGAATGACCTTTCACAAATCTTCTTAAATCCAACTTATCTGTACCCAGATGAGCTAGCAAATAAAGGTTTAAATAAGTAAAGAATTTAGCTTTTATCATGTAAAAAGGAGGTCCAGACATGACCATCTATTGCTGGTAAAGTGTTTTCACAGAACCCTGGGGAACTCTTGACTTCTTTTAGATTTTATACTTCCGCTTCTTGCCTAATGGTTGCAAAATTACTGCTTCACCCCCAATACTACACTCACATTCCAGAAAGGAAGTGGAAAAAAATAGAGAAAACAGCATATGGCAGCCAAGTCTTATCACCTTTTTTAAAATTTCCCTACACAGCAACTTCCAAATATATTTCATTGGGCATAATTATATCATAACTAATCTTAGCTACAAAGAAAGCTGACAAAATATTTCCTAGTCAAAAAATGTTGTACTAGTGAGGAAGGAAAATAAGGTGAAACCGATATGCATTCAGCAATGTTGGCCTTAATATTTGTTTATTTTCATAATTGTCTTCTCCTGGTTGTCTGGAACTTCAAAGTCATCTTTGTACCTTCTAGTGCAGCATGCACAAAGAAGATACTTATTATATATTTGAGTAAGTTTAACTTTATAAATGACAAGGGAAAGAGAACCATTTTTGCATTTAAGCATGATTGTATTCCATCGTAATGAAAGCATAAACTTAGATAACTTGATCAAGAGTAAGCAAACTACTGCCTGGGGGCAAAATGTCGCCTACATTGTTTTTGTGCACACCATGAACTAAGAATAGTTGATACATTCTTATAGGGTTTTAAAAAATAAAAACAGGAATATGTAGCAGGGACTGTATATAAACTGCAAAGCCTAAAAGATATGCCGTCCGGCATTTTACAGAACATATTTGCCATCCCTTGACACCGGTTAAAATGTACTACATTTCTTTTTTTTAGTGTTATTTAAGGATCTAGTTGTATTATTCCAGGGTCATTGGAGCCATCTTTGTCTTTTGAAACAATGTATGTGAGAAAACTTGCCAGCCAACCCTTTCTCTTGTCAGGAAATTCAAATGTCCTACCCATTCCACAGAGAAACTGATGTTAGGACTTCCATAATGCTCCTCACTCAGACTTATGAGCTAAATTTCCAGGTTTGAAAGTACACTATAATTTTTGATTATTTTTAAGTAATAGTGTTCTCCTACCACTATACAAATTTAAAGAAAAAAATTATAGTTCCAAAGCAGAAATAAGCATGAGAGCCAATTAATTGTATTTCACACATGCAATTATTGGATAACTCTATATGTGAAGCTAAAGGGACAAAGCAATATTTTTCCTATTGACTCTGCTCCATAACTTGACTAAATTATCCAAGCCAATGATCTGAGGAAGCATATGTGAAACCACCTAGAAGTATTTTACTTTCATGTTGTGTAAGGTATATTTTAAGTTATCTTAATGTTGCATAAAGTCTTCCCATAATCTCAAGAAGGACAGGGAGCAATTTTATCTTACTTGTCACTAAATCCCCCAGTGCCTATTGCAGTGCCTGGAAGGGATTTTATAAGCTGTGTGTGTGTGTGTCTGTGTGTGTGTGTGTGTGTGTGTGTGTGTGCGTGCACATGTGTACATGCATTCCTACTTCCCCTTCATCTCAAGGCAATGAAGTATTGTTTCCATTGTCATATGTCACCTTCTGTTAATGATGAGCAGATCACTACATGGACGAAGTTAAGGAGCTCTACTTCTCGCATATAAATTCTACTTTTCCTATGTAAGTTCTACTTCATCCACGTAAGTTTAGAGTGCTGGAAAATAACATATGAAGAAAGTAAAATGTAAAACATTGGCATGGTTTCTGAAGGTCAAATATATAGTCACTAATGGAATCAGGATCAACACCGTTGCTCAAGCATAATACCACGGTGTCTCTGTTTCACTAAGTTTCCTCTCCTGTAAATAGTCCATGTCCTTAAATTTGCTGGATTTTTTTAATAAAAGTAAGTCATGTAATCCCAAGTAATATGAAGGTATACACAAGTACTCCAAAAAGGTTCAGAATAAAGTAACTGAAGTAACAAGGCACACTCTATTGATATGCATTAAAACAAAAAATCTCAACAAACCAAGCAAGTTTCTTGCAGAACCTAAGGACTTCTATATTTCATTAAGAAAATGTATTGTAAAGGTAAAAAAGCAAATGATAGAACAGAAACAGCGCAATATTCTGAATTGAAGAAACAGTGCAATATTCTGAATTACAGTGGTCTTTAAGTAAATAATAAGCATTAATATTCTCTTCATAAAGACGAGTTTACTAATTTAGTATCATAAAAACATTTTTTTTCAAAAGCCATGTCCAAGTGGGCACCAGTTAAAATAGGACAGGGGTGATTGTTACACTTTCAATTTGTGGAACATTTTTCTTCCTTAAACATTCCAGAGCTTTTATGCAAACATAATTATTAAAGTGCATATGTCATTGGTTCTGAACTTAATATCTGAATTTTCTGTGAGAAAAACAAGGAATTCTTTTCATTTGGATCCTGACTCAGCACTTACATCCCATTTACTTTTAGTCACTGTGTTTCTGCTTACAGTATGTGAAATACTCTCACCAGAACAAAGGTCCCAGCGTCAATAAGTCAAACCGCAGACTCTGACAGCTGAGTGAATAGCAGAGGCCAGAGTCCACTTGAAGTGTTCACACTCTCAGAGGCCAAGTTTAGATCTTATCTGCCTGAGATTCCTTTTAACACTGATTTGTCATAGCAGGTAGCTGACAGCATCTACTCCTGAAGACCGGAAACATGGCTTGTACCATCCAAAAGGCAGAAGCACTTGACGGGGCTCATTTGATGCAGATCCTCTGGTATGATGAGGAAGAGTCTCTCTACCCAGCTGTATGGTTGAGAGACAACTGTCCGTGCTCTGATTGCTACCTGGATTCTGCAAAAGCACGGAAACTTCTAGTGGAAGCTCTTGATGTGAACATTGGAATTAAAGGCTTGATATTTGACAGAAAAAAGGTAATTATCTCTAAATTATGTCTCCCTTCTTTCTCAAGTTCAATAATGGGGCTAGTCAACAATAATTTAGATAACTCTTTTTTATTTGGTCACGCATATATAACCGCATATGAACCCACGTTTGTATAGTACTTGGTGCGAATTAAGTATATTCAGTAAATGGAAGCTTCAGCTATTATTATTACTATTATCATTACTACTACTATTTTTAATAAAATTTGCAGTGTTACTTGTCTTTTAGTCAAATTAGTATGTAGAGATACAAGGCTTGTTCTGGGATTCCCAAAAGCACAGCTCTCAAAACTACAAACCAGAGGCAGCCACCATTCCATGTTTCTCTCTTCCAAATTTACTAGGATTCTTATTATGCTCTTGTCCACATCCCGACTTGAGGACTTTACTCCCAGATTTCACTGCTTGCTAGCTAGATAGAAATGTTGTTTACTCTTACATTTCTCACCTGAAAAAAATGAGAATAATAGTAGTACCTTCCCCCTAGAGTTGTAAAGATTAAATGTGTTATGTCTATAGTACTTGTTATGGATACTCAAAATAGTGTTATTTTTATTATTGCTGTTGTACTCCTTATCATCACTACTATTACTTACTTTTATTTATTTATTTTTGAGATGGAATCTTGCTCTGTTGCCCAGGCTGGAATGCAGTGGGGCGATCTCAGCTCACTGCAACTTCCGCCTCCCGGGTTCAAGCAATTCTCCTGCCTCAGCCTCCCAAGTAGCTGGAATTACAGGTATGGGCCACCATGCCCGGCTAATTTTTGTATTTTTAGTAAAGACGGGGTTTCACCATGTTAACCAGGCTGGTCTCAAACTCCTGACCTTGTGATCTGCCTGCCTCGGCCTCCCAAAGTGCTGGGATTACAGGCATAAGCCACCACACCCAGCTGCACCATTACTATTTCTAATACTCTTGGCAGGAATCTTAATTGACAACTAGCTTCAGTTATCACAGAAAGTTTGGGGATCCCAGGTTTAGAGGATGTAGGTCAAGAACTGTAGATCTATCCATGCTCTATTTCTTGAGTGCTATTTAAGGGCCTCAGACCTCAGATGTATTACTTTGGCTTCCTTGTTTTCCAAAAGCGTATGCTTAATCTCTGTCTTAAAAATTAAGCTGGCCAGGCATGGTGGCTCACGCCTGTAATCCCAGCACTTTGGGAGGCTGAGGCGGGCGCATCACAAGGTCAGGAGATGGAGACTGTCTTAGCCAACATGGTGAAACCCCGTCTCAACTAAAATACAAAAAATTAGCCAGGCGTGGTGTCGCGTGCCTGTAATCCCAGCTACTTGGGAGGCTGAGGCAGGGGAATCGCTGGAACCCGGGAGGCAGAGGTTGCAGTGAGCCGAGATTGCGCCACTGCACTCCAGCCTGGCAACAGAGGAAGACTCCGACTTAAAAAAAAAAAAAAAAAAAAATTAAGCAAAGCATAATTGGATTCCCTGATTATCTTAAACAGCATTCAAAAACAGAGCAATAGTGGAGAACGGAAATAAAATCCACATAGGTGAAATTTGCTTTTTGTGTTATAAGGTGTACATCACATGGCCCGATGAGCATTACAGTGAATTCCAGGCTGATTGGCTGAAGAAAAGATGCTTTTCCAAGCAGGCCAGAGCAAAGCTCCAAAGAGAATTGTTTTTTCCAGGTAACTTTGCCAAAGTCTTCAATGTCTTTTTAAACCCTTACAGTAAAGGATTTTTATTAAGAAATTTGCTCACAGAAAATTCAAACCTTTGTGCTTTGATTAAAATATGTGACATGTAAATTATGTGGTGTATTTAAAGTTTTACCGACAAATATCATTTGGGTAGAGATGAAAAGGAGTATAGAGTAATTCTAGACATTCTACAGAGAAAGAAACAAAATAAGTCCAGCAAACTTGTGTCTTTGTCATCTAAAGCAAAACCTGGCACAGCATACCACAGACACTCCGTAAGTGTTCACTACAAAGAAGCAGGATGAACTAGAGGCAGACTGGCCCTTTATAACAATTTTGTCTAAGGCCAGAACAACACAAATCAACAAAGCAAGAATTCCTAACCTGGTATTCATAGATGGAATTATGGGATTGATGAACCCATGAAACGGTACGCATAGCACTGCAAATGCCAGTGAGTGTGGGACAATTTGTGTGTGTGCATGTACACACACATGCACACAAAGCCACGTTTGTCTAGGAAGAATTTATATAGGTTTCAAGGGGATCCATAAACAGAACAATGTTCAGAAAAACTGCAAGGGTGGATTCAGTGGATAAAGAGGACTTTATTGCTGAGCAAAGAAGCAAAATAAATACTTAAAACAGGTGGAAATATTTTTAAATATAAATTTTAGGAGATACACAGTAATAGAACTCAAGCAGAGGAACTGGTAAGGAGTAAGGGCTGTTTACAATTCATTCTCTGCCTATTTTGAAGATTTATTACATGAAACTATGTGAATCAAAGATAGACTGAAAAACAGTTCTTGCAAGATCTGGTCATTTAAAAGTGTGTAGCACTACCCTCTCTCTCCTGTTCCTGCTTTCCTCATGTGACCTGCCTGCTCTCCCTTCACCTTCCATCATGATTGTAAGTTCCTGAAGCCTCTCCAGAAGTTGAGCAGATGTCAGTGCCATGCTTCCTGTATAGCCTGCAAAACCATGAGCCAATTTAACTTCTTTTCTTTATAAATTACCCAGTCTCAGGTATTTCCTTATAATGATGCAAGAACAAACTAATACAGAAAATTGGTCCTGAGAAGTGAGGCATTGCTATAAAGATACCTAAAATTTAGAAGCAGCTTTGGAACTGGGTAACAGGCAAATGTTGGAAGAGTTTGGAGAGCTCAGAAGAAGACAGGGTAAGTTTGGAACTTTGTAGAGACTGGTTAGATGGTTGTGACCAAAATGCTGATGGTGATATGGACAGTGAATGCCTGGCTGATGAGTTATCAGATGGAAATGAGGATCTTATTGGGAAGTGAAGCAAAGGTCACATATGCTATGCCTTAGCAAAAGAGCTTGGCTGGATTGTATCCATGCCCTAGGGATATGTGGAAGTTTGAAATTGAGAGTGATGACCTACGGTATCTAGTGAAATAAATTTCTAAGCAGCAAAGTAAGTGTTTAAGAAGTAACATGACTGCTTCTAACAGCCTATGATCAGATACAAGAGCAAACAAATAAGTTGGAACTTTAAAAGGAAAGCAGAGTGTAAAAGTTTGAAAATTTTGTAACCTATTCATGTCTAGGCAGAGAAAGAAAAAGCTTTTTTGGGAGAGGAAGTCAAGCAGACTGTGGATCAACCACTTATTAGAGATATTTGTATATAAGAAGAAGCCAGTGCTAATAGCCAAGACAACAAGAAAAAGCCTTCGAAGGCATTTCATAGACCTGCACAGCAGCCTCTCCCATCACAGACCCAGAGGCCTAGGAAGGAAGAATGCTTTCCTGGGCCAAGGGCTCCACTGCCCTGTGTGTAGCCTCGGGAGGCAGCTCCCACATCCCAGCTGCTCCCACTCCAGCCTCGGCTCCAAGGGGCCCAGGTACAGGTTGGGCCATAGTTCCAGAGGGCATAAGCTACTGTAAGACTTGGTGGCTTCCATGTGGCTTTAAGCCTGTGGCCGCACACAGTGCAAGAATGAATGAGGCTTGATGTTCGCTGTCTAGATTTCAGAGGATGTATTATGTTGGTGCAAAAGTAATTGCGGTTTTTGCCATTAAAAGTAATAGTAAATATAAGAAAGCCTGGGTGCCCAAGCAGAAGCCTGCTGCAGGGGCAGAGCCCTCACAAAGAACCCTAGGGAAATGCAGAGGAAAATGAGTTGGAGGCCCCACTTAGAGTCCTCACTGGGGCACTACCTAATGGAGCTGTGGGAAGAAAGCCACTGTCCTGCAGACTCCATAATGGTAGATCCACCGCCAGCATGCATACTCAGCATGGAAAAGCCACAGGCACTCAACGACCTGTGACAGCAGCCTCTGGAGCCGAACTTTGCAAAGCCATAGGGGCAGAGCTGCCCAAGGCATTGGGAACCCATCCCTTGTACCATTGTGTCCTGGAGGCAAGACATGGAGTCAAAGGAGATAATTTTGGAGCCTTAAGATTTAGTGACTGCCCTGCTGGGTTTTGGACTTGCATGGGCCCTGTACTCCCCTTTCTTTTGGTTGATTTCTCCCTTTTGTAATGAGAATGATTACCCAATGCTTATAACCCCATTATATCTTGGAAGTACATAAATTGTCTTTAATTTCACAGGCTTATGGGTGGCAGAGACTTACCCTGTCTTAGATGAAACTTTAAACTTCAGACTTTTGAGTTAATGCTAGAATGAGTTAAGACTTTCAGGGACTACTGGGAAGGCATGACTGTATTTTGCAATGTGAGAAGTACATGAGATTTGGGGGGCGAGGAGCAAAATGATATGGTTTGCATGTTCCACCCAAATCTCATGTTGAACTGTAATCTCCAATGTTGGAGGTGGGGCCTCGTGGGAGGTGACTGGATCACAAGGGATGATTTCTCATGAATTGTTTAGCACCATCCTGTTGGTACTATCCTCACAATAGCAAATGAGTTCTTTGAAGATCTGGTTGTTTTAAGGTGTGTAGCAACACCTCCCTTATCTGTTTCTCCTGCTTTTGCTATGTGATCTGCCTGCTCCCCCTTTCAGCTTCCATCATGATTTTAAGTCTCCTGAAGCCTCCCCAAAAGCCAAGCAGATGTCAGCACCATGCTTCCTATAAAGCCTGTAGAACAGTGATCCAATTAAATCCCTTTTCTTTATGAATTACACAGTCTCAGGTATTTATTTATAGCAATGCAAGAACAGGCTAATATACCAGCCTTGTTGAGTTTTGTAACACCTCTCCTGGAAATTCTTAGCCACATACCAAGAGAGAGATTTTACCTTAACTCCTTTCAAATCTGAAATTCTTAAACATGTGTGGTAACTCTCCGTGGCTTTAAATGAGACTTATGACACTTTACTAGGTATGAAGATGTTACTAATCAACTTGAACCAAATAGGTTCACCATTTCTTCTGGTTATCAATAATAGAGCATGATACTGTCCCCTTTCTCTTTAAGCATAGACCAGCCATGTCAAGAATTTGGTTCCTCCATTTCTTTAGTCTCACCATTCTGATGGCTGACAAGGTTTTGTCCTAGTGCTTTCTCTCTAAACTACCAGTTCATTTTTCCCTGTATCTAGCTGGTTAAATCCAGATGGGTATCCAGGGAAAGATGTTTTTATTGCCTTCCTCCAATGAGTGCATTGCTAAATTCTTCAAGGAGTCTCCAATTACATAATTTAGTACCGATTGTCTGGGTCACATCGCAGTGTCACAAATGTATTTTTTTAAATTTATTTTAGACTTCTTCTGGTACTCAAAATATTTTTCCTTAACTCTGCTCTAATTTTATAATCCTATTGGATTTTACTTTCATTTCCTTCAAGTTCTCCTTTTGATTTTTTCAGGAAATACATGCCAACTTTTTATTATTACAGCTTAAGCTTTTAAGCATTGTAAAAGGATATGGACATCCTCCTCCATTAATATTTCTTGATGAGTGCAGTTTTATAGCTTACATTTTTCAGTACTATCGGGCAGTAGCAAAATGGAAATGATACTACACTCAATTAAGTAGTGGAAAAAACTGGTCACAATGACAGGCTGCAATCATGAATAATATAAGAACTGGCTGCTATTTAGACACTGGAAAATATTTTAATAGTTTAAAACAAGATCAGATTTTTAAAATACATTCTCAAGCTGTGCAGTTGGTGGGTAAAAAAAAGAAATTAATGAGCCATTTTTGGAATATTGGTTCTATGGCTTTTTGCCTGTAGAATTTGATACCTTATTTCATTGCCATTGCAGATTTTCAAACATTTATATTCCAGAGCATGCAAACAAACTCAGTTACATTTGTGAAAGGATTTTGTTTTTTAGTCCCAGTAGTAATGTTTTCTCTTCTGCAAGCATAACCCTTGGAGTGAGGGTTACAGAGCTTTTAAAATCTGGAATCAAGATGCAGACAATTTTTCCTTGATCTTCCCCCTGGCACTCGCTGTTGAACTCAAAAATGACAAGACAAATGATCATCATCCAAAAAACTTTTATCATGGGACACAGTCATAGCTGAAAGGAAGACACGGATAATTATCACTCCCTCATAAATTTCTATTCAGTTGCACATATATTGGGTATCTATTTTGTGCCAGGACCTCTGTAAGGAAATATCAAGATTTTTTTAAAAGACATAGATTCTCTCCTTGAGGACTTATCAAGTCTGAAAGGGAACAATAGCCATGAGAAAATAAGTATAAGACATTACTTGAAGTACATTAAAACCACACATAGAAAGTTAATGATGACACAGAAGAAGGAACTTGAAGGGATGAAGGAATGATCCTCAGAAATGAGGTAATACTTGAGTTGCACTTTGGAGAATCAATCAGTTTGTCAGGCAAAGATAGATAGAAAGTAAGGAAATTCTCAACAAAGAAAAAGGCAGGCAGAAAATCATCAAAGGGTAAAATAGTAGGATAGGTTTGGAAAACTGCAATTAGTTTAATATTGGTGAAGTTAAAATTGTTAGGCAACAGAGAAGAAGGAAGGGGCCAAACCATGAAGTGGCTTATATGCCCTGCTTGGTCCTAAACCTGCAGGCGATTAAGAGTTTTCCCAACAAGGGCTCAGATATGCCATCCCCTTAGCTTCTCCATACTGATGCTCTTCTTTTAAAGCCAGAGAAATGAGTTTAAGATCTTTATAAGTTTAAGAAGATGATTGCTTTCATTTTTTCATCTGTATTTTACATTTTCCGAGTTGTGTCTTTCTGATTTTAATCAAATGAACATAACTTCTCAAATGCCTACAAGTTTGTACATGTCTCCTAGGCTTTCTTTTTCTTTTTTTTTTGAGACGGAGTCTTCCTCTGTCACCAGGCTAGAGTGCAGTGGAGCGATCTCGGCTCACTGCAACCTCTGCCCCCGGGTTCAAGTGATTCTCCTGCCTCAGCCTCCCGAGTAGCTACAGGTGCTACAAGGACTACCGGCATCACACCCAGCTAATTTTTGTATTTTTAGTAGAGATGGGGTTTCACCATGTTGGCCAGGATGGTCTTGATCTCTTGACCTCATGATCCGCCCACCTTGGCCTCCCAAAGTGCTGGGATTGCAGGCGTGAGCCACCGCGCCTGGCGGGCTTTCTTTTTTTCTTCTTGCATTCTCCCTTCCTCCACAGTGCACCTGCTTGGCTCTTGGCTTATATTTACCCCACAAAAGAGAGTGAAGTAATCACATCTGTGTTGTAGAAGGGCCTTGATCGTGGCTCTGAGTTTGGATGGACCAGCATAGGGAGTGACTGGGGTCAGGGTAACCGTAGCATGACCTAGAAATAGTCCTGTAAAAGACAAAGAAATTTTGAGAGGCAGGGAGGATGGAGGAGGGTGTAGAATCTGTATTCAAAAGGAACATATATGACCTGTAGGACAGCAAGTTGCCGGCCATATTCTCTAGTCTCTCTCAACTGAAATCCTAACACTTGAAGCTCAGCAGTACATGTTTCCAAACATATGGGTGAAAATGGAAGACTTTAAATCATATTAGAGACAAGGTTTTTATGTACTAATTATAATTTAGCTCTCGTGAAATTTTGGCATAATTATATGCTCATTTTTGTCACTAACTTTGAGATGCAACATTCCCAACATATAACTGGCAGGACCAAAATGGAAAAAAAAATCACTATATAGTATGATATACATATGAAGCTAAATATTTGTTCTTTTTATTAATCCTCAATATCAGAATGATAGATGCTTGATTATCTCTCTGAATTGGTACTGAAGTATTTTTGTATTAATCTCTAACTTTAATAATATTTTTTATAGAATATTGAGATTTAAAAAGCTATAACTTGAAGAAAATATTTTATTTCCATGGAGACAGGCTGCTCAGTTTTCTCAGCAATCCAGGGATGGAGTACATTGCACAGTCAAAAAAAAAAAAAAAGAATATTTCCCCACAATTCTTTATGCCTCTCTCATGGCAGTCTTTACCATCTACTAAATCAGATTATAGCCCTTCAGTCTATAGCTATAACGCACTCCTTTGTTTCAAAAGTAGCATTCCATAAGAGGAAGTGAAAACTCACAAATAACTGTTAGGACCCTCTAAAATCTATTCGTCTTGTACATGGCAAGAAAAAGTAGAGAGTTCTTCCTTTCTTGCAGAGAACCATATATTTACTTGAAGATGGAGACTTTATGACAGTGCAAAAACCAGATTTGGTTTGGTGCAGAGGCCATTTTTACAAAGCATTGTCATAAAGCAAAAATCTTGTGTGTTTTTCTTAATTCAATTAATGTACAAAAGAAATATGCCTCGCCCATGTGATATTTTGCCCCCATCTCTAAGCCTTGCTACATCCATTCTTGAATTCTCAGAGGTGGGAGCCTGCAATGCAAATCAGGGATGGGGTAAGTGTATTGTTTCACTATTGTTTGGTAATTATAAAAAGAACTAGCAAGACTTGGTGGGTTGTTGTTTTTTTTCAAGCTGCGTTAGGATGTCCCAACAGTATCAGGGCTGCCAGGTCAGAATGGCTTCCAAACAGCCCTGTCAAAACAGCTGCCTTAGAGCAATTAAGCCACCACATCATCTTCCGAAATGCATTCCATTCCCAAGAGAGACTAATAAAGATTCCTTCCCTAAAGTCACCCAAACTCATAACTCAGATACACAGGTGGGAGAATAGCTCACTGGATTTATATGTTTAAGAAGCATGTCTTTGTTCTGTTTTGCCTGTCATATGCAAAATGGACCTACTGACTTGCAGAGAAATATCTCTAGGTTTTCTGTGAAATGAATATAGCTATCTCAAATGCATGTGACTTTATTATAACTGTCTGAGGGGTTCTTCCTGCCTGCTGCTCAAAGAAAGACCATGGTTTTACAGTAAAAAAGGAGTTTAATAGACATGAGGCCAGCCATGCCATGGGGGAGATGGAGTTAGTCCTCAAATCAATCTATCCAACGCTCATAGGTTAGGAGTTTTTCAAAGGCATTCTGGGAAAGGAGTGGCAGCGACTAGGCTTGCTGCTGATTTGTTTGGGCAGAGATGAAATCATAGGGGGTCAAAGCCATCCTCCTGTGGGCTAAATCATTTCTGAGTGGGGCCACAGGGGCAGGATTGGTGGGTCTAGGTAGACCCATGGGGTCCAGTGGAGCCATAGGTGTCAGACATGAAAAAAAAAAACAACAAAAAAAACATCTCAAAGGCCCATATACAATAGTGGTGTTACCTGCAGGAATGGCTGACAATCTGTTTCTATGCCTTAGCAGAATCAGGCTCCTCTCTTTCCCCTAACCTGATGGTCTTTCATTAGTTTTGCAAAGGCCATTGAGTTCTTGGGGAAGGCCTATTCCCATTTAAAACTATAAATTAAATATCTCTCAAAGACAGCTTAGCCTAAGCCCAGGAATGATTAAGGGAAAGGCAAGATGGAGGAGGTGGGTTAGATCAGATCTCTTTCATTGCCATAATTTTCTCACTGGTATAATTCTTGCAAAGGGACCTATTGACTTTCAGAGAAATATCTTTGGGGTTTTGATTAAGTGAATACAGCTATCTCAAATGCATGTCAATTTATGAATGTGTACCTTGCTTCATTTTTCCTCTGTGCCATATTGATGTCTTTCAATGTGTCCTATTCTTTTCTGAATTATATGTAATCTATTATTCTCATTTTCTGCACTGCACTTGGTAAAATCAGGCATAACATCTAAAGAGTCTAACGTACCTATGCAAGATGGGGCTGCCCTTGTTCTGACTGTAAACCTACCAGGGGAGACTCAGAACCTGGGAAGCACACTGCAGTGCCCTGTGCTTTTCTCAGGTGCCACTAATCTGCAGGTTGCTCCCGCAAAATCTGCCTAATTTTGGGCTTCATTTGTAAGCTCCAGATAAACTTATCTTCCTCTTTCCTTTTCTAAACTCCATCCATACTTCCAGCTAGAAAACACATACCACATGTTCAGATATAAATATTAAAAATAAGTCTATTTTACTAGATGTATTGATGTATTAAATAAAATTTTTTAAAAGCCTGTATACTACTACATCTATTACTTTTTAAATGCTTGAGTAAGAGGTATATTAATTATATTCTTCTTCAAAAATTATTTTCTCATTACTTAACAACTTCATAAGACAATGTTAGTGCTAGACGGGACCTTGAAAAGCTGGTATCTTAAAATATTTAAAAAGCCTTGGCAAAGTTTGAGGATATCTTTGAGAACCTAAAGCAAATATATTTCCAGAAATAATTATTACAGTCCATTCCCTTTTTATACCTTTTTAGTTTAGTTGCCACATTGAGAATTAAGGAAAATATTCTAATGTTTTTGCTCTTGGAAAAATAATTTTTTGTAGTTATATTAAAGTAAAGTTATTACTTTTTAAACAAGGAAAACAAAATAGAATGGGCTTTCCTTAGTGAATGACGAGCTCCATTTCTACAAGCTAGGCTTTTTTGTGTTTTTGTGTGTGTGGTTTTTTGGTTTTTGTTTTGTTTTGTTTTGTTTTGTTGCAGCCCAGGAATAAGTTTTATAACATTGGCAGTTGGGCTACAAGTTTAGAACTTATACATTTAGAAAATTCCAAAGTGTTCCAATTTCCAAAAGTAAAGTTGGAATACTTTCTACACTGGCTTCAGGTTTACCAAATGTACACATAAGGGATAAATTTGTCCTGCCAATTTTGCTAGTGCCTATATATCAGCAGATTCGCCAGACAATAAAAAAGGGGACAATTGATTCAAAAACCATTACCTCTCACTTCTGGTTCCACTTTGCTTCAAAATGGCAGAACATAGAATTACACAGCGTTAGGTTTGGAGTTGCAGTTATCTTCAGCACACTTAAATTTCTTCTTTTAGATTTTAGAACCAAACTTCCAAATGTGCCCATCCATGGAATACATGGAATAGCTCTGGGCTATCCCTTCAGGGGAAAAAAAAAAAAAAAAAGAAAAAAAACCATTTTAAGAATTTGTTGATGTTTACGTTCATACATACTATTGATTTGCCAATTTTAAGAATTTGTTGATGTTTACATTCATACATACTATTGATTTGCCTAATTTCTGGCTTAGCAAATTAAATAAAAATGTTTAAGTTCTACTCTATCCAAAAATCATCTCCTTTTTCTTTCTTTTTTTCTTAAAATTTTATATTTTTCTCAATCAGTAACTTTGTTATTAATCAATAAGAAAGTAGGGCACTGAAATTAAGAGGGTTTTTGGCCCTAGGCCTTGCTAAGTCTGTGATTTTGAGCAACTTACTTAACCTTTCTATGCTTCAATATCCTTATCTGCACAACAGATATAATAATAGTATATACTTAACTTCTCAAGCAGTGCAATGTTGGGTGAAGGGTAGTGTTGCACCATACATATCAACTCATTATTTTTTTCAAAAGATTTCCTTGAAAGTGGTTGTAAGTAATTATAGACAGCAACTCTGAGAGTTTTCTTTTTTGTTTGTTTTAAAATAGGTTTATTTCTTTTTTTAATTTTATTTCAATAGCTTTTGGAGAGTGTTTTTTTATTACATAAATGAATAGCACAGTGGTGGAGTCTGAGGTTTTAGCGCACCCGTCACCCAAGTAGTGTACGTTGTAACGAATATGTCATTTTTTATTTCTTACCTCTTCTCACGCTCCCACTTCTGAGTCTCCAAAGTCCATTATACCACCACTCTGCTTGCTTTTGCATACCCATAGTTGAGCTCCGGGCCAGGCGCGGTGGCTCACATCTGTAATCCCAGGATTTTGGGAGGCCAAGGCAGGTGGATCACCTGAGGTCAGGAGTTTGAGCCTGACCAATATGGTGAAACCCCATTTCTACTAAAAATACAGAAATTAGCCAGGCGTGGTGGCATGCGACTGTAGTCCCAGGTACTCTGGAGGCTGAGACAGGAGAATTGCTTGAACCCCGAGGCTGAGACAGGAGAATTGCTTGAACCCAGGAAGTGGAAGTTGCACTGAGCCGAGATCGCGCCACTGCACTCCAGCCTGTACGACAGAGCGAGACTCCATCTCAAAAATAAAATAAAATAAAAATTTTTAAAAAACATAGTTGAGCTCCTGCTTGCAAGTGAGGACATACAGTATTTGGTTTTCCATTTCTGAGTTACTTCATTTAGAATAAAGGCCTCCAGCTTCATTCAAGTTGCTGCAAAAGACATTATTTTATTCTTTTTATGGTTGAGTAGTATTCCATGGTGTGTATATACCATATTTTCTTTATCCATTCATTAGTCGATGGGCACTTAGATTGGTCCCATAACTTTGCAATTGTGAATTGTGCTGTAATAAGCATACATTTTCAGGTGTCTTTTTTACATGACTTTTTTCCTTTGGGGTAGATACCCAGTAGTGGGATTCCTGGATTGAATAGTAGTTCTACTTTTAATTCTTTAAGAAATCTCCATACTCTTTTCCATAAAGATTGTCCTAATTTACATTCCTACCCACAGTGAACGCTTCCCTTTTCACCACATCCATGCAAATATCTGTTGTTTTTTGACTTTTTAATAATAGCCATTCTGGTGAGGGCAAAATGGCATCTCATGGTGGTTTTAATTTCCATTTCCCTGATGACTAGTGATGCTGAGCATTTTTTCATGTTTGTTGGCCATTTGTACATCTTCTTTTGAGAAATGTCCATTCATGTCATCTGCCCACGTTTTGATGGGGTTGTTTTTTTCTTGCTGATTTGTTTGAGTTCCTTGTAGATTCTGGATATTAGTCCTTTGTTGGGATGGATAGTTTGCAAATATTTTCTCCCTTTCTGTGGGTTGTTTACTCTGGTAATTTTTTTTTCTTTTTTGCTATACAGAGCTTTTTAGTTTAATAAGTCCCCATTTATTTATGTATTTTTGTTTGCTACATTTGCTTTTGGGGTGTTAGTCATAAATTCTTTGCATAGGCCAATGTCCAGAAGAGTTTTTCCTAGGTTATCCTCTAGAATTTTTATTATTTCAGATCTTCAATTTAAGTCTTTAATCCATCTTGAGTTGATTTTTTATAAGGTATGAGATAGGGACCCAGTTACATTCTTCTATATGTCGCTATTCAGTTTTTCCAGCACCATTTATTAAATAAGGTATCTTTTCCCCAATTTATAGTTTTGTATGTTTTGTCAAAGATCCATTGGTTGCAGATATTTAGCTTTATTTCTGTGTTCTCTATTCTGTTCCATTGTTCTATGTGTTTACTTTTATATAGTACCATGCTGTTTTGGTAACTATAGCATTATAGTAAAATTTGAAATCAGTTCAGATGATGCATTCAGATTTGCTCTTTTTTTTTAGGATTGCTTTGGCTATTTGGGCTCTTTTTTATTTTTTTGGTTCCATATGAATTTTGGGATTTTTTTTTCTAATTCTGGGAAGAATAATGTTGATATTTTGATAGGCATTGGCTTGAATCTGTAGATTGCTTTGGGCAATGTGGTCATTCTTAAAATATTGAGTCTTCTAATTCATGAGCATGGGATGTGTTTCCATTTGTTTGTGTCACGTATGATTTCTTTCAGCAATGTTTTGTAGTTCTCCTTAGAGAGATCTTTCATCTCCCTGGTTAAAAATATTCCTGGATTTTGTTTTGCAGCTATTGTAAAAAGGACTGAGTTCATGGTTTGATTTTCAGTTTGGTTATTGTTGGTATAGTAGTGCTACTGATTTGTGTACATTAATTTTGTAACCTGAGACTTCACTGAATTTGCTTATGAAATCTAGAAGTCTTTTGGAGGAGCCTTTAGGGTTTTGTAGGTATACTATTTTATCATCGGTGAACAGTGATAATTTGACTTCCTCTTTTCCAATTTGGTTGCCCTTTTTTCTTTCTCTTGTCCAATTACCCAAGCTATGACTTGCAGTACTATGTTGAATAGAACTGGTGAAAGCGGGCATCCTTAACTTGTTCCAGTTCTCAGGAACTGGAACTTTTAATTTTTAACCTTTTAACTTTTAATTTTTGCTTTTAACTTTTAAGTTATGCCTTTAACTTTTCTCCATTCAGTATGATGTTGGCTGATGGTTTGTTATATATGGCCTTTATTCACCTCCTAGCATTTTGAGGTACGTTCCTTCAATGCCTAGTTCATTAGTGGGGGTTACCTAAAGGGATGCTGAATTTTATCAAATGCTTTTTCTGCATCTGTTGAACTTTTGTTTTTAATTCTGTTTATGTGATGTATAGTAGTCAACATCTGCATCACAGAGGTTTTCATAACTTGTGTCAATAATATCATTCATTTCAAAGAATTTTTAAATTTCCATCTTGATTTCATTATTAACCCCAAAATCATTTAAGAGAAGATTGTTTAATTTCCATGGGTTTGTATTGTTTTCAGGGTTCCTTTTGGAGTTAATTTCCAGTTTTATTCCACTGTGTTCTGAGAGGGTACTTGATATAATTTTGATTTTCTTAAATTTATTGAGAAATGTTTTGTGAACTATTATATGGTCTGTCTTGGAAAACCTTCCATGTGTTAGTAAGAATGTGTGTTCTGCAGTTATTGGGTAGAATGTTCTATAAATATCAGGTCCATTTGTTACAGAGTGTAGTTTAAGTCCATTGTTGCTTTGTTGACTTTCTGTCTCAGTGATCTGTTTAGTGCTGTCAGTGGGGTATCGAAGTTCCCCACTATTATTATGTTGCTGTCTGTCTTACTTCTTAGGTCTAACAGTAATTGTTTTATAAATTTGGGAGCTCCAGAGTTAGAGGCATATATATTTAGGATTGTAATATCTTCTTGTTGGATTGATTCTTTCATCATTGTATAATGACCCTCTTTCTTTTTTGTTTTTAATATAGTTGCTTTAAAGTCTGTTTAATCTGATATAAAAATAGCTACTTCTGCTCGCTTTTGGTTTCTATTTGCATGGAGTATCTTTTCCCACTTCTTTACCTTGAATTTGTATGAATCCTTATGTGTTAGGTGAGTCTCTTGAAGACAGAAGATATTTGGTTTGTGATTGATTTTTTTTTTTTTTTTTTTTGGTCCATTCTGCCAATCTGTATCTTAAGTGGAGCATTTAGGCCGTTTACATTCAATGTTCATGTCGAGATGTGAGATACTTTCTCCGTCATCATGTTGATTGTTACCTACTTTATTTTCTCATTGTATTACTGTTTTATAGGCCTGTGAGTTTTACGCTTTCAAGAGATTCTATTCTGGTGCACATCAACCTTTTGTTTCAAGTTTTAGAACTCCTAGCATTCTTGCAGGGCTTGTCTAGTAGTAACAAATTGCCTCAGCATTTGCTTGTCTGAAAATGACTTTATTTCTCCTTCATTTATGGAACTTAGTTTTGCAGGATACAAAATTCTTGCCTGACAATTATTCTCTTTAAAGAGACTAAAGAGGTCAGGTGCGGTGGCTCATGCCTATAATCCCAGCACTTTAGGAGGCAAAGGAGGGCAGATCACAAGGTCAGGAAATCAAGACCATCCTGGCTAACACAGTGAAACCCCATCTCTACTAAAACAAAAAAAATGCAAAAAATTAGCCAGGCATGGTGGCAGGCACCTGTAGTCCCAGCTACTAGGGAGGCTGAGGCAGGAGAATGGCATGAACCTGGGAGGCAGAGCTTGCAGTGAGCCAAGATTGTACCACTGCACTCTAGCCTGGGCAACAGAGCAAGACTCCATCTCAAAAAAAAAAAAAGGGGGCTAAAGATAGGATCCCAATCCCTTTGGGCTTGTAAGGTGATATTGTTTGGCTCTGCGTCCTCACCCAAATCTCATGTCAAATTGTAATCCACACGTGTGAGGAGAGGCCTGGTGGGAGGCGATTGAATCATGGGGGCTGACTTCCCCCTTGCTGTTCCCATGATAGTGAATGAGTTCTCATAAGATCTATGGTTTAAAAGTGTGTGGCACCAACAAAAAAAAGAGAATTTTAGACCAATATCCCTGATGAACATCGATGCAAAAATCCTCAATAAAATACTGGCAAACCAAATCCAGCAGCACATCAAAAAGCTTATCCACCATGATCAAGTGGGCTTCATCCCTGGGATGCAAGCCTGGTTCAACATACAAAAATCAATAAGCATAATCCAGCATATAAACAGAACCAAAGACAAAAACCACATGATTATCTCAATAGATGCAGAAAAGGCCTTTGACAAAATTCAACAGCCCTTCATGCTAAAAACTCTCAATAAATTAGGTATTGATGGGACATATCTCAAAATAATAAGAGCTATTTATGACAAACCCACAGCCAATATCATACTGAATGGGCAAAAACTGGAAACATTCCCTTTGAAAACTGGTCACAAGACAAGGATGCCCTTTCTCACTACTCCTATTCAACATAGTGTTGGAAGTTCTGGCCAGGGCATCGGTCAAGAGAAAGAAATAAAGGGTATTCAATTAGGAAAAGAGGAAGTCAAATTGTCCCTGTTTGCAGATGACATGATTGTATATTTAGAAAACCCCATCATCTCAGCCCAAAATCTCCTTAAGCTGATAGGCAACTTTAGCAAAATCTCAGGATACAAAATCAATGTGCAAAAATCATAAGCATTCTTATACACTAATAACAGACAAAGAGAGAGCCAAATCATGAGTGAACTCCCATTCACAATTGCTTCAAAGAGAATAAAATACCTAGGAATCCAACTTACAGGGGACGTGAAGGACCTCTTCAAGGAGAACTACAAACCACTGCTCAACGAAATAAAAGAGGACACAAAGAAATGGAAGAACATTTCATGCTCATGGACAGGAAGAATCAATATCGTGAAAATGGCCATGCTGCCCAAGGTAATTTATAGATTCAATGCCATCCCCATCAAGCTACCAATGACTTCGTCACAGAATTGGAAAAAACTACTTTAAAGTTTATATGGAAACAAAAAAGAGCCCACATTGCCAAGTCAATCCTAAGCCAAAAGAACAAAGTGGCAGGCATCAAGCTACCTGATTTCAAACTATACTACAAGGCTACAGTAACCAAAACAGCATGGTACTGGTACCCAAACAGAGAAATAGACCAATGGAACAGAACAGAGACCTCAGAAATAATACCACACATCTACAACCATCTGATCTTTGACAAACCTGACAAAAATAAGAAATGGGGAAAGGATTCCCTATTCAATAAATGGTGCTGGGAAAACTGGCTAGCCATATGCTGAAACTGTATCTCTTCCTTACACTTTATACAAAAATTAATTCAAGACGGATTAAAGACTTAAATGTTAGACCTAAAACCATATAAACCCTAGAAGAAAACCTAGGCAATACCATTCAGGACATAGGCATGGGCAAGGACGTCATGTCTAAAACACCAAAAGCAATGGCAACAAAAGCCAAAATTGACAAATAGGATCTAATTAAACTAAAGAGCTTCTGCACAGCAAAAGAAACTACCATCAGAGTGAACAGGCAACCTACAGAATGGGAGAAAATTTTTGCAATCTACTCATCTGACAAAGGGCTAATATCCAGAATCTACAATGAACTCAAACAAATTTACAAGAAAAAAGCAAACAACCCCCTCAAAAAGTGGGTGAAGGATATGAACAGACACTTCTCAAGAAGACATTTATGCAGCCAACAGTCACATGAAAAATACTCATCATCACTGGCCATCAGAGAAATGCAAATCAAAACCACAATGAGATACCATCTCACACCAGTTAGAATGGCGATCATTAAAAAGTCAGGAAACAACAGGTGCTGGAGAGGATGTAGAGAAACAGGAACACTTTTACACTGTTGGTGGGACTGTAAACTAGTTCAATCATTGTGGAAGACAGTGTGGCAATTCCTCAGGGATCTAGAACTAGAAATACCATTTGACCCAGCCATCCCATTACTGGGTATATACCCAAAGGATTATAAATCATGCTGCTATAAAGATAAATGCACACGTATGTTTATTGCGGCACTATTCACAATAGCAAATACTTGGAACCAACCCAAATGTCCATCAATGATAGACTGGATTAAGAAAATGTGGCACATATACACCATGGAATACTATGCAGCCATAAAAAAGGATGAATTCATGTCATTTTTAGGAACATGGATGCAGCTGGAAACCATCATTCTCAGCAAACTATCACAAGGACAAAAAACCAAACACTTGCATGTTCTCACTCATAGGTGGGAACTGAACAATGAGAACACTTGGACACAGGAAGGGAAACATCACACACTGGGGCCTGTTGTGGGGTGGGGGTAAGGGGGAGGGATAGCATTAGGAGATATACCTAATGTAAATGACGAGTTAATGGGTGCAGCACACCAACATGGCACATATATACATGTGTAACAAACCTGCATGTTGTGCACATGTACCCTAGAACTTAAAGTATAATATAAAAAAAAGTGTGTGGCACTTCCCCCATTGCTCTTTCTCTCCTGACACCATGTGAAAAAGATGCTTGCTTCCCCTTCACCTTCCACCATGACTGTAACTTTCCTGAGGCCTCCCAGTCATGCTTCCTATAAGCCTGTGGAACTGTGAATCAATTAAACCCGCTTTCCTTCATAAATCACCCTGTCTGAGGTAGTTCTTTATAGCAGTGTGAGAATGCACTAATACAGAAAATTGGTACTGGGGGTGGGGCACTGTTATAAAGAAACCTAAAAATGTGGAAATGACTTTGGAAACAAGCAGAAGTTGGAACAGTCTGGAGGGCTCAGGAGAAGACAGGAAGATGTGGGAAAGTTTGGAACTTCCTAGAGGCTTGTTGAATGGTTTTAACCAAAATGCTGATAGTGATATGGACAATGAAGTCCAGGCTGAGGTAGTCTCAGATGGAGATGGGAAATTTACTGGGAACTGGAGTAAAGGTCACTCTTCAGCAAGAAGAAAGGCAGCATTTTGCCCCTGCCCTAGAGATCTGTGTAACTTTGAAATTGAGAAAGATGATTTAGGGTATCTGGCAGAAGAAATTTCTAAGCAGCAAAGCATTCAAGATGTGACCTGGCTGTTTATAAAAGTCTATACTCATATGTGTGAACAAAGAGATTAGCTAAAACTGATAGTTACATTTAAAAGGGAAGAAGAGCATAAAAAGTTTGAAAACTTTGCAGTCATGAAATCTTAGCACTTTAAAATGATCTCCTTTGACTCCATATCTCCCATTCAGGCCACAAGAGGTGGACTCCCAAGGTCTTGGGCAGCTCTGCCTCTGTGGGTCTGCAGGGTATAGCCCCTGTAGCTGCTTTCACAGGCTGGCATTGAGTGTCTGTGGCTTTTCTAGGTACATGGTGCAAGCTGTCAGCGGATCTACCATTCTGGGGTCCGGAGGACGTGGCTAATGTGGTACCTTGGGGATGTTATAGAACCCTGTTTTTTTATACTTGCCAGAATTATTTTTCTGTTTCCTTCTCATTTGGATAGACTATTTCTTTTAATTATTGTTGACTTCTTTTTATTTGACTGTTTTATTTCTTTTTTCCCCTGAAGGATGTGACTTTAATGTTTATAGTTTATTGCAGCCTTATTCAGCTCTTGGTGCTTTCAGGGGTGAAGACTCTGTAAGAGTTTCTCATTATAGTCTTTGTATGATGACTTTCTCAGATGCTGGCTGTAGTAATGATGTGCTTGGTGTATGACTAAGTTCACTGTCTCTTATGAGGTTGGAATAGCAGAGGTCTCTTTAAGCTTATCTCATTCCCCAATGGTATGCACATTTTTGTTTATTTTTCCCCAGTAGGAGAGGTATCCCTGCATAGAAACCAGCTGTGGCTGAAGCAGATGGGTAAATGCAACACCCAATCATCGGCAGAGGTCCCAATCTTGACAGAGGTGGCTGGGGGAGCTCTCAGTGAAATGCACTGAGATCTTACCAGGGGGAAGGATGGCCTCTCCCTTGCCAGGCCAGCAGGAAAGCAATCCACCTCCCAGTCACACTCCTGACCCAGTGCTACAGCTATTCAAATCAGACAGGCATCTCTTTTCATCTGCAGGAATGAAATTCCAAGTAGAGTTGAATATTTGATATTCCAAGTAGAGACGAATTGTGACTCTACCCCTCAGGCAAGCCTGAACCCAGAGGGCACTCCTCTTGTGGGGATCCAGTCACCCTGAAGTGTTCCAGAAAGGCTGCCTATAGGTGCACTCATGCTGAACTCCTATGGGAGAAGCCCTAGCTGTGTCTGCAGTGATTGGCAGGAGGGAAAAGAATTCCTCTTCTCCAGGACCCTTTGTGAGCACAAGGGCTGCCTGACAGTTGGGGCAGAGCTGCAGACTTTCCCCACTGAGCCCAGCACTGTATCTGTGCCTCTACTGAAAGACACTTCCCACCAGCAGAAAGTTCTGGGACTCAAGGCCTGCCATCCAGACTTGTTTATCTCCCAAGGTGTTCTCTTAATGTGGTACATTCACTCTCCGCCTAGGAGTAGGATTTTCTGAGAACCAGACTACTGTGAATGCTGCTGCTCCTCTGGGTCTAGCCACCTAGTGGGGCTGCCACACTCCAGGTTGGTGCTGGGAAATGTCTGCAAGGGATCCAGTGATGTGATCTGTCCTCTAGTCTCCTAGCAGCAGATACCAGCACTAGCTCTGGTGGAGATGTCAGGGGAGTGACGTAGACCCTATAAAGTTCCTTGGTTATAAATAACCTTAGTGTGTTGGCTTTCTCAAATGCTGGCTGAAGAAGTAATGAACTGGTCACTTGGGCAGACTCAGGACCTCCTGGTTAGCCATGGTGCTGCAGGCAACGGTGATAGCTGAGGTAACACACACATTTTCTCCTTCTTGAGCACTGTGTTATTCTACCTGCAGATGCTGTAATGGACTGTGTCAGTTGGCCTCCAGCCAGGAGGTGGTACTTGCAAAAGAGCACCAGCTGTGTTAGTAGCAGTGGGATTTGTGCTTGCTTTGTTACCTAGGGGAGGTATTCTGTATTCTCAGACAATGAGTGGGGCCATAAAGCTCCCAAAACTTTCTGTCCATTGTGTTAAGTTACCAGAGTGGGTGGAGGGACAAAGCCAGGTAGGGGCTGGGTCAGACAGGGCCGCACTCTGGCTCTCCACATGCAGGGCAAGCAGCAGTTTTTGTGAAATTGGAGGGCAGTTCTCTTGCCACTAGGGTAATGTTCCAGAGAGAAGCACAGCTGTCTCTGCTGCACTGAAGAGTTTGTGCAGAAAGTGGGGAGTAGCAGGTGGCAATAAGCCCCACTCAGCTCCCATTCACTTGGCAAGGCAGGTCTCAGACTTGCAGTGCTCTCCACTAGCAGCAGCTAGCTAAGTCCTAAGCAGTCTATGTTCAGAACTCCCCAGAAGACAGCTACCATGACTTTCAGATCTCACCCCTTCCAGTCCACCCACAAAGCCAGAACACCCAGCTCCTGCACCTGTGGCAGCAGCACATTTCCCACCCACCCTTAAGTTCTGGCCAAGGGTGTTTGTCTGCACTTGAGATTATATCCCGAATTTCAGTTGGGAGCCTCTCTCAACCTGTGACTGCCACCTGTGTTAGCTGACAGACTTCTGTCAGGTACCCTGTGAAGTAGGACCAAAAATGGCTTCCCTCCATCCATGCTGGAGACTGGGAATGCACAAAAGTCTTCCCACTGCTGCTCCTACTTTTATATTCCCTACCACTCCCTAAATCAGCTCCAGTGCCGGGTAGGATTAAGGCCTTTCCCCATCGGCTGCATTGCCAGGTTCCCCAGTGGAAGGGTATATCCCAGAGGCAGTTTATCTGCCCTCGCACTCTGGGGACTTACAGTTTTCCACCTGGCTTACAGTGAAGACTACAGCCTGCCACTTCTTTCAAAGGGCCTGTGGTTTCTTTCAGTTTTCCTATTAAGTTCCTGTGTTGCTTCTTGGAAAAAAGTTCACAGTGTGAATCTCTACACACTATTTCGTCTTTCCAAAAGGGAGAGGCATACTAACAATGTCTCCAATCCACCATCTAAAAAAAAAAAAAAAAAACCAAAAAAACAGTTTTCTTGACCCTCTTGAATAGAATATTTGTTCTTGAAAAATGTAGAATATTATTATTAAAATTGCTTTCTCATTGTCTCCCATTGGCTTTCGATTTTATTGCATATTTGCTATTTGTACAGAGATGACTTATATTTAAGTTAGGCTTATGGAGGGAAAGATTATATAGATTGTCTCTCTTGCCAACAGCTTAGTTGGAGCCTTTTATCATCCCATGTCTGTATTACTGACATAACATGGCCTCTCTGTCCATACCCAGCATGCACAATTCTAAGGGCAATCCCCCTGAGGCTCACAATCATCTCTCGTTCCCCTTGCTCATGTGTCTCATTGCCTACAGAATAAAATTCTTCACTGGGGCTTTCCAATCCTCCCACAATCTGGTACCCCCTCCACGAGCATGTGGACTTCTTTTATTGTCCAAGTTCTGCTTGCCTCCTGCATGACTTATTCTTCTCTTTCTGACTGCTCAAACTTTACCTAGCCATTCTACAAGATTTACTCACATCCTAATGAAGACCTTCATCAATTATTCCACCCTATATTTATGTTTATCCCTAAACCAAGCCACAAATATCAATAGGAAAGAAAGTAAGCCTAGGAAATAGGCATCACTTCACTGGTAACATTGAAACAGCAAGTCTTTCATATACAAATGAAAACATACACATTTTTCTTTTCTTTTTTTTAATTATACTTTAAGTTTTGAGGTACATGTGCACAACGTGCAGTTTTGTTACAATGTATACATGTACCATAGTGGTTTGCTGCACCCATCAACCCATCACCTACATTAGGTATTTCTCCTAATGCTATCCTTCCCCTATCCCCCCACCATGGAATACTATGCAGCCATAAAAAAGGATGAGTTCATGTCCTTTGCAGGGACATGGATGAAGCTGGAAACCATCATTCTCAGCAAACTATCACAAGAACAGAAAATCAAACACCACATGTTCTCAATCATAAGTGGGAGTTGAACAAGAAGAACACGTGGACACAGGGAGAGGAACATCACACACATACACATTTTTCAAAAAGAATTTTGTTAGAATTTGTTAGAAGAGAAGGTAAAAGAGTGCACTATATCAAGAAAGTGCTTCACTCATGAAATAACATGGTGTTAACAGAAAGAGCATACACTTTGGAGTCAGAAGAGCTGGTTTTGACCTTTTTCTGTGAACTTGACTTAGTTTCATAAATGACCTGAGCCTCACTTTTTCCATATTTAAAAGAGGCGATGCCTATTAGCCTTGGGAGATGAAGAATAAGTGATAAACTGTAAGTACTTAGCACAGTGTCTGGCACACTGTGGATGCTCAAAACTTGTTAGATCCTTTCTGTCTCCCCTTTTTCTTCTAGTTAAAGCGCCATAAACATAAGAGCAAAGGCACGTTAAAGAACATTTGCGAAAAAGACAGGAGAGAAGAAAAGTGCCTTATAATATCTTATGTTTGAGCTCCCCTTACATGAAGAACAATCATGTTCTATTCCTGATTAAGCACATGAGAGTATCTCAAAGGTGGACAATTGCCATGAAAAAAACTTTAGTCTTACATTGGTTTGATTTCTAGCAAAAATTTACCGACCTGGTAGATAGTTTCACTTCAATAGAATTAAAGAAGGCAGTGAAGACTGGTCAATTATGAACCTAATTCCAATCAAGAATATAGAAATGTTTGGTGAAGCTGGAATGACCAGAAAACTTGGAAGAAAGTGATCCTGTGTTATCTATTAGTTAGTTAAGAATAGCTACAGATGAAAATACCAGCAATCATAGGCTACATTATATGTCACATATGTGCTAGATACTTGAAAAAGAAAAATTCCAAACTGAAAATTGGTACAATCTCATCATCATAGAAGAGCAGATCTCAATAGGGAATATAAAGGAAAAATATCTAAAGAAAACAATATGCCCATGTAATGAGGAATCACAGTCTTTAAGCTCAAACTTCAGTAAGGCATAATAGGAGATTCTAGCCCAGAATAAATTGATGAATCAAGATATATGATGGGCAATGATAGAGGGGATTATTGAAGTTATTTACTTGAAACAATAAGGAAAAAAATGAGGAAAACCAAAGGAAAAATTAACCGTTGCTGGGAGCAGATGTTCTAAGATTAATTCTGCTCCACATACAGCATTTTCCATCTCAACTGATGATGGCAACTCCATCTCTCCAGTAGCAGGCTTACCCTTGACTACTGTTTGTCTCTCATGATACTCATCCAACTTATTAGAAAGTTATATTTGCTCTATCATCAAAATAAATCAGAATCCAACCATATCTTGCTGCTTCTACTGTTAACCCGCTGTCCGCACTACCAACATCATATGCCCTTCTTCTTCCTCCTATAGCTTATTTCCTATTCCCATCCTGCTCTTTCTTTTTAAAAAATGCTTTAAAATCATTTTCCATATGGCAGCAACTGAGCTCAGCACTTAATATTTACTGCACTGTTTAATCCTAGCAATAACTCCCAGGCAGCATTATTATTGTAACCATTTTATACACAAAAATTAGGCTGATAGAAATAAATAACTAGTTTGTAATCAAAGAGACATGAAGTATCAGAGCCAAAGTTTGATTTAAGGGTATCTGAACTATTAAATGCCTTCTATTTTCCTCCTCTTCTATGTGCTCACAGCAATTTGTATGGGTCCTCTCTCTGTCACTACCATTACTACACTGAATGGTCATTTTCTATAGTATTTGACTCTCTTTCACACTAGACAGTTAAAATCTAGAGAAAGAACTAATATTAGTAATATATGTCATTATTGGGCACTTTCCATGGATTGTTCATTTATTCATTCATCATACTCAATGAGTGTCTGCTACGTACTAGGCACTATTCTAGGTACTGGGGAACCAGTGGTGAACAAAATAAGAGAAAAATCCTGCCCCTTAGCAGTTTACATTTTGGTAGAGAAAGAGACAAATAAATGTACAAATATACCTATAATACATCAAGTAATGATAAGGACACAGACTCAGGCAGGTTGATGGATGTGGTGGTAGCACTGTATGGAAATTCTCTTCTGAGTCCTTCTGTCTTTTCACTGAAGTAAGAATCAAAGTCACCAGAAGAGCATAAATATGAGGATGAAGTGTGGAAGATTTGAGGATAGAAAACATAAGAAACAGTCAGATAGGAACATGTAAGTTAGAGTTAACTAGAGATTACAATAAAATCAGTCATCCTCATGTGTTTTCCTCCACATTTAGCTGCTTTGGTTCAAGTGAAGATTTAACCAGACAGCAGGCACACGATGTTAAATTCTTGATAGATATTATCTCATTCAAATTTTACAGCTCCGTAGGTTGTTCTCATCCTATATTTTCCAGATAAGGAAACTGAACTTAGAGAATTTCTCACTTTCCAAAGGTCATGCAGATAGGAAATGTTGGAACTAGGATTTGAATCCAGATTTTTCACCTTCAAACCTTGAGTTGTTAAATTTGACAAAGGATCATATCAGATGTAGCCTTTATTCTCATCTCTATATGTGCTTAGTAAGTTCTTTTTCAATGAACTAGCTTCAGAAATAAAGTACATGAATCCAGGAGACAAATACTTGGCTAAAAGGCAATTCTTACATGTTCTGGCAGGCTGAAAAGTTAGTATGAGTCATCAGAGTGACAACATGCAGTATTTGGTTTTCTGTTCTTGTGATAGATTGCTGAGAATGATGGTTTCCAGCTTCATCCATGTCCCTGCAATGGACATGAACTCATCCTTTTTTATGGCTGCATAGTATTCTATAGTGCATATGTGCCACATTTTCTTTATCCAGTCTATTATTGATGGACATTTGGGTGGGTTCCAAGTCTTTGCTATTGTGAATAGTGCCACAATAAACATACGTGTGCATGTGTCTTTATAGTAGAGTGATTTATAATCCCTTGGGTATATACATAGTAATGGGATTGCTGGATCAAATGGTATTTCTGGTTCTAGATTCTTGAGGAATCACCACACTGTCTTCCACAATGGTTGAACTAATTTACACTCCCACCAACAATGTAAAAGCATTCTGATTTCTCCACATCCTCTCTAGCATCTGTTGTTTCCTGACTTTTTAATGATCGCCATTCTAACTGGCGTGAGATAGTATTTCATTGTGGTTTTGATTTGCATTTCACTAATGACCAGTGATGATGAGCATTTTTTCATATGTCTGTTGGCTGCATACATGTCTTCCTTTGAGAAGTGTCTGTTCATATCCTTTGCCCACTTTTTGATGGGGTTGTTTGTTTTTTTCTTGTAAATTTGTTGAAGTTCTTTGTAGATTCTGGATATTAGCCCTTTTTCGGATGGATAGATTGCAAAAATTTTCTCCCATTCTGTAGGTTGCCTGTTCACTCTGATGATAGTTTCTTTTGCTGGGTGCCACAGACTTTTAAATGGCCAGATTTCTTGAGAACTCACTCACTATTGTGAGGACAGCACCAAGTGGATGGTGCTAAACCATTTATGAGAAATTCACCCCCATGATCCAATCACCTCCCAGCAGGCCCCACCTCCAATACTGAGAATTACAATTCAACATGAGATTTGGGTAGGGGCAAATATCCAAACTATATCTCTATTCTGCAATTCTGGAGCACACAGAATTAGGGTTTAAAAGGTATATTGTGCCTCAGCAGAAGAAAGAAGCTGTGACAATTGGAGCTGTTTGAAACCTGTTCCACGGGGAGGTGTGTGGCACGTCATTGAAAGGGATGAAGAGGGCCTTCTGTGATCTTTTTATGGATGTCATAGAGGAGAGTCACAAGGACAGAGAGTAAAACAATTATCTATCTTTCCTGCCAACTCTAAGGAAGTCTGGGATAATAATCTTTCTTTCTGATATCCTTTGGTGCGTGTTTTCCTTCACCATACAACCCTTTTCCCATTGTCTTCAGTCAAATTGTGTGGGAATCCTAAATCTGACACATATTGTCTGATGCTGGACAAATTATCTAAGCTCCTTGTGCCTTTCTCCTCATCAATAAAATGAGAACAATGATAGAGTATCTGTTATGGGATTGTTGTGAGATTTATATAAATTAATCCATATAAAGTCCTTAGAAGGGTGCATGAAATCATAAGTGCTCAATAAACGTTAGGTTCATTGTTTTTTAAATTATTTTTCATACACTGCCATTTATGGTTTCTTTATTATTTTACGTGTAATTCTTGTTTTCTTCAGATAGATGGTCATTCCAGTCATAAGCGTGAGTATACAGACTATGTTAGTATTAGTGTTTCTTCATCATTTTGTGTTATTTTTGTTTTCTCCAGCTAGATGGTCATTCTGGTCATAGGACTGAGCATACAGAGTATGTCAGGTTACTAACAGTCCAACATGAAAATGTGTGTCTCTCCTTTCAAGCAGGTTACACTTGTTTAGAAGCCCCACTTGTACATTCTCAGCAATACTTTCAGAGTTTTATGGGGTTACCACCTAAAGATTTTATGTATTTCTTCATCTTTTAAAATAGAAAAGTGCACTCAGACACAATCTCATTTTTCAGGGGTTGCTTTGAGCCTCTAGTCATCATTAGGAAATAAACAAAGATTTGTTTTGCATATAGACCATAAAAGTTTTCTGAAAACCTTCAGTGTTGGGCTACACAAGTTGGGGAGGAAGGAAAGGAGCAATATTGGTGAAAAAATAAAGATAAGTGACATGATCCTCATAGGTCATGAAGAACTTACAATCTAGCGGAAGAGACAGAGCCTTGCCTGAGCCAGCCCTTGCCTACTTTTCCACCTTCATCTGGTACACGCCCTCTTGCCCCAGTTCTAGCCTTGGTGACTGAGTTTTTCAAGCAAGACAATTCCCATCTTCCCACTGTCCCTCCTACCTAACACTCTTCCCCCTGCTCTTTGCATGACAGTCTTCTCTCATCCTTCAGAATTTGGCATAAATAGCTTCTCTTTAGCTTGGTGTTTCTTAATCACCATGTCTAAATGAATTCCCTATCCCAATCCCAAGATTCATTTATTATTGTTATACACCCCATTTGTTACCCTCATAGCACTTGCCAAAATTTTTATTCTTATGTATTAATATTTATGTGTTTGCTTCCTTGCTTTTGCACCCTTTTTCCCCAACAAGAGAAGTGATCATATCTATCTTTATTCACAAATGTAATCTCTTTGCATAGCAAGGATTTCAACAAATGTGTTGTATGAGTGAAAGATTTCAACATAACATAATGAGGACTGGGACTGAGGTGCTGGAGGGCCAGAGAAGTCAGGCAACCAGAGCACCCTTAGCAGTTGCAGGAGATTTCCAGAAGGGCATTGCAGAGGGTGCCAGTGCCCTGCCATAGCCCCTTAGCACTTGTCACATACATGTCAGCAGCTTCTTGTTGCAAGACTGCTAATCTCCCCTCTCTGCCTGAGACAGCATGCTTGGCCAGCACACAAGAAAGGACAAAAAGACCCAGGAGTGGATGCCCAGAGGAGCAGCTCTCAACCAAAAAGGGGTAGGCATGGGTAGCCTGAGCACCTCAGTGTCTTTTCCCCAAGTAGGAAACCTCTAAGGTATATCCTACAGTGTCCCTATGAAGTCCAGTGATGCTGAACCCCTGTTGCCAAAGCAGTAACGTGTTCATTACAACACGTTCCAGAGGTTTTCTTTCCTGTCTTAATTCCCCATCTTCTATGAGTGTTTCTGGATAGACTGCCTCAATAAATTTCTTGCATTCAAATCTTCATCACAGGGTCAGCTTCAGGAAAATCTCAACATAAAAGAAGTGATCAGAATCTTGAAAGACATGTAGAATTCTTTCTACATGTTAAAAAAAAAATCTGAAGAGGGCAGGATCTCCATAGTGCACGAGAAGAAAATCAAAGCTCTGTTTTCCACTAAGCTGCCTTTCCTCTAGGACAGGTCAGACTTTGTTTTTGTCAGGGCCCCTAGAAGG
Source organism: Homo sapiens (assembly GCF_000001405.40). Taxonomy (NCBI): domain Eukaryota; kingdom Metazoa; phylum Chordata; class Mammalia; order Primates; family Hominidae; genus Homo; species Homo sapiens. Next base: position 27,084,572 of record NC_000011.10, read on the forward strand.
TATTTACAGGAAGAGACAGTAAGAGATTGGCTGATCCCCTGCATATTCAATAAGCTATTTCAGAGCCAACAGCTCAGTTCAGTGCAGGTGGACAGAAGGTCCTAAACTCTTGAAATAACACATTGCAACCCAGCATGCTGTGCTCATGAATCTTTAACTAAAGAGCTTCTTTGTGTCTTTTCCTTTTTTGAAATACAGCTCAGGATCCAGGAATGTGATGCTTAACCCTGAAAAGGAAACCTTGTGCAAATGGTTCCTTGAAAACCAGCATGTAGCCTGTTCATAAATTTTATGATGTGTGAAGCACATGTTCAAGGAAGTATTTATTAGTAAGACCATAAGTTAAATTAGGAAGGGTGGTTCATATCTTAAATATTCCATCATTTTTCGTAATGTTTATGTACCCAGACCCAAGTGTGAAACTTAAATTTGTTTTTAATGTATTCTCCTGATAAATGATTTACTCTAGTCAAATGTATTTTCTTTTGGTTCCCTGGATAGTCATGTTTTACAGTTGGGGGAAGATAAGAAAATCCTTTTAAATTACTCTTTCAACACATACAAAGTTAAAATTTCTGTGCAGACATCATAGAATAATTTTCCTGCTGGACTTAATAAAATGTAGTATGATTTCAGGTATATTAGTACAGGCATACTTTGTTTTATTACACTTCACTTTACTGAGCTTCACAGATACTGCATTTTTTACAAATTGAAGGCTTGTAGCAACACGCAAGCAAGTCTATCAGCACATTTTTCCAACAGCATGTACTCACTTTTTGCCTCTGTGTCACATTTTGGCAATTATCTTAGTATCTCAAACTGTTTAATTATTTTCATATCTGTTATAGTGATCTGTGATCAGTGATCTTTGAGCTTACTACTGTAATTTTTCTGGGGTACCATAACCAGCACTCATATATGACAGATAATTTAATAAATGTATGTGTTCTGACCACTTTACTGTCCAGCCACATTCCCCCATCTCTCTCTCTCTCTCTCTCTCTCTCTCTCTCTCTCTCTCTGGGCCTCCCTGTTCCCTGAGAGACAACAATATTTAAGTTAGGCAAATTAATAACCCCACAATGACCTCTAAGTCTTTCAGTGAAAGGAAGAGTTGCATGTCTCTCACTTTAAATCAAGAGCTAGAAATTATTACGTTTAGTGAGAAAGGCATGAAAGCTGAGGGAGGCCAAAAGCTAGGCCTCTTGCACCAGACTGTCAGCCCAGTTGTGAAGAATGCAAAGGAAAAGTTACAGAAGGAAATTGAAAGTGCTACTCCAGTAAACACACAAATGATAAGAAAGCAAAACAGCCTTACTGCTGATGTGGAGAAAGTTTGAGGGGTCTGAATAGAAGATCAAACCAGCCACATTTCCTTAAGCCAAAGCCTAATTCAGAGCAAGGCCCTAACTCTGTTTAATTCTGTGAAGCCTGAGAGAGGTAAAGAAGCTATAGAAGAAAAGTCTGGCAGTAGCAGAGGTTGGTTCATGAGGTTTAAGGAAAGAAGTTTTCTTTATAACATGAAAGTGCAAGGTGAAGTAGCAATTGTGATGGAGAAGCTGCAGCAAGTGATCTGGAAGATCTAGCTAAGATCATTGATGAAGGTGGATACACTAAGTAGCAGATTGTCCATGTAGATAAAATGCCTAATATTGGAAAAGATGCCATCCAGGATTTTCATAGCTAAAAAAGAGAGGTCAATGCCTAGCTTCAACACTCCAAAAAACAGACTGACCCTTTTGTTAGGGACCAATACAGCTATTGACTTTAAGTTGAAACCAATGATCATTTACTATTCTGAAAATTCTAGGACCATTAAGAATTATACTGAATCTGTTCTGCCTGTGCTCTATCAATGGAAAAACAAAACCTGGATGACCATACGTCTATTTACAGCATGGCTTACTGAATATTTGTTCAATAGCTGTTGAGACTCACTGCTCAGAAAGAGAAGATGCTTTTCAAAATACTACTTTTCACTGACAATGTAACTAGTCATTCAAAAGCTCTTATTAAGATGTACAAGGAGATTGATGCTGTTTTTATGCCTGCTAACGCAACATTCATTCTGCAGCCCAGGGAGCAAGGAGTCATTTTGACTTCCAGTCTTATCATTTAAGAAACACACATTTTATAAGGTTATTGCTGCCACAGATAGTGTTTCCTCTGATGGCTGTGGGCAAAATAAATTGGAAAACTTCTGGAAAGGATTCACCATTCTAGATGCTATTATGAACGTTTTTGATTCATGGGAGGAGGTAAAAATACTAACATTAACAGGAGTTTGGAAGAAGTTGATTTCAGCCCTCATGGATGGCTTTGAGGGGTTCAAGACTTCAGCAGAGGAAGTAACTGAAGATGTGGTGGAAATAGCAAGAGAACTAGAATTAGAAGTAGAGCCTGAAGATGTAACTAAATTGCTACAATCTCATAATAAAACTTGAATGAATGAGGAGTTGATTCTTTTGAATGGGCAAAGAAAGTGGTTTCTTGAGATGGAATCTACTCCTGGTGAAGATGATGTGGACATTGTTGAAATGAAAACGAAGGATTTAGAATACTACATAAATGCTGTTTATAAAGTAGTGGCAGAGACTGAGAAGATTTACCCAAATTTTGAAAGAAGTTCCACTGTGGAAAAATGCTATCAAACAGCATCACATACTACAAAGAAATACTTTGTGAAAGAAAGAATTAATAATGGAGCAGACTTCACTGTTGTCTTAAGAAACTGCCACAGCCACCCCAGCCCTCACCAACTTCCACTCTGATCAGTCAGCAACCATCAACTTTGAGGCAAGACCCTCCACCAGCAAAAAGATTATGACTCACAGAAGACTAAGATGATCATTAGCAATTTTTAGCAATAAAGCATTTTTTAATTAAGGTATACATATTTTTCAGATGTAGTGCTGTTTCATACTTACAGACTACAGTATAATGTAAACATAAATTTTATATGCATTAGGAAACCAAAAATTCTGCATGACTCACTTTCTTTAGCTATTCACTTTGTTGTGGCAGTCTGGAACCCAACCCGCAGTAACTCCAAGGGTATGTCTATATCCCTGAAAATTAAAGCATTTTGCATTCAGGCCACTATGAAGAATTTGAAAACTGGTTAGTCACAGCAGCGTCTGTGAAAGTCATATTTAGCATAATCAAATTTAGGAGAGGCTCATATTGGTACACAGGTTCTAATGGGCTATGGCCCTTAGTCTCTGATTTCAGCAAAACTCCTAACTAGAGCACTCCAACAGAGAGCTATGGTTGAAAAAGTATACATTTTGAAGAACTGAAAAACCATTATAACCACACTGTGATGGTAAAGTCCTGTAAAATCATAATTATTTATACTACAGACTATGCTGCCTATTGTATTGACAGCTGTGCATTATCCTAGAGTCTCTTTGTGTGAATATGGTTAACTTTACACATCTAAAAGATAATATATTTTTTAAAGAATATAAATCTTTCTGTATTTTTAAAACAAAGTATATTATAGGTGAGTGTGTGTGGGTGCTATTTTATAATGGAAAAAAAAGCTCATATAGAAACAAAAATTCATCGAAACATGCTATGGAAGTATGTAGTGTGTGCCCTAATCAGATGCTTCACTTCTTGAATGAACAATGTAGTCAAAATATAAACTCAACGTTTAAAGAAAATTCATCTTGTGAAAATGATTTTTCAATCACTGTGTATTATATTTCCCTGCCACATGGTCACTGAAACTCTCTGGAAAGTGATAATGACCTTAAGTAAAACCAAAAAGGCATGGATCACTGAAATATAGTGGCACATACTAAAGAAGAGAAGCTAGCTGATTTTTCAGTGTGCAAAGCCTTGGTTCATTTCACCAAAGGTGAATAGCAATGTTGTTTCAGTGTTGTGCAATGAAACCTGCTCATAGTGCTTTTCCTGCATTTAAAATTCTGACTAGGAGCCAAGGTTTATCTTTAAACACCCATGCTTGAACAAGTTCAGACAAAATGTTCCTAATTGTAACTTGCTCTGCTTTCATTTTTATCTAGTAGATTTCCTTTATGAGGGACAGACTAAGCTATGGATATTCAGACACAGGACATAAAAATACCCATGATGATAGTACTTCAAGGCATCAAGTGTTTATTTTATATGCAGTTGTTAAAATTATAGATTTTTGAATCAGTCACTTGGATTTGACTAAGTAGTCTTATAAATCATTAGCTGCATGACTTGGAACTCTGTTCCCTTCTCTATAACACAGCAACACTGAAAACATCTGTTACATATATTTGCTGTGGAGATTAAAAGAAATAAGGTACTAGCACTGTGCCTGACCTATTCAGCAAATATTAGCTATTATTATTGATACTATGGATCTTCTATGTGCCATGTACTGTACCAAACTCCTTTCATAATATTATTACATGGTCATAAAAGATCTGCAGAGTAAGCATAACTGTCTCTATTTTATAAAAGAGTGAGACACAGAGAAGAAGCCAAGAAATGATAGCACCTGGTAAGAGGCTGGACAATGATTCAAACCCAAGTCTCTTGCCTCCATGCTCTTTTCTTCATGCATGACCTATCTAGTGCAGTACCAGTCACATACATATGGCTATTTATTTAAATTAATTAAAATTAAATAAACACTTTAGTGCCTCTGTTTCGCCAGCCAGATGTCAAATCTCAATAACCATGTGTTTCTAGTAGCTATGATATTGGACAGCACAGATATGGAATATTTCCATTATTGCAGAAAGCCCTATTGGACAGTACTATAGTCTGTACCACTATCATCTCTCTAGGCTGCTTTACTCTCAATAGGAAACAATACATTTTTCTTAAAATCTTAATAAATGCTCATATATAAATTACTTAAACAGCTGTAGTAAAGGCAACACATTTACTATAGATAATCATGTAGACAATACCTAATTCCATACAACAGTCTACATAGGAATAGAAAATACATTTTTGGACCAATTACCACAGTGCCAGAAAACTAGAATTTTCAGCTGCTATTTAGGCAAACGTTTTATTCAGTGATAAGAACAAATGGTGATGGGAAATCGAAAAATCAATATGAAAATGCCAAGTGAGTCTTTAACATCCCATCCACTTCTAATACTCCATGAGCCCCTGATTTCTAACAAGCTTAAAGCTGTTTTCAATAAATCTTTTAATGTTCTGGACATGGTCCACTTAGGTGTGAGCTTTGGAAAGAGGAAATGGTGATTTGTTATTCATGCCCTTAACACTGATGTTTTGGCCAGTAAATTTTTCTTCTCACTAAAACCCAAATGACCTTTCTAGTTAGGCAGTCAGTATGTAATTTGTATAACATTTATCATCCTCTTCCTGCCAACCTTTTTAATTGGTATCAGATATTACAATCAGAGGACTGTAAACACAATGAGCAAATGGGAGTGGCAAAGCAAACAATCACATAATCCAATATTCAAAACAAAGCCACATCTATTGCCTCTCTGAGAAGAGGCTCTTACCATATGAAATCAATCCCGTTTTCTTTTGGAAATAGTTTAAGTATGAGGGACTGCCCTGGGGAACTTCACGAACATGAAAGAGTAGCTGGGCATCAAGAAAGAACACTAGACAAGGGATCGGAAAATTGAATACCTATTGGGGGAAACTGCCCCCAATATTTCAACGTAGGTTCTTTCTATTTTCCATAAGTGTCAGCTGGCTGAGAAATAGAGAGACGGTACAAAGAGAGGAACTTTACAGCTGGGCTGCTGGGGGTGACATCGCATATCAGTAGGACCATGATGCCAGCCTGAGTCTCAGACCAGCAAGTTTTTATTAAGGGTTTCAAAAAGGGTGGGGGTGTAAGAACAGGGAGTAGGTACAAAGATCACATGCTTCAAAGGGCAAAAAGCAGAACTACTAGTAAGGGTCTAACAAAGATCACATGCTTCTGAGGGAATAGGACAAAGGGCAAAAGCAGAACTACTGGTAAGGGTTTAACAAAGATCACAAGGCAAAGGGCAAAAGCAGAACTACTGATAAGGGTCTATTTTCAGCGGTGCACGTATTGTCTGGATAAACATCTTAAACAACAGAAAACAGGGTTTGAGAGCAGAGAGCCAGTCTGACCACAAATTTACCAGGGCAGAGTTTTTCCCCACACTAGTAAGCCTGAGGGTACTTCAGGAGACCAGGGCATATCTCAGTCCTTATCTCAAACACATAAAACAGACATTCCCAGAGCAGCCGTTTATAGACCTCCCCCAGGAATGCATTCCTTTCCCAGGGTATTAATATTAATATTCCTTGCTAGGAAAAGAATTTAGCGATCTCTTCCCTACTTGCACGTCCATTTATAGGCTCTCTGCAAGAAGAAAAACATGGCTCTTTTTGCCCAACCCCGCAGGCAGTCAGACCTTATGGTTGTCTTCTGTTTTACAATCAATTTATACAGTTAACACAATTATCACAGTGGCCCTGAGGTGATGTATATCCTCAGCTTATGAAGATAGCAGGATTAAGAGATTAAAGTAAAGGCAGGCATAAGAAATTATAAAAGTATTATTTGGGAACTGATAAATGTCCATGAAATCTTCACAATTTATGTTCCTCTGCCGCAGCTTCAGCCAGTCCCTCCATTCAGGGTCCCTGACTTCCTGCAACAGACAACTTCTTGGTATCCTGAACATATCTCAACTATAGCAGTGATTATATTTTGTTTTAATTGCCACCTTCCATGTCAAATTCTCCTATAGACTGTGAACTCTTCAAAACCTACTGCATATCACCATGCCTTGTGACATGATAAAATATTAGCCTTATTGAAAAGATAAACCAACAAATGACTATTGATTGGGTAGCTCATATAATCAAGAAATACCAATAAACTGTATCAAACCATCCTTCCTCCCTCCCCCAAAATGTATAATCATCCTGAAACCTTCATGCCTCATTGTCTGTTATTGATTTAACCAACTTGCTCTGGTCTAATAAAACATGGCCCATGTGCTGACCTGTTTCTCTTTGCCAAAGTGACTTGGTTAATATTAAATTCTAAGGTTTTCTCAAATATCAGAAGCACTTGAAAAGCAATGCTTAAAGAACTGGAAAGACTGTAGTTCTTTCAGTTCTGGTTACTCCTCACAGAGAGAAAAGAGTTAAAATTAGGGATTCAGAACCAGTGGCTGGATATCACCTCAACTTTCAGAGATGATACAGTAAGTCACCGAGGCCTGTGGAATGTGTTCAGTACTAACGAATATTAGCATAGTAAAAAATAATTAATGCAGCTCTAGGGAGGCCTAATTTACACTTAGCAATTTTCGTCCTGGAAATTCTGGCTCATTATGCAAACTGCTGTGCTTAATAACCCAGAAACTTTGACAATATATGCATTTATAGCCTAATTAGGCTTTCATACATACACACACCTACTAACCTATGCCAATGTCCTTATGCAACTAGCTGGTGGAAGAGCAAGAAGTGGCTCCGTGCACCTGCATGTATCTTTTTACTACTAAAGCCACTATCTGACGCCTACAAAAATTCCTATTTCTGCAGAAACAGCTATGCTGACATCAAAGAAGCAATGGTTTCCAGTCCACAACTACTACAAGAGGCACCATTCTTCATTCTTAAACAGGGGGCTTTATTTTGTTTCTATAAAATGACACATTCCCCAGCTAGAAAAGAAGAGCATTGCTCACAATGATATTGAGATCGCAAGTTCTCATTCTGTCACTTTTTAGGAAGGCTTACCTTCCTAGGGCAATTTTCTTACCAAGGAAGGAAGAAATCAAACGGATCAGCTAGAGTCAGGCTTTTCCTGAATTCAGTTGGTAATATCTGTTTTAGTTTCCTTGGCAAATTTGCATTTCCTCTGTGTTCCACTTCCTTTGGGAGAGCCCGGTTTGCAAGCCAATTATTTTTTACATTTTTCTTTCTGTTTTCTCAATTAAGCATTTTTATGAGCATTTAATCATGAAGAATGAGAGAGCTAACGGAAAGCATTTGACCTTATCTGTGTGGCGCTCCCACTAAAAGGTCTATGCATTCCAGGAATATACCTTCATCTTTTCTTGCTGACCCCAAAGGATCACTTGATCCCAGAGGTTGCTTCTTAACAGGTGAAATAAGAGGAAAGAAGAGCTGTACCTACCATATCAAAGCTCTCCTCAACCCCCAGCTCCCAAGAGTAGACATATGCTGTTCTAATCTACCATTTTGATTTTATCATCTATTTGGAGTTGAGCAATATAACTTGGCTGTTAACACATACAGTATCTCAGAGTTATTTCTAAGCAGTGTCCATGAAGAGAAGCCCTAAGAACATACAGATCAAGAGTCATTCATCAGCTAAACAATATTCCCTTAACAAATGGGGCATATTGAATACCTGCTATGGGCCAGACACAGTTATAAGCAGGAGGCATATAACAGACTGGTGTGGTGCCAAGGAAGAAAGGCCTAGTGACTTGGGCATTTCTAATATGAATAACATTTAATAAAGTCCATTATAAATCAACAATCAACTTTAATGAACTAGCCCCTTCTCTGAGGTTATCGTCTTATGTAAAAAGAATGTAATCCCATCTGATTTCTTCATTTTATCAATTCACAGAATGCCAATACTGGGGCTCAGAGCTCCAGCTACCCACTTTGGATTTTGAAGATGTTTTAAGATATGATGAACACGCATACAAGTGGCTCTCCACCCTCAAGAAAGTAGGCATAGTAAGACTCACCGGAGCATCTGACAAACCAGGAGAAGTTTCAAAACTTGGGAAAAGGATGGGTTTCCTCTATCTCACATTTTATGGGTGAGTCACCAAATGGTTTGTATTCTGCCATCACAGATAAGGTTTGAAATAGTTCCCAACTGAGGACGACCGCCTTGATTGAAGATACAGAAATTCTCATAATGTCTTGAGTAGGAAGTCAGATAAAAAGAAGAGTCTAAAAGTAGTATTTTGCTGAGAATGATAATTTTTTAAGAGACCAAAAGCCCAAAGACACCAGGCACCAAAGACATCAGGCTAGTTATAGGTGGTGTATATAATCTGCTTGGGCTGCCATAACGAAATATCACAGATCAGATAACTTAAACAGCAGAAAATTATTTATTTGTTTTTTTACAGTTCTGGAAACTGGAAGTCTAAGATCAAGGTTCTGGCAGGGTTGGTTTCTGATGAGGCTTATGTCTTGTGGCATGCAGATGACTGCCTTCTCACTGTGTCCTCGCATAGCCTTTCTTCTGTGCATAGCACACTCCTGCTGTCTCTTCTTCTTCTGATATGGACACCAGTCCTATTAGCTTAGGGCCCAGGGCTCCATCTCCAAGCATTGGGGGTTAGGGCTTCAACATATGAATTTGGGGGGACATAATTTATTCCGTAACAGGTGAGATGAAAGACTGTGTTTCTCCAAGACTTTACAACATATTAAACTTTATGTTAAAGTTCATTAAACTTTTACCTCCCAAGAGTTGGCTGAAAATAAAGTTGGGCCCTGAGAAATTAAAATCAGTCACAGACATGTTTAAAAGATAAAACTAACATTCATAAAATTAGGCCTATGTGGTTTAGTAAGTAACAGGGAGATATAATTGATTTTAACTTTGGAACAAGAGGCTGTTTGCATAAGAATTTCCTGGGAGGTAACATTAATTATGGATGGTTAAACACTAACAACAGGAAACACTTATGTAGATGTGGGAGTATAACTGTATTTCTTTAGAGTGAGTCCCTTATGTGGGATTAATGCAATTATTCTTGGGCTCATAGAGTAGAGAGCATTGAAAGTGAAAGGGACCTTCCAACTCCAAAGGTTACAACTGGAAGCACACGAGCTGTATTCAGATGTTTGGTTTGGCCCACATGATGTTGAAAGAAAATGGAATTAGTCGTTACCACTTGAAAACTGGGAGATTTTACATTACATGTGGACCTGACTTTTCTTGAAAAATCATATCTAGCAACAACAGAGCCTAAATCCTTGCATGCCAACAATCTACTGGATACAAGTAGAGGCTGCCCTTGAAGAGAGGTAGACTCACTCTCCAGTTTGCCAGAATCCTCCACGCTCTCCAGACCTGCAAGGGCCCTGCTACTCTTTACGTTTGCCACCCCTAAACTAGAGTAAGACTTGGTCTGTAGATAAACAGGAGACCAAAAATATTCAATCACTGAAAGACTCTGCCATCTCTGCCATGTTTAGACTTAGACAACACAGCACCTACTCTGACTCCGAAACTTACATTTACCATTAGTGGATTTGTGTTGTATAAAATTTGTATCTCCCTTACACCTGCAAGAATTTGAGCTGCCCTAGAGATTACAGCAACAACAACAGACAAAGGAAAGAGGGGGAAAAGTCTCAAAATTATTAAGAGCCTTAACTGTATTATGTATTGTTCATTTAATTGTCACAACAACTTTCTGAAATAAATATTATCCTTCAGTTCACTGATAAGGAAACTGAAGCGCAGAGAATTAATCTGTAACCCAAGTGCCCACAGATAGTAATAAAGGAACCAGAGTCTGTCCTATCTATGGACTTTCTGCTCTACCTTGCTGTCAATAATATGAAGAAAGCACATGGAAAAGAAGAGCTTTTAGCCACTGGTGTTAAACAGGACACTTTGAAACAAATCTCTTCTAAGTCGTTTTACTTAGTTTTTATTTGCTGACAACAAACTTTTTGTATCTGTTCCAAGGCATTTCACAATTTCATAAGAGTGGCCAAATTTGGGGATCTTTGTTGGAGTTCTCTAAACTACCCTGCAAAACCATCACACTAGGGGTCACAATCTAAGCTTGATTTATTACGTGTGTTGTTTTGTTTTTGCAGGTCCTATAAAAGGGCTTAATAATTTGGCCACTGATCTAATATTGTGAAATTATTGGAATAAATACTAAAGGTCTGTTGTCAAAACAAATCAGAACTCCTACTACCATTCCATGTCCCTTATGGGCCTTGCCACCTAACCAGATAAGTTAACCTACCCATCTCACCTTCCTTAGATTATCACATTTCTTACCTGAATCTCTCAAATTATGTGCATGCCAGAAAACGCCTTTCTTTCCAGCTTACCCCTTACTTCTACCACTGGTTATCAAGATCTCTCTACATATTTTTTGACAATTTTTAATTCTCTACCTCAAGAACTGACAGAACAGTTTTGTTGTTTTTGTTATTGTTGTTTTATTTGCTTTTTTGTTTTTGTTGATATTCAGAGAATAAGAAAAATAAATATTTTCTCTAACATTGTCCCCTTTTTCCATTTCTCTGCATAGTAATGTGCAAAAGTGATACTGAAGTCTGGGTAACGTAGATTTAAAAGAAGAAAGAATACTTAGAACAGTGGTTTTCAACCTAAGCTGCTTATTGGAATAGCCAATTTAAAAAATACTGACATCTGCATCCCATCTCCAGAGCTTGTTTTTCTTTTTTTATTTTTTTAACAGTACTGGTATTTGGCCTGAGTATCAGGACTCTTCAAAACTCTGCAGGTGATTCTCATGTGCAGCCAAGGTTGAGAACCTCTGGCTGAAAGGAAAGGGGACTTCAATAGAAGTCAGGTCTCCATTGGGATAGAACTGGGGTGCTTTATATCATCTGAACTCTCACAATGATGTGCACAAAATGGCATTTACCACGTTATTCTTTCTACTTTGTTTGTGCCTGGATATGACATCTTCAGAACAGACTCAGTAGCTGCCTTAAACAATGTCCCTCCCTTTCATATCTTTGTTTCTCCACTGGAAAAGTATCTTACTCTTGTTTCAAAAATAATTAGTTGGTGAGTGAGTGAATGGAATGAATAAATGCACACAATAAATAATGGAGAAAAGAGATTAAACAATAGAAGAGGGGTAGAAAAAGGAAAGTAGGAACAGATTAAAAGTAAACTTTGCTCTCCATGCAGATTTTTCAAGGAAGCTTATGACTGCTCTTGGTTAGATGCCTAAAACAATAATAGCTTGCTGATGGTGCCACGTTAGACATGCCTTCCTTGGGAAACTAGTACCCACCTCGCACTTTGCCATTCAAGTAGGGTTATTAGTTTCAAAAATGTTAAATGCATGAGTCTAAAATGAGAATGAGAATAGCTATTTTTGGTTCTTGGCTGTCATCTCAGTTGTTAGGTGGTTGGTTGGATGAACAAAAAAACAGTAGATTCCAGCATTTCATGTAGTCTTCATATACAGAAGGCAAGGAATAAATGTTTAATGAATAAATCATGCCTAAATCTTTGTAAAGGACTATAAACCAGCAGATAAATACAATAATTATTAGAATCTTTCACCATTATAAACTATGTTCAACTAAATCAAAATGGCAATAACTTTCAGGACAAAAGTGCATGTCATTTTCCACATCTGTATTTTCTCAGATGCTTGTCATTATTTTGTCAGCACATCATCATCTAGACAATATTTTTTTATGCAACCATGTGAAATGCTCAGTAACTTTACTCACTTGATAATGATGAATACTTTCCTAGGACAAAAGAATAAGAGTAGGTAAAGAAATTCTCATTGTCAATTTTGTCAAATACATGTAAACATGGAGCAGTATGTAAAAAGACAACCTTTCGAGAATTTAAAGCTTTGATTTAGCACAAAGTTTTTACAGACTAGGCCAAAATGCCTCATCTCATGTCCTTTCTCCCCCACCAAAAAAAAGAAAATCAATGAAAATAATTTTCTGGAGCCCTTTTAGGAAAGGTGATATTATTGAATAAATGAATTTTATGACATGACTTAATCCATTGGGAAACAGTTATTGTAAACTACATTCTATCATACACTGTCATTTTCAATGATTATACCAAGTTAGGATGTTTTTTCAGAATGTATCCTACGAAGTAAATCCCAAAGAAAGTACAATTTCTGTCAATCAAACAGAGTATCTTTCTTGAATACTAATAATACGTGCATGGCACTGTACCAGGCATTTTGTTGGGTTTAGATTTGGGTTTCTACTTTATGAAAAAGTACCTTTTGTAATTGCTGTATGTGGGTAAATGTAAATACTTGAATTGGCTTCCTTTAAATAATCTAGGCCAATAAAAATTCCATAAAGCGAAGGAACAGACTGAAAAGTAACCCCGGACTTTTGGCATTCCAACTGAGGGAACATGACAGTCAATATATGCCAACAGCAGTTCAAAGAGGGTGGATAACAGGAAGGTGATCCCCAGGATGATGCAAAGCATGGTCAAGATGGGGAAATACTCATCTACCAATATTATCTTCAGACAAAATGAATCCACTCCTCAAAATTTACACAGGCTACCGTTGTGTAAATAGGTGTGGCAAAATAATATAAATTTAATTAAGATTATGCAATGTCGTGCAGCCCTTCCTCCCCATCCTCAAGCTAATCCAACTCAGACACATGCCATTTCTATGACATGCCATTCTTCCCTATTCCTGGCCATCCCCTAAATCAGTCCCTTTCTCACTTGTTTGTTCAGGACCGCTTCTTTCTCTTCCTGCTTAACCTTTTGTTTGCTGCATGTATCTCTCTTGCTTTTATATCTCCTGGACCTTTATTCTGACTACAGACAACCTGTGCCAAGTCTTCATGTCTTTTTGGCTGCTTTTTGGCCTTTCTTGCCCTTTTCACTTGACTTACTAACATTTTTCCTCTTCCCTTCCAACCACCACACCTGCTACATCCTCCCATTGATCTGGCATCCTCTGCAGCGCTACAGTAGAAATTCTCTCCCAGCCTCTGTTCTGTGAAACCACTACCAGTACCTCATCCCCAAGCCCTGGCATTATAATAAACCAAAATAATTATATGCTCCTCACTCAAATGAACGAGTTTTGCACTCTTGATGGCCCATCAGGAAAGAGAAGTGGAAATTCTCTCCCACAAACTCTTAACATAAAGTAAGGCAATTTCTACTTTTTGTTGCAGATTCTATTTTTAGTAGTAATACATGCATTATATTAATAAAACAAAATGAACAACACTTGTGTAAGATGTCACTACTGTTTTTTATGCTGGACTGTAGCAATGCATGGCTTTATCATACTATAATTCTGGTAAGATAATATTGAGAAATTCAGACAATCTTCTCTAAAATGGCAAAACTCAAACCCTGAAAATTCCTTTTTTAATGAGTTGGACAACTAAATAAACTGGAGAGTCCAGGGAATTATTATTTACATAAGCTGATCTGTGAGTATGTTTGTGTTCATGACACAGAGAAAGGGAGAGAAAGAAAGACTTGGTGGGAAGGGTACAGTGTCATTTTAAAAAATATTTGTCAACTATATTTTATATTATTAATTAACTATCCTGCTTGTAACTCTACCAGTCTAACCTTTGAAAACTAAGAAGGCTTATATCATTGCCATTGCCACTGTCATGTTGAGCTTCTTATAGGCATAAATGGTGGCGTAATCAAGGTCGTATCTTTACTGTTAACTCAGCACCTGACACACAATTACGTCTCAGGAAATTTTAATGAAAGGGAATATGTGCTAAGTAAGATATTGTAGACTTCCATCTGAACAAGACAACAAAAGCTCTTTGACAACATTGTCAAAATTTATCAGTCCATAATTTAAAAGTTAACCTCATGGGAAACTCAGAGTGACTCTTCTTCCCCAAAAAGTCAAGCAGAAGAGAATAAAACTTCTAACCTTAGCTAGCGAGACATCCTTCTTTTCAGAACTGAGCCCAGCAGTTCAGATTTGTTTTTTTTCTAAGAATGTTTTATTTGCTGGCACCAACAAGTTGCATTAATACATGTAATGAGGGTTACACTGGTAAGAATAATGGGGTAAAACTGGAAACAAAAATCTGAAATATGAAATTCAACTTCAGGGAATGAAATAAAGAAGGCAAGAGGCAATAGGAAAAGGAGATAAAATAAATGTGGATCTTGGTGGTAGTCAACTTTTATCTTGTATAGCACTGCATGGAAGCTATATAACTGTTGAATAAAACTTATAAGGCCACAAGTTTATAGTAGAAAATATAAATAAATACTTTGGAAACTTTACGCCCAAAACGTTTAGGAAGAATTGGGGACCCAGTGCCCCCCAGCATCTGTACTGGATTACGTCCTTGACAGCTGCTCATAGGATCAACAGGGAAGCAGTCTAATCATGGCTTCACCATGGGCTGTTTGTAAGCGAGAAGTCGATCTGAGCTTTTCATGTGATTTCCCAGATCTCTCTGATCCTCCTCTACTGCGGACTTGCCTCACTCTTTCTGCAGGGGTGTTTTAATACCTGCTATGTCCTTTGAGGTCCTTGGGTGAAAGTTTGCTTGAAAAATGTAGAATGCTACTACTACTGCCCAGTGTTATATCTTCATGAGTTCCTTGCAGGCAGGCTTCATTGGATAAATAAAATAAGGTCAAATAGAAATGTGTCTAGTGAGTTGTTGATCTAATCCACCAGCCAGACCAGTTAAGGATTCACAACACTGAAATGGCCTCTGGGAAGTACAACTATAATATATAGCTTTCCAGTATCCACTAGACTCCTGTTTGCATTTCTGAAAGTTGTCTTGTAAGCCAGCCCAGCAGCATTTCACACATTAGATTGGATTCAAGGATGTACAAGTGAAAAATATTACTATTTCTCGGCATCTCACCCCTAAGAAATTGCTCCTACCATGAATACAGCCTCCAAATCTGACTTTGAAACAGCTACTTGTTTGAAATACTTGTTACCAGAAAACAGTTGTGAAGTATGGGGATTAGAGAAAGAAAAAACAAGTTTACCCATTTGTTGATGTTTCTAATTAGGAAATTGCTTGAGAAAACCACCCAGCCCTTCTTGAATAAAAATGTCTTCTGGGTTATGAAAAATCAACCTAGAAATAATTCAAACTTGAGAAGAAGACAAAGAAAAATTGCCTGAGTTCTAAATTTAATTGTAATCCCATTCTACTTTTTAAAAATTTACACTGGGACTCCTTAATAACTTAATGTGCTAATTATAATGCTTGGGTAGAGGGACAAAAAAACTCTTTAAAATGTGTATTCTAGTAAGTATTAGGGTTTCTTGAGCAGAGTAACAAGCTATGTTCTTTGAGCCATTGTGAACCTCAGCTTATGTTATCAGCCAAGAGCCAGTCTCCAGGGTTCCCTTTGTAATATTAAGTTTCATAGTAATTAATACTGCTGCCAACAAAACCACTTGAGTATGAAGTCATCTCATGAATGAAAGGAAAAATAATTTCTGTGTCTCATGCTCTTTTAGAAATCACTTGAGGAAATGTATGAGATAACCAATTAAGGCAATTGCTTTTCAACAGGTCCTCTGACACCCCACCCCACCCCCAGCACACACACATACAACCTTCCTTCCTTGCTTGTACTCTGTGCAGCCAGGACAGGTGGCTGTTATTGGGATGGTAGAAATAATTTTTTATTAAGCCCCTTTTATGTACTAAGTATTGAGCTCAGCAGTTTACACTCATTATTTTGAATCTTCACAATTCTGAGAAGAATCATTAACCCATTATCCCCCAAAAAAATGAGGCAGAAGAATCAGGCTACAAACCCAGGTTTGCTTGACTCAACAGCCTGCAGTCTTTCCTTTATACCATGCTACTATGGTGGTTCATTGTTATCTAACATTTACCTCCTAATTTCCAATGCCATAATAACTGTTAATTGCTCAGATGCAAGGAGATAATTAGACAGCATTATATAGAAATTTATCAAATTAAGTAGAATGACAGCACCAGAATATTCATTGCTTTCTCCTAAGTTAAAATTATCACCAACCATTTACATAAAGGGAAAATGGCAATTAATACAGAATCAGAAAACATTTTATTCAATATTTCACATTAAAAAATCAAAACTAATACCCAATTCTTGTTCTAATAAAATGCATTAAGCAAAATTTGACTGCCTCCAACTCAAAAAGAACCCTACTAAATATATTTAATGTGGAATTCTCATTAATTATTTCACATTTTTGCAATGTACTACATTATTTGTTTTTTATAATGAAGCCTTTGGGGCTTCCTTTGGAGCAAATTGCTATAACTTTTTCTTTATGTTTTTACAGGTAGTTTTCATCCTTCTATCACTACCTGACTTCATTTTTATTAATGGCAGTATTATTAACCTTTAAAAATAAATGTACAACAAAGATTTCTTTTTTTATTTTATTTTTAAATTATTTTTGCAGTTTTATTGAGGTACAAGAGACAAAAATTGTATATATTTACAGTGTACAACATGACATTTTGATTGCCACAATCAAGCTTATTAACATATCCATTCTTTCACATAGTTATCTTTATATTTTGTGGCAAAAAGACCTGACATCTACTTTGTTAGGAAATTTCAAGTATATGATACATTATTATCAACTATTGTCACCATGCTGTTCTTTAGGTCTCCAGTACTTATTCATATAATAACCAAATGTTTCTACCATTTTGACAAGTATCTCCCCTTTTCTCCTACTCCCATCCCTTGTAACCACTGTTCTATTCTCTGTTACTAAGAATGGACTTCAGACAACCAAAATGAATACATACGTTGACATAAGCTTGGTGCTGAGCAGTAAATTTATGTTTATGTCAATTAAATTGTAGGGGAGGAAAAAAAGGATATTGAACAGCTAAAAAATAGAAAAAGCAAAGTACAGTGCTAAGGATGCATGTGGTTGATAATACTCTAAACCAGGAAAGAAAGGAAGTGAATACCATAAAATTTAGGAAAGCTGTTACATTTGGGGAGAAAAGTGAGGTTTGTGTTTGTTAAAATAGGTTTCCTGTGGTAAAATATAATACAGATACAGAAAGTCGCATAAAATAAATGTATAGCTTAATGAACTATCATAAGGCAAACACCCTTAAACACCAGCCAGGTCAAAAAATGGAACGTTGCCAGCCACCCCAAAACCCATTGACATATCCCAACCAAGCATAAACCTTGCCTTTTTCCCCAAGTGTAATGGCTTTCCTAAGTTTTATGGTGTTCACTTCCTTTCTTTCCTGGTTTAGAGTATTATCATCAACAAGCATCCTTACTACTGCAGTTTGATTCTTCTACTTTTCAGTTTTTCAATATCTTTTTTTCCTCCCCTACAATTTAACTCACGTAAACATAAATTTACTGCTCAGCACCAAACTTAGCTCAATGTATCTATTCATTTTGGTTTTCTGAAGTCCATTCTCTCGTAAATTCCTAAGGAAGGCCTCATAGGAACAGTATTCTCTGAATTCTTGCATGTTGACAGCAGTTTTAAGGCCTTTATACTTGAAAATTGGCTTGACTAAATATAAATTATTGGGTCACAGCATCTTTAATATGTCACTTATAGTTTTACTGGCAATATGATTTTCTTTTCCTTAAAAATAATTTGATGGCCAGGCATGGTGGCTCACGCCTGTAATCCCAGCACTTTGGGAGGCTGAGGCAGGTGGATCACGAGGTCAGGAGTTTGAGACTAGCCTGGCCAACATAGTGAAAACCTGTCTCTACTAAAAATACAAAAAAATAGCTGAGCCTGATGGTGGGTGCCTATAATTCCAGCTACTTGGGAGGCCGAGGCAGGAGAATCTCTTGAACCCACGAGGCGGAGGTTGCAGTGATCATGCCACTGCACTCCAGCCCGGGCAACAGTGTGAGACTCCATCTCAACAAAAAAAAGTAATTTGATGTTTTTACCTGGATTTTGAATTTGTGTTGTTGTTGTTTAAAGTCTAGTAATTTCATAGACTATGTCTTGATATTGATTGTTCTGGGACAGATTTTTCTGGGAGGATATGATTTGTTTTAGGGAACAGCTTTAAATTTTTTTCAGAAAATGTTTCTGGAATCATATTTTTTAGTATCTATTCTGTTCCTTTGCTTTGGGCTTCTTCTTTTGAGGACTCCTGTTAAGTATATCTTAAGTCTTCTTTGCCGGTCCTCTTGTTACTTTCTCTCAAATCGTTTCTATTGATTTCTTTTAAATTCTTCTCCCTCTTATCTCCTAGTTACGTTTATTTGATCTTGCATTCCTTCTAATTTATTCTTTGTTTAAGGAGTTTTTAAATTTTTTTCTTTTCTTAATACATCAGTCCATTTTTGAGTTTCTAATTCTGATGTAGGTTATTCTTTTACATATTGGACCATTTTGATGAAGACTTTTGGATTCATTAGAAGTGGTTATAAAAAAAAACAGAAGGTAGAAAAAATAATATTTTATCTTTTTTATTGGGGGTGGCCTGTCTTTCTGACATGTACTGCCTGTCTGTAGGTATGCTATTTTTCTACTTATCCTGGGTTTTTCTCTTAAAATAATTTTGAGTTTAAACCTTGATTTTGTTGTTGTTGTTTTTGTTGTTGTTGTTGCTAATTTTACGTTAAACTTGTTTTCCTTAACTATTAAAAGGAGACATGATTCAGAAACCTTTTTAAATTCATGGTTTTAAGCTATGTTTCAAAACTGGCTAACAGCTTTCTAAGACCTTCTAGTTCGTCTCCTTCACTTTATCAGGACCTTGTTTTTTTCTTTGTCTACATTTTTCCTATACTACTCAATATGCACTCTTCTCAGAAGGAAGGTCATGGAAGGGAGATTTATCTGGTTTGTTTCTAGAATTCATGAATTCCAGACTATTCAGATCCCTTATCATGGACCTTATGTACTCAGCTATATTGGAATGTAGAAATCCCCTCCGAAGTTTAACCGCCATTCTCACATTGCCCCACTGCACTGTCCAGTAAACACCTGTTAGTGATTTGGGAATGTTTTAGATCCATCATGTACCCAGTTGCTTCTCTCTGCTTTCTCCTACACAGTTGCCAATATCATATAGGTCTTCTGGCTTTGAAAGGTTTGTCTCTATCCCCTCCTATTTCCTGGTTCATGGGAATATCTTATCACTGAATTTTTGTTTAGATGTTGTCATTGAATTCTTGAATTTTCACTCTAGATGTTGTATAGGGAGAATTCAGAGAGATTCTTTTAAATAATTTCACCACTATCATTTAAACCTCTCTCTTTACTTTATATCTTTAGGTCTTGTGGAGATTTTCGTATTAGTTTAATGGATTGAGTAAGAGCTATTCTAGATATCGGAAAGGTTATCTTCGTTTCTCTAGTTTGTGTTTGGGGTACTAATTTTCACCTTAAAAAAATGGCATGAGAACAAAAGGCAGCAGAAACTTCTGCAGACTTAAATGTCCCTGTCTGACAGCTTTGAAGAGAGTAGTGGTTCTCCCAGCATGGAGTTTGAGATCTGAGAACGGACAGACTGCCTCCTCAAGTGGGTCCCTGACCCCTGAGTAGCCTAACTGGGAGACACCGCCCATTAGGGGCAGACTGACACCTCACACAGCCTGGTACCCCTCTGAGACAAAGCTTCCAGAGGAAGAATCAGGCAGCAACATTTGCTGTTCAGCAATATTCACTGTTCTGCAGCCTCTGCTGCTGATACCTAGGAAAACAGGGTCTGGAGTGGACCTCCAGCAAACTCCAACAGACCTGCAGCTGAGAGTCCTGACTGTTAGAAGGAAAACTAACAAACAGAAAGGACATCCACACCAAAACCCCATCTGTACGTCACCATCATCAAAGACCAAAGGTAGATCAAACCACAAAGATGAGGAGAAAACAGAGCAGAAAAGCTGAAAATTCTAAAAATCAGAGCACCTCTTCCCCTCCAAAGGAACACAGCTCCTCACCAGCAACGGAACAAAGCTGGATGGAGAATGACTGATGAATTGAGAGAAGATGGCTTCAGACGATCAAACTTCTCCGAGCTAAATAAAGGAGGAAGTTCGAACCCATCGCAAAGAAGCTAAAAACCTTGAAAAAAGATTAGACAAATGGCTAACTAGAATAACCACTGTAGGGAAATCCTTAAATGACCTGATGGAGCTGAAAACCATGGCACGAGAACTACGTGACGAATGCACAAGCTTCAGTTGCAAATTCGATCAACTGGAAGAAAGGGTATCAGTAATTGAAGATCAAATAAATGAAATGAAGTGAGAAGAGAAGTTTAGAGAAAAAAGAGTAAAAAGAAACTATCAAAGCCTCCAAGAAGTATGGGACTATGTGAAAAGACCAAATCTACTTCTGATTGGGGTACCTGAAAGTGACGGGGAGAATGGAAACAAGTTGGAAAACACTGCAGGATATCATCCAGGAGAACTTCCCCAATCTAGCAAGGCAGGCCAACATTCAAATTCAGGAAATATAGAGAACACCACAAAGATACTCCTCGAGAACAGCAGCTCCAAGACACATAACTGTCAGATTCACCAAAGTTGAAATGAAGGAAAAAATGTTAAGGGTAGCCAGAGAGAAAGGTCGGGTTACCCACAAAGGGAAGCCCATCAGACTAAGAGTGGGTCTCTCGGCAGAAACTCTACAAGCCAGAAGAGAGTGGGGGCAAATATTCAACATTCTTAAAGAAAAGAATTTTCAACCCAGAATTTCATATCTAGCCAAACTAAGCTTCATAAGTGAAGGAGAAATAAAATAATTTACAGACAAGCAAATGCTGAGAGATTTTGTCACCACCAGGCCTGCCCTAAAAGAGCTCCTGAAGGAAGCACTAAACATGGAAAGGAACAACCGGTACCAGCCACTGCAAAAACATGCACAATTGTAAAGACCATCGATGTTAGGAAGAAACTGCATCAACTAACAAGCAAAATAACCAGCTAACATCATAATGACAGGATCAAATTCACACATAACAATACTAACCTTAAATGTAAATGGGCTAAATGCTCCAATTAAAAGGCACAGACTGGCAAATTGGATAGAGTCAAGATCCATCAGCATGCTGTATTCAGGAGACCCATCTCATGTGCAGAGACACAAATAGGCTCAAAATAAAGGGATGGAGGAAGATCTACCAGCAAATGGAAAACAAAAAAAAGGTAGGGGTTGCAATCCTAGTCTCTGATAAAACAGACTTTAAAACAGCAAAGATCAAAAGAGACAAAGAAGCCCATTACATAATGGTAAAGGGATCAATTGAACAAGAACTAACTATCCTAAATATATATGTACCCAATACAGGAGCACCCAGATTCATAAAGCAAGTCCTTAGAGACCTACAAAGAGACTTAGTCTCCCACACAATAATAATGGGAGACTTTAACACCCCACTGTCAACATTAGACAGATCAATGAGACAGAAAGTTAACAAGGATATCCAGGAATTGAACTCAGCTCTGCACCAAGGGGACCTAATAGACATCTACAGAACTCTCCACCCCCAAATCAACAGAATATACATTCTTCTCAGCACCACATCGCACTTACTCCAAAATTAACCACATGGTTGGAAGTAAAGCACCCCTCAGCAAATATAAAAGAACAGAAATTATAACAAACTGTCTCTCAGACCACAGTACAATCAAACTAGAATTCAGGATTAAGAAACTCACTCAAAACCACTCAACTACATGGAAACTGAACAACCTGCTCCTGAATGACTACTGGGTACATAGTGAAATGAAGGCAGAAATAAAGATGTTCTTTGAAACCAACGAGAACAAAGACACAACATACTAGAATCTCTGTGACACATTTAAAGCAGTGTGTAGAGGGAAATTTATAGCACTAAATGCCCACAAGAGAAAGCAGGAAAGATCTAAAATTGACACCCTAACATCACAATTAAAAGAACTAGAGAACCAAGAGCAAACACATTCAAAAGCTAGCAGAAGGCAAGAAGTAACTAAGATCAGAGCAGAACTGAAAGAGATAGAGACACAAAAAACCCGTTCAAAAAATCAATGAATCCAGGAGCTGGTTTTTTTAAAAGATTAACAAAATTGATAGACTGCTAGCAAGACTAATAAAGAAGAAATGTTGAGAATGACACAAATGGCTCAGTGGAAATACTTATATTTGTTTAAAACAGCATCTATGATAAAAGCAGGATAATTTGCAGAGTTTCAGACACTCACCCCAGCACAACAGTAAACAAGTCTATACCATTGGATTAAGATATTATGTTGAGCTTGCCTCTTCAGTTTTAAAATAATCTGGTCCCATACCTCTACTTCAGTCACAGCCATTCTCAGTAATCTGCTTGAGTTGTTGCCTTACTTGGAATAGCATTAGAATCTGTCTCTAATGAGGGGTGCATGTAAGTACACCTTCATCTCACCAAGGCCTCACCACTAGGCTTTTAAAAAAGTTCCTTCATGACCAATGAATCACATTTGCACCTGTTTCTCCCATCCAAGTACTAACCAGGCCTAATCCTGCTTAGCTGCAAGATCAGGCAAGTCCAGGGTTATATGGCTGCAAATATGTTTGCATTTTATTTCTGCTGTGTTTTCTTGGAGAGTTGGATTTGGGATGCATAAGTAAGAACTTAGTGTCCTCAACAATAAGTAGCAGCTTTCTTGGCATGATTCATTTCTATGACAAGGTAGAAAGGTAAAGCAGATGACATTTCTAAGATTTTTCCAGACTTGTGCTATGACCATTAGGAGAATGTTTTATGATTGGAATTGGTGAGCTCCTTTCATGGGATTTATCATAATATGTGAAGATAGACTTTTAGGCTACACATCCCATACTGTGCCTAAGACACTCTAGGGCTAATAAATGTTTTATTATTCCCTGCCAGTTAGCTCAGAGGGCCAGAGAACTGCTCTGATGAAGCCAAGTCACAGACCCCCATCCCTGTAGAGGCCAGTGAATGTCAAAGAAAAGATCTGTTCTCTGGCTAATGCTTACACCTTGCATCTCAACCAGTTTTTGGCTAGAGTAAAATTCTGTCAGTTTACCCTTGATCATAGAAAGAACCAGGAAAAAGAATGTAGGTGAATCAATGCAAAACCATCACCACTCTTGAAAAATAATTCAAATAGTCATTTCCTATTGATCGTGCAAACCGCAGCATTTTCTTAGAAGATATTATGCATTCTGCACCTTGATGAAATTACTTTTTTGATCTCCTTAAATCTCTTCTCATATGTTGATTATTTTTCAAATGCCAGTGTTGACAATCGTCTGGATCCATATTTTGTATGGTCTATGGAGTGACATGAACTTCATAGAGAACATGTATTTCTTGGCAACTCTCACTGCAATATAATGGATTGTCTGACACATATTTGAAATGAGTTGCAGCAGACTATAATACTCCATCTTTTTTCACTCAGCCTGTTTCCACATCATGGCCACATATGGATGGCTGCTTGACCCTTAGTGAAAGATATATCAAGTGTTCCACCCTAATTTTAAATGAGAAAAATAGAGCAAAATAGCCAATTTTATCCTCAATCCCAGGGAACAGGTGAGAAACTCTTTTTCTCATTAAGAAAAATATCCCCACATGTGAGAAGAGATTATAGATTGTATTTCCACTCTCCTCCTGCCACTGCCACCCTACTAATACCCTTTACCGTATACCGTATGAAAATGAAAGCTCATAAAAGTCACCCCTTCCCTGTTTACACTCATTCAGTCAAAATTTATTGGTTCCCTGCTTTAGAATTGGCACTGGTTTCGTTGATGGTAGGAGATCAAAAGTATTTGTTGTACTCTAAGAGAGTTTACAGTCCAGAAGAGGAAGCGGAATTCTGTATTTGTGTATTTAAATGAGCTTAGACTTACAATAGCTCTTTAAAAATTATAACCATCTTCATAAAACACCTAACATATTCAAATCTAATAAATGAGATGAATAAAACATGCTTATGAGAGTTCTGACTGTAGGAGTAAATATTGGGTAATCAGGAGAATGAGAGGAAGGAAAAGTCCTATGGGGCATCTCCTGTGTGTCAGACATAGACCTTTCTTATTTGTTACAAGTTTTTGAAATACATTATTGTTCTATTTTCCAAATATATAAATTGAGGCTTAGAAATAATAGACAGATTGTCCAAGATTATATAGTTATGAATTAGAAACCAAGGCTTTGAAGCCAGTACCGTTTGAACCTAAAGACCAAGACTTTTTCTAGATTTGAGATTATGAAATAGTTGGAACCTGAGCTAGATTTTCATTAATGGGTACAGAGATGGGGAAAAGAACAGAAAAAACTGACAGAAAAAAGAAACCAGAAAAAAAGGCAGGAAAGTGTGTAGTGCTAAAATTAACATGATTAGAATAAATGACTCAAATATGGCAATAGTTGGCAAGGTTAGAAAATTGCATTGGGTCTTTGAATTCTAGATCAGCAGCGCTGAATTCTATCCTTCTGGGACTGAAGAATCAGTAAGAGCTTCTGACAGAGAAATGGCAAAATGAACATGAAACACTAGGGAGGTTTTCCTGGTTGTAGTACATAGTGTATGGGGGAATACCAGAGGCAGGGTAGAATACCAGACTAGAGTGACTTTCTAGGAAGCTAAAATATCCAGACCAAGGGTCTTATTTTGTGTGCTCATTTGTCCATATGTGAATGGAGATTTTATAAAAAGCACTTATTTAAAAGTTTTTTAAATTAGGTGAAGCAAACTTCTTCCTCCACCAGATAATAAATTTTTATATAGTGAATCTTAATAAATAGGACCTCCCCCACCTGGTTTCTGAACCTGAAAACCTTGGCATCATTCTGGACTCCATTTCTCTCATATCCTACATCCAATTTATCAGAGAATCCTGATAACTCTACCTTTCAAGTTCAAATCCAATCATTCTCTCCTATGCATGTAGCCATAGTTAGGAGAGAACCATCATGATTCTCATGTTTAGGAGAGAATTGGTTACCATCATCTCTCCCTCCTCCTACCTTTTTCCCAGTACCATCTACCCCTTACTCAGTGGCTAGAGCAATTCTTTGAAACTACAATTCCAATGAATAATTTACATAATGGAAAACTTCAGTGGCTTCCCATCACATGTAAAGCAAAATCTCAAATCTTCATCCTAGTCCCCAAAGCCCTTCAGAAACTGGCTTCTGTCTGTGCATCTGATGCATTTCCCACTCTTGATCCCCTGGTGGCTCTGTCCCAACCATGCTGACCTTGTTCTGCCCTTGTTCTTCCACAAATACACTAAACATACTCCGAACTCAAAACCTTTTCACTTTGGGTTCTGCCTAAAATACATCTCCCAGAAATTCACATTTCTCCTTCCCTTATTTTGTTTGGGTTTCTGTGGGGAAAATGCCACCTATTCATAGAGCACTTCCCACAGCATCATCTCTGTAATAATACTTCTCTGACCCCATTCCTTATCTCTTTACCTTGCTTCATTTTCTTTGTAGAACCTATCTCTATTAAATTTAATAATTACTATTTTGTCTTTTTGTTCCCTGCTGTATCTCTGATGCTAAATCAATGACTGAAATAGGTGTTCAGTGTTTATTTATTCAAAGATAATTTGATGTATATGAATATATATTAATAGACATTATAACAGCAATCAAATGGCATGTATATATAGTGAACATTTTTCAAGCCATATTTGGTTTATTTTTAAACATGGCCTCCTTTCAATTACCCATTGTCTGGATCTTCCAAGGGTAATAGCTTACAAAGTCTGAATAATGGTTTATTTTCTTGCTACAGAGTTGCAAGTAACCTTAGTTCTTTTTTTAATTCACTTTTTTTTAACTTTTAAGCTAAGGTATTTTTAATTTAGGTAAAATTTACATAACAATAAAATTAATCATTTTGTGGTACATAGACACCATGGAATACTACACAACCATATAAAAGAACAAAATCACAGCCTTTGCAGCAACATGGATGCAGCTGGAGGCCATTATTGTCAGCAAATTAATACCTGAACAGAAAACCAAATACTACATGTTCTCACAAGTGGGAGCTAAACATTGGGTACTCATGGACATAAAGATGGCAAAAATAGACACTAGGAACTACTAGAGTGGGGAAGGAGGGAACGGGAAAGGGCTGAAAAATTACCCATTGGGTACTATGCTCAGTATCTGGGGATGGGATCAATCTTACCCCAAACCTCAGGATCATGCAATATATCCATCTAACAAGTCTGCACATGTACCCCCAAAAATTAAAAGCTGAAATTATTTTTTATTACCATTTTAAAGTGTAATTAGTTTTATTTACTATATTCTGTTGTGTGTCATTTAGTACATTCACAATTTTGTGCAAATACCACCTTTATCTACTATATTCTGTTGTGTGTCATTTAGTACATTCACAATTTTGTGCAAATACCACCTTTATCTAGTTTAATACTTTTTCATAAATAATATTTTCTAAACTATTCAATTTGGAATGATAGGAAACAAATTTGTTATATTACAAATGGTAAATAAAGAGAAAGAATCAAATGTTTATCTCATCATCCCTCTGTAAGCTGTTATACTGAGTAATCAAATAGTGGATGAGGGGAAGTGGCTCCCTTTAAAAGTATTCTGAGTGATAAATCTTTTTAAAAAGAGTATCAGTTTGGTATTTCATTGTTTGAAATCCTTGACGAATTAATGGATATAGCCATTGAACATGAACATGTACAAACATCAAAAAAGAAAGACAGCCAGGCGTTATGTGTCTGGCAATACAAGAACATAATGCCATCTGTGGCTTTGCCAAAGAGAAAGAATAGACACTGTCTAAGCCTCTGCATTTTGCTGCCAGTTTCCCAGAAACTGCACCATGAGTATGTACTCAATGAAGTCCAGACTGTGGGAAACTCTATAGGTCAAATTCCCTAGTTCTTCAACAATTGTAAGGAGCACAGCTTGAAGGAAAAACTTGAAGATTAATAGACTTAAAGCATATAGCAGTTGTTATTAATGAGCAAGTTTAAACACAGTGTCCTTGGATGAACATTTGGTTGATAAAATTGTAAAGAAAAGCAAGGAAATGATAGCTATAGAAGTCACAGTCATAGTTATTTTGGAGAAGACAGAAGTGTCTGTGACTGTGACAGGGCACACGTAGGTGCCTAAAGTTTTATTTATTGACCTGAGCAATAGTTTCAAGAGTGTAATTTAAAAATTGAGTTTCTCAGATAAATACACAAATGGAACAGAATAGGGACCCCAGAAATAATGCCACACACCTACAACCCTCTGATTTTCAACAAAGTGGACAAAAACAAGAAATGGGGAAAGGACTCCTTATTCAATAAATGGTTCTGGGATAACTGGATAGCCATAAGAAGAAGATTGAAATGGGATACCTTCCTTAAACCACATACAAAATTCAACTCAAGATGAATTAAAGACTTAAACGTAAAACCTAAAACTATACAAACTTTGGAATATAACCTAGGAAATACCATTCTAGACATAGGACCTGGCAATGATTTCATGATGACTATAACAAAAACAATTGCAACAAAAACAAAAATTGACAAATAGGACCTAATTCAACTAAAGAGCTTCTACACAGCAAAAGAAACTAACAACAAAGTGAACAGACAACATATAGAATGGAATAAAATATTTGCAAAGTATATATCTGACCAAAGTCTAATATCCAGAATCTATAAGGAACATAAATTTACAAGCAAAAAACAAACAACCCCATTAATAAGTGGGCAAAAAACATGAACAGACACTTTTCAAAAGAAGACGTATACACAGCCAACAAGCATATGAAAAAGTGCTTAACACCACTAATCATTAGAAAAATGCAAATCAAAACCACAATGAAATACTATCTCATACCAGTCAGAATGGCTATTATAAAAAGTTAAAAAATAACAGATGCTGGTGAGGTTGTGGAGACAAGGGAGCACTTATACACTGCTGGTGGGAATGTAAATCAGTCCAGCCATTGTGGAAAGCAGTTTGGCAATTTCTCAAAGACCTTAAAAACATTATCATTTGACCCAGCAATGCCACTATTGAGTGTATACCCAAAGGAATATAAATTGTTCTACTATAAAGAACATGTATGCACGCATATGTTCATCACAACACTATTCTCAATAGCAAAGACATAGAATCAACCTAAATGTCCATCAGTGATATAATGAATAAAGAAAATATGGTACATATACACCATGGAATACTATACAGCTATATGAAACAACAAGATTATGTCCTTTGTAGCACCATGGATGGAGCCAGATGCCATTATCCTAAGCAAACTAACACAGGAACAGAAAACCCAATACAGCATGTTTTCACTTACAAGTGAGAGCTAAACATTGAGTACACATGGGCACAAAGAAGGGAACACTAGACACCTGGGCCTTTGTGAGGGTGGAGGTTGGGAAGACGGTGAGGATCAAGAAAATCACCTACTGGCTACTATATATATTACCTGAGTGACAAAAATACTCTGTACATAAACCCCTGTGACATGCAATTTACCTATATAACAAACTTGCACATGTACCCCTGAACCTAAAAGTAAAAAAAAAAAAAATCAAGTTTCTCCCTAAGAGCAGAAACAAGACAAAAATGCTAGCTTTCACCATTGAGATTCAACATCGCACCAATATTTCCAGCCAGAGCGATTAGACAATAGAAATAAAGGCATCCAAGTGAGAAATAAAAAAGTAAATCTATCTCTATTCACAGATGGTATGATCTTACATATAATAAATCCCATAAAATCCACCCAAAAAAAGCTACTAAAGCTAATGAATGAATTTAGCAAGTTGCAGGGTGCAAGATCAAACACAAAAATTGGTTGTCTTTATAAACAGTAGCAATGAACAATCTGAAAAGGAAATCAACAGATCCATTTACAACAGCATCCAGAAGAATAAAATACTTAGGAATAAATTTAATCACAGGGGTAAAAGACTTTTATAGTACTTTATACTATAAAACATTGCTGACAGAAGTTAAAGAAAACCTAAAGAAATAGAATGGCATCCTGTATTCGTGGATTGGAAGGCATAAAATTGTTAAGATGTCAATACTCCCCAAAGCAGTCTACAATCCCTACCAATATTTCAGTATCATTTTCTTGTTTTAGAAATGGAAAAGCCAGTATCAAATTTATATGAAATTGTGATGGCCTCCAAGTGGGCAAAACAATATTTAAAAAGAAGACTGAAATTAAAAGACTCATACTTCCTGATTTTGAAATTTAACTACGAATCTACAGTAATCTAAGTAGTGTGATATTGGCATAAGGATAGACAAATAGATCAATGGAATAGAATTTTGAGAGTCCAGAAATAAACCCACACATCTATGGCCAATCAATTATCAACAAGCATGCCAATATCATTCAATAGAGAAAGAACAACCTCTTTAACAAATTGTTCTGAGGCAACTGAATACCCCCATGCAAAGAATTAAATTGGACCCACAACTCATATCATATGCAAAAATTAATTCAAAATGAACAAATTATCTAAATATAAGAGTTAAAGCCATAAAACTCTTAGAAGAAAACATAGAGGTAAATCTTCATGGCTTTGGATTGGGCAGTGGATTCTTAGATATAACATTAAAAGCATGAGCTTACTATATAATTCCATTTATGGTAAATATCTAAAATAGGTAAATCCACAGAGACAGAAAGCAAATTAGTGATTGCCAAGGTCTTGGAGAAGGGTAGAATGGAAAGAAACTGCTTACTAAAATAAGAGGTTTTGATCTGGAGTAATATAAACGTTTTGAAACTAGCTATGTAGAGGTGGTGGTTGCCAACAGTGCGAATTTACTAAATGCCACTGAATTGTTCACTTTAAAGTGATTCATTTTCTGTTATGTGAACTTCACCTCAATAAATCACTTTTTAAAATGCATTAACCCAGTAAAAAGATAACCTACAATTCCATATATACTTCTTTATAAACTGTAGGATAGACTGATGTACTCTTTTGTTGAGAGGAGAGGAAAAATGAGGAGATGTTAATTCTGAAATAGTGACTTTAGGCAGAGAAAGGTCAGATTCCTTGTCTCACTCATAGTCATTATGGTAATTATTTCAAAAAATGAAAAGTTTCCATTTCTCCCCACATATCAAATTCATTCTAATGCATTTCCTCTGGCTTAGTGACAACCTGTTTAAACATGTGTTTCTTGCATTTTACAGACATACTTGGCAAGTGCAAGACAAAATCGATGCAAACAATGTGGCTTACACAACTGGGAAGCTAAGCTTTCACACTGATTATCCAGCCCTCCATCATCCACCTGGGGTAAGTGAGCTTCAACATATTTTCCACAAAGCATGATGATGACCAGTATCTTTTCGTATTTTGAGTCTAGAAGATTACACATTTCACCAGGTAGTTTGTCTTTTATAAATTTTTTCTCCAAACACAATCCAAGCTCACAAAATCTCTGTACCTAAATCCTAAATATCTTCACATTCCTAAAGGAGAGGATAATTTCATTCATTTAAAACAACAACAACAACAACAAAAACATTTCTTTGTTCTTCCTAGAAATTACTATTAGCATTTTTTGCTTTGCCAAGACAGATTTTAAGGTAGGAGTAAATCTTAAGGTCTTTTTGCACATATATTTCTAAGAAAGTTAAGAGAGAAAATGAAATCAGTAAACAAAATGTAGGGTTTCCCTCAAAGTCACATGGGCATCATTCATATCCATTAACTACTGCTGCATTAAAACTCATTCTACTATAAAGACACATGCACATGTATGTTTACTGCAGCACTGTTCACAATAGCAAAGATTTGGAACCAATCCAAATGCCCATCAATGACAGACTGGATAAAGAAAACGTGGCAGATATACGCCATAGAATACTATGCAGCCATAAGAAAGGATGAGTTCATGTCTTTTGCAGGGACATGGATGAAGATGGAAACCATCATTCTCAGCAAACTAACACAGGAACAGAAAATCAAACACCGCATGTTCTCGCCTATAAGTGGGAGTTGAACAATGAGAACACATGGACACAGAGAGAGGAACATCACACACTGGGGCCTGTTGGGGGGGTTGGGAGGATAGGGGAGGGATAGCATTAGAAGAAATACCTGATGTAGATCACGGGTTGATAGATGCAGCAAACCACCATGGCACGTGTATATATATGTAACAAACCTGCACATTCTGCACATGTATCCCAGAACTTAAAGTATAACAAAAAAAAAAAATAATAACTCACTCCCTAACTTGATGGCTTAAGAAAACATCCATTTACTTAGCCCTTGTTTTTTCAATATGGGCTGTATTCAGCTAGGCAGCTCCTGTCTTCAGTCATATACCTGCAATTGGTTGCTAAGTTGGCTTGGGACAGATTGACTTTCACTGAGATGGCTGGTTTCTGCTCCACTCGGTCTATTCACCACCAGTAGGCTAGCCCAAGTTTAATGCATATGGCAACTAGAAGAATTTTCAGACAGCTACACAACTTCTCAAGGCCTGGGCTAGTCACCTCTGCAATGTTATATTGGTCTAAGGAAGTAATAAATCTAGCCCACATTCAGGAGGTGAGGAAATAGACCGCTTATGGAGGAAGCTGCAAAAATGCATTATAAACTGTGTGACTACAAGGAACATAATAACAGTGGCTATTTTTGGAAACCATCCAACATCCCATCTATCAGATTCCTTGTCAAGGAGGGAAATGCTCAGTGTGAAGCCACAAATCCCCAGGAGAATCTCTGGGTGGACATTCTTTCTCTACATTTTTACAAAAGTTTCATTTTACTAAATGAGCTACATTTTTACAAAATCATCATTTTATTACACCAAAAATAAGTGGTTAGGAAACTACCTTTTAAAAGATATGCCATCCCTATTTTTACAGCTAAATTAGACTATGTGAAATAACCACATAGAAACCTATATCTTCAAAGGCAAATGAAAATTTGGGCAATTCTTAAGTTAACAAAGGAGAATGGGCCAAAATCACAATTAGCCCAATTTTTTTTTCATTATCTTCACTGTACATGTTTTCTCTGTGCCCTTATTGTTACCCATTCTTCTTGCCAGTATTAGCTACGCTAGTCTAGTATTTAACTTTACATGTTATAAATTATTTTGTTGATTGTAAAATACCACATGATTTCTTTGAACTAAGTGGCAGTAAAATGACCCCTGTAGACACACTTTTGGGTAAGGGTTGGGGGCAGGAGACACCCAGTGTGATTTTATTCTAAATGTGGCTCAGATTTTTCTAAAACCCTAGAGTTAAGAGCCAAATTAATCAGCTCAGCTCTTCTTCCAAACATAGCTTGAGGGAGTTGGATGGAATAAGGCTTAAAGAATGAGACTAGAAAACTAAAAGTTTTATTTGAATTTTTAAATTATCTTCTGTCTTTTAAGAATTTAAGTTTTGTTTCTGGGTTAAAATTTGAAGCCTAAGGAAAAGTGACCAAATGACTTCATAAATGTTCCTGAAGTATAATAGAATGCTTGACTTTTTCATAGTCATAGCACATTATACTACTTCAAAGCAGTTTTGCTTTCATTATTTTATCTGACTCTTCTTGACATTCCTTTAAGGTAGACAAGATTGATCATGTCTTTTTATGTCAGATGAGAAAATGAAACACGAGATTCAATATTTTTATAGGGTGACATTTGATTAAGGAGGAACTTGGACTTGAACCCAGGCCTCCATCTAGTTTTCTGTCACACCACACTGATCCTGAGCTGGAATTTCTAACTATTATAATTTATGTAGTAAAATAGAATATTTATAGATTTTATCGTACTTTACAAACTTCTTAAAGACAAGAATTGACTCTTGGGAAGAAAAAAGTTCTTTGTATTTCAATACTTTGTATCTCAATATTTACACGCACATTGCATGTAATAGAGACATCATAGATACACTATAAAGAGGCAAAGAAGTGCAACAAACCTGTACCTGTCTCCAGCAAATGAAACATCCAAACTAAGTGACTTGATAGGAGATTTTAAAATAGCAGATGATTCCTAAAATGTCTAGATTCTACTAGAATAATAAAATGTAGGCAACCTGTTTGTACTGTTGTTCAAACTTCCATTTTGAATTATTCCAGGTGAGTTGTGCCAAGGTTTGAGATTTTCTATAACAAACAGAACAAACCAATATATTTTTCTGTATAGATGAAATAATCTGAAAAATGAGTTACCTGTTGAGAGTTCAGTTTGATCGATTTGGATTATGTGGGGCAGAGATAAGGCACCACATCTTTAATGAAACAGAGATGTTGCTTCACTCACTGTTTTTGCAGAAGTCACATGCTGCATAAAGTAACATTCAGAAGGAAAATATTTTTGGTTCTGAATGACTCATATGAAGTAAAATTGGGTTTTATACATGACAGGCATGTATTTGCGTTTTAACCTAGCAATAAAAGTATTGTCAGGCTCCATCATCTTTTTTCTATTTGAAGATTGTATTAAAAGTGTAACTGTACAAAAGAAAGTATCAAGGGGCCTTGACATATGTAAATAACATTAAAAAATGATCTTTTTAAAAATTAGCACTTGAAATATTCTGTCAGTTCATGATGGCAAAATCTAAAAGGATTTAAAGAACACTGTGATCCTCCAAAAACAAAGTTATGCTATTGTTTTGCTACTCTGACCAGTTCCTTCCTCAAAAAAAAAAAAAAACATAATCCTATGTAACACCACTGGCCTAATACTTTGCAGCTCAGTTCCGACTACATTACTTTCATATTCAAAAGCCTTCAGTGAATTCCCTCTATGCACAAATACAAAAGCCCTTCATCTGATATTTAAGACTCTCCATCATGAGGCCTCACCAATTGCCCTTCCAACCTGATTCACTCTTTCTATTTATGGCCCTCTGCTGTAGCCAGACTTTTTATTACCCAGTGAACTGTGCATTTTTGCACATCATTATTTCTGTCACCTGATTTGCTTTCTCGTTCTATTCTGCATAACCCAAATCTCATCCATTCCCCTTTGCCTAACTTACCCGCCTCTTCCCCTTGAAATCCTTCCCTGCCTACTCCAACATCAAGTGCTCCATCTATGCAGCTCTTACAAGCTGTTCTTTTTGTTTGCTAATGAGCATTATCATGCCTGCATCTATGTCTTCAACTGTAACATGTTTGAACTATACAGTATTGATTATAAGCAACTTTTTTCTTCCCAACTCTTTTCTGATGACATAAGAAAGACAAAAAAAAAAGTTTATTGGCTTTGGTTCATTCATAGCTTTTTGAATCTTTAACACAGTATCAAAAAATGGTGCATGTATATTATTTTATTTTATTATTTATTTTATTGAAGATTAATTCTAATAATTAAAATGTAATTTAATATTTATTTAATAATGCATATTTTCTTTTTATAGGTTCAGCTTCTTCACTGCATAAAGCAAACAGTCACAGGGGGTGATTCAGAAATTGTAGATGGGTTTAATGTGTGCCAAAAACTAAAGAAAAATAATCCTCAGGCATTCCAGATTTTGTCCTCTACCTTTGTGGACTTTACAGACATTGGAGTGGATTACTGTGATTTTTCTGTACAATCAAAACATAAAATTATAGAGTAAGTACTATTTATAAATTTCCCATAGCAATAAAAGAATTGACAACAAAAGATCCACTAATCTAAAGTTTAAACAGCACAAAACTTCAACGAACTTCAGAGCTTTATTTTTATTAACATTTCACCCAATTTTAGAGTGATAGTATTTTCACCATAAAAGTTTTTATTAAATTACATAAAATTTATCCCTAATCAGTATTAGAGGAAAAGTAACTAAGATTTCACGTATACTTCATTTTTAGAATATAAGTTCTACATAGCTATAATCAATGTGATTATACTAGTTAGAAGGCTTTTGGCCAGAAGTGAAAGAATATAACTCAAAATAGGTTGATCCCAAGAGTTAAACAATGTCATGTGATATTGGTCTCTTTTTTCTTCTTAGCTTTGCCATCTTCTATGTTAGCTTTATTTTTCAAAGATGATCAGCAGAAGCTCCAAGATTTCATTTTCCTTACAGCTAGTAATCACACCACAAACAATGCTTTTACTTCCCAATAAAGCTAGATGACTCAATCCCTAATTTCTGTCCAAGTCTATCCCTGAATCAATCATCATGGCCAGTGGGTTAGAGAATTCTGATTGTCCATGCCTGGATCACATGTTCAACTCTGGAGCAGGGTCAGCCTCATCTGAATCACACGGACTGAGAATGAAACAGGGAGGCTCCCCAAAGAGATACTAAGCCAACAAAGATCATATATTACCTACACAGAACATTTTGTATTCTCCCTTTCTTTTTATTTAATATTATTTTATTATAATTTTTCCAAGTACCTACAAAGGCCACAAATTCATCTTTTTATTTGCAAATTAACTTACATTTTGTTTCTACAACAGTTTATTTAATTATACCTCGATTAATTTTGGTAGGGGGGTATAATTTTAGAATTTTAGAATTGAGTTTAAATTTTTCTATTAAGAGAAACAGCCAAATGGTATGAAAATAAACTCATTTAGAAAATAATTAAATCCCCAGTACATTCATTTATTCATTCAACAAATATTTATTGAGGCCAGCCACTTTTCTTGGTACTTGGAATACATCAGTGGACAAAACAAAGATCTCTCCCCTCATATAGCTTATACTCTAATGGGGGAAGGGAAATTTTAAAGATTTTTAAACAGATGAGTAAATTATAATAAAAGTTAAAAATTATTAAATGCTTAAGAAAAAAAGGAAGAGCATAGCAAGATAAGGGGAATCTGTAGGGCTTAGCAAGGACGGAAATTGCATTATTAAAGAGCGTGGTGAGGGAAAGCTTTACTGAGATTTGAGCAAACACTTAAACGAGTGATGGAGTTTTCAGAAGAGAAGCAGTTTCCCGAAACTGCTAGACCAAAAGTTCTAAAAGGGTCCTAAGGACATGTCTGGAGTGTTCAAGGAACATCAAGGAGACCAGTGTGACTGGAACAGAGTGAAGGATGCAAGTATTAGGGGAGGAAGTCAGGTAGGGACAAGTTCCTGTAGAGTCTTGTTAGCAAATTATAACAGTAACATTTACTCTGAGTGAAGTAAGAAGTTGCTGCAAGATCCTGATCAAAGGAAAGACTTTGATATTTATGTAAATTTAGTTATATTTTAAATGGGTCACCCTGACTGCTAGAAAGAGCAAGGATAGTAGCGGGAAGACCAGCTAGGAAGCTACTGCATGACTCCAGGCTAGCAATGGTGGTGCCTTGAACATGAGTGGCTAGAGTGACAGCAGTGGTGGTGTGGAGAAGGATCAGTTTTTGGTTACATTTTGCATGTATAAACAGATTGTTTTCGTGAAAGATTGGAGGAAGTGTCTGAGAAAAAGATAGACGTCAAGAATGAAATTCTAGTCCAGAATAAACCTGAGACGTTTTCTAAGAATTCACTCATCAAGGTGAAAAGGAAATAACTTGAGACCCTTAGTTATAATGTGACAGTTTTAACTAGTCAAATATTAACTTAAAAATTCATGACAAATCAAAATTTTGTTAAGACACAATACGATTACAGATTCTGCAAGGCTAGTGAACAGAGGCAAGAAACATAGCTATAGATAAGATTAACTGAATGTCCACCATGTGGCTCATGACTTGGCTTTGATATTTTCTGTAGTAAAATTTCAAAATTTGGCCATGTGTGAGGTCTCAGGAATAGCCCCTAGAGAATAAATATCAAGTGGTTAACATTAATTCACTTAAAAGTATATTTTCAACAACAGGAAATGAAACAGAGCGTTCTCAGTTAACAGAGGGCCTCCATCTCCTAAGTGTTTGGGTTAATTTAATTTTCTTTGTGGTTAAATCCTTAAATTTTTATGTCCTAGTACAAAAATGTCTTTTATGCTGCTGACTGAATTACTTATAATTCAGTACAAAGAAAAATAAATCAATAAAGAAACAAGCAAAATTAATGACGGTGAGACTCAGCTATCCTATCAACTACACATTCAATCACGTAAATTCAAGTCTTTTACTTGCCAGCTGTGTAATCTCTCATGTGATTATTTACCCTTGCTGATCCACAGTATATTTTCCAGTTAAAAAAACGAAAACAAAAAATACTGCCACACATGATTGAAGTAGGAATTGCAGAGTTAATATATGGAAGCCCCTACTATTGTGCCTAGTTTAGAAAATGCAGAATACATTTTAGCTAGTTATAATATGCATGAAGTCCAACACACTTACTGGGGGGAGATTTCTATTTCAGGTCTGAATTTCTAGAAACCAAAGCAAACAGAGACTATAATCAGTTATAAGACAAGATGCTTTCGAAGTCCGAAATAAATTTTTCCTGCAGATCCTCATAAATTATGACATGGTAGACAACACTGTAGTAGTATTCCCACAACAAATACAACAAGTTCCATAAAACATTGTATCTATCAATGAGACATAATGCTGTCACTAATGAGGAGTATTCACAACACAAACTGTGGAAGATCATTTTAAAAGTCCTTTCTTTGGTTTTTTTTTTGTTGTTGTTGGCATCATTGATAATGTTTTGCTTTTGCTGGTTCACTGCCACTATGTTGTTGGTTTAAGTTTAATTAATTTGTCCTTTATGTATAGCGAATGTATAGCCAGTTACTCCCATCTTTTGTGGCTTTTTACCTTTCCTCAGCATGCAAACTTACATTAGACCCTGCTGTTCTGTTATAAGGCATCAAATTTCTTGCTAACCTTCAATTTTTCATTTTAGGTTGGTCTTCAAGGTACCAGCTACCCATCTCCTCTAACATTCTTCAATCCTCAGAATAATGTCCCCTCTATATCTTACAACAAAATTTGCTTTCCATTCCCCTATTATTGCTGAGAATGCTAAATAATACATTTGTGTCTTGTTTTCTCAGATAAACAGTAGGTAAAAGAAAGCAGGGACTGTGTTACACTATAACACACACAAAAAGTTGATTACTTTTCTATATAGGTGAACTCTTAAAAATGAAAGCCTAATCTAGTATACCATGAGGCATCCAATTCTGATTTTCATTACATTTATTAATCACAAAGTTCATTTCACTGATACATGAGGATATACCCAAGGACTCTAGAATAGTTAGCTCATAATTAGCATAACCATTCAAATCAAGGAGCTATGGTAATAGTGGAAGAAAAGTAAAGCAGATCTTGAGGGTGACTGAAACAGACGACCCCCCCAGAAGTTCCAAAGTCATGACATCCCTTGGCGGATGACACAGAGGATAATGTTATATGTACAGAACACATAACAAGAAAAAAAAAGAGGAAAGTGGGTCAGAAGCAGTAGGGCTAGAATCTTGCAGTTAATATCAAAAGGCAAATGGCCTCAGACACTGTGACAGAGGTCTGAAACCAGCAGCATGAACTCTAAGGGGGTAATTGAAAGGTCGTGTAGTCTCTGTACCACTAAATCCTAGAGGTACACAGTCTTTTCTACTGACTTCCCTTCCATCTGATTCTTTGTACATAAAGCTGTATCCAAAAGGCTCAGAATTCTTGATTTATGTGAAAGCATGTGGAAGCAGGTAGGGTACTCCATTACCTAGTGAGTCACATTTGTATTGTTATTAATACATGCAAATCTATGTTTTAAGAGTCTAAGAGCCTTTTTGAAAGCCTGTTCCTTCCTTTTACTTCTTTCCCAGTGTGGGTTCAATAGGTAGTTTTAAGGCCTTACCCAATAAGCAAAGAATTGGTGCTAATCACCAACTGTTGAGTTTACCATTACAATTGCCGTTTGGCTCAGAGCCACCATGCACAAGGGGCCCTGATCATCACAATTTGTACTTCACTGTCAATGGCATCTTTCCCCATTTGTTGATAATATTCACTAAATGTAACCCAGACCCCAAACCAGGGTCACCAAACCCAGGTGTATGTGTGTTTGGTCTGACCGACCAAGCCTTGGCCCTGGTCAGTTGTTGGCTCTCATTAGCACTTCCTGCACTTGTCCTTCTAGGATGCTGCTCCCAGGAGTAATCCTAGGTACTTTGCCACCATCCTTGGTCACCTTCAGTTTGCATGCATTCATCCTGTTTCTACCTAAAGAAAAGATAAAGTTGACTGACACTTTAAGATCGTCTGAAGGTCCACCTTCCCAATAAGCTACAAAAGAGTTTCCTCTTTTTGCCTCTGTATCTGGGTGATGTTCATGTCTTGCTAATTATAACCACCAAAGCTCAAATCTAAGAAATAATGTGCTTTCCTTATTTATTTATTAATTTATTTTTTTGAGACAGAGTCATATTCTGTTTTCCATGCTGGAGTGTCGTGGTGCGATCTCCGCTCACTGCAACCTCTGCCACCTAGGTTCAAGCAGGTGCCTGCCACCACACCCAAGTAGCTGGGATTACAAGCATGGGCCACCATGCCCAGCTTTTTATTTTTTCTGTACTTTTAATAGAGACAGGGTTTTGCCATGTTGGCCAGGCTGTCCTCGAGCTCCTGACCTCAACTGCCTCGCCCACCTTGGCCTCCCAAGGGAGGCAGGGATTACAGGTGTGAGCCACCGTGCCCGGCCTTCTTTCTTTATATTAAATGCTGTATTATCTTACATTGGCATGGTCATAATCCATATTTTGAGAAAGAGAATAGAGATCACAACATTAAGAGCTCTCAAATTACTAAAAATAAAAACCTTAGTGCCCTCCCAAGGTACTAAAAAATATAGAGAGTGATATGTGCAACAAACATTTATTAACTGTCTGTTATGTCCAGGCTCTATGTTGAGTGCTAGGAATACAACATTAAATGAGATACAGCACCATCTTCTGGAAGACTCAATACTAAGATAGGTAGGATGAGTAAATAGATAGAAAGAATATACCTCAGGCTAGTCCCTTCTTTTCTCATGCTTTGGTTTTCCCACCTGTAAACTAAGGATTGAATTAGAATCATGCATTTCAAACTATTTAAAAAATAGAATTTTCTTCCCATCATACCCTCAAATAAAACCATCATACTTAGAACCTTAATAAATGAAACACATAGAACAATTGACCTATAAATTTGTAACATGAAAGGATTTTAATACCTGTTTCAAATAACAAAGAATGAATGACTTTAACTAAGCATAACAAAATTTTTAACTTGAATCTCTCAGTAATACTTATTTTAATTTAAGTTGAGTTCTCCTGGTACTGAGGTAGTAAGATTTAGAAAAAAAATCTAAATGAATGAATGAAAAAAAAGAGAATACATTGCACCACAGGTAGCCTTAATATCTTCTGTACATGTATTTGGATTTTTTAATATGGTGTTTCAAAAATATATTTGAAGAGGAATTGACTCTTATCAATGTAAATAGATATTTCATGAATTATATATTAATTTTTTCTCTTAATAAAACAGGTTAGATGATAAAGGCCAAGTGGTTCGCATCAACTTCAATAACGCAACTAGGGACACAATATTTGATGTGCCTGTTGAAAGAGTTCAGCCTTTTTATGCTGCTCTGAAGGAGTTTGTTGACCTCATGAACAGCAAAGAATCCAAGTTTACCTTCAAGATGAATCCAGGTCAGTGAATACATTTTCTCAAATAACCAAAAGCATGGATTTTCTTCAACCTTAACCACCTAGAATTATATCCAGAGCAGTTTTTCTCAGGTATGGCATGTAGAACACCAACAACAGAATCTTGGTGAGCAACTGACTTGCTTATGTAGTGGACTCGTGGCCCTCATTGAGGTTTATGCTTAATTATTTTATCCTGATAAACAAATAGAAATATCCTCATGATTCTTACTCTAACACACACAAGTGATGCTTACTCATTAGGCTTTACTAGTGGAGACAGTACTACCTGAAATAAAGTAGTACCTAAAGTATTCCAGTTACTTGAGATAAAAAAAGCAGAAAGCATTATATTTTTTCTGGACCATCTCTACTCAGTAAAGTGCCATCAAACCTGAGGCTTTTGGCATCTACAATAAAAGGTGTAATTTCTCTCTGCTGTCGGTTTGGCCAGATGGAAGATTCTTTTCCTTTGTATATATTTTTAATTGATCTTTGGTATAATAAGTTAATAGGAATCTCCATAAATCCACTGCCATGCAGTCACAGCAGGTTAATTTTAAAAATGGCAACATGTAAAATGAAAACATTATAGGGGGAAAAAATACAAAAAATACAAGTTAGAATCCAAGCTTCGACTATTTAATGGCAGTGTAGTTTTGGGTAAATTCCTCAATTTTTTAAAGCTTCGGTTTCTTCATGTGTGAAAAGATGAGAGAATACTTTCTTTTCAGGATTCTTATGAGGCTTAGAAATAATGTGGCATAAAATACTAGGCACACAGAAGACAAACTAAGAATTTCACTATCCTTTTTATTTTCTGAAGCTGTTAAACTGAGAAGAAACATTTCTTTTTTTTCTTTTTTTTTTTTTTTTGAGACGGAGTCTTGCTCTGTCGCCCAGGCTGGAGTACAGTGGCGTGATCTCGGCTCACTGCAAGCTCCGCCTCCCGGGTTCACGCCATTCTCCTGCCTCAGCCTCCTGAGTATCTGGGACTACAGGCACTGCCACCACGCCTGGCTAATTTTTTCTATTTTTAGTAGAGACAGGGTTTCACCATGTTAGCCAGGATGGTCTAGATCTGCTGACCTCGTGATCCGCCCACCTCGGCCTCCCAAAGTGCCGGGATTACAGGCGTGAGCCACCGCGCCCGGCAGAAGAAACATTTCTAATGAGGTATCGATCAGTCAAAACGATACAGATGTTTTACACAGAGATAATATTTTAAATAAGAATGATTAAAATACCTTCAGGAGACTACCAGGCTAGGTAGTTTAATTGTCATAAGGTCTAAAGCAGTTTGCATCCAGTGGCCTGATTTGTGTGGAAAAGTAAATGTGCAGTTTCATGTAAAGAAATAAGCGATGATTCTTGATGTGAACCAAGCAGCAGCTGTGTTTTGCATGTTACATTTTCTAGCTCTGTAAGTCATTTAAACACACAATTATTCATATTGGAAAAAATCTTTTCTTTAGGTGATGTGATTACTTTTGATAACTGGCGCTTACTTCATGGCCGACGTAGCT
The DNA here is from genome assembly GCF_000001405.40 of Homo sapiens. Classification (NCBI taxonomy): domain Eukaryota; kingdom Metazoa; phylum Chordata; class Mammalia; order Primates; family Hominidae; genus Homo; species Homo sapiens. Next base: position 27,127,344 of record NC_000011.10, read on the forward strand.
ATGAAGCAGGAACTGAGATATCCCGCCATCTAGAAGGAGCTTATGCTGACTGGGATGTGGTCATGTCAAGGCTTCGTATCTTAAGGCAGAGGGTGGAGAATGGAAACTGAAGTCACCTGTAGATAATTTTAATAAGATTCCAATGACCATATTTTGTGAGATATGGCACATTATTCACAGACCATGATCTTTGTGATTTACATATAATTTCCTTAACAATGAACATGTAACTTCTCTCACAAGAGTACTCTTTACTTTGTAATCATATACAATGTCAACTTTTTAGATGTTTCACCACTCTTTTGCAAATAAAGCATCCTTTCTGCTCTGTTGCATGCCTGCTCTAATTTCTTTTGCCCATATATGAGTATCTCCAGAATGTCTACAAATAGTTTTTGTAGCAAATGAAAATTTCTTCAAATAAGCCTTTTGTTTCAAATAAAACTTGTCTCAAAACATGCTTCTACCCTGTTGCCTATAGGATCTCATTTTCCAAGACTGCACACGACCATCTTTAGCATGCTTGGAAAAGGTTTTATATTTCCAAAGATCTGTTTTATGCACTTTTATTATAGAATTCTTTTATCCAAATTTCCAGACCTTGCCAATTTAGTGATTCCAACATTTTCTTTTACTACCTAAATTATGACATCTAAACAAAGCATGATTAATAAAGAGAAAATCTAGTCTCACTTTTTTTTTTTTTTTTTTTTTTTTTAGACAGAGTTTCACTCTTGTTGCCAAGGCTGGAGTGCAATGGCGCTATCTCAGATCACTGCAACCTCCACCTCCGGGGTTGAAGCAACTCTCCTGCCTAAGCCTCCTGGGTAGCTGGGATTACAGGTGCCTGCCACCGCACCCAGCGAATTTTTTGTGTTTTTAGTAGAGACAGGATTTCACCATGTTGGCCTGGCTGATCTCAAACTCTTGACCTCAGGTGATCCACCGGCCTCAACCTCCCAAAGTGCTGGGCTTACAGGAGTGAGCCACTGCACTCAGCCTCGTCTAATTTTATCTTGTCCCAAATAAATACTCCCAACCGCTGTCAGCATTGCTTCCATGTGTCTACGAATCAGATCTCCTCATTTCTTGTTTTTGACTAACAACTGGACAAGGTAAAACCAAGAGACAGGTACTACTTATGAATAACACGATGTCTGCAAATCTCTGGACAGCTTTCCCTGCTGGTCCCAGCTTCCTCCATAGTCACTGCCTTGCCCTAGTGATGGAACACAGGTGTCACTGCCAGCAATGGAATTCCTATTCTTATTGAATCCAGTCTCTCTCTATCCCTGCCAAGAAGACTTAGCATTACCATTTGCTGAAATCCTGGTAGTTCATAGATTTTTGGACCTAATCAAGCTTCCTGTTCGAAAAGTCTTAATTATTGCCACCACTGCAGAGCTCTCTACTTGTTGCCTCCAGACCAAGTAGAAAACATTACTTCCATTGTTGTTTTGACTTTTGCTGCACATCCATTTCAATTTCCACAAAGTGCGCCCATGGCACAGGGAGTCTAGATGAAGACTACCTTTAGCCTGTGTGGGCACACCACTCGGACACTTTGAATTCTGGTATGAAGTCCACATCTCCAGCCAAGACTCCTCCTTCCCTTATAACACTACCCCTTTCTGGGGTCCTCATTGTCCTTTTCTATCATCTGGTCTTGATTTGGGCTACTGTAGTATATCACATGTTTGATTCCTTTGAACCACAAAGGGAATGAGTTGGGTTCTCAATCCCATACCTCCTAAAATGCTCCTAGAATAAAAACAAGTAAATTCGAGATGCATGGCCTGATTCTAAAACGCAACATTCAATACCTAAAAACAAATAATTTGCTGGAGTGACCCTAGATTCATCCATTCATAGCATCTAAACCCAAGGCACTTGCCCAGCTAAAGTGACTTCTTATACTTTTACTTATTTAACAGATATTTATCACATATCTGATATATGTCAGGCACTCTGCTAAAATAAGAATACCAAAGGACATGAAATTTACCTTCTTAGAGTCTGGTAGGGGAGCAGATAAGGATATAGATTATAATGTGCTGTGTTAACAGAATGACCCTCAGGAAGGCAACCAAACCAGACTGGGAATGCTAAGAAAACCTTCAGTCTAAGTTGAATTATAAAGGTTCATAGTAGTTTTCCAGGCAAAGATGGTGAAATAAAACTCCAAGTTAAAGGGTAGAAGAGGCACAGAGAATTGAGAGTAGAAACATGGCATGTGTTGACTTACAAGTGAAAGAAATAGATTACGATGTAATGTGAATTCTGGGGTTGTATGCCTAGGTTCAAACCACGTGTCTTTGGACAAATAACTGTTACTGTTCCCCTTAAGCCTCATTATTTCTATCTATAAATGAAACTAATAACAGTTCTTATCCCATTACATTTTTATGAGGATTAAATGAAAGTTCATGTAAAGCAGTGTTTTCTCAAATTTCTCAGATGATAAGTCACACCCATGGTGCTTTTTTAAAAAATACATCTTCCCAGATCATTCCCTGAGGATTATGATTCAATGGGTCTGGGATGAGGACCAGGAATTATATTTTTAGCAAGGATCCCAGGTGATATTCATCATCAGTGAAGTTTGGAAAATACTGATATAAGACATTTAGCATAGTTCCAGGATCAGGGTTAGTACTCAATAGATATTAACTATAAATTAGTTATAAAAGCAGAATTTGCAGAGGAAGAGGGTGATTTAGTATGAGAAGGGATATATGAAGCTGGAAACAGAAACAATGATCAAGTCATGAAATGTCTAAATGCATGTTACATTAAGGAGTTAGTATTTTATCTTGAAAGCAATTAGGAACCATTTAAAGGTTTTTAAGGAGCAAAGTGCCTTGATTAGATATTCATTTCTTAAGGATTCATCTAGCTTCATGGTGAAGGGAATTGTAAACAGGCAAGAAAGAAGGTCATAAAACTATTTATGAGGTAACTACAGGAAGCCAGATGCAAAATTAAGGAGCACTGAATTAGAACACTGGAAGAGGGAATCGAGAGATACATAGAAAGCAAAATCTAGAGGACTTGACCCACTGCATGTAAAGAATGAGGGAGAGTCTAGCTTGTTGTCTTATGGGTTTATAGTTAGGAGAAATGGGTTGTGCACAGGGAAAAGAAGCCACAATAGTAGGATCAAGCTTGTTCAGCAATAAAATCGATTTCGAACAAACTGAGATTGAGTTGCCACTGAGCTATTCCATCTGACAGTTGGATATATGTGCACATAGACTACGGAACAGAAATCTGAATTAGAGATCTACACTTGGAAAGTATATAGATGGTAGTTGAAATCATCTTATGTTTTCCTGGAGACATTTAGTGATGTGACCAAAGTCACATCCCTAATGGTTGGATGATAAGCTAATGATATTGGCCTAGCTTATAGAATCAGTTACACTCAGAATCAGAGAAGGCTTATATTCAAAATCCGAAATATCTCTTACATATTATATTTTGTCTCTAAAAAAACAGCATTCCAAGCCACTACTCCATGGCCTGACTGTTTCCTTTTCTATTGCAAATATTATTTCTGTCCTGGAAAGGAGACACAGAAGGTTTGGATGCAGTTAAACAATTTCTAAAGTGTTATATAGGACATGACATATTATGGGCTACAGCAGCTGGTGCTAACTGAAGATGATTAGGTTTCCTGGATATAATTGTCTAAAGATTTGACTTCTCCCCAACCTCATAATAGACCTGATGTAAGTTGGATTAGAATTTACCCTTATTTGGCAGTATGGATTCTTACTCTCTGTTCCATTTCTCTGATTTGACTTGGAGAATGTTAGCTACTTGGCTAGTTCATCAAAATGACTCCACAGGTCACCAGAATTACATGTCACAAAGTATTTTCATTGGTCTCTACTTCTCTCCCCAGTCAACCACTAAAGGGCAGGCAAAAGAATATTGGTATAAAGAATTTAAACAAAAAAAGAAATTCTATAGAAAAACAGAGTGATGCTGAGGGTAATTTCTCTTCAGGAATTTAAACTGTGAAACAAGAGGTATTTTATAAACAAAAATATTCCTTTATGTTAAATAACATTTTGAGGAGGGATGTCAACCAAAATTTCTTGCAATGAAAATGTAATTTGGTTGGACTTTATGGTTTGGAGCATACCTCTGAGTCTCTGCACATTTTTTCCAGCTGTCTGGAATACCCTGCTCTACAACCCTTTATGCCTGGAAAACTCCCCTTCTTCCTTCAAAGTTCAGCCTAAGATTGGTCCGCAAGATGATAAAGCCGGAGGTTTCCCACTCATATCCCTCCACAGCAACTATAATTTGGCAGCCATCAACAGACAAAAGTGCATTTGTAGAAGCTTTGGGAACCACATAGGCGGTTTGAAATCCAGTGAAGCTCAAGACCAAACAGGGCTGTTTTGAAAAGGCAAGTCTACACCCAGGTGTAGGGCTCACTGACCATGGTACCAGCTAAAGACCCCAAAACAGCCCCCAACTTCCTATGGACTTAGATACACACCTGTTTAGCATTGGTCTTGCCAGCAGTACCATCTGCCAAGGGACCCAGGAGAAGTCACACCCCCACTCCGTGCCTTAGATAACAGGCCTGCTGACCACAGTCAGCTGAGGACACTGAAGCAGCCTGTGACCCATCTCCAGTCTTGTGACCCACCAGGATCCATGCCCCTGGAGGCAGACTTTCCTACCTCAATCCCATAGCAGATCTTGAAACAACCCTGCAACTTGGCTCTAGCCCCTTTCAGTTGCAGACCAAGAATGGTCCTCCTCTGCAGTGACCTGCCAAAAGACATACCCATTCATGTCCCAAGAAGCAGATCTGCCAACTTCAGTCAGACTACATATCCTGAAGTAGCCCTAGAAAATGGCTCCCATGAGCCCAGCAGGTGGCATACATATCCGTACACCTGGAGGCAGACATACAGGCTACACTCTCAGATATAGACTCTGAAGCAGTACTATAACTTGATTCCAAGCCACCCTGCCAAAGAACCCACCCAGAAACCTACCTAGTAACCTGGTAAGAGCCATCCAAGGGGCCTGGCAAGAGCCAGAATTGTCTGTAAACCAGATAGCATGCCAGCTGTCCATGAACCTAACTGCTGCAGACCCTGAAGTAGGTCCTGTCCCGGCTGCAATCTTACTGACCCAGGTCATGGAGGCAGTCCAGTCTACCCAGGGACCAGACAGGATCCATATCTGACCAGCTCTGGTAATAGGCCAACCAATCACTGAACCCATGATAGACCAATCAGCAGCCATGTAAACTGACCCCAATCCTACACAACTGTGATCCTAGAGGCAATCCCATCAGGGAAAGGACCCAACAGGAAAAGGTCTTTACCTGCCAAACCCAGTCTGTAAAAATTGGAAAAGGCGTTTGCTCCTTCAAATGCGCAGACACCAGTGCAAGGCTTGATGAACCACAGTAATGGAGGCGAATATGTCATCACTAAAGGAAATTAAAGTTTTAGTACTCGACCCCAGAGAAATGAAGATCTATCAATTTTCTGATAAATAACACAAAGTAATCATCTAAAAGAAGCTTGACAAGATGCAAGAAGACAGGATAGACAACTAAACAAAATCAGGAATAAAATACATGAACAAAATTAGATGTTTAATAAAGAAATGGAAACCGTAAAAAAAAAGACCTAAAAAGAAAACCTGAACTAAAGAACACAATGACAGAGTTGCAAAAGCAATAGACAGCTTCACCAGCTTACTCAATAGTGCTAAAGAATCAGGATACTTGAAGACAAGTCACCTGAAATTATCCAATGAGAGGAACAACAACAACAACAACAACAACAGAAAAAAAGAATGGAAAAGAAGGAAGGGAGCATATGGGACCTAAAGGACAGCATCAAGCAAACAAACATATGCATTGTGGGAGTCCAAGAAGGAGAAGAATAAGAGCAGTAGAAAGCTTATTTAAATAAATAATGTCTGAAAACTTCCCAAATCTTGGTAGGAATATGGCTATCCATAATCATGAGGCTCAAGCAACATTAGCTCAAAGAAGATTACACCAATATACATTATAATCAAATTGTCAAAAATCAAAGACAAAGAGAGAATCTTGAAACCAGCAAGAGAACAGCAACTGCAGCTGACAAGGGAACCTCCATAAAGCTATCAGCAGACTCCTAGCAGAAGTCTTACAGGCCAGGAGAGAGTGGGATGACATATTCAAAGTATTGGGGCTGGCAGGGGGTGTGAGGGAGATATCAATCATGAATACTATACCCATCAAAGCTGTCCTTCAGAAATGAAGAAGAGATAAAGTGAATAGAGGCAAACATGTCATTCCTAGAAAAACAGAAGCTGAGAAAATTCATCACCACTAGACCAGACTACAAAACATGCTAAAGGGAGATCTTCAAGGTGAAATGAAAGGACACTAAGTAACAACATGAAAACATAAGAAAGTATAAAATTCATTGGCAAAGGCAAATATATGGTCAAATTTGGAATATTTGAATACTATAATAGTGGTGCATAAGTCATTTTTAAACCCAGTATAAAAGTTAAAAGATAAAAGTATTAAAAATGTTTACAGCTATAATAATTTATTAATAGATACAGAATATTTTTTAAAAGCATATCAATAACATAAAATGTGAGGGGTAAAGTAAAAGTGTAGAATTTTAATATGTAATTGAAGCTATCAGTTTAAAAAATAGACTGTTATACCTGTAAGGTACTTTATGCAAGCCTCATGGTATCCACAAAGAAAACCTCTAGAATCAAAGCATATGCCTATAGATAATCATCACATCACAAAGGAAGACAGAAAAAGAGGAAAAAATAACTACGAACAGAAAACAATTTTTTAAAATGGCAGTCGTTTTTTACCTATCAATAATTACTTTAAGTGTAAATTGATTAAATACTCTAAAATACATTGAGTTACTGAATCAATTAAATAACAGGACACAACTATATGTTACCTAGCAGAGACTCAATTTACCTTCAAGGACATACACAGGCTTTAAGTGAAGAGATGAAAATAATATTACATGCAAATGGTAACCAAAAGAGAACAAGGTTGACTATACTTAGACAAGATGAAAAAAGTTAAACTGTTTCCTCATGTAAATGACATGATCTTATACAAAGAAAACCCTAAAGATGTCACATAAAAATTGTTACAATTAATAAATAAATATAGTAAATTTTCAGGATACAAAATCAGCATACAAAAAAATTAGTCACATTTCTGTACACTAATAATGAACTATCTGAAAAATAAATTAAGAAGATAGTCCTATTTACAACAGCACTAAAAATAATAAAACACTTAAGAATGAACTTAACCAAAGAGGTAAGAGATCTGTGTACTGAAAACTGTAAGACATTGATGAAAGAAATAAATATTAAAGAAGACACAAACACTAAAAACAATCCTAAAATTCATAGGTAGCAACAAAAGGCCCTAAATAGCCAAAGCAATCTTGAATAAGAAAAACAAAGCTGGAAATATCACACTTCCTGATTTCACACTCTCTTACAAAATTATGTAATCAAAACAGTATGGTACTGGCATAAAAACAGACATATTGATGAACAGAACATAACACAAAGTCCAGAAATAAACCCAGACACATATGGTCAACAAATCTTTGACAAGGACCCCAAGAACACACATGGGGTAATGATAGTCTCTTCAATAAATGGTGAGTCAGATATGGCAGAAATGTTGGAACTATTAGACCAGGAATTTTTTTATGATTAATATGTCCTTGTAACAGAAAAAAAGTAGGCAGCATGCAAGCACAGATGGATAATGTAAAGAGAGAGATGGAAATTCATAGAATCAAAAAGAAATACTGGAGATAAAAACAACTATAACAGAAATGTATAACACCTTTGATGGGTTCATTAGTAAACTGGACGTGACTGAGGAAAAAAAATCTCTGAGTTAGAGGACATAACAATAGAAACTTCCCAAACTGAAAAATAAAGAGAAAAAACTTATAAAAAAAAAAAAAAAACAGAACAGAATATCCAGGAACTGTGGGACAACTACAAAAGGCATAATGTGTAACTGTTGTGGGAAGTCAGGGACCCTGAACAGAGGGACCAGCTGAAGCTGTGGCAGAAAAACATAAATTATGAAGATTTCATGGACATTTATTAGTTCCCCAAATTAATACTTTTATAATTTCTTACACCTGTCTTTACTGCTATCTCTGAACATAAATTGTGAAGATTTCATGGACATTTATCACTTCCCCAATCAATACTCTTATAATTTCCTATGCCTGTCTTTACTTTAATCTCTTAATCCCATCATGTTTGTAAGCTGAGGATGTGTGTCGCCTCAGGACCCTGTGATGATTGTGTTATCTTTACAAATTGTTTGTAAAACATGTGTGTTTGAATGATATGAAATCTGGGCATCCTGAAAAAGAACAGGATAACAGCAATTTTCAGGGAACAAGGGAGATAACCATAAGGTCTGACTGCCTGCGGGGCCTGGCAGAACACAGTCATATTTGTCTTCTTGCAGAAAGCAAATAGGAGAAATATCGCTGAATTTTTTCCCAGCAAGGAATAATCCTGGGGAAGGAATGCATTCCCAGGGGTAGGTCTACAGATGGCCGCTCTGGGACTGTCTGTCTTATGTGGTTGAAGATAAGGGATGAAATACGCCCTCGTCTCCTGAAGTGCACTCAGGCTTACCAGGATTGGGAAATTCCAGCCTGGTGAATTCTAGTCAGTCCGGTTGTCTGCTCTCAAACCCTGTTTCCTGTTAAGATGTTTATCAAGACAATACGTGCCCAGCGGGACATGGAACCTCATCAGTAATTCTAATTTCACCCTCTGCCTTGTGATCTTTTATTGCCCTCTGAAGCATGTGATCCCTGTGACCTACTCCCTATTCGTACACCCCTCCCTTTTTGAAATCCCTAATAAAAACTTGCTGGTTTTGCAGCTCAGGTGGGCTCCACAGAAACTGCCGATACATGATGTCACCCCCAGAGGCCCAGCTGTAAAATTTTTCTCTTTGTACTCTTTATTTCTCAGACCGGTTGACCCTTAGGGAAAATAGAAAAGAACCTACACTGAAATATTGGGGGCTGGTTTCCCTGATATGTAACAGGAATATGAGGAGGAGAAAGACGGAAAGGTACAGAAGCAGTATTTGAAGCAATAATAACTAATTTCCCCAAATTAATATCAGATGCTAAACCAGAAATCCAAGAATTTCAGAAAACAACAAGCCAGATAAATCCCAATAGCAACAAAAACTACACCTAAGCATATTATATTCAAAGTTTGAAAATCAAAAATAAAGAAAGAAACCTTGTTAGAAGTCAGAGGGAAGAAAACACTTTACCTACAGAAAAACAAGAATAAGAATTACACCATACTAGTCTTCAGAAACCATGCACACAAACAAGCAAGAAGACAGAGAAGTGAAATATTTAAGTGTTGAGAGAAAGAAAAACATCAACCTAGAATTCTGTACCCAGAGAAAAACAATCCTTTAACAGTGATAAAGAAATAGAGACTTTCTAAAACAAAAATTGAGGGAATTTGTGGCCAGTAGACCTGCCTTACAAGAAATGTTAAAAGAAATTCTTCAGTGAGAAAGAAAAAGATGTAGGCCAGAAACTCTAATCTACATAAAAAACGAAGAGCATCAGAGAATAAATAAGTGAAAGTAAAATAAAACATCACTATACCTTGAGTGGTAATTAGGTTCTCAAGTTTTTGGTTACATGAATCCTTCAGTCAATGTCTCTGATGAGAATCAGCTTTTGCCAGCTTTAGTTAGAACGTGAACTACCTTGATCAAGTCTCAGGACTTCTTTCTTTCATTTAATGTTAGTAGATAGCACTGAGTGTTTTCCATGTTTATAATGTTAATATCAGGCTACAGTATTACCATGTTGGTATCAGACGGCAATCATTGTAATAAAACCACAGGATCTTGCTCTCTTGTGGGATTCTAGGCTCAGGCGTTTGACTTTAGAAAGTTCATGAACACCCTGAAATTATATGTACTATGTATTTATGCATGTGGTATGTATCACACGTTTTTCTGAGTCAAAAGATTATTAGTTCATCAGATTTTTGTAGGTAACTGAGATCCCCTGTAAAAACAAACAAATAAACAAACAAAAAACTATTCTTATAAAGTTGTTATTGAGCCCTTGGATGAAAAAAACATTACTTGGGTTTTTGCCTTTTACAGGTTTTCAAAAACACTTCCAATCCATTCATTTGCTTATATTTATAACAGGTCTCTGAAAAAGGCAAGGTTGTTCTGCCCTTATGCCAGTAGAGGAGACAGTCTTTTCATTTTGTTTGGTAGAACACCACATCAAAATGAGATGAGTTTGTGTTCATCTTTACTTCAATACTGCTAGTGGATAAGATTAGTCAGTCTCATAGGAAAAAAAAAGGATAATCAAAACTAGCTATTATTCTTTACAATATTACTCTTTGTGATAGCTAGTTTTGATTATCCTTTTTTTCCTACTGAATTAACCAATTATTTTGTTAACATGTATACAACCATAATAAATGCCTTTAGTGATGATCGCTGTGTCAAGTCTTAATGGAAGCTGCCCCTTCCCATCATTAAGATAAGCAGTGTGAACAGGTCAGTGTAAAACCCAACAGTACAATCTGAAATTATTAGGAAGTATCCCTTTAGAAGGTACTACCCTCAGATTCATTACCACAAACACCCACCTCCCAACTTTCCCCATCCTCACCACCCAGTAACCTAAAGAAAGCACAATGAGTATACTGTGAACAGACTTGGAATTTTATTTCTGCTAAAACTGTAAATTTTTTTCTAATTCCAATTTAGTTTTAAAGATTTGAAAATAGAAACAGATGGGGTTAGCAGATGTTATTAAGAAAAATATTTCCTACTTAAATGCTACATACCCAATGTAAGCATTTAATTAAATATTTGAGTAACGTTTAAAAGCCATTTTTAGAGGAAGAGGAAAAGCCATTATTTTCCTACAACTTTTATTATGAAATTTTTGTCTGATAATCACCCAATGTTGATTTTTCAGAAATTTCTTCATAAACTTGGATTCCCCTTCCCTCTAGAAATAATGAAATAACCTTTTGCATTACACTCCAATAAATACTTAGATCTATAAAACATGAAATCATCTTAAATGTCATTAAATTCACTATTTCCAAAAGTATAACAATATCATTAGCAATAGATAGTTATTTTAAAATTTCAGAATTTAAACTTTTTAAAAATGTTTATTATATATTTTATAGTTAAAATTTTCTAATTATGGTAAGTGATGCTGATTTTCCATTTATAATAATTACATAAAGCTCCTTTTAAAATTAAACTTAAGTAACTATTTTAAAAATACTACTAACAGTGCAGGTGGTACTATTTTGAAGGTAGTACTGAATTGACCAAAGTTTGGAAAATGCTGATCATTTTATGAACAAGCAAATAGAATCACAGAAGAGAAATTACTTTCCATGGCTATACATAGTGAGTAACAGAGCCAGAATTCAAACACAAGTTTTGGATTCCACATTATTTCTCATTCCACTGTTTCACACTGTGAGGATTTCAATTTCATGTGGAATTAGCTTGGCTCCATGATGCTTCCAAATGTCTGACCAATGGCTTTACTTTGCATTTGCTTTGAAGCAATCCCAGAAATGATTCAAGAACAAACATGAAGGGGCAAAGAGGTCATCTGAGGGTCTAATATTTATGAGAATCTAAATCAGTGCAAAAGCTCTAAAATTGCAGAACACATTAGAATCACCTGGGAAGCTTATTTAAAATGCTGACCCCTAGGCCACACCTATTCAGATTCAGCTGACCTAGGTCTAAGAATCTGGATATTTAACCATCATCCAAAAGATTTGGGTGTGGGTGGTCCATGAACCATACTTTAAGAAATAGCATTCATATCACCTGGTCCAAAAGAAGCATTTCATTCTGACTAAAAAAATCCTGAGGGACCTTTAATGGCCATGCCTTGTCTGTACTTGTTTCACTTTCCTCAGGCAAAGATTTCCGTTATTTTCCTTTGGTATGTCAGTAGCAATGAGAGGCATCCAGACAGGGTATGCTTACCCTATTCTATGACATTAGGGATTGATAACTAGATCCTTTTTTCAGCCATAATAAGTCATATTTCTTCCTCAGCCTCTCACTTACCACATGCTCTCCTTATAACCTAAACTTTTCCTTGGAAGCATTTACCACACTGTAATCAAAAGGTTTTCTGCATAATTAATGATCCAGATTTTTTTTCCTCCCTAGACAAACATGATGGCATTGGCACAGTTATATTAACAACACATGGCATACCCAGAACCCAGCAGACATTCAATAAACAGTTGCTGAATAAATAAGTAAAGTATCACTTTTGAGTGTAGAATATTTCTTTTGGAAATAATCCAAAACTCACATTTGATAGGTAGAAGACATTTTCCCTCCCTTTTATTTTTAGAGAAAGTTGCATTTATAATTATGATCCCATTATGTGGCTGGGAAGATGTTGATTATAACTGCTCTCAAATTACTGAAATCAATATAATAATGAAACATTTATACTGAGTGCAAAATGAGTACTTTTGTTTATTTGTATATGATGTAAGCAGAAGCCCTGACCTAAGCTTGACAATCTCTGCAAGCCATATGGAAAATATCACTGTCACTGATGTTTCATGAGCCTAAATAATGCTATAACTTCTCTCTAAGAAATATCAGTGTGCTGACCCAGAGGCTTAGTTTTCATTATACATATAAAGATATAAATCACAAGGTTTCCCTTTTAATACACTCATGTAAAATTGCAGAATTTGTCACCTGACTGTTCTGGGTTAAGTCATACACAGAGAGACCTAATTATTCAGCTGGTGGCAGGGTAGCAGGGTGCAGAAGATGCAGTGAATATAGACATGCTGCTTCACTTTAAGACATAAATAATAATATTTCCTTTTTTAATACACCTAAGCAAAACTCAGTTCTTACCACCCTAGTTGTTTAAGTCCTCATTCTCAGACCAATGGTGGGACAAAGGCAGATGAAGAAAAAGGATGTAATGAATATAAATGTGCAAGGGAAAAGAAAACTTATTTATAAGATTTTATTTTTCCTTATATAATTTGCTTTCAAATTTTAGCCAGTGTTCTTGAAATACTGGATTCAACCAGAATTGAAATGAAACTCTCATGAAAGCTAGCATTTAATGATCTCTGGAATGTCCTATACATTTTCTTGAAAACAGCTGAAAGTTCTAGTAATGATGAATAATGTACTTTCTCAGCAATCAAAGGGAGACCTAGTCTCAAGCTTGAAAAAGCTCACATCTGAAGCCATCACTAAGTTGTTTGCCACTGGGATTATTGGGCAAAAAATTAAATCAGGGTACCCCTGTAAAATCTTTTAAGTTAAGACAATCTAGGATACCACTTAACTTTCCTTTAGCAGCAACGCAGACCCTAGAGTCACTGTCTCTCCCTGCATACCTATCCTCCCAATCCCAACTTCATGGCTGCTCAGTATGTATCACCATCTCAATCACTGGAACCGCAACCACTGTGGGCTGGCTATCCTGTGCCCTGGACCCTATGGCCACTGTCATTCTACAGGTGTCTATGCTCCTAACCCCAGCTCCATGGCTGTTCCATGTGCACTTGCATGTCACGCCCTGAAGCTATCACCACTGTGGGCTAGCTACTGAAACAATGGGCTATCTAGCACAATGCCACCTATGAGCTGGACCTGGCACCAAGAGGAATCCCATCAGCCATGAAATCCCCCATAAGAAACAAACAACAACAAAAAGAGATCAGGAAGTCCTCAGCAGCCTTCCACCAATTACGCCAACAGCCCTTGCTGCTACTGAAGATACCCAGAGCCTTGGCCATTGAGGACTCCTAAAATCTTCAAAGATGCTGATCAAAGGTGACAGACAGGCACAGATACTATACCACTGGGCCTTTCCCAGAACTGTAACTGCCACACTCCACCCAGCTGGCACCCTCACATCTACCCACAGATGAAGGTCCTTCCCCACCAAAACCAGTCCATAAAACCTGGAAGAGGTAACTGGCTCCATCAAATATGCAGACATCAACACAAGACTATAACAAAAATTTTGTTTAAATCAAGAAAGATGACAACACCAAAGAGACACAATAATTTTGTAGTAACAAACCCAAAGATGAATACCTAAAATTTCATGGACAAATAATTCAAAATAATTGTTTTAAGGAAGCTCTGTGAGCTCTAAGGGAAGATAAGCTGATAACTCAATGAAATCAGGAAAATAATAATGAAAGAATATACAAACAAAATGAGAAGTCCAACACACAGAAATCATTAAAAAGAACCAAACAGAAATTCTGAAGCTGAAAAATATAATGAATGAAATGAGAATTGCAATAGAGAGCATCCACAACAGACTTGATCAAACCGAAAAATCTTTGAGCTTGAAGACAACTCATTAGAAATTATCCATGCAGAAGAGAAAAGAAAAAAAAAAGAAAAGCAATGGAGAAACATATGTGAATTATGGGACTCCACCAATGTAAACAATCAAATTATGAGAGTTCCAGAAGGTATAGAGAAGGAAAAAAAAACAGAAAGCTTATTTTAAAAAACGTAAATTACATTTTTCCAAATCTTGCAGAATTATGGACATCCAGGTACCTGAAACTCATATGTCCCCATACAAGGTCAATTCATAAAGAACTTCATAAGGCACATTATAATAATAAAATCGTCAAAAATCAAAGGCAAAGAAAGAATTTTGAAAGCAGCAAGAAAAAAAAGAAAACTCATCTCACACAAGGAAACTTCCATAAGACTATTAGCAAGTGTCTCAGAAGAAACTTTGCAGGCTAAGAAAGAGTGGGATGATATCTTTAATCATTAAAATGAAATAACTGTCAACTAAGAATAATTTACACACAAAAAAGCTGCCCTTCAGAAATAAAGGTGAGATAAAGACTTTCCCAGACAAACAAAAGCTGAGGAAGTTCATTACCAGTAAACCTGCCTTACAAGAAATACTAAAGAGAGTTCTTCAAGTTAACATGAAAGGATGCTAACTAACCACATGAAAACATATGAAAGTCTAAAAGTCCCTATAAAGGTAACAGTATAGTCAAATTCAGAATACTCTAATATGGTAATATTGGTGCTTAAATCACTATTAACTCTAATATAAAAGTTAAAAGACAAAAATATTAAAATAACTATAGCTACAATAATTTGTTAATAGATATACAATATTAAAAAGTATAAATTATGACATCAATAACATAAATGTGGAGGGAGAGGTAAAAGTGCAGTTTTTGTTAAGTGTACAGTATCTAGATGAAGTTATATATTATTAGCATAAAATACTGGTATAATTATAAATATTTTATGTAAGCCTCCTGGAAACCACTGAGAAAAAACCCGTAGTACATTCAAATAAAAAGGAGAATTAGATCGAAGCATAACACTATTTAAAAACTCATCAAATCATAAAGGATGACAGCAAGGGAGAAAGTAAGAAACAAAGAATGTATAAAACATTCAGGTCCGGGCATGGTGGCTCACACCTGTAATCACAGCACTTTGGGAGGCCTAGGCGAGCAGATCACCTGAGGTCAGGAGTTCAAGACCAGCCTGGCCAACATGTTGAAACCCTTCTCTACTAAAAATACAAAAATTTGCCGGGCATGGTGGTGGGAGCCTGTAATCCCAGTTCCTCAGGAGGCTGAAGCAGGAGAATCACTTGAACCCAGGAAGTGGAGGTTGCAGTTAGCCGATTGTGCCATTGCACTCCTGCCTGGGCAACAGAGCAAAAACTCCATCTCAGAAAAAAAAAAAAAAAGAAAAGAAAAGTGGCAGGGCACGGTGGCTCACGCCTGTAATCCCAGCACTTTGGGAGGCCGAAGCGGGCGGATGACCTGAGGTCAGGAGCTCGAGACCAGCCTGACCAACATGGAGAAACCCCGTCTCTACTAAAAATACAAAATTAGCCCAGTGTGGTGGTGCGTGCCTGTAGTCCCAGCTACTCAGGAGGGTGAGGCAGGAGAATCGCTTGAACCTGGAAGGCGAAGGTGGCAGTGAGCTGAGATTGCGCCACTGCACTCCAGCCTGGGCAATAAGAGTGAAACTCCATATCAAAACACACACAAAAAAAAAAAAATAGAGAGAGAAAATGCAGGGGAGAAAGAAACCCTAATTGTGGTCTCTGCAGAGTGAGCGAGACAGGCAAATTTTGATGAGACTTCAAAACTTGGGCAAAGAAATTGGGATGGAATGGGATTTTAATTTTTGTTCCTTTGGCCTGAGGACAAATTGCAATGATCACATTATGTAGGCAGGCTAATTCCCTGAAAGAAAGCCTTCCACCAGGCAGGGACTGAACAATTGAGCCTGGAGGATTCACAGTCACCAGAAAATGAAGAGGCAGTCTTAGAGAGTAGAAATCTAAAGAAGGGGGCTCCAAATGATGTGTAAGATTTCTAATACAGGCCGGGCGCGGTGGCTCATGCCTGTAATCCCAGCACTTTGGGAGGCCGAGGCAGGCGGATCACCTGAGATCAGAAGTTCGAGGCCAGTCTGGCCAACATGGTGAAACCCCGTCTCTACAAAAATACGAAAATTAGCCAAGTATGATGGCGGGTTCCTATAATCCCAGCTACTCAGGAGGCTGAGGCAAGAGAATTGCTTGAACCCAGGAGGCGGCCAAGATTGCGCCACTGCACTCCAGCCTGGGTGACGGAGTGAGACTCCGTCTCAAAACAAAAGAAAACAAAAAAACAGAATTCTGAAACATATGTGCTGGATATACTCAAAAAACAACCCCTCTAAAACTAAACTAATCTGAGATCTAAACCTCCACTGCAAGTGAGACAGACTCACTTTCTTATCTGAGTTTAATCAAGTTAAGTGCCTAGTAATACAAAAACATCACCACTCTTCAGATGATTAAAATATACATAGCATCCTGACACATAAATTCACAACATTTAGGAGACAATCCCAAATTACTCAAATTATAACATGCTAGGAAAGTATGAGCCATTCTCGTGAAGAAAGACAAACATTAGATGTCAACCCAAAATGACCCAGATTTGGAGATTATCAGGCAATGACTTTAAAGAAGCTATTAAAACTATGCCCACAAGTTGAAGAAAAATATGTTTAAATGAAACAAAAGAGTAGGAATCTTGGCAGAGAAATAGAAAATTAAAAGTAAATTGGAATTTTAGAACTAAAATATACAAAATCTGAAATGAAATTAGCTAAATGGGCTTAAAAACACAAATGAACATAATGGAGGAAATATTCAATAAGCTTGAAAATAAATCAATAAAAATTATTCCATCTGAAAAAGAGAGAAAAGATTGAAAAATAATATGCAGAACCTCAGGAGCATGTGGGGAGATCTCAAAACTACAGAATATGTGTAATTTTTGTCCAAAAGAAGAAAAGAGAGAACAAAGAAAGAAAGATTATTTGAAGAAAGAATAGCTGAAAACCCCCAAATATGGTAAAGGACATCTATACTGATTCACACATTCAAGAACCATAGCTGAAAACCCCTAAATATGGTAAAGGACATCTATACTGATCCACACATTCAAGAACCTTAGCAAACACTAAGCAGGATAAGCATTACTAAAACCACATCTAGGCATATCATAGTCAAACTGCTGAACCCAAACACAAAAAGAAAAAAAATGAAAACAACCAGAAATAAGCATATTGCAGGAAGGGAACAGAGATTCAAATAACCGTGAACTTTTCAGAAACTATGAGATCCAGAAAACAGTGTGATTTGTTTTAAATTGCTGAAAGAAAATTGTCAGCCTAGAATTCTATATCCTTTACAAATAAAGGTTTAAAAAAGTCACTTTCATATAAAATAAACTAAGAGAATTTATTGCCAGAAGACCCACACTAAAAGGCATGCTAAAAGGAAATTCTTCAGACTAAATGAATTTGACAGAGTTAAACACAGATCTTTTAAGAATGAACAAAAAGCATCCAAAATAGTAAAAACTTGGTTCATATAAGAACCATTTTTTTTTGAGACAGGGTCTCACTCTGTCATCTTGGCTGGAGTGTGGGGGTGCAATCATAGCTCATTGAAACCTAGAAATCCTAGGCTCAAGTAATCCTCCCATCTCAGCCTCGTGAGTAGTTAGGACTACAGGCACATTGCACCATGCCAGGAGAATTTTTTCTAGTTTTTGTAGAAATGGGATCTCACTGTGTTGCCCAGGCTGGTCTTAAACTTCTGGCCTCAAGCAATTCTCCCACTTCAGCCTCCCAAAGTGCTAGGATTACAAGAATGAGCTACCATGTCTAGCAAATTTTTCTTTCTTAATGTCTTTAAAATATATACAAATACTTAAAGCAAAAGTTGTATTATATTTACCATGTGATCCAGCCATTCAACTCCTAGATATATGTACCCAAGAGAAATGAAAACATGTCCACAAATGTTTACAGCAGCATTATTCACAATAGCCAATGTCCAAAAACTGGATACATATAAATGCTTACCAAACAGTGACTAGATAAATAAAATGTGGTGTATTTACACAACGAACTACTACTCTGCAAATAAAAAGGAACAAATTTCTGATGCATGCACCATGCATAAGTATAAAAAAAATCAAAGAATACACAGTGTGTGTGACTCCATTTATAAAAAAATTCTAGAAAATGTAAAATAATCTACAATGGCAAAAACAGATCAGTGGGTTTCCTAGGCTGGGGCAGAGGGATGTTTGGACTGCAAAAGAGCACAAGGAAGCTTTTGAGGTGATGGGAATGTTCTGTAACTCGATTTTGACTGTGGTTTTCCTGATGTCAAAATTCATCTATGTACTATATACCTCCAATGGCTGCAGTTTATTGTATCTAAAATATTATTCAATTAAATTGATGAAAAAATTTCAAAGTAAAAAAATAGTAGGAAGAAATGAGTTGTCTAAGAAACCAAGCACAAGAGAGGGTGGTAAAAATGAAAAGTGTTTAAGTGTTTGTAAGAAATAAAATGTGATGGCTTACATATGCCCACAAATGAGACTAAAGTGCATTTGAGGAAGGCTTCCTCTTTCCCAAAAGATGATTTTACACTGACTGCTACACACTTACAGGTCAGTGTGTTCCTTTTCCCCTACCTCTGATCCATAGTCATCAAATAACTGTTGTCTCAGGACAAAATTTCCTGCTCAAGAATATCCCAGACATTATAGAAAACCAGTATTTTGGAAGTTGAAAGATTCTGAAACATTTAATCATAATTGCATATTTGTAAATTTATAAAAAAGACATTGAGCCAACCCAAATGCCCATCAAGGATAGACCAGATAAAGGAAATGTGGTACATATACACCCTATGCAGCCATAAAAAGAATGAGCTCATGTCCTTTGCAGGGACATGGATGAAACTGGAAGCCATCATCCTCAGCAAACTAATACAGGAACAGAAAACCAAACACCACATGTTCTCACCTATAAGTGGGAGTTGAACAATGAGAACACATGGACACAGGGAGGGGAACATCACACACCAGGGCCTGTCAGGGCATGGGGGGCAAGGGGAGGGAGAGCATTAGGACAAATACCTAATGCATGCGGGGCTTAAAACCTAGATGATGGGTTGATAGGTGCAGCAAACCACCATGGCACATGTATACCTATGTAACAAACCTGCACGTTCTGCACATGTATCCCAGAACTTAAAGTAAAATCAGAAAGAAAAGAAAATACTTTATAATTATATTTAAATATTTGATATAATTGTATTTGAATATAATTTAAATACTAAATAATTTGAATATTAAATACAATTATATTTAACATCTATTCCATAAAATTATTTTGGATGAGTTAATTTGTCTCATTGTTACCAGGGTTGACTGAAGAGCACTAAGTATTTCTTAGATTTTTAAAAAGTAAACTAATGTATGATTCAGCAATTGCACTCCTTGGTGTTTACTCTGATGAACTGAAAACTTATGTCCATACAAAAACCTGCACGTGGATATTTATAACAGCCTTATCCATAATTGCCAAAACCTGGAAACAACCAAGATGTCCCTTGTAAGTGAATGAATAAATAAACTATGGTACATCAGACAATGGAATATTACTCAGCACTAAAAGGAAATGACCTATCAAACCAGGAAAAGACATGGAAGAAACTTAAATACATATTACTAAGTGAAATAAGCCAACCTTCAAGAGCTACCTACTGTATAATTCCAACTATACGACATTCTGGAAAAGGGATAACTATAGAAATAGAAAAGAAAAAAAAAAGATCAGTAGTAGCCAGGGTTTAGTAGGGAAGAAGGGAAAAATTGGTGGAACACAGAGGATTTTTAGGGAACTATATGATACTGTAGTAGTAGATACATGCCAGTAGACATTTGTCAAAACCTATAGAATGTACAATACCAAGGGAGAACCCTAATGTAAACTTTAGGTGATGATATGGCAACACAGGTTCATTTAATGTACCATTGTGGTGCGGGATGTGGATAGCGGAGTAGATTGCATGTGTGTGGGGACATGGGATTTACAGGAACTCTCTGCGCTTTCTGCTCAATTTTGCTAAAACTAAAACTTCTATAAAAATAGAATTTCTTGATTAAAAAATAATAATAAAACTGTCTCTAAGAGCACATTTACTAAAAGAACATTGGCTTTAGATCTAATGGAAAGACAAAAACAGCAGGCTCTAGTATTGTTAAAATTACCAGAAGAATTTTGCTTTTTAATATTTCATTTTACTCCCTGAAGAGCTAAGTTTGAGCCAACCACTTAAAAAAGAATTTGGACTGAATCAGAATCAAAATTTTATTGGAAAAGTTTTGAACAGTTTTCATAATTTCATTTTTTAAAAATAAATGCATTACTTAACCTCTCTTGTATTTTCTATTTTGGGAGTAATAGGCAGAGAAATGTGTTTAGGCTACTGTATGATAATCAGTTCTTACTAATATGGGAAGAAGGAAGAGAAGGATGAGGAAGAAAAGGAAAAAGATGACAGAATGTGGAAGGAAGAGAGGAGAAGAAGAAGAACAAGCTCTCTTTTCATAATTTTATCCTGTACTTCTTATCTATATCATCCTGTCAGAAAACCTCTCTCTGTAGAATCACAGTAAATGGAACCAGCATGTGTTGTGTTTTATGTGGTTTATATAATTTATTTTGAAGGGACAAAAATTTTTAAAAAGTAACTCAATAGAACCAGAATGGAAAGGTTTTATTGTGATTTTATGTGATCTTAAATGCTACATAGAACTATCTGGACCTAAAATAGAGGAGAAAGAGATTATACCAGAAGGCTCCAAATTTAATAAAATAGACTCCACATACAGAAATTCTGGCAGGCTAGCAGAAAGTGACTTAGAAAAACAGTTATGTCTCCATCACAATATGCAACCCTCCAAGATCCCTGAGCTTGGTTTGCATAAAACAGGACAGTTCTCTTGATGCAGGGATTGTTGGCCATTTCTGTATAAAGGGACTTCTCTTTCCTGGGATAGCTAAGGCATTTACTAAGTGTATTAGTCAGTTCTTGCACTGCTATAAAGAAATACCTGAGACTGGATAATTTATAAAGAAAAGAGGTTTAATTGGCTCATGGTTCTACAGGCTGTACAGAAAGCATGATGCTGGCACCTGCTTGGCTTCTGAGGAAGCCTCAGGAAACTTAAAATCATTGCAGAAGTCAAAGGGGGAGCAAGCACTTCACATGGCCAGAGCAGGAGAAAGAAAGCAACAGGGGATGTGCTACACACTTTTAAACAACCAGATCTCATGAGAACTCACTCACTCTTGTGACAACAGTACCCTCGGAGAAATCTGCCTCCGTGATCCAATCACCTCACACCCGGCCCCACCTCCAACACTGGAGATTACAATTGAACATGAGATTTGGGCAGGGACATATATCCAAACCATATCATTCTGCCCCTGGCCCCTCCCTAAACTCATGTCCTTCTCACTTTTCAAAATCCCTTCTCAACAGTCCCCCACAGTCTTAACTTCTTTAAGCATTAAATCAAAAGTCCAAAGTTCAAAGTCTCATCTGAGACAAAGCAAGTCACTTCCACTTCTAAGCCTGTAAAATCAAAAACAAGTTAATTACCCCCCAAGGTAAAATGCGAGTATCGGCATTGGGTAAATATTCTCATTCCAAAAGGGAGAGATCAGCCAAAAAATTAAAAAAAAAAAAAAAGAGGAGGGCTCCTGGCCCCATGTAGCCTGAAACCAAGCAGGGCAGTCATTAAATCTTAAAGCTCCAAAATAATTTCTTTTGACTCCACGTCTCATCCCGGGCACACTGTGGCAAGGGGTGGGCTTCCAAGGCCTTGGGCAGTCCTGCCCTGTGGCTTTGCAGGATTTAGCCCCTGCAGCAGCTCTCAAGGGCTAGTGTTGAGTGGCTATGGCTTTTTCAGACCGAGGGTACAAGCTGCTGGTGGCTCTACCATGCTTTATCATTCTGGGGGCTGGAGGACGATGACCCTCTTCTCACAGATCCACTAGGCAGTGCCTCAGTGGGGACTCTGCGTGCGGGCTTCAACCCCACACTTCCCCTCTGCACTACCCTAGTAGAGGTTCTCCATGAGGGTTCTACCTCTCATTCAGGCTTCTGCCTGTACATCCATGCATTTCCATACATTCTCTGAAATCTAGGTAGAGGCTCCCAAGTCTCAATTCTTGCATTCTGTGTGCCCACAGGCTTAACACCATGTGGAAACAGCCAAGGCTTATAGCTTGCACCCTCCAGAGCAGCAGCCCAAGGTTTACATGGGCCCCTTTTAGCCATGGCTGAAGCTAGAGCTTCTGGGACACAGGAAGCAGGGTTCTGAGGCTGTGCATTGCAGTAAGTCTTGGGTCTGGCCTACAAAACCATTCTTCCCTCAGAGGCCTCTGGGCGTGTGATGGGAGGGGCTGCGAAGAAGGTCTCTGAAATGCCTTCAAGACTTTTTCCCAGTTGTCTTGGCTATTAGCATTTGGCTCCTCTTTACTTATGCAAATTTCTGCAGCCTGTTTGAATTCCTCCCCTAAAAATGGGCTCTTCTTTTCTACCACATGGCCAGGCTGCAAATTTTTCAAACTTTTATGCTCTTCCTCCCTTTTAAATACAAGTTCCAGTTTCAGACCATATCTTTGCTTACACATATGAGGAAAGGTTGCTAGAAGCAGCCAACCCATATCTTAAACACCTTTGCTCCTTAAAAATTTCTTCCACCAGTTACCCTAAATCATCTCTCTCAAGTTCAAAGTTCCACTGATCCCTAGAGCAAGGGCACAATATAGCCAGGCTCTTTGCTAAAGTACAGCAAAAGTGAGCTTTACTCTAGTTCTCAGTAAGTTCCTCATTTCCATCTGAGATCTCCTCAGCCTAGATGGACTTCATTGTCCACATCACTATCAGCATTTTGGTCACAACCATTCAACAAGTCTCTAGGTAGTTCCACACTTTCCCTCATCTTCCTGTCTTCTTCTGAGCCCTCCAAACTGTTTCAGCTTCTGCCTATTACCGAGTTCCAAAGCTGCTTGCACATTTTCAGGTATCTTTATAGAAATGCCCCACTCCTTAGCACCAATTTTCTGTATTAGTCAATTGTTACACTGCTATAAAGAAATATCAGAGACTGGGTAATTTATAAAGAGAAGAGGTTTAGTTGGCTCACAGTTCTGCAGGCTGTACAGGAAGCATCTTCTCAGCTTCTGGGGAGGCCTCAGGAAACACACAATCATGGCAGAAGGCAAAGGGGGAGTGAGCACTTCACATGGCTGGAGCAGGAGGAAGAGAAAGAAAAAGGAGTTGTTACACACTTTTAAACAACCATATCTCACAAGAACTCACTCACTATTAAAACGACAGTACCAAGGAAGAAATCTGCCCCCATAATCAAATCACTTCCCACCAGGCCCCACCTCCAACATTGGGGATTACAATTGAACATGAGATTTGAGTGGGGACACATATCCAAACCATATCACTAAGCAATGAAAGGGAAGATTCCAGAGGTAAAGCAGAAGGTCCAATCCCCCAACCAAAGTTAATTTTACATCTTCCTAACATACTCGACACTTACTTCTTCATCCTGTCTCCTAAGAGTTCCACTATCCATCCCATTGCTGAAGTCAGTAACCTATGAGCAATCCACACTTCTTCCAGTTCCCCACTCTAGATATCCACTCACCAAATCCCTTTGGTTTCATATATACAATGGTACTAGATTCTGCGTACCCTACTCCATTCCCACAGTCATTTTCCAAGTAGAGATCCTACTATCTCTTCCCTAGACTAGTATAATACCCTCCTCCCTAGCCTCCCTCTAATCTTATGGGAATGCCTCCCATCCATTCTGCCCTTGACAGCCAGATCAACTTCCAAAATGCAAATCCTACTGATCCATAGCCAGTAAGTACCCATATTGCCACACAATTGTTTAAGTCTGTGTGGTTAAAATACATACCACCTGCTAAATATTAAATGTTATCCTGGGAGTTGATCTTGCCACTCTCTTCCTTAAAACCACTCTCTTATTTAAAATGTGTTGCCTTCAGGATATAATTCAATGCAAAGCAGGAGAGATAATTTCCTAAAATACCATTTTTGTTTGTTATCTCCTTTACCATCTAATGCTGCTTCCAAACTGGTAACCAAGACTTGCAGTTCTTTGCCCTAGAGATTCTGATGGGAGAAAATTAGAAACTGGGGTCTTTTATAAATGTCTACATCTTTTGAAGAGTAGACAGTACTTAGATTACATTAGATCACCTGGAAGATGAGGAGACAGAACTGATGAGGTCATAGGAAACAATTGTAGGGCATTGGGGGTGAAATAGAAAAATGTATGCACAGTAGGAATCTAAACGCTACACCTCGAACAGTGCAGTAGAAAGGTAGAGAAGCCTCAGAATAAAAGGCGGAATGGTCCACCCAGAGAATCTAGATCCTAGACACTAGAGTTCCCACTTCAACAAAGAGTCTCATAGGTGACTACAAAGCCACAAACCTGCAGGAACCAAAAGGATATGAAGGCTGGAACAATGGGCTCTCCATGACAACCACTGTGGTCAGATGATTGATGCGCTAAAGGGTCTCTCTAAATGTGTGAACTTAGGAGCATGGGAAGCTCCAAGAATAATGAAAGTGTTGTCTGTCTCATGAGCTCCTAAGGCATCCTATCGTGGATCTTATTATGCTCAATGTAGCTACCATTTTTTGTTGCCATTTTTGGCTACCATTGTCAGCCCAGGTGATAGTAAACTTTTTCTGTAAAGGGCCAGACAGTAAATATTTAACCCCAAATTGTGACCAATACAGTCTGGCACAGCCACTCAACTCTACCATTATACGACAAAACAGCCAAAGACAATATGTAAATGAATGGGCACATCAGAGTTCCAATAAAACTTTATTTGCAAAAACAAGCAGTGGGGCAGATTTGGCCCAAGGGCCGTAATTAGCCAACTTCTAGTCCAATGTATTAAATTATAAGCTCACTGAGGTCAGAGATCATATCTTTTACTAAACCAGCAAAAATTTACTGAGAATTTACCATCAAAATCCGTGAAAAGCAGCCATCAGGACTTAGTAGTGATTAAGACAAAATATGTTCTCTAATGTAGCTTAGATTCTACTACAAAAGGGGAGATAGCACATAAATAAAATTAATATCTGAAAGCAACCAATCTTATTCACCAATGAGTCTCTACTGTCCTGCACAATATTCACTACCCACCAAGTACTGAGTATAAATTTGCTCAATGAATTTGCTCATGTCTAGTACTGTAACATTTTTGGCCAACCCTCAGCTCTTTCCTGCCTAAGCAGTTAGGGGCTTAAGCTGCTGAAACTTCCAAGAGGAAGTGGAGTTACAAGCTAGTCCTAAAGCAGCTGGCTCAATCACTCATTATTTTTAATGAAACCACAAGCCAGTGCCTGCCTCCAGCTCCTACCAGGAGCTGAAGAACTTCTTCAGTGTGGGCTCTCCTACAAGGACAAATCTGCTGAAGTAACAGGGAATGAACAGCTCTTGTGGTAAGCTGAGTAATGTCCCTCAAGGATATCCACATCCTTATCCCCTGAATCTGTGAATGTGTTGTCTTACATGGCCGAAAGGACTTTGCAGCTACAATAAAGTTAAGGATTTTCACATGGGGACAGTATCCCGTATAATCCAAACAGGCCCAATATAATCACAAAGGTCCTTATTAGAGTGATACAGGAGAGTCAAAGAGAAGCAAAGGTAAGAGGGGATGGGGTCAGGGGGGAGATTTGAAGATGCTGTATGGCTGGACTTGAAGGTGGAGAAGGAAGTCATGAGCCAAGGAATGTAAGTGGTCTCTAGAAGCTAAAAAAGGCAAGAAATATATTCTCCCCTAGAATCTCCAGAAGGAATGCACCCGGCTGATATCTTGATTTTAGCCCTTGTAAGACGCATTTCAGATATTTGACCTCCAGAACTACAGGATAATAAATCTGCGATAAGTGGTTACTGCAGCTAATAGAAAACTAACACAGTCCCTTGCCCCAAAACTGTCACAATTGAAGAGGCCTGCAAGCCTTTTGAGTCTTACGGTAGATGCCTTGACCTACCTGCACAAGCTTTGTGTTTGCAGCTCTCTTCCCAGAGGCAGCCTTGCAGAGATCCCCAGGCACCACCTGGGAGGCTGAGTGAAGCTGGGGCAGCCAGGATTGTTGCCCACTCTGTTCCTTTTTCCCCCTTCATGGGCCTTCTCCAGCTGCCCCATCAAATCCAGGCAAGGCTCTACAAGACTACCCTCCCCCACTTTCCACCTATGCCTCAACCTTAATTCACCCCAGGCCAGCAGAGCTGCATGTGTCTTTGTGAGAAATCACTGTTCTCAGGTACTTCTCCGTTGAGCAACTGGATATACCCAGACAGCCTAGGGAGTAAGTTCCCAGGGAGGTAAATGCCCACCTAGGACACATCAAACACACCTGTGTCAATTCCAAACTTTGAGTACAAAAAAAAAAAAAAAGGATTACTCAAGAAGGTGCTGATAAAACTTTAAATGTGTAGGTCTCCCAATCAGCATGTGCTGCCAAGAACACTTTCCTGTGGCTCCACCTCTCTCTACTCCCATCACTGAAATTGCACCTTTTTCATCAATGTAGGCCTTATTTCACAGATCTATAGGAAGAAGATTGGACTAGATAATTATTCTAAGGAATCATCTACTGCACCATGACCTGTGACCTAAATAGGCCTAAAAAACAGTTTTTCTTAATGGGTTTAAGCTGCTTTCCATTTTTTACCTCAGAGCACTGAGGGTCCTCTGCCCTAGAGTTCTTTCCATAGAGTTCTGCAAGGCCTGGTTTAGCCAGTTAGGCCAAAATTGTTTTCATGTGATGGGCTAAAACATAGAATTCCTAATATTGCTCAGTACACATTCTCTTTAACTGATTTGATTTTTATAAACCTAAACCTGTACCCACTTTTGTATCATTTTAGCTAGATTTATTCTTTGACTCTTTTATTCTTTTTGTGTTAACTTTTCTACTGTATTTTTTTTTTTTTTTTTTTTTTTTTTAGACACGGTCTTGCTCTGGCACTCAGGCTGGAGTGCAGTGGCATGAATTCTCAACCTCCTGGGATCAAGTGATCCTCCCACCTCAGCCTTCCAAGTAGCTGGAACTACACGTGCATGCCTCCACACAGAGCTAATTTTTTAAATTTTTTGCAGAGATGGGGTTTTGCCTCATTGCCCAGGCTGGTCTCGAACTCCTGGGCTCAAGCAATCTTCCCACCTCAGCCTCCCAAAGTGCTGGGATTACAGGTGTGAGCCACCACGCCTGGCCTTTTACTCTATTTTCATTGTTCTTAGTTTATTTTGCCTCCTTATGATTATTTATACTGCTTTCTTACCTCCATTCTTCTTAGGGCTTTATCAAGATTCCATTTTACTTGTTTTATCCTGTTTTTATACTAATTTTAGTTGCTTTAGCATTTTTAAATTTTTCTAACTAATTAATTTTTATTATATCTTTTCTGATTATTTAAATTACATAACTGGAAAGCATAAAGAGATAATCTGCAGGAATAGCCCATAACCCAAGCAAGAGAAGTAGAATGTTTTCTTCTTCAGAAAACCACCAATTTGTTCTCTTGGTAATTTCTAGACATTAGTAAGTATTATTAGTAGTCTGTGGATCGGGGACCTATAGCAAGTACAATTCGGAGTCTCTCTGAGCACCAGGGGCTTAAATCTCCCTGTGGTAAGCTAAGATGTTAGTAGGGGTTAGAATAAAGGGGAGTATAAGATAAAAGCTTAAGTACTTCCCCCATGTGTGGCCCAGGGAGCTCAAAGTCAGTAAAGAGCTCTTCTAAGCCTAATAAGGAAGGCTTCTTGGGAGAAGTGGGTCTTATTAAGACCTACTTCTTAATATTTCTTAATATTGTTAAATATATTTGCTGACCAACAAATTGTGCTTTTATTACAAGGTAATAAAAACTTCACTATATTGACCTAGAAAACAGATCAATTTAAAAAGTAAAATAGTTGTTTAACTATTTTTATTTTATTTTATTTACTTACTAATATTTAGAGATTGAGTCTCTCACTCCATCGCCCAAGCTCTTCTTGTTGAATTGATCCCTTTACCATTATGTAATGGCCTTGTCTCTTTTGATCTTTGTTGTTTTAAAGTCTGTTTTATCAGAGACTAGGATTGCAACCCCTACCTTTTTTTGTTTTCCATTTGCTGGTAGATCTTCCTCCATCCCTTTATTTTGAGCCTATTTGTGTCTCTGCACATGAGATGGGTCTCCTGAATACAGCATGCTGATGGATCTTGACTCTTTATCCAATTTGTCAGTCTGTGTCTTTTAATTGGAGCATTTAGCCCATTTACATTTAAGGTTAGTATTGTTATGTGTGAATTTGATCCTGTCATTATGATGTTAGCTGGTTATTTTGCTTGTTAGTTGATGCAGTTTCTTCCTAACATCGATGGTCTTTACAATTGTGCATGTTTTTGCAGTGGCTGGTACCGGTTGTTCCTTT
Source organism: Homo sapiens (assembly GCF_000001405.40). Classification (NCBI taxonomy): domain Eukaryota; kingdom Metazoa; phylum Chordata; class Mammalia; order Primates; family Hominidae; genus Homo; species Homo sapiens. The sequence goes on from NC_000011.10 coordinate 27,156,403, forward strand.
CCATGTTTAGCGCTTCCTTCAGGAGCTCTTTTAGGGCAGGCCTGGTGGTGACAAAATCTCTCAGCATTTGCTTGTCTGTAAAGTATTTTATTTCTCCTTCACTTATGAAGCTTAGTTTGGCTGGATATGAAATTCTGGGTTGAAAATTCTTTTCTTTAAGAATGTTGAATATTGGGCCCCACTCTCTTCTGGCTTGTAGAGTTTCTGCCAAGAAATCAGCTGTTAGTCTGATGGGCTTCCCTTTGTGGGTAACCTGACCTTTCTCTCTGGCTACCCTTAACATTTTTTCCTTCATTTCAACTTTGGTGAATCTGACAATTATGTGTCTTGGAGTTGCTCTTCTTGAGGAGTATCTTTGTGGCATTCTCTGTATTTCCTGAATTTGAATGTTGGCCTGCCTTGCTAGATTGGGGAAGTTCTCCTGGATAATATCCTGCAGAGTGTTTTCCAACTTGGTTCCATTCTCCCCGTCACTTTCAGGTACACCAATCAGACGTAGATTTGGTCTCTTCACATAGTGCCATATTTCTTGGAGGCTTTGTTCATTTCTTTTTATTCTTTTTTCTCTAAACTTCTCTTCACACTTCATTTCATTCATTTCGTCTTCCATCGCTGATACCCTTTCTTCCAGTTGATCGCATTGGTTACTGAGGCTTGTGCATTCGTCACATAGTTCTTGTGCCATGGTTTTCAGCTCCATCAGGTCCTTTAAGGACTTCTCTGCATTGGTTATTCTAGTTATCCATTCATCTAATTTTTTTTCAAAGTTTTTAACTTCTTTGCCATTGGTTCGAACTTCCTCCTTTAGCTCGGAGTAGTTTGATCTTCTGAAGCCTTCCTCTTTCAACTCATCAAAGTCATTCTCAATCCAGCTTTGTTCCATTGCTGGTGAGGAGATGCGTTCCTTTGGAGGAGGAGAGGCCCTCTGATTTTTAGAGTTTCTGGTTTTTCTGCTCTGTTTTTTCCCCATCTTTGTGGTTTGATCTACCTTTGGTCTTTGATGATGGTGACGTACAGATGGGGTTTTGGTGTGGATGTCCTTTCTGTTTGTTAGTTTTCCTTCTAACAGTCAGGACCCTCAGCTGCAGGTCTGTTGGAGTTTACTGGAGGTCCACTTCAGACCCTGTTTTCCTGGGTATCAGCAGCGGTAGCTGCAGAACAGCGGATATTGGTGAACCGCAAATGCTGCTGCCTGATCATTCCTCTGGAAGTTTTGTCTCAGAGGAGTACCCGGCCGTATGAGGTGTCATTCCACCCCTACTGGGGGGTGCCTCCCAGTTAGGCTACTCGGGGGTCAGGGACCCACTTGAGGAGGCAGTCTGCCCATCTCTCAAGCTGCGTGCTGGGGGAACCACTACTCTCTTCAAAGCTCAGTTGGAAATGCAGAAATCACCCGTCTTCTGCATTGCTCATGCTGGGAGCTGTAGACTGGAGCTGTTCCTATTCGGCCATCTTGGCTCCCAAGCCATGATCACAAGTTCCAACAATAGGCTGTCTGCAAGCTGGAGGAGCAAGAAGAGCCAGTCCGAATCTTAAAACTGAAGAACTTGGAGTCTGATGTTCAAGTATTCCTGGAAGCATCCAGCACGAGAGAAAGATGTAGGTTGGGAAGCTAGGCCCATCTCCATTCTTGCTTTCTTATACACAAAATAAAAGAAAGTAAGCTCTGTGAATTGTTGATTGACTTGTATATCTCAAGTGTGAAGATTTATTTGATGAAAATGTTAAATATTTGTGAGTGTATAGCTTATGAGATGCAGCTATAATACGTTTAAACCAATGGAGTTTTATTGGCAGAGTAAACGTACACTTGCTTCTAATAATACTCACAATAAAAAATAAGGCCTGTCCCAAGTGCCTTAGCTATGGAGTAATCTGTATCAGTCAGAAAAACTTAACTCCACCCCCAGAAAAAGAGGTTAGCTACCTTCAGATTTGTCTCTGTTTATTTACTATGTAGACTCTAAATCCCATACTGGGGAGATTACCTGTGTTGTCAAGGTTTCCTTTCAAGAAACAACAAACTCTTCACAGGTCAGGTAGCACTTAAAGCTCATGAAATGGAGAATAAAGACAAAGTTGGCATTCTGGCATTCAGAAGGGAAAAGTCTTTAAAGAGTAAAAAACATTCCTATAGTTAGTTGTATAAGTGTACGGAACCATGGGGCATTGCATGACCCAATTTTGGGGCAATTCATGAGTAAGAAAGTGGAGAATTGACAAAGCGGTTAGAAAGGAGGCGTGTTCTACAACAAGACAAGATTACAGAGCCTTTTGGATAAATTAGGATTTCAGCTGGTGCCCCCAATTCACGTTTTTTTGTTTGGTTGGGTTTTTTGTTGTTGCTGTTTTTTGTTTTGTTTTGTTTTAGTAGAGATAGGGTTTCACCATGTTAGCCAGGATGGTTTCGATCTCCTGACCTCATGATCTGCCCACCTATGACTTCCCAAAGTGCTGGGATTACAGGCCTGAGCCACTGCTCCCGGCCTTCCAATTCACGTTTGGAAGAGGAAACTTGCAGATCGGAGTGACTCATTCTTCAAGTGTGTTCTTTAGGCAGGGCCTCCATCTAGTGGTTTGCCCTGGAAATTAACCCGCAGCCTTTATTAAATACACACTACTTCTTTTCACAAACTTTATGAAAATAGAAAATTAGAGCTCCCTCATGTAGCATGGCAGAGGAAAATTTCCCTCCTGAACTCATGAATTCTGTCCTTTCATTGCTTGCTAAGAAGTGCAGCATTCTTAACGTCTAGATTTTGTCATGCCCTCTCCATTCATGGAGTTTTCATACCCAGTGTATCTCTTTGCACATAGAAGAAAACTGTGATTTCTAACAACCAAAGAAACAAAACTGTGTGTGTCTATGTGTGTCTGTGTCTCTGTGTGTGTGTAGAGTGTGCTAAGAAAGAGCTCAGCTGTAGAATAGACAATAGCAATTGGTAAAGGTGTGGACATATCATAAGTATTAGTAAGAACAACAGGAGAATGGATGAATGTTAACTGGACAGTGAGATAAAAGCAGATGAACAAACTTGCAAGGGAGGAACAGCATGTCTCACCAGGAAGCAGAATGGGGCCAAAACAAGCTGAATCTCAGCTGGGACATACATAGTCACTGAATCAGTGACGTCAGATTTTCAGAGCTCTCCTGCTCCTATCTGTAACTTTGAACAAGTCCTTCTCCATGTGAGCTTCTGACATTTTATCACTGGATTTGTTTTTTTTTTTTTTTTTGGAAACGAAGTTTCACTCTTATTTCCCAGGCTGGAGTGCAATGGCATGATCTCGCCTCATTGCAACCTTCGCCTCCTCAGTTCAAGTGATTCTCCTGCCTCAGCCTCCTGAATAGCTGGGATTACAGGCACATGCCACCACACCCGGCTAATTTTCTGTACTTTTAGTAGAGACGGGATTTCACCATGTTGGCCAGGCTGGTCTCAAACTCCTGACCTCAGGTGACCACCCCCCTCGGCCTCCCAAAGTGCTGGGATTACAGGCGTGAGCCAGCGCACCTGACCTTATCACTGGATCTTAAAGCTGCTTTAGCCACATACCCCTTGGCAGGTCTGATAAGCAATATGGACCCTCTTCTCTCACTTACATTTAATTTTTTACACAATTTTTATGATTTAAGGACATCCCTGATTCCCAGTTTTACTATTTTGTAGAAAATAGGCCTGTGACAATTCTTAGCACTGGTGCAGTTTTTTCTTTTGTTTAATATTTCCTTATTTTCACTCTTAAACATTTTTCAGTCCCTTCTGTGTGTGCTCTCACATATTTTTCAGTGCCACTGACTCTGTTTTCCCCATCGTTGTTCATTTTTCCTTCTGTTTTCCGTTACTCATTTGTGTCATCTCTCTCCGTTTATGTGTTTTATTAGACATGTCGTCTTTCAGCCACACTAAGAGCAAACAGCCCACTTAAAGAAAATCTTTATGTCCCTCAAGACAGAATCAGAAAACATGACATGGGAAAGTAGATGAGTGATAGTGGGTAAGAAAGAAATTCTAAGAAGTCATGACAGTGAGAAATAAAGGAAGAAATGTACAGAAAGACACCAGATAAAGACCCTTCCAATTTAGGGCAGCACCTTTCAGCTTTTATGAATGTATGCCATATTTTCAAATGCTAGAAATCTTGGGAGCATATGTGAATGTGTGGAGGATTTTTTCCCCCAAAGATGCTCAGAACAATGACTCTCATCCCAGAGACTCTTGTTAAAATGCAACTTTGGCATTCTGCCCATCGAGAGATGGGTCTGTATCCCCTCCCCTTGAATCTGAGCAGTCTGTAACTCACTTGTAACAAATAGATTGCAGTGAAAGTAAATTCTAAAGTGAGGTCAGAAAGGGTGAGGGTCCCATGGAACACCTGCACTGGGGTCTTTGGTTCCCATGTGAGCACTCCAACTGCTCTGAGGCTGCCATGCTGTGAGGAAGCAAGCTAGTTTACATGAGGAGACGACATGGAGAAGCCCTGAGACTATCTGAAGAAGAGATATAAGTGAGAGATCTAGCTGTCCCCAGCTGCTCCATATCTCTACTGTTACAGCTGTAGCCACCAGCTCACTGAAACTTCATTAAAGACTCCAGAACCATCCAGCAGAGCCTTTCCCCAAATCACTAACCCACAGAAACCAAGAGAGATGATAAAACAATTGTTGTATTAAGCCAGTAAGTTCTGGAGTAATTTGTTACACAGCAATAGATAATTGGAATGAAAAGAAAGCATCGAAACAATTCTAAAGAAGTCAGGGATCATTAGAATGTAATCACCACTGCAGAATCATTGTGACTCACACTGCCTATAAAAACATCCTTGATTTCTTCCACAGACTGATTTCTTCCACAGACTCTCCTCAGCAACATTCCCTTCTGGGTATACTCAAGTTCCAGTAAACACTCTCATTCCGTGACTCTGGCTTGATATAACTATTCTATACCCTGCCCTGCAGTGCCTCCCTGACCAGCTCATCTCAATGTGTCATTTCACAGACACCAACATAATACAAAAGTATTTGGATCAAAATCTAGTGGCTCACCTAGTACCCAGATCTTGATGTCTAATACTATTTTTCAATAAAAGGAACCAGGGATCCTTGGAGAAATGGCTGATTCCAGAGCTGGGGCACAGAAAATACAAAGTGAGCCTGGAGCATCTTTCAATGCTAGAAAGTAAGGAGGTATTCAAAAAGCAAAAGGATGATAAAAGTATACACGAGTCAACCTGGAAAAGCACCTGATGGCCAAAGCTAAAATAATTTGAAGAACAAAATAATGTAGTATTAGGTTATTATCCAAAGTATAAATAAATATTTATCCATCTCCCTTTTATAGATAATATTTGGAAAACAATTATAGCTGATAACAATAATTACTTACATATATTACTATGTGGTAGGTCCTATTCTAAACACTTTGGATATATTAATTATTTTAAGGTAAATACTATTGTTATAATCATTTTACAGATGAGAAACACAAGGCTTGTCATGTCAAGGCACAAATCGAAAAGAATAACATTTGTACAGCACTTTGTAGGTCCTGGCAGGCATAAGAAACCATCTGTGGGGGCACTGGCCACCTCAGGCCCTATCTAGCCATCCAACAGTTGACTATACTAGTGAATTGTTTCAAGGCACACCAAGAAGCTCTGGTATAATTTTCTCAATGTACACAGCCTATAATTTAAACCTAGGTCTACCTGACACCACAATGTGACCTCTTGAGCTCTCTGCCCTATAACCAAAATACTAAATTCCAACACTGTGCTAATAATTATATTAAGATTATATGATCATACTGATTCAATGTAGAGTCTCAGAAGCTATACAAACTCTTTCAAGGCCCTGAAGAAAATGTAGCTATTAACCTATTGAATAAAAAGTAAAGTATCTGCCCAAGCAAGACACCCAGGACTAACCTGCTCAATGGAGAGACACAGAAAAACCTCTCAAGCAGAACACAGCTAACCTGAACTCTCTGTTCCCAGAACTTTAGCTGAGTCTCACTTCTAGGGGAAAAAAACACACACACACGGGAACAAGCTGATTTATTTTCCTTGACCTAGAACAAAAATCACAACATCTAGGGGTTTTTTGAGGTCAGAACAAACTCAATGTTCAGCCTCCACCCTCTTCCACCACAGGAACATTATTAGAAAAAAGGATAATGGCATTGTAAAAACAGAGCAGAGAGCAGACAGGGGAGGGGACAAGGGAGGGAGTGGAATATTCTTTGCAAACACCTGCTACGTGCTAAGAACTGCGCCAGACGCCATCTAGCATCACTTCATTGCTTTTCATAGCAACAGTTTGAGAAAAGTGTCATGAACTCCATTTTACATGTGAACCCAAGGTTTAGAGAGGTAAAATAATTTGCCTAAGATCAGCTAATCAATGATGAAGATAGTATTTGTGTCCAACTTGACTGGCTCCAAAGCCCATGTCTTGGATAGTTAAAGGGATAGGCAGACCCCTAAGCTCAAAGAAAGGCTAGGCCCTACAGATGGAGATCCAGAAAGGTCCTCATGATGCTGACAGAATGCAGGTCCCAAACTCCATGTTTGTTAAGTAGGGATAAATCTAAAAATAGAAATGAATGGCATATCCCTCTTAGTACAGGTAGGTATGACAGTGGGAAATGACTCAATAGGGGTATACTAGGGTGTCACAGAAGGCTGGATTACAGAGGCAGGCTTCCTGTCTCACAGAAGCAGAGAATGCCAGCCATAAGCTAACATTTATTGAGTGATGCTATAATCTAAGTGAGTCCCCCAAAATTCATGTGTTGGAAACTGAATCTTCAATGCAATACTGTTGAGAGGTGAGGCTTTTTGGAAGATGTTTAGGTCATGAGAGCTTCTCTCTCATTAATGGATTAATGCCACTATAAAAACGTTGCAGAAGTGGATCCTCTCTCTTCTGTTCTTCTGCCATGTGAGGACACAAGGTTCCTCTTCTCCAGAGGATGCAGCAACAAGGCACCATCTTAGAACCTGAGAATGAACCTACTGGTGCCTTGATCTTGGACTTCCCAACCTCCAGAACTATAAGAGATAAATTTCTGTTCTTTACAAATTATCCAGTGTCAGGTATTCTGTGATGGTAGCCCAAAATGGACTAAGACAGATACTTACAATATGCAAGATACTTTTCTTAATAAGTATTTTCTTATTTAATTCTTGCAGCAGCGCTATGAGGAAGACACAACTATTATCTCCAGTCTACAATGTGAAACTGAGAACTAAATTGCTTACCTAACTAATCTAATGTCCCTTAGAAAGTCAGGATAGAGCCAGGAACTCTGATTCCAGAACCTAAGTTCTTAACCATGAAGAGGAAAGAAACTAAATTCAAATACTAAGGTTCATACTATGTTATTCAGTCTAATTAGAGTATTAAGTTGTATTGCCATTACAATAATGAATTTCACTTTAGTAATGAATTTTATTAGCATTAATTTTTATTACCATAGTTTTGAATTTTATTATAACCCTTGGCTTAATATTTATAATATATTGCATGTATTATTTTAGTACTGGGTTTTATGGTGATGGTTATTATTGTCACAGTTCAGGATTTTATTATTGCTATGTTTAGTGTTTTAATAATTACTTTTGGTCAGGCACAGTGGTTCACGCCTGTAATCCCAGCACTTTGGGAGGCCGAGGCGGGTGGATCACGAGGTCAAGAGATCGAGACCATCCTGCCCAACATGGTGAAACCCTGTCTCTACTAAAAATACAAAAATTAGCAGAGTATGGTGGTGTGTGCCTGTAGTCCCAGCTACTCAGGCGGCTGAGGCAAGAGAATCGCTTGAGCCCGGGAGGCAGAGGTTGCAGTGAGCCGAGATTGCACCACTGTACTCCAGCCTGGTGACAGAGCAAGACCCTGTCTCAAAATAAATAAATAAATAAAATAACAATTACTTTTAAGGCCTACATAGAAGAGGGGGTGGTGGGGAATGACAATCATGGTATGAAACCAATCTCATGTTTGCATGTGTCAAATGAAGAATGGGTAAATGTAGTACTCTGTGGCCAATGCTGCAAATTAGATTACCCAACAAATATTAAAAAGCCCTTCTAATGTGTGTTCCTATACAATCGCTCCCAGAAAAGGCGGGAAACTACTTTTCCCACAGGCCTTTGCTGCTGGATACTCATGTGACTTATAGTCTGTGAGATCTTCTGGGCTTCTTCTGCGTAGCTATGATTAAGGTCCCGGCATCACAGGTAATAACAGGTGGACATCATTGGTGGTGGGATTTCATAATGCAGTTGAGGGTTTCTCCTTCCTGTGTTGTTCTATATTGTGGTATTAAAACAGGTTCCCTGGCCCTCATTTAAACTGAATAAACTGCTGGCGCTGTGGCTCACTTCTGTAATCCCAGCACTTTGGGAGGCCAAGGAGGGTGGATCACTTGAGGCCAAGAATTTGAGACCAGTCTGGCCAACATGGTGAAACCTGTCTCTACTAAAAATACAAAAATTAGCCAGGTGATGTGGCACACACCTGTAATCCCAGGTACTCGGGAGGCTGAGGCACAAGAATTGCTTAAACCCGGGAGGCAGAGGCTGCAGTGAGCCAAGATTGCATCACTGCACTCCAGCCTGGGTGATGGGGTGAGACTCCATCTCAAATAAATAATAATAATAAAATTAAAAATAAATAAATTAAATAAACTAAGTAATGTACTGTCATAAACCCCTGTTCTAGAGTGGATTCTGTTATTCACCACTAAGAATCTTGGCTAATATACCCTTCTATTGACTGACAGACTTTTTAAGTGGTAAAGAATATATAGAGGCTAGCAAGTCCAAACTATCTTCTAATGTGGGAGACCTTCTTATTAATCTTGATATTCAGCTTCACTTTTAGCTCTCCTAAGAGGATTCACTTTTGTTACTTGAAGCCCCTTGTAGCTCAAGATGCTTTCATATGGCATTTTCTAAAGTATCTTCCATGGAAACATGTTTGTATACACACACTTAAGATTCTGTGGTGGCCGGGCACAGTGGCTCACTCCTGTAATCCCAGCACTTTGGGAGGCCAAGGTGGGAGAATCACTTGAGCCCAGGAGTTCGAGACCAGCCTGGGCAGCATAGGGAGACCTCAGCTCTACAAAAAATAAAAATCAGCCCGGCATGGTGGTGCGCACCTGTGATCCCAACTATTTAGGAGGCTGAGGTGGGAGGATCGCCTGAGGCTGGGAGGTCAAGGCTGCAGAGAGCTGAGATTGCACCACTGCACTCCCTCCTGGGAAACAGAATAAGACGTGTCTCAAAAATAAAAAAAAAACGTAAAAAAGATTCCATGGTAATAAATTTGGGGAATAAATGCTAGGTAAATAAAGTTCTTTAGATTTTTTTTTCACTGCAGGATTTCTCAAGTCTTTCATCTGCTAAAGTTTATAGATAATCTTTAAGAAGTGAACTGTCCAATTCTTTCTCAAACATTAAACAAAGATTTTTCTTTTGTGGTGGATCTCCCAATGTTACTATTACACTAGATACCCTCTATGGTGCTTGCCTTAAATTAATAGATTACCTAAAGGATGGAATTTCAGGTTTGAGATAGATAAGTGAAAATGTTGTTTGGTAAGCAAATACCTGATGACCCTTCCAATAACATCGCAGAAAAAGCTACCGACTTCTCAATCATGGGATCAGTCCTGTTTTCTAACAGGACTCCCCTGTTTCTCTCCAACCCAGGAGAAACTCTGCAGGATTATCTGAGCTGCTGCCTCTTCTATAGATGTTCCAGGAACCTACTGCTGCATTACAATCACCCTGAAACTTGGTGGCTTAAGACAACCATGGCACAATTCCTCATGATTCTGGGTCAGGAATTCAGGGAAAGCTCAGCTGAGAAGCTCTTCTGCCCCACGTGGCATAGATTGGAGTCACTCACTGACTATATCCAGACAGCCAAATCAGGCTGGCTGATCCAGAAGGGTTATACTCACATGTGTGGCACCTCACTGCTCCTCCATGTGGCCTTTCTCTCTTCTCTCTTTAAGGCTAATTTTGGCTTTCTTTCAACACAGAGACGTCAGGGTGATCAGACACTTCCATTTTTTTTAACTTTTTATTGTGAACTAATTTTAGACCAACATAAGAATTATAAAAAAAGTAGAATTCCTGTATACTCATCACCCAGGTTTCCCTGATGTTAACACCTTAGACTCCTTAAAACATCATGACAGCTAAGAAATTAACATGGTACATTTACTACTAACTAAACTATAGGTTGTACTAAATTGCACCAGTTGATCTACTAGTGATCTTTTTCTATCCCAAGATCCTATTCAGCATCCCACATTTGTACTTAGTTGTTATTTCTCCTTATTCTCCTCCAATTTATTGCAGTTCATCAACTTTGTCTTTCATGGTCTCGACACACAGACAAGTACTAGTCAATTACTTTATAGAATATCTCTAAGTTTGGTTATGTCGGACGTTTTTTCATAATTGGATGAAGTTCTGGTCAGACTATTCACATGATGGCTGGCTTCTAAGAGGGAAGAGAGGAAGCTGTCTTTCCTCTTAAAGCCTGTAGCCATCAAACACTTCAGCTGCCTTCTGTTGGTCAAAGCAAGGTATAGGGCCAGCCCAGATTCAAGGGGAGAAGCCATAGATTCCATTTTTGGATGCAGAAAGGAAGTAATAGATGGTGACCATCTTTGAAGACTATCTAACCATCACAATTGGATTTACAAAAATACTTGTAAAAACCTACCTCGTAAGACAACTCTGAACTCTAAGAATCTGCCATTATCACACTGATTATTTTTAACTATCTGAAACTTCTTAAAGTAGAGTTCATAGTTCTTGCTTTGCCTACTTCACAGAGTGTGGCAGCCATGAAGGATTGGATTCCTGCTAAGATCTCCCTTAAAGAAGAAAAACGGGCCTGGTGCAGTGGCTCATGCCTGTAATCCCAGCACTTTGGGAGGTGGTGAATCACTTGATCCCAGGACTTAGAGACCAGCCTGAGCAACATAGTGAAACCTCATCTCTATCAAAAATACAAAAATTAGCTGGGTATGGTGGTGTGCACCTGTAGTCCCAGCTACTCGGGAAGCTGAGGCAGGAAGATCACCTGAGCCTGGGAGGTCAAAGCTGCAGTGAGCTGTGATCACGCCACTGCACTCCAGCCTGGGTGACAGAGTAAGACCCTGTCTCAAAAAAAAAAAAAAAAAAAAAAAAAAGAGAGAGAGGAAAAAAAAAAAAAACTTGCCAGAGGAGGATAGTTAGCCAAGAGCTTCCAGCTGCCGCATTTTGGGGATCTGCTACAGCATTCATGCTAGGACCACACTGTCCCCAGTTTGCTTCTCCCCAGTGACTAAGTATGGCAGTAGAACAAGAACCAAACTGTTTCTGCTTGTCACAGAGTTCCTCTAGCAAGCCTTCTTCATTCAGAAGCTCCCCATCAACCTAGTAGAGACTTAGAGCTACACTGCAATCTAAGGCTTTTTCTACCCAGTTCTCCCTCTTCTTGTCCTTCCATGCGTGTGAAACCTGCATTGAACCTGAAAGCCATCCTTTTCAAGTTCTTGTTCCCTCTTCCCTTTATCTTTTTCAATTCATTTTTTGTTCTATTTTAAAGTGACATATAATAATTATATATTTATGGGGTATAATGTGATGTTTTGATACATGTATACACTGTGGAATGATCCAATCAGACTAATTAGCAAATCCATCACCTCAAATATTTATCATTTTTAGTGGTGAGAACATTTAAAATCCTCTCTAATAGCTCTTTTGAAATATACAATAAATTGCTATTAACTATAGTCACTATACTGTGCAATAGAACACCAGAACTTATTCCTCCTAACTTAAACTTTGTACCCATGACAAACTTTACTCTAGTAATGAAGTTTATTAGAATTAATTTGTATTACCACAGTTTTTAATTTTAGTATTACTATAATACTTTTCCCATCCAACCCCACCACTACCTCTGCTCCCACCCCAGCTTCTGGTAACCACCATTCTACTCTCTAGTGTTATGAGTTTAAATGAATGAGACCATATGGCATCTGTCTCTCTGTGCCTGGTTTATTTCACTTAACATATCATCCTCTCTAGGTTCATCTTTGCTGTTACAAATGACAGAATTTCCTGTTTTTTGCACGACTGAATAGTATTTCATTGTGTAAATATGCCATATTTAAAAAAAAAGTCTACCCTCCCTTGATAGACACTTAGGCTGATTCCATATCTTGGCTATTGTGACTAATGCTGCAATGAACATGGGAGTATAGGCATCTTTTTGACATACTGATTTCAATTCCTTTGGGTATATACCTAGAAGTGGGATTGTTGGGTCATCTGGTAGTTCTATTTTTAGTTTTCTGATGAACTTCCACACTGTTTTCCAAAATGGCTATACCAATTTACAATACCAACAGTGTCCAAGGATTCCCCTTCCTTCAGACTCTTGCCAACACTAAATTTTTATTTTAGATTCAAGGGATACATGTGTAGGTTTATTACATGGGTATACTGCATGGTGCTGAGGTTTGTGGTACAAATGGTCCTGTGACCCAGCTAGTCAGCATAGCACCCAGTAGGTAGTTTTTCAGCCCTTCCTCCCCTTCCTTACTTCCCCCTTCTAGTACTTCCTAGTGTTGCTTCTTTCTGTCCATGTGTATCCAATATTTAGCCCCTGCTTATAAATGAGAACATGCAGTATTTGGTTTTCTGTTCCTATATTAATTCACTTAGAATAATGGCCTCCAGCTGCATCTATCTTGCTACAAAGGATGTAATTTTGTTCTTTTTCATGGCTGCATAGTATTTTGTGGTGTATATGTACATTTTCTTTAATCCTCCATCCATAGTCACCTAGGTTAATTCTATGTCTTGGCTATAGTGAATAGTGCTGTGATGAACATATGAGTGTATGTGGGGTTTTATGGTAGGATAATTTATTATCCTTTGGGTATATACACAGTAATGGAATTGCTGGGTTGAATGGTAGTTCTATTTTAAGTTCTTTAAGAAATCTCAAACTGCTTTTCACAGTGGCTGAACTAACTTACATTCCCACCAACAGCATATAAGCATTCTCTTTTCTCCACAGCCTCACCAGTATCTGTTATTTTTGACTTTTTAATGACAGCAATTCCTACTGGAGTGAGGTAGGAATTCATTGTGGTTTTGATTTGTGTTTCTCCAATAACTGGTCATGTAGAACTTTTTTCATATGTTTCCTTGCCACTTGTGTGTCTTCTTTTGAGAAGTGTCTGTTCATGTCCTTTGCCCCCTTTTTAATAGGGTTATTTGTTTTTTACTTCTTGAATTTTTCAGTTCCTTACAGATTGTGGATATTAGACCCTTGTCAGATGCATAGTTTGTAAAATATTTTCTCCCATTCTGTAGGATGTCTATTCTGTTGCTAGTTTCTTTTGCTGTGCAGAAGCTCTTTCATTTAGTTAGGTCCCATTTGTTAATTTTTGGTTGTGTTGCAATTTCTTTTGAGGACTTAGCGATAAATTCTTTGCTAAGGCTGATGTCTAGAATAGTCTTTGCCAGGTTTTCTTCTAGGATTTTCATAGTATGAGGTCTTCTGTTTAAATCTTTAATCCATCTTAAGTTAATTTTTATATGGTGAAATAAGCAAAGGGAAAAGGACTCCCTATTCAATAAATGGTACTGGGATAACTGGTTAGCCATATGCAGAAAAATGAAATTGGACCCCCTACCTTTCATCACCTTTTTGAGAATAACCAATCTAAGAAGTTTGAGGTAATATCTTATTGTGGTTTTCATTTGCATTTCTCTGATGATTAGAGATGTTGAGCATTTTATATATATTCATATATAATAATGCTTATTTATATATCTTCTCCTTTATCTTTCACAGGCATTTCCCACAATAACTCTCTTGCACTTTTCATTTTATCTTAGCATCTGCTTCCAGGAGGACCTGACATGACACAGGAGGATGCTGTGAGGATCAAATGAAATCATGAATACAAACATTTTTTGAAAGCCATAGAATGAGAAACAAGTATTAGTTATTAATTACTTTTAAAATACAGGGGCAAATTGTTTTGACAACCCAATAACAGTCTTCTGAAATGTGCTGCACTGCCACCAAGTACTTTAGTCAATATTAATATTCTTTTATTATTATTATTATTATTATTATTATTATACTTTAAGTTTTAGGATACATGTGCACAACGTGCAGGTTTGTTACATATGTATACATGTGCCATGTTGGTGTGCTGCACCCACCAACTCGTCATTTAGCATTAGGTATATCTCCTAATGCTATCCCTCCCCCCTCCCCCCACCCCACAACAGGCCCCAGTGTGTGAAGTTCCCCTTCCTGTGTCCATGTGTTCTCATTGTTCAATTCCCACCTATGAGTGAGAACATGCAGTGTTTGGTTTTTTGTCCTTGCGATAGTTTGCTGAGAATGATGGTTTCCAGCTTCATCCATGTCTCTACAAAGGACATGAACTCGTCATTTTTTATGGCTGCGTAGTTTTCCATGGTGTATATGTGCCACATTTTCTTAATCCAGTCTATCATTGTTGGACATTTGGGTTGGTTCCAAGTCTTTAACAGACACTTCTCAAAAGAAGACATTTATGCAGCCAAAAAACACTTGAAAAAATGCTCATCATCACTGGCCATCAGAGAAATGCAAATCAAAATATTAGTATTCTTAAATAGAGCCCTCAGTTTAAAAATAGATATATTTAGTAGCCCCCAAAGTAAGAAGGCATGTAAATTTGAACTGAAAGAGATTTTCATTAGAAAGAGAATTTAGTTTTTAAAGAGATAAGTTTCAGTTATCTGGGATATTCATTCAATGTGAAAGCCTAGCAGTTTTTCTGTGTTTAATCCTCTGCCTGAGACAGCACATGTTCCAGGAACTGGGTGGGGAGCTGGTTACCCTAGAGAAGCAATCTTTATGGCTAAAGCCCCCACTAAGAGCTCCTAAAATGATCAACATTCTGCCTCCTTTTTACAATAATTACCCACAAAGCAGGAATCCTCTAAAACCTGCCTCTTCTCTGAATCCGCTAAATTTTATCTTGCTCCTATTCTATCTATTCTCCACTCAGCAGCAAGGGTTATCATTCCTCTGATTAGTATCCTTGTTAGCTTAACAAACACTTTGTGGGTAAGTCAAAATGCCTTAAGATGTTTGAGCTGATGATAAGCTACAGATTACTCACCTCACCCCGCCCACTGCAACAACACACACTCATGAGTGTGCATGCACACACGCACACACCCTCTCTGCTTCAGCCATATTCCATTATCCTTGAAGATGCACAATGTTGACACATCCTAATACTGCTGAGATTGAGATTACCTGGAAATCAGTGTAGAACAAACAAGAGATTTAACTAATTGTTGTGGCTTTGCATGCACAAGCATAAAAAGCACCAGCTTCAAAACTGTCAGAATGAATGTTTGCTTGGAAGAAAATCTCAGAAACAACACTGGACAATCCTTTTTACCGCTAGGAACCCAGTGGGGAGGTGGTGGTGGGCAGCAAAACAGAGGTGTTTAGCAACACTGCACAAGTGGGAATCAAAAGTAGGTTCATGCCACATACTCACAAACCCAGCTTAAAAGCCCAGTCCTGATGGTTTTCAGATCTTCCATAAATTCTGTTAAGAAATGCTGCCTCTGCAATGCTCTTGCCCATATTGTGTGGAAAAGCATTACGTCAATGCCTCTGAATCAAGTCTTTCAGAAGAATCTGATTCTAAAAGTAAAGTTTCAGGAATACTGAGAGAAAATTATTTCATATATATTTTTATTTTGCCATATTTTATATTTATTTTGTTATATTTGATAGAGTGACGTATAATAAAATACACATCCAATTGAGGATTAAAAATGCTCTTTCAGAAAGTATTAAAACCCTAAGTGATAAGAAAATCTTGTGCCATAGTTTAACTGGTAATGTTTTTTCTTTCTTATGGGTATATGAAATGATGGTGTAACTTAAAATCCATGATATCTTGAACTAGATTAAATACAGTGGAGCCACCTTATTCTCTTGCTTTCTCTGACCTCTGATTTTCATGTATTCTGTTCTCCCTCCTAGAACACTTTTTTCTCTCTCTTTGCTTGGGTAACTATTACCAACCTCTGGATTTTGGCTGAATCAACATTTCTCAGAAGTCTTCCTTATCCTCTTCACCTCCACTCCCAAACTATGTGAGTTACCCCTGCTTTCCACAGCACCCCATGCTTGAACTATCATAACAATTATCATCCTTTAACACAACTACTTGTTAATTTTCTGTCTTCCCCCACAGGCTGTAAAGTCCTTGAAAACAGAGAACTTGTCAGTCTTGCTCACATGATGCCTGGCAGAGCTGGCATGCGGTAAATATTCACCCATCAATGAATAAATTAAATGAATTACTGTCTCCATTGCACAGCATCTAAATAAACTCATTTCAGTTTTGAATGGCAAAGAAATAAGAATTTTATCTCACAGATGAGGAAGCTGAGGCACAACAAATCTAGTTTATGACAGAGCCAAAACTAACATTTCTCAAGGTTCAATGTAAGATTAGCAATAAATAACTTGACATTTATTAGGCATTTGCTAGGCACTTGGCACATTCTAACTTCGGTTATATGGATAATCTCGATTCTCACAACTCCTTTAGGTTGGTATCAGAATCCCCATTTTATGAAAAGGAAAACTGAGGTACAGGGCGGTAAACAAAACTTCCTAAGAGAATAATAGAGCTGGTAAGGAGTGCAGCTGAGATGCAATACAGGCAGACTCTAGAATGTGCACCCTTAACCACATCCTTACCGGTGCTGGCAAATTGAATCAGAATATTTAACAATAGTAAATACTGTTATTTACCAGCAGATTACTTCTTAAGAATGTGTTTTTTAGAAAACCAAATACCACATGTTCTCACTTATAAGTGGGAGCTAAGCATTGAGCACATATGGACCCAAGTATGGGGACAATAGACACTGGACTATTGGAGGGAGGACAGAGGAGGGAGGATGGGGTGGCTTAAAAAACTACCTATCGGGTACTATGCTTACTAGCAAGGTGACAGGATCCACACTCCAAACCTTAGCATCACATAACATTCCCATGTAACAAATCTGCACACGTACCCCACTGGTCTAAAATAGAAGTTGAAATTTTTTAAAAAAATGGTTTAAGAAAACCTGGAAAAAAAAAAAGAATGTGTTTTCAAGTTGATCCAAGTCAAATAGCTTTATTTTAATGGATACAGATTCCAAAACAAACAGAATTAAACCTCATACAGTTGAAAGGGCACTGTAATATGAGTTAGGAGCCTGGGGTTCTCTAGAGTCCATTTTTCAAGTAGCTATATAATCCTAGGTGAATCACTTCACGTCTCTGGGGCTCAGTTTCTTCACTAGTTAAAAAAGAGGTGGAGTAATGCATACAAACTCCTAAAATCCTCTGATAGTGCCTATTGCATTATCTCAAAGCAATTAACAGGTACACTAAGTGGGAGAAATCACCTATGCCAAATATTGAATTTGAGGATGTAACTTAAACTCCAGTGTTTGTTCTACAAAATTCAAATAATGTTTGGCAAGGTAAAGGGCTCTTGATCCTCCATCTGAAAACACAGGATTGCAAATTTCAGCCATCACCTTGTTCTCCTTTCCTTCTATTGACAGTGTTTGCTTTAGTGGCAGAAGGAAGCCCAGACTTGTGTTGACAGAGTTTGACTGTTGGGGAAAAGTACATACCTGAAAGTACATACCTGGAGGGAGAACAGTGTTGAACAAGAAACAAGGCATCAGTCTTGGCCTGACTCATTCCAAGCTGGGCTTCCCTTCGCCATTGCTTTGTTCCAACACTAGATCAGAGGCTCGTGTAGAGACTTGCTGAAGTCGAACACTATCAAAAAACTCCAGCCCAGCCATGCTGAGGAGAAAAAATTCTCGCCAGATGAGTGTTGGAGCCAAGGCTACTGGGAAGAGCTGGAGATCACACCAGGGCTCCAGAGAGCGCAACCGGCCCCCAGCCCTGGCCCTCAAATTGTTCCTCATTCTTCAGGGTCACAGGCTGCTGAAACTTTTCTTATTTATCCAAACCTTTTGGGAATTGCCTTTCCAATAGGCAGTGGTACACATTTTCTTTTCTTGGCTTGGTAGGAAGTGAAAGGTTATAAGTTATTCCCAAACTGTGCCTCCAAGGCTATATTCACATTTCATTTTTTCAGATATTTTTAAGTTTCGTGATTGCATTTAGAGCTAGATAAATTTGAGTAAATTGCTCAACCTCTTAAAGGTTAAGTTCACTCACCTGTAAAATGAAAATAACGCCCACACTTGAGGATTAAATGAGACATCACGTACACCTGACAGATACCATGTGCTTAATAAAAGGGAGCTCAGCTGGGTGCGATGGCGCAGGCCTGTAATCCCAGCACTTTGGGAGGCCGAGGTGGGAGGACTGCTTGAGCACAGGAGTTTGAGACCAACCTGAGCAACATAGTGAGACTCCGTCTCTACAAAAAAGTTAAAAATTAGCCAGATATGGTGGCGTGTGCCTGTAGTCCTGGTTACTCAAGAGACTGAGGTGGGAGGATCACTTGATCCCAGGAGGTCAAGGTTGCAGCATAAGCTGTGATTGCGCTGTTGCACTGCAGCCTGGGCAACAGAGTGAGACCCTGCCTTAAAAATAAACAAATAGGGAACTCTTCTATCATTCCTTTCACGAAGGTCATCCAAGCACAATCATTCTTAGACCCACTTAAACCAACCAAATTTTGGGAGGAAGTTCTCCTACTAAAAGATTTTCTTAAAGATTGTTTTTCTGTGGCTTAGACAATTTCTTCACACAATTGGGACCTTAAAAATTATCAATATATAGAGAGAGAATGCATTCCCAATTAAGTATGCATGCATTCAGCAAAAATTTTAAAGTACCAGGCTTTGAACAGGGTAATAATTGCTTCTTTTTTTTAATTTTATCATTATTATACTTTAAGTTTTAGGGTACATGTGCACAATGTGCAGGTTTGTTACATATGTATACATGTGCCATGTTGGTGTGCTGCACCCATTAACTCGTCATTTAGCATTAGGTATATCTCCTAATGTTATCCCTCCCCCCTCCCCCTTCCCCCCACCCCACAACAGGCCCCAGTGTGTGATGTTCCCCTTCCTGTGTCCATGTGTTCTCATTGTTCAATTCCCACCTATGAGTGAGAACATGCAGTGTTTGGTTTTTTGTCCTTGCGATAGTTTGCTGAGAATGATGGTTTCCAGTTTCATCCATGTCCCTACAAAGGACATGAACTCATCGTTTTTTATGGCTGCATAGTATTCCATGGTGTATATGTACCACATTTTCTTAATCCAGTCTATCATTGTTGGACATTTGGCTTGCTTCCAAGTCTTTCCTATTGTGAATAGTGCCGCAATAAACATACGTGTGAATGTGTCTTTATAGCAGCATGATTTATAGTCCTTTGGGTATATACCCAGTAATGGGATGGCTGGGTCAAATGGTATTTCTAGTTCTAGATCCCTGAGGAATCACCACACTGACTTCCACAATGGTTGAACTAGTTTACAGTCCCACCAACAGTGTAAAAGTGTTCCTATTTCTCCACATCCTCTCCAGTACCTGTCGTTTCCTGACTTTTTAATGATTGCCATTCTAACTGGTGTGAGATGATATCTCATTGTGGTTTTGATTTGCATTTCTCTGATGGCCAGTGATGATGAGCACTTTTTCATGTGTTTTTTGGCTGCATAAATGTCTTCTTTTGAGAAGTGTCTGTTCATATCCTTCGCCCACTTTTCGATGGGGTTGTTTGTTTATTTCTTGTAAGTTTGTTTGAGTTCGTTGTAGATTCTGGATATTAGCCCTTTGTCAGATGAGTAGGTTGCAAAAATTTTCTCCCATTCTGTAGGTTGCCTGTTCACTCTGATGGTAGTTTCTTTTGCTGTGCAGAAGCTCTTTAGTTTAATTAGATCCCATTTGTCAATTTTGGCTTTTGTTGCCATTGCTTTTGGTGTTTTAGACATGAAGTCCTTGCCCATGCCTATGTCCTAAATGGTAATGCCTAGGTTTTCTTCTAGGGTTTTTATGGTTTAGGTCTAACGTTGAAGTCTTTAATCCATCTTGAATTAATTTTTGTATAAGGTGTAAGGAAGGGATCCAGTTTCAGCTTTCTACATATGGCTTGCCAGTTTTCCCAGCACCATTTATTAAATAGAGAATCCTTTCTCCATTGCTTGTTTTTGTCAGGTTTGTCTTTTTTAAAGCACTTTTAGCTTATAATTTTGTTTTCACAAACATTCATTCATTTGATCCCCGACCATACTCTGTGAGGAAAATAGGAATCAATCCTTATTCATCTCTTATAGGTGGGAGTGACAGTCATAATAAGCAATAGAATTAGTACAATAAAAGCATAGTCCTGATGTTAGACAGACCTGGGTTTGAGGACTGGGTCTAATATCAGCTGTATCTCCTTGAGCAAGTTACTTTTTGCATCTCATTTGTGAAATGGGAATAATATGCCTATCTCGCAGAGTTATTATGAGTATTAAATTAAGTAGTACATATAAGGTACTTATTACATATACAATCTCACACTCAGTTTAACATATAATATCAATTAGTGACCATCAGGATCATTACAGTTTTTAATTAGTGTTCAAGGTCATGTGGCTGAAATAGCAGAATCGGCACTAAAACTCCTGTTTGCTGACTTCCAATACAATCTTTTCTGCCATACTAAAAGTTTTCAAACATTTCAAAGGATCAAAATCCCTCTTTCAGGAAAGAATATATTTACATGGCACATCAAGGCGTAACAGTAGAACTGCCCTTGTTACAGTTGGTGGAGGGGACCTAAAATGCCTGCTGCCTACCCTACTTCCCACTGCCACAGATAAATGTCTCCCCACACGCCCCCACCCCCCACTCCATTGTTACCAAGGCAGCTGCTGGTGGTCAGCATTGCCTGACATTCACCAGGGACTTGACCTCAACAAGAGGAACACTGGACAATACTTCCATTTGCCTTGTTAGTACCATGTGTTCCTTCTCGTTTGTCTTGCCTTGCTTCTTATTTCCTGTCAATCTCCCCGTCCTTTGACCAGCCACCTTTTTGTGGCTAGGGGACTCCATCAGCTTTATCAGCTCCTAACTGCCTTCTAGGATCTGAGCCCACCCCTGTCCCCCATTGTTTTCTGCCAACCAGAACCTGTGTCTTTCTGGTTCATAGAGGTTCCCCCAACTTTTCAGCCACTGCTGCCTGTCATCACAGGAATGCTCCCACCTTCTCCCTACGTCATGCAGACCTCTGCCACCCCTTCCTAGCTCCCACCCTGACCTCTCAAGAGAGGGAAAGTGACTGATGTGATTGATCAAAATTCTAGAACATTTTTCATGTCACATTTTCTTTGGGGGTAAGATCGCTATGTGTTAAAGGCACAAAGCTATCTGTCCCATTATCTTCATATGGCTGGGAGTATACATCCAAGTAGGCCAAATGTATTACATCTCCATATGCTTGTCTGAGCATGCTGCTGTTTGCCACTATATAGAATTGAGCTGGTTAGAAGGATTCAGATTCAAGTCTTTTGTGAGATTTAAAGCCCAACTTAGTCTTCAAGCTTAAGACAGCACTTTCCCCAGCATTCTGCACTGAGGGCTATTGGGTACATGTGGGACTAATTACATCTCCATTTAGGTTCTATTCCTTGACTCCATTTTCATCAAGAAATCAACTGGGAAAAGAACTGACTGGTGGAGTAGATCTAAGCCTTCCCAGGTCTCTGGGCATAAATGCATTAAAACCTCATCTCAAGTCCTAACACCTCTCTGAACTTCCTCCTTGATGCCTGGTCCCCTTTCCTCTGTTCCCAGCCATTCACAGGTTCCTCACCCTACGGACATCCCCTGGTGTGACAGAACACAGAAGACAGGCTTCTGCTCCTTTGGGCCATGACCTCAGCATGCTTTTCTCCTGCTTTCTTCTATCTAAATCCTACTGTCCCTCAAGGCCCACCCCAAATCCCTCCTCTACCTGAAGTCTTCCATTTTCTCTGTCGTGATCCTCTGGTTCACATAGCACTTAATTTTTCATTCAGTTATGGCATTTATTTCATTCTGCCTCATGTTCCAAAAAGTTGTTTACAACAGGTCAGTCTTTTCCACAAGACTGGAAGCAATTCAAAAGCAGGAAGCCTGCTTTAATCATTTCTGATACCCCCACCTCTACCATGGTGCTTTGCAAACCACAGATACACAATCCTGTATGTATATGGGTCAAGTTGAATTGTTCAAAGAACCCAGTATTAGAAATTCCTGGAGGGCTAGACATCGTGTGGGCCTTCTGAAGCACAAATGGAAAACACTTTGCCCACAGTAGGAAGGAATTCATCAGGAATTCATCTTGGGCCTGCCTGTGAGTCCACTTGTTTTCCTCATTTTTAATTACAAACAAGCTGCCTCATGTGTTTTCTTTTTCTGCTACCAGAACGTACTGTCAATGAGCTTTGTTTTGGTCCAAATATTGATGCAGCAAGTGTTCGTCAGCAAGTCTGAGCCCTGGTTCCAGCAGCGTGTTGAGGGATTCCAACACTTTGGGCCAATAGTCAGACTTCGTTATGACTTCCTGCTCCTCTCCAAAGGCCTGGTGGGGCACGTAGGATGTAGTGGAAAGAACACAGAGTGCAGAGACTGAAGATCCAAGTTGCAGACCTCCCACTTGCTTTTTATTTGACCTCATGCAAGTTCCTTGAGGTCTCTGAACCTTGCTTTCTTCATCCATAGGTGAGTTCATATGAAAAAGCAAGTATGGAAATATTTTCTAGACCCTAGGTCTCTGGAAAGTTAAGGTGCTATCTTGTATATCAAACAACTTGGTCTGCTAAAGGAATAAATGTGTCCCTCCCAGGCAGAAAACTGCTGTGGCCCACTTTTGGGTGAAAGTTAAGTAACCACTGCTAAAAGGCAGCTATGAAGAAAAGGTCAGCTATTGTCTCTTCTGGGAACTCATCAAAAACATAATTGCTCAATGACTGGAAAATATGCCCATTTGTAAATGGGTGGCTGCTGTCTTCCCACTCTTTGCCAAGACTCTCTCATCATCAGCTTGACTGTAAGGAGAGAAACTCCGAGCAAAAATGAGTCCTGCCTCAGGGTACCTCTGGAGAGACTTCCACATTGCTGTTGGCTCCTCTGCCAAAGATATTCTGTCAAGTTCAGTTAAGGAGCCCCAGACAGTATGGCTGTGTTACCACACAAGATTTCTGCGCTTGCCATATGCACGCAGGTCTGCAGAGCCAGCAGCCAGCAGCTGTGTTTACAATTTCCCATCACCCTTGTTAATTAATGAATTCATTTTGGGCCTATTACTTACCCTGAGTAGGCTTCTGCAGCATGGGGTGGCTGCGGGTCATCCCTGCAGGAGAGCCATATGACAACTGGGCACTGTTTATTGTTGTTGTTGTTGTTGTTTTTGAGACAGAGTCTTGCTCTGTCACCCAAGCTGGAGGGCAGTGGTGCATCTCGGCTCACTGCAACCTCCACCTCCCGGGTTCAAGCGATTATCCTGCCTCAGCCTCCCGAATAGCTGGCATTACAGGCGTGCACCACCAGACCCGGCTAATTTTTGTACTTTTAGTAGAGACAGGGTTTCACCATGTTGGCCAGGCTGGTCTCAAATTCCTGACCTCAGGTGATCCCTATGCCTCAGCCTCCCAAAGTGCTGGGATTATAGATGTGAGCCACCATGCCCAGCTTAGGCACTGTTCTTGATTGGAGGCAGTGCAGGGTATGTCCCGGGGATGGGTGAAAAGGTGGTTAAGAGAACATAAAGCAATTTTTATGCACCAGGGCTAAGCATTGCCTTCCTCCATTACTAAGACCCAGTCAGCTTTAAAGAGGCTCTCAGCTTTTGTTTCCATGATTTTGAAGATAATGGTTTCCAAATTGCCAATGTGCAGCACATTTCAGATAAAATCCCAAACAAAATGTCTGTGAAGATATGAACTAAAATCATAACCACTTCCATTGAAATATTACTTATCCCCTGCATTGTAAAATTTTCCCATAAACCTGATCCCAAGGGCATAAAGAAGTGACTACCAGATCCCATGGCAATTCCAAGGGAGAAGAGAATCCTGTCTTATTTTCTAATAAGTCCTGCTTTGTAGTAGACTTTATTTTTGGAAGGCTCTAAAATGGGAAGCAGGGGAATAGGGAACTAGGAAATGAATTCAGTCTTTTACAGTTTTACTCTCTGGAAACAAAAGTGTCTACTTGTGTGGTTGTGATGGCAAATGAGTGGTATCCTCAAACCCCACTGCTCTGTGGGACCAGAATCAAACAAAAAGAACAGAAAAGGATTACTATCAAAATATTCATGAGGTTATATAAAAAAAAAAGTACCATGATTAGACAGTCTTTGTTTTTCATAAGAGACTATTCCTGTCTTTTAAAACAAAGATCTAACAAAGTCTTTGTGATTATCTAATAGAAAAAAATTTTTTGCAATACCAGAGGCTTAGTGAGCAGAATTGAACCCAAAGTTTTGCATTCTAATTCTGGCTCTATCACCAACCATCTGTGTAACCTTTGACTACTCCTCTCCCCTTTGGTTTTTACATTTCTCATCTGCACAATAACACTAAAAATAATTGGGCTCCTTCCCTTTTCAGGACTCTTGATTTCAAACAGAGGATGGAGGGGAAACTGATTTATAAACATAAAGGATGGCTATGATAATGAAGATTATATTCTAGGGCAGAATTTTAAACATTCTGTTTGTTGTTTTCCTTCTTAGAAAGATTTCTATAAAGCTATTTGTTTCAAAACTTAAAAAAAAAAGAATGTTAAATTTTATCCCATTGTATAATGTCTGGTGGATTGGGGTATGTATGTATTTAAGTTTTCCATCCAAAACATGATTTACAAAGACAGGTAAGGAATACATCCTTTAAAAATTTTATGTATTTTATTTTATTTTTTCTATTCTATTCTATTCTATTCTATTCTATTCTATATTTTATTTTATATTTTATTTTGATGGAATCTTGCTCTGTCTCCCAGGCTGAAGTGCAGAGGCTCAGTCTCTGCTTACTGCAACCTCCGCCTCCTGGGTTCAAGCAATTATCCTGCCTCAGCTTTCTGAGTAGCTGGGATTACAGGTGCCTGCCACTATGCCCAGCTAATTTTTGTATTTTTAGTAGAGACGGGGTTTTGCCATGTTGGCCAGACTGGTATCAAACTCCTGACCTCAGGTGATCCCCCCGCCTTGACCTCTCAAAGTGCTGGGATTACAGGCGTGAGCCACCGGGCTCAGACTAAAAATGTCATTTTAAAAAAGAGAAATAAAACAAATGTTAGCCTAATAAGAAGAATATGAATGAGCATTTTATGAAGTACAGCAAATACCAAGTGACAACAGATTGAGTGTGCCTAGGAAGTAAACTCCATATACACTGTCACCCCTAAATGAGCATAGATACCCTGGAGGGAATATATTGATATATTCCTAGGATCATCTAGACTCAACATTTATGTCAGTGAAATCAGCATTTTTGGATGGAGTCACATAATTTACTCTACAGTATTATCTTTATAGCTGGGAAAGAAAGAAAGAAAAGAGAAAGAGAGAGAAAGAAGGAAAGAAAAAGAAAGAAATAGAGAGAAAAAGAAAGAAAGAGAGAGAGAAAGAAAGAAAGAAAGAAAGAAAGAAAGAAAGAAAGAAAGAAAAAAGAAAAAGAAAGAAATTAAAACCTAGTTATGAAAGTTATTATGCTGAATGAAAAAAGCCAGTCTCAAAAGGTTGCACAGTGTATGGTTCCATTTATAATGACATTGTAAAAAAGACAAAATTACAATAGCAGAGAATGATCAGTGGTCAGCAGTGATTAAGGGTGGAAGCAGGTGTGCCTACTGAGGAATAGCACAAGAGAGTTTGGGGGCTTACTGAACTGTAGTGCATCCTAATTGTGATGGTGGTCACACAAATCCACACATGTCTTAAAATTCATAGAACTGTACAGCAAAAAAGTCCATTTCACTATACGATAATTTAAAAATAAAATTAACAAAAGTGATAAAATGCAAAAATAATCACATTGTTCAATTACATGCAGCAGAAGTCCAGCCTTGACCTCTGATATGTCACTAGATTTATTAAAAAAAAAAAAAAAAGTTTTACAGTGGCTCTTTTCTAACTTTAATAAGCACATAAAATCCTTGGGGCTTTGGTTAGGATGAAGATTCTCATTCAGTGGATCTGAGATGGGACCTGAGTATAATAACTAGGTGATGCCCTTCTGTGTCTGTAGACAACACTGAGAGATGTGTAGGCTTTGTATTATTTAATTCATTTAAAGCAATTATGGCAAGTATGTGTTGTTTAGAGCAATTATGGCAAATATGTGTCATATGCCAATCACCCCCATTCCTCACCCATAGCAGAGATCACTCATTGTTCAAACATAAGTTCCTCCTGAGCCTAAATATGCCCATTAGATAGAGCACTGTAGAGGGCAGGCGCTGCTTATAAGAGTGGTCATGTGAGATGGAACGTGGAGGACTGATGTTAGTCCCATCCAGCGGCATTACAGAGAAATCCACCAAGAAAACTCACATCCTTTCTGGGGTCTTACTGTCCTATCTCCAAAACTCTGTGTGTTCTAGACAAACTAGCCACAGTCAATAACAGATATATCTTTCCTTCCAGCTAAGATAAGCAAGCTTGTCTTTCTGACCAGTCTGTCAGAAGCCTAATTGAAAAATAAAATTAACAAATGTGGTAAAACGCAAAAATAGCCTAAATGACTTGAGGGCAGGGACGTATCATCCACTTCTTTTGGTAATTCCCTTCTTACTACTTTGAGCCTCAGTTTCTGCATTTATAAAATAAGAATCATAATCTTATCTCGTAGACTTGTTGTGAGGACTAATAAGATAATCAACACGGAGCTCTTAGAATAGTACCCAGCGCAGAGTAAGACTCAGTATTTGGCTACCGTTATCGTTATTCCCCCAGCAATGGCCAACATGGTGCCATGCTCATGTTCAAAAACAGGCTGGGCATGGTGGCTCACGCCTGTAATCCCAGCACTTTGGGAGGCCGAAGTGGGTGGATCACTTGACGTCAGGAGTTCAACACCAGCCTGGCCAACATGGTGAAACCCCGTCTCTACTTTAAAAATACAAAAAACTAGCAGGCCATGGTGGCACCCTCCTGTAGTCCCAGCTACTTGGGAGGCTGAGGTGGGAGAATTACTTGAACCTGGGAGGTGGAGGTTGCAATGAGTCAAGATCATGCCATTGCACTCCAGCCTGGGCGACAGAGTGAGACTTTATCTAAAAAAAATAAAAAATAAAAAAAAATAAAAAAAAACACTGCTATAGAGAAGCCAAGAGAATGAAGCAAACACTGAATTTGAGCCAAAGGACAGAGGTCATAGTATCAGCCTTCTCCCTATACCTCTCTGAACTTTCGTTTCTTCTTAGGTATAATAAAAATTGGATAGTTTTTTTTATTAATTTCAGCTCTGACATTTTGTGAATTGATAAAATTCTATAACACTCCTGTGAAGCGTCCAAGCTGTTTTCGAAATCCTGAATATCCAGTTGAGAGCAAAAGAAAAAAATTATAATACTTCCAAAAATTAGTTGAGGCAAAAATTGAGTTAATTACCACTTGACTTATTGGTTTTCTGCCACTGGAGGGCGTGCAGTACTTGTTTGTAAAATGGCCTTCTAGGTTTTAGCTCTCTTGCACACAACTTCAATTTCAGTCCATTGAATTGGAATCAAAGAATCAAAGAAACCACCTCCTTCCTTTGACAGAGTTAATAGGTAAGGAGGTACAGCCTGCAGAGACGATGTGAGTTAGAAAACTCAACAGAGAGAAGTGTGCTTAATCTTTCTGATGCCAATTCTACTACCTTTATTTCTCCATAATATTATCCCTAAACAGCCCTTCATGCCACATCCTCTCTTAACTTTTTTAAAGAGGAACTCTTAGGAGATTGTGAGCCCATCTCTTCTCCTCACTCCTGCACATGGCTTCTCCAAGTTCTCTTTTCTTTTTCGCAAACCTCCAGCAGAAAGCAGGGCCTGGGCCTCTTTAATACGGCCCTGGCATACTGAATGGGGTTAGTACATAAACAGCAAGGATCCATTTAATGGGCTCTGGCAGATTCGCTTCATTCTTGATCTGGGATGTGAATGGTGCAAAAGGTAGAAGAGAAGGTGCTTTCCAGACAGCCATTTTTTACTGAAACTTATTGTCCATTAGCCTTGAGAAATGGAAATGGGTGGTACAATGGAAGTGAGACATAGTTCCTTCATTTAAAGAACTCCCAAAATAATTAGGGTGACTAAATATAAAATTGAGGGGTGAGAAGGGAAAATTCTTGAAGGGCCTTCAGAGATCAAGTTTTAGGAACACAGACTTACTCTCTTTTGCTACATGTGACTACCTGAAGTTCTATGTTGAAATCAATTGGGATGCCTCTTCCCAATTAAGAAAGAATGTGTGTTGCAATGAATCATTCATGTCTGCCAGGAGCATACGATGCAGTAGGATATGCATGCATTTACTAACCCTGACCTCTAATCCAGGACCCACTATTTTTCTCTTTTTTTCAGATTGGGAAACTAAGGCCCAGAGAAGAAAAAGGAAGTGGTCAAGGTCATTCAGCTAAAGGACAAGAGGTGAATTTTCAAAGCATTGTAACCCTGAGGCTGCTCGGTTCAGGGTACAGGGTCAACAGACAAGGAACACTCCTGTGTTTCTGTTCTCAAAGCCACGGGTGATTCTCTCACCTCAGCTAAGTAGTCCTGACACATTTTGGACCAATTTGTTTCTCTTTCTACAAATATTTTGTAATTCCTTCTCCCTTTTTAACTTTTTTCTAATAAAATTGTTGTTATGTATAAAAGAATGTGTGTAGCACACAAAGAAATAAAGTGTAAAAATAAAATAAACACAAATGATCCACCCCTTAATTTAAAAAAATAGGAACTACACATGTGTGCTTCCTTGACCCCACTCCCTACCTCCCTGCCAGGAGGTATCCACTCTCTTAAATTTTGCTTTCTTCATTCCCTTAGTTTCTCTTTCAAGCTTTAATACATGCATACATATCTTTAGACATTGCATTTTTTTGTTTCACTCATTTTTAGATGTTATACAAATGCAATCATGAAGCTTGCATTCTTTTGTAGTTTCATTTTTCACTTAAAATTATATTTCAAAGATTTCCAAAGTTGTAGCTCATTCATCTATAATAGTATTTCATTGTGTAAATATTCCATAATTTATGTATCCATTCTACTGTTGATCAATATGTGAATGGTTTCCAGGGTTTTTTAATTGTTAAGAATTTTGCTATGTTTTTTTTAATATTTCCTGGCACCCATGTGCAACAGTTTCTCTAGAGCAGTGGTTCTTCATCAGAGCAATTTTCCCTCTTCAGGGACATTTGACAATACCCAGACACATTTTTGATCATCACAACCAGAGGGACCCCTGGAGAGAAATGGGGACAAAGGGCTTCCTCTGGCTAGAAGCTAGCGGCCAAGGATGCCGTTAACCAGCCAAGAACAGCCCTGCACAACAAAGAATGATCTGGATCAAAATGTCAGCAGTGCGGAGTCTGAGAAACCCAGCTCTGGAGGATACACATGGGTTGAAATTTCTGAGTTATAAGTGTGCCAACTTCAAATTTACAAGATAGTATCACATTGCTTGCCAAAATGTACCAATTTCTACACCAACAAGGAGTATGTAAATCTCATCGCTCCATATTTTATCCAACACTTGGTACTGTTAGCTTTTAAAAATATATATATTGGCCAATCTAGTTGGAATAAAATGGGTGGAATATAGTATCTACTACTAATGAGATGAGCATCTTTTATATGACTGTTGGCTATTTATGTTTCCTCTTCTGTGATTTGCCTGTTCATGTAATTTTCCCATTTCTCTTTTAACTATGTTTGTTTGCATTGTTTGTATAGATTTCTGGATTTTTAAAAATATTTTGTATATTAATCACAATTAATTAATTATATCACAAATATCTTCTCCCAATTTGAGGAATTTGAGGTTCATCTTTTTTTAATTGTGCCTTTTGAGAACAGAAATTAATTCTAATTTTGATGTGGTTGAATTTATCTATTTTACATCAAGTACTTTATGAGTCTCATTTAATAAATCATTTCCTACCTCTGGGTCATATGGTTATTCTTCTATATTTTCTTCTAAAATGTTTAAGGTTTTGCCTTTCACATTAATGCCATCTGGAATTGATTTGGGCTATGATGTAAGTAAGGTAGAATAGAATCTTTCAGAACTGTCCTGCACCTCCCTTTGTCTAAGTCAATTTTCTAGGCTCATTCACTAGGACAAAGT
The DNA here is from genome assembly GCF_000001405.40 of Homo sapiens. Taxonomy (NCBI): domain Eukaryota; kingdom Metazoa; phylum Chordata; class Mammalia; order Primates; family Hominidae; genus Homo; species Homo sapiens. The sequence continues at coordinate 27,186,828 of NC_000011.10, forward strand.
CTTTTAACCACAGGCTTTACCCAAGGACTTCAGGGGAAGAAGAATCTAATTGGCCTCCTCCCCTATTCTTTTGGAGGCCTCACTAAATGAGCAGATTGTGAGGAATGAGCACACTGACCCCAGACTATCTGAGTTCCTTAGCTCCTACCTATGCCTGTTCAGCTTAAGATCTCTCTCCAGTGTGCCAAACAGGCTCACATCAAAATGCTGGGAACTTACTGCACCCAACCCATGAGCTCTCAATTTCTTAAAGAACTTCAGAAAGAAAAGGAAAGAAGTATTTACTAATGGTAGAACTGCAGGCACAAATAGAGGCAGTGGGGGCTGATTTAAAAAGGTCCCACCCACACTCACTCCAGAAAGAATAGGAGGTAGCTGCCTACTTGTAAGGAGAAAGGCCCACCTCTCCACATGTCCTGTGACTGTAGAGGAGAGTGTTACAACTGAGTCTGGTTCCACTCTACTCCCTGCTATGGCTTCAGCAGCCCAGTTCTCAAAGTTTAGTGCAGTAGCCAGAGCCAGCAATCGATGTGAGGAAGGTGCTCAGTGGTGGGCTGGGGTCAGTAGCACAGGTTCTAAGGAGTCAATTTTATGTACCCCCTCCCCACTTCGCATCACCTTGGCAGCTTGAAATCAACAACTGTGGGATCATTTGCAGTGTTTAATTGGCAAACACCACAAATCCAGCCTTCTCCCTCCTCCTAGTGCCTGCTGTTAAACATTTACCAGCACACCACTGAAAGCACTGCAATCCCACTCACTTGAAGCCCCCAGTTAGCAGATCCCCTGTGATTAGCTCTGACCCTGAGGCAACCCTAAGTGCAAGTCGGTGGCTCCACCTATTCAGTTATCTGCTGCCTTGGCCAGTCCTGATGCACTTCCTCCAAAACCTAGGGCTTCATGCAACCTATGTTGAAAACTCTTAGTTTTCCCCCAGCTCAGATACTAAATTGCAACGCCTTTAGCCTGTGCCCCTGTCATTTTGTCCTTGCCTGGACCACTATTGTAATAGATTCCTAACCAATCCCCATATCCACTCTTTGTGTCCTTCAATCTATTCTCCTCATTCTCTTCAGTGTGTTCTTTTACCCTGCACCGCAACACTCTTTTACTCAAACCCTCCAAGGGCTTTCTATTTGACTTAGAACAAAATTCAAACCTTGATCATTGGCCCTCAAGTCCCTAATCTGTCTATTCCCTGAATATTTCTCCAAACATGTTGTCTACTCTTCTCCTTCGCACTAAGCTCCAGCCACATGGACTCTTTTCATTTCTCAAACTCAACAGTCTTTGCAGTTGCAGCTTTGTAAGCCTGATAGCTTCCCTCTCCAGATCTGTATATGGCTGGCTCCTTCTTATCTCAGTACAAAGGTTATCTTCTCAGAAAAGCCTTTCTTGATCACCAGTAAAACTCTACCAATTCCCAACCCCACCCCAAGGCATTCTCTATCCGGCACTCTTTGTGCTTGTGTTTGTTTTCTTCCCATTCCTTATTACTATCTGAAATTACATTATTAATTGCTTTTTTGTTTACCCGTTTATTGTCTGTGTTTACCTCTAGGATCTAAGTACCAGGAGGTCAAGGACTCTGTCTGCTTTGTTTCAATCTGTGCCTCCAGCATTCAGCACAATGCCTAGCACATGATAGATACTCAGTAAATATTGTTGAACTAATGAATGAACTTAATGTTGTTATCTTGGCATTAATGGCAGCACTAGAGCCCAACCAGACCTAGCAGGGACGTTCACAAAGGCTGCATTTTCTTAATGTTTTTATCCTTCAGTGAGAGTGTTCTCCTTGGTACTTATACTGCTATCCCCTAAAAGAGACATTAACTTCACCCTGGACTGACTTGAGGAATTCAAAGAAACTCAAATGCCCCTACACTGCAAATAAAACCATCCATGTCCTTAACTCTTTTCTTTTCCAAGTGCATTATTTTCCTGATTTGTAGGATACTGGGAAGGGTCTGGGACCTAATTAGAAAAACGTTGGTCCTCCATAAATAAAACTACTCTCATGGAAGAATTCCAGCGTGTGATCTCTTCCCCACAAAATCTCATTCTCCAGTTCCAGTGCTGCGAACTTCTCTCTGTGATCTGCGTCCTGTTCTCTGTCTCCCTAACTGTGCATGTGTGTCCTTCTAGTTCTCTGCAGTGATTGCCAGAAATCTGTTAATCTCCTTTGGATATAAACTCCTGTTCTATTTTGGTCTTCAAGGTTTTTCTTTTCTTTTCTTTTCTTTTTTTTCAATCTCAAAAGAAACGTATATTTGGCAAACAGGTTTGATCAGTTTATTTTCTTTATTTCTTTCATTTTTTCTTTAAGATGGAGTTTTGCTCTTTTGCCCAGGCTACAGTGCAACGGCATGATCTCGGCTCACCACAACCTCCACCACCTGGATTCAAGTGATTCTCCTGCTTTCTACCTCAGCCTCCTGAGTAGCTGGGATTACAGGCATGTGCCACCACGCCTGGCTAATTTTGTATTTTTAGTGGAGGCAGGGTTTCTCCATGTTGGTCAGGCTTGTCTTGAATTCCTGACTTCAGGTGATCCACCCGCCTCTGCCTCCCAAAGTGCCAGGATTACAGGCATGAGCCACCTCGCCGGGCCCAGATCAGTTTTTTTCAAATTCACCTGAAGGGAAATCTTGATGCTAACAGATTAGAAGATAACAGTCTCCTTCCCTCACTCCCAAAAAGAACCCCAGTCCCTAGTCAGGACCCCAAAAGCAAGATCTAGTCTTTAAAGCCTAATATGATATTTGGTGCCCTCAAGATCCCCCTCCTGGATCTTCTCTCAAAAGATACTGTTAATGAAGATGAAAAAGGTACCTGATAACTCTGCTGTGACCGTCAGGTGATGAGTGCACCAAAATCTCAGAAATCACCACTAAAGAACTTATCTATGTAACCAAACACCACCTGTTCCCCAAAAACCTATTGAAATTAAAAAAAAAAAAAAAAAGAGGAGCTAAACATCAGGAAAAAAAAATGAAAAGAAAAAGGTGCCTGATAACTCTGCTGTGACCATAAAGGCAATATACCAATATACTCTACCCTGTCCACACGGCTCTAGATTTTCCAAAGAGCATGTTCCCTGAATTCTCTCCCTCCTTACTTACGAAGCACTTTGATAAGAACTTTGTGTTCTGTGTGAGTTGTCCATTAGGTAATCTCAACTGGAAAAGGAGTCCTAACTTTGTCCCAAGTGCTACCCCCACCACACCAATAACCTGGCTAGGTTGAGAAGTGTTTTAAACGGCTTTTATATTCTATAAACTAACAGTCAATCCTTACTATTTGCCCAATATATGTCCTGAGACTTTTTCACATCTTTAATTTTGTGACTACCCAAGGCATATAACTTTCCCTAGTAAGTGCATATTTAACCTTATAATGTAACCCTCGTCTTACTTGATCTCAACTGATGTAACTGACCACTCCCTCCTTTTCTTTTCTTTTTTTCTTTTTTTTTTTTTTTAAGATGGAGTCTTGCTCTGTTGCCCAGGCTGGAGTGCAGTGGTGCAGTCTCAGTTCACTGCAACCTCCACCTGCCAGGTTCAAGCGATTCTCCTGCCTCAGCCTCCTGAGTAGCTGGGATTACAGGCACCTGCCACCACGCCCAGCTTAATTTTTTGTATTTTTAGTAGATACGGGGTTTCACCATGTTGGCCAGGCTGGTCTCGAACTCCTAAGCTCGTGATTCACCCACCTCAGCCTCCCAAAGTGCTGGGATTACAGGCCTGAGCCACCGCACCCGGCCTCATTCCCTCCTTTTCAAAGTATCCTTCCTTTGGTTTCCTCCTTGGTAGCTTTCTTTCCGTTTCATTTATTGGCTTCACCTCCTCCAGTAAATCGCTAAATATTGGAATAATCAAAGCACAGCTGTGCATCCATTTTTCTTCTCACTTGACATTTTAACCATAAGGCTCTTCCTCATTCCCAAGGCTTCAAAGACTACCCATATGCCAATGACTCTCTTCAAGATAGTTGCTTTGACTTCCTAATCGATACCTCCAACTACTTATTGCATGCCTGAGCTGGGATATCTGCTTAACATATCCATAATTTAACTTTTGATTATCTCCTTCAAGCTTTCTCCTCTGGCAGTCTTCTCCATCTCAACAAATGTCCCATTATTTATTCAGTTGCTCAAGCCAAAAACCATGAATCATCCTTGACTCTTTCTTCTTTCTTGCCTTCCCACATTCAATCCATCACCAAATCCTGTAATTCTTATTTCCAATATATCTCAAATCTATCCATCAACTTTTCTCCACCTTTATTGCCACCACCCAAGTCCAAACTGTCCTGGCCTTTCTTGTCCCCTTTCAATGCATTCACTACACAAACATTAAGTACACAAAGCAGCCAGGATGATCTTTTTAAATTTTACATCAGATCATGTCACTCTCTGGCTTCAAATTCCTTAGTGGCTTCCCTTTGCACTGTAATAAAATCCCAGATTCTTGGCAGGGCCCACAAATCACACTGTGAGCTGGTTCTGCCACCTCTGCAGCCTCATCTGCCACCCACCTTCCTTTCACTCCACTCCAGCCACCCTGTCCATTCTGTTCCTTGAAATGTACCAAATAAATACAGAGGAACCTTAATGAATTAGAATGCTGTCATTAACCGAGGAATAAGCAAGACAAGGTTCATTATTCTACTATTTTCCGTTGAAGCTCTTTCCAGAAAGTGTGAATCCAGCGTAGCGCTCTGGAAGTCAAAGTCAGCAAACATGACAGTAATGTTCTTTGTAACCTGAAAATCTGATGGGGCCTTGGCACCATTTTCACCAGTAACAACATTCAGTTGCTACTGTTCAGGGCAATAAGTGAAGATGAAAAAGGTATGGGATTGAGTCTTGACTGTTTTCACAAAATTCACTGAGATTGACTTGTTCATTATTGTTTTTTAGAAAACCTATGCTATTTACTTGTCTGTCCACTAATTGGCCTCTAGGTCCTAACAGTGGAGTATGGAGATTCTCAGTGGCTTATTCGTGCAATTTTTCCATCCCGTATGCATGTGTATTTGTGTATGCAGTTCTATGCCACAGGCAAGTTATTTAAATTCTCTGACCCTCAGTTTTCTCATCTGTAAAAGGAGATGGTACAATCAAGGTTGTTGCAAGTCTTTGCAAAGCACTGAGAGTTGCAGGCCCTCACATTGATAGTTGTTATTAAGAAATGAGGAGGGAATATTCATAAAGAAATCTCCCTCCACATATTTAATCTCACTTTCTCCACAACCAAGATTATCTTACTTTGTTATTACCAATTGCTAAAATTTTAGACTCATAAGTACTATATAAATTTCCTTTTCCCAACCACCTTGTGGTACTCTCCAAAACAGACCTTCACGGTTGGGCAATGGTAACAAGACCCAATTAATGCCACAAAGGCCATGCTGTGGCACCTTGCTAAATTCCTCTTTCTGGGTGTAAATGCTTTAAAAACAGTGTGCTGTTATCTCGAGGACTGGTCCTTGGGTTTTAGATAAGCTGGGACTTTCCATCGGTCTTCTTTCTGCTCATGGTAAACATCACCTTTCTCAGAGGTGCCCTGTCTCTGTTATATATATAACGCTCCACACAGGTCAGATATTCAGACAGAAGGCTCCTGACACTGCCATGAAGAAGGATGGCTCTGGGAGGGGTTTTCCATGTTACATTAGTTTTGAAGGTCAAAAGGTCAGCTCTGGGCAACTTGGGTCCTCCATCAGTAATCCCATCCAGGACAGGACCATCAATTCCCTTCATCTCAGCTGAGACCTAGCATCCCACTATCAGAGCCTAAGCCAATGACCTCTTATAATCTAACGGTCTTTCCCCTTACTAGGTTAGCCTCAAATAGGACATCAGGGGCCTACCCAAAGCCAGCAGGATTTGAAGAAAGTTGGGGAGTTTCCAGCTGTACACAGAAAATAACTTCTTCACAATATGAGGGATTAAAATGTGGGGGAGGGGTAGATCTCTTCAGGAAAATTTATTGAACTTTTGGATATTTTGTTTTGTTTTGTTTTGAGACAGGGTCTTGCTCTGTCTCTCAGGCTGGAGTGCTGTGGCACCATCTCAGCTCCCTGCAACCTCCACCTCCTGGGCTCAAGCAATTCTCCTACCTCAGCCTCCCCAGTAGCTGGGATTACAGGCACACACCACCGCACCTAGCTAATTTTTGTTTTTGTAAAGACGAGGTTTCGCCATTTTGGCCAGGCTGGTCTCGAACTCCTGACCTCAGGTGATCTGTCTGCCTCAGCCTCCCAAAGTGCTGGGGTTGGTTACAGGTGTGAGCCACCATGCCTGGCCTGAACTGTTTAAAGGAGTGATGGTTGAGAGGTTCAAATGTCTAAAGCAGGAGCCCAGAAAAGAAAATCACCTGGATATTTTTTTAATTTTCATAATAAACTTATGCTATGTATCTGCGTAAATAAATGTCATAAAACAACAGTGCAAAAAATGACCCTTCCATTTCTACAAAATGAGAGATTTATGCTAGCAGATTATAGGCCACTGACCAGACACAATGTTGGCCCTATCAGAAATTCTTGAACAGAAAGATAATGTCATTCCTATTTATATTATTATTTATTTTTAAATAAGAGTCAATAAAACTTCTGGTCAACATGTAAGATATTGTAAGAACAATTAGTAAACATTATTTTTACCAAAGTAATCATGAGTATACTTGATTTTAGCTACTGGGGCTGGGGATGGGGATGTGGAACGCACACACGTGAAACAAAACAAGTATGGTCTATATCTCTGGAAGAACTGGAAACAGATATTTAAGAAAAACTGCTTGTCATCTGCACAGCAAGATTAGTGCAACAAATACCACTTGGAATTCATTCTGTATTGGTGACAATGTGAGAGAGATGGGGTATGTTACCAGGAGATTTCTGTGCTGGAAATAGATCACCGTTTCACTGAGTCATGTGTGTGTCTCAATGCATTATGTTAAACTAATCTAAAAAACAACAACAACAACAACCAAACAACAAAAAACCATTTTTTAAAAGACGTGATAATTGTAAAGAATTTTTTTTTATCCTCCAGAGCACTCCCATATCTGTTATCTTACATCTTCTTCAGGGTCCAGGAGTAAAGATCAAAAGTGAATGAGGTTCCAGGTTTTGGATGCACTCTGGCCACGTGTCATGTCAGAGGGCGGAATTTTATGGCTCTTGAGTTGCCTTCTGTATGATCTCAAATAAGGGAATACAAAGTTACAGATACCAGAACTTAATGTGATTATGAGTTTGCTATAAATTTCAATTTGTTTCTAACAGATTATGCAGAAAGGGAGGAAAAAAAAATTCTGCAGGGAGCCTGTGCTTCAAAAAACGACTTGAGAAAACATGCTCAAGCTTTCCACTTCCCTTCTTTCTTCCTTCACCTTTTCCCCTTCCTTCTTTCCTTTGAGTTGCTCTTTCTTCTTTAATATCCAAATCTAACTCATCAGGCTTTCAAATGCAACATTCTTTGCAGAACTAGATGACTGTAGTATTGATTTATCTTTATACATAATAAAATGCATAATATTTAATTTCCTGAAACATTAATCAAACTATTAACTTTTTTTAATGATGAATTTTTAACTATAAATAGAAAATGTGCCTTTTTTAAGAAAAAAAGCTAAATGAATAATTTTTCCAAAATTAATCTCTTTTTTTTTTGGTTCCAGAACCAAAAAAAAAGTGGAATATGATATTAATTTTGCATTATGAGGTGATCAGCACTTCCAACCAGCCCTCTGTTTTATTCTTAAGATCCTCTAGTTTTCCACATGGACACTAACACAACAAGAAAATTCCTCTGTATAGAAACTGGAATATAATCCCATAAATTATCATGTTTTATGACTGGAAAATATTTGCCAATGAAGAAATTGTCTGTAGGTATTTGTCTTAAGATTTTTGGCTGTTTAATAAAAATATAACTTTATTAAAAAAAAGAGAAAATTCCTCTGTACCCCCAACTTTCAATTTTAAGAAGTAAATAATCCATGCAGACAAAAACAAACACGAATTTTCTCAACCCTATCCTCTTGCTTCCTAAAGCAAGCAAAAGCAAACAGGTGATAAAGAGGTGAAGGGCTAAGAAGAGAGAGAACTAGAAAGATTTTTCAAAAAAATCAAATCTGCTCACAACATTCCCCTTCTCACAAGCTTTCATGTCTGTCTACAGCCAACAGAATGGTCCAGCTTTTTAGAGAAGTCAAGAGCCCCACACTTACCCTTCTTTCCCCATCCTAACACCATCTTCTTATGCTTTGCTCCTGCCATGCCAGTCTGCCAGCATTTCTCCAGACACACTCTGCACTTCCACGTCTAATTCCTTTGGTATTCAGTGGGCTTCTTGCAGACAGTGGCTGGTCTTAGTGGTATTTGTGTTCTCACCAGCTTGCAGGATGCCTCACTACTTATAGTCTATGAGTGTTTCTTAAATTGAGATTCCTGAATGTATTTAAAGTCTCCAACTTTGTCAGCTTTCTTAACATGCCATTTATTAGTAGGCTAAGAAGTCTCTGGGTAAGTCACAGGCACACACACAAAAAAACAAGTTTCTATGATCAGACGAAAGTACAGGGAAATGCACACTCATGGATGAAGCGTAAATAGTATAACTTTTCTAAAGAGTAATTTAAACATACCTTTTCAGAAGTAGGAATGCCACTCTTGACCTAGCAGTTCCACTTCTGAAAATTTAATCTAAGAATCTTGTATATGTATAAGCAAGTTTATCACAGCAATGTTTATAGTTTCAAAATATTGTAAACAATCAAATTTCTTAACAATGAGAGATGTATTAACTAAATAATGGTTCATTCATGTAATAGAATGAGAGTGTGTGCTCAATAAATGTGAGAAAATGAAAGAACCATATCATAGAAGTATTTGCAGCCTTGGAACAAGGACAATGTTATACTAACAAATAAAAAATATAGTCTGCTATCATAATCAAATTTTTTAAATAAATGTTTTCTTTATAGAAAATGTCTAAAAGAACATGTGATTATTTTTAATTATTTGAGTGACTGTAAAAGTTTAAAATGAGAAAAATAAGATACTGTGAAGTCAGGTAAACACTGTATCTTAATAGGAACATGTCAAACTGCCCTGGGCAAGCTTTGTTCTTCTGAATAAAGTAATACAGAAAAAGTCCATTAGCTTAATGTGTTAGTTTGCAAGCCACTGAAAAATCTTAGCCATGTCAGTGGATCAACCCAGACACATACTGGAAGACACCCCACCATGGAAAGCTGAGATGCCCACATTACATAAGCAACATTGTCCTTACATCAGCTAATGCATTTTTAAAGAACTGAAATTTTTATTGCTTTTTTTTTTTTTTAGAATTCCTCCTCTTACTGCACCTATCTCACCACCCACATGCTCAGCTCAATCATCTCATCAAAGAGAGAATGAAACTGTTTTTCTATGTCCTCCCCCTATTCTCATCTGAACAGAGTTCGCTTGAAACCCATTCATCAACCAGAAAAATCTCTAGTTGAGACTAGAACATCTTAAAAACACACAGAGAAAGATAAACAGAAAACTGAATTACACTTTCTTGGACATTTCAACCCCCAGTGGGCTTTCAAATTCCATTTTGGGTCATTATTGGGTAGCTTCATTGATTCACCTCATGGTTTCAAACAGAGCTCTCAGTCTGCAAGAATGAAGATGTTATCACCAAGAAAGTGAAGGGCCTGGGAGACAGCTGCTTGCTTTTACAGGGACTGACGTATCTGGAAGAAGAATCAGCCTGGCTTCTGAATATAAATAGGAATTAGTTAGGTAGACGTAGAACAAATAAGCACAGTGATTGAGAGACCTTTCCCACAAAGCAAGTCCCCGTAGAGGAGGGGAAAAGACCAGACACCTGAACCCTCCCTAGGGTCTCTCCCAGACTCAGAGTTAAAAGGAAAACAGGCTTTGGAGTTGACAACCCTGATTAAGAATGCTGATTTGGCCACCTCGTAATGGTATGTGCCAGGCAAGTTACAAAATTCTAAGTCTCCGTTTTCCTGCTGGGGAAGTGGGTGCAGTAACACCTACCTCACAGAGTTGTTGGGTGTAATTTGAACTAACACAGGAATTCATGCCTTGCCAATCTTGAGGACTAAATAAATGGTGATATTCTTTGAGGAGGGGAAGAGAAGCCAGGCAGGGTACAGTGAACATTTTTAGGATGGAGATTTCCAAATATTATCTTTTAGTCCCAGAGGATCAGGCAACATCCACCAACCAGAGCAGGAGGGACCAGTTGAATTCTCTGTCTAGCTGTCTCCACCCAGCTAGAGGTCAGGGTTACTCTGGTCTTTCCAAGGAAGAAAGCAAGGATCCTGTTTTTAGGATCAGCTTATCTCCCTCACTAGCCTCATGCTCTTTGGTGTCTTTTTCTACAATTTTCAGGATAGGTAACGTAGATGATTACCCATGAGGGTAAGCGTCTACATGTCATCAGAAAATTTGATTAAACACCCACCCATGGCTGTGGTTTGAGGGATTTTGAGGCACAGACCAGAAAATAAACAGGGGAAGGGATTAAAGAGAACAAGAATTACCAGATGGAACTGGCATCCTTCACGGATGGTGCATTTGAGTTATTGGAGTTTAATCATAAACCCATCATTTGGAAATGCAAAACTCACTGATGTGCAGGGCTTGACATTTTTCAGCTGATGCACTCCCTGCCAAATGAGATCTCACTTGCCTGAATGAGGCAAGCAGGGAAACCAAGGTCGTTTCCAGGGGCCTCCCTGGGTCATTTCCCATCACCTTGCATGCCAGCACACTTTCTGTCTCTCTTTTTCTGTCTCTCTCTGTCTCTCTCTCTTTCTTTCTGGTGATACACACACACACACACACACACACACACACACACACACACACACACACAGCCACAGATCCCCGTAAGAATGATAAAAGCAATGGCTAAAGCAAAGTGACAAACAGCCTTCCTGAAGTAAAAGGCTCATTGGCCTGGAAGGAATCTCAGACATCATGTCCCCTATCTGTCTGATAAGATTTCATCTGAAATCTTTCCCGGCTGAGTGGAGATCAGGCCAGTCCAAAAGATCACCATAAAATCGATTCCCACATATTAATTCATTCATCCATCACAACAACAGATACGTATTAAATGGTAAAGATATTAATAATAGAAGTGTGCATTTATTAAAACCCTACAGTGCACAAAGCTTAAGGGTGAGCAAAGCAGGCACTTTGCACAGAGCTAAAGACTTTCCATAGGAGGAAGATATTAAATAAATAACTACAAATAAAAGTGGATAGTTACAACCTCTAGCAAGTGCTGTGAAAGAGAGGAGGTTCAGAGAGCTCTAAGAATGGCCAATGTGGAGACCTGCCTACATCTAGGGATAATCTTGGTTTGTTCAAGGAACTCAATGAAGGCCAGGGTACTCAGAGCAGGTGGAATAAGAATCTAGAGAGATGGGCAGGGGCTAGACAATACTGGTCTCCCTGAGCTTGGAAGGATTTTATTCTTTATCCTGAGAGCAGTAGGAAGCTTATCCATGGAATTAAATCTTAAATAAGGCAGACAGAACAGGGCTAGTTTACATCCACTTCATCAGAGTATGGGTCTCTGGAGTCCAGGGCTGCAGACTTAGACCCCCTTAAAGCTAAACAGTATCACAGAGAGAAAACATTATCTATCCATCCCCCACACCAGGAAGACGCCCTTTCTCAGAGGCTGCTTATGGGTTACCATCATTTGAATCTGACACATTTATTGAGTTACCCCCACCTCCACCCCATGTCTGACCTAGTGTTGGCAGCTGGGAAGACGCAAGTAGACACAGATAAACAACCTAAAATCCAGGACAAAATATTACAGGTGCTAATAAAGGAGGTACTGAAAATGCAGCCAAGAGGGGCAGCAAGGTTCAACCAAAAGATACAGGGCCTGGACCCTGGGCTCAAGTTATGACTGTGCCACTTATGAGCCATGTGACCTCAGGAGGACACCTCTTTGAATCTAAGTTATTTTGCGGCCCTGAGAGTAAGTTGTGTGCATTGATAAGACTAATGAAGAGTTTATCTTGAATTTTAATAGTCAACTTACTAAAGTTATAAATCTAAGAACATATTTTATCTTTGGGTTTCACATTCAACTTATGAATCTTTATTTTCCCATTTAGAAATGGAGCAAATTTTAATGTCACCTTTTTTAGTCACTTTTAAAGAGTCTTTAACCAATGCTTGATTATATTTGCAGACTTAGGTAATTACATTTCTTCAAATTGTCTAAACTACATTTAGAAATTCAATTTCACTTTCAGGGCCCCAATTGTCTGATCAATAATGTTCCCAAATACTTAATCTAATAAATTATACTTATAAATATGATTGATATGAATTTCCATTTAAAGTTGTATGTCAATAATTTATTAGTATGCATTTTAAATTAGAATAATATAAATATTCTTTTATCTTAAATATTACAAGTATATAGAAATGCCAAATGTAGTCTGGCTCTTAATACAAAAATATTTTTATGATGATTTGAATCATCATTTGTATATATAATCTAAGCTTTCCAGGAAATTAAAGATACTTATCCAGTAAGAAACACAAACGTCATCCTTGTTAATTGAAATTACCTTTCAAAGAGCTGTTATACTGGACATAAGATTTGGAGATTCAGACTTCCTTGTGACAGCTTTTACAAAAACTAAGAAAACTATCAAATCATCCAGAGAAATGTGGGGCGTTGTAATTATCAGAGATGTTGGTGGCCTTGATGTGACAATTGAACTCTATTTTTAGTGGTTATATCAATGGTTTTATAACTTCAAAGGAGGCATGATCAAATCATGGGACTCAAGTTATACACAAACCCTGATTCGTCCATCTATTCACATATATCTGAAACTGCAGCCCAGCTCAATCTCTTGATTAGATTATGTATTTTCTTTGGTTCCTAAGATCTTTGTATGTCTCTTCTATCTCATGTTATAGACTTTTGAATGCAATAGAATCTAAAAATATGTGAACGTCTTTTCAGTCTAACTCTAAAGATCTTTGTGCTTAATGGAATCCTGCATTCTATCTAAGAAGCTGTTGCAAGTGTATAATGACACTTCGGGGTACATTTGAACTTCGGTCCAGATGATTCAGGTATGCAGGCAGACTACTTCTATTCCTTGAGGTTTGTAGCAAATTACAAAATATATATATGCCAAAATAGTTTTTGAAATTATGATATGTGTTAAATTTTTGTGTTTAACAAAGGTATACTTCTAATGTTCAAAAATACATGCTATGTACTTACGCTGTTCAAAAATTAATTTAGGATTTATGTAATACGTTAATTCACAGTATACTGTAGGCATTTTGTTCAGTAATGGCATATAGGTTTAATTATGAACATCTTCCTCTTTCAAACCTATGTGTGCATTTCTAGACAATGTTAAAAGCCCAACTTAGAAAGCTTTAGGCCTCTGTGCAGCTGAAAGCCAAATGACCTCCCTAACTCCCAAGGTCCCTCTAACTCTGATAGGCCCTAAGCAAGACTTTCACAGGTCAGCAGTCTACTAAGTGGAAACATTATTCATTCATTTTTATTGCAAGTGTTGTTCATCTGTCTAGTGAAGCTTAATTGTCATTATTTACAAAGAATAAATGACTGCTTGGGAGCTCTGTGTACCCCAGTGAGCCTTGGACTGATTAGCAGGCTTCCCTGTAGGATGATCAGTCAGGGGGATCCCCTAAGTTCCTCAACGGGGAAGTCATTTGTCTAGGGCCATCCAATTTCTTTAGAGAATAGCCTTTCAATGTGCCTGCCTTGGGGATAGAACCTAGCTCCCAGGAGTTTCACTGCAAAGGTAGAGGGCCACCTGCTCAGAAAGCAGACTTTCTATTAAACTTCTTATTTCCAACACCACTCCTTACTCCTACTCCTACTCCTTATACCTCTGTTTTTAATTTCCTGATCTTTGCCCACATTCTAAAGGAAAGATGAGCCCTCTCTTCAGCTGAAGTGTGTAAGCTATAGTTTCCTGTCTCTTGTAGCTTCAGCCTTCCTTACACCTTCTAGAAATGTGTTCTCTCTCTGCCAGGAACATGCATTCCCAGAGATCTCATGACTGGTGCCCTCTCATCATTCAAGTCTTAGCTCAAATATCACCTCCTCAGGAAAGTCTCCTATCTATAGTAGCTCTCCATCCCCAGCCCCCTCCACCTCCACCTCCACACCCTGACTCCTGTTTTTCATAGGGCATTTGTCAATTACATCTCGCTCATTCATTTGTTGATCCTCTTCACTCCCCAAACAATTCATTTTCCAGGAGAATACAAATCTTGTTTGTAAAGTTGTGCATTATCATCAGACTTTAGGCACCTGGCAAACAGTAGGTATTCAATAAATGCTGGTTAAATGAATAGAATCACTCATTTGTTCATTCAACAAACATTCATCAAAAGTGTATTTGGTACCAGGAATTGTGCCTATAAAGGAGAATTTCATTCATTTATGAAGTGTCTTCCTGCCTCTCTACCACTTCCTGCCTCCTCTGCCCATACTCCCCCTCAGTCCACACACACACACACACACACACACAGAGGCTGGCCTCTGTCTTTGCTGCCATGTGGCTGGCCCAAAATAAAGAAACCCAAAAATGGGTTGACCTTGTACCCATGGCCAACTGTAATGCAGAGCAGACGGTGGCAGCCAGCCAGACAATGGAAGCTGAATGTTTCCTGGGCTCAGCCTAGCAAATATTCAACTGTAATAAAAGCCACGGTCCAGTGAGCAATTAGAGAAAGATGCCCAGGTGTCACTGGAGAGGGTAGTTCTTATTTACAAGAACACATGGAGCCTGGTGAGCAGGCAGCCCTCCTCCTTGGCCTTGACTTTATCACAGCAAACAGGCCTGACCAAGAGCTTTCCTTCAGACACTTGCAGCTGGCTGGGAAATGAGTGTGATAGTAAACACATGTTGCTTCGCTTGTGACCTGACAAATCAGATTACCTGCCTCAGACACACACAGGGGCTTTATAGTGAGGCTATCTAAAAATCAAGCTCTCTGAATGTACAACTGGTTTGTTGTTGTTTGTTGGGGTCTGAAATTACTCAGAACACCTTGCAGTCACGTGGAACAGAATATATTTTATTTTATTGTCTCCCATTCCAACGGAGCTAACACTAGCCTTGTTTGTGTCAAGGAACCCAAACATTATCATTCAAAGGCCGTATTCACAAACGAAGTGGGATGGCCATAAAACTGATGACCTTGCTGCTTCTGGAATCTCATAAAAAGTTTCCAAGCTGCTCCTCCCCAGAGCAAATAAGGGCGTTGCAGTTGCTAGTCCCCTGGCAGGGTTCCAGCTGGGGCTATTACATTCCTCCCTCATAAATACAGACTTGTCGGCCTGACAGGGTGCTTAACTCTGGAGGTGCTGCTGTGTTTGGAGCATTTAAACCCAGAGGCAGGGGCGACGCAGAAAAAAAAAAGGCATCAGAGTTGTCGGGGAGCAGGTAGGGAATGGTGAAAAGAGGCAACACTGATTGAGAAGATGTCATGTGCCAGGCACTGTGCAAATGATTATGTATGCATTTTCTCATTCAAGCTTTGTAACTTATTCATAGGCCAGCCCTCAGTGGAAAGCGTTAACCCATGTGCCCATGTATTGAAGGTCAAAAGACACATGCCAACTACATTTGGCATTTTTGTTGGGGTCACAGTGGATATTGTTTATTAACTGTGTGTGTTTCCCAATGGTCTTTGTGGTGGAAATGGCCCACTGATACAAATGCAAGAGCCAATGGGCCATGTGTCTGGGTAGGGCTTCCAGGAATCTATTGTTTGAAGCTCTTTGAATGATGATGATGTGAAACTTAGAAGAACCATTTTATGATCAAAAGGGTGGGCCGGGCGTGGTGGCTTACGCCTGTAATCCCAGCACTTTGGGAGGCTGAGGCGGGCAGATTACCTGAGGTCAGGAGTTTGAGAGCAGCCTGGTCAACATGGTGAAACCCCGTCTTTACTAAAAATACAAAGATTAGCCAGGCATGGTGGTGTGTGCTTGTAATTCCAGCTATTTGGGAAGCTGAGACAGGAGAATCGCTTGAACCCAGGAGGTAGAGGTTGCAGTGAGCCGAGACCACGCCACTGCACTCCAACCTCGGCAACAAGAGTGAAACTCTGTCTCAAAAAACAAACAAAAAAAAAAAAGTGGGGTGAAAAATGGCAAAACACACAGAAGAGGCTGAAATATGGATAGCACCATGGATACGTTCCCTCACCCCAATCTGCCTGTGCTGGGCTCCTTGTCACCATGAAAAAATAAACCCTTCCTTGTTATGCTGGACACTCTAAGGTGGCCCCCATGATCCCCACCTGCTGGTGGTCATGTCTGTATGTGCTCCACTCCCCTTGAATATGGGTAGGGCCTGTGACTTGCTTCTAACCAGTGTGGCAAAGGGGACGGAATGTGACTCTGCTGCTTATGTCATGTTATGCAAAGCTTCTTCTTAGCAGGCTTACTCTCGAGATTCTCCCTGCTGACCTGATGAAGTAAGCAGCCTTGTCGGGAAAGCCTACATGGCAAGGAACTGCAAATGGCCTCTAGGAACTGTGAGTGGCCTTTAGGAGCTGAAGTTGGCCTCCAATCAGCAAGAAGCCAGGGCACTTAGTCCTACTGCAGCAAGGAAATACATTCTGCCAACCATCTGAATGAGCTTGGAAGTGGATTCTTCCCAAGCCAAGCCTCCATATAAGAATGCAGCCCACCTGACACATTCATAACAGCTGAGCAGAGGACCCAATTAAACCGTGCCTGGACTCTTCATCCACAGAAACTTCGAGATAATCAATGCATGTTGCGTTAAGCCATGACGTTTGTGATAATTCGTTATGCAGCAATAAATGACTAACACACTCCTTTACACAGCTCTAGTCAGCTTTTCTTTATGTGCAGCCAAACTGATACATAGTTGGTGGATACACAGATGATCATCTAGGGAGACCTCCCAAAATGGGAGGAACGGGAACTGATGCTTAGAGAAGGTAGAAGAGCAGGGATTGTCAGCAACTGAAGAGACAGCTGCAGTCTTAGACATTTTTCTCCCAAGAGAAAAATTGGGTATTCTCATTCAGAAGGCCTTTAGCTGCTAACTATGTAGATGCTCTCCAAAATACCATAAGTGATTAAGAACTAGGAAAAAGAAAGTTTGTTTGATAAACCTTTGGAGTAAGTCTTTCACTGATTAAGGTAGGAGAGTAGCAGTTTCTTTTGATATTCAAGGCTCTTTGTAAGCAATTGGCTGCCTTCCATTCAATTATCAAGATGTGCCATAATTTACCAAGTCCTTCCTCTAATCGCAGACTATTTGAGATGCCTTCCATCTCTAAGATTTTTTTTCTTTGAGACGGAGTTTCACTCTTGTTGCCTAGGCTGGAATGCAATGGCACGATCTTGGCTCACGGCAACCCCCACCTCCCAGGTTCAAGTGATTCTCCTGCCTCAGCCTCCCAAGTAGCTGGGATTACAGGCAGCAGCCACCATGCCTGGCTAGTTTTTAAAATATCTTTAGTAGAGACGGGGTTTCACCACGTTGGTCAGGCTGGTTTTGAACACCTGACCTCGAATGATCTGCCTGCCTCGGCCTCCCAAAGTGCTGGGGTTACAGGCGTGAGCCACTGCGCCTGGCCCCATCTCTAAGATTTTTAGATTTGTTGGAAATAGTTATGAAATCCGAACATAGCAATACAATACCAGCTGGCATCTTATGAGCACTTACTCTGCAAAGTGCTGTGTCAAGCCCTTCACTTGGATTATCTCTTTCATGCTCACATCCATCTTGCAAGGTAGGAATGATTATTACCCCCACAAGACAGAAGAGAATACTGAGACTCAGAAAGGTTCAGCAGCCAGCCAGAAGGGGGCGGGGTTCAAACGCAGGCAGCAGCCTCCATACCCAAGGTGTTTAAACACTAGGTTATTCATTCAGTTGTAAAAGATGGAAAATAGAGAAAAATAGTAATAAAAAGGGGAAGGGAAAATTTTCCTTTACTCCAAACACCTAAGAACAACCACAGATAACTTTCTGATATATTTCCTAACAACACAGAAATTAGACTAAATATACAAATGTGTATCCTGTGTCTATTTTTTCAGTTATTGTAATGCTTTCAAGGCTCCTTGTAAGAACTGGCCACCTTCTATTCCATTGTCAAGATGTGCCATAATTTGCCAAGACCTTCCCCTAACAACAGACAATTTGAGATGCTTTCCATCTAGGGCTATTACTAATAAAGCTGCACTAAGCATCTTTGTGCATAAAGATTTTTCCACATTTGGAGTTTCCATATGAGGGTAGAATCCCCCAAGTGGTATGATCGAATCAGAAAGGATGAGTACACACTTAAGGGTATTGACACTCCCTGCTCTGATTGGCTCCAGTTCAACGATGCCACAAGAGGCTTTGGAGACAAGAGAAGGAAGACCTGCATCTCTCAAACAGGAATGGACCCCTCCCATGAACATTCCTGTCTTCAAAAGTGACATGAGGGACTATTTACCTTTAGAAGGCCAGATTTTTATTGTCCTCTGGAATACAGTGCTTCTTCCAGACGCTATAAAATTCAAGCCTAATATTTGGTAAACTTCCCTAGTGTTTGTGTTTCGTAAACTGTCTCCCAGCTGTAGCCTCAGCTCTCTTTATATGTTCCTAAATAAACACCAGGTCCTGCTCACTGCCTTCTGGTCAGAGCAGAACTCTGCTGTCACCCAGCCTCTTGGTTCTCATTGGTACCTACCATATTTTCCATTATTTTATAGATGCTCAAAAGGACAAAAGAAGTTTTTAACCCTACAGGCACAAAAATGTGCTTTGTTTTTTAGGGAAAATAAGTGAAACTTTAAAAAAAAAGTTTATTGTGATGGCTAAATGACCCAGGAAAAGCAGTTCTCATGCCATCTGTTGCAGCTCTGTTTTAAATTAGGATGATGGAGCCAGCTATTTGAATGGAAAGGGACCCTAGGGCACCTAGTAATGAAAATACCTAGCATTTCCTGAATGTTTACTGTGTGCCATGCACTGGGCTAAGTATTTCACATAGATTGTTTCCTATAACCTCAGCACAACCCTATCAGCTAGATAGACTAATTTTTCCTGTTTTACAGATACTGAAACAAAGAGACAGAGAGATAAATAACATTCCAAGGTCCTACAGCTATTTAGCCCTTTCATTAGAGCCACAATACATCTTAGAGACCAGTGAGGTCTTAACTCTGCTCTAGGGCTTCTAGGACCACTGCAGACACAAGGGCTGTCCAAGAAGGGAAAGTCAAAGAGAAAGGCCCCTACCCATCTTACTTTTCTTTCTCCCTGTGGTAGACAGAATAATGGCCTCCCAAAGATGTCCATGTTCTAACCTCTAGAATCTGTGATATGTTATCTTACATGGCAAAAGGAACTTTGCAGATATGACTAAGTTCAGAACTGGGAGACAGGGAGATTATCTAGGATTATCCAAGTGGGGCCAATCTAATTACACAGGACCTTGAAAATAAAGAACCTTTCCCAGCTGTGGTCAGGAGCTGTGACTGTGGAAGAATGATTAGAGAGATGCAATGTTGCTAATTTTGATGATGGAGGAAGGGCCATGAGCCCCAAAAGTGGAATTTCTAGAAACTGGAAAAGGCAAAAAAAAAAAAAAAAAGGCTGCTACCACAGAACCTCCAGAAAGGAATTCAGTCCTGCCAACATCTTGATTTTAGCCCAGTGAAACCCATCTGACTTCTAACCTGTTGAACTATAAAATGATAATCATGTGTTTTGTTTTGTTTTGAGACAGAGTCTCACTCTGTCTCCCAGGCTGGAATGCACTGACGCCATCTTGGCTCACTGCAACTTCTGTCTCCTGGGTTCAAGCAATTCTCATGCCTTGGCCTCCCAAGAAGCTGGGACGACAGGCATGTGCCACCATGCCCGGCTAAGGCTGGTCATGTTGGCCAGGCTGGTCTCAAAGTCCTGGCCTCAAGTGATCTGCCTGCCTTGTCCTCCCAAAGTGCTGGGATTACAGGCATGAGCTACCACGCCCGGTCCAATCGTGTGTTCTTTTGAACGACTTAATTTGTGGTAATTTGTTATGACAGAAATAGCAACTTAGTATACCCTTGTTTTAGGCAAATCATCTCCACTATGTTTTTGAGATTGCTTTTCAGTGTGATCGTTTATTTGGGAAAGAAAACAAAGGGGACTTTTCCTGTTTTTTTAAAAAAAGTTGAAAACTAATTCCTCTTTTTTCTCCCCCAGAAGAATAATGCTTATGCCTAGAGATAGAATGTGCTTTTTCTGTGGTCACACCATGACAAGGCAACAAGCCCAGTGTTTACTCAACTGCAGCCCCACTGAGTGCTCAGGAACCTCCTCCTCTGAGCCAGGGCTACAACTTTGGGCTCTGACGCATAATCTGGCACTAAATATTTGATGAAAAGCTTTGTCACTCAGCCATTCAACAAATATCCCCCAGGATGGATCAGACACTGTACCATGCATTGGCAATGAAGGGATGAATGCACCTCAGTCCCACCACTGGGAAACTCAGGGACTTACATTACAGTGACTAGAATTATGATATGCAGGGCAGGTTCTGTGGTTTGTTTGACCTCTCCAAACCTCATGCTGAAATGTGATCCCCAGTGTTGGAGGTGGGGTCTAATGGGAAGTGTTTGGGTCATGGGAACAGATCCCTCTCAATGGCTTGGTCCACTCCTCATGGTAATAAATGAGATCTTGCTTTATTCATTCCCACAAGAGCTGGTTTCTAAAAAAGACCCTGGCACCTCTCACCTCTCTCTCTTGCTTCCTTTCTCACCATGTGATCTCTGCACAGCCATCTTCCCTTCCCTTTCCTCCATGATTGGAAGCTCCCTGAAGCTCTCACCAGAAGCAGATGCTGGTACCATGCTTCTTGTACAGCCTGCAGAACCATAAGCCAAATAAACCTCTTTTCTTTATAAATTACCCAGCCTTGGTTATTCTTTGATAGCAATGCAAGCAGACTAAGATGGCAAGACAGATCACAGACAAAGGCTACCTAGCTCAGTCCTACCTAGCTCATTTCCAGGAAATGACATCTAAAATAAGGTGTGAAAGATAAGTGAAAACTGACCAAGCATAGAAGAAAAGAATATTGTTTTTTTGTAGAAGGAATAGCAGGGAGAGAAGAAATGGATAGCTTCCATGAGTCAAGAGAATGGATGAAACACAGGTTTTAAAGAGATGGTGGTCAGGATAGTTGAGATAAGAGAAGTAAACCAGAGTGGCTACAAAGGGCCTTACGAGCTAAGTTTAAAATTCACTTGAGTTTACTATCCCTGAATGTCCATTACCTCATTACAAGGGGAAGCCATGGAAGGTCTACTCTAAACTGACATAGAGAGATACCAAGCATGGGGCCAGGACAGAATAGGAACACAATAAATACCTGTTGATTCTGAATTCAAGCTGGTGATTCGTATAATCAAGGTATGTGAAAAGTGCAATGGGAGCAAGGAGGAGGGACGGGCTAGCTCTACCTGCAAGGGATGGGAAGATTCACAAGCAGGCAAAGTTGGCTTGGGCCTTAAAGGGTGAGTACGACAATGGGTGTGTTAAGTGACTTGTTATTTTTCTCTGCAATCTTCTATTAGCACATACTGACAGTCTTTGGGGTCCATCACACTCTCAAAGACCTTCATGCCTTGAAAATCCTGCAAATTCACACCTCTATTTCTAGTTTTTTATTTTGTACTAATGATGTATTATCATACTATAATGTTGGACTAGCTTTCCAAAGGCATGCGGTAGAAACAGGCCCCATCCCCAACAACCTTCTTCCTTACCAACAAAACATTAGCTTTATTCAAGACAGAAAAGTGCCAGCCCTGGGTTGGTGGGGGTTAAATCGTGATTGACCTAAGTCAGTCATGACTATTTCATTAACATTTGCCAGACACTCACTTTTCCAGGCTCCCTTGCATCTAAGGGCAGTCATGGGACCCAGTTCTGGTCAATAATATTGTGGTCATTTAGGTATAAGAGTGAATCAGCTGGGAGGGCTTCTGGGATACTTTTGTTTCCTCACTGATAAAATGACATAGTCATTCCAAGAAAAGGATCTTTTGCCACTCCACACTCCCACTCCTTGTCACCTGTCTACTTTTGAATACTGTTGTAATATCTGGAGACACGGCAGCCATCTTGAAACCATGAGAAACAGGCAGAAGAATCAATGACCTACATAAATATAGAGATGAAAAAGTGCCCGTCAACTCAATAATACTGTGGAACTGCTGTTCTCACTTTAGACTACTTATCTCCAGACTTCCTATTATGTGAGATAATCAAAGTGATATGGTGTGGGCCACTATCCGTCAGGGTTTTATTACTTATAGCCAAATAGATTTTAAATTATATAGATGTTTCCAGAAAGAGGACTATCTTTCTTCTCACCAGGATTATGAAGCTCTAAGACTATTAATAAAATGGCCAACTAGCCACACAAAGATGCAAGATATTGTTTTCCCAATCCAGAAAGCAGAAAACTTTCTTCCTTTAATCTTCCCTTCCCAATGATGACTCTTCCTTGGCTGGGAGGAGATGTTTGCACTTCAGATTTCATACCTCCAAATATTACCTATTGCTTCATTGCCCTTTATATTTGGCCAGGCCTTTATTCATGGTGGCCATTCTGGAGACCCCAGCTGGTTAGGAAAATTGAACTTGTCAAAAATCAGAGTGAGATTCTCCTTGGCAACTGCAAAGGTAAGCTGTCACCAGCCCTGTCAACAGTCACAGCAGAAAGAGAGCTATTTATTCATCTAAGACCTTCATGAGTCACAGTCTAAACATTCTGCAAACCCTCCCCTGGCAAGTCATACCCTGCCCCAGTCTCTGGGGAGAATGCTTCCCACCCAGAGCCACTTCAACACAACAGACTCTTGGCTTTGGCTGTCTAATCTTTGGGCTGCACAAGTGGTCATGTTATTAATGACTCTGAGTCATCATATAGGGTATTTCATCTGGAGTGTGTGTAAAGAGGAGGAAGATGGAGGGCTACTGTAGCCCAGACAAGAAGTGAGGCTTCCCCTTGCTATGCCTCTACCTCACTGTGTACCCTTCAAAATGCAACCAATTTCTTGCATTATAATGCTTCAAATCTCTCCACTTCTTGGTGAACTCCTTTTTTTTTTTTTTTTTAATGAGATTGAGTTTTGCTCTTGTCGACCAGGCTGGAATGCAGTGGCGTGATCTCAGCTCACTGCAACCTCTACCTCCCAGGTTCAAGTGATTCTCCTGCCTCAGCCTCCCAAGTAGCTGGGATTAAAAGCACCCACCACCAGGCCCGGCTAATTTTTGTATTTTTAGTAGAGACAGGGTTTTGCCATGTTGGTCAGGCTGGTCTCGAACTCCTGACCTCATGTGATCCACACGCCTTGGCCTCCCAAAGTGCTGGGATTACAGGCATGAGCCACCGCGCCCAGCTGTGACCTCCCCTTTTAATGCCCTCTTGTTTGTCCGTGTCAAGCAGCATTCAAAGAACTGAACAGTACCCAGATGGGTTTGCACAGTGCTGAGGGTGAGAGAGATGGCAGACAAGGGTTCTGTTTTTTATATATATATATATTTTTTTTTTTAATTTTAAGCCTAGGTTTTTAATTATACTTTTTCATTTTTGTTTTAAATTTCTGCTCCATGCCAGTGTATACAGTGAATATGACCATGCCCTTTGAATGTTAAGCCTTGATGGCACCTTTCATGCAGAGCTTGACTCCGTGTATGTAGTTTAGTTGTTACTTCTTTCAGGAAGTCTCCTCTTATTTATTTAAGTGGTGCTCCGTTTATGAGTCCCTATAACACCTGCTACCTTCCTTAACAAAAGAGTTTATCACACTGGTAATTTGGTCACTCCTGTGACTGCAAGGTCTGTAAGAGCAGGGTCTATCTCGTCACCTATGTCAAGAACATTCTCTGACACATAGTGGGCACCTCAACTAACATATAGCGAGTGAGTGAGTAGATGGGCCACCTTCTACAGCCTTCTACAACGGAGCAAATCCCAAAACTGGCCTTCAGGCCCCCAGACTTGGCCTAGACTTGGTAGAGAAGATGAGGACAGGACTGATCAGAGGGATGTTTCTGATATTCTATCATTCTGTGGTCACGGCAACATCAATACCTTGTGGATATGGACCAAGGCTTATAGTTTCCTGTCCAATAAAAGAGAATCTGGCTGGCCACAGTGGCTCAAACCTATAATCCCAACACTTTGGGAAGCCCAGGCAGGGGATCACTTAAGCCCAGGAGTTTCAGATCAGCACAGGTAACGTAGTGAAACCTCATCTCTACTGAAAAAACTAAAAGTTAGTCAGATGTGTTGGCATGTTCCTGTAGTCCCAGATACTGAGGAGGCTGAGGCAAGAGGATCACTTGAGCCTAGGAGTTCGAGGCTATAGTGAGCTATGATCGCACTACTGCATTCAGCCTGTTCAACAGAGTGAGACCTTGTCTCAAAGAAAGAAAAAAAAAAGATGGAAAAATAGGTCTTAATATTATACGTTTGCTGCGGAGATTAAAGGAGATTGCATGCTCACAGTCTGTGACCCATAGTAAGTGTTCAATACATGCAACTGCTATTATTACGAGCTAAGAAGGGACTAAGAACCAAAATCAATGTTTCTTCCTGTTATAACATAACCCTCCCACCTGAATGTCTGCCCCCTTGTGGTGTTGCCAGGGAATGCTAGGATTTATCTGGCTATCTTTCAATGCCTAATATGACACCTAATTTGAAATCACCTGGCACTCGCACACACAATGTACGCTCTTTTCCTTAAATCCAGATTGTACCTATTTACCTGGACGTATCCAGAACTTGCACTGTGGCCTTTTCCAGATGCAATCCAGCTTTTAAGATTTTATGTGTAATCCCCATCTCTCCCGACCTTACTGGACTTTGCCTCTGGACTCTCTGGAGTATGAGTCCAAGCAGCCCTCATAGACTCTGGCATGGGTTTGTCTGCTGACTCTCCTGGCTCCCCACTTCCTTGATAGGAAGTTCTCGTCATGTCTTCAAGTTCCTCTCAGCTGAGACCACAGCCAACTAGCCAGCTGGCTTCCTGGTTGAACAACCAACACCCCTGGGTCCAGCACAGAAATGGTACCCAGGAAAAGTGTATGGAATCCAGTGTCCTTATGTTTCCTGTCCATTTCCAGTTCATCACTGGGATGGGGCTGAGACCTTATCCTCAACAAGGCTAAAACCTCCTCTGAAATGGCTATGTGCCTCACACCAAAGGACAAGAAAATTGCCCATTGGTAGGCAAATGTGAGTGTGGGAGTGAACCCCAAAAACCTATCAATTACCCTGACCCGAAAAAACACTATCAATGTAAAATGCAGCCCAGAGAATAAACATATCCCAAACCAGTTTCAAAGTGTGATTGACACCAGATAAATTCATTTTGGGGGGACCATGTTAAAAAGGGGAAGGGAGAAACTCGTTGAGCACCATATGCCTGACATGTTCTCACATAATCCACACAACATCCTGTAACCTTGATAGCTCTGTCTTTAAGGTGAGCTGTGAAACTCAGATCAGATTAGTAATTTACCCCAAAAGTTACATATTAAGTGACCAAACATGGATTCAAGCCCATATCTGTCTCCAAGCCCAAGGTCTAAGAACTCTCATTCTCCCATACTAGCCATAAAAAGGTAAAACTCCCCTTCTAGAGATGATTACCCATAACATCTCCCCTTGGTAGACACTCTGTCTTCTCCTTTCCTCTGCAGACTTTCTGTTGAGATCCTGCCCAGCCAACCAGCCAGCGGGCTTTATTCTTCTTAAGGCCTTTAAGAAGGCCCTCTCTACTTAGAAAGGCAGTAGCATAGAGCACAGTCATTAAATCTGGTTCCAGAGCCAGGTAGCCTAGGTTCAAATCCCAGTGCCACTACTTACCAGCTTTGTGACATTGGACAAGGTATTTAGAGTGTCTGTGCCTCAGTTTTCTCTTCTGTAAAGTAGGGGCAATAGTAGTAACCTATCTCACGGGTGGTTGTGAAGATTGACCGAGTTCATATGGGGCTGACATATATTAAGTGCTCAGTAAGTTTTAGCTACCAGTATTACAAGTTAATTTTATAAAAATTTGACAAGGCATTATAAATTTCATTGGGCAGATGAGGAAACTGAGGCAGAGGACGGTTAATATCTTGTCCATGGTCACACTGCTTATCACAGGGAAAGCCAGGATCAGTTGAAAAGAAAAGGGGGGTCTCCCAATTCCTTACCCAGGGCACTCTGTCCTCCTGCTCACTTAACCAAGAGGCAGAAAAAGCAATTTACCTGTTAATACAAGACATAATCTCCCCTCCCTGATGTTCTCCCTGTCACATGAACCACAAAGAAGTCACCACAAACATCCATTTATTTATAAACCTACAACATTAGCCTCTTCACTTAAAAGCCTCTTGGTAACTTGCTGGTTAAAAGCGTTTCAGATTCTGTCAGAGAAACAAGCTCACACTGACATCTTGTCTCCATATGCCTTTGAAAACCTGCTGAGAGTCCCTTAATCCCTCGCTGAGGAACGTTCCTCTGCACTGTGTTCTTCTAAGGTTTCCACCGTTGGGTGTGGGTATTTTCTGAAAGCTCTCTCTTTTGAAAAATTCCCATGCTTTGAGTCATGCCAAAATCAGAGGGAAATGAATGCTGCCAAAAGTCCCAACATTTACATAAGCTCTTAATCAGCCCTCTGGTTCATTACAGTGTGACATATCAGTTACACTGCTGTTCAGGCAAAGAAATGGGGTCTTGGAATCTGCAGAGGGCCCTGGAAAATTGTGTTCTCTGAGTGGAAGTGGAGCAGGTTCCAGCTTCTCCCTTTATAAAAGTTCGATCTTGGCTGCATTTGTGTTTACGTATTTAGTAAATATTTATTGGTTTCTTAATATGGGGACCATAATAATTGATGGAGAGACAATAATAAGTAAAAAAGATATGACCCCTGACTTTATGAAGCTTATAGTCTAGATGGACAACAGACACTAATCAAAATAAAGGATACTGTGAGAGTATCTAGTGGGGGACATAAACTTGACCCCATCTGGGGTTCAAGAAAAGCTTCTGCTAGTGAATGATGTTTCACCTGGAATCTGTAGGTCTGGGGAGCAGGAACGTCTAGGCAGTGTAGTACAAAGCGGGGTAGATGAAGTAGAGAGAGCAGAGAAAATGAAGATAGATGAAGCCAGTGAGCTAAGTACATCTTTATTTTAGAGCTATGGGAAACCACTGAGAGCCTGTAGCCACCGTGTCTAAGGGCGTCACCATCCTGATTATTATAAAATATTCTCCCTGTATTATGGTTATTTCCCTGTCATCTCCTACCCTGATTGGCATAATAGCTACTATTTTGCTAGCACTATTTTATATATACACATATATATATTCACATTATATGTGTTTTTATATACAGAGAGACTACACACACACACACACACACACACACATATGGTCTCACCAATCCTCACCCCAACTCTATAAAGAATATACTATCATTATGCCCATTTTACCGATGAAAAGAAGGCTCAAAGACAGCAAATAATCTGCCTATGACTACACAGATGAGACAGGTTGGAAGGCAGGTCTCTCTGATTCCAAGGTCCAAGTTTTTAACAAGTCAATACTGCAAGTTCCCTGCAGTCAGCAGCTGGGTCTTTCTGATTCTGCTTGGTTTGCTAATGCCTGGCCCACAGGCATTACAGGTGTATGGAACTAACTTCCTTGCTTGTCCAAGCCTCCTGTCCCCTACTCCTCACCTAATCATAGGTGACGCTTCTAAAGCCCTTACTTACTGCATGCCAGCTATGGTTCTAGTACTTCATGCATATTTGCTCATTTTCATTTTTGCCGCAACCTATGAAGTAGGTACTATTATTTTCATCCTCTCCATTTTTCAGATAAGAGAACTGAGTTGCAGAAGCATTAATAGCTTCACCAAGGACACACAGTAATAAGCGGCCCAACAAAGATTCTAACCCAGGCCGACTGGATCCAGAGCTTGGACTCCTAACAACTAGAGATTATTGTTCCTTTCGCAATCCAGCCACATGAACCTCCTTTATATTTAATGCAAAATATGCATTGTTTTTCACCTCCAGCCTTCTCAAATGTCAATGTCTCTTCCTATGCATTCGCCTACTCCACCTAACCTCACTTTCCCTTGGGCTCCCTCCTATCCATCCTCCAGGATTCTTGGTCAGGGTCAGCTGCCCCTTCTGTGTGTGCTACCCCATCACCCTGTGCTTCCCCTTCCCAGCACTCAGCACATAAACTGGGTATTTCAACTACAGGTTCTCTGTCCACCTCCCACCCTTGACTTGAAGCTGCACAGGACAGGGTCCAAGCTACCCAGGCATTTCTATATCTACAATGCCTGCAGCTTGGCGGGGGCTCTATCATTACTGTGAAATGACCAGATACATTTATAAATAAGTGAATAAATTTGAATAGTTTTTTTGTACCCCAAAGTGGTTACACATAGCAGGCCTCATTCAGTGTTGCTGAATGAAGAGTCAAGCGTATAATGTTATTCCAGAATTAAATTTTTACTTGTGGTTTTCTTTTTCTCCCTCTTTGTTTTCAAAGCCCAAAGAAAGATGACAGAAGAACAAAGATGAAGGAGGAGGCCACTGGTTTACAGGAAGGGTAAAGGACAACGACTATCCAGATTTTTCTTCCAACTTTACTTTAAGAAAAAAAAAAAAACAAAAAACTTGAGGTCCTCCTAAACCACAGGCATTTGAGCAGTCTGAGGGGTAGCCTCCTGGACTCCTTGTCTACCTGTCTCTCCTGAAGCTTGGAACCTGCAACAGCAGGCCCAGGGGCTCCACTGAGAGTGCTGGAGGCTCTGAAATGGAGCACGGAAGCTGGCGTGAGCTGTGATTGTTCCTGAGCCGCAAGGACAGTGGCTGTTCTGGGCACTTCAGGAAGTACTTGCTCCAAGAGGCCCTTCCAGCTATTGTTGTTAGGCCTGAGCATGCTGGGCTGGCACCAGGACAAGCTGCCCTCTCCAGGTCAAGGATTGGTCCAGGGCATTAGGGGCAGGAAGGTGAAGTGGGGAGGTAGCGGGGGAGGGAAGGATATGCAAACTAGGAAGGAGTCTTGGGCCTGGGCTTCTCTTTTCTTCAGGCCATTAATGCCAGGAGCCACCTGCCTCTAGGTTTATTTCTGTCTCCTCTGGCCATACACTGCACAGATTCATGATAAACCAGATGCTGCCAGTGATATCTTGGCTGGGTCCACAAGAACTATCAAGTGCCGTGAAAGGAACATGGGTTTTAGAGTCCAAGACTCTGGGCTTGCATGCTGGCTCTGCCCCCATGTGTGCCCTTGGGCACTTCTGAATCTCCTCTTCCTCTTCCTTTTCCTTTTCCATAAAAAAGAAATGATAACCAGCTTGAGAGGTCATGAGGATAAGATAAGCTAAGATTAATGAACTTGTCAGGTACACAATGGCAATGGGAAAATGCTAGCTTCCTCCCTTCTCCTGAGCAGCTGGACAAGGAAGGGGGTGGGCGTCAGGGGGAGCTTGGGCAGCAGATGTCACATTTCAACGTGTTCCTCCCTAGCTCAGGCTGCAAGGCCTGGGCACTGAGCCCACTCCAGCCTGAATTCTCCCGACAGCTGCTCAGCTTCTCTACTTGTCCTTGCTCATGACTCCTGATTGAACCAAGAAAAGCCTCTGCTTTGCTCCAGTGACAAAAAAATAAATAACAAGAATGATGTAACATGTGTCTCTCAAGGCCATCAGCCACAGAGAAAGTCCAGGCTTCCGGATCTGTACCCCAAATCCACACCAGGATTCCAAACCAATCCCCTGCTGTCCCGTGGATTCTGGTAGCTCCTGTGTTAACCCTCTACCTGCAGGCAGCTCTGCCTCCCCCTTGTCTTGTGACCAAGGCCACCAACACTGTCACTGAGGCACAAAATTGGCTGGAGGCAGGAAATGAGTTCCTAAGCACTAAGTCTTTGCAACCTGATCTTTAGTAATAATTTATTACTACATTATACTAGTTTAATTAGTAATAACTAATTATTAATACTAATTAAATTACTGGTTTATTCAGCAATAAATAAATAAACACTTATTGAGCACAATATGCCAGACACTCTTCTAAACTCTTTATGTTAACTTTTTTAATCTTCACAAACACATTTTGAAGTAGGTACTGTTCATAACCCCATTTTACAAAGAAAAAACTGAATTTTAGGGAGTTTAATTGCTGAACCAAGGCCACAGAATTGGTGAGTTGCAGGTAAAATTTGAACCCATTTCTGCAGATGTCAAGTTGTGTTTTTTTGTCTTTCCATCATGCTACTGACACCCAAACCAAATGAAACTGGCAGCCCGGATTCTTTCAGAGAGATGTTGTAAAAGAGTTCCCCCAGCAACCTCACCTGTTAAACCCCCAAATTAAGTCTGAAGAGCAAAGCAGGAGTCTGACTGCTCTTCAAAGGGAGAGATGTCAGGAAGCATGATGTAGTGAAGCCTCTCTCTGCTAGGTGCTAGAAGTGTACTCCTAGACCTGTCAGCGGCCCTCTTTGGTATTCAGGATCTTCATCTGTAAAAGGAGAAGATAAAAGTAATTTGGCTTCGACAAGATTCCTTCCAACCCTGACATTCCATAATCCTATGAAACAGCTACCATTTATTATTTCCTCTGTGCCAGATACTGTGCTGAGTATTTCACATAATCGCAAAATCATCACAGCCAACAAATAGCTGTGATGGAGCTGCAAATGATGGAGCACTGCTTATTTGCCAGGCTCTGCTGTAAGTACTTGCCCCTGTATTATCTCATTTAATCCTCAGAACAACACTAAGAGGAAGGTATTATTATCCCCACCACCCTCAAGGATCTAAGGCTCAGAAGAATGATACAAAGCTACTCAAAGTCTCCCAATCATTAAGTGCTGCTCTTGGGGTTTGAACCCAGATTTTTCTGACTCCATAACCCATGCTTTTAATCACTGTACTACTTCAAGTGCCCCCTCAACGTCAGGCAAGGGCAGACACCAGGAATAGGCTGTGTTGGTTTTTGGTTGCCCCACTGACTATCCATCTGCAGTTGTTTTTCTTCCATTCTGATCATCAATCATAGTGTGACTTAAATGGGTCAGGATAAGGAGTCCCCAGCTGCCATGCACAGCCACAGCAGCCACTGCCCACAGTCCTTTCTGTGGGCTTTCTGGGCAGCATTAGTGGAAAGTCCTATCTGTGAAGTAAACTAACAAGATTGGGGGAGGGGTCCCCTTATTTATTTAATCATCACTCCCCAAGGCTAAACTGGTGGCCTGGCAACAGTGAGTATTTTCTCTGAGCTCAGAAGCCAACTCCAAGTGTTCAGGGTGAACAGGTTGGGAAACTTGAGAACCACACAGACATCAGGAAAAATTCCGTGAGTGGTTGTCTGTGGTGAAATGATGATATGGCCCTGAGTTTGCTCTCCCCAGGAGAACTTGGAAGCTGCCCCCTTTTCCACCTCCCACCTCACTTGGAACTAAGTAAACCAAGAAATTCTAGGAAGCAGCCCAACCTGAAAGAGCTGGCTTCTCCAGGAAAAGAGAGGGGAGGGTGAAGAGACCCAGGGTCTGTCCGTCCCAAGGGGATGGTCAGTCACAGAAGTCACTGACCAGCACTCCAGGCCAGATCTCACTGGTCCGGCCACAGATTTTTCTAATCCTGTGAGTTGAACTGCACCCAAATGACTGCAGATGGGATCAGAGATGGAGGTCTCACCAGTCAGAGGAAAAGCATCCAAGTATCAGGAGAGATGCATAGTTCTAAGAGGAGCCATCTAAAAGCAGGCAGAGTTTGAAAGAAACTTCCAATTAAAAAAAAAAAATGCCTTTCTGTGAGGTCACTCCCTGTGAGGCAGGAGAATAGGGTCTGGAGGCAGGGAACATAAAGCCGATTCATGCTGACTTCCTAGAACTAAATCAAATGGAAACACTTCAGCTATGACAGGAAATACCCTCTCCATTTACACAGGGCATACACTGAGTAAATGACTTTGTAACTTCTTTGTAACTTTGCTTCTTCCTCTTCATCTACATAGGGTGTAACCAAGTAACCAATGGAAACCTCTAGTGCATATTTAAACCCCAGAAAATTCTGTAACAGGGGTCTTGAGCCCCTGTGCTTGGCCCGCTCCCACCCTGTGGAGCGTGCTTTCATTTTCAATAAATCTCTGCTTTGGTTCCTTTATTCTTTCCTTGCTTTGTGTGTTTTGTCCAATTCTTTGTCCAAGATGCCAAGAACCTGGACACCCTCCACTGGTAATAACTACAACCAAGGTCACCACATCACACTACCTGTACTTTGCTCCCCAAAAACAGTTGCTAGCATTTATTCAGAACCTTCTCTGTTCTATCAGTTAAAAAAAAAAAAACCCTAGTAATTTCTGGAACAAAATCACAAATATACTCACTTTCACAAACAGTGTAGACATGTCAAGAATCCTATTTCTTACCCACAAGAGGACCAGTCTTGTCCCTTTACTGTGTGTTTTTGATTGCACTGGTCACTAAGTTTTTTCTCAGCGAAACAGCACCTTATCAATACATCATTGGTATAGGTTTGTTGGCTTTCAATCATAGTGGTATCATTTTATTCCTGGGCCCCAAGGGAATTTGGGGCCACAAGGATCTGATTTCAAACTTCAGCTCAGCCATTTTATTTCTTCAAGACCCTAAACAAATAACCTATGCTTTCTCAGCCTTAGTTTTCCCATCTACAAAAATGGAGCTAGTCCTAGCACTACCTACCTCAAGAAATTGTTACAGGAGGAGCCAAGATGGCCGAATAGGAACAGCTCCGGTCTACAGCTCCCAGCGTGAGCGACGCAGAAGACGGGTGATTTCTGCATTTCCATCTGAGGTACCGGGTTCATCTCACTAAGGAGTGCCAGACAGTGGGTGCAGGTCAGCGGGTGCGCGCACCGTGCGCGAGCCGAAGCAGGGCGAGGCATTGCCTCACTTGGGAAGCGCAAGGGGTCAGGGAGTTCCCTTTCTGAGTCAAAGAAAGGGGTGACGGGCGGCACCTGGAAAATCGGGTCACTCCCACCCGAACACTGCGCTTTTCTGAAGGGCTTAAAAAGCGTCGCACCACGAGATTATATCCCGCACCTGGCTCGGAGGGTCCTACGCCCACGGAGTCTCGCTGATTGCTAGCACAGCAGTCTGAGATCAAACTGCAAGGCGGCAGCGAGGCTGGGGGAGGGGCGCCCGCCATTGCCCAGGCTTGATTAGGTAAACAAAGCAGCGGGGAAGCTCGAACTGGGTGGAGCCCACCACAACTCAAGGAGGCCTGCCTGCCTCTGTAGGCTCCACCTCTGGGGGCAGGGCACAGCCAAACAAAAAGACAGCAGTAACCTCTGCAGACTTAAATGTCCCTGTCTGACAGCTTTAAAGAGAGCAGTGGTTCTCCCAGCACGCAGCTGGAGATCTGAGAACGGGCAGACTGCCTCCTCAAGTGGGTCCCTGACCCCTGACCCCCAAGCAGCCTAACTGGGAGGCACCCCCCAGCAGGTGCACACTGACACCTCGCACGGCAGGGTACTCCAACAGACCTGCAGCTGAGAGTCCTCTCTGTTAGAAGGAAAACTAACAAACAGAAAGGACATCCACACCAAAAACCCATCAGTACATCACCATCATCAAAGACCAAAAGTAGATAAAACCACAAAGATGGCGAAAAAACAGAACAGAAAAACTGGAAACTCTAAAAAGCAGAGCGCCTCTCCTCCTCCAAAGGAACGCAGTTCCTCACCAGCAACGGAACAAAGCTGGATGGAGAATGACTTTGACGAGCTGAGAGAAGATGGCTTCAGATGATCAAATTACTCTGAGCTACGGGAGGACATTCAAACCAAAGGCAAAGAAGTTGAAAACTTTGAAAAAAATTTAGAAGAATGTATAACTAGAATAACCAATACAGAGAAGTGCTTAAAGGAGCTGATGGAGCTGAAAACCAAGGCTCGAGAACTACGTGAAGAATGCAGAAGCCTCAGGAGCCAATGCGATCAACTGGAAGTAAGGGTATCAGCAATGGAAGATGAAATGAATGAAATGAAGCGAGAAGGGAAGTTTAGAGAAAAAAGAATAAAAAGAAATAAGCAAAGCCTCCAAGAAATATGGGACTATGTGAAAAGACCAAATCTACATCTGATTGGTGTAACTGAAAGTGATGGGGAGAATGGAACCAAGTTGGAAAACACTCTGCAGGATATTATCCAGGAGAACTTCCCCAATCTAGCAAGGCAGGCCAACGTTCAGATTCAGGAAATACAGAGAACGCCACAAAGATACTCCTCGAGAAGAGCAACTCCAAGACATATAATTGTCAGATTCACCAAAGTTGAAATGAAGGAAAAAATGTTAAGGGTAGCCAGAGAGAAAGGTTGGGTTACCCTCAAAGGGAAGCCCATCAGACTAACAGCGGATCTCTCGGCAGAAACCCTACAAGCCAGAAGAGAGTGGGGGCAAATATTCAACATTCTTAAAGAAAAGAATTTTCAACCCAGAATTTCATATCCAGCCAAACTAAGCTTCAAAAGTGAAGGAGAAATAAAATACTTTACAGACAAGCAAATGCTGAGAGATTTTGTCACCACCAGGCCTGCCTTACAAGAGCTCCTGAAGGAAGCACTAAACATGGAAAGGAACAACCGGTACCAGCCGCTGCAAAATCATGCCAAAATGTAAAGACCATCAAGACTAGGAAGAAACTGCATCAACCAACGAGCAAAATAACCAGCTAACATCATAATGACGGGATCAAATTCACACATAACAATATTAACTTTAAATGTAAATGGGCTAAATGCTCCAATTAAAAGACACAGACTGGCAAATTGGATAAAGAGTCAAGACCCATCAGTGTGCTGTATTCAGGAAACCCATCTCACGTGCAGAGACACACATAGGCTCAAAATAAAAGGATGGAGGAAGATCTACCAAGCCAATGGAAAACAAAAAAAGGCAGGGGTTGCAATCCTAGTCTCTGATAAAACAGACTTTAAACCAACAAAGATCAAAAGAGACAAAGAAGGCCATTACATAATGGTAAAGGGATCAATTCAACAAGAAGAGCTAACTATCCTAAATATATACGCACCCAATACAGGAGCACCAAGATTCATAAAGCAAGTCCTGAGAGACCTACAAAGAGACTTAGACTCCCACACATTAATAATGGGAGACTTTAACACCCCACTGTCAACATTAGACAGATCAACGAGACAGAAAGTCAACAAGGATACCCAGGAATTGAACTCAGCTCTGCACCAAGCGGACCTCATAGACATCTACAGAACTCTCCACCCCAAATCAACAGAATATACATTTTTTTCAGCACCACACCACACCTATTCCAAAATTGACCACATACTGGGAAGTAAAGCTCTCCTCAGCAAATGTAAAAGAACAGAAATTATAACAAACTATCTCTCAGACCACAGTGCAATCAAACTAGAACTCAGGATTAAGAATCTCACTCAAAACCGCTCAACTACATGGAAACTGAACAACCTGCTCCTGAATGACTACTGGGTGCATAACAAAATCAAGGCAGAAATAAAGATGTTCTTTGAAACCAACGAGAACAAAGACACAACATACCAGAATCTCTGGGATGCATTCAAAGCAGTGTGTAGAGGGAAATTTATAGCACTAAGTGCCCACAAGAGAAAGCAGGAAAGATCTAAAATTGACACCCTAACATCACAATTAAAAGAACTAGAAAAGCAAGAGCAAACACATTCAAAAGCTAGCAGAAGGCAAGAAATAACTAAAATCAGAGCAGAACTGAAGGAAATACAGACACAAAAAACCCTTCAAAAAATTAATGAATCCAGGAGATGGTTTTTTGAAAGGATCAACAAAATTGATAGACCGCTAGCAAGACTAATAAAGAAAAAAAGAGAGAAGAATCAAATAGACGCAATAAAAAATGATAAAGGGGATATCACCACCGATCCCACAGAAATACAAACTACCATCAGAGAATACTACAAACACCTCTACGCAAATAAACTAGAAAATCTAGAAGAAATGGATAAATTCCTCGACACATACACTCTCCCAAGACTAAACCAGGAAGAAGTTGAATCTCTGAATAGACCAATAACGGGAGCTGAAATTGTGGCAATAATCAATAGCTTACCAACCAAAAAGAGTCCAGGACCAGACGGACTCACAGCTGAATTCTACCAGAGGTACAAGGAGGAACTGGTACCATTCCTTCTGAAACTATTACACTTAACAGAAAAAGAGGGAATCCTCCCTAACTCATTTTATGAGGCCAGCATCATTCTGATACCAAAGCCAGGCAGAGACACAACAAAAAAAGAGAATTTTAGACCAATATCCTTGATGAACATTGATGCAAAAATCCTCAATAAAATACTGGCAAAATGAATCCAGCAGCACATCAAAAAGCTTATCCACCATGATCAAGTGGGCTTCATCCCTGGGATGCAAGGCTGGTTCAGTATACACAAATCAATAAATGTAATCCAGCATATAAACAGAGCCAAAGACAAAAACCACATGATTATCTCAATAGATGCAGAAAAAGCCTTTGACAAAATTCAACAACCCTTCATGCTAAAAACTCTCAGTAAATTAGGTATTGATGGGATGTATTTCAAAATAATAAGAGCTATCTATGACAAACCCACAGCCAATATCATACCGAATGGGCAAAAACTGGAAGCATTCCCTTTGAAAACTGGCACAAGACAGGGATGCCCTCTCTCACCACTCCTATTCAACATAGTGTTGGAAGTTCTGGCCAGGGCAATTAGGCAGGAGAAGGAAATAAAGGGTATTCAATTAGGAAAAGAGGAAGTCAAATTGTCCCTGTTTGCAGACGACATGATTGTATACCTAGAAAACCCCATTGTCTCAGCCCAAAATCTCCTTAAGCTGATAAGCAACTTCAGCAAAGTCTCAGGATACAAAATCAATGTACAAAAATCACAAGCATTCTTATACACCAACAACAGACAAACAGAGAGCCAAATCATGAGTGAACTCCCATTCACAATTGTTTCAAAGAGAATAAAATACCTAGGAATCCAACTTACAAGGGATGTGAAGGACCTCTTCAAGGAGAACTACAAACCACTGCTCAAGGAAATAAAAGAGGATACAAACAAATGGAAGAACATTCCATGCTCATGGATAGGAAGAATCTATATCGTGAAAATGGCCATACTGCCCAAGGTAATTTACAGATTCAATGCCATCCCCATCAAGCTACCAATGACTTTCTTCACAGAATTGGAAAAAACTACTTTAAAGTGCATATGGAACCAAAAAAGAGCCCGCATCGCCAAGTCAATCCTAAGCCGAAAGAACAAAGCTGGAGGCATCATACTACCTGACTTCAAACTATACTACAAGGCTACAGTAACCAAAACAGCATGGTACTAGTACCAAAACAGAGATATAGATCAATGGAACAGAACAGAGCCCTCAGAAATAACGCCACATATCTACAACTATCTGATCTTTGACAAACCTGAGAAAAACAAGCAATGGGGAAAGGATTCCCTATTTAATAAATGGTGCTGGGAAAACTGGCTAGCCATTTGTAGAAAGCTGAAACTGGATCCCTTCCTTACACCTTATACAAAAATCAATTCAAGATGCATTAAAGACTTAAACATTAGACCTAAAACCATAAAAACCCTAGAAGAAAACCTAGGCATTACCATTCAGGACATAGGTATGGGCAAGGACTTCATGTCTAAAACACCGAAAGCAATGGCAACAAAAGCCAAAATTGACAAATGGGATCTAATTAAACTAAAGAGCTTCTGCACAGCAAAAGAAACTACCATCAGAGTGAACAGGCAACCTACAAAATGGGAGAAAATTTTCACAACCTACTTATCTGACAAAGGGCTGATATCCAGAATCTACAATGAACTCAAACAAATTTACAAGAAAAAAACAAACAACCCCATCGAAAAGTGGGCGAAGGACATGAACAGACACTTCTCAAAAGAAGACATTTATGCAGCCAAAAAACACATGAAAAAATGCTCATCATCACTGGCCATCAGAGAAATGCAAATCAAAACCACAATGAGCTACCATCTCACACCAGTTAGAACGGCAATCATTAAAAAGTCAGGAAACAACAGGTACTGGAGAGGATGTGGAGAAATAGGAACACTTTTACACTGTTGGTGGGACTGTAAACTAGTTCAACCATTGTGGAAGTCAGTGTGGTGATTCCTCAGGGATCTACAACTGGAAATACCATTTGACCCAGCCATCCCATTACTGGGTATATACCCAAAGGACTGTAAATCATGCTGCTATAAAGACACATGCACACGTCTGTTTATTGCAGCATTATTCACAATAGCAAAGACTTGGAACCAACCCAAATGTGCAACAATGATAGACTGGATTAAGAAAATGTGGCACATATACACCATGGAATACTATGCAGCCATAAAAAATGATGAGTTCATGTCCTTTGTAGGGCCATGGATGAAATTGGAAATCATCATTCTCAGTAAACTATCGCAAGAACAAAAAACCAAACATCGCATGTTCTCACTCATAGGTGGGAATTTAACAATGAGATCACATGGACACAGGAAGGGGAATATCACACTCTGGGGACTGTTGTGGGGTGGGGGAGGGGGGCGGGATAGCATTGGGAGATATACCTAATGCTAGATGACGAGTTAGTGGGTGCAGCGCACCAGCATGGCACATGTATACATATGTAACTAACCTGCACAATGTGCACATGTACCCTAAAACTTAAAGTATAATAAAAAAAGAAAGAAAGAAATTGTTACAAAGCTCAAAAGAGATAATGCATACAGAAAGCATCTAGAAACATAGTAGAGGCTCTATACATTTAATTATTTCCCCTCAACTCCTTAAACTGGGCACAGGAAATATTACAGTAACTAAAAAACAAAAAACCTTGCATCCCAAACCCCACTCCTCTACCTCTGTTTCCTAATCCCACCACCTATATCCCATCCCCACATTCTGGTCACCTGTGCTAAGAAAATATCTGAAAGTCTTCTCCTTCCCATTGTTAATCAGGGTAGCTCTCTAGGTATATTCAAGCACAAGGCTAGGGGACCCACATTGTCAAGACCCTGTGAATGCATCCACCCACAGGTCGATGCTTTGCTCCATCCGATATCTCAGTGACTCCAGGTCCTGCAATGATGCCCCTTCCCCGAGATGCCACAGCAGTATTTACCAATGCCCCTCTTTGGATGATCATTTGATAATCTCTCAAAGAGGATCTTATCTATTTCTGCCC
Organism: Homo sapiens; assembly: GCF_000001405.40. Lineage (NCBI taxonomy): Eukaryota > Metazoa > Chordata > Mammalia > Primates > Hominidae > Homo > Homo sapiens. Next base: position 27,226,228 of record NC_000011.10, read on the forward strand.
AACTTCACCTCTCACCCCGGGAAAGACATTACACCACAAAGAATGATATTTTTTTAGCAAAAGTGATTAAGAGTTCAGGCTCTGAAATGAAGCAACCTCAGTCTGAATCTTGGCTTTGTCACTCACCTGCTTGACCTTGGCAGTGTTGACCTAACCACACCAAGAAGAAGCATGTCTTCCACGGGATGAGGGTACTACAGTGCATACTGACAAGGCTACCATGAGGATTCATAAAAATCATTCACTTAAAATATTTAGCACAGTACCTGAAACATAGTAAATGCACAGTATATGTATTAGTCTGTTTTTGCACTGCTGACATACAGGAGACTGGGAAGAAAAACAGGTTTAATGCACTCACAGTTCCTCATGGCTGGGAAGGCCTCACAACTATGGCGAGGGCAAAAGGCACTTCTTAAGTGGCAGTGGCAAGAGAGAAATGAAAAAGAAGCAAAAGCAGAAACTCCTTATAAAACCATCGGATCTCGTGAGACTTATTCACTACCAAAAAAACAGTATGGGGGAAACTGCCCCCATGATTCAACTATCTCCTACCAGGTACCTCCCACAACATGTGGGAATTACAGGAGGACAATTCAAGATGAGATTTGGGTGGGGACACAGAGCCAAACCATATCAGTATACAGTTGTGTTATTGTGACCTGGCCATTGAAGATGTATAGACTTATAGACTATTAGCATTTGAAAACCCTCTCTCAAAAAAAAAAAAAAAAAAGAGGGACAAGGATGGATGACAAAATTTAGAAAGAAAAAACTATTTCTAACAATTTTTTTAAAGAAAAGTGAAGCGCATGAATGGGTTGGTTCTGCTATAGATACTACACATAAATTCTCATTTAACTTTTATTGTACCCTTCGGAGGAAATACTTCCCTCAACAGAGGGGCAAACAGAGGCATGGTTAGGAACATATTACCTGAGTTTGAATGTCACTTAGTTGTGTTACCTGGGTAAGTGGCTTAATCTCGCTGGGCCAATTTCTTTGTCAAGTAAAATGAGAATAATGGTACCTATAAGGTAGTAGTGAGGATTAAATAAGTTAATATATATAAAGCAGTAAGAAGAGTATTATGCACATAGTAAACACTCAACACATAATGTCTACTATTATCTTTTACAGAAGCTGAAACTGAGGTTCAATGAGGTAAATTGATTCATCCAAGCTCACAGGCTTGTAAGCAGCAAAGGTAGAATTTAAATCCAAGTCACTTTGACTCCAAAGCCAATGGAATGTTTCTTCCACTACTCTTTATCACCTGGTAAGAAAATATCCAGACATTTTTCAAGGCAGAAAAGATGGGACCAGAGAATGTGGATCCTGGGAGTTAGAGAGAATGATGGGGTTCCTGGCAAATAAAAGAAATACCAGGAAAAGAGGACTGGTTTGGGAAGAAAGGTGATCGATGACATTATAGCATCAGAAACTAACTGTGCAAATCAAACAACAATGTTTTAGGTGATATTACAGCCTGTGAGTACAGTTGGCAACCACACCAATTTGAAAAACTTTTTTTGGGAGAGTTCCAGACACACTGTTTAAATTTTGATGAGGGGAGGGGCAGGGGGAGTCGTGGTGGCTGTATGTTTCTGTGGAGCTGGTTTTCCTGCGCACAGACCCTCCCTGGGGTCCAGCCCTTGGGGAGGCATCTTTCCAAAGCGCTAAAGCAAATACACTGGTGCCTCTTTGCTGGGCCCAATGCCTCCAGTTCACAGAACATGAAATCCTGGAGCATGGGAACGATGAAAACATGAGGAAAGGCAGCAAGCTGGGAGGCCACAGTGGGGTGGGGTATTTATTCAAAGACTTCATGTGACTATCATTGGCTGTAGGATTCGCTGTGATTAATTTTCCTCTTCAGTGTTTGCTTGAGCATTGAGCCTATATTGCTTTGGCGATTAGAAAAGAAGTTGTTGAAACAAAACAATTAAAAAACGACAAGTGGTCATCTCTGAGTTGTGAACTTACAGGATGATTTGTGTTGCTTTGTGTGTTTTTTTGCTTTACTATATTTTCTTAGAGTAAAGCTATAAGCTTATGCTTTGAACATGTAATGCATTCGGGTTTAAAAGAAAAAAGAGCAAACGTTATTGAAACCCAAACCAGAATGATTTCACAAGAATGTGGGCTGTAACTACCTAGGACTCCCTGGCTCCTGTCACAACATGTTGAAGGCAAAATTAGGTAATGTCCTCCCTCCCTCAGTGAAAAGGAAAACCTGCCAAGACATGGTGGCTGCTCTCCCTGGAGTGCCGGACACAGGTAATTTATTCCACCAGCACCACTAAATTAAGGCACCAGTGCATTTTTTTTTTATTGTTGTTGCAGTTTAACTGACTAGCCTGATTATTTTTTAGCAAATGAAAAAAAAAACGTGTTTCCACCTGACACAAAGCTATGTTGTGTCGATTAGCTGCATTCTCCAAACCGGGAAGGAAACGTTCACATTCCCTAGAGAAACCTTTTAGGGATGTTGATTCAAATGCAAACATATATCAGCTCTTCAGGGGTATAATTTCTGCCAGGAAAGAATAGACTGGCCCAAAGTCAATGCTGTCATTTATTTTTGTGTTTATTTTCTGGAAAGAAAGAGAGTGAGAGAAACAGGCAAGGAATAAGTTATGAAAATCAAGAAAAGTAGTGTCAACAATTAAAAAGCTATGATAATATCTAGGACAAAAGGGCCTAAAAATGGCTTTTTCCACCCCCTTCATTTTCCAAATGAGAAAGCTAGGCACAGAGAAATTAGGTAATTTGCCCATTTCAAACAGATATATGATGATAGAAGCAAGAATAGAAGCCAAATTTCCCAATTCCAGGCCTGGCCCACTTTCAACTCTATACACTCTGCCTTCGGGTGCAGGGAGGTGTGTGTAACCTACCCCATTCATTACAAAGGCCTTGACGTTTAAAGGATTAAACATTTGGATGATGCCTTGGGAGTATTTCTTCAAAGACAGTTCTCTCAAAAGAGATGGATCAAAGAAGGCTGGTAACAAGAGGGGTCTGTATCAGTTAGGGTGTTTTCACATACCAGCAACAGAGAATCTGACTCAAATTGGCTTAAGTCATAATGGAAATTTTGTTGAAAATGCACCAGTATGACCACCTTCAGGGGATGTTTGTTCCCTCGGCTAAATCAAAGATGATCCAGTTTGTCTCCATCTCCTTGCCCTGCCTTGGGCAGTGGGATCTTCCTACAGATACTTTGTGGCCTTAACTCAATAACTCTTGGGACAAATTACTTCCCTTCCCTGGACCTCAATTCCCTAATCTGTAAAATACAGGGGTTGGTCACTAAAGGAGTCTAAGAGCCCTTCCACCTGTAATAGCATTTCTCAAAAGGTAGACTACAGACCACTTGCATGAGAACAGTTACTTAGACTATTTGTTAAAATATGCATTCCTACACCCTAGCCCAAACCCACGAAATCACAATCTTCTGAGAGCACAGGAATCTGGGGTTTACAAACTCACATAGAAGATCCTTGTGCTTCTTGAAGTTTCATAAACATTTATTTCCAAGGCAAGAGAGCCTAGAATGGGAGCAAATCACAGCTGGTAAGCCAAACCTTGCATGAGCATTAAGAATGGCTTTTAAATTTTTAGTTGTCTAAAAAAAAAAACCTCATGCACAGAATATGGAACAGAGACCTTACATGGCTCATAACGCCTAAAATATTTACTATCTGGCTCTTTACAGAAAAAAGTTTGCCAACCTCTTGTCTAAAATAATGAGGTCATTGGATGGTGGAAAGAAAGGCAGGGGGTGGATCTGAAGAAGTTATAGGGCTGATCAGGCCAAGAATTCCTGGGAGCAGGAGTTTTCAGTGTTCCATCAGCTCCATGGAGAATCAAGCAAATAAAAAAGCATGCTCAAGTTCTGGCATTTAGCTTAGAAAAATCTTTTCCAGGGGATCTCCTGGGGTCTCTGGCTGGTCCATCCAATGTTTAATATTGACACAAAGAGCACCAGGAACACAGTAAAGGCTAAGGAAGGACCTGGTCAACCTGCACTCTCTTTGCCCTGAAAGCCACCAGTCAGCTGTCATTTATATCATAGGGAACATTTTGAGTGCAGCCTGTTGTGGCTTTTTTCTATGCCTTCCCTCCAACCATACTGATCAGCTAAGGAAGAGGGTTCTCAGAGAGCCATTCTGGGTCTATGAGGTAATTTCATAGGGACTTGGCCAGAAAGAGATCCCAGTTCTTTTCAGACAATGGACAAGAATGGCTCTACATTAGGAGCAATAGTAGAAAAGACCATAGCTCGTGAGTCAGACAGACCTAAGGTGAAGTCCTACCCTTGAACCTACTTGTTCTATGAATTTAGACTTGCCCTGCGTATGGCTATTTACACTTAAATTCATTAAAATTAAATAAAATTTAATATTCAGCTCCTCCATCACACTAGCCACACTAGTCAACTCACTATCTGCATGCGGCTAGTAGCCATCATATTAGACCATATAGATACAGGACATTTCCACCACTATAGAAAGTTCTACCAGGCAGGGTGCCGTGGCTCATGCCTGTAATCCCAGCACTTGGGGAGGCTGAGGTGGGCGGATCACTTGAGCTCAGGAGTTTGAGACCAGCCTGGGCAACATGGCGAAATCCCGTCTCTACCAGAAATACAAAAATTAGCCAGGCACGGTGGTGCACCCCTGTAGTCCCAGCTACTTGGAGGGCTGTAGTGACAGGATCACTTGAGCCCAGAAGGAGAAGAAGGCAGTGAGCCGAGGTCATGCCACTGCACTCCAGCCTGGGTGACAGAGCAAGACTATGTCTCAAAAAAGTAAAAAAAGAAAGTTCTACCAGACAAAGCTGCTGTAGACAATCTTCCAACAGTCTGTTCCAGTCTGTCCTCTGCCTTTCTTTCCACCACCTAATTGTCTCATTACCCTAGGCTCCATTGCCTTGGAACAAATGGTTATTAAACTTCAACATAAGCCTCAATTTTCTCAGTTGTAAAATGGGCATAATAATGTATCTCTCAGGATTGTTGCGAGGATTGCAGAAGCTAGAGCAGGTAAAATAATAAGCACAATTGCCAGTGCATAGAAAGTACTCAGTAAACGGCTCTTACTGTTATTGTGGACAAAATCTCAAGCTCAGTTGCTGTTGATATTCTCCCAACCTCCTCTAGGCCAGTGGTTCTCAAACTCTGACATGCGTAAGAATCACCTGGGGGTTTATCAAATTCCAGATTGCTGGAATCTTCCTCCAGAGTCTCTGATTAAGTAAGTCTGGGGATAAAGCCTGACAATTGCATTTCTAACAGGTTCCCAGGTCTTCATGAGGTAGCTCTCTGAACCACCCTTGGAGAACTGCTTCTCTAGGCAGCTTTTCATAAGCCATTACTGTCTCTCTGTTGGGGGGAGTTATTTCTTTGTGAACGTTGTTCTTTCCTAACCTTACCATTGTTAACTCATCCCTCCCACACCCAACCGTCTTCAAACAGCTATTTCCTCTAATCCCCAAGAACCCCCTTTGTCTGCCAATTTTCCAGCCCTAACTCAGACTCCGATAAACCTGGCCAACAGCTTCCTTCTCACTCTCCACCCCCGAGTTTGTCGCTGGTTTTACTCTGTGCCGCCTCTTCCACCTTGCTTGTTGTTTGTTTGCTGTAGTATAACCATTGTTTCCCTGCATTTCCCAAAGTGCAGGACATGCTCCACTGTTGGACCTGAGGCAAATTTTTGTGGAATATCAATAATTTTGGATGATAACAGAGAAAAATGACACCGAACCACGTGGTAAGGAAGTTATTATTTTCAGTTCTCTGCAAACTCTACTGATTACACCAGGAGAAAGCCTCAGTCTGGAGCTGATGTATCTTTCTCCTCTTGCTAATAAACCTCCAGCTCAGAGCCTGAGTCAGGTAATTCCATCATCACCATCGTCATCATGATCATAAAAAAATAATGTTACTTGGCTGGGTGCAGTGGTTCACACACCTGTAATCCCAGCACTTGGGAGGCCAAGGTGGGCAGATCGCCTGAGGTCAGGAGTTTGAGACCAGACTGGCCAACATGGTGAAACCCCGTCTCTACTAAAAATACAAAAATTAGCCTGGTGTGGTGGCTCACACCTGTAATCCCAGCTACTCGGGAGGCTGAGGCAGGAGAATTGCTTGAACTCGGGAGGCAGAGGTTGCAGTGAGCTAAGATCATGCCACTGCACTCCAGCCTGGGTGACAGAGTAAGACTCTGTCTCAAAAAAAAAAAAAAAAAGATACTTAAATTCACACAGTGCTTTCTGTGTGCCTGGCAGTGTTATAAGCACTTTACATATATTTACACATATTAATTCACTTAGCCTCACAACTCTACGAAGTAGACTCATTCCCAGTTTAAAGATAAAGACCCTGAGGCACAGAAGAATTATGTGACTTGCTCATGGTCACTTGGCTGGAAAGTCAGAGAACCAGGATTCAAACCTAGACAGCGTATACAGAGCAGGTGCCCTTTAACCACAGTGATGCTGTGCTGGGGTTTAGCAATACTGTTTTGTTTTCATGTGATTTGTTGTTACCCTCTTCTTATATTTTTGGCAAATGTCTTTGTCTGTTTGGGCTGCTATCACAAAATATCATAAACTAGGTAGCTTATAGACAACAGAAATATATTTCCCACCATTCTGGAGGCTGAGGTATCCAAGATGAAGACACTGGCAGATTCACTGTCTGGGGAGGGCCCATCTCCTGTTTCATGAATGGCACCTTCTCACTGCATCCTCATAGGGTGGAAGAGACAACCTAACACTTGAGGTGTCTTTTATGAAGGCACTCATCCTACTCATGAGGGCTCCACTCTCATGACCTAATAACCTCCCAAAGGCCTTACCTGTTGGGATTTCAACATACAAATTTTGGGAGGACACAAGCATTCAGACCGTAGCAGCAAGCATATTTATTTCCTGCTTATCTGGTGATAAAAAGTCTCTCTCTCTCTCTCCCTCCCTCGCTCTCTTTTTTTTTTCTTTTTCTTTTTCTTTTGAGACGGAGTTTTGCTCTTGTTGCTCAGGCTGGAGTGCAATGGCACGATCTTGGCTCACTGCAACCTCTGCCTCCCAGATTCAAGTGATTTTCCTGTCTCAGCCTCCTGAGTAGCTGGGATTACAGGCGTATGCTACCACACCCAGCTAATTTTTGTACTTTTAGTAGAGATAAGGTTTCATCACATTGTTCAGGCTGGTCTCAAACTCCTGACCTCAGGTGATCCGCCCGCCTCGGCCTCCCAAAGTGCTGGGATTACAGGCATGAGCCGCCGTGCCCGGCCCCTTCCTCTTTTTTATCTGAATTAAATAATGTATGGTTAAAAAGTGAAGCAAGTTAAGCACAAGTATTAAATGTATAATAATGGTAGAGCTGGTTCTTAGCTTTAACAACTGTGAAGATGGTATGCATCTGACTAGTGCTTGGGATAACTAGTCTAAGTAGACCGTAAGTTTCTCAAGGCAGCTTTCTGTCTGTGTCAGAAGGGTCCAGCCAGGGAACAGATGGCACACTGAAAGGGTTAGCTGGAAAGGGTGTAACAAAGGCCATATTTATAGCTGTGTGGGCAGGCAGCACAAGGGAACAACAGAGGTAGCGGCTTGCCAGGGACTAGCCACAGAGTGAGAGGCTCTTACCACCCTGAAAGGGACAAAGGGAGAAAATATTATTACCAGATTGTGACGAGAGCTATAGCCTGCTGTAACAGTGGAAGAGGGGTGGCCCAACAGAAGTTTTAGCCAGAGCAGACCAGCTATACAATTAGTCAGGTGGCACCAACCTGTTTCTCCTATGACCCTCCAATCCCTTTCTTGCCAGCACTTGCCAGAGATGGACTCCAACTGGAGGCCAGAAAGCAGAAGAGCCTGGAAATGCCATCTATGAAGGTCGGCCTCTGAGCAGCCCAGAGAAAAGCAGAAATGAGACTGGGGCAGCCAAGAGTGAATAACCAGCACGGTAGCTGACGCAGTGCGGTACACAAAGGGCGCGCTTCCAGTAAGACCTCAAGGCCCATGTGCTGCTTTGAATTCAACTGAACCGAATGGAGAAACTGGTTGCAAGTAAAGGGTGTTATGTGGTAAAGGCAACTGGACCCTGGACCGCTAGGGTTTCACTTCCAGCTTATCTAGACAAGTGAATCATCAGATTTCACAGCCCTCTTGGGGCTTGAATCACACATGTGCGGGAGGAGCTGCATTGCTGGTGCATGTGAAGTGTTTCAAGCTGTAATTATATCCTTCACCTCCTCAGAGTGTCTAGACTAGATTACGAAGGCTGGGGAAAAAAAAAAATGACTGCAGCTTTCTGTGGTCCTCAAACAAGTGGGAATTCCTGGCTGGGGCCCTTTTCCCAGAGTACACAGGAGCAAATCCCCAGAAGCAGCAGCAGCAGCAGCAGCAGCAGCAGTAGCCTTGGCTTGAAGGATGAAGATTAAAAGGGAAAAGAGGTACCACTGCCTTTAAAAGTCTCCATAGGAAAGAGACTCCAGTCAAGCACTAGCGGTAGAAATATGAAGCAACCCTGCTGTTCCTCTGCAGGAAAAGTTTTTAAATAACTTCTTATTAGTAATATTAATATTAATGATAATACTGAATCTTCATAGCACATTTATTATATACTGAACACTATGGTAGCATTTTACGTACTTTGCTTCATTTAATTTCCACAATCGCCCTGAGAAGTAACATTAACCCTATTTTTAAAAACAGAAAAATGATGCTTAGAAAGGCAAACAGAATATGGTCTTAGCTGCAGTTGATTGAACATTTATTATGTGCTTGCCATAGGGCTGGGTATCCCAGCAGTTCTCAAAGTGCAGTTCGTGGACCTCTCTGAGTTCCCAGCACCCTTACAGGAGATCTACAAGGTCAAAACAATATTCATAAAAACAATAAAACAGCGTTTGCCTTTTCCACTGTATTTACATTTGCACTGCTGATGGGAAAACTGCCAGCACCATAGCACAAATCAAGGCAGTGCACCAAACTGCACTAGTAGTCATTGAATTCTTCAAGGCCACCCACTTGTGGTAGAAAAATGTGGCCATTCATATAAGCATGACTTTGATGAAGCAGAATCATTTTTAATTTTATTAAATTTTAACCCTTGAGCACATGAACATCTTTTTAAGATTCTGCACGAGGAAACAGGAAGAACTCATAAGGCATGTCTAAGTACCATGGTTGTCTCAAAGAAAAGGCACCTGCACAGTTGTTGAGTTGCAATCTGAACTAAGCTCGGTATTCATAGATCACCATTTCTACTTGAAAGAACAAAAGAGAAATTATGGGTGTTCAGACTCTGGTAGTTGGCAGACATGTTCTCAAAACTTAACTAAGTGAGCCTCTTACTTCAAAGAAAACAGCTTAGCCGGGCACAGTGGCTCACGCTTGTAATCCCAGCACTTTTGGAGGCCTAGGTGGGTAGATCATGAGGTCAGGAGCTCAAGACCAGCCTGGCCAACATGCTGAAACCCCGTCTCTACTAAAAATACAAAAATTAATCTGGTGTGGTGGTGCATGCCTGTAGTCCCAGCTACTCGGGAGGCAGAGGCAGGAGAATCACTTGAACCTGGGAGGCGGAGGTTGCAGTGAGCCGAGATTGTGCCATTGCAGTCCAGCCTGGGTGACAGAGCAAAACTCTGTCGAAAGAAAGAAAGAAGAAAGAGAGGAAGGAAGGAAGGGAGGGAGGGAGGAAGGAAGGAAGGAAGGGAGGGAGGGAGGGATGAAGGAAGGAAGGAAGGAAGGAAGGAAGGGAGAGAGGAAGGAAGGAAGGAAACAGCAGACCATGTTTGTTGCCAATGGTAACATTTGAACTTCCATGTGAAGATTAGAATTTTGGAAAATATATATGTTACTGTTAACTCATCAGCTTCCCAATATATTAAGACTTTTCTGTTCAGATCTGTGCTGGCATTAAAGAATGTGATCCTTTGATAGTGTATAAGGCAATGTGTCAACATTTGGAAGATTTGTATAATTCAGTGAACCAATATTTTTTAAATGTCCACAGTATCATACTGCAAAATCATGCACAGGTAAACGTTCATTCAAAGCATAAAATGGCCAGTGGATTTTAAGGTAACATAGCATGAAAATTTCATTTGCATAGTTTCAGGTTCCATATTATAACTACCTTTTAAGAAACTGGCAGTCAAGTTTTGATGTAGTATCAAAAAAATGCTTTTTTTTTTTTTTTGAGACAGAGTCTCACTCTGTCACCCAGGTTGGAGTGCAGTGGTGCGATCTCGGCTCACTGCAAGCTCTGCCTCCCAGGTTCACGCCTTTCTCCTGCCTCAGCCTCCCAAGTAACTGGGACTACAGGCACCCGCCACCATGCCCAGCTAATTTTTTCTGTTTTTTAGCAGAGGCAGGGTTTCACCGTGTTAGACAGGATGGTCTGGATCTCCTGACCTCATGATCCGCTTGCCTCGGCCTCCCAAAGTGCTGGGATTACAGGCGTGAGCCACCACGCCCGGCCCAAAAAAAGACTATTAAATCACACCTCTTTTTTCCAAATGCATATCGGCATGAAGCTAAATTTTTTCCTATACTGCAACCAAAACAATCTATGGCAAAACATTGAATGCCAAAGAGATTATGAGAATCTATCTTCTCTTAAGTCACACATTAAAGAGATTTATAAAAGTGTTGCTGTTCTCACTACAGTTTTGGGGTGAAAAATATAGTTATTTATCATTAAAAAGTTAATTATGTAACATGCAGTCAGCTCACTAGTAAATAAATGATTTTAAAATTTCTCAGTTATAATTTCTACTGCAATAAATGTTGATAGATATAACCCACATTTAAAAATTTTTTTAAATTAATCTTTGAAGTCCACAATAATCTTTAAATCTTTGGAATCCTCAGTAATTTTAAAAGGGTCCTGAAGCCAAAATCTTTGAGAAGCACTGTTTCATCAATATGTCATCAATGCAATGTGATCCCAGAGCTAAGAGCTTTTCAGGGGCTTAGAAAATATATAAGCCTCAGGTAGAAAAATAGTTGTTGGCTCCAAAACTACAAAAGAAACCAATAAAAAATTAAAATGAATAAATGTTTAATTAAATGTCTACAAAAATGCACCAACATGCCAACTTCATTAACTGTTAAAATTTAATATTCATAAAGATTTCATTACATCTAATACGATTTATAGATTCAATTTTCTCACTTCACACATTCCCCTAAGTATACACAGTGATTGTTGGGAACTCATAGCCAATCATAAATTAAATGAAAGTTACATAGAGCCAAATAATTTCTAAAGCACAAATATAAAGGCCCTTACAAAAAGAATTTAAAGCCAAAAAGTATATTTAATGTGGGATATGGGTGCCATTAGTATGTTTGATATGTTGTATGGTAAGGCCTCCAAAAGTCAGAATATGTAGGGCTCATGAAGGCCCTGTTTTAAACACAGCATCTTATTTCCTTTAAATTACACCCCTCCTGAGAAAGATTCTGGTGAAAGCAGATATCTTCACTAGGCTAAGGAGATATCTTCACCAGGCAAAACATTTCACCCTGACCTTTGGCAGGCCTGGGGAAGAGAAACACATAAGGTAAATACCATAAACCCATCAGAAGAGTAATAAAATCATGAAGGAAAGAAAGGCCAGATGCTGTTCTTTGGGACCCAACAATGGCACAGCCAGCCAGGTTTCTGTCCCACAGGCAGAAGGGGTTACCACAGCCTCTCACACCCAGACTGTCATCTTGAGCAAAGCAGGACTGATAGCTTAGCAGAGCCCCAGACATCTCACTAGGGAAACAGAATGTTTGACAGAAAAGTCTGGGAGTACTTTCTAAAGACTAGCCAGCTTAAAGCAAAAAGTCCCCCAGTGATCCTCCCCACCTCTCTTCTGGGTCCCTTGCCCTTGCTGGTACCTCAGGACTAGGCGCCCTTGCTGACCAGCAGTGCCCAGGATCACCAAGACCTCTCTCAACTTCATTCCCTTGCAAAGTGTTTTCTCACCTTCCCCTCATTCTCTCAGCCCCACTGACCAGAGTGAAGCAGTGTTGTCGCCATCCAACTTTGAGGTGTCAAGACTCTGAGATAATGTGGTTGCCTTTTAGAAGGGCTCCAAGAATGGGATATCCCACAGTATTGCAGTTTGCTTATTTTCTTTCTCATCTGATTTTTCTGTAGTTTCTGCTATAAATGCATTTGCTTTCTTTTAAACATTTTTTAAAAGATCAGTAAAGTAACCGGCTCATTATAGGTCTTTGATAAATAGTAATCACTATTATTTGGCAATTCATCACACAGTGCCCTAACTTCTCCTGCATGGAAATCAGGAGATCTTCCCTGTTGAGAGTGAATGGATTCACTTTCATTTCCTGCAGCTGCCTAGTTTAGTAAAAAATAAAAATAAAAATAGAAAAATGGAAAAACAGAGTTAGAAAATGTGCAATGTATTTGAAATGTTTCATTTAACAAGTCAATGCTTTAATTACGCATATACATGCAAAACCAAAATACAATCGAATTGTGCAATTGACAATATAATTTCAAGATTTATGGAAAGCAAGTAATGGATTGTGAACACATTGTGTTGGCAAGGTGGCCTAGTAAGGAGACAAAACTGTAGAGCTCTCTGATGTACACCTTCTTTCAATCCTTTCCCTGAAGCTCTGTGACTCAATGGCATCATTTGGAGATTAAAAACAAGTCTAAAATTGAGATTTGTTGCCAAATTGCTTCCCTTAAACACCTCCTCCTTTTATCACCACCAATGGATTCTGATTGCACCATTAGCCTTTATTCCTTGTATTATTATTGGCATTTTTCCATGCAAATGTCTGGGCTTCCCAACCAGAGTAAAAGGGTCATACACTCTGCTATAACTTTTCATGCTTGTAACAGACATGCAACATATTAATTGAACTACTGATACTTGTTTTTAAAAAAAACTAGCTAACAAAAAATTGATCTCTCTCCATCATAAATTCATACTTTTTCTTTACCATCCCAACTCATATACACCCTCCCCATCATGCCTACTCTATGACATAGAAAAAGAACTCTCATATCAATGCTTTCTCTTTGCTTTCTTTCCAAACCCTTTTGAGTAAGGACACTGCCCTTTCCCGTTACCCTCTCCCCAGAAGGCAAACACGAATCTCCTGGCAGCTGCTCCATTTATCCCTCTTGAGGCAGACACCGCCTTTCATTGTTATTTCAGTTGATCCAGTTGTGAATAAGGCATCAGATGCACTTTCTCTGAACATTCAACCTCTGATCGCTAAATAGCAAGAGGTTTGGATGATGTCTCTGGCAAGAATCCTTTCCCATCTGCTTCTAGTTCGGGGCCGACCTTTGACAGCCCTCCATCCATGACTCTAAGTGGTGTGGAAAGTGCTGTGGTCTCTGGCAAGTTGATTTGGTCCAAGGGAGCCGTTTATTTTTCCTAGCAAGACTGAGGAGGGATTTTGTGTCTCAGCATCATGTAGACTAAAGCTTATCACCAATTTCTCCAGAACAGATGTGTCTTCTTTTGACATAGGGAAGTTCTGTTATCAGATGCAAAAGGCCTTTTGAATTATGTTTTTGCTCTAAGGAAACAACAGTAGTTTTTAAAGATAGAAGCAACCAACATCTCCACATCTCCCTGGAGGACATCATGAAAAGATGTGTCCCATCCTCACCATTTCCTCATCCCACTCCCTTTAGTTAAAGCCAGTACTTATTATCTAGAAAACAAAAATCACTTCCTAATTGTTCTACCTGCCTCCTTTGTTGCCCTTGCCATCCATCTTCTACTTGCTACCAGACTGATCCTTTTGAAGTCTAAGCATGACTACCACCCTTGCTCAAATACCTGTAATAGTTCTGCATTGTTTATAAGAGAAAGTACATGTTTCTTAGCAAGCATACAAGGTTCTCCATAATTCCCCACTAGCTATTCAGCCTCAAACCCTTCTCCCTTACCTTCTCATACCCTCTCTACCACTCTAACCACAGTGATGCTCTCTGGCCTCTTAGCTAAGAGTGGCAAACTCAGGTGCCTACAAGGACCAAGCCAATGATAACAAGTGTGAGAACTGGAGGAGATGAAACAGTAGGAACTAGTAGAGTCTGTGAATTGAGTTATCTCATTTTTTTTTAGAGAAATTAGGCCAAACCAGGCATAAACATGGTTTATATTTGGCCCATGGTGACAGATGAAGACTCTCACTCCAGGTTTTCACTCATGCTAAAATCCGAGTGCCTAAAAAGGCCTCCTGTGTCCCTCACCACTGCTACTCCTTCACCTAGCTCATTATTTATCTCACAGAGCTCGGTTCCAATGCCATCTCCCCAAAAATCTTCCTGGTATTCATTCTGGGTTAGTTGTCCTCCTCCAGCTCTCAAAGCTATCTCTGGCCCCTTTGTGACAGCAGTAGCCACACTGTTACTTGCCTGACACCATGGCTTACCTGACTCCTTAATAGACCAGGACTTCCTTGCTGAAAGTGAATGTCTTACTCTCCCTGAGTAAGTACACAGAGTAAATGCTTATAGCAGACATATGTTTTGTCTATACAGGACCTCTTCTTCCCTATTCATGGAAATAGCAGCTGCTACTATCCTTTAAGGAACTGTCCTTTCTCTGCTCCTTGTGGTTTAGGTAAAGCTACTCAACCAGAGGACTCCATCGCTATCCTAGGGGAGGGCATATGACCCAAGATAGACCAATCAATTTTTTTTTGTACCCAGGAATGAAGAGGATTCAAAAAGAATAAAAGGCAACTGGAGCTATGTTACCTGGTGGCAGCACTCTAGAAGAGCTACAAGTGCCCTGGTTCCTAGAGTCTATTCTTCTCAATGTTTTGAACCAGTGAGTGTTTGCTGTGTAACAAATAATCGTAGTATACAATAATATCTATTTGTTTATCTCAAAATTTTAGAGACATGCAATTTGAACTTGGTTAGGCTGGGCATTTCTCTTGTCTTGGAGGGATTCACACATGCATCTACAACTGACTGTTGGTGAACAGGAAACTTGCTGGTCTAGGGTGGCTTCACCTGGGTCTTGCTGTTTTCCAGCATTCTAGCCTGAGCTTATTCACATGCAGTTGGGCAGATTTCCAAGAAAGAGAATAGAAATACACAAGACCTGTTGAGGCCTACACTCAGACTGGGTATATCACCATTTCCACTGCATTCTATTGGCCAAAGTAAGTTATAGGATCAGCCTAGATTGAAGAGGGTGAAAACTAGGTTCTCCTTCTTGATAGGAGGAGTTGCAAAGTCATGTTCCAAAGGGTGTGGATGCAGAGAGGGTGGAAAAATATGGTCATATCTGCAAACCGTCACAGCTTTGTTATTCAGTTCCCTGTTAATTTTCTACTACATCCCTTTTTAATTTTAAGTTAATCAAAGTCAGCTTCTGTTGTTTGCCATTTAAAAATTATAATGTATAACTGCTTGAGAATGAATGAATGAATGAATGAATGAATGAATGGATGGATGAATGTATTAATGGATGGATCAAACAATCCAAGAGTGAGTGTTGAACAGGGTAATGTAAAAGGGTGACAGACCTTATCATGGGATGAGGAAGATGTGGAATATGCTACATGTTGATTGCCTGTAAGCATCTTAGAAGTTAGGACATCACTTTTCCCCTCCTACTTTTTGACTCACTCTGTAGTCACAGCTACCAATAGCTTGAAATCCCTTTAGGAGCCACACACGAAACAATAAACCATTCACTTGGAACTGCTCTCTTACCACTACTTAAATTTAATTCCAGAGCCTGACTGGGTGTTTGTTTTAAGTGACTATCCTCCTGTGTGTATTAATGTAACCACATATTATACTCTAGATTGGCTTACATATAGGGCATACATTTGTAAGTAAAGGATATTTTGAACAAGAAAAAAGTCTAAAGGCTGAAAGGATCCTATGATATGGTCCAGTATTTCCCAATTCAAGTCCTTCCCACCCCAAACCCCCACCCCACTCCTTTCTGATAAAAGTTTCCAATTCCCTAGGGGCCAATTCTCAGAAGGATGATGGAAAGAAAAAAGCAAGTTATATAATTAAACAAGACTGAAGCATGAATGATTTATGTCTCATGGGCTTCAATTTAGAGGATAACTTATAATTTTGGAGAGATTTCTTAATTCAGAAAAATATTCTGTAAGTAGAATCTTGAGAAATATGAAGGAGACATTTTTATGCAGCTATAGGCAGTTTTGTTGTTTTCTGTGCTGGCAGTGGTGGTGGTGTAAATAATAAAAAAATAGTATCTGGGTATAGATATGACATTGCATTTTTGTGATATGTAGAATATTCGTGCTTTTGGTCCCTAGAATTTTCCAGATGCTAATCATTATGGTAATTTATAACAAAGCAATACTGATGAAAATGGAAAAATTCCTCAAAGTTTTTGCAGCCTTAAACCTGACATTTGTGTTTTATGAAGCACCCTCGAATGAAACAATGCTCCTTTGCTGCCATAAGCACTTCTCACCATGTGCAAACCACAAAACCATCACTCAAAGTGCTGAGATTCACATCTTTGTGGGTGAGACAAGGAGGAGCCATATCTGCTCTTACCATGTCTCAGGCTCAGGACACTTGCCAGGGCAGCCAGATAGGATCACCAGGGCTGAGAAAGATGGTGTGATGTTCCCCTATGTGGGAGGCCTCCCAGGGAGGCAAGTGGTGACCTCACTGGGAAAATGAAAATGGTTCAAGAGAGAACACTTGTCAATAGAGAACACTGCCTGAATTTGAGACCAGTGAAGGGATTCTGTTTCCAACACCCTTTCAAACAAACAAACAAAGCTGTTTTCTATTAATAGTATTAATATATGGGGGAAAGATCCTACAGCCTGCTTCTTGACTGACAGATCATGATTCAGGCAAAAAGGATCTCAACTCCAGCTCTATATAAAGACACAGTCAGGGAATCACCCCTTAAAAGAACCAATTATAAAGTTTTCCTTGTAAAACCAGGGCAGAGATGTGCTCCTAGGAAGGGCAGCTCTTGGGACGACCCAGCCACAAAAGTAACCTCAACTTTTGGCCTCTGATATTTTCCTCCCTTCCTAGGATTTCTTTCATGATAATTCCAATGCCACCTATGGAGATTTAATGTGCCCTTTTCTCTGCTGCTGCAATGCAGATGAAGGAACAAAGGTTACACATTTCAAAAGGACCTCTACCTAAAATGCAAAAACATGATAGGGAGATTAACCAAAAAAAGTCAAAGCAAGCTAGAAGCAGGAGCAAGTTTCTGACTTTTCCATGGTTGACCTTCTAATTCTGTTCTGCTCTGAGCCCTGTTCTAGCCTAAAGAGCTCTCTTTGTGTTCTTAGTCCCCCAGCTCTTGAATGTGTGTGTTTCAAAAGATTGGGAATACCAGCTCTAGTGACAGGCAGTTTGGTGGGGATTTGTTATTCTATCACCATTAACACAAACTTATCACCTTTTCAAGTGATATATATTGAAAATGAGCTTAGCCAGACACATCACAGTGGGGAACATCAGAGAGCTGTCTTTTCTCTGGCTTATAGCAGGTAGACCCATGACCTTGGTTTAATTAGTAAGGGGCTCTGGCTAGCCCTTTCCTCTCTTAATGTTATCTCTTTGCCAATTTTTGTCCTATTCCCAATTATGTATTTTTGTTAGACACCTACACTTCATTTTTTTTTATCAACTCAGTATCAGAAAGTATCTGAAACTTGAAAAGCAATTATGGAATATTTTCCCAGTACAGTACTGGTCTTTATTATATAAGCTATTTTAAAGCTCTCCTGGAACATTTTTGTCCAGTAGAGACGGAAATAATTTCCTTCCCATGGAACAGATAATCTTTTTTTTTTCTTTTCTTTTTTGGAGACGGAATCTCACTCTGTGCCCAACCTGGAGTGCAGTGGTGCAATCTTGGCTCATTGCAACCTCCACCTCCCAGGCACAAGTGATCCTCCTGCCTCAGCCTCCTGAGTAGCTGGGATTACAGATGCATGCCACCATGCCTCAATAATTTTTGTATTTAGAACCAGAGAAATTGAGACAAATTCCTGTTTGGCACAATACAGATATAGATGTTAACAATAGGAATATTAATTGATACATAGGTTAGTATACACACATATATTTCCTTGCTCACTCAGCTGAGGGGGCTAGAAAAATAACACCCCAATAGCAATGGGCACTCTTAGCACCCAGATCTTGGTTTCTAATACCAGTCTCTAATAAAAAGAGCCAGAGCTTCATAGAGAAATGGCTGATTTCAGAATTGGGGCAAGAATTACACAAGATGAGTTTGAATCATCTTGTAGTACCAGAAAACAAGGAGTGAAAAAACTAAATACAAAATGATGGACCTACAGGAGCCAAGTGACGGAGCTCCCAGTGACCAAAGTTAGAACAATTTGAGCAACAGAATAATTAAAGTAGTCTTGAGTTATAAAATTAATATCAATGAGTCTATTTAGATATAAATAAATGATCAATCAATAAATAAGCAGGAGTGATAACACAAATATTACATGTGAAAGAATTCCAAATAATATATTTAGATACTCTGCCCTCAAGGAGGTGGAACATGACTCCTCAGTCCTTAAATGACATTTTTATAAAGATTACAGGATAAGAAAGATGAGAGAGGGAGGAGTGACATTACAGTGGAGAAATATGAAGAATAATTACTTCAGCCAGGGCACATGGTCAACATCAACAGTGATAAATAATGATAATATTTACCTTTCATATGATGTAACAAGAGTGGCACTTTACCTCTGTTGTCTTCCTACCAAACAACCATAACCCCAGTCTTATCATGAGAAAAACATAAGATGAATCTCAATTAAGGGACATTCTACTAAATACCTGTCTAGTACTCCTCAAAACTGTCAAGGTCATCAAAAATAAGGAAAGCTTAAGAAACTGTCACAGACCACAGGAGCCTAAGGAGATATGACAACTAAATGTACATTACATTTGGTAGCCTAGGTGGGATTCTGGAACAGAAAAAGTGCATTAGGTAAAAAAAAAAAAAATAAGAAAATATTTATAAACTATAGAGTTTAGTTAATAATAATGTATCAATATTGGTTTACTAATTGTGACAAATATTCCACAATAATATAAGATAATGTTAGGAATAAGGAAAAATTGATGTGGGGTGTATGGAATTCTCTGTTCTATTTTTGCAGTTTTTGTAAATCAAAAACTACTAAAAAATTTATTTAAATAAATAAGTGCATTAAAAAAACAAATAGAGATACTTTCTGCAAAGTATCTTGTCAGTGCCATGAAAACCTAAGAAAAACTCAGAAACTGTGATATTCTGGATTGGACCACAGAACAAAAAAGATACTAGTGGAAAAACTAATGAAATTCAAATAAAGCCTGTAGTTTAGTTAATAGTATTGTACCAAAACCAATTTCTTAGTTTTGACAAATGTACCACGAAAGTATACAGAAACTGTCAGCACTCTCTTTCCAACTTTTCTGTAAATCTACAATTATTTGGAAATTAAAAGTTTCAAGAAAAATTTTGTCTACATATTATATGATTCCAACTACATAACATTCTAGAAAGGGCAAAAATATGGTGACAGTAAAAAGACAGAGGCTGAGAGGGAAGAGTAATAAACAGGCCAAGCACAGAGGGTACATGTCATCATATACATATACAGAACTAATAGGATAGATATATATATAAAGGGGAGTTTATTAAGGACTATTAACTCACACAATCACAAGGTCCCACATTGGCCGTCTGCAAGCTGAGGAACGAGGAAGCCAGTCCAAGTCCCAAAGCTGAAGAACTTGGAGTCTGATGTTCGAGGGCAGGAAGCATCCAGCACGGGAGAAAGATGTAGGCTGGGAGGCTCAGCCAGTCTACTCTTTTCACGTTTTTCTGCCTGCTTTATATTCTAGCTACACTGGCAGCTGATTAGATGGTGCCCACCCAGATTAAGGGTGGGTCTGCCTTTCCTAGCCCACTGACTCAAATGTTAGTCTTCTTTGGCAACACCCTCACAGACACACCCAGGGTCAATACTTTGCATACTTCAATCCAATCAAGTTGACAGTCAGTATTAACCATCACAATACATTTGTCCAAATCCATGAAATGTACAACACCAAGAATGGACCCTAAGTAAACTTTCCCTAAGTAAACTATGGTTGATTATGATGTGTCATTTTAAGTTCATTAATTGTAACAGTTGTACCACTCTGGAGGGCAATGTTGATAATGAAGGAGGTGATGCATATGTGGGAGCAAATCTCTGTACCTCCCTCTCAAGTTTGCTCTGAATCTAAAACTACCCTAAAAAATGTAATCTAGAAAAAAGTTGATTAAAAAAAAATAGGTGAACCATGAAGAATAACAGATACGTGCAGACTAGAAGCAAGGAATACCACTGTCATTTGCCCATTGGAAATATAAAGTTGGCATCACTGAAATTAACATGTTTTTAAGAAGGAAATGATCACTCAGAGCTTAAGGAAGACTGCCTGAATCATAGCGATCCGCTAATGGGGATGGGGAAGTATAAGAATCCAGATAATACATCCTGTATTAGCATTTGTCTGGGCACAGTTCAAGCAAAAGCTCAAGGAATTCTGCTTTTCTTAGAACTCTTATTGACAAAATACACCTCTCTTAACAATCTCAAAATGAGTTGTCTATCCCAGGCATTGGCTGTTAAAGATAGGGACACAACAGTTAATGAGTTCTCCTTCAATTTTTATCCACTGACTCTTCAGAAGGCCAACCTCTACTGAATAGTCACAAAAAGCAGGGATTCTGTTGGGAGTGGGAAGAGCTTCTGATCCTTGCTTGGCTAAGCTTCTTCTCCAGGGTTTTCCCTAGGTAGCCAGAAAGAGATTTCCTGGAATTATTTATGAGGATACTGGAAGGTCAGCCAGAGTACGCAGTCCTGACAGTCATTCATTCCGCCTCTCTTACTGAAGTAATAATGCCATATATTGCTTCAAAAGAGCTACTCATATACTGAACACCTGGTATGTGCCAACTACGGTGCTAGATGATAGGGAAGAGGGAGTGAACTCAGATAAAAACAATAACACTGATGATGATGATAAATATGCAATAGCATGTGTTTCTAACCAAGCACTACTCTACAAGCAATGATGCATTTAATCCTTACAATAACTCAATGAAATTGAGCTTATTATTTGTATTTTACTGGTGAGGAAACTCATTCTCCCTCCAGGAAGCTAAAAATCATAGTAGCTTATTTAAGGTCAAACGTGAAGCATCAAGGTGTTTAAGAACATGGTCTTTGAAATCCAGCAGACAGAACCAAAGCTTAAATCTGTCTTATTAGCTATGTGACCTTGGACAACAAATTTCACCTCTTTCTCAAGTAGTTAATAAGTAGAGGATAAAATCAGCACAACTTTATTAAGTGCTTTGTTCATTAATATTGTCTGCCACAAGTTTGAGGAAGAAAGGGGCCTCACGCATGCCCAGAATTTGCCAAAATGTGCCAAGTGCCTTAGAGATATGAATTTACTTTATCCTCAAAACACAACAAAAGATAAGATTTTATTATTTTCTCCATTTCACTGATTAGGAAGCAGATGTTCAAAGAAGTTTAATTAACTTCCTGAAGGTCATCCAGCAAGGAAGTGGTCCAGCTGCAATTTAAGTCCAGCTGTGTCAGGTCCTAGTACATTGAATCTAAATCACTCTGCTCTACTCACTCAACATTACAGAAACGCCGTCATGGGCTCAATTCCTTCTAGGTAACATATTTTTCATTTTAGCTGAGGGTCGAACCCGAAAGTTTGTCTGTAAGTGGTATAACTTTTGGGCTGGGGGTGCCTTAATTGGACTGGGTGAAACTTTGCATCACTAATACTGGGATTCTCAGTAGCAGGCATCTTAGAAAGCAGAGAGCCTCCCCTCAGAAGCTATAATGATGCATTTTGAAGAAGAAGAGTGGAGGCAGATGGGAGAGAGAAGAAGGAAGGCACAAGAAGCCTGAAGGCATAGAAAGGAGGTTCTTTTGGATTTGGAAACAAACCTAAAATTGACACAATTAACCGTGGCCCAGCCCCTACCAAGAAGGCAATGCCTTCTGAGTTTTAGAGCAATTTAGGGCAAGGGCAAGGATACTAAATAGACTCCAACCCCTGCACCAACATTGCTTCCTGTTGGTAGCTGCTGAGACAGTTCTAGTAATAAGAAACATGAGGCTTTGCCCAGGCTTAGCTGGAAAAGTTAAAATAAATAAATAAATAAATGCCTCGGCCCATTATTATGATCTGCCACAAGTTTGGGAGCCACTCGCCTGCCCAGAATTTGCCGTTCCTCCTTAGGGGATGTCACAACCTGGACATAGTCTGCAGGAGGAGTTAACTGGTTCAGGTCCAGCCAGGGAGACTCAAAAGTCCCAACAGAACTCTGCTTCCGCCAACCTCACAAACAAAGGCAAAACGGCACTGACAATGAGAAAGGCTCTCATTTGAATTTCTTTGGTTTTAATTATTTTGAAAAGAGAGGCAGGCCACCAATGCCAAGACCCTTTAGGAATAACTAAAAACCAAAGAGATTCAGGCCAGCTGGAGGGGGCAGAGCGGGAAGTTCCAGCCAATTAGCCTTCCTTTGTGACATTGCGGCCCTTCATCCCACCCTCCGGAAGCCTTCATAACACTCATGTGTCAACAGGACCTTAGGGGAGGGGAAATAGCAGTGAGCCAAACCTCAAGAGTGAGGAGAAAAAAAGTAAAATCTGGAATTGCAGCTCCAAACTGGGCCCTTGAACGTTTAGCTGCTATCATTATTTTTTACAGAGCCTTCCCTGGGCTTTTCCTGACCACCGAGGACCAGGCCTCAGGGCTCCAGAGGCCTGGTCTTCCCTCTGCAGCCTTGCTATCGCCTTGCCAAACAGGCTCGTCCCACCCTCTCAAACTCTGCAGTCTTCCACCTCCAGCCTCCCCAAATGGATCAAGCTTTCCATGGCTAGGCTATTAAAGGGAAAGCAGTCCTACTGTTTCCTTTAATGAGCAGCTTTTACTAGGTGCCAAATGCCCTTTAAGGAGCCTAGAAACCCAAAGCAGTCTCCTGGGTTCCAGAAACCCCAGCCTAACCCAGAGTCAGTGGGAGGTAGAGACACAGACCCAGACTTCAGTCAAATTAGTCTCCAGGGAATCTGCTTAATCCGAGCTGTCGGGAGACGTGTGAGATGCTGGAGTTACCATTAACGCTGATCTTAGGCTCTGCTAGATCCTTGCAGGAATAGATCCAATCTCTCCAGGGCACTGGCTCCAGAGAAGGTAGTACAGGAAATCTCTAATGTCTTCTAAGGAAGGTGGAATCTGTTAAGCAGACACGCCTGTTGCTCTGTTGGGCACCTTGATGGATTCATGTGCAAAAAGGTGGGCATGAAGCAGAGTGTGAAATGAGAGAACACTGAATGATCCTACTTAATAGAATAAGGAAAAGTTAGAGTTTGAATAACCATCCAGGACAGAAGGGGAAGGTGGCCAGGAGAGGAGATGGCCTGAGGCTAGGGCCAAGCAACCAATACAAAGTCCTGGGGATAGGGGCACCTGAGGTTCAACTTACAGTTCTTTGTTTTTGGGCAATATAAACTGTTCTTCTATCCCCTAACCACATCTCAACATTTCAGTAAAATCTAATAAATACATACATGGCTTTGTGTGAGTATGGCCTTGTGCAAACCCAAAAAAGGCCTGAGTTTCACTTCTAGGTCAATATGGAAAAGAGATAGTTGTATGTGTTGCTAAACTCAGGTTGCAGCGGTTAGGGACCATGATGATACTGGGTTCAACCCCTAAGAATTGACTAAATCTTCTAGTGCTTTCTCCCTTTTATTCTAAGTGGAAAGTGAATTGAATTGATCATTTACCTTCTACCTTTTTCAATTTTGTTCCATGTTTAAGACATATTAGGGCACTATGGAAAAGTGGTAATGAATATAAACTTAGGATTTCAACAAATATGGGTCTGCGTTCCAGGTCTGCTTTAATGGCTATGTGATTCTAAGCCTCAGTTTCCTAATCTATTAAGTAGGAACCAATGACATATTCCATTTAATGATCATTCCTTATAAAGGATCAATGAGACAATCTATGTGAAATGTTTGCTGTGGTAACTGACACAAAGTAACACGCAATAAATGGTGGTTGCTCTCATCCACCTGTTAGTGATGATGCTGATAATGATGACAGGCACACTGACAAGGACAGTTCCTGATTGTAGCGCTCCTGTCATTGGGGAGAGGGAAAAAAAGGATGGCTTAAAAAAATTTTAAGATAAAAGGAAACAAATTTGGGAAATCTATTCTACTGCTCTGTATTGGTCTACAAGTGAGCACAATATAAGCTTTACTGTGCTTGTCTTGAGATGCAAAGATTGTTTCTTATCACAATTACCCTATGTGTGCTAACATGGGCACCACTACACACTGGCCAGGTTTGGCGGGGATATGAAAAGAAAAGAGGGCTGGGCGTGGTGGCTCACACCTGTAATCGCAACACTTTGGGATACCTAGGCGGGCAGATCACTTGAGCCTAGGAGTTTGAGACCAGCCAGGGCAGCATGGTGAAACCTTGTCTCTACAAAAGATACAGAAAGTTAGCTAGGTTTGGTAGTGTACGCCTGCAGTCCCAGCTACTCGGAGGCTGAGGTGGGAGGATCACCTAAGCCCGCGAAGTCTGGGCTACAGTGAGCCATGATTGCGCCACCACACTCCAGCCTGGGCAACAGAGTGAGATCCTGTTAAAAAAAAAAAAAAAAAGGAAAAGGAAAAGAAGAAGAAAAAGGAAAAGAAAAAGGGAAAGGGAAGGGGAAAGGAAAAGGAAAGGAAAGGAAGTTGGTGAATTGGATATGTTTTATACAGAGTCAAGTGAATGATGACCTCTGTCCAAAACCTCATAAAATCAAATGTGTTAGGCTTGGTTTTTCTCCCATGCCACCAAATCTTTCCTCTATTTTTTTTCAAGTGAATTATTTTTCTTCCTGGGAGAATCTTCATGTAATCTCCCAGGAAGAAAAATAACATATGTATATTCATAATACATATGAATATATATAAAAGTAATATATATTCATTTACTCAATTTGAATGTAATTAATTACCAGTTTCTACCCTCAGTGTGCCTTCTTGTAGAGAAACATTGTTCCTAACAGCTCTGGCCAATCTCCTTTCTAACACAGCTGCTTTACACTTCCTCCTTCTGGTCCAGCTGCCTTAGGGGAGACTGTTCGACAGAACTTGGCATGCACAGATTCCCAAGTTATCTTTGTCTGGGGCCCATCATTTTGTTTTCAGTCTGAAAAATAATGCCTCCTTCATGCTGTAGAAGCCAAGAAGAATTTATTTCCTTCCAAAGAGGTTTCAGGAGATCCTGTATCACTGACTTAGACAAATCAAGCTTGATTACATGCATTGTCTCCTTGTCTTCCCTCAAACAACACAAAACCTTCTAAAGGAAGGTTTAATGTGAAACTGAGACTTTCCAGTTTCACTTTTTCCATTCTACCTTCAGTACAAAAGCCCTACCTTGGAAAATGAGAGTGATAATTATTTGGTTAATCACAGGATTTCAGACTTTTCCAGTGAGCAATAGGGAAGGTGAAAATCGTCCTTTTCTAGAATCAATGTTTGAGGACACAAAAGCATACTAAAAGGGAAAGTCCCCTGAGGCCAAAGAAAAAATCAGTTGGCTTAAAAAATAAATAAAAATATAAGTGACAAGCTCTTTTTGAGGGGGGAAAGAGCCATTTTTCATGGCATGATTGGCATGACATTGATCAATGTTCTTTTTACTGTCCAAAGTCATTTTGAGGAGATTGGTTTCTCTCAAAACAAATCTATTCCGTACTCCATCATCACTAGAGTATTTCAGTAGTTTTTTTGCTAGCTATTAATCTTACCATTTGTTCTCTGCCCCTTAACTAGAGGAGAAATCTCATTTAATACAATGAGGTAAAAAATAACTTTCAAATCAGACTTGGTTTTTGAATCACAACTCTATCATCTAAATTTTATTATGTCTTAGTTTCCCCATATATAAAATAAGAAAATGCCTACATTATAGTTTTAAGGATTAAATAAGAAACTGAATTTATAATAGTAGCTAACACTTATTGCATGCAAAGTACCTTATATATGTTAATTAATCCTCCAACAATCAATCCCATATGGTATACACTATTATCAACTTCGTTTTGCAGATGAGACTACAGAGGCACAAAACAGTTAAGTAACTTGCTCAAGGTCACTCACTGCAACAGTCAGGGAGTACAATGGACTGAAAGTTTATGTTCCTCCAAAATTTATATATCAAAATCCTAACTTCCAAGGCAATGGTATTAGGAAGTGGGTCCCTTGGGAGGTGATTAGGTCATGTGGATGAAGCCCTCATGAATGGAACTAGTACCCTTATAAAAGAAACCAAAGCAAGACCACTTGCCCCCTCTACTGTGTGAGGACACAGTGAGAAGGTGCTCTCTAAGAAGTAGCAGGCTCTCACGAGACACAAATCTGCCAGCACCTTGATCTTAGACTTTCCAGCCTCCATACCTGTAAGAAATACATTTCTGGTTTTTTTTTTACAAGCCACCCAGTTTAAGGTATATTTATTTTAGCACTTTGAACAGACTCCATTTAAGGTATACATGTTTTAGCACTGTGAACAGACTAAGACAGGGAGGCAGACATGTTCAAAGGGGGAACTGAGAATGTTTAATAGTGACTGACATGGATTGGCTCCCTGTCCCCACCCAAATCTCATCTTGAACTATAATCCCCATAATCCCCATGTGTCGAGGGAGGGACCTGATGGGAGGTGATTGGATCATGGGAGCAGCTTCCCCCATGCTGTTCTCCTGATAGTGAGTGAGTTCTCATGAGATCTGATGGTTTTATAAGGGTTTGACAGTTCCTCCTTCACATGCGCTCCCTCTGCTGCCACCCGTGAAGAAGGTGCTTGCTTCCTCTTCCACCATGATTGTAAGTTTCCTGAGGCCTCCCCAGCCATGCAGAACTGTGAGTCAATTAAATCTCCTTTTCTTATAAATTACCCAGTCTCAGGTAGAATCTTTATAGCAGTATGAAGACCGACTAATATCATGGCAGATCCAGGGACTACCCAATAGAGTCATTCTCACCTCTCAGCCAGAAGGGACAAAAAGAGAGACCAGTATAGCTGAAACCATGTACACATGTGAGAGATGGTCATAGAGAAACCCAGCCACTGCCAAAACCACAGCTTGGCAAGAAAGAAGAAAGGGGATTAATATCCTGACCTCTCTTTTCTCTCTGCCTCTAATCTTCTGTCAGTACTTCTCATAGATCAAACTCAACTGGAAGTCATAGGTCAAGGGATCCCAGGTGACATTGGACATAGAGATCAGCATCCCAGGGCACAGAATAGGGCCCAGAATGGACAAGGACTTACAAGTGAAGAAAAACTAAAACACAGCAGAGGTAGGATTCAAATCCATATTATTAACCACTCACCCCATTGCCTTTTGAGAGTAAACCAGTTAGCTTCTCTCCTCCATATCTGCAAAGCCCTTGTTGCCTCAGTTCCATGTCCATCTTGAGAGCAGACAGCACTTTCACTTAAAGGCATGACTTTCACCCGGAGGATTCACTAAACAAGGAGCACAAATGGTTTTCTTAAAAGAGTCCCCATTAGGCCAGGTGCAGTGGCTCAGGCCTGTAATCCCAGCACTTTGGGAGGCAGAGGTGGGCAGATCACCTGAGGTTGGGGAGTTCGAGACCGGCCTGACCAACATGAAGAAACCCCGTCTCTACTAAAAATACAAAATTAGCTGTGAGTGGTGGCACATGCCTGTAATCCCAGCTACTTGGGAGGCTGAGGCAGGAGAATCGCTTGAACCCGGGAGGCGGAGGTTGCCTGTCAGTACTTATAGATCAAACTCAACTGGAAGTCATAGGTCAAAGGATCCCAGGTGACATTGGACATAGAAGTCAACATCCCAGGGCACAGAATAGGGCCCAGAGTGGACCAGGACTTGAAAGTGGAGAAAAACTAAAACACAGCAGAGATCATTGCACTCCAGCCTGGGCAACAAGAGTGAAACTCCTTCTCAAAAAAAAAAACAAAAAACAAAAAAACAAGAGTCCCCTTTGGACAAGTCTTATTGCCAAGTCGCTTCTCCTGGTTCTAGCCATGTGATGCCAGTTCTTTCCTCGCCCTTCATGTATGGCAGGCTAGTATCCTCTATCAGCTCCTTTTGCCCCACTTTCTACTACAAAGAACCCTCCTCATTTTAAACCTGCCCTGCCCAAGCCCCAGAGGTTTCCTTCTATACCTCAGTGGGTTGAAGAAACTAACTTTTCAGCAAAAAAAATGTCTCTCCACAAAGAATTCTCTCATCATCTACTAAGAAAACATTTTTTCTTTATCAATGCATATGTATGCATAGGGATTTGCATAATGCTTGCACAAAAGAGGACTCATTAAATGGAAATTATTATTATTGCTATTAGCATTATTATTGTCACTTTGCCTAAGTGAGTTTTAACAGAAAGCTTACAGTGACTGTAGAGAATGACAGAAATGCAGAAGGGCCAGGTTCTAGGCAAGACAGACAATGCTTCTGTGAAAATACTCTGAAATACTTCCCAGGAGATGCACAGCTACCTCTGACACCATAATGCATTTCTCTTCAACCTCCTTACCGAGGGTTTTGACAGCATTCTTTGGATTGCTGTTCTCCAGAATCACTCTCCTAGGCAACTTCATCAACAAGGAAATATTTTTTGACAAGTTACAGATGTTCTTCTTTTCCTGAGAAACACCCTAACACATACTGTTTTTCAAAATGTTGAGTTTCTTGCCATGAAAATTGTATTCCTGGCCTTGGGTTAGCATGATATAAGAAACTTGAATAACCATGACCAATGCAGGGATAATCTTTTGTTTTTTGACTTTTAAACAGACATTTTTGACATTGCCCATAAGTCTTCTACCCTTTCAGACATTTGTCTAAACCAAAATGAATTTTTCTGTCCTAATATATAGCAAGTTCAAGCTTGTTCCCATTACTTCACCTTCCTTTACCTCTACAATCTATCAAATATATTACACAGAAGACATCTAAGGCTACAGAGACTTGTTTGTGGGTTCTTGAATCTTTTTTCAATTAATTCATTTATTTTTACTGTATATATTTAAGGTATACATGATGTTTTGATATTCATATACATAGTGCAATGATTAGAGTCAAGCAAATTAACATATCTATCACCTTTCATAGTTACCTTATGTTTCCTTGTGGTTTTTACTCTTCATTCATCAGTTTCCTTACTGTAAATGTTAAGTTTTGATGCTCACAAAATGGGTAATTGTGTAAGTATGAATGAGAACAGGGCTATGGAATGAAGACAACATCTGATATGGTTTGGCTGTATCCCCATCCAGATCTCATCTTGAATTTCCAAGAGTTGTGGGAGGGACTCAGTGGGAGGTAATTGAATCATGGGGGCAAAAGTTTCCCATGCTGTTCTCATGATAGGAATAAGTCTCAGGAGATCTGATGGTTTTAAAAAGAGGAGAAGTTCCCCTGCACAAGCTCTCCCTCTTTGCCTGCTGCCATCCATGTAAGACATGACTTGCTCTTCTTTGCTTTCTGCCATGATTGGGAGGCTTCCCCAGTCACGTGGAACTGTAAGTCCATATTAAACCTCTTTCTTTTGTAAATTGCCCATTCTCAGGCATCTCCTTATCAGCAGCGTGAAAATGGACCAATACAACATCATAGAGGCAAGTAATTATGAAATTAGTGGCCTGCCCTCACTATGGAAATATAGATATTTCTATTCCAGTGCAAATTTTCACTAATTTGGATGTAATCTGATGTATCAGTCCATTCTTGCATTGCTATAAAAAACTACCTGAGGCTGGGTAATCAATAAAGAAAAGAGGTTTAATTGACTCACATTTCTGCAGGCTGTACAGGAAACATGGCTGGGGAAGTCTCAGGAATCTTACAACCATGGCAGAGGGGAAAGAGGAAAGAGGTACATATTACATGGCTGGAGCAGGAGAAAGAGAGAGAAGTAGGAGGCACTACACACTTTTAAACAAACACATCTCATGAGAACTCCTCACTGTCACAAGAAAAGCAATGGGGAAATCTGCCCCTACCTGCCACCAGACCCCTCCTCCAACACTGGGTATTACAATTTGACATGGGATTTATGCAGGGACATAAATCCAAACCATATTACCTGGGCATCTGTCCAGTCCTCACCATCTTCCTCTGCCATCCAACTTCAACCTCCCATCATCTCGCATGCCACCAGCTTATCTATATTGGATACCTCTTGCATGTAACTGTCCTTCACTGAGTCTCAGCTGCTTCACAGAACTCCTGCTTCTGTAACTGCTATTTGAAGTGTGGGATGCCTATGGGGATTGCTCAGTCATTCTGCTTCAGTCTGCCTCATCCCTCAGTTCAAGAGAGTTATCCCCATGGGCAGCCTGGACCAATGTGGGGCAGGAGCTGAGCACATCAGAGCTGTATCCCCACCCGACCTCTTAAAGGATCTCTAGTGGCTCAGAGCCCTACAGAGTTTATCAGCATCTTCCACCCCACCAGATTGACTTTGCGTCCTTTCTTGTCTAACACTTCCCTTTCCGCCACTTCTATTCCTTCAATAACTTCCTAAAATAAATGGCTACACACAAGCTCTTGTCTCAAGCTTGGTTTTGTAGAGCAACTCAAGCTACAATAGCCTCCTAATTTTTCCCAGCTATCCCTTTTAATCTTCTAGAGTCTGTTCTACAGCAGCCAGAGTAGGTTTTCTAGAATATAAATCATACTATGCCATTCTCCTGATCAAAAACTTCTAATTGTTTCCATCACACACAGAATAAAATCCAAAGTACTTTCAATGACTCCTGAGGCTCACCATGATCTGGCTACTGGCCATTCTCTGATCCTATCATGGTTTGCTCCATACCACTTACCATCAGGTGACATGATATTGTATGTTTGTTTATCTGTTTATGGACTATCTCCTCTACTGAAATGGAAGCTCTGTGACAGCAGAAACTTGTCTATCTTATTTACTAGTATATCCCCATTGCCTAGCTCAATGCCTATCACTAGGTAGGCATCAAAAAATATTTGTCAAATAAATGATGGGACATGTGATTTTCATTATGCACATGGTTATAATGCTATAACTAACATATCAGACAAAGGGGAAAAAACTTGCTCTCAGCTTTTTTGAGTGGCTTTGTGATATGTTTATCCAACAATGGGTGATAAATGTGATAAAAACGACTAAAAAGCTTTGTGCCAATGATAGTCTTGGGAGGATAGGGAAAAAAAGGCCATTCCTCCTCATCAAAAGCAAGATGTAATCAAGGCTGGATTTGCCCAGGGATATTTAGCTTTATATCTATAGACTTAAAGCTATGAAAACACCAGTATTATTGAAATGCCTGCAGGCAAAATTATTATTGTGATTTGAAATGGCCCAGCCTCAAATCCCCTATTTACTCTTTGAAATAATTATTTTTAAAGTGATTTATATAAAAAGACTTCTCAGGAATGCAAGTATAACACTATAGCACAGATTATACTCCTGCCTCAATGAATGAGAGAAAATCTGAATCTAATCTACAAGAAAATTTTTCTTGATATACAAAGGAGAGTATTAAAAAGAGTAAATTATGGCAAAGCCTCAGAAATCATAACCCTAATCTTAAAAGGAGATAGAGGCCCAAGGAAAATATCCCCTGTTGAGATCACAGTTACTCAATTTAAGAGTATGCGACAATTCCAGTGTGCCATCAGGCATATGTTTGGCAGCCACTAGGGAGACCAGACCATCCCTTGGTACAGCCCCAGATCTGTCACTAACTAACTATATGACCCTGAATGATTCGCTTAAACTTTATGTTAAATTCCCTTGAGGGCAAGGACTGTCTTGTTCACAGTATATCCCTAGCATCTACCACAGTGCCTGGCACAAAGACAGTGCCCAATCAATAGGTGCTGAATGAGTGGGTTTGCAGAACTAGGTGAGGCATAATTTGAACTTATAAAAGGCTGTGTAAGTTTTAGCAAGAATCAGTAGGAATTGCATCTTTATTCTTTCTATGATATCCATTTGTATTTTTGCTAGCATCTAATTTGCATTCCTTGGGCTAAGTTAGCTTTTAACTTCCATGGCCAACATGACTCTCATTAGGATATTTTGATTACTAGTTCATATTAGAAAAGAATCCCATCCCATCAACAAGGATTGTTGTGTGAGTAGACAGAAACTTCTATGTATACGTTGGATGTTATGATGTGATTTTGGACTGGAATTCTCTCTGAAACTGAAGATATTTTCATGGCTCTTCATAGAAAAGGCATTGGATGCTGAATCCAAAGACCTAAACAAGTGATTTCGGATAAGTTACTTACTCTCTCTGAGCCTCAGTATTTACATTTTTAAAGCAAAGGCATTTGAAGAGATGAATGATCTTTTCCCAGGATAAATAAGAGCTGTGACTATTCTGAACACCAATATATTTTTGGTGATACATCATGGGATGCTTCCATTTGGTCTGTCCATGAGTGCTGGAGGAAGGGAGAAAAGAGGTTATGTAGCCATTGTATATCGTGACATAAAAAAAAACACCCCAAAATGTAATGTCTTAAAATAACAATGTATTGTTATATTCCACAAGTCTGTGGTTGCCTGGGATTATCTGGGTGGTCCATCTGTTTCATATGGTATAGCTGAAGTCACTCAGGTACTGCATTCAACTCTGAGTTCAGCTCAAGTAGGAATGTCCAAGTTGGTTCTTATCCTTCAGGCTCTTTTCGCATGGTCTCTCATCATTTAGTGGCCTGTCCCAAGCATATTTACAGCATGAAGCCTGGAGTCCAAGAGGAAGCTTTCCAAGAGGACATGCTCCCATGTGCAAGAGTTTATCAAGTCTCTGCTTGCATCACAATTATTAATATTCCATTGGCCAATGCAAGTAACTTGGTCAAGCCTACAATCAAAGTATGAAGATGAGGACTATGCAAAGGTATGAATACCAGGAGGTGTGGTTCATTATAAGAGCAAGAAATGCAAAATGAAGACAGGACTTTGAAGATTAAGATGTTTCTGCATAACCTGGTTGTATTAGTCCATTCTCCCACTACTATAAACAAATACCTGAGACTGGCTAATCTATAAAGAAAAGAGGTTTAATTGGCCCACAGTTCCACAGGCTGTACAGAAAGCATGGCTGGGGAGGCCTTAGGAGACTTTCAATCATGGCAGAAGGCAAACAGGGGAGCAGGGACATCTTACATGGCCAGAACAGGAGGAAGGCTGGCAGGGAAATGTTACACACTTTTAAACAACCAGATCTCATACGAACTCTATCACGAGAACAGCTCTACAGGTATGGTGCTAAACCATTGGAAACCACCCCCATGATCCAATCACCTACCACCAGGCCCTACCTCCAGCACTGGGATTACAATCTGACATGCGATTTGGGTGAGGACACAGATCCAAGCCATCACTGGTTGTCTTCTCCCAAGGAAACTATTTGCTTGATCCACAAATTCTACTAGACACTAGAGGTCATTGCTTCTGACTAGGTAGATCAACATCTTAAAATAATTAAGCATTTTTCCCCCAAAATACACTTATGACATAAGTGGCAATTTCATCATTAAAGAAGTTATCTGAAATTTTTATACATGAAATATTTTTGCCACCAATAATTAAGTTCATTGCAATAATCTAGAGAATAATGAGGAAGGGTACATGGTCTAACAGACTAGAGAAAGAATCACAGGAATAGATTTCAATTCTGCCCCTAGAAGAAAAACACAGCAACAGCATTTATTGAGGCCCTACAGTGTACTCAGACCTATACTGGGCAACTAGACAGTTACAATATAAAAGTATAATACAAATTTCAACACACATCAAAATATAACTAAAAGTAGTCTTAATTTACTGGCATTACATACTAAAAATAACAATAATAGTTATTATTGGGCTTACTTCTACTATTGCTACTATTTTACTTTATAAAAACCACTGTACTCTGGTACAAAAACAGACACATAGATCAATGGAACAGAATAGGGACCCCAGAAATAAAGTTGCACACCTACAACCATCTGATCAAAAAAGTCGACAAAAGCAAGCAATGCGGAAAGGACTCCCTATTCACTAAATCCCTATTGACTAAATGGTGCTGGGATAACTGGCTAGCCATATGCAGAAGATTGAAACTGGACCCCTTCTTTACACCGTATACAAAAATCAACTCAAGATGAATTAAAGACTTAAATATAAAACCTAAAATATAAAAACTTCTGGAAGATAATCTAGGAAATACCATTCTGGACACAGGACCTGGCAAAGATTCCATGATGAAGATGCCAATAGCAATTGCAACAAAAACAAAACTTGACAAATGGGGCCTAAACTAAAGAGCTTCTGCATAGTAAGGGAAAATATCAACAGAGTAAATAAGCAAACTACAGAATGGGAGAAAATATTTACAAACTATGCATCCAACAAAGGTCTAATATCCAGGATCTATAAGGAACTTAAATTTACAAACAAAATAAATAAATAAAGTAAAATAAAATAAAAAGTGGGCAAAGGACATGAACAGACACTTTTCAAAAGAAAACATACATGTACCAACAAACATGAAAAATGGTCAACATCACTAATCATTAGAAAAATGTGAATAGAAACCACAACGAGATACGATCTCATACCAGTCAGAATGGCTGTTATTAAAAAGTCAAACAACAAGAGAAGCTGGAGAGGTTGTGGAGAAAAGGGAACATTTATACACTGCTGATGAGAATTTAAAGTAGTTCAGCCATTGTGGAAAGCAGTTTGGAGATTCCTCAAAGAACTTAAAACAGAATAATCATTCAACCCAGCAATCCCATTATTGGGTATATACCCAAAGGAATACAAATCATTTAGACACATGCACATGTTTGTTCGTTTTAGGACTATTCACAACAGCAAAGACAAGGAATCAACCTACCTGCCTATCAACAGTAGACTGAATAAAGAAAATGTGGTACATACTCACCATGGAATACAACACAGGGAGACCATTATCCTAAGTGAACTAAATACCGCATGAAATCAAATACCGCATGTTCTCACTTATAAGTGGGAGCTAAACATCAAGTACATATGGTCACAAAGAAGGGAACAACAGACACTGGAACCTACCTGAGGGTGGAGGATGGGAGGAGGGTGAAGGTCAAAGAACTGCCTATCGGATACTATGCTTATTACTTGGGTGAGGAAATAATCTGCATACCAAATTCTCACAACGTGCAATTTACTTACATAACAAACCTGCACAAGTACCCTGAACCTAAAATAAAAGTTTTTTTAATGTTAAAAGGAAAGAAAGAAAACACAACTAAAAGTACAGAAAACACACACACACAAACCCCCACTGTACTCTGTATTTTACGTGCATTAGTGTATTAATCCTTTCTCCCATTGCTATAAAGAAATACCTTAGACTGGGCAATTTATTAAAAGGACAAGTTTTAATTGGCTCACAGTTCCACAGGTTGTACAGGAAGCATGATGCTGGCAACTGCTGGCTTCTGGGGAGGCCTCCGGAATTTACAATCATGGTGGAAGGCGAAGGGGGAGCAGGCACTTCACATGGCGGGAGCAGGAGCAAGAAGAGACAGAGTGGGAGGTGCTACACACTTTTAAGCAATCAGATCTCACAAGAACTCACTCACTCTCTATCGTGGGGACTGTACCAAGGAGATGGTACTACACCATTCATGAGAAATCTGTCCCCATGATTCAATCACCTCCCACCAGGCCTCACCTTTAACACTGGGGATTACAATTTAACATGAGATTTGCTGGGGACATAGAGCCAAACCATATCAATTAGCTCATTTAATCATCACAGAAATCCTATAAGGAAGGTACTAGCACCCCATTTTACAGATGAGAACACTAAGGCTCAGTGAGATTAGGCAACTTTCCAGGGTCCCTCAAGAAATTAGAGGCAAAGGCAGAATTCAAATCTGTGTACTTATTCATCCAGCCACTAGAAATTTACTGAATGCTTTCTATGTCTCAGACTCTGGATCTTTATTTTATATTTTCACCCATTAAATGTTCAACAGTATCATCTCAATCACATACCCAGAGGAGTTCCAAAGAGAACAGATGACTGGATGCTGGGAAGGGGAAAGAAAAATTATAGTAAAATGTGTTTTTACCTCTAGTCAAAAGTTGAGTCTCTGGGAACCAGCATCACAAACAACCACCCTTTGCCCTATGAAAAATTGTACAGGACTGACACTCCTTCAGGGAAACTTAATGCATTGACTGCCCTAATCTGGGGCTCCTGGTGCCCTGCTATCTTTCCTCATCACATGAGTAGCCCCGGCCATGACTTTGAGTTTCTCTTGTCTCACCAACATCATCTTTCATCCTGCCTTTCAACATCACTTCTATTGACTTGGACACCTCAAGTGATAATGACTGAAGGTTGTCTTGGGAATAAAGACTGAAAGAGACTATGAAACCTTGGATCTTATATTCTTGCTTTAACAGTAAGAGTTTTGGAAATGAGAACCTTTGTCCAGAATACTGAATCCACAAGTTCTTGAAAAATTATGGTAAATTTCATGATATTCTCTAAACTTTATTACAGAGGCATAAAGGAAGAATCAGTTATCTTACATATATTTTGAAGGAAAAAAACTCAGATTAGTTTTTTATTTACTCACATTTATAGTAAAGTGTACCAGCCCTAAGCCCCCTCAATCATTCTGATTAAATGAGATTTTCCTATGTGAGGCACAGATTTGGCCCTTTGAGTCATGTCCAGGTGAAAGGCTAGCCTCTTTATAAGAAACAACTAAGGAAAAATACAAGGCTGGAAAGAATCAAGCAGAATAGACAATGAAATATAATAGGAATTCAAAGAAGACATAGACTAGCTGGGTGGCCTGTCCCCAATAAACAGCACTGGAAGCTGGAGAGCTGCCTAGGAGTGGGAAGTGAGGACTGAGATTAATTATTGAATGAAGAAATAAGGGAAGAGTATTACATTGCATTTTCTCCACATGGGAGCTTGAAGAGAAGGATGCATTTCTAAGAAGACAGAGTAAGTGGCTGCTTACTGGTCTCATTTGAAAAAGGTGAACAGCTCTTTCTTCCTGGTCTTCCTAAGAAAATTCTCCTGCAACCTCATTACAGGGAATAAAATGTCCGCCAATAAGCCACTCGCTCCAGTTCAGGAGTTTAAAGACCACTATTCATTTAGAGTGAAAAAGGCACAGGAGAGACTAAGGCATTACCATCCATAAACATTTTAGGCCAAATTGAATTATCATATGTATTTTTTAAATAGAGAGACCTTTCCTGATCTATATTACTTTTGGAGTAGGAAGAAGTAGGAATCAGAATCCGTAAACTTTGATGAAGGTCAGGAGAATTAAAGAAAGAGTTCTGGGATTAAGGTGGGTGCTATAGTGAGGACAGCACGAAGTCAAGGTACCTGAGGACTGAAAAAAGGTAAAGGAAAAAGGGAAATTTAAAAAAAAACTGTCTTCATTTCACAATTTTTCCTAAAAAGTTTCATAGAAAAAAAAAAAGTGTCATTCAAAAGAAAGGAGCCACAAACTTACAAAATGGTATGTAGGTACAATTTTAAGCTCTCTAAGTGGTTAAGATACAAGAGCATTGATTCTCCCAGTCCCTAAAAGTTTGTATGCCTTCTATTTCCTAAAAAAAAAAAAAAATCCCGATTCCTATTTCTATGAGAAAGCAAGACGCCTTAGTAGAAAGTACTGATTTTTATAAGAGGAATAGAAGTAGTTTTCCTATAAATGTATGTTTTTCATTATAAATGTGAAAACACATATTTCAAAATAGAGAAGAAAATTTGCTCATAATTTGGCATTGTACTTTTTCCATTTACCATATATCACATAGCAGAATCATTATTCTACGTTGCTACATAGTCTTTATAACCACCATTTAAATGGCCACTTACTATTATGTATCTTAATTTGTGAGTTTCTTTTCAAACATGTTAAGTGTATGCAGCAGGCAAGAGATCCAATTGGAAATGTCATCTAGACAGCTCCACAAAGAATGTATTTCTTGGTTGAAGCATTCAACTCTTTGCTTTCTATTTAATGCAACGGTCTCTGTAATTTTTTCTGTGGTCATATTATCATTGCCTGAAGAATGGACTCCAGGGGCATTCAACATATTTGCTTGTGAATTCGATGAGGCCTTAGCTAGCATATTTATCAAATTTGTAAGCGGCCCAGGAGTTGAGAGTCATAACCACTATGGTAGATGACAGATTCTGAATCCAAAGAGAATTTGATAGGCTGAAAATACGATACAATGAATCAAACAAGATGGCATTTCACAGGGTAAGAGTTGAAAGAACTGAGGATGTTTTGACTAGAGAAAAGATGTCTTAGAATGGACAAGATAATGGTCTTCAAATATCTGAGGGATTTTCATTATAAAAAGGGAATTCTAAAGAGAACTGTAACAAAAGGTAAATAAGACTATAAGATTCAAATTAAGAAATTACTTCCTAACAAATGGAGCTGTTAAACAAAAAGACGGCCACTGTCATTTGTCCATTTATTCCATAAATATTTATTGAGCACACCTGCTATGTGCCAAGTACTATGTGCTAGCAGGGAACAAGGCAATCATGCTCAGCTCCCCTCTCAGGGTGCCCACATTTTAGCCAGAGACACAACTGAAACAAAACAATCAAATACACCAATTAAAACTCACAGGCCAGGCACAGTGGCTCACATCTATAATCCCAGCACTATGGGAGGCCGAGGCAGATGGATCCCTTGAGGTCAGGAGTTCAACACCAGCCTGGCCAACATGATGAAACCCCGTCTCTACTAAAAATACAAAACAATTAGCCAGGCGTTGTGTCACACATCTGTACTCCCAGCTACTCGGGAGGCTGACGCAGGAGAATCGCTTGAACCCAGGAGGTGGAGGTTGCAGTGAGCCAAGATAGCGCCACTGCACTCCAGCCTGGGCAACAGAGCGACACTCTGTCTCAAAAAAAAAAAAATTCACAAATTGTGTGTTATAAACAAGAAAAGGGCTTGCAATAGAGATTAGTGAGAGGGATCACTGCAAACAAATAGTCAAGAAAAACTTTTCCATGTAGGTGACACTTCAACAGAAATCTAAAAAATAGGAAGGAGCCAGTCATATAAACAGCAACAAAATATTCCAGGCTATAGCTCGGAGGCAAAAAAAAAAAGGAGCTTATGTGTTTGAAATACTGAAAGAAGGCTAATGATGCTGGAGCATAGTGTGAGAAGAGGAGAATGGAGAGAGAGAGGGAAGGTTGGGGAAATAAGCAGAAAACAGCACCCTATGGGCATAGTAAGGAGTTTGGATCCTAATCGAAGGCTACAAGAAGCTGAAGCTGTTGAAGACGTTTAAGCAGTCAAGTTTAAGACTTGATTGATTTTTGTTTTAAAAATGATCACTGGCTTTGCTATGGATAATGGATTCCAGAGAGGCTGTAGTGGAAACAGGGAGGCCTGTTAGGAGGCTATTGCAGTGATCCAGGTGAGAGATGGTAGCTTGGACCAAGGGGGTGGCAATGGAGATAGAGAGAAGAGAGCAGATCTGGGATAGAATCCTGGGAGAGAGTGTGGTCCAAATCCCTGGAAGAACTTGGATGACCCCTTCTCAGTAGGCCATCCCTCAAAAGAACTGGGATGACCACTTCTCAATAGGCCATCCCTCAATATCCCTCAAAAGAAGGGTTTCAGATCTTTTGAAGCCCCTTCTGAGTCTACGATTCTATGGGAAACAGAGAAGAGATTCTGGAAGAGACATAGCTCCCTTGTGGGTTTGAGGCACTGTTCCCACTGATTTACATGCACAGGCCCTGTTTTTCTTGCATATTGAGCAATGAAAGACACTAGGTCAGGGCAGATTTCCCCAAAGAGTTAATTACTGGCCTGGCCCCAGGAGGACGGGAATAAAACAGGGGCGTGTGGAAGGCATCAAGCTTACATGAGCAGCACTAATGGGAGCAGTCCACTGCCAGACACCATCTCCATAATGCTACAAATTACCAGAGCCTCTGGAATCCAATTCTGCAGCTGCTGCACAGATGTGTGTGGAGCACTGGGCTGGGAGCAGAGAAAGGAGAGTGGCACATAAAGAAGATCCCAATCAAGCCAGGTCTCTTGGCATATAAGGAAATAACTACTATTCCTGTCTCCACAGCATAACCAGAAAGATCTATTCAAAATGCCAATGTGATCATGTCCTTATTCATTCTCATCCCCAATCGTGAACCTTGCAGTGGCTTAGCATTGCTTTTAGGTTGAAGACCAAAATCCCTAACACGTTCTATAAGTAAGGTGAGCCTATGTCCTGGTGTCCCCAGGGTAATTGGAGTTTATGCCTCTTTGGGTAGTTATTCATGCCCCTTTATTTTACTCTCACAAGTGTTTCAGTTTAGATGGTAAATTATGTGGTTCCCCCTCCTTTTAATGTCCCATGAGGTCTTTTCATCACAGATATCTCGATCCTCATCTCCTACTGTGCTCTGAGCAGTAGCCCCACTAGGCTTCTTTCTGTTCCTCCAACTCCCTATTATCCTCCTGTTAGAGACTTTACATCAGGTATCCTCTCTGGCTGGAAACCTTTTCCACTTCCCTCCCTTTCACCAAACCACTCCTCCTCTTCCTCCTCCTCCTCCAGCTTCTCCCTGGCCAGGGAGCTCTCCCTTAGACTGGTCCTTAGCTCCAAGGATGCTCCTCCTCTCCACAACCCTTATCACAGTGGATTTTGGTTATTTGCCTGATTCTTTGATCAATGTTCAACTATCTCTCCCATTTGAATGTGGGCAGGAACCATCTATTCTTCACCTTTGAAAGCTGAACAGTAGGCAGATTTGGACAGAATGAATGAATAAACAAATCAATGATGAATAACTGGTTACCCACTGTCTTCTCCTGCCAAAAAAAAAGAAAAAATATATATGTATTAATACATTTAGAAAATGGTAGGAGATAACCTACTGGTGCCCTTTATAATATAGTTATATATCTGTGTGTATATATACATATATATATAGGTTTTTGAAATATTGACTTTCATACTGTTTTCCTCTTAAAGCTGGACTCTTTTCCCAAAGATACAACAATAATTCAGTGTACTTTTTTTTTAATAGATTGACCTATTCTCAACACTTTATATAAATGAAATCATACAGGCTGGGTGTGGTGGCTCACGCCTGTAATCCCAAAACTTTGGGAGGCTGAGACGGGTGGATCACGAGATCAGGAGTTCAAGACCAGCCTGGCCAAGATGGTGAAACCCCGTCTCTACTAAAAAAAAAAAAAAAAAAAAAAGAAAAAGGAAATACAAAACTTAGCTGGGCGTGGTGGCAGGTGCCTGTAATCCCAGCTACTCGGGATGCTGAGATGGAGAATTGCTTGAATCGGGGTGGTGGAGGTTTCAGTGAGCCGAGATTGCGCTACTGCTCTCCAGCCTGGCGACAGAGTGAGACTCTGTCTCAAAAAAAAAAAAAGGAATCATACAACATGCAGTCTTTTGTGATTCTTTTTTCACTTAGCATAATGTTTTTTCTTTCTTTTTTTTTTTTTTTTTTGTATACTTTAAGTTCTGGGATACATATGCAGAACGTGCAGGTTTGTTACATAGGTATACATGTGCCATGGTGGCTTCCTGCACACATCAACCCATCATTTACATTAGGCATTTCTCCTAATGCTATTCCTCCCATAGCCCCCACTCCCTGAGAGGCCCCAGTGTGTGATGTTCCCCTCCCTGTGTCCATGTGTTCTCATTGTTCAACTCCCACTTATGAATGAGAACATGCAGTGTTTGGTTTTCTGTTCCGGTGTTGGTTTGCTGAGAATGATGGTTTCCAGCTTCATCCATGTCCCTGCAAAGGACGTGAACTCATCTTTTATTATGGCTGCATAGTATTCCATGGTGTATATGTGCCACATTTTCTTTATCCAGTCTATCATTGATGGGCATTTGGGTTGGTTCCAAGTGTTTGCTATTGTGAACAGTGCTGCAATAAACATATGTATGCATGAGTCTTTATAGTAGAATGATTTATAATCCTTTGGGTATATGCCCAGTAATGGGAATGATGGTTCAAATGGTATTTCTGGTTCTAGATCCTTTAGGAATCGCCACACTGTCTTCCACAATGGTTGAACTACTTTACACTCCCACCAACAGTGTAAACGCATTCCTATTTCTCCACATCCTCTCCACCATCTGTTGTTTCCTGACTTTTTAATGATCACCATTCTAACTGGCATGAGGTGGTATCTCATCTTGGTTTTGATTTGCATTTCTCTAATGACCAGTGACGATGAGCTTT
The DNA here is from genome assembly GCF_000001405.40 of Homo sapiens. NCBI lineage: Eukaryota > Metazoa > Chordata > Mammalia > Primates > Hominidae > Homo > Homo sapiens. Next base: position 27,268,652 of record NC_000011.10, read on the forward strand.
TTTTCATATGTTTGTTGGCTACATAAATGCCTTCTTTTAAGAAGTGTTGGTTCATATCCTTAACCCATTTTTTGATGGGGTCATTTGTTTTTTTCTTGTAAATTTGTTTAAGTTCCTTGTAGATTCTGGTTATTGGCCCTTTGTCAGATGGATAGGTTGCAAAAATTTTCTCTCATTCTGTTGGTTGTCTGTTCACACTGATGATAGTTTCTTTTGCTGTGCAGAAGCTCTTTAGTTTAATTAGATCCCATTTGTCAATTTTGGCTTTTGTTGCCATTGCTTTTGGTGTTTTAGTCATGAAGTCTTTGCCCATGCCTATGTCCTAACTGGTATTGCCTAGGTTTTCTTCTAGGGTTTTTATTGTTTTAGGTCTTATGTTTAAGTCTTTAATCCACCTTGAGTTAATTTTTGTATAAGGTGTAAAGAAGGGGTCCAGTTTCAGTTTTCTGCATATGGCTAGCCAGTTTTCCCAGCACCATTTATTAAATAGGGAATCCTTTCCCCATTTCTTGTTTTTGTCAGATTTGTCAAAGATCAGATGGTTGTAGATGTGTGGTGTTATTTCTGAGGTCTCTGTTCTGTTCCATTGGTCTATATATCTGTTTTGGTACCAGTACCATGCTGTTTTGGTTACTGTAGCCTTGTAGTATAGTCTGAAGTCAGGTAGCTTGATGCTTCCAGCTTTGTTCTTTTTGCTTAGGATTTTCTTGGCTATATGGGTTCTTTTTTGGTTCTCTATGAAATTTAAAGTAGTTTTTTCTAATTCTGTAAGAAAGTCATTTGTAGCTTGATGGGGATAGCATTGAATATATAAATTACTTTGGGCAGTATAGTCATTTTCACGATATAGATTCTTCCTATCCATGAGCATGGAATGTTTTTCCATTTGTTTGTGTCTTCTCTTATTTCCTTGAGCAGTGGTTTGTAGTTCTCCTTGAAGAAGCCCTTCACATCCCTTGTAAGTTGTATTCCTAGGTATTTTATTCTCTTTGTACCAATTCTGAAAGGGATTTCACTCATGATTTGGCTCTCTGTTTGCCTGTTATTGGTGTATAGGAATGCTTGTGATTTTTGCACACTGATTTTGTATCCTGAGACTTTGCTGAAGTTGCTTATCAGCTTAAGGAGATTTTGGGCTGAGATGGGATTTTCTAAATATACAATCATGTCATCTGCAAACAGAGACAATTTGACTTCCTCTCTTCCTATTTGAATACGCTTTATTTCTTTCTCTTGCCTGATTGCCCTGGCCAGAACTTCCAATACTATGTTGAATAGGAGTGGTGAGAGAAGGCATCCTTGTCTTGTGCTGGTTTTTAGAGGGAATGCTTCCAGGTTTTGCCCATTCAATATGATATTGGCTGTGGGTTTGTCATAAATAGCTCTTATTATTTTGAGATACATTCCATCAATACCTAGTTTATTGAGAGTTTTTAGCATGAAGCGGTGTTGAATTTTATTGGAGGCCTTTCTGCATCTATTGAGATAATCATGTGGTTTTTGTCGTTGTTTCTGTTTATGTGATGGATTACATTGATTGATTTGCATATGTTGAGCCAGCCTTGCATCCCGGCATGAAGCCGACTTGATCATGGTGGATAAGCTTTTCGATGTGCTGCTGGATTCGGTTTGCCAGTATTTTATTGAGAATTTTCACATCAATGTTCATCAGGAGTATTGGCCTGAAATTTTCTTTTATTGTTGTGTCTCTGCCAGGTTTTGGTATCAGGATGATGCTGGCCTCATAAAATGAGTTAGGGAGGATTCCCTTTTTTTCTATTATTTGGAATAGTTTCAGAAGGAATAGTACCAGCTCCTCTTTGTACTTCTGGTAGAATTTGGCTGTGAATCTGTCTGGTCCTGGGCTTTTTTTGGTTGGTAAGCTATTAATTACTCATTCAATTTCAGAACTTGTAATTGGTCTATTCAGCGATTTGATTTCTTCCTGGTTTAGTCTTGGGAGTCTTTGTATAAGGTGGGAGTGTGTAAGTGTCCAGGAATTTATCCATTTCTTCTAGATTTTCTAGTTTACTTGCATAGAAGTGTTTATAGTATTCTCTGATGGTAGTTTGTATTTCTGTGGGGTCAGTGGTGATATCCGTTTTTATCATTTTTTATTGTGTCTATTTGATTCTTCTCTCTTTTCTTCTTTATTAGTCTGGCTAGCAGTCTATCTATTTTGCTAAGCTTTTCAAAAAAACCAGCTCCTGGATTCATTGATTTTTGAAGGGTTTTTCGTGTCTCTATCTCCTTCAGTTCTGTTCTGATCTTAGTTATTTCTTACCTTCTGCTGGCTTTTGAATTTGTTTGCTCTTGCCTTTCTAGTTCTTTTAATTGTGATGTTAGGGTGTCGATTTTAGATCTTTCTTGCTTTCTCCTGTGGGCATTTAGTGCTGTAAATGTCCCTCTAAACACTGCTTTAGCTGTGTCCCAGAGATTCTGGTATGTTGTGTCTTTGTTCTCATTGGTTTCAAATAACTAATTTATTTCTGCCTTCATTTCGTTATTTACCCAGTAGTCACTCAGGAGCAAGTTGTTTAGTTCCCATGTAGTTGTCAGGTTTTAAGTGAGTTTCTTAATCCTGAGTTCTAATTTGATTGCACTTTGGTCTGAGAGACTGTTTGTTAGGATTTCTCTTCTTTTGCATTTGCTGAGGAGTGTTTTACTTCCAATTATGTGGTCAATTTTAGAATAAGTGTGACGTGGTGCTGAGAAGAATGTATATTCTGTTGATTTTGGGTGGAGAGTTCTGTAGATATCTATTAGGTTTACTTGGTCCAGAGCTGAGTTCAAGTCCTGAACATCCTTGTTAGTTTTCTGTCTTGTTTATCTGTCTAATATTAACAGTGGGGTGTTAAAGTCTCCCACTATTATTGTGTGGGAGTCTAAGTCTCTTTGTAAGTCTCTAAGAACTTGCTTCATCAATCTGGGTGCTTCTGTGTTGGGTGCATATATATTTAGGATAATTAGCTCTTCTTGTTGCATTGATCCCTTTACCATTATGTAATGCCCTTCTTTGTCTTTTTTGATCTTTGTTGGCTTAAATCTGTTTTATCAGAGACTAGGATTGCAACCCCTGCTTTTTTTTGCTTTCCATTCACTTGGTGTATATTCCTCCATCCCTTTATTTGAGCCTATGTGTGTCTTTACACGTGAGATGGGTCTCCTGAATACAGCACACTGATGGGTCTTGACTCTTTATTCAGTTTGCCAGTCTGTGTCTTTTAATTGGGACATTTAGCCCATTTACATTTAAGGTTAATATTGCTATGTGTGAATTTGATCCTGTCACTATAATGCTAGCTGGTTATTTTGCTCGTTAGTTGATGCAGTTTCTTCATAGCATCAACGGTCTTTACAATTTGGTATGTTTTTGCAGTGGCTGGTACCGGTTCTTCCTTTCCATATTTAATGCTTCCTTCAGGAGCTCTTGTAAGGTAGGCCTGGTGGTGACAAAATCTCTCAGCATTTGTTTGTCCGTAAAGGATTTTATTTCTCCTTTGCTTATGAAGCTTAGTTTGTCTGGATATAAAATTCTGGGTTGAAAATTCTTTAAGAATGTTGAATATTGGCCTTCACTCTCTTCTGGCTTGCAGGGTTTCTGCAGAGAGATCTACTATTAGTCTGATGGGCTTCCCTTTGTTAGTAACCCAACCTTTCTCTCTGGCTGCCCGTAACAGTTTTTCCTTCATTTTAACCTTGGTGAATCTGACAATTATGTGTCTTGGGGTTGCTGTTCTCGAGGAGTATCTTTGTGGTGTTCTCTGTATTTCCTGAATTTGAATGTTGGCCTATCTTGCTAAGTTGGGGTAATTCTCCTGGATAATATCCTGAAGAGTGTTTTCCAACTTGGTTTCATTCTCCCCGTCACTTTCAAGTACACCAATCAAACATAGGTTTGGTCTGTTCACATAGTCCCATATTTCTTGGAGGCTTTGTTCATTCCTTTTCATTCTTTTTTCTCTAATCTTGTCTTCATGCTTTATTTCATTAAGTTGAATTTCAATCTCTGATATCCTTTCTTCTGCTTGATTGATTCAGCTGTTGATACTTGTGTATGCTTCATGAAGTTCTAGTGCTGTGTTTTTCAGCTTCATCAGGTCATTTATGTTCTTCTCTAAACCTGTTATTCTAGTTAGCAATTCGTCTAACCTTTTTTCAAGGTTCTTAGTTTCCTTGCATTGGGTTAGAACATGCTTCTTTAGCTCAGAGGAGTTTGTTATTACCCACCTTCTGAAGCCTACTTCTGTCAATTCATCAAACTCATTCTCTGTCCAGTTTTGTTCCCTTGCTGGTGAGGAGTTGTGATCCTTTGGAGGAAAAGAGGCATTCTGGTTTTTTGAATTTTCAAACTTTTTGCACTGGTGTTTTCTCATCTTCATGGATTTATCTACCTTTGATCTTTGATGCTGGTGACCTTCAGATGGGGTTTTTATATGAACATCCTTTTTGTTGATATTGATGCTATTCCTTTCTGTTTGTTGGTTTTCCTTCTAATAGTCATGACCCTTTGCTGCAGGTCTGCTGGAGTTTGCTGGAGGTCCACTCCAGACCCTGTTTTCCTGGGTATCACTGGCAGAGGCTGCAGAATAGCAAAGATTGCTGCCTATTCCTTCCTCTGGAAGCTTCGTCCCAGAGGGGCAACCACCAGATGCCAGCCAGAGCTCTTCTGTATGAGGTGTCTGTCAACCCCTGTTGGGAGGTGTCTCCCAGTCAGGAGGCACGGGGGTCAGGGACCCACCTGAGGAGGTACACTGTTCCTTAGCAGAGCTTGAGCACTGTGCTGGGAGATCCACTGCTCTCTTCAGAGCCAGCAGGCAGGAATATTTAAGTCTGCTGAAGCTGCGCCCACAGTTGCCCCTTCCCCCAGGTGTTCTGTCCCAGCAAGATGGGAGTTTTATCTATAAACCCCTGACGGGGGCTGCTGCCCTTCTTTCAGATATGCCCTGCCCAGAGAGGAGGAATCTGGAGAGCAATTTAGTGTACTTCTAAAACACCTCTTTGGAACTTGCCTGGAAAGTCTCAGTATATTCTTTTGGATTTCCTCAATAATGGCAAAATTACGACCTTCAGAAAGAGGGGTTTTGTTGTGTTTTGTTGTTGTTGTTGTTGTTTTGAGACAGGGTCTTGCTCTGTTGCCCAGGCTGGAGTGCAGTGGCATGATCTTGGCTCACTGCAACCTTCTTCCAGGCTCAAGACATCCTCCCACCTCAGCTTCCCAAGTAGCTGGGACTACAGGGGCGTGCCACCATTCCTGGCTAATTTTGTGTGTGTTTTTGTGAAGACGGGGTTTCGCCATGGAGGCTGGTCTCAGACTCCTGGGCTCAAGAGACCCACCCACCTCAGCCTTCCGAACTGTGTGGACTACAGGTGTGAGCCACTGCACATAGCCCAGAAAGTTTTCATTTCTGGAAAAACCATCTGGTATTCAATACCAAAGCTAGTGAACAAGCCTGGAGACCAAGCCAGAGATGGATGTTCAGGTCAAAAATGAGGTGAAATTTTACAGATACCAAATCTATCACATGTCTCCTAACTAGCTCTGGAGAACATTGCAAACATTCTCTGAGCCCTGGCACAAATATGGAAGAAGGTAACAAGCCTACAATATAACCATTTTGAAAGATAAGCCTTGTTCAGTCATTTGAAAACGTGTGAAAAATCAACCTCCAGAAACAAGTACCTCAGAATGGCTATCCCACCTCCCAAATGTATGGTCAATTTAAGCTTGTAAAATGTTTTCCCAAAATTGATCAGGGATGTCCTTTCCAAAAAGTGTCCACTCTAACAGACTTTGCTCTTTTTATTTTGGAGAGCAAGGCTAATAAAGTTGAGGACGTAGGAAAATGGAACCTGAGCTTACCTAGGGTCATGAGTTGTGAAGGCTTTAGAGAAATCTAACAGCTCCCAGGGCTATGCGTGGCTGGAAAAAAATAAATCCCAGCTCCCCAAGACAGCATCATAACGGGTTCCACTTAAGTGTACACATCTGTGGAGCCCACCTCTTTGTGCTCTTTCCCCCAAATCTCCCAGGGCCTGCCCTAGGATTGACAAACAAAACTCACCTCTGAAATTTCATTAGCACCACCAGAATGTTTGCCTCACAGCTTCCAGGTGGGACAGGAGGAGAAAAGGTATTTTCTGAGCCCCACCTTAAATATGCAAGCGCCAAGTTCAAGGAGGAGCTATAGAACCTAGAGCTCTAGATCATGTGACTTTCTCCACAGCCCTTGAAAGACATCAGGAAGAAAAAGGATAAATATACTGGGGGATCCTGGTAAGCCTGTGCCTTGAGGGCTTTCCACCTTCCCACTCTTGACCATCTGGTGTCAAATCCAGTTTCCATTTCTGAATGTCAGTCCAAAAATAAACAATGGTCTAAAAATGTTTTGCCTCCTTGCTAGCACTTGTAAATTAGCCCTCTACTTCCAACCTAGAGTGCAGACATTTCAGCTATTTGGAGCACCATCTCCTCTGTCCTAAATATGAATCAGGAGATACAAAGAACAAAGAAGCCATTAAGTGTCACAGAAATGCACTCTTCACTGTGTCACAGTGGCAACAGAAGTTCAAGGACATTGCAAACACAGTCTGGTCCAGGATGCAGGCAGCATAACCAGAAAGACAACCAAGACTGGAGGAGTCAGAAGTTAAACCAAGATGATAGAGCATGATTTAGGACTGGCACCAATCTGGGAATTGCTCAAAACATGCTAGGTGAACAAAATGCCCCCAAATATGTAGTACCCGGACAATTGATTGAAAGGGGATCTTTTTCCTGGCCCTGGACCTCAGCAACAAATAAAATCAGGGAAGAAGGAGCTCTATACCCATTGCTTATACCACAAGAGAGTTCTTTCTGTCCCAATGGTCTATTGCACTGAAAATCTCAAGTTCCTTCATTTTCACAGTCTTTGGCCAGTCACTTAAACCCATGGCATAAAGTCCTCTAGTCTATCAACTTTCAAACTTTTTGGCCATGGCTCACCTGAGAAATACATTGTATACTATGACCCACTAAACATACTCTCTCTCTTTCTCTCAATATAACTGGAGAGAGAGCTCTAGGCTCTATAGCTCCTCCTTGAAATTCGTGCTTGCATATTTAAGGTGGGGCTCAGAAAATACCTTTTCTCCTCCTGTCCCACCTGGAAGCTGTGAGGCAAACATTCTGGTGGTGCTAATGAAATTTCAGAGCTGAGCTTTTTGTTTGTCAATTAAAAGTACAGATAGTACTTTTAATGCATGCAAAATATTTCCTATTCAATTCAATGTTATTCTCTAAGCAACTCATTTTTCAGTTAATCAAAGTGCAATCCTGATAAGGGAAGGCACTTGCTTAAGGTGCCTTGCACCTTGGCTAGCCTTGCATGAGGCTAGTTGTGAGCAGGATGGAGACTGAAACCCAAGGCTTCAACCTCACAGCCATTGTGCCTTCACTGGGTTCACTGACAATGCAAATTCCAGAAATGAACTTAAAGGCAAGAGTTACCAAACCGAGATTGGGAATTAGAGTCCTTATAAGGAGAGATCACAAGACAGATGATCTCTCTCTCTCCACCACATGAAGACACAGCAAGAGGGCAACCATCTGCAAACCAGGAAGAGAACCCTCATCAGAACTCAACCATGCTGGCACCTTGATCTTTGGACTTCCAGCCTCCAGAACTACAAGAAAATGAATGTTTGCTGTTTAAGTCATTCAGTGTATGGTATTTTTGTTATAGCATCCAGAACTAAGACACCAGTGTATTTATTATGTATTAGTTTTCCATTTTAAGATATTGGTTGGCTCCAACACTGACTACTCCTGTCTCTGATCTCCTGTCATAGCAAGTCTACACTACACAAAGGGGCACCCAGATTCCCTCATCACTGCAGGGAACACATGCTTCTCCAGTTGGATGGTAATGATGCTGAAGACCAATGCCCCCTCAACCATTCTGGTAGCATCACGACACTAAGCACAGGACAGGCACATGGTAGGCACTCAGTAGCTACTTGTTATAGGCTTTTTGGTCATAGTATTTATGTATATATTTGTGAAACTATTTGATTAACGATTGTCTCACCCACTGAACAGAAGGGAATTAATGACTTTTGCTTACCATTGGATCTCTGACACTTACTTCAGGAGCTGATATATGGTAGGTGCTCAATAAATATTTCTTGATTTAAAAATACATGATTGAGTGAACAGACCAAAGGACAACCAGGGATTCATATTATTTCCATAAATTCTCCGGGTTCACCTTACCTTTCCCATTTAGACTGAATAGACAAATAATTATCCAGTGAATTTTGTTTCTGCACACACTGAAGCATGGCCTCATCTGCCCCTTTGTCATAGGCCAGCAATTCCATCACAGAGAAAATGTTTAGAATTTCCCTGAAAATTTAACTCTTTGGAAAACAATTACCTTTTTTCCCCAAAACAAATAATTCCCAACATTAATGCCATTTTTTTTATTTTGAAGTTTTACGCAGGGAATAAAAAGAGTTGCAACAAGAAGTTAACATTAGATTTTTTGGTCCAAGATCTTGAGTTAACTAAATCCTCTCCAATAGGGTTGCCAACTTGGTAAGCTTTAATATAGTTTGGGGAAAATTGCCTCTGAAAGTTTGTAAAAAACAAAGAACAAACAAACAACACTGGAGAGGACTATAATAAATAACAAGAATGGTTAGCTCCGTGTAGTAGGATTACAAGTTATTTTTATTTCCTTTTCTTCACTTTTTGTGTATATTACAAATTTTCTAAAATTGGTATATATTATTAAGATAATTATGGAAAACATTTAAGTTATTTCTTCTTGCCCTCCCACCACCAAACTGCTTCTCCTCCTGCATTTCCTAGCTCAGTGAATGGCACCATGATCTTCACATTTTTCCAAGCCCAAAACCTGGGATCATGTTAGTATCCTCACTGTGTTTTATCTTTCAGAGTCAATGTGATCTACACACTGAGATGATTATTGCTCCTTGCCTTAGTCAACTCAGACTGCTATGACAAAATATCATAGACTGAATGGTTTAAATAACAGACATTTATTTCTCACAGTTCTAGAGGCTAGGTAAAGTCCGTGATCAAGGTGGCAGCAGATTCAGTTCCTGGTAAGAGCTCACCTCCTCGTTTGCACACAGCTACCTTCTGGTTGTGTCTTCACATGTCAGAGAGAGACAGAGAGAGAGAACACAAACATTCAGTCCATACTACTATTACCTCCCCAAACTTAGTGCCTCAAAACATTTATTATTAACCCTCTTTGTTCTGTGGATTGACTGGGATTCACTGGGTGGTTCTCATTTGGGGTCTCTCATGCAGTTGCAGTCATGTGTCAGCTGGACATCCAAATGGCTCATTCATACAATGACAGCTGATGGTGACTGTCAGCTGGAAGCTCAGCTGGAGCTGTCAACCGAATTGCCTCTGCATAGCTTCTTCATGTGACTTGGGCTTCTCAGGGTATGGCAGTTAGATTCCAAGACAGAGTGACCCAAGAGCAAGCATTCCAAAAGGCTCAGGTGACAGTTAAGTGACTTCCATATTTCCTGTACTTTGATAATTAGATATAGAATATTGATGAGATCTAGATTCTATCTTTTAATAAGAATATTCCCTATGGTGGTATGGTGTGCTTCCATTGGGAGGCACATAACACATGATGTTTGTCTTTTTATGATATTAACAGCCATTGATTATCAAATGCCTAGATAAAATAATTCATCAGAAGTTTAAATTTGCATTTTTCAAAGTCATTCCGACTATAGTACAAGTTATCTTAAAAATGAATAAATGTAATAGCTCTTTAATTATGTGCAACCTCATGAGAATGACAATCAAAATCAAGTTCTAACAATATGAATATTTATTGGGTACCTCCTGCTGGTTTGGTAATTTTAATAGTCTGTAAAAATAAGTAAGTTGAAAGGGAAAGAAAACAGGAATAAGTTGTTTTGGCATTCTCTTTCACTGATGCTGTTCCATGATTTCAGAAAGATTTTTATTTTAAAAAAACTTTTGAAATAAAACAAGGGCCCTTAAAGATTAACAATAAATTCATTTGCCCCATAATCAAGATAAATAACTGGAGTATGAAAATAAACTTTTGGTTTGCGCAAATGATTGCTTTTGCTTTTCTTTCTTCTCTGCTCTTTTTTCTGTCTTTACTCCCTCTTTGCTTGCCTCGCTCTTTTTTCCCTCAGGTAAGAAAATATCTTAAACTTTTTAAAAAAATAAAGGCAGAAAATCAAAATGTAACAAAATTACAAACACTGTGGTTAAAACTGTTTTTATTCAGAAGTTCCCTGAGCTGAGGAGTTTGCAACCTGCTGTAGGAGCAATGCTCAGGCTTCTTACATGCAGGTCAGACTGCATTTCAGCAATAACTCAGACCCTACCTGCATCCACCAAAAGATGAGGCAGAGCAGCCAAGAGGAGAGAACATTAGACCTCATCTGGGTTTCTAGCTTCACCACTTTCTGTATCATCTTGGTTATGGCTCCACGTGGAGTGGTGCATCTCAAGCTTTAATGGGTGTGCCAAACACCTGTGGATGTTGTTGGAATGCAGAGTCTGATTCAAAGGGACTGGAGTGGGACCTGCATTTCTGATAAGCTCCCAGGTGATATCTATGCTGACCTGTGGACCACACCTGGAGAGGGGAGGCTATAGAATCCACAGGAGCCACTATCTCTGCCCTTAAAGAAAGTCAATCCTTTTTAAGTTTTTCCCATATGGAATAATATTTTCCCTATTAGACCATGAGCATATCAAGTGACATTGCTACTGCCTTAATGATCCCTATTAGTTGAAAATATTTCCCAGCTAGCTTTATAATAAATGGTATCACTTACTCCTCGACCACAGGGTATTTATGGTAACTCACTCCAAGTAATGTTGCATGTGAAAAAAGACACCGAGAACTGCCCTATGCAAAGAGCAGACAGTAAGAGGGTTTGGAAGCCCACCAAGAAGCAATACTCTTGTCTTTGTCCCAGAGAAGCCAAGATTTTACCACAGGGCTGAAGTCTGGGTGGCCCTTTGGGTTTCCAGTCTACATCCGAGGCAAAAAAAAAAAAAATGACTTTATGATAATTAGCCTCCACAACATGCTTTCAAGGGAGGCATTATTAGACTTACGTTGTAGGTGGAGAAACTATAGCCATAGGGATGTCATTGTGCCCACCCAAGGCCACCCAAAGTGTCAGGGATAAAAACAAGGTTAAGAACCAAAAGTATGGGTAATCAGTCCTCAACATGAGCCATGAGACATTTTCAGTGAGGAATGTTTATAATACTAGTGAAAATGTCTATGTTAAAAGTAAAAAGTAGGAAAGCACAGAGAGCTCTAGGTAAAATATTTTGTTATTGCTTATAATTTGTTGCAATTTGAACTTATTTATTTGACACAAATACTTTTCACAAAAATCATTGCTTCAATGTCTTTTATTATTATACCTGGACACATTATTTAAATTGTCTGTGCCTCAGTTAATCACCTATGAAAAACTAGGATAATGATGGGACTTTGTGAGGATGAAATGAAATAATACATGTAGGAAACTTTAGCAGGGTCTGGCATGTGGTAAGCATTACGTAAGTATTAGTTATTATTCTCCGCACAGATAATGCAATGCATCTTCTCAATCATGACACAAGTTTTTCTTTGGCAGGAGCCACGGGTTTCACTCCCCTTCTGTTCTCCACAATGCTTAGTGGTGCTCAACTCAGAGTAGACTTAAAAAATGATTTCCTGTCTGAATCCCAAAGGCCAAGCTCTGTGTAACTCAATTTCCTTCCCATGTTTCATACTTTACAGATGTACCCCTCTTTCCCAGAATATTTACCATTATATACATGAAATGCTCAGTTTCTAAGAAGATTTTATTTTCTTTTTTCTTCTTCTTTTTTTTTTTTTTTTTGTGAGACAGAACCTTGTTTCCAGATTGGAGTGCAGTGGCACGATCTCAGCTGACTGCAATCTCTGCCTCCCAGGTTCAAGCCATTCTTGTGCCTCAGCCTGCCGAGTAGCTGAGATTACAGGTGTGTGCCACCCCACCCAGCTATTTTTTTTTTATTTTTATTTTTAGAAGAGACAGGGTTCATCCATATTGGCCAGGCTGGTCTCGAACTCCTGACCTCAGGTGATTCACCTGCCTCAGCCTCCCAAAGTGTTGGGATTACAAGCATGAGCCACTGTGCCCGGCTCTAAGAAAATTTTTTTCTAAATTATCATGATTTTCTCGTAGTTTATAATCTTCAAAGTCATTACACAAACATCAACTCATTTAAATTTTATAGCAATTGGTTGAAAGAGGCAGAATTTCAATGTGTCCTTTTTATGGTTGGGGAAACTGAGACCCTCTGATGTAAAGTAATTCCATCAAGGTCATGCTGATTAATAGTAATAACAGCCATTACTGCTAACATTTTTGAAGACTTATGAAGACTTTTCACATTTTTGAAGACTCATGTGAAGAACAAATGAAATTGCTGATATTTATCATTTAACCTGTCAGGAAAGGTAATTTTATATTGTTCAACCTAAACACTAAATGCGTTATGTAAGTTAATCCTCCTATGAAGCCTATAGGGTAAAAATGTCTATTTTATCAACAGGGAAAATGAAGACTTAAAAGTGAAGACATTTGCCCAAGGTCAAAGAGGGGAGCCAGGATTCAAACCCAGGCCAATATGATTCCAAAACCCAGACTGGCAACAACTCTTACCATATGGCCTCTCTAGTGTATGACTAGGAAGTGGCAGAGTTTGCACTGCTGCTTAGCTCACTGACTGTTGATACAACATTTTTAGTATTTAAAACTCGGCATGTTTATACTCACTCCCACAAGAACCACATAAAGGAGAAAAGATCATCCCCATATTAAGGATGAGAAAGTTGAGACTCAGAAAGTTTTAACGTCTTGGTCAAAGTCACACAGTTATTAAGTGGTGGGATTGGGATTCAAACTAGGGCTGCACAACATCAAAGTTTGGGCTCTTTACCACTGTATCAGTGGTTCCCAAATCACCCAGGAATCTTTTAAAACATCCTAACTTCAGGTGGCCAATTAAATCACAACCTCTTGGGGTGGAACACGGGTATTTGTAGTTTCTAAAACCCCCCAGGTGATCCCATTGTGCAGACAAGCTTGGGAACTACTGTACTTCACTCCATTCCTCCCCACCCAGTCTACCACATTTCTCCCATATCAAACCAACAGGCTGATAACATCTGGCCTTGAGGTCTCTGCTGTCGGTTTAACCCCACAGTAGTGTTCTTAATCATGCTTTATACAGAGTGAATGCCTATTTCCCAGACACATTCTGCAGAGAGCTAACAGCAGGAACCAAAACCAGCCCCAGCAATGAGACAATCACAGTATCTCTCCATTGAGAACAATCAGCTGCAACTGAGGCTGAAATAGAAAATGTTTCATCAAGGGAGGCCCTCAGCTCTCCTAGGTATTTAGCTTTTGGCCTTAGTAAGTACCCTGAACCAAGACAGCTGAGCTGCGCTGGAGTCTGGATGGAGAGCAAGGAGGGAGGCACTGGCGAGTCTGGCCAAGTGGGACAGCCCTCTGCCCTCACCATTACTCATATTCGTCATGTTGGGGTCAGGGCCGTGCTACTGAACATAAACTGGGAGGCCTACATTCCCTCCAACTGTGTCCAGTCACGACCAGTTCAGAATACTTCATCTTTACAAACTTTGCTTATTTTAAAAAATGTTTCCTTGATTCCTGCAAGCCAAACCCATGGAAAAATAACGGAAACCAAATGCCAGGGAAATAGAGCCAAAGCAAACACATGTGAGCTCTGAAATAACAGGAGATACTGTGGTCACGTCTGACCTTCTGAACTGTGCTATGGGTTGAAGCAAAAACAGCTCTTGCTGCTCCTTAAGAGGTGCATGGTAATAGTTTATTTGTAATGTGGAAGAGCTTGGGTTTAGAGAGATCACCATTTAAAATAGTAGGGACTTGGCCACAGAGCCAGAAATAATATCATTTTGAGGAAAGACTTTTTCTTATAAATGGCCACCCTTCACCTCCAATGATCAACATTAACCCAAGATCATCTGATTTTTATCTTTTATCTTTTATTAATAAGACCTCCAGAGCTTCTACAAATGTTTCTCTTCTAATTACACCAATATTTTGGTGCAGTCTAATATAGAAGCAGGAATGAAGTTCACTTGTTTATTTCAGCAGCCTGCAAGAGACAAATGGAGAAGGGCCCAGATGAAAATGTGAAATGATGACCCAGGGTCAAAAGGGAAAACAGAGACGACTCCTGGTTTTCACACTAACCAGTTCAGTCCCCAGCAATATGGCAGCGTCAGACCTGCTGGGGGCCTGCCAACAGTTACATTCCTGTGAAAAGCCAGTGGCTGCATTTTGGGGCACACAAAACAAGTCACCAGGAGAAATTTGCTCCATGTTAACATTACCAAGAAAAGACCACAAGCTACAGAGTTTATGCAAATGACGACTGGTTCCCATGGAAGAAATGCTTGTATTAAAATTGGCAAGTTTGCCTAAGAGTAAAATACTTATTTTCATTAACATGAAAACATGTTTTTCAGATAATATTCTCTTCCTTTAGTTACATCATTAGATGGAAAGCTAGAAGGTACATTTTTTCCTCCCTGAAGGAGAAAAGAAATACATTGTAAAAATAGCTTTATTGTAATTATTGTGGGGGAAAATAACCTATACATGAAGTAATAGCAAATACCTAGTAGTCTTTACTGTGTGTTCAGTCACAATGAAGCTTCACTCCTCTCCATGTATGCTATTATTGTCCAGATAATCTGCATGATTGCTATTATTGTCCAGAAGTTTTATTTTTATTTTAATGGAGTCATATTTATCAATCATTTCAGCTGTTCTTTCTCTTGTTTAAGAATTTTTTTAAACCCCCAAAATCAAAATAATTCCTCTACATTTTATTCTACAAGGTTTAAATATTCAATTTTTATATTTAGGTATATAAATTATTTGGAACTTATTTTGGATTAAATAATGAGATAGCAATCTAATTTACTTTTTCCCACTGGAGAATAAATTTTCCCAATCTCACTTATTCCCACTACCTCCATCCTTTCCACATTGGTAATGCCACATTTTTTGTATGTCAAGTTTACATAACTGTATGGGTTATCTTCTGAGCTCTGTTCTTTCTATTCCTGTTATGATATCCACAATCTTAATTACTACAGCTTTGTAATATGTTTATATTTGGTAGGACAATTCCAATACCCTCCCCACTCCATTTTATCTATCTTCTTTTTTGACATTAACCTTTGCCCTTTTATATCAATTTTAGGATCACTCGATTAAGTTCTAGGAAAATCCTATTGAGATTTTTGTCATAATCTGCAAGGCAATTTGGAAGTGGAACTGATATCTTCTTGATACTGAATCATCACATTAATGAACATGATATGCTTCTCCATTTCTTTAGCTTTTCTTAAAAATTTTTGAGAAAAATTTCTAAAAATAAAATTTTACCATAAAGGTCTTGTACATTATTTCACACATATTCTCAAATGCACTAATTTTTATGCTAACGTGATGTGTTTTTACAAGATATTTTTCTAATTGTTTTATAGAAATTCAAATGAAGTTTGTACATTAATAACTTATCCAGAAATCTTGCTAAGGTTTATTAGTTCTAATAATTTATAGATGTCCTTGGGTTTTCTATTGAGATACTCATAATGCCTGTGAATAATAACAGTTTTTTTCTTCTTAAATTATTTTATACTTTCTTTTGCCCATCAACATAAGGAATCTTTGTTTTGTTCCTTATTTTGGAGAGAAAGATTTTAAAATTTCATCATTAAAGATGATTGCTGTCCCACAAAAGAAATAAAATTATGTCTATATTTGCAGCAATATAGATGGAGCTGGAGGTCATAATCCTAAGTGAATTAATGCAAGAACAGAAAACCAAATACTACATGTTCTCATTTATAAGTGGGAGCTAACCATTGAGCACACATGGACATAAACATGGGAACAATAGACCATGTGGACTACCAAAGATAGGTGGGAGGGATCAGGGAATGGGTCAAGACCTTTAGGAGGCCGAGGCAGACGGATCACCAAGTCAAGAGATCGAGACTATCCTGGCCAACATAGTGAAACCCTGTCTGTACTAAAAATGCAAAAATTAGCTGGGCATGGTGGTGCCCGCCTGTAGGCCTAGCTACTCAGGAGGCTAAGGCAGGAGAATCACTTGAACCCAGGAGTTGGAGGTTGCAGTGAGCCAAGATTGAGCCACTGCACTCCAGCCTGGCAACAGAGCGAGACTCCGTCTCAAAAAAAAAAAAAAAGTACCTATTGGGTACTATGCTCATTACCTGGGTACAAGGTACAATATACCCATGTAGCAAACCTGCACATGTACCCCTGTGTCTAAAATAAAAGTTGAAGAAAAGAAAGAATATGTAAAAGTAAAAAAAAAAAAAAGGTCATTCGAGGTTTTTAGTACCTATCTTTCATTTAGAAAGACTCCTTGTATTCCTATTTTGTGAGGGGTTGGCTAAGAGAATTTTCTAATCATGAATAGGTATTGAGTTTTATCAAATGCTATTGAGATAATCATATGGCTTTTCTCGTTTAATCTTTTTAATATAAATCTGTGCATTCCTATGACGAATTTTATTTTATTTTAATACACTTATTAACTTTCTTGTCGTTTGTTTAGTTGTACATATGATATACATTTATAAGTAAGGCTGATTTGCAATCTCCTTTTTTTATACTCTATTTATCTGAGTTGGGGAATATTCCTTTGTTAATTATTCTTCAGTTAAATTGACACCAACATGAGATGATCTGTTCCTTGAATGCTCAGCCAAACTCATCTGGGCCTATGTGGGGGACAAGAGTAAGCTTTTTAACAGCTGATTCCATGTCTTTAATGGTTAAGGCTGTACTCCTGCTTCAATTTCTTCTTAAGGTAGCTTTGATAAATCATATTTTCCTTGGACATTGATCATTTCCGTCTTTTCAAATTTATTGGTATAGTATCTCCTTTTTCATCTGTATGGCATCAGCAGTTATGACCCCTTTTTCATTTCTAATATTGTTTGTAAATGCTGACTTGTTTTTTCAAAAAGTTTGGCCAAATCCTTGTCCATTCGTTTTTTTTCACAGATTCAATTATAGTAGACACTGCTTTAGTTCCATCCAGATTCCCTAGGGCTCTTTTATTCCTCTTCCAGATTCAGGGTGGTTTCCCTTCCCAGGGCCAGTACCTAAAACTTTTTTTTCAGAAGACTGCCCTCAGGCTACTGGAGGCACTTTGGCCACTTACACAGAGACACTGAAGTGTCTAGGAATCCACATCCACTCCAGTTAGCCCTTAGCCAATAACTGACAGCTGTGGGAGTATGGAGGCCCCAGGAGAAAGAACGCTGAGTGTACTTCACACATCAGAAACCCACCGTGGGATCAGATGGGAGCTGTTCTCCCTGGGACCTGGCCTGAAATGGTACCCTTGCCTATTTTTCCCTGGCCAGTTTTCACTGCCCCCTTACCTGCTTCTCTACGGAGCTTTTCCTTCACGGGTGAAATACACACTCATCTTCATCTCAGAGTCTGCTTCCGAAGAAACTAAGACAACAGCAGTTTTTCTTTTTTTCTTATTCTTTTTATTGTGTTCTGTTTTCTTTTTTTTTTTTTTTTTTTTTTTTTTGAGACGGAGTCTCGCTCTGTCGCCCAGGCCGGACTGCGGACTGCAGTGGCGCAATCTCGGCTCACTGCAAGCTCCGCCTCCCGGGTTCACGCCATTCTCCTGCCTCAGCCTCCCCAGTAGCTGGGACTACAGGCGCCCGCCACCGCGCCCGGCTAATTTTTTTTTGTATTTTTAGTAGAGACGGGGTTTCACCTTGTTAGCCAGGATGGTCTCGATCTCCTGACCTCATGATCCACCCGCCTCGGCCTCCCAAAGTGCTGGGATTACAGGCGTGAGCCACCGCGCCCGGCCATTGTGTTCTGTTTTCTAAGACTGTGTCATTAATGCGTCTCGTACCTTTCTTTTTTTTCCCTACTATTTCTGGGATATTTAATTTTCTTAGATTAGATGATTAGCTCCTTAATTCACAGTCTCTTTTTCTTAATATAATTATCTAAGGCTGGAAATTTTACTCTAAGCACTACTCTAAGCACTACAGCCCACAAGTTTTTGTTTTTTTTTGTTTTGTTTGTTTTTTTGAGATGGAGTCTCTCTCCGTCGCCCAGGCTGGAGTGCAGTGATGCAATCTTGGGTCCCTGCAACCTCCACCTCCCAAGTTCAAGCTATTCTCCTGCCTCAGCCTCCCGAGTAGCTGGGACTACAGGCATGTGCCATCACGCCTGGCTAATTTTTTGTATTTTTAGTAGAGACGGAGTTTCACCATGTTGGCCAGGCTGGTCTCTAACTCCTGACCTCAAGTGATCCACCCCCGCCTCGGCCTCCTAAAGTGCTGAGATTACAGGCGTGAGCCACTGTGCCCGGCACCATTCCCCAAGTTTTAATGTGTTTCATTTTCATTATTTTTAAAGTGTAAATGTTTTCTCATTTTCATATTTATTTTCTCTTTGTGATAATCACTAGTACTGGTAACTGACCTGTCCAGCTCTCCTCTTTCTGGCCAGGTCCCCATCCTCTTGAAGTCAGCTATGCCAATGAATATGTTTTGGTCAACAGAATACGAGTGAAAGTGATGTGTGTTCATTCCACCACTGCAACTGGCAATATGCCAGGTGATGGAGTCTCCATTAGCTTGAGTCCCAACATAAGAAAATGTGGAAGGGAGCTCCCAGCTGACTTACACTGGAAATGTACCATGAATGGGAAATAAACCTTCATTGTTTTAAAATATTAAGATATTTTCAGTTTGTGTATTATTGCAGCATAACTTATACAATTCCAAATGCTACTTTGACCAAATAGTCTTTAGAAGTATCTTTCCTTCTCTCTTTTTAATTTTCAAATGTATAGAGTAATTTCAAGTGTCTTTTTTTTTTTTTTTTTTTGGAGATGGAGTTTCGCTCGTTGCCCAGGCTGGAGTGCAATGGTGCGATCTTGGCTCACTGCAACCTCCGCCTCCCAGGTTCAAGCAATTCTCCTGCCTCAGCCTCCCAAATAGCTGGGATTACAGGCATGTGCCACCACGCCCCCCACTAATTTTGTATTTTTAGTAGAGACGGGGTTTCTCCGTGTTGGTCAGGCTGGTCTCAAACTCCCGACCTCAGGTGATCCACCCGCCTCGGCCTCCCAAAGTGCTGGGATTACAGGCATGAGCCACTGCGCCAGGCCAGCTCAAGTGTCTCTTTCAAGTTTATATTTTATTAGAAGGTGGTCAGAGGATATGTCTTATATGTTACTGAGTCTTTGGTATTTGATGAGATTTTCTTTATGGCCTAGCAAGCAATCAGTTTTTGGGTTTTGTATGTGTTGACTAGATTAAGCTAGTTAATTTGATTATTCAGATATTCAATATCCTTATTATTTTATATTTTTTACTCCATCAATTACTAAGAGAGATGTTTTTTATAACTTACTGTCTATAGGTTTTTAAATTTCTCTTAACTTGATTGATTTCTGCTTTAAATATATTTGAGGACACCTTAAGTACGTGCAAGTGGTTAACTGCCTTAGACTAGTAAAACAACCTTTGTTTTAAAATCTATTTGTCAGAGTTGCTTCTGTAAGGTGCTCCAAAGTTGTCACTGCCTGGGACATCACTGGCCTTAGCTACCTTTCATATTTACTTCCCAGCTGGGGAAGTGTGGCATGTGATTTTAGAACTGCACACATGGTTTAAATTCAAGCCCCAAGCCCCTGTGATGTAGGCCTCTCTTCCTTGTCATCTTCTTGTATGGACGGTAGATTGTTTTCTAGCCCCCCTGTAGTAAAGACATAACCCTTCTCCATGAATGGTCTAAGTTTCAACTTTTCACCACAGGCAGGCCCACTGCCTCATCTCCCTTCACCACTTGTAGCCACAGCATCAGCTCAACTCACACCCTTTCTCCTTCAGTTTTTATGCCCTTTTGTTCATTTTTTTTTTCCCTGCCTCTGGAAATTTCACTTATCTTACTAGTACTTTCTAAAAGAAATTTTACAGTAGTAGAAAGTGCACTAGTACTTTCTAAAAGAAATTTTACAGTACAGATTACCTGGTCCCAGCAGACCTAGTTGTCTTAATTATATTTTATTTTTATTTTTTATTTAATTAATTAATTAATTAATTTTTTGAGAGCCTCACTCTGTTGCCCAGGCAGCAGTGCAATGGTGCGATCTTGGCTCACTGCAACCTCCACCTCCTGGGCTCAAGTGATTCTCCTGCCTCAGCCTCCAGAGTAGCTGGGACTACAGGCACACACCATCACACCAGGCACATTTTTGTATTTTTAGTAGAGACAGGGTTTTGCCATCTTGGCCAGGCTGGTCTCGAACTCCTGATCTCAAGTGATCCACCTGCCTCAGCCTTCCAAAGTGCTGAGATTATAGGCATGAGCCACCACACCCAGCTTTAATTATATTTTATAAGTGCATGTCACTAATGCTTTTGCCTTTCTGAGCAAAGAGATCAGGGGGCTGAAAGCAAGATTAGTGACAGGACGGAGAAAACAGCATTGTGTTCCTGTTCTTTGGAAGATATTCTTTTGAGTCCACCAACTCTGACTGAGATCACTATCATACCCTCATAAAAAAAAAAACAAAAAAACAAAAAACCTCTTAGGTTTCTTTTTTTCCCTGTTCCCTTATTTTTCTTTTGGGGCAATAACCAAGGAGAGGAGTTTCAGGGAGCTTAGAAGGAAAATCATAGAAGGAAAATCATAAAAGGAAACATTGATGATAATAACAACATTAATAATAAGAGCTAACATTTACTTATTAACATTTAAATAAGCCAGGCCCTGAGCAAAGTATCTGAAACCTGAAAACCCTGTGAGGAACTGGATCTTTAGAAATGTTAAACAGTTTACTGTGGTTCTCACACCTAGAAATGGTAGAGATCCCAACTTCAGTCATCCAAAGTCAGAACCTGCACTGTCCGACACCCTCCCTCAAACATTCCAGTTTGAATGTTTTAATTCCTATTATTTACTTATTACCTTCCAATGCCCACACCCCACAATATCTATTTAGTCATTTCATCTCTTCCCTTATTACATGGCAGAGGAATATTATGCAAATATAGATTTCTGGAGCATAACTTTTGACTATGCTTGCAAGAGCCAGCTGAGATGACACTTCCTCCGGGCAGCTTTCATGGATGCCTGCAGGCTGGTTACGTGCCCTCCTCAGGGTTCCTAGAAGCACATTTAGATTTAAGTCTTTGCTAGTCTATGAGCTTCCTGAGGGTAGAGGCAGTCTCTCATTCCTCTTTGTACCTCAAGCACACAGCACAGATCTCAACACAGCGGGGACACTTCATAAACATTTGATGAATGAATAAATGGAAATTGTCTTTCATGGAGAAGGGGATCTCAAACACATTTTAAAGAATGGAGATGTTTCCTTATTCATCTTAAAAATATAAATTTATTCTACTTGTATTCTAAAAACATGCAACAATCTCTCTGGAGATTCATATTTTTCTGATTAATGAATAAGTCTATTTCAAAATTGCTGAGGCATCATAGGATAAGTGTGACTGCACATAGGGTCCTGTGACTTTCTCAGCTCAGCACTTTCTGGACCTGCAGAGGTCTGTTGCCTCGTGGCTCCAGTCTAACTACATGTATTCCATCCAGTTATAAGGAATGTTTTGTTTTGTCCTGTGCCCAAGCACTGCTCTCCCTGTTGTGACAGCATGGCCACCAGATGTTGCCTCCTCTGTGGGTGGCCACCCTGGGAAACTCTATGAATTTTTGCAAACTGATGTGTTTATCCTGAAAGCAGCATTTTGGCATCTTTTTATTCCCTCCGTCCCTCCAAAAAACTTTCATGGGGATGCCCTTTAAAAAAATGTGACAAATCTAGGCACAGATACAAATGCTTCGGTCCAAGGCTGACACTGTAGAGCCTTGGTCATTTAAAGGTGATGAACCCATCTTGCCTTCTGAGAAATAGTACAGAGATATCTCAGTCACCCAGCTCCCCTGAAGCCATGCCATGCTTCCTGCACCAAAGAGTTGATGAAGCTGTTCTTCTCCTGAAAAAAGAAAAACCACGTACACTTGGGAACACAGTTCTTTTTAATTGGCCCCAGATGGGATTTTTTAGTATTCCCCCTCCCATTCCATAATAAATTCTTATAATTCAATAACAGATATTTGTTATTCTTGTGCATGTAGAAGCCAGAAAAAGCCTTTCTCAGCATAGAAAACTGGGAGAGATGAAAGCTGAGAGAACAGGGAAGAAGAAGGTGGTAGTTTTTTCACACTTAGATGAAGTAGGAAGGTTACATTGCAAGTGGACAAAGCAGGGCTTGTCTAAGGAATCTCACTAATCCTAGATTTCTGTTCTTCGGGTGATCAGAGAAAAGAAGGCCACATGGGCTTCAGTCAGACAGAACTTGGTTTGAACCCTGTCTCTGCAATGTAGTAGCTATGTGATGATAAGCAAATTACCTAACCTCTCTGTTAGGTTCTAACTGAGGTCCGAGGGGAGTTGGTGGGCAAGTGGCAGGTAGCTGGAAAAACACTCGAGGAAGCATAAACAGTTTTGACATGGCTTTACTCTCTCTCTGGGCATGAGTGAGCCTGGGCGCAAGCTGTATGTACAGCAACAGCAGGGTAGTTATACCTTTTACAGACAATAGTGGCTCTGAGCCAAGCAGGAACTCATGTGGGTGATCACCTAATGCGCCTCATGTGGCGTGGTTCCATAATGTGCAGAGTTGTGCACCTGCACTCCAAACCCGCTGAGTCATGCTATGCCACCTCAGCCTACCCCTGACTAAAGCACAACCATTTCCCTTATGCTCTCTGAACTTCAGTTTGCTGTAAAATGAGAATAATTCTTCCTACATGGCAGGATTGTTGTGAACATTAAATGAGAAATCGATTAAGCCCTGGACACAGTACCTGGAACATAGCAAGTAGCTGTAATTAATAATCCCATGTAATAAGAGCTGTTTTGTTGTTTATAGAGACTAGTATGATGTAATGAGGGAAATGCATGATGTGAACTTGTACTGAGGGACACACAGACCAAAACATTTTCTCATCCATGACCTTATCATGATACCTATCCTTCCTCACTATAAAGCCATTCCATAAGGGCCATCTGGAAACACGTGTTTGACAAGATTAAGAGATTATGACACTGAGGTAGACAGATAAAGCAAGAGCTATCTTACACATTATGAAGGATTTGTTAAGGGGAGAAAAACCCATTAGCAACCAAGTTCCCATTGCATAAAGCCAGTTGCTGAAAGAATAAGACAGTGGAAACAGGTAAGTTTTGAAGAGGAAAGAGGAAATGTATGGTCTAAGGCATAGATGATACTGCAAGGGAGAATCCCTGGAGATCAGATCACCCATGGAGCATAAAACAGGAAGGGTGGAAAGGTTCCGGAAGAGGGATAGGAAAGAAGGACCAAAGTCCAACTTTGCCAGTTTTAAAATTTTGCATTAGGTAAGGACTAAAGAAAAAAATATTTTGTAAATTGACACCATTTTAAAGATTCCTATTGAATGATCTTGTTGAGTGAAAATTCATGAGTAATCACGAATTTTCATCCTGCATTTGATTTAAGGCTTAAGTCAGGATGGGTGTAAGAAGGAAATGCAGGAAATGGTAAACCCCTGTAATCAAGCAAGATAAAGTCCGTATGAGGAGTGACTATTTTACTTCACCCTGGCTCAGGCAATTTCTGGCAGTGCAGCTTTGGACCTTGCCCCAGGTTTATTCCACAGCTCGGAAGTTAAAGGCTACTCTGCTGCATGAGGAATTGCCAAAGGCACAGAGAACCCCACGACCTAGGCCTGAACAAGTCATTATCCAACAATATGCATTAAGTGTCCACACCCCACTCAAGACAAAAGAATTGCCCTCAGTCAATAAAACTGGGCTAGTGGACAAAAGCCACAGGGAGACCACTCTAAATTCAATAATAGAAAAGCTTTCTCATACTTAGAGCCGTTCAAAGGTTAGAATATAAAGTAGTAAGATCCCCATCACCAACTGTATTTCAAGCAGAGGCTGGCTTGTAGAAATTCAAATATTAAAGAGGAAACGGGACTTGATGAGTGTAAAGTTCACTTCCAATCTTCCAGTCCTATAAAGATAGAGGCATGACCTCCAACTACAATGAACTTACAGTTTCACCAAGATAAGACAAATTGTAAAAATAACAGCAGCTCCAAAGCAACATAAAATGAGCCAAATTAATGGTCTAAAAACTCACTATAACAATTCCAAAATGCAGCTCTCCAGAGAATATTCAAGAAAAACCTGAAATTTCTCATCCCTTTGCATAAGCAATAATTGGATTACTTCCTGGTAGTAAGAGAAAGAAGAAGAAAACAGATGATTTAGAGCCAGAGGAATTGGTAGACTGAGTCTCATGCTGTCCTACTGTGTTCCTGCATAAATGTGGTATAGAACGTGATGCCCACCAATGAAAAATAACCTCAAATAGGCTGAGCATGGTGGCTCATGCCTGTAATCCCAGCACTTTGGGAGGCTGAGGCAGGCGGCTTACTTAAGGTCAGGAGTTTGAGACCAGCATGGCCAACATGGTAAAAACCTGTCTCTACTAAAAATACAAAAATTAGCCGGGTGTGGTGGCATACACCTGTAGTCCCAGCTACTCGGGAGGCTGAGGCATGAGAATCGCTTGAACCCAGGAGGTGGAGGCTGTAGTGAGCGAGCTAGCCTGGGCAACAGACTAAGATGAAAAGAAAGAAAAAAAGAAAAGAAAAGAGAAAAGAAAAGAGGGGAGGGGAGGAGGTGGGGGAGGCAGAGAGGGAAGGGAGGGGAGGCGGAGGGAGAGGGGAGAGGAGGCAGAGGGGGAGGGGAGGGGAGGCGGAGGGGGAGGGGAGGGGAGAGGATGCTCAAATAAACAGTTGCTTTGCAATCTCATGAGAAAAACCAGATCTGCTTGAAGTGTTAATTCAGAAGACAGAATGTGTGACCTCATGATTTTTCATATGCTTTGCAATCATTACTTATTCATTCTTCATTTCTGACAGATAGGGGGATAGCTTATAAAATGTATTCCTCATCCTACTAACATCGTGCATCAGCTTGAAACAGGAAACACAAGACATACAAATTATTTAAGGCCTTGCTACTCAGTGTGGTCCAAAGACCAGCCATACTGGATCACCTGGGAATGCCTTGGCAATGCTGAATCAGCTCTTCTACCCACTGACTTCACTCCCAGACCTATGGAATCAGAATTTGCATTTTAATGAGAACTCCAGTGATTTCCATGTACACTAAAATTTGAGAAGTCCTAAACTGGGCAACAATGATTCTGTTGTCCACCTCCTGACCTTCCCCACCTGATATGGATTGGATGCTTGTCCCCTCCAAATCACATGTTGAAATGTGGCCTCCGGTGTTGGAGGTGGGCCTAGTGGGAGGTGTTTGAGTCATGGGGGTGGATGCCTCATGAATGACTTGCCGCTGCTGTCCTCACAGTAATGAGTGAGTTTTCTCTGAGTTCACAAGAGAACTGGTTGTTTAAAACAACCTAGCACCTCCTCCCCCCTCTCTCTTGCTTCCTCTCACGCTTCCATGTGACATGCTGGCTCTCCATCTCCTTCTTCCATGATTATAAGCTTCTTGAGGCCCTCACCAGAGCAAATGCTGGCATTATGCTTCATGTATAGCCAGCAGAACAATGAGCCAAATAAATCTCTTTTCTTTGTAAGTTACCCAGTCTTGGGTATTCCTTTATAGCAGCATAAAGGGACTTATACACCACTTGAAAGCTTTAAGAAGAAACAGCCTCTGAAAAACAAAAAAAGGAGAAAATTACTTGGACTATAATCATGAATGGAATCATTGATCAATCCATTTGCCTTGTTCTAGAAAATTTCCTATTGCTAACATGGTGCAGGCATGCTTTAACTGGGCTAGCAGAGCCTCTGGCTTGTTCTGACCCAAGTCAGCTGATTAGTCTCAGGTAGTTATTACACTTCAGGGGAAAGGAGAGGAAAGCCTTAAACAAGCGCCTTGACAAAGAAAGGCAGCTGTTTCTCATAAACTGCAATGAACAAGCCTAGCTAGGCTTCATTCATCCTTTATAACCTTCAGTCTCCTGCCTTTGTCAACAGAGAGAAATCCCTTCCTGCTGGGATGACTTTGGAGACACTAATAGCTGCAACGCAAGCTCGAGCTTGAATGGTAGTAAAGAAGAGCTTATTGCACCTCCACGTATGATAAATACACAAAACAAATATAAAGTATTTCCAAAAATACTTGCTGAATTCAAAAAGGCCATTCACTGTAGGAAATACCATAGATTTAATAATAGCTCTTCAGGAGGGGTAGTCAATGCTTCTTTAAATGAGACACAGACATGTCCCTGTTTTTAAAAAAAGTTAAATTAAGGAGGGGAGGGTTTGTGGGAGTATATCTTAGAATCAAGGAAACTTGGCAGATCAGTGCTTGACCATTTCATTGGCCAGTTTTGCTAACAAACATTAGCAATTAAGTTTTTACATTGCTTCCTGCAAATGTATGTGAAAAAATGAAGTTCACTGTTTTTTGAAGGCATTTGTTATACTGCAGAATGAAAACACAATCTGAAGGGCCATAAAGAGAAATATCAAGACTCCACCTTCTCCAGATACATTTGGGTTGAAAATTAGATAAATCTAGGGGCTTTGTGCTCCTGCAAAACACTGCCTTTCACGATCTGGGGCCTGAGTCTAATCACCTAATGTCCCATACTTGATAAGGAATGCCCATCAGACCATGAGTGTATACATGTGGAGTACATGGGATAGTATTGGTCAGAATCAGAGAGAAAAACTGAGGCCCCAAAGGGGGACAAATATTGTCTCCAAAATACACAACGAGTCAGTGAAATTCTGATTCCCTGAAGTACAAGTTCAGTATCTTTTTTAAAAAAAAGATGGAGTCTCACCCTGTCACCTAGGCTGGAGTGCCGTGATGCGATCTCAGCTCACTGTAACCTCCACCTCCCAGGTTCAAGCAATTCTCCCACCTCAGCCTCCCAAGTAGCTGGGAATACATGTGCACACCACCATGACCAGCTAATTTTTGGTATTTTTAGTAGAGACAAGGTTTCACCATGTTGGCCAGGCTGGTCTCAAACTCCTGACCTAAAGTAATCCATCTACCTCAGACTCCCAAATTGTTGGGATTACAGGTGTGAGCCACCACACCCAGCCTAAGTCCAGTATGTTTCATTCTCTCATACCTCCTCCTTCAGACCATCCTGGGGTCCTCTGATGTAACAGTCAAGCTCTTTTCAAATGAGTAAGATTCCTCCCACTCTAGCACTAGCAGGAGGAAAACACACCAGTTAAGAACTTCAGAAGGTCCCAATAGGACATCGAAAGCCAAAGTTAGACAATGTACTTCCCCTGTCCTGCCTGGATACAAAAATCCTCTAACAGCATTACCATGTGCCATGGAATTTACAATGGATTGTTTTTGCTAATGGAAAAGTACTTTCTTCCTATGGCCTTCTGGAAAATTGTGTTTTCTACTTTCTTTTTCTTGCTGTTAAATTAATTCTACATAAATATTAGGATTTTCAACAAGCTAAATTTATCATAGAGAAAGTTAAAAGGAAGAATCCTGTGGGTTAATGGGTGGGAAAATCTATGTCACAAGGAACTGTGGTCATATTTGCTTTTATAGACCTTTCTCTGAATTTTCTAAAAAATCGAAGTGGATATTTATAAAGCGCAAGTTTTTTAAAGAATTACTTCTCATAGAGGCCTCAAGCTTTCAAGAATAAGTATCACTAGCTTATTCTTCCCCTGAATGCTAAGGCTCCCTCTAGTGACCAAGAACATACACCAACTACAGGTATGAGAGTAAACATCTCTTGCTTTTAGATAACGCCTTGAAGTTTCAATAGCATTTTCACACACATCTGATCATTTAAAATAAGGCCACATGAAGTATGGTTTCCTCCATTTAAAAGGTAGGCAAACTGAGGCTGAAATGGGACCGACACTTATGCAAGGTCACATGGCTGGTAACTAGGAAACCAGAGCTAGAGATCAGGTCTGCTGACTCCTAGGCCCTATTGCTCTGTTGCACTGCCTCATATTCTATGGCAATTACATAAAGTCATGGTCATAGTCCGTTTTATGTGGCTTATAACAGAATAACTGAAACTGGGTAATTTATAAAGAAAAATAACTTATTTCTTACAGTTATGAAGGCTAAGAACTCCAAGGTTGAGGGGCCATATCTGGTGAGAGCCTTCTTGCTGGTGGGGACTCTCTGCAGAGTCCCAGGGTGGCACAGGGCATCACATGACAGGGAGGGCTGAGAAGGCTAGCTCCAGTCTCTATTCCTCTTCTTATAAAGCCACCAGTCCCACTCCCGTGATAACCCATTAACCCACTAATTCATTAATCTACGAATGGATTAATCCATTCACAAGGGCAGAGTTTTCATGATCCAATCACCTTTTAATGACCCTACTTCTCAATATTGCCACATCAGGGATCAAAGTTCAACATGAGTTTTGGAGGGGATAAATATTCACACCATAGTGATTATCCATGAATACTGTCATAAATGCTACTATCCTTTCTACCTTCATGAAATCACTTTCAGGGAATTTATGGAAGTGATTCTTGATTTTCAAGGGATCCCATTAGAAATCAGATGAGAGTTATGAACCCATACTTACAAATGTTTCCATACAATATCAGGAAATTTGTGGACCACATTGAAGGGCGTCCACTGATCCTCCATGACTCCAAGGACCCCAAGTTAAGAACCCATCAATAACTACTGGTTACAATCTTGAGATGTCAAGAACCCAAGGAAGTTTAACTTTGTAGCTCTTACTCTTTCCCTTAATTATGGTGTTTTCCATGCTTATCCAGTTATCTTTTCAGCCCATTATTCAGAGTATTTTCAAAGAATGAATAAATCAGTGTATATTCACTAACATTTAAGAAAAAGTCTGTGGATATTGCAATCAAGGAAGGCATTCTAGCATTCCCACAGGCATGTCTAGGATTAGTAGCAAATTGAGACGTTTCTAGGAAAGTAGCAATTTGGAAGCATTTTTTTCAAATGTAGGAGCACACCACAGTCTCACTGGCTAGCTCTGTGAAGAGCCTAAACAAGCAACACAGTGAATATAGGAAGAGCTTTTTTCAGTCAACAAAACCCAGCACTGACTAAATTCTTAGCTCTTTTCATCCTGGCATTTCTTTTTTTTTTAATTGTTTAATTTTATATATATATATTTTTATTATACTTTAAGTTCTAGGGTACATGTGCACAACGTGCAGGTTTGTTGCATATGTATACATGTGTCATGTTGGTGTGCTGCACCCATTAACTCGTCATTTACATTAGGTACATCCTGGCATTTCTAATGGCTTTGGAAAAGCGTGAATGAACAGTGACTAATTCACTAATTAACATGAGTCTCTTCCAGGTAAGCTCCACGAGGGTAGGGAGCATGTTTATATTGTTCATTCAAATTCTGGACACCAAACACCACCCTCGACACTAGTGCACACTCAACAAATATTTAATGAATGAATATGTGAATGGTCCTCATTGAGTCAGCCCCTCTGGGAACCCACTCATTTCCCCCTAATCAATGGCCTCTGGTTATCTGGGCTTGTTATCTATCTGTATCTATCTGTATGTAGGGTTATCTAGAACTCTACATATAGACAACCTCAGGCTCTGGATACTGGGCCACTCTTATGAAAAGTTCTGTTCTTTACCCCGTGATCCTCTCCTGCAGTCTAGATTGGGTGACAAACCAACCTAAGCAATAACAACAGCTTCCTACCTTAAACCTCCCAGAAATGGTGTCACAGTTTAAAAGGGATATTTTAAAATGTGAGTAAAAATGCAAGATTCTAATGACTAGAAGAACATTTCAATATCAAGGCAGACCCCTAAGTGTTCCTCTGAATTAGGAAGGTTTTTTTTGGATCTTCTTATGTACTGCCTACTCATCATGCCTTTGCATGTGTCTGAGCTTCTATCATACAACTTTCCTGAGTTTTTCATAGACTCTGCCCACCTACTACAATGTCACCTCAAAAATGTCTTTTCCAGCTCCCCTGGTTGGCAACTCCTGCTTGTTTCCATAGCAGAGTTCATACCTTTATGACTGTGCTATGATACTATCATGATTATATATATTTTTCCCCATATGGCAGTAAATCCAACAACAGGAGCGGGAGGTGCTGAGTTCAAGAACGAACTATACCTCTCATTCTCCAGTTTATTTTGCTTATCTTGATTGCAAATTCAATTTTTTATTTTGATTCTGACACATCCAATTTTGTTTAGCAGTTACTGGCAACACTGTCATGAAGGCACAGAGGCTTCTAAATTAAAAATTAAGGGCTAAACCACTACAAAGCTGGGATTTTAGGTGCAGTTGGGTCCTAACCACCGCTCACTAGACTTTTCACCCATAGTGCTCCTCTTTTCACAATCATTGATTATCTTATTTAAATCAAAATTTCCCAAATTTTAGGTGTTTGAGTTCTACCTTCAAGATTTTTGCCATATTAAAGTAGCACCTGAGCTAATATTTACTGAAAAGCTTTCTTTAACTCAACTTTTAACATCACTTTTGCTTTGTAAGTACTGTAATATCCATGAAATATGAGATTTGACATGCCATTTTTCATGAATACACATTAAACAAAAAACTATTAAAATGAAAAAATGCGGGGCCGGGCGCGGTGGCTCACGCCTGTAATCCCAGCACTTTGGGAGGCCGAGGCGGGCGGATCACGAGGTCAGGAGATCGAGACCATGGTGAAACCCCGTCTCTACTAAAAATACAAAAAATTAGCCGGGCGTGATGGCGGACGCCTGTAGTCCCAGCTACTTGGGAGGCTGAGGCAGGAGAATGGTGTGAACCCAGGAGGCGGAGCTTGCAGTGAGCCGAGATTGCGCCACTGCACTCCAGCCTGGGCGACAGAGCGAGACTCCATCTCAAAAAAAAAAAAAAAAAAAAAAAAAAAAAGCATTAAAATAATCTCATAACTGTTAAAAGTTTAAAAACACCTATGTAGCCATGAAAATCACCTCCAAGTATTATCCATGGCATTACCTGATCCACTTTGTGAAATACTCTTTTTTTTTTGGGACGGAGTCTTGCTCTGTCGCCCAGGCTGGAGTGCAGTGGCCTGATCTCCGCTCACTGCAAGCTCTGTCTCCCGGGTTCACGCTATCCTCCTGCCTCAGCCTCCCCAGTAGCTGGGACTACAGGCGCCCGCCACCACAACCGGCTAATTTTTTTTTGTATTTTTAGTAGCGACGGGGTTTCACCGTGTTAGCCAGGATGGTCTCGATCTCCTGACCTCGTGATCCCCCCGCCTTGGCCTCCCAAAGTGCTGGAATTACAGGCGTGGTGAAATACTCTTTAAAGCCCCCACTACCCACCTCGTGCCTCCTATCCAAACCTATCCCTTCATTCTCAGCAGACCACGCCACCTTCTTGAAAAAGGCAGTCCGTCAGACTTGAATTCCCCCAACTTGCTTCTCGCCATAGTTTCCTACTCCATACAGAGACCTGAAAGCATTACTTCATCTGGTTCCCATCCTTGGATCTACTTGCTCTGCTCTCAGAAGAGAAGTTGCCCTTCTTTCTGTTCAAGAAATGTCCACTTGCTTGTGTTCTGAAGCTTATCCCAGTGGACTGCCTTAAGGATCTTACTCCATCAAATAACTTCTCTCTTGCTTGTCGTTATCTTAATTATTTTGAATTGTGAAATGTTATGCATAGAAAAGAATATAAACATATTTGTTTAAATTAAATAATAATGAAAATACAGGCCGGGGGCAGTGGCTCACACCTGTAATCCCAGCACTTTGGGAGGCCGAGGCAGGCAGATAACGAGGTCAGGAGATCGAGACCATCCTGGCTAACACGGTGAAACCCCGTCTCTACTAAAAAATACAAAAAATTAGCCGGGCGTCATGGCGGGCTCCTGCAGTTCCAGCTACTCGGGAGGCTGAGGCAGGAGAATGGCGTGAACCCGGGAGGCGGAGCTTGCAGTGAGCGGAGATCGCACCACTGCAATCCAGCCTGGGCGACAGAGCAAGACTCCGTCTCAAAAAAATAAATTAAATTAAATAAAAAAGAAAATACAAGCACCCGTATAACCATCACTCAGGTTAATAGAGCGCTACTGATACCTTCAAACACACTTTGTGCACCTCCTTGTTGTATCTCTCTCCCTCTCACCCAAGTGTAAACTAGCCATTCTTTATAGTTTTACTACCTGTGTATGTAGACTTAAGCAGTGTATCATTTAGTTTTGCTTAGTTTTAAATTTTATGTAAATTGAATCATACTGATTATACTCTGACTCATTTCTTTTTCTCAATATTATGCTCCAGAGGTTTATCCATGTGGGTGTGTATAGTGTTAGTTTCTTTATTTTCACTTCTGTGGAGTATTTCATTTCATGACTGATCCACAAGGTTCTTTCATCTGTAGAATATTCCATTACATGACTAATCCACAATGTATTTATCATGTTACTGTTGTTGGGTATTTGAGCTGTTTTGAGCTCTTAGTTATTATAAGAAATACTATTATTTATGACACTCCTGTACTGTGTCCTGATGCATATGAAGATTTCTCTAGGGAGGTGACTTTCAAAATTTCTCGATCACAACTCACAATAAGAAACACATTTTACAACACAACCAAAAAAGATGAACAGAACAATACAAAACATGACTATTAGCGACCCAAAAGATTAACAAAACTGCAGTAATGCATTCTGATATTTTCTGTTTCTTTGTTGTTCTGTTTAACTTTACCATATCCTGTTCTAATTCACTTTTTTAAATGCTGGTTCACCCACTAGTGTGACCTGACCCCAATTAAGAAAAATTAGAAAGTGCCATAGGACATACCTAGGAGTGACATTGCGGAGTTTTGAAGCACATGTATATTTTAACTTTTCAATAAATCATGTTCCAATGGCACACTCTCAATTTATACTACCACCAACAGAAAATGTAAGTTACATTGTTCTATGGCCTTGGTAACTTTTTAATTTATAATTTTTTTCCATTTGTTGTTATTACATGGTATTTCATTGTGGTTTTAATTTACATTTTCACAGTTAGATAGAGCATATTTTCCTATGTTATAGGTCATCTGTGTTTCCTCTTTCATGAAATGCCTGTTTATATTTTGGCCATTTTCCTATTAGGATATCCACATCTGATATATTCATAGAAGTCGTAAATATTTTCTGGGTACTGATTGTTTTTTGGAAATAAATTGAAATATCATCTCCCACTTCATGGCTTGTCTTTTAATTTTATTGTGTTTCTTAATTAACTGCAGTTATGTAACATGGTCAAATTTATCAATCTTTTCCTCTATGATTTGCATTTTTGTCCTTGTTTAATGTCGTAAGGCCTCTTTCTGTATCAAAAGATTATATTCTACTACCTAGTCTTCTAAAAGCGCTAAGCTTATGCTTTCACATTTAAATCTCTTATCCACCAAAAATTGATTTATATGTATGGTGCAAGGTTGAGATATTTATTTTATTAATATACATGGACCACCCCAGCACTTTTTATTTAATGGTTCATCTTTTCTTCAGTGATCTGCAGTGACTTCATCATGAATCAAGACTGCATGTGTGAGTGGGTTTGTTTCTAGATCTTCTCTATTCTGATCCATGAATCCCTTTTTCTACCTCTGGGGCAATACAATGTCTTCATCATTACAGCTGTCTAATGAGACTTAAATCTTGGTAAAGCAATCCCCCCTACACCTTGTTCTTCTTCACAAGTTTCTAGTCTGTTGTTGACTTTTTTTCCTTCCATATACATTTTAAAATCACTGTTTCAATTTGCTCACAAACCCATTTGGAGTTTTATTGGAATCACTTTGACTCTATTGGTGAATCTAGTGATGCTTGGCATCTTACAACACTGAGTTTTTCTACTCAAGATTATGGTATATATATTATTTAGATTATCTGGTTCAATTAATAATTAAATAATTTTCAATATGTTCATTAATATTTAATAATTTTCTTCATAAAGAGGTCTATACTCCTTAGAACTTTGTATTTTGCATTGCTATTATAAAAAGGCAACTAACTAATTGCTACTGGTAAATAGAAATGCATCTAATTTTTCTATGTTGAGACTATATCCAGCTTTGCCTACTTCTCTCATTAGATAAAATGTTTTATCTGTAGGCTCTTTAGAATTATTGGCATTAATGATGATCTTTTGTTCTTATTTTCTAGTCTTTATCATTTCATTTCGTTTTCTTACCTTATTGTACTGGCCAGGATACACAGTGCATTCAGATCCTAGCTGACCTCCCTCTTTTCCCTTGATCCTAAAGGGAATACTTTCAACATTTCATCATAAAACGTATTTGCTGTAGGTTTTGTAGTTCCCCTTATAAGTTAAGGAGGTTCCTTTCTATATAAAGAATTTTTATTATTTTATCTGTCATCTTCATGATCCTTACTTGTGGCTCCTTCTTTTCTTGCGATTTTTCTTAAAATTTTAATAGCATCATTAAAATGGCACTATTGAGATATAATTGGCATACAATGAACTGTACATATTTAAGGTGTTCAGTCTGATAAATTTTGACATATGTATACATCTGTGAACCATCACCACAATCAAAATAATGGATAGAACCCAAGTTTTCTCCTGTCCCTGTGTGAATCCTCCCTCAACAACTTCCCTGCCCCTACCCACACTTCTGTTTCTAAGAAACCAGTTTGTCATCAGAATAGATTAACTTGTAGTTAATGAACTATGATAAATAAAATCATACAGTATGTATTCTTTTTAGTCTGCTTCTTTTACTCAGTATAATTATTCTGAGGTCTATTCATATTGCGTGTTTATAGCACATTCTTTTTCACTGCTAAGTAGTATTCCACCACATGAGTAGGAGATTTTTGACTCTGGCTAGTGGAAGCAGGAACAATTACTAGTCTTCTGTGGGCATTTGAGATTGTATCTTGTAATCCTTTCAGGTGGTTCTTTCCTAGCCTTAGGTAACTTCTTAGCCTGCATGCACTTAGTAGTACTGAGCTGAAAACATGAGGGAGACTCTGCAAATCTTCAGAGTCCTCTTTCTGTGCCGTTCTTCCCACGCCAGTAATGGTGCCCTGCAATGTCTAGTCATCTTGATCTTCCTAGACTTCCAGCTCTATCTCCTCAACTCAGGCCTACCACTGCTCTCAGCCTGGGGTCCCCCTACCTGCACACAGGCAGGAAATTCTCTCCAGGCAGTAAACTGAAACAATGTTAGGGATCACGTGGCTTGTTGCCCATCTCTCAGAGGTCACTGTCTATTGTGGCCTAATGTCCAAAGTCTGAAAAACTGTTATTTCATGTACTTTCTTCTATTTTTTTGGGTGGGAGGATAAACCTGGTTCCTCTTACTCTATCACGGCTGGAGGTGAAAGTCCTGACTCGTATCCTTATGTACTTTGTGACATCTAACTAGGAGTTGCAGATGTTCCTTGGAACTTACCTTTTAGGGTAATTCTTCGAGGCTCAATTTAGAGCTGATTTCCTTCAGAAGAGATTTGTGTTTGCTTCTGTCGATGACTTGGAAACATTATCAGTTAAGGACCACTTTAAAGTTAAATTCTTCACTTGAATTGTGTGAATGAATGTGTGGTTACCAATTCTCAGGCAGAATTACCCCCACCCCCGACTCAGCACTACCGATAACAGCAGCAGCCCATCTGGAGTGGCTGCTGCAAAGACTTGGGGGTGTAGTCTAGGGGGTGTGGCAGGAGCTGCACTCCACAGATCCAACGGGAGCCAGGAAGAGGCGGGAGCCCTGCCTCCTTCCAAGTTGGTGGGGCAGGAGCCCCTGCTCCCAGGCGCAACTGCAGCCACCCAGCCATGGCTACAGACCCGGGCATTCTGTGCTCCCCAGGGCTCAGGAAGCCCTGCTCCCCCTGCAGGCTTGGAAGTGTCTGCTCCTGCTGCCTGGCCTCTCCCAGCCCCTGGCGCCTGCTCTGATTTTGGAGCAAAGTTGTGGCTGAGCCCAGGTGCTGTCATGATCCAGCCAGGTATCCACACGCTCAGGGTGGCACTGACACACCAGCCCCCTGCCGCCTCGGCTCCCTCCAGACTTTGGGCACTGACAAGCATGGGAGGAAGGCCGAGGGGGTGCTGAGGGTGGCTTGGTGCAGGCCTGCACGCACCCCTCAACACGAACAGCCTGGGCACCATGAATAGCAGTAGGAGGCAGGCAGGCTCCTGGGCTGAAAGGGGAAGGTCCCCAGTGAAACCTTATCTTCAAGTCAGGGACGGCCTGAAGCCTGGGGGCTTGGGCTTGGCTGCCAGTTCCACAAACCAGAATGAGACCTTATGGTGCTTTCTCCAGGTATGCTCACGACTGCCCATGGACCAATCAGCAGGCACTACCTCCCCTCTGAAGCCCATAAAACCCCAGGACTCAGACAGACTTGGGCAGATGGGGACACCCTGCCTGCAGAGAGGAGCTACCCACTGTGGGTCTCCTCTCCACTGAGAGCTGTACACTCATTGAGACGACCTGCCTGAAGAAAGGAACTACCCACTCCAGGTCTCCTCTCCACTGAGGGTTGCACAGACACCAGGACGACCTGCCTGCAGAGAGAAGCTGCCCATTCCAGGTCTCCTCTTTGCTGAGGGCTGCATAGATGCTGGAATGACTTGCCTGTGGAAAGGAGCTACCCACTTCCAGTCTCCTGAGAGCTGTACTATCACTTAGTAAAGCACCTCTTCACCTTGCTCACCCCCCAGATATCTGCATACCTCATTCTTCCTGGATGTGGGACAAGAACTCGGGACCCACCAAATGGCAGGACTGAAAGAGCTGTAACGCAAAGAAGGCTGAAATATGCCTGCCCCACCCCCGCCACTGGCTTGCCATGTTGTGATCAATGAAAAGGAGAGAGAAGAGCAGCGGCCCTTTGGGGACCCCAGACCTAGGAGCTCCCTGAGCCAGGGCTGTGACACCCTCTTTGGGGCTCTCTGGTTCCTGGCACCTCCAAGCTTCTGGGCACCACCACATTCCCCAGCATGCCTGGCTGTGCGCAGTGGCTGGACACTGCACTTGCTTGTTCACCTACCCCTTGCCACTCTGCATTTGGCTCACCCTTGGCAGGCATGGGATCCCAGCCTGTAGCGCAAAACAAGTGCAGCCTGCCAGGCCGAGTGGGTGGAACAAGCCCAGCTGGCTTGAGCAAAACTTGGGCAAAGGCACCACTGGCCACAGAGGTTTCTGGCTGGTGAAGTGACACCCCAAGGATCCTGTGACACTACTGTTGAGAGAGGAAAGTCTTCTTAATGCCACCTACTGCAAGACAAGGCTTATTTCTTGTTCACCATTATACTGAGTTGTTAGCCTTTGGGATCCCAGCTTTATGCATGCTGCTTCTATTGGGAATGCAACATAGGGCCTAGGTGTTAAGTCTTGTCCCCCACATGCCATGCAGCCATCAAAAGAGAAGCTCAGCATCTTCTGGGTTCAGAAATCCTCCAAACAAAAACCAGCTTTGTTGGTTTATCTCCCAGGGTTTACTTTTTCATATTGTTTTAAGTATCTGTAGATTCCTTATTTTTATGGCAGTTCAGCATTTTCCTTTTAAAATGTCACTTCTGAATTTTAGCTATTTTAATTTTACAATGCCTATTCTGTTATCATGACAGAATAAAGACTCTTGTTTGTATCTTTAGACCCTTTCTAGGGGCTAATTCTCATCAGCTGGTAACATACTCAAGTATCTAACATCCTTAAAAAAATCCTTGCTTAACCCTGGATCCTCTCTTTTAAATGTAGCACTCTCTCACACTACCTTCCAGCCAAGTTTTTAAAAAGAATTGACTACAGTCATCTTGATTTTATAATCTTTAATTCATCTTTTAACCCACTGTCATCTGCATCTGCCTCCACATCTCCAGTAAAACTGGTCTTTAGAAAACCAACAGTGATTACCTCCACCTACCAACTCCAATAAACATTCTTATCTTTCTGGACTAATCTGTAACATCTGGTATTTTGGATCACTCTCTCCAGTATGACATTCTCTCCTCTTTAGGTTCTTTTACATCATTCTAATTCTACTTCTGCCTCCCCTGTCATTTCTTCTCATTGGATCCTCTTTCTCTGCTCACTTCTTTTCAATACTTTGCAAAAGTTTTTCCTTCATTTTCTCTTTGTAGCATCATCTTTTACCAAATCTCACAAACCATATACTACTAGATGCCATCTTCAAAACCATTTTTTCCCTTCCTCAGTAAAAATCCCCAGAGTGTTTTGTTTTGTTTTTTTGAGACATGGTCTTGCTGTGTTGCCCAGGCTAGAGTGCAGTGGCATGATCTTGACTCACTGCAGCTTTGACCACCTGGGCTCAGGTGATACTTCCACTTCAGCCTCCCAAGTAGCTGGGAGTACAGGTCCACACCACCATACCTGGCTAAATTTTTTGTAGAGATGAGGTCTTGCCATGTGCCCAGACTGGTCTTGAACTCCTAGATTCAAGTAATCCACTCACCTCAGCCTCCCAAAGTTGCTGGGATTACAGGTGTGAGCCACTGCACCTGGCCAAAATTTGCAGATTTTATCTGGCATAATACTGCTCAGAATGACTCATTTCCCAGCCTTCTTTGCATTTAAATAGAGCCTTGTGACTAAGTTATGGCCAATGACATGGCAGTGTTGTATGGGATTTCCAGGAAGAAAAGAAGAGAGCTGGTTTGGCTGGGAGGGGCCCCTCTCTGTCCTTGTCTTCCCTCCATCTTCTGTCCTACAACATGACTGGAATGATTATGGACCTTCAGCATCCATCTTGGGACAAGAGATGACTGTGGGGTTGGAAGCCATGTACTACGAGGATAAGGCATGAAAACAGGATAGGTCCTTACTGACCCCATGGAGCCATATTAGCCTGAACCATCGATCTCTGAACTTCTTTATGAGAGAGAAGTAAATCTCTATGTGTGAGCTTCCGTTATTTTGGAAGAGAGAGGGAGTGTTCTAAGCAGCGAGTCTAGGCCTAACTAGTACCTCTCCGAAATCTCAAACCTCAGTCATGCTAGGTTATTTTCTTTTCCTTGCCACCCCCTCCTTGCCCCCTACCCTGCACCGCATTAAACACATTTTGCTTATTTTGATTCCTAAATAGCTCTCAAATCTTCCCTTACTGCTCATTTCATACTGCCAGAATATAAGTTCAGGACTTTAATATTTTTTGCTTAGACTGACACAGTAGCCATTGAAGTGGGTTTTTTAAAACATAAGCCTTTCTTGTTCCTTTAAAGCCCTACACAAGTTAATTACTTATGGAATAGAGTCTCAGTGCCTTAGTGTTGCTTTCTTGGCCCTTCACAACAAGATGCCTATCTTCTTTTCTTTCCCTTTCACTTCAAACATTATTGCCGATAATATACATAGCAAGTTTATAATTATCTAAACATACAAAGCGGTTTTATGCCTTGTGCCTTTGCACATGTTCTTGCTCTCGCTTGCTCTTGTTCTTTCTCCTTTGTTCATCTGGTTAGTTCTTCTTGTCCTTTAAACTCCAGTTCATGCATTAGCTCATCCTGCCAGTTTTCCTTGATGTCTTCCATCCCTTCCCTACATTTCTTCCTAAAACCATGTACTGAATGAACAAAAATATATTTTAGGAAAATTAAGAAGAAATTAATACTTGAAGCATAATAATTAAAATGACTCTTATGAAAAAAACATTTTATCTAAAAACTGAAGAGTTAGAGAATGGTGTTTTAACAAATTGACAGACCAAATAAAATCATCAAGAAAATGAATATAATAATAGCATCTACCAAGTGGTGGTGTTGAATGATGTGAGCTATGCATATAAATGGCTTAGCAAGGTGCTTAGAACATAGCAAGCCCTCCCCCCCACGTTAATATCATCATAATAATCTATTCGTTACAATAATAATTAATATTCATTGTAATTGTGTTACGAAGAAAAAAAAGTTTGTGAAGGTTACAGAAATCCTTGTGTGGTATAAAGAAACCCAAGACACTTTTAAGATACTGCTGGGAAATTTGTTTCACAAATGTGAAAAATAGATTTCCTTCCTAAAAGTGGGTTTATCACATAGCTTCCCTAAGTAGCACCATTGCTTGGGAGTGAAAGGTGTCCATTCATTTGCATGAGACCCTTTGGCTATTGAATTAGAGCCATAAAGCTATGTGACCCACCCTTTTTATGTGTATGAGGAGCCCAGACTCTAAGTCTACTTCAAGAACTCAAACCATATTTTCCAAGAAGTTAAGCTTGGGTGTTTGCTTGCATTTTATATGAATATATGTATAAGCAAAGCAATGTTTTAGCAGGATATGGGAGGAGTGTGCATGGGAATTCAAACAACAGACACATTGTCTAGATTTTCTCTGGTATGAGTGATTAAAGGAATGATCATAGCTTCACACATACTGCGTGTTTGTGCAGTAATTACGCTTTACAATTGGTTCTGCCATTAATGCCAAAGATTCTTTTTTAGAATGTGATAAACCTTTTTGGCTCTAACATACCAGTTCCAAACATTCCTTGGCTTTTTTTGTGCTTAATGATGGAGTTTTAAAAGCCTATTTTTGTATAGCTCTGTGTGTGCGTGCGCACGTGTGTGTGTGTGTGTGTGTGTGTGTGTGTATTGGGGCCGTGGATAGGGCTGGGGATAAAGGAGAAAAAAAGAGAAAACGGAGCTTGAAGGACTGACAGTATTTTAAAAGTGAACTCACATGGCAACCATTCATAGTCAAAAAAGATAGATAGCAAAATGTGCAAAAGAAAAACAGTCCCAAAACATAATTTTAGGACTCTGACTTACTAAATTCATTTAGGAGACAACAAAACCTAATTATACACAAACATGGGGATACGTATCTAGATATGACTGTCAATTATTCTTCATACTTTGCTTAGATATGTCCATTCGACTGGCCCCATTGATGAAAAAGTAGCAACTGTTGTTTTAATGTATCATATGTAACAGAGTTGAAATTGAATTTGCTAAAAATTATTTATTCCTTTCTGATTTCATCCTAATGCATAGGTTTAGATCATCCTAACTAGACACCATGAACCTGTTTTTTTCTGTACCCTTGTCCTTCTCCAAGATATATTAGTAAAGCCGTCAGGAGAAAAAGGAATATTTCCTGTTATTCTGTTATTCTGATATATTACTAACATTTCCCTTTCTCTAGCTACCAATAATAGAGTTATTTTTATGAAATGTTTATTATATGTCAACTGTTGTGCTAGATATTTTGAAACCCAGTTCTGCTGTCTATTAGCAATTTAACTTCTCTATGTTTCCTTATTTGTAAAAACAAAGATAAAAGTACCTACATAATAGGGTTGCTGTAAAAATTACCAATAAGTAGTTAGAAAAATGTGTGGTACATAGAAAGCACTCAATAAATGTCCAGTGCTATTATTACTTACTATTATTTAAATTAATCCCCAAAACCACCCTTTAAAGAAGGTATAATAATCCCATTTTACAGATGAGGATGTTGAGGTTCAGAGGCCAATAAACATGCACACTCAGCTAATTAAAGCCACAGCTGGAATTTGAACCCATTTCTGCATGCCTTTGAAACCCATGCTTCCTATTATTCCACATTGCCTCCTCAATCTGATAAGTTTTCAGTCTTACCTTGAACATATGCTCTTAGTCTCTGTGCCTCAGTTTCCTCATCTGTAAAGTGGAGACAACAACAGTGCCTACATCCCAGAGTTGTTAGAGTAAGCACTCTATAAATATTATTATTATTAGTCTGATGTTTGTCCTAATGATGACATTTCTTTCTGATATTTAGGGCTACCTTGAAACTTTCTATGCAAGTTTTTTTTTAAAAAAATTGATTGTCTATACAGTAAAGTGATGACCAATTTTAACCTCATCTTTCACCCAGTGACATGATCATTATATTAAAGGTCCTTTTAATCTGTTTAACATTTTATTTCTAAATTCTCTTTGAACCTCTCTTGGAAGAACCTTAACATCTTTATGTAAGAATAACACTCAAACCACCTGAAATAACAAAAGTGGGGATTTTTTTTTAGGGGATCTGTTTGTTCTGGAATACCATGAAAGAAGTCAGCTAATTCAGCAGATTACTAGCTTCAAAGCAGTTCAACTTGACCAACTTGGGAGCCAAAACAGTCTTCATGGTCAGCATACATATGTGAATTTAATGACTGGCCTGACAAGTGCATTATAAAAGTTGTAAGTAAGAGAAAAGAAAAAAGTGGGGGCCAACTGTTCATTTTTGATGGAACTCTGGTTTATGATTGCCAACTTGTTATTTCAACAGTCATAGTTAATGCTTTATGATGTCCTACCTGGCTCAAGTTGCTATTCCCAGTTGGAGTCATTTTTTTCTGAAACTTGACTTCATTTTCCTTTTCTTTAATGGCTAAGAATTTCAAATGACATTCTAAAATCCAGAGGACTGAACAGGGCATCCTTCAAAAATAGTGTTGTCAAAACTGACAGAACTCTAAACTCCTACAAGGAATGAAGCATCAAGTCTTCCATCAAGGATTGCTGATTATACGTGGCATCATCACCTCCTGATGATACACATTAGTGGAGGGGACCAGTGACCCAGATAATCCAAACATTATTTATTCAATTTTGGAATGCATTTTGTATTTACATTTGATCTTGGGCATATCTTCAGTTTCTGGAATTGGAAACTGAAACAAAATAATGAAGTCACACTATTTGACTCAAAGAACCAGGAAAAGCAGCCCAGATTCTCTACCTTGAACTTGTCTTCAGCCCCTTCTGCTTTCAGTTCCATCAGGAGTTGAGGTTTTATTTGCCAGATTAACAACCCAAGTGGAGCTTTTCCTTTTTTAGCCTGCAGTCTTTGAGGCTTACATCTTCCATTAAGTAAGGGAGAAAATTGCATATGGAGTGGAAAACCCTTCTAGTGGCTATTAATAGGGCCACACAATGCATAAATAAGGATAAACAGATTTTGGATGATCTTAAGTAAGTTACTGCCCTCAGTTTCCTTTCCTTTGCATATGAGCTGATTCTGGTTAGGGTTAAATGAGATGGT
This sequence comes from Homo sapiens, assembly GCF_000001405.40. Lineage (NCBI taxonomy): Eukaryota > Metazoa > Chordata > Mammalia > Primates > Hominidae > Homo > Homo sapiens. Next base: position 27,311,887 of record NC_000011.10, read on the forward strand.
GTGGCAAATCATATTTAATTCTGTAAAAATGATAGCTTCATTATATTAGCTTTAGGTGGGAAGAAGCTCAACCTCAAGCTAAATCACATGATTAATTATCAATGTATGGGTAAGAATTAAATATAATCCCACAAGAAAAATATATTTAAACACCTGTGCAGAGTAAAGGAAAAACACCAATGCAACCCAATGAAGACTTACATAAAGTGATATATTTAAGAAGTGAAAAATGTCAAAAGGTCAAGACGGAGGAAAACATTTACAAGTGGATGAAACAGATTGCCAAAAAAACTACTGATTTTTCTAACAAAAAGCCCTAGTTTATTGCCTGCAACATATTCCCTTACATTATCCAAAGTATAACAAACTTGTTTCATTTCAATTACTTGCTACTAGCAAGCAATGTACTGTGTCACTTTTGTTTTGTGATCATTTCGTAATACTCCTGGATTACTTATTAATGGTTTGTTTATTTAATTCCTAGGACACAAAAGTGTGCATTATCTGAATGCAATGCTTTTAAAAGTCTGTTCAACCCTGTTCAGAACTTCCTTCTAATAGCAATAAATGATGCAGGATTTTTTTTAAATAACAGTGAATATTAACTCTAACTTGGAAGGTGTTAGGTAGCAATTGTTTTTGACTACACCTTCAGCTTTTGGAAGAAAAAGTAGCATTTCTTTATCTAATTATGTGGGAGTAACTTATGTGTTAATCATATACAGTGTTTTTCAATGATTTTATTCCATTTAACCTCAATAATGCTCAGGTTATTAGGGCTTCTTAAATTTTTAGATTATATTTGTTAAATTTTAAAACTGCAAGATCAGTAACATTTACTTGTAGACTCGCACCAAAAAAAATTACTTCCCAAATATCAAGTTGAAATCATCATACATTAAACATACAATTTCATTGTTTATTTTCCCCCATACCAACTTAAGTTAAACTTCTAATCTACCTGAGTTAGGCCAAACAATGGTACTAACTTCTCAAACAATCTCAGTGGTTCTCAAAATTTAGAGTACATAAGACTCCAGGAGAGCTTTTTTAAAAAATGCAGATTCTTGGGCTCAACCATTAGACTGTACTAGTGTGTAAATGCAAAGTTCGGTTTCAGGATCTCCATTTTTAACCAACACTACAGGCAATTCTGATGCAGGTGGTTCGCAATACACATCTTTAGAATCACCAACTTACACCAATGCGTTAATTAGACTTGAAAAGGGATTTAGTTGCAATAATGACAGCACAAAACTTATTTTTTTAATGTGCTGTCTGTTAATCCTGATTATAAGCATTATACTAAAACATGGAATTGTTCAACATAATGCTGAGAAATTAGGTATACTGCAAAGAGTCATTTTTCTGGTTTGGGGAGTCACTAATTCAAATATTTATTGCACACTTATCACATTTGTCCTGCAATGTAACATTTAAAAACTAAACACAAAACTAGATTCTGCTTAGTAAGGATTTATAATCTAGTTAGAGAGGCAAAATATAACCACAGAGAAGTTAAGTCATGTTAGAGTAAATGACAAAACGGCAAATAAAGAGAAATCAGAGGAGGCACTGATAGGGATTGAAGTGAAAAACAGGCCTTTGCAGGAGTGCATAGGCAGAAGGAAGGAGGTTAGACAGACCTTGAGGCTGAGTTTTAAAAAGCCAGAGGGGTGATTATACATTGGAGTGATTATATTCTTGGATTGCCAAAAACACATGACATCTCAGCAATGCATATTTTGCCTCAGAGTTCAGAGATGCCAACTATAATTAAACCCAGATGCATACATAAAGTCACTGCTTAGTATAAATGGGGCAAAGCTGTATCTCCAATTTAGATCTTCTCAAACTGTCCAATTTTTTAATGTTAAAAATAGAAGAAAATAAAAACAACCCTCATCCATCGTCAATATTTACCAGAGAGTAACCACAACTGTGGGAGAAAAAACAAAGAAATTTAGTGTATAGGTATATTTTTAAGAAAAAAAAAAAGAAATATTTTTATTAATTAGTTCAAGTTTTGTACTGAAAAAAAGTGCAGAAATTGTGGAGAAATGAATATGCTCATGCCCTTTACAAAGGCCAGAAAATGTAAATGCAAAGCTTATGGGGGCAGAATAATATAGCAGGTGGGTAGATCAGGCCAGGGTGTGGGGAAATAGGCACTTTGGGAGCCCGAGGCAGGCGGATCACCTGAGGTCAGGAGTTCAAGACCAGCCTGGTCAACATGGTGAAAACCCGTCTCTAAATAAATACAAAAAAAAAAAAAAATTAGCTGGGCGTGGTGGCACACACCTGTAATCCCAGCTACTCAGGAGTCTGAGGCAGGAGAATCGCTTGAATCCGGGGGTAGAGGTTGCAGTGAGCTGAGATCGTGCCATTGCACTCCGGCCTGGGTGACAGAGCAAGACTCGGTCTCAAAAAAAAAAAAAAAAAAAAAGAACTGTGGCTGAAATACCCCAACATGAATCAAAAATACCAAAAATGTGATATTCATTCCAACAAAATCTTGTACACAAGCATTCATAGCAGCACTATTCATAATAGTTAAAAGGTAGTAATAGCCAAATGTCCATCAACCTGTAAATGAATAAACAAAACGTGGTATATCCATATAATGAAAGTGTTATTTGGCCATAAAAGGGAATGAAGTACTGACACATGCTACAACGTGGATGAACCTGGGAAACATTATGCTAAGTGAGAGAGACATAGACAAAAGGTGACATACTGTATGATTGTGTTTATATGAAACATCTAGAATAGATAAACCCATAGAAGCAGAAAGCAGATTGGTGGTTGTCAGGAGAGCTAGAAGAAATGAAGAACGAGAAGTAACTCTTTGATTGGAATGCAGTTTTATTTTGGAGTGATGAAAAGTTTGGAACTCGATAGTGGTGGTGGTTGCACAGCTTTGTGAATGTACTAAATGCCACTGAATTGTTCAATTTGAGAAGGTCAATTTTCTGTTATGTGAATTTCACCTCAATTTAAAAGAAATCTATCTACAAAAACAACAAAAGAACTATGGTAAACTAGAAAGGGCATACCTTCCAATAGAGGCATCTACTACCCAGCCTTACCAAGTTCTGCCATATCAGAACGTGGGCTTGGTGTTGTCAGATCTGATTGTTTAAGAGAGAATGGAAACTCAGATTTTAATGTAAAAACTCCCTATTTTAAATATTGCCAATTAATTCAAAAAATTTAAAATTATGCCAGTCAATGAAAATACAGGGCTAAGGGCATCCCATGAGCTACCAACTTGCAAACTTGTTATAGTCAATCCCAATTTAAATCAGAATATTTTTAATTGTCTATAAGCTTATTGTATTTTTTGTGATTTCAAATTCTTAGAGGTGGATTAAGATAATGTGTTTTACTTTAATATGTATAGCTATACACAAACATGCACTTATTTTAGATAGATGACGCCATGATATAAAAAAGAAGCTACTTTCTCCCCCAAACAACACCATGAAATTACAGTTCCCTTTCATGTATTTAATCTGAAATAATGAATTTTTCTCTGTGGATAATGTTCTGTTGGAAATATTTTAAACACTAGTTCTCTGCTCAGCAAAAGCATTATGTTGAATGAAATGTAGCCATTCTTGCACATTCATAACCTATCTGACCTTAGCCATGATTATTATTCAGTTTGACTTTAGTTCTGTTTAAGACCTGTAAATAAGTGGAGTGAAGCTCTTACTTTAAATAAATTCCAGGTATTTATAAGTATGTTTAAATGCTGTCCTACCAAATGACAAGTTATCATGTTAAAATAGAAGAATAACAAGATAGCTAACATTTTAAAGAATAAGTAAATAATAAACACCCTTTGAATTTGTATAAATTTGCAGGGCAGCTTTTTTTTTAACTTTCATATTAAAATAATTTTGGATTTACAAGAGTTGAAAGCATAGTATTGAGATGTCCTCTTCTTTCGTCTTACTCTTAGCTATAACTATGGTTCATTAACATATAACCATTTATAAACATTTATATAACTATGATACATTTATCAAAACTAATAAATTTTCATTGGCACAATACCATTAACTACAACCTTATTTGGATTTCTCCACTGTTTCCACTAATGGCCTTATGCTATTCCAGGCTCCAATCCAGGACACTGCATTGCATTTAGTTGACTGTTGAAGTCTCCTTTAATCTGTTACAGTTCCTTAGTCTTTTCTTTTAGATCCTTACAATAGTATCTAGACAAAATATGGTTTTCCATAGTTATTTAGGTCAACTCCTTCTTTCCCCAGCCCCTTCAGAGGAGCTATATTTGTAATAGAGTTAGATTCATTTGTTACAGTCTGCATTCCATCCTGGATTCTCCTAACATCTTGGGTGTTTTTTTTTTATTTGCATACAGCAAAAGTCACTTTTGTGTTATACAATTCTATGGGTTTTGGAAAATGCAGAGTAAAGCAATCCCATACCGCAGCGCTATTAGACCAGCTTCTCACCTTAAAAAAATCTCCTTGTGCAGTGGGGCAGCATTTTTATCTAGACCCATATTCCTTTAAAACTCAAATATACAGCCAGACATGGTAGCTCATGCCATTAATCCCAGCACTTTGGGAGGCTGAGGCAGGAGAACTGGTTGAGGCCAGAAGTTTGAGAACAGCCTGGACAACACGGTGAGAGCCTGTTTCTATTTTAAAAAATACAAAAATTAGCCGGGCATGGCTACATGCCTGTAGTCCCAGCTACTCAGGAGACTGAGGTGGGAGGATAGCTTGAGCCCACGAGTTTGAGGTTATAGTGAGCTATTATTGTGCCAGCCTGAGCAACAGAGCAAGATTCTGTCTCTAAAAAAAATTTAAAAATTAAAAACAAAACTCAAATATATAATTGACCACCGTAATTATTTTTAGACTAATATTCTTTCACATTTGCTTTTACTTTTTTTCACTCAAAGTTCATATTCCACATTAAGAAACTTCCATTATTTACAGAACTCTAAAATTCTCTCTTGAAGACATTTCAAGTCTCAATTACTAATGACATGTATGAATCAACTGAACACATTTTGATCTTAGTATAGTTCCCAACATGTCCTTGTCCATACAGCCATTGCAGAATCATTTCCATGCTCAACCAAAGAAATTAAAATCAGAAAAATAGGTTAAAAAAAGCTTCATAATAGATTCATAATATGAATCACAATCAAATATAGCATTTTATTGTCCAGTGTTTGAATTTTCCACATCTTTGCTCTTTTCTAAGGCTGAGATGGACAAAAGTTAACTAATTGTACTTTTTTCCCATAAAAATTTAAGCAATCAGTTTTTCTATTTGTGCAAGCTAAAAATGTTTTCATTGCTTTCCTAAATTCTTTACTTTGAAAAAGGAAGAAATGAGGGTGAGCCACTTAACAGAAGTGAAAGTCAAAAGCCAGACAGGTGGAAAGGAGGTAAGTCGTGTTGCTGGTTAAAATTCTGAAGGAGGCCTTTTCAGAAACCAGGCTTGGAGAAGTACAGTGGCCAGCAGTCCTTAAGTTAGTGACTTGGTTAGTCAGTAGCCACGAATCCAGAAAATGTTCAATTGGCAAGCTGGGCAGTCTTGGAAGCACCAAGAAATACCTCTACTCAGCCTATTGCTCCCTAGGATAAAGCAAGACGGAGGATTTCTTCTAAGGCCTCCATGGATTTAGACCATCACCTGTCCTTGTGACCCCAGCAAGTTTTGGTATCTGACAGTGGAACTGTAAGTACTAATGTGGGAAAACATGGAGAGGTTCGAGGATATTTGGGGTGGTGGTAGAGTGAGCCACGAGAAATCGCATGTAAAATTGTATGCGTATGTGTGCTGATGTGCATTTTTCTGAGAACAGCGTCATTAGGGTTCATCAGATTATCAAAAGGTCCTGAGTCCCAAAAAATTTCAGGAACTACTTCAGTTTAGGTTATGGCCGAGGCCTTGGGGTCTCCATAAATTTACAAGTCTGATTCCTTAGAGGTTCAGATTATCCCCCAGTGGATGATCCCTCCCAGAGGATGAGTCACAGCAGAGAGTCACTTTGCAAGAACACGTGCTGTCTGAGCCTCCCCTGGAGTACTGGCCTCACAGGCAATCCCTGCTTTATAAAACACCCCTTTCTCTGATTTTTGTGACACTACACTGATTCCCTTTTGCAAATCTTCTGTCTTCTTAACTGGCATCTCTTAATTTCTTCATGTTTCCTGAAGGCAGGTGTTGTTTAATGATCAGTCTTCTGTGTTTTGTTCTTTTCTTCCTATACTCTCTCCTTTAGAAGCTTCACATACTTTTTCTATTAATTTCTCCAGCATGTACTATAATTTCATATTCTAAAATATGCTGGGATATTTCCATTTGGATAGACAGCACTATCTTAAAATTCATTAATTATAAAAAAATCAACTTTGGTGATTGAACAAAATTCCTTTTAAAAGTCCTTTCCAATATTGATGTTTTATGATTCTAGCTTCTGTTAATCACAATGCCCTTCTCTGAATTACTTAGCTTCAAAACCTCAGAGTAAATAAAACCAAAGTATTATAAAATTTTTAAATCTGGAGAACTTAGAGAAAAACAAATCTAGACCCATTACAACAGCTAATTATAGAACAACATAGCAAGATTAATGAGAAAAATACAAAGAGACCTTGATAAAAAAGGGTCCTCAACCCAGCTGGAGTATGGAGTCCAAGGCTTTATTAGAGGTAACCCCTGAATTGAGACTTATTGGTTACTTTCAAAATTTCAGGTTGCTTTAAGTGACAGCATTGAAGGGGAAAGTAAAAGGTAAGACATTCCATAAAGAGAAGATATAAGCAAAGGCCTAAAGGGCGGGAACAATATGGTTTATACTAGAAATGTTCAGAAGTTTGGAGTACATGAAGTAAAATAACAAGGTAAAAATTAGTATAATAAAAGATGAGATTAGGGAGACAGGGCTAGATCAAAAGGTGGTGCAGTGCTGTACTCCATTTTAAAGGTTGGGCCCTTAGTGGGCAAGAACATATCAGAATGGGGAGAAGGGGACAGAGAGAAAAAGAGGTGGTGGAAAGTATTTTTAAAGTTGCACAGATTAAGTCCTTCTCCATTATTCTTACACTGTCCCCCCAGGGGCAACATCCCCAAATAGGTTGAAAATCATCATGTACAATACTGAAGGACATAAGGACATGTATTATGCTGGTGAATGCTATGGAGGCAGGAAAAGAGAAAGGCTTGAGAAGCAATGCTGTATATGTGGGAGCCCTGGAAGAGATGAAAGCACAGCAGTGAAGTGACATGGTCAGATTTGCATTTCTGGGAGGTCACCAGGTTACTGTAGAGATGATAAATACGAGGGGGATAACATTAGAAGCATCGTGACAAACAGAAACTGGGTGAGTAATCCAAGTGAGAAATGACTAGGGCCTTGGTAGTAGGAATGCAGAGTCAGACTTGAAAAACATTAAAGGCAGTGGTTTCCAAACTTGTCTGCATGTCATTTGGGAGGTCTTCAAAGAAGCTTGTGATTTAATTGATCTGGGTGTGGCCTGGCCTTTGGAATTTTGCCCAGATTATTTTAATGTAGAGGGAATGACTAAGGGTATAAAATCAGTAGAAATCAGTTACTGATTAGATGCAGGTGAGAATGTGGGACAGGAATCAAGGATAAATGAAACCCCGGGTTTCTAACAAGGGTCACTTGGCAGAGTTGAACCAACAAACAAGTTACCAGGACCCCACATGGCTGCTGGTCCATGGTGGACATTCGATACATATCTGTTGAAGAGATGAGAAGATGACAGAGAGCAGGTTTTGGGAGAGAAGACAATAATTTTAGTGTCATATGCATTGAACTTGAGATATTGATGCTTCCTTCCTATCCCTTGGATCAGTTTCCAAACCCTCCTCCTCTACCCTAGTTCAGGCCCTTGTATCCTGATATTCAAGATGACTGTCCAAGGCTCCTCTGAATTAACCTCCAACTAGCTCCATGCTGCACACCAATGCCAGACTAATTTTCGTAAAATAGAGCTTTCATTGGGTCATTTCCCTACTCAAAAATCTTCAATCATATTTAACTACATGACTCCTTAGGCATTTAAAAACCTTAAAATTCATGGTTTTAATGTACTTTTCCATCTTATTTCCCACTCATACCCCATGAGATGCTGGTTATTTTTGTCTATTCATAGTTTCCCAAATACATCCTTTACTTCCCTGCCCCTTGAGCCCTTGGACACTCTCCCTCCAGCCTGCAAGCTCACTGTCTTCCTCTCTGCCAAGTCAAAATCTACCATCTTCCAGCATCCAATGTTGGTTCCTTGGGGCTTCCCTGACCACTCTTTAAGAAAGTAATTTCCTCCCCTTTTGAAGCCATGTGGCACTGTACATGAAAGCCCTCTGACATCTAGCATTCCCAAAGATTCTCTGAAACACATTCATTTTAGTAATCTGAAGAAGAAATGTGAATGTTTTGATCCACTTTCATGCCTGGAAATGCAAAAAAGGAAAACGCAGCCTGGCAGTGGCACACAAAGGTGGTGGTGGTAGAGGGTGGGTGGGTGGCAGTCTGCCCTGGCGGGATGGAATAACTGACATCCCTTAAGTTGCCAGCACATGGTGATCATAAAAAAGCAGACCACATTTTAGTTGGTTTTATTGTTTTTAAATTCTCTACAGATCAATTACCCCCTTATTGCCTGCTCTCAGGGCAGACCATTCATATTCTACCGTTACCCAGTATGCCACTGACGGCTGGGAGAACAGGACTGGGGCCCAATCTCTACCTTAGCTCCAGGTTGCAATTGAAAGTGCTTTTAAAATACTGTCAAGTATATCTCAAAGCAGCATTACATATTCCTTTTCAATAATTTTGTGACACCAAAACTTGAATATTCACTATATAGGAGATGAGACATAGGCTATTGGAAGTGTGGTGGTGTGGTATTTAAGTGTGGTGGCCATGAAAATGGGACTTTGAGATCTACTGTCAGAAACATCATTGCCCGAAGTCCCTAGATGCTGAGCTCTGAATCTATCACTGTGTTCCAGCTGAGGCCATCCCTCCCCTGTGTGCTCCCAGACAATGACTGAAGACAGTAGGGATTCTAAGGCTCATAACTACAAGAAGTAGACTCCTCTGATGGACAGTTTTGGTTGGAGGACTCCCACATCAGCCCTGCTGAACTGTTTTTAGAACTGCACTGCAATCTAAGACTTCCTACCCAACTTTTCTTCCTTCCCTCTCTCCTCCACAGGGATTAGAGTTATATCATGGCCTGATGGCTCTTCTGGCCTCCTCTGGCTCCCTCCCCATTTTCCCTCACAGACTATTACCCAGATAATCTCTTGCATGACTAATACTGTCTTACTGTTTCTCAGAGGATCCAATATAACACACTAAGGTTTTAACTGTTTTAAAATTAATTTTAATGAAGCAGGGCAGAGCATCGCCTCACCTGGGAAGTGCAAGGTGTCGGGGGATTTCCTTTTCCTAGCCAAGGGAAGCTGTGAAAGACTGGAAAAACGGGACAATCCCGCCCAAATAGTGCACTTTTCATGAGGTCTTAGCGACTGGCAGACAAGGCGATTCTCTCCCGTGCCTGGCTTGGTGGGTCCCATGCCCACGGAGCCTTGCTCACTGCTAGTGCAGCAGTCTGAGATCAAACTGCAAGGTGGCAGCCTGGCTGGGGGAGGGGCGTTACCATTGCTGAGGCTTGAGTAGGTAAACAAAGCAGCCAGGAAGCTTGAACTGGGCAGAGCCCACTGCAGTTCAGCAAGGCCTACTATCTCTATAGACTCCACCTCTGTACGCAGGGCATAGCGGAACAACAGGCAGCAGACAACTTCTGCAGACTTAAATGTCCCTGTCTGACAGCTCTGAAAAGAGCAATGGTTCTCCCAGCACAGTGTTTGAGCTCTGAGAATGGACAGACTGCCTCCTCAAGTGGGTCCCTGACCCCCGTTTAGCCTAACTGGGAGACACCTCTCAATAGGGTCCGACAGATACCTCATATAGGGGGGTACCCCTCTGGGACAAAGATTCCAGAGGAAGGATCAGGCAGCAATATTTGCTGTTTGGCAATGTTTGCTATTCTGCAGCCTCCGCTGGTGATACCCAGGCAAAAAGGATCTGGAGTGGACCTCCAGCAAACTCCAACAGACGTGCAGCTGAGAGACCTGACTGTTAGAAGGAAAACTAACAAACAGAAAGGAATAGCATCAACATCAACAAAAAGGACATCTACACCAAAACCCCATCTGTAGGTCACCAACATCAAAGACAAAAGGTAGATAAAACCACAAAGATGGGGAGAAACCAGAGCAGAAAAGCTAAAAATTCTAAAAACCAGAGCACCTCTTCTCCTCTAAAGGATCGCAGCTCCTCGCCAGAAACGGAACAAAGCTGGATGGAGAATGACTTTGATGAGTTGACAGAAGTAGGCTTCAGAAGGACAGTAATAACAAACTTCTGTGAGCTAAAGGAGAATGTTCAAACCCATTGCAAAGAAGGTAAAAACTGTGAAAAAAGGTTAGATGAATGGCTAACTAGAATAAACAGTGTAGAGAAGACCTTAAATGACCTGATGGAGCTGAAAACTATGGCATGAGAACTTTGTGATGCATGCACAAGCTTCAATAGCTGATTCAATCAAGTGGAAGAAAGGATATCAGTGATTGAAGATCAAATTAATGAAATAAAGTGAGAAGACAAGGTTAGAGAAAAAAAGGTAAAAAGAAATGAACAAAGCCTCCATGAAATATGGGACTAGGCCGGGAGCGGTGGCTCACGCCTGTAACCCCAGCACTTTGGGAGGCCGAGGCGGGTGGATCACGAGATCAGGAGATCGAGACCACGGAGAAACCCCGTCTCTACTAAAAATACAAAAAATTAGCCAGGCACGGTGGCGGGCGCCTGTAGTCCCAGCTACTCTGGAGGCTGAGGCAGGAGAATGGTGTGAACCTGGGAGGCGGAGCTTGCAGTGAGCTGAGATGGCGCCACTGCACTCCAGCCTGGGTGACAGAGCAAGACTCCGTCTCAAAAAAAAAAAAAAAAAAGAAAAAAGAAATATGGGACTATGTGAAAAAACCAAATCTACGTTTGATTGGTTTACCTGAAATTGATGGGGAGAATGGAACCAAGTTGGAAAACACTCTTCAGGATATTATCCAGGAGAACTTCCCTAACCTGGCAAGGCAGGCCAACATTCAAATTCAGGAAATACAAAGACCACCACAAAGATACTCCTCGAGAAGAGCAACACCAAGATACATAATTGTCAGATTCACCAAGGTTGAAATGAAGGAAAAAAATGTTAAGGGCAGCCACAGAAAAAGGTTGGGTTACCCACAAAGGGAAGCCCATCAGACTAACAGTGGATCTCTCAGCAGAAACCCTACAAACCAGAAGAGAGTGGGGGCCAATATTCAACATTCTTAAAGAAAAGAATTTTCAACCCAGAATTTCATATCCAGCCAAACTAAACTTCATAAGTGAAGGAGAAATAAAATCCTTTACAAACAAGGAAATGTTAAGAGATTGTATCACCAGCAGGCCTGCCTTACAAGAGCTCCTGAAGGGAGCACTGAACATGGAAAGAAACAACCCGTACCAGCCACTGCAAAAACATGCCAAATTGTAAAGACCATTGATGCTATGAAGAAACTGCATCAATTAACGGGCAAAATAACCAGCTAACACTATAATGACAAGATCATATTCACACACAACAGTATTAACTTTAAATGGAAATGGGCTAAATGCCCCAATTAAAAGACACAGACTGGCAAGTTGGATAAAGAGTCAAGACCCATCAGTGTGCTGTATTCAGCAGACTCATCTCACATGCAGAGACACAAATAGGCTCAAAATAAAGGGATGGAAGAAGATCTACCAAGCAAATGGAAAGCAAAAAAGAGCAGAATTTGCAATCCTACTCTCTGCTAAAACAGACTTTAAACCAACAAAGATCAAAAGAGATAAAGAAGGCCATTACATAATCATAAAGGGATCAATTCAACAAGAAGAGCTAACTATCCGAAATATATATGCACCCAATACAGGAGCACCCAGATTCATAAAGTAAGTCCTTAGAGATCTACAAAGAGACTTAGACTCCCCCACAATAATAATGGAACACTTTAATACCCCACTGTCAATATTAGACAGATCAGTGAAACAGAAGGTTAACAAGGATATCCAGGACTTGAACTCAGCTCTGCACCAAGAGGACCTAATGCACCAGAACTCTCTACCCCAAATCAACAGAATATACATTCTTCTCAGCACCACATTGCACTTATTCTAAAATTGACCACTTAATTGGAAGTAAAGCACTCCTCAGCAAATGTAAAATAGAAATCACAACAAACTGTCTCTCAGACCACAGTGCAATCAAATTAGAACTCAGGATTAAGAAACTGACTCAAAACCACACAACTACATGGAAACTGAACAACCTGCTCTTGAATGACTACTGGGTAAATAATGAAATGAAGGCAGAAATAAAGATGTTCTTTGAAACCAATGAGAACAAAGACACAATGTACCAGAATCTCTGGGACACATTTAAAGCAGTGTGTACAGGGAAATTTATAGCACTAAATGCCCACAAGAGAAAGCAGGAAAGATCTAAAATTGACACCCTAACATCACAATTAAAAGAACTAGAGAAGCAAGAGCAAACAAATTCAAAAACCAGCAGAAGGCAAGAAATAACTAAGACGAGAGCAGAACTGAAAGAGATAGAGACACAAAAAACCCTTCAAGAAATCAATGAATCCAGGAGCTGGTTTTTGAAAAGATAAACAAAATTGATAGACTGCTAGTAAGACTAATAAAGATGAAAAGAGAGAAGAATCAAATAGATGCAATAAAAAATGATAAAGGGGATATCACCACTGATCCCACAGAAATACAAACCACCATCAGAGAATACTATAAACGCCTCTACGCAAATAAACTAGAAAATCTAGAAGAAATAGATAAATTCCTGGACACATACACCCTCCCAACACTAAACCAGGAAGAAGTTGAATCTCTGAATAGACCAATAACAGGCTGTGAAATTGAGGCAATAATTAATAGCCTACCAACCAAAAAAAAAGCCCAGGACTAGATGGATTCACAGTCGAATTCTACCAGAGGTACAAAGAGGAGCTGGTACCATTCCTTCTGAAACTATTCCAAACAATAGAAAAAGAGGGAATCCTCCCTAATTCATTTTATGAGGCTAGCATCATCCTGATACCAAAGCCTGGCAAAGACACAACAAAAAAAGAGAATTTTAGACCAATGTCCCTGATGAACATCGATATAAAAATCCTCAGTAAAATACTGGCAAGCCGAATCCAGCAGCACATCAAAAACCTTATCCACCACGATCAAGTTGGCTTCATCTCTGGGATGCAAGGCTTGCTCAACATTTGCAAATCAATAAACGTAATCCATCACATAAACAGAACCAATGACAAAAATCACATGATTATCTCAATAGATGCAGAAAAGGCCTTTGACAAAATTCAACAGCCCTTCATGCTAAAAACTCTCAATAAACTAGATATCGATGGAATGTATCTCAAAATAATAAGAGCTATTTATGACAAACCCACAGCCAATATACTGAACAGGCAAAAACGGGAAGCATTCCCTTCGAAAACTGGCACAAGACAAGGACGCCCTCTCTCACCACTCCTATTCAACATAGTGTTGGAAGTTCTGGCCAGGGCAATCAGTCAAGAGAAAGAAATAAAGGGTATTCAATTAGGAAATGAGGAAGTCAAATTGTCCCTGTTTGCAGATGACATGATTGTATATTTAGAAAACCCTGTCATCTCAGCCCAAAATCTCAGGCTGATAAGCAACTTCAGCAAAGTCTCAGGATACAAAATCAACGTGCAAAAATCACAAGCATTCTTATACACCAATAACAGACAAACAGAGAGCCAAATCATGAGTAAACTCCCATTCACAATTGCTTCAAAGAGAATAAAATACCTAGGAATAAAACTTACAAGGGATGTAAAGGGCCTTTTCAAGGAGAACTACAAACCACTGCTCAATGAAATAAAAGAGGACACAAACAAACGGAAGAACATTCCATGCTCATGCATAGGAAGAATCAATATCGTGAAAAAGGCCATACTGCCCAAGGTAATTTATAGATTCAATGCCATCTCCATCAAGCTACAAATGACTTTCTTCACAGAATTGGAAAAAACTACTTTAAAGTTCACATAGAACCAAAAAAGAGCCCGCATTGCCAAGACAATCCTAAGCCAAAAGAACAAAGCTGGAGGCATCACACTACCTGACTTCAAATTATATTACTAAGCTACAGTAACCAAAACAGCATGGTACTGGTACCAAAACAGATATAGACCAATGGAACAGAACAGAGCCCTCAGAAATAACACATCTACAACCATCTGATCTTTGACAAACCTGACAAAAACAAGAAATGGGGAAAGGATTCCCTATTTAATAAATGGTGCTGGGAAAACTGGTTAGCCATATGCAGAAAACTGAAACTGCTGAAACTGGACCCCTTCTTTACACCTTATACAAAAATTAACTCAAGATGGATTAAAGACTTAAACATAAGACCTAAAACAATAAAAACCCTAGAAGAAAACCTAGGCAATGCCATTCAGGCCATAGGCATGGGCAAGGACTTCATGACTAAAACACCAAAAGCAACGGCAACAAAAGCCAAAATAGACAAATGGGATCTAATTAAACTAAAGTGCTTCTGCACAGCAAAAGAAACCACCATCAGAGTGAACAGGCAACCTACAGAATGGGAGAAAATTTTTGCAATCTACCCATCTGAAGAAGGGCTAATGTCCAGAATCTACAAAGAACTCAAATTTACAAGAAAAAAACAAACAATCCTATCAAAAAGTGAGCAAAGGATATGAACAGACAATTCTCAAAAGAAGACATTTATGCAGCCAACGGAGACATGAAAAAACGCTCATCATCACTGGTCATCAGAGAAATGCAAATCAAAACCACAATGAGATACCATCTCATGCCAGTTAGAATGGCAATCATTAAAAAGTCAGGAAACAACAGATGCTGGAGAGGATGTAGAGAAATAGAAACACTTTTATACTGTTGGTGGGAGTATAAATTAGTTCAACCATTCTGGAAGACAGTGTGGTGATTCCTCAAGGATCTAGAACTAGAAATACCATTTGACCCAGCCATCCCATTACTGGGTTTATACCCAAAGGATTATAAATCATGCTACTATAAAGACACATCCACATGTATGTTTATTGCGACACTATTCACAATAGCAAAGACTTGGAACCAACCCAAATGTCCATCAGTGATAGACTGGATTAAGAAAATGTGGCACATATACACCATGGAATACTATGCAGCCATAAAAAAGGATGAGTTCATGTCCTTTGCAGGGACATGGATGAAGCTGGAAACCATCGTTCTCAGCAAACTATCACAAGGACAGAAAACCAAACACTGCATGTTCTCACTCATAGGTGGGAATTGAACAATGAGAACACTTGGACACAGGGTGGGGAACATCACACACCAGGGCCTGTTGTAGGGTTGGGGGCTGGGAGAGGGATAGCATTAGGAGAAATACCTAATGTAAATGACGAGTTGCTGGGTGCAGCAAACCAACATGGCACATGTATACCTATGTATCAAACCTGCACATTGTACCCTAGAACTTAAAGTATAATTTAAAAAAAAGAAAAAAAAAGCATCAAATTTAATTAGGCAAATCAATCTAGCCAGAGAAAACCAACATATGTCTAGAGTTCCCTTACAGAATTCATTTGGAAGATTTCTGCAAAATCACAACAAAGAAACTGATTGCATTAAAGCTTCTAAATCCCATAAAGCATCACGTATTGGAAAATGTGTAACATCACATAATTTGTCAGTAGGCATATGCTACTGCTGTTATTAACAAGTACACAAAATGATTTATTAAGCATCTTCTATGTGTCAAATATTGTATGAGGTACTTTACATGGTTTGTTAATCTTTGCAATCACCTTATGAAGCAAGTATTATTAAGCGCATTTTTTAGAAGAGTAAACTGTGCCTTAGAGAGGTTAAGAGACTTGTCTAAGTTCCCACAGCGTAGGTAGTAGATCATGTATTTTGTTTGTTTTTTGAGACGGAGTTTCACTCTTGCTGCCTAGGCTGGAGTGCAGTGGCACGATCTCGGCTCACTGCAACCTCCAGCTCCAGGGTTCAAGTGATTCTCCTGCCTCAGCCCCTCAAGTAGCTGGGATTATAGGCGCCCGCCACCACTGCCAGCTAATTTTTGTATTTTTAGTAGAGATGGGGTTTCATCATGTTGGTCAGGCTGGTCTCGAACTCCTGATCTCAGGTGATCCACCGGGCTCGGCCTCCCAAAGTGCTGGGATTACAGGCATGAGGCACTGTGCCTGGCTCAGACCATGTTTTTAACCTCAGGTGAGTCCCTACAGCTCTCTTGAGCCAGGGTGCCTCTCAGCAGAAACTGGGCTTGGCCCAGAGGAAGGCTTCCTGAAGTCAGTTGTTTATGAACCACCCACTCTTTCAAGATGGGAATGACATTGTCCTCACCACCTTTACTAGAGATAAGCAGTGACCAATGTTCACATACTAAAAACACAAAAAATGAACCACACAAAATAGAATTTTTAGGATAGAAACGGGCCTTTGACATCAGCCTAACATCTTCATTGAACCAATAAACCGGTGAGCATTTCCTCTATTTTATTGAGAGATATCTTTCAAGACTTACCTTTTAGATTTACCTATGTAAGCACTTTGCATCTCAGCCTATACAAAGGGAAGAAAACTCTTGGCCCAGGGAGAGGGAGTTGCAGACTGGTATGTACTGGATGGTTGTTTTGGTAAATTTTTCCAACTAAGAACACATTCCACTCCCACGCCACCCTGTGCTGCCACCACCAGAGAAACAATGATAGTTTCCATCTCCAGCTGCCCCTCAGGTGGTTCCCAGGGACATGAAACAAGGAGGAAGGGAGAGGCTCTTTCTTTTTCCAAGGTCATACGCGCATTCTATCAGCTAAGAGCCCAGGAACGAGAAAAGGGAGAGGTGGCTCTGTTGTTTCTAGCAAAGGAAAGGGTAGTGTTCCCTCTGACTTCTGCGCATAAGGCATAGCTTTCTCCCAAATGACAGATAATTGAATATTTTCCCTTCTCAATTTTAAAAGGTAATTCAAGATACAATTGCCCTTTCTGAAAAATTTGCTCTCTTAGGCAGACTGCCATTATCAATAGTAGTAGGTAAATATTCACTGTAAAGTAACTGTGTTTTTTCCCTCAAGCCAACATATGAATTTAATTTATGATATTAATGACCACGGCAAATACATGAATATCATTTACTATATTTTTTTTGGAGAAAGAAAAATTAGTTTTTTGTCATAAAGTGTATTACTATTTTTTTTTTTTTAGAGCTTGAGAAAACACTCTTTTTTTCCTTTTCAGCTTTTATTTTAGACCCAGGGTACATGGGCAGGTTTGCTACCTGGATATATTGCATGATGCTGAGGTTTGGGGTATGAATGACCCCCACCCGCCCACCGAGGTACCGAGCATAGTAACCAACATTTAATTTTTCAACTCTTGTCCCTCTCCCTCCCTTCCCCCTCTAGTCATCCCCAGTGTCTACTGTTCCCATCTTTATGTCCATGAGCACTCAATGTTTAGCTCCCACTTATAAGTGAGAACACGCAGTATTTGGTTTTCTGTTCCTGTATTAATTCACTTAAGATAATGGCCTCCAGCTTCATCCATGTTGCTGCATAGGACATGACTTTGTTCATTTTTATGGTTGTGTAGTATTACATGGTGTATATGTACCACATCTTCTTTATCCAATCCACTGCTGATGGGCACCTAGGTTGATTCCATGTCTTTGCTATTGTGAATAGTGCTGTGATGAACATATACACATGCATGTGTCTTTTTGGTAGAACAATTTGTTTTCTTTTGGGTATATGTCCAGTAATGGGATTGCTGGTTCAAACGGTAGTTTGCCTTAAGTTCTTTGAGAAATCTCCAAGCTACTTTCCACAATGGCTGAACTAATTTACATTCCCACCAACGTGTATAAGCATTCCCTTTGCTCCACAGCCTCACCAACACCTGTTGTTTTCTGACTTTTTAATAATAACCATTCTGACTGGTGTGAGAATGGTATCTCATTGTGGTTTTGATTTGCGTTTCTCTGATGATTAGTCATGATGAGCATTTTTCATGTTTCTTGGCCACTTGTACGTCTTGTTTTGAGAAGTGTCTGTTCATAACCTTTGCTCACCTTTTAATTTTTTTTTTTTTTTTTTTTTGCTCATTCAATTGTTTCAGTTACTTACAGATTCTGGATATTAGACCTTTGTTGGATGCACAATTTGCAAATATTCTCTCCCATTCTGTAGGTTGTCTATTTACTCTGTTGATAGTTTCATTTGCTGTGCAGAAGCTCTTTAGTTTAATTAGGTCCCATCTGTCAATTTTTGTTTTTGTTGCAATTGTTTTTGAGGACTTAGTCATAAATTCTTTCTCAACATTGATATCCAGAATGGTGTTTCTGAGGTTTTCTTCTAGGATTGTTATAGTTTGAGGTATTACATTTAAATCACAGTGTAATTTGTTAGTGTAACATAACTACTGTATTCTTGATTCACCTAGGCCTTAGGTATCATAATAAGCAAGTCCATGAAAGAATAAGCTTTGAATTGCTAATTAGATCATTAGCAATTTATTTTCAAAATAAGAAGCCCCATCTTTATTACTCTGAGGCCACAGATGGCCTATGTTTGTCATCAAACCTCAAAGTATATTTTCCCATAGAATGTTAAATATTTTCTTTACAAATGACCAGGATTTTAGAAATTTCCTTTGTAACTTTGTAGTAATGTGTCAATATATACAAGCATCTGAAAGTCCCTTTGATGTTCAAAAGCTGTCATATCACCTATCCTTGGAATCTGAAAGAAAGAAAGGTTACATAGGGAACCACCAGTGTTCTAAGTCCATTCCTTACTCTCCAGCCTCCAAAATTATTAAATTCTAAGTTTTGTTTATTCGGGTGCCTCAAGCCTGAGTCTCAGCTTAATCACTTTGTCCCAGAAGCTTTTCCTGACTCCAACAAAGGTTAGCTACCTCCTCATATGCCCTCACAGCTTGTGCTTTAAGGTAAGTATGGCTTTAACTGTAATCTCTGCTAGAATGTAAATGCTAACAGATTCAGGATTAGTTCAGTCTTGTTTACCACTAGAATCCCCAGATTCTAGCATAGTGCTAGGAATTCAATACATACTAGAATGCCTTGCTCATTCTACCTGACTGCTTGCACAGCATTTGATATTCTAGAAGACCTTCTACTTCCCCTTCCTGAAAGCTCCCCTCTCTCACTGTGGCACACTTTCCTCTTTTGCACCTCCCACCATTTTCACTGGTCTTCCAGTGGCTTCTTTCCTTCTGCCTTACCTTTATACTCAACCTCTACATTCCATCCTAGTCTATCTTTTCTGGGCCAAATATGGCAGGCACTTAATATGGGTGGAATGAAGGAATAAAAGAATGTCATGCTTCAGACTCTTCTTGAGAAATGCTATTCACCTCCATAGTTTCAATGATTATGTTAAACTAATAAGGTCTAAATATTCCCAAAACTACACTTCTCATCTGGGCAACAAACCTTTATCTGTAACACCCCCTTATGTCAATATGTTCATAACTAAATTCAGGATGTCCAATTAAACATAGCAGATTAATCATACAGAATTATCTCCTTTCCCACTCCAATCTCTGCTAAGATGATGGCAAAGGAATTTCTTTTAAGAAAAAATGTACAAATCCACAAGGGCAAACAGAAGAGAATACAATGGTTAACCACAGATTCCTACAAATTTTGGGATGGTGCAGAGAGGATAGAGGTGAAACAACTGACTTAGGAGAGTACTGGAGTTAGGACAGTATGGATGTAGTGTTTTTCCTCATCTTTAAGGACATTAATGATAGTTGCAATTTTTTTTCTTCTTTCTTAATTGGCTCTGTTTCCTCTGAGTGCCTTTTTTTTTTCTTTTTCTCTTTTACTGTTTAAAGGTTTCTAAATGCTGAAATAAATACAACAACAACAACAAAAATTCAGCCTGCAGAATCCTGGAAGGGCTCAGCATAGGGGAACACTAGCTACTAAGGAGAATGAAGCTTATACACTAACTAGCTAGACTGAAAACACAGGAAGTGACAGTTTACCAAGAAATGAACTGTGATATACAGAACTACATTCCCAGGTCCTACTCCGGAATGCTGGCAGCTAGGCTTATATCTCTCCGGAAGATTAGAAGATCCTTCTCTGAGAAAATGAACAGCCTAAGGGGGAAAGACTTCCAGGTATTTGGAAGTCTACCCACAACAATAAAAAATCCACCATCAACAAGCCCTACCTATGCCCACATAGCTTCTATTCAGCCTTTTAATGCCCTATTCTTAAATAGGAACAGACAGGAATTCATATAACAAATATAAATGTCAGACAAGGATTAAAAAACGTTTGAGGAAAACCTCTAATAAAACCTCAGAAAAAGAGAAAATGAAGAAAAAAAGGCATCTGGAAGAAACAGAGCCAATTAAGAAAAAAAACTGCAACTAATGTCCTTAGAGATGAAAAAAGATATTGCATCCATAAAATAAGTATAGGAGGCTATGAAAAAGGAATAAACAGAAAAGAATGTTTGGAATTTAAAATAAGGTAGCCATAAAAAAATTATTCAAGAATTGGAAAATAACATCAAGGACTTCTCACAGAAAGTGGTCTCCCTCACCAGGGTAGGGGGAAAAAAGTAAGACAGGAGAAAAATATTTCCTTTTAAATTATTAGAGAATTAATTCAGGAAGACCAGTAATTGCCTAACAGGATTCTAGAAAAAAGGGACCAGAGAATATTATGAGAGGAAATTATCAAATAAATAATACAATAAAATATCCCCTTGGGAGCAAGACTGTGAGGCAGTGAGAAGTAAGCAAAACGCTCCTGTTTTCCATCAAACAACATTTAGTACTATTTGAATTTTAAACTATGTGCATATATTACTTTGATAAACAATTTGAAAGGGGAAAAAAAAAACCCTCAGTTTCTCACCCCCAAAGCTGTCATTCCTTTCTGTATTCCCTTTCTCTGCTAATATTATCATCACCCGTCAGCTCCAAAGCAGCCCTTTAAGTTCTACTTTTTTTTTTTTTGAGACAAGGTCTCGCTCGTCACCCAGATTGGAGTGCAGTGGCATGATCACAGTTCACTGCAGCTTTGACTTCCTGAGCTCAAACGATCCCCCCACTTCAGCCTCTTGAGTAGCTGAAACTATAGGCACAAGCCTCCATGCCAAGCTAATTTTTTAATGTTTTGTAGAGATGGGGTCTCCCTATGTTGTCCAGGCTGGTCTTAAACTCCTGGGCTCAACTCCTGGGCTCAAGTGATCCTCCCACCTCGGCCTCCCAAAGTGTTGGGATTATAGGCATGAGCCACCACACCTGGCCTAAGTTCTACTTCTGATGGATCTTTCACACATTTCTTCTCTTCAACCCTACTACCCTCATTGGATCCTCAATCACCTCTTCCTGGAATGTTCCATAATGTCATTACTGGTGGCTCTGTCTTTGGTCTCTGTCCCTCAAAACCATCTTGCTACGGCCATGCTTTAAACGTTTTTCATGCCTGCAATGGACTCCTGAGAAGTTTTTTAACCGTTTGTAGCCTCCAACCTCCAGGGGCTTGGAGTTGGTAGGTAGGAAGGTGTTTTCTCTACCCATCCTGTTCCCCATTGGCACCTCCAAACCACTTCATCTCCTTCCTCCTTCAAAACTTCCTACTCTTCTGAAGATTATTCCATCTGACCACATTAGCCAATATTACTCCTTTTGACTGTCATCTGGCTAGCCAGTTACCCTGGTTTGCTGAAATTCTAGCACCCAGCTTGCCATCTTCCTCTCTACCACAACTTCTATCATAATCTTGGCAATTTCAATATCCACATTAAAAAGTTACTTCCATACTTTTTGTTTTTTTAGAGCAGGGTCTCACTGCATTGCCAGGGTGGAGTGCCATGGCTATTCATAGGTGCACTCACAGTGCATGGAAACTCCAGCTCCTGGCCTCAAGTGATCCTCCTGCCTCAGCCTCCTGAGTAGCTGGGACTGTAAGTGCAGGCCACTGCACCTGGCTCTGGCCTCTAACATTCTTAATTTCTTCAACTTTGTTGTTATGTTCCATCTGGGCCACTGACTGCCATGGCCATACTCTGGTTCTTGTCATCAACATCCTGACCAAAAGCCCCTATCTCTCTAGCTTCCCTCAAGCACCCCCCACTCAACCTCAAAACAGCACGGGAAATCTACGAAGACCCCTTCCTCACCACCTGTGTTAAGTAATATGTTTCAGTACCATAATCACTCCCTTGAAAACACTTTAACTGCTTTGTTCCTTTTTCCCTCCATCCTACTTGCCCACTTGTCCAGCTCCAATTATAAGTGATTCTGGGTCTACATCTAACTAGCTAAATTTTCTCCAGAAATAAAGAGAAACATAACAGAACTTCACTAATTGGTCTTTATGCCCAAAAATATCAAATGGCAAACAACATTGCCCATCAGTCTCGCTAATCTCTCTGGCAAATTTCTTTCTCCAAAATGCTTACTTTTCTATTAACCTTTTCCTTTTCCTCAAACTTGGAACATCCTATTCTATCCCTCTGCTGATGACCTTGCCTTCCCTTCACACTTCACTGAGAAACAAGAAGTGATTTGACAAGAACTGCCTATCTTGTCTTCCTGCCACCAACATTATCAATCCAGCCAAATCAGAACCTGTATGTACAATTTGTTCTCCCTGTGAATAGAAGAAATTTCCTTGCTTCTATATAAACCAGCATTTTTGCTATTTAAGAACTGCATTCCTAAAATCACCCCTAATCTCTCCTAAATCTTCAGGTTCCCTTTCAATTGGATCATTACCAGCCTCAGAGAAGTATATTTAGTATCACCCAGCCTAAGCAAAACAAACAGAAAATGTCCTTGACCCTATGTTCTCTTCTAGCTCCTATCCCACTTTTTTTTCTTTTTTTTTTTTGAGACAGAGTTTTGCTCTGTTGCCCAGGCTGGAGTGCAGTGGTGTGATCTCAGCTCACTGCAACCTCCGCCTCCCGGGGTCAAGCAATTCTCCTGCCTCAACCTCCCAAGTAGCCTCCCAAGGAGCTGGGTGGCTCCTGCCACCACGCCCGGCTAATTTTTGTATTTTTAGTAGAGACGGGGTTTCGCCATGTTGGCCAGGCTGGTCTCAAACTCCTGACCTCAGATGATTCTCTCATCTCGGCCTCCCAAAGTGCTGGGATTACAGGCATGAGACACTGCGCCCGGCCCCTATCCCACTTTTCTTCTCTTCTTCACTATAAAACGTTTCCAGAATGTCTTTAGTTATAGGCTCTTTCTCACCTTCCATTCTCTCTCCAGCCTATTCGATTGTAGTTTTATACCTGTTTTTCTTATCATATATATTATATAGGAGAGGAAATACAGTTATTAAGTTTGGGCTTTGACCTCATGGGTTCTAATCCATGTTCTGTGATTTACTAGTTATAAAAGCAACGTAACTTCGTGCCTCAGTTTCCCCAACTTAAAATGAGGATAATAAAAGTAACTATCTCATAGGGCTGTTGTGAGGATTAAAATAGCACATATAAAAGCACAAGAATACCAGTCATATAGAAATTGTTCAAGACATGCTTGCCATTGTAGTCAACAATGACCCTCCTTCATCTTATGAAATACAACAGTGAAGACTCCTCTCTGTCAAGCAGCACTGGACAGAGTCCACATCTCACTTCTACTCATGGATTCTGTGACATCCTACTCTATTGGGTTTCCTTCTACTTCACTGGCTGCATATTTTCAGGATCCTCGCCGGCTGCTTAATCTCTAAATATTGGATTACTCAGCCTTCCCTTTTTACTATCTAAACTCTTCTGAGGTAACCTGATCAAGTCCCATGCTTTTAAATACCATGTATGTGCTGATGTTGCTCAAATTTGTATTTCCTATCCTGGCTCTCCCCAGAGCATCATATATTTAACCATCTCTACCAGGTCATTAAGTTGGTATCGCAAACCTAACAAATCTAGGACAGAATTCTTAAAGACTTCCCTCTCCCCATCTCAGCCCATACACCTGCTCTTCTCAATCTTCATATTTCTGGTATAGTATCATCATTCACCTAGTTATCAGGCCAAAAAACTAGTCAAATCTGATTTTTCTTCCTTCTCTCAATCTGACATCCGAATGTTAGTGTTTGTTTGTTCCACCTCCAAAATAAATCCCAAATTTATCTCTACTTCTTACCATGTCACTGCTGCCATTTTAATCCAAGCTATCATGACTTCTCTGCCAGATACTGCAAAGTCATCCCAATGGGTGTCATTGCTGCCATTCTTTGCCCCCAACAGGCCAACTTCCTCAGAGCAGCCATAGTAATCTCAAAAGATAAACTAGATCTTATCAATTGCCTGCTTAAAATCTTCCGGACACTTCCTATTATGATTAGAATAAAATTCAAACTAGTGAACTCGGTATACATATGAATGATTAATGATTGAATGACTGTAAAGACTTATTAGGATTATAGTTATAGTTGAAAGTTAACCTACTCTGTAGAATTGGTTTGTAAGATGTAACAACTGTATATAAAACCCTCACAAATTCAGGAATATGTATACTATATATGTTTCTTATAAACAAGATTATTGCTATCCAGGCAAACTCTATGTTCTCTCTATATGAGTGAATTTGCTCAAGTAGAATGATCATCTGGAAGTTTCACTGTATCTGACAGGTTCTGAGAAGTATGCTCATGCCTCTAAATCTCAGCAACATTTGGACCCAATGAACCCTACTGATTCCTAATAAACTGTTCTCTGCTTAGAATTAAATTTTCCTAGACTTCTGATGACATGAATACCCTTCAAAGAGTGTATTGCTGTTTTCTTGCATTGACCAGCACCACTGCAGATCACCAGAAGCTTGGCAGATGACTCATCTGGCAGAAACATGGAATATATTCTAAATAGAAGTCACTTTTAAATGAATTGATTGATTCTTATACTGCCACAATAAATTTTCATTTCTTGATCATCCTCTAAAAAAGATAAAACACTTTTAAATTTAATAAAAAATGCTAGGCATTGTTTTGGTAATCATTTGAACCACCATTCTTTTATTTTATTTTATTTTATTTTTTGAGATGGAGTTCGCTCTGTCGCCCAGGCTGGAGTGCAGTGGCGTGATCTCGGCTCACTGCAACCTCCGCCTCCCGGTTGAACCACTATTCTTAAAATATATTTATTAATAAGATCTGTGATTTCTACCTCAGTAAAATATCGCTTAACATTCAACATTTTTAATATTAAAAAATAATGCAGTAATCCTAATTTTGAAACTAGCAACCTAATTATAATTAATGTTTATGTATTTTTACAGTGTGGCAAAATATTATCCGTGTCTCAAGATTACTACACGTTAATCTAAGATCAGAGTACAAAACAATGGCTTTGTCTTTTGTTTTTTCATTTTTGTGGAGAATGGGGTCTCACTATATGGCTCAGGCAGGTCTTGAATTCCTGGGCTCAAGCTATGCTCCCGCCTCTGCCTCCCTCAGAGTTGAGAGTACAGGCATGAACCACCACACCCAGCCAGCGTATAAAACAATGTTTTAAAATTTTCCTTCGGAGGCCAGCGCGGTGGCTCACGCCTGTAATCCCAGCACTTTGGGAGACCGAGGTGGACAGATCACAAGGTCAAGAGATCGAGACCATCCTGGCCAACGTGGTGAAACCCCGTCTCTATTAAAAATACAAAAATTGGCTGGGCGTGGTGGCGTGCCCCTGTAGTCCCAGCTACTCAGGAGGCTGGGGCAGGAGAATCGCTTGAACCTGAGAGGCAGAGATTGCAGTGAGCCAAGATTGCACCACTACACTCCAGCCTGTGCAACAGAGCGAGACTCCATCTCAAAAATAAAAATAAATAACAAATAAAAAAATAAAAAAATTTCCTTTGGAAACCCCAACCCTGATTTATTTGTAACCAAACATGCCTTCAGTTATTAATTTAAAAATATCCGAGGCTGGGCAACATAGGAAGACCCCATCTGTGCCAAAAGAAAAAAAAAAAATTAGCTGTACCTGGTGGCATGCTCCTGTGATTCCAGCTACTCAGGAGGCTGAGGTAAGAGGATCATTTGAGCCCACGAGTTCAAGGTTACAGTAAGCTATGATCATGCCATTACACTCCAGCCTGGGCAACAGAGCCAGAGGGAGACCCTGTCTCAAAATAAATAAATTAATGTAATATAAATAAAATTAAAATATTTACACAGGGAAAAATATGCCAAAACCCATCAGCAAAGACTGTTTTTGATTACTCTAGGGTGCTAACCCACTTAAATTCTAACCCACCATCCCTTAAACTTTTTTTCTATTTCCTTTTTTTTGCTTTAAATTCTTCTAAGGGTTACTCAAGCATGCAGTTTAGAGGTGCTTGTTTTGAACAAATTAATCTTATGTTCATAAATGTAAACTAGTAACAATATAAAACAATACAAGAAAAATTGTTAGTTTTATTGGTATTACAGTGTACTTTTAATACAAGCTAAATACAAACACAATTCTTACATATTCAGCCACTTATTCTGCAAAACAACATGCCAAGATCAACCTTAAAAAGTTTATAAAAACCAAAATCCAGAAAATATCTTCCTCAACTCTAAGGACTCCATATACAAATGCAAAAATTGCTATTTGTCAATAATCACATTAAGTGTTGAGTTATTGACTGAGCAGTAAAAAACAATTTCTGATTTTTAAATTAAATAGCTCCAGATAAAAGCATGTTATTTTCCACATACGCTATCTTTGTATTCTGCACAGAGTTCCAAGGCAAAGATTGCTCCTGGCTTTATGAATTACCAGAGATGATGACTTGTGTGGCTGACTTATCACAGGTCTTTTACTCTTCCTTCCTGATAGATCCTTAGCTTCTTTGGGAGGTGGCATATGAATTGGTTTCCACGGAATTGGATTATAAAAGGCTGGTTCTGGATAGGAATTTCCACTGTAAAAACCTAAAATTATTGAAAAATCAGATCAAAACAAGGAAAAACTTTCTTGACATCAAAGAAGCCACTTAAAACTTCTAGAAAAATGTTAAAATGTCAAATGGACAAATTATCACTAATAAGCCAATGTGACTTATTTGAAACTTAAACTCCTTGATATTTTCAAATAAGTAACACTTTCCAAATACAGTAAATATTTAGTTAAAATTAAAGCATAAATGATAATTCTAAGAATCCAAATAACATTAGTGTTAAAACCTATGTAAATCAAACTCCTATAAAATTTTTACTAAGAAATTAATTTTATGATCCTTAAATTCAACAAAACTTTCATTTTCTTAACTCAGTCTGGGAAACTACTGATTGTGTACTAGCTTCCTCTTGTCAGATACTGAAGTTTACAGAAAAACATTTATTTTTCATATGAAGTTATAGTAAATCAAGGTTCTTGTTTAGAATCACAGAAATTCTGAATCAGTGTCAATAAGATTTCACAATATCACTGTAATTGTGATTATGAGTTACGGAGCATTCTTTTGCTAATGTATATGAAGTGTTTAAAGTATTGTGATGTCTGCCATCTAATAAACACATTTGAAGGAAGAACATTTTACATATCATCTCCAAATCCTTCAGTCACTACTGACACAAAAATTCCTTTATTTCATAATTTATAAAAATGATATGAGCATAAAGAATAAAGAAACTTAAGTACAGCATTTGCAGACAAATATGCTGTTTGTTAGAATTAAACTCATTAAAAATGCAAAAAATTAATAAAACAATCCATTATTTTAGCAGTTAACTTCTAGTCAATATGTTTAGTATTCCCACCTAAACTTTTAACTTTACTACCCAATTACTGGGTTAAAGCCACTGCTTATTACTCTTTTTTTCAAGCAAGAAACAAAAAGAAGGAGCGGGACATGCTCAGTAGCTAAAACAGATGACCTTCGTGACATATGAGAGAGGCCTAATCCTGACAGCAGGAATGTGTCTTTCAGACACTGGCAACCCACTTGGCATAGATATGCCAACACTCACTTCACCAAGATGGTCAAAACAAAGTCTGGAATATGTTCTATTGTGTGAACAAAACAGAATGGGAGTATTTTAATAATAAATCACTTAAACAAGTGAAGGCAGCTGTCAGCAAGGTATGAGCTTCCAACATGAAGCACAAAGAAAAACATGCACTACCCTTTATAATCAGACCAAGACTAAAGGCCAATCGGTTTTGTGTCTGGTTCATGTGCTGTCTAGTATTCTACCTCACACAAAGAATGTGCCAAGGACATGGGAAGCTCTGCCTTAGAGAGGGTTAGAAGGAGAGGAGGCAAAACGACCCCTTAAAATATATCCTGATTAAGGCTTTATCACTGAAAAAATGTAAGAGAACATTATTCATTTCTTAATGTTACAAATCACTACTTTAAAGAATAAGTTTGCAGTTTTGTAACTACTGCTTTTAAGAAATACAAATGTGGAGAATGACAGTACATTTGTAGCATCTCCATAGGAACATGACATGTTTATAATATAATCTTCTGGAAAATAGTAATTTGAAAGAAAAATAATTTTTACACATTTCTATTTCTGTCAAAAGGAGTATAATATTTGCTTCTGCAAACCATATTTATGTAAGCCACACAACATAAAAACCAACCTGTAAGTTTTCCATTGGCATAACCATAGCTCTTTGCAGCTGGACGAGGTTTATGTTTCGCATTTTCCAACCATTCTTGAAACTTTTTTTCTGCTATTTCCTTTTTCTCCTGTATTTCAGCTTGCTGTTGTTTTTCTTTTTCCTTAAAATGACAAGACCAAAATATTTCCAGGGATATTCTGTAACTATACATTCCATTCAAATTCTACTGATTTTTTTTTCTCCAGTAGCTTCCTACCCCAATGGCTTACTGGCCATAATACTGAATCATATTTTTATAATATGAGTAGAATATTGAACATGATCATGGACATACATTAAGGTGTCTGGCTCTGAAAAACAATAAGACATCAAACCCACAAAGAAAAAAGTATTTGCTGTTTTCAAAGAATAGTAATTTATAAAATGGCAGTAAGACTTCCCATAAAATGCACTGAAAAATATTTAAAAGGAGTAACAGCAACCAGTTTTAAACCTGACTGAAAAAATATCAACAGGCTTACTATTTCTCAACTTAAGAAAACTACAAATGCATATTCATTTTTGAAGTTTAAACACAGCGTAACAGGATAGCTTCTTGTGTTTATTTTATGCTAAGATAGTGCCAATTTTCTATTAGATACTTTTTCTAAGATATAGTTGACACATATGAACACCAAAGTTATGTATTCTAACTGGTCACTTTAATAAAAATACCTTTTCTTTCTTCTTCCTCTCACATTCTTCAGCATTTTTTTTCTTTAACCATTCTTGATATTTTTCTTTTGCTTTTTCTTGCAAGTATTCTTTCTCCAGTTCCTTTGCTGCTTTTTCCTCCATTTCTTTATTAATTTTTTGTTCTCTTTCTTTTCTTTTCTTAAATAAAAATAGATAAAGTTTAATTGTAATACCAGTAATTATACTCATCTAAGGAAAGACTGCTGCATTCAGCAATTTTCTAAACTTCAATTATTTTTAAAAATAGACATGATATCATGGCAGTTGGCACAACATGGTTTATGAAAATATATAACATACCTGCAATTAACAGTACAATGTCAGTCTACCTGCTGGGCTATAAGTTTCATGAGGTCAGTGACAAAGATCTTGCTCACCAATGTCCACTCAGAGCCTGGGGCAGTACTGAGTGAAAAGCAGGTGTTTGATATGGTTTGGCTGTGTCTCCACCCAAATATCATCTTTGAGGGACCTGGTGGGAGGTAACTGGATCATAGGGGCAATTCTTTCCCATGCTGTTCTCATGATGGTGAATAAGTCTTGCAAGATCTGATGGTTTTTTAAAAAAGGAGTTCCCCTGCACAAGCTCTCTCTCTTTGCCTGCTGCCATCCATGTAAGACGTGACTTGCTCCTCCTTGCCTTCTGCCATGATTATTAGGCTTCCCCAGCCACATGGAAGTGTAAGTCCAATTAAACTTCTTTCTTTTGTAAATTTCCCAGTCTCAGGTATGTCTTTATTAGCAGCATGAAAACAGACTAATACAGTGTTCAATCAAAATTTGTTGAATAAATGATAGTGAGTAAAAATTACAATCTGTTAGATTGTCTGAATCTTAGTATTTTTTAATGGATGCTTACTCTCATTCTAAAACAGGGGCTATATATATATATATATATATATATACACACACACACACATTTATATATAAATATATGTATATATATGTATATGTAAATATATATGTATATATATTTTTATATATACACACACACATATTTCCAGGACAGTTTGTCAATATTAATATTTGCATAAATCTTTGCCATCAGTGAATTAAGAGAGGAGAAGTGAATAATGCTCATTAAACACTGTATGTAAGGGCACATCCAGGCAAATCTCTGGCTATATAATTCTTCCATAGAACAAAGGGTGGCAAACTAAGCACTGACAATCACATCTGATCTACCATCACCTGTATTTGTAAATGAAGTTTTATAGGAATGTGGCCACACTCATTTGTTTACATATTTATTGTTTATAGTTGCTTTTGCACTACGACAGCAAAGCTGAATGGCTGCAACGGAGACTGCATGACCCCAAAAGTTTAAAATATTCATTAACTGGCCCTTTATAGAAAAAAAAATATTGATCCTTGACACAGACTATAACTCAATATTTTTTCCTCCTTATTTAAATGATAATCTACCAACACAGCTAAATTCTAAATAACCAATGACATAGCCAGTCTTCTTTATCAAAGGTTTGGAAACAAATCTGGAAGGCATAAAAAGTATATGCAATACAAATGCCATACATATCACCCAGGCAAATAATTATGAGCCAAGAAAAGAAATTCTTCCCTTGAAAGCAGCTTATAGAATACATTAATATAAGCAATTCAATGAAGACTCAACCAACAAACATCAGTTATAGACAAGATATGTCCAGGGCTGTGCAGGAAAGACAGGTCTTAAAAATCAAAGCTCAGGATGGGCATGGTCGTTCATGCCTGTAATCCCAGCACTTTGCGGGGCCAAGGCAGGTGGATCACCTGAGGTCAGGAGTTCGAGACCAGGCTGGCCAACGTGGTGAAACCCCGTCTCTACTAAAAATACAAAAAATTAGTTGGGCGTGGTGGCATACGCCTGTAATCCCAACTACTTGGGAGGCTGAGGCAGGAGAATTGCTTGAACCCAGGAGGCGGAGGTTGCAGTTAGCCGAGATCGTGCCATTGAACTCCAGCCTGGGAGACAGAGCAAGACTCCGTCTCAAAAAAAAAAAAAAAAATCAAAGCTCAAGTAATTCCCCAAGTTGTATCAAAGTTGCTGTATTTCCTTCTTGCTGGGCAGCCAATAGCTGTGAAACAGAATCTTTTCATGCTGAGAACTCAATAGCCATTGGAACAATACTGGATTTTAACTACTTCAAACTGTCAGAAGATCTACAAATTGAAAAGGACCTTGGAGTACATCTTGCTTAATCTCCATGTGACTCATGACTGTCCTCCACAACTTTACCTATAAGAAATCAACCAGTTCTTACATTGTTTTTAATTATAGCAGCTGACATTTATTGAGTGCTAACTATGCCTGTTACCATTCTACATACTTTATTTGTACACACTCTCAATTCTTATAATCATGATGTGAGGTAGATACCATTATTATCCCATTTTACAAAGGAGGAAACTAAGGCACATGGAGGCTAATTTGCCTAAGGTCATAGAGACGGTGAGTGACAGATCACACAGACATCATACAGAAATCAAAATGGGAGAATGTTAAAACCAATTTTATGCCAATAAATTCAATATTTTAAATGAAATGTCAAAATTCCTTAAAATATGCCACTTCCCAAAATGAATTCGAGAAAAAGTAGTGTCTGAATAATCCTCTACTTATAAAAACAATTCAAAATTAAAAACTTTCCTACAAAAACTCCAGTCACTGAAAGCTTCACTAGTTGATTCCATTACAGTTAAAGATACTCCATATTTTAATAACATAAAATATTATTGTGGCATATCTTAATAGTATCAAACCTTAAAAAAATGATTTTAGAACACAGAGAAAAAGTAAACATATCAAAGCTCATTTTAAGAGTCCAGCATTATTCTGACATCAAAACCAGGCATGGAAATTACAAGGTGATATCAGAAACGTTCCATATGAGTGTGGCTGGGAAAAAAACATATATATGTTATAAACATATGTATATGTTATAAACACATGCATGCTGCATGTTATAAACACATGCATGCTGCATGTTACAAACATGTATGCTATATATTATAAACATGTGTGTTACATATATGCTATAACATGTTACTTGTGTTATACGCATTGTTACATGTTATAAACATGTGTACATTACATATATGCTATAAACCTGTGTTGTACATACGTGTAAATATATAAAATATATATTATATATCAGGAACAAGGCAAGATAACTGCCCTCATCAGCAAAAACATGAAATACTGAGAAATATATTTAACAAAATACTGCTATACATTGAAAACTAAAAAACACTGCTAAGAGAAATTAAAGAAGACATAAATAACTGGAAAGAAAAACCATGTTTATAGATTTAAAATTTGATATTATTAAGATAGGAATTTTCTCCAAAATGATCTATGTGTTTATATTTAGCAGAATCCCAATAGTGCCAAGCACTATTAGGACAGGCATTATTAGGGAAATTGATAAGATGATTCTAAACTGTATATGGAAAGATGCAGGGCAACTAAAACAAGTTTGAAAAAGAATTGAAGACCTGGAGGATTTACACTATCTGATTTCAAGAATAATAAAATTCAGAACTATAAAACTATACTAACAAGTTAGTGTGGTACTGCACAGGATATAAATCAATAGAATAGACTAGAATCCAGAAACAGACCTATAAATATGTGGTCAATTGATTTTAAACAAAGGTGCCAAAGGTAGTTTAATAGGGAAAAGATTATCTTGTCAATATTGTTAGGACAATTGGATATCCACATGCAAACAAATGAATCTTGACCGTTAATGCATACTATACATTAAAATTAAACTCAAATAGACATACAGGTAAAGCTAAAGCTATAAAGCTTCTGGAAGAAAACAGTGGAGAGTATTTTTACCCTCTTGTGGTGGGCAAACATTTTTTTTTAATTTTATTATTATTATATTTTAAGTTTTAGGGTACATGTGCACAACGTGCAGGTTTGTTACATATGTATACATGTGCCATGTTGGTGTGCTGCACCCATTAACTCTTCATTTAGCATTAGGTATATATCCTAATGCTATCCCTCACCACTCCACCCACCCCACAACAGGCCCCGGTGTGTGATGTTCCCCTTCCTGTGTCCATGTGTTCTCATTGTTCAGTTCCCACCTATGAGTGAGAACATGCGATGTTTGGTTTTTTGTCCTTGCGACAGTTTGCTGAGAATGATGGTTTCCAGCTTCATCCATGTCCCTACAAAGGACATGAACTCATCATTTTTTATGGCTGCATAGTATTCCATGGTGTATATGTGCCACATTTTCTTAATCCAGTCTATCATTGTTGGACATTTGGGTTGGTTCCAAGTCTTTGCTATTGTGAATAGTGCCGCAATAAACATACACATGCATGTGTCTTTATAGCAGCATGATTTATAATCCTTTGGGTATATACCCAGTAATGGGATGGCTGGGTCAAATGGTATTTCTGGTTCTAGATCCCTGAGGAATTGCCACACTGACTTCCACAATGGTTGAACTAGTTTACAGTCCCACCAACAGTGTAAAAGTGTTCCTATTTCTCCACATCCTCTCCAGCACCTGTTGTTTCCTGACTTTTTAATGATTGCCATTCTAACTGGTGTGAGATGGTATCTCATTGTGGTTTTGATTTGCATTTCTCTGATGGCCATTTCTTAAATAGAATACAAAAACTACCAACAATTAAAAAAACTGAAATATGGAAATTCATCAAAATTTAAAACTTCTCTTTAAAAAATACCATTAATCAGTGCTTCTTCTTGTTAGTGAAAAAAAAAATACCATTAAGAAAAATTAAATGGGGATTTCATGACCAGCCTGGCCAACATGGTGAAACCCCATCTCTACTAAAAATACAAAAATTAGCCAGGTGTGGTGGTATACTCCTATAATCCCAGCTCCTCAGGAGGCTGAGGCACGAGAATTGCTTGAGCCCGGGAGGCAGAGGTGCGGTGAGCCAAGATCATGCCACTGCACTCCAGCCTGGTCAACAGAGTGAGACTCTGACTCAAAAAAAAAGAGACAGAAGAGAGGGAAACAGGAGGGGAGGGAGGGGAGGGGAGGAAGGAAGGGAGGGAAGACAGAGGAAAGAAGGAAGGAAGGAAGGAAGGAAGGAAGGAAGGAAGGAAAAAAGGAAAAGTTAAATGGGAAGAAATATTTGCAATACATATATCTGAGAAGAGACTTATAGTCTGAATATACAAATTCTCATATCTTAATAATAAGCCATACAACCCCTTCAAAAATGGGCAAATGACTTAACACAACACAAAACAAGCCAACAACACAAAACAAGCCAACAACAAAAGAGATGTAGAAATGGTCAATATATGTTATGGACTGAATTGTATTCCTGCCCCTCTCCCAAATTCCTATGTTGAATCCCTAATCCTCAATGTGACTGTATTTGGAGATTGCATCTTTAAAGAGGTAATCAAGTTTAAATGAGGTCATAAGGGTAGGACCCTAATTCAATAGGACTGGTGTCCTTACAAGAAGAGGAAGAGACACCAGGGATATATGTGAACAGAGAAAAGCCCTGTGGGGACATAAAAAGACAGCCGTGGAGAGAGGCCACAGGAGAAACCAAACCTACAGATGCCTTTATCTTGATTTCCAGTCTCCAGAACTGTGAGTAAAGATATATTTCTGTTGTTTAAACCACCCAATTTGTGGTATTTTGTTATGGAAGCTCTAGAAGACTAATATAATAAGCTTATGAAAATACGCTAAACATCATCAGATCTCAGGGAAATGAAAATTAAAACAATGGCATACCACTCCACACTCACTAGAAGGACTTAAAATGAAAAAGATTGGCCATACCAAATCTGCCAAAGATGTGGAGCAACTGGAACTTTCTTATTATAATAGTAGTGGAGATGTAAAATGGTACATGTACTTTAGACAAATGTTTGGCAATTTCTTATAAAGTTAAACACATACTTACCATATAGCCCAGTAATTTAGTTCCTAGGCATTCACACAAGAGAAATGAAAACAAGTGTCCACAAAAAGACTTGTACATGAGTGGTCACAGAATTTTATTCATAATATCCCAAACTGAAAACAACTCAATTGTCCATCAACTAGTGAACAGATAAACAATTTCTATGAAATTGAATGAAACAGATAAACATATTCTATGAAATGTATTTCATAGAATACTATAGTCAGCAATAAAAAGGAATAATACATGAAATATCAGGATAAGTTTTAAAACAAAAGACCAACACAAAAGACTATATATTCTATCATTCCATTTATATGAAATTATAGAAAAGGCAACTCTAATCTACAAGTACAGAAAGCAGATTAATGGTTTCCTTGGAGCTGAGGCTGGCTGGGGGCAGGGAGTGGGGGTGAATGCAAAGGGGCAAAAGGAAACTCTCTGGGGTGATGGAAATGTTCTGTATCTTTAATGGTGATGGTTACATGGGTACCTAAATTTGCCAAAGTCATCAAACTTAAAATAGTTGTATTTTATTGTATGCAAACTACAGCTCAATAGAATTAATTCTGAAAAAAAATCAGACAGACTTCTGTAGGATTTAAACTAAAGAAGTGTGAACAGAATGCCTTTAGTTAGCAAAAGGAAGACACAACAGGCACTCAGAGCAGTCACTACTACCGAGAGAGGAACCAGCCACTAAGTGGCTTCAGATTTTCTGGCACGCTAGTTCTACACCACACAGAGCACAACAATAAATCTTCCTTTTTTAAAGACGCTGCACCGAGAGAACCTTTGTTTCATACAACTAAAGGAAACTAACATAACAATTGGCTACTTAAAGTTTCTGGATTTCTGTTTTGCTTTCTCCAATAGTGCCTCGCACACAGTAAAAGCTGAGTAAATATTTGTTGAAAGCATGAATAATGCAATGATAACAGTGTTATCCATCATATACCTTGTTGATCTGAATTAATGTCTTACATTAGAAAATCAGTTGTGTTTTGAGAACGAAAAACGATTTTATTTTTAAATAATTTTTAAAAACATTAAAAGTAAAGGACCTTTTACAAAATATGTGATAACACTGTAATAAACACATCCAGAAAATAAATTACCACGGCAACACAAATGTTAGGAGTACCAGATGAGATAGAACATTTATTTTAAAAGCACTTAAGAATTTACAGTCATATTATAAGAAACTAGCTTTGCTAATGAATGCATAAATTCTTTGTGTCTGATTTTTTGATAAAACACAGTGAATATGACTTAGAGAAAATAGCAGCCACAGATACAGCTAAAATGTGAATGAAGCTGGAGGCAGCTGAGGACCACACACCATGAAATGTAAACAGAGGAGAAAAAAGCTAGATGCCAGACAGGAAGAGAAGAACCAGGAGAGCAGTCTTTACAAATAGAGGTAAATGTAACTATGTCTGAAAGAAGAAATCTGATAGGTCTTAAAGAAAAAAAAAAAAAAAAAAGAATAATCAATTATTCCTTAACATGAACAAGAGTTCTGCAGAACAGGTAAATATAACGTCTCAGTTTTATTTTTAAATAATTCTCAACATTACGGAATTTTGCCTTCAATAACTAGTGATTTATGTCAGGGCAAGCCACTTCCCTCCAAAAGAAATAATTTTTTTTTTCTTCAAATAATTGGATTAGGTCTACTGCCACTAATTAAAACAGTGAATATATTGTCTCCCAGAAGTATCTTACATTCCTAGACAAACAACAACTAGGTTTGATTGGCATGGTAAAATTAGCTTAATGGAGTTAGAAGATAAGAAGGACTTTTAGAGGAAAGAGCAAACTATTCTGCATGTGTAAAATAATTTTGTTTTATAGTTACAAATTTCAAAAAGATATTACCCAAAGTTTTATAACAGTCACAGAGATTTATTTTGATTTTTGAATTTATTCACAAAGATCTCTTTCATGTTATATCATGGGATGAAGTAAACTTTTTTAAAAAAACAAAGTAATTGACTTCTAAACAAATATGGTTATAACACACATACATCTAACCAATTTCCTTCTTATAATACTTGGATGAAGAAGGTTATATCATCTTCAATTTACTGAAATTATTTACTTAGTACTCTTATTAATACCATTAGGCATTAGATTCAACAATAAAGATAAAAAGTTAGAATTAAAATTTAAAATATTGTCCTACAATTTAAACATTTTTCCACATTTGTAAAACTGGATTATAATAATAAAAGCAGTACCACTCTAAATATGTAAAAATCACAACAGAAGACAAATTGACCACAGAATAAGTATTTTTAAAATTTCGAATGTGTGTGATCCATAGAAGAATATATTAAAATTAAAAGGAAAAAATGCAGCCATTCAATGAACATCTTCACTCAATTAAACTATTTTTGGACATATATCATGCGCAGGTATTCATCTAGCTCCTGGAAAACTGAACAAAAGAGGCAAAAATCCCTGCCCTTATGTAGCTTACAATCCAGTATAAGAAGTAAACAACAAGTTGAAAGATATAATGGAAAGAGATCACAAACAGGGGAGTAGTAATTGTAAAGAAAAGGAGGAGATGATTAGGAACAACAGAAGAATTCTAATTAAGCCTTGATGACCGAGAAGACAGCTGAATGAAACAGAGAAATGGGAGGATGGATTTACGAAGGAGAAATGGGCAAAATGGGTTGTTTTAGATTTGCAGACTTGGAGGCACTTGCCATAAGGATCCAAAAGGTCAGGCCTAGAAATACAGACTTGGTGACTGCCTGCAGGCAAATATTAGTGCAAGCCACAGGAGGGAAAAAGGAGAAAAGTAGAGGGCAAAGGGCAGAAGATAGAGACTTGATAAATGTCCACCAGGATAGAAAAACAAAACAAGCCAAAGAAGAAAGACTCTAAGAGAAGTATTTTTTAAAACCTAGGTAATGAAGTATAATAGGAAGAAATATTTTGCAAAAGAGATGTCAATGTGTGTATCCATTTTCCCCTCCTTACTTGCTCATTCTTTTTCTGAACCCATTCCTTGTGCTTTTCTTCAGCAATTATCTTTCTTTTTTCACGTTCTTCCATTTCTTTTCTTTTTTCTAGTTGTTGATTTAATTCCTGTGGATTTTATTTAGACAAAAGGCAACATTTAATAGAAGTACCCAAATAACATACATTTTAAAAGTCTGAGGTTATTAACCAAATTAAACAAGAATATAGTTTCCTTTATGGAGCATATGCCACTAGTGGCAATAACTTACTTAAGTAACCAGTCTATGATGAAAAAAAGCATTGGTAAAAGTATAAGTCATTTTTTAGAAATGTGCAAATAATTGCTTGGCAGCAAAACACTAGTTTCCTAGACTAAACTTCAGCTAAATTACCCTCATTGAAATCAACTTTCCCACACATAAATTTTGGCATCACTCTAAGCTACTGGCAGAAGCTCAAGAGAATTGCAACTTTTTTTTTTAAACAGTTATAAGAAGCTTCTGGATTCCTGATGAAGATAAAGCATAGAAATTAAATAATCCCTATATTAAAAATTTAATTCAGTTACACAAAAGAAATACAAAGAAACCATTCAATTTTCCTTAGGGAAAAAAGAACCCAGAGTTTTCTTCACTGGTTTTATAGCTGCTGAAGTGTAAAACAAAATCACATTCATATCCCAGATTATTTAACTGCCTTGCTGTCACTCGAATCTACACGTTTGGGCATTTCCTCAGGAAAAAGAATGTGAAAGGTATGGCCAAATAAAACTACAAGTTGAATGCCACCACTCTGTCACTCATCAGTTAAATTACTGCATTGGTTTAGAATGCTGTTCAAACTAGACTTCACTAGGACTCCACAACCATAATTACTGGTTATTTTTCTTCTCCGTCTTTAGATACTAATAGTCAGATACCTTACGTATCTTCTGTTGGTCTCCACACTCCTCCATAGCCCTTTCTTTCCCAAAGACCTACCTACTTGGGCATGGGTGGTAGTGGGAAAGACAATTTTCCAACCCTCAGACTAATTCCAGTGTCTTAAATGAAGATAAAACTTGACACCAAGAACATCTCTTTTGCATTTTAAACAACTGGTCACAGGAAATCTGTCTTCCATAATCACTCATCCTAAAATTCTGCTGCATAGAAGATAGCCGCCCTCACTCAGGAAGTCTTCCAACTTTTAAACACTATACCCCCAAAAGCAAATATCCATCTTTAAGGATTTTTCATCACTTCAGCAGCTATTGTTCTTTGATGACTTACTCAGTATACTTTTATGGTACACCTACTATGGACCTAGCAATAACTGATATAAATCTGATATAAAGATGAAATCCCAGAAGTCTCTGATCTGATTTTCTATACACTAAAGAAATAAGTGCTACATTGCGAGTTATTGCATATCATAAAAGTTCAGAGAAGGGAAGGGAAGATGAGGAGAAACATCTTTCCTTCCCCCTAGCCTAGTCTACCAGGCTAGTCAGAAATGAGCACCATACAAGGAACAGTGAAAAGATGGCTTCGAAAGGAGAGAGATTGGGAGGTGGGAGGGGGTAGAAAATTTGAGCGTGGTACTAGGTAGATGGAGAAGGTCTTTTGAGACAGGCAAAGTAAAGTGAACTATATGAAACAAGAATACCCGGCAAAAGGGAAAATTCAGAGCTCTTAATGACAAAGGCTGAAGACTGCATTTGAAGGGATGAGAACTATTCTGAGGAAGACTGACGAAGAGTGTGCCATAGTATATGAGTTATAAGAAAAAGAAGGCCTGGGCCTCTGGGCCAGGCGCAGTGGCTCATGCCTGTAATCCCAGCACTTTGGGAAGCTGAAGCGGATGGATCACTTGAGGTCAAGGGTTCGAGACCAGCCTGGGCAAAATCGTAAAACCCTGTCTTTACTAAAAATACAAAAATTAGCCAGGTGTGGTGGCAGGCGCCTGTAATTCCAGCTACTGGGGAGGCTGAGGCCGGAGACTCGCCTGAACCTGGGAGGCAGAGGTTTCAGTGAGCTGAAATCATACCACTGTACTCCAGCCTGGGTGACAAAGTGAGACTCCATCTCAAAAAAAAAAAGGAAAAGGAAAAGGAAAAGAGGGTTTGGACTTAGGAAACAAAAGGGGGAAAAATTATACATATATATACATGTACACATACAAATACATGTGTATATATGTATGTTTATATGTGCATGTGTGTATATATACAAATATATAAATATGAAAGACATTAATTAATTGGCTAGATATAGACCTGACAACTACATATCAAAAATTTTCCAAAATAGTCCCAAATTTTATTTTCAAGAAAAGTAATTATTTAAATGTATAACTAAAGACATGATTGACTATATATTTATGTACCTTTTAAGATTCTTCATTTACCTAAACTAAAAAATCAGAAAAAAAGAAACCCTGTACTCCTATTTGATGGCTAACAAATTTTAGTTAATGTTGATTGAAGGGTTAAAGAAAAAGGGTCAAAATGTATCTAGAAAATGCTACCAATAACCCAAACAGTGTTCTAATCTTGGATGTCTGTTCAAGTAATTTGTCAAACCAGAATATACATCACATTTTGAGACACAACCCTCCCTTCCAAGTCTGGCCCTTCTTAGAATTTCCCACCCTGAATGACTCCATGTTTACCACAAAGGCCAGTCTCCTTCAGGACACAGCTGGAGTCTTCCTTCGAAAGGCCCCTACATGGTCTTCTGGTATACCACTGAATTTCAACAGGATTACAGATAGCTATTAATATTTTCCCGTGGAATACAACACTTGATTATGGAAAACCAAAATCCAAAGAAGATCTTAAACATGCATTTTTATTTTAATAGGTTTTGCCTACTTTCAAATAATTTTTTACCACTGAAGGTAATAATAATCAGAAAAACTGACAGTTTTGAGTTTCACCAACAGCTCTATATCCTGCCCTATTCGTTCGTTAAGGGCTCATTAAGGGCTAATGAATAAAATGGCCAAAGGCAAGATGGTTAAAAAAAAAAAGAAAAAAGAAGGCACCAGGACTACTCACAAACTAGGTAATTTTTATAATTTACAACTGATTATAATATTAAAGCAAATATTAAGAATTAGAATCAGCCAATGACCATAGAGAACCTGGAGCAGTTGGCTAAATAATTATTTATAATAATTAAAAAGTAAATAAAAATTAAATGACCTATAAAACCAATATACTAGTTTTTCATAATGCTTGATAATTGATTCAATATTTACCATATTTATCATCTCAACAAAAGTTACAAATGTATACCATTTTGTAAGTGGGTAATTTTTATGAATTAAAATAATTTTTTAACTTAGTCCCACAGAGATGTCTGAAACAAACCAAATGTCTGATGCTCAAATCAAATTTATGAGTGTGGATGATCTTTTTAATGATTAAATTATCCTACAAATGTTCTCTTAAATCTTAAAGGAAGAAAATACGAAAGCCAGAGTTCATTAAAAAATAAATACTAAGTCTGACTCACTTATTTCTAAAATACATCTTGATATTGTGGGAAAAGCATTTAAATGGAAGTCAAAGAATTAGGTGCCAGTCCCAGTTCTGCCATGGACGAAGCCTTGGCAAAATTACTTTTCTGCCTTTCATGCTTTTTAGTTTTAATAGGGATCTGAGATGACTATTCTTTATGGTTAAAAATTTGATATGGTTTATAAACAAATTAGGGATACAGTAAATACAGAAAAATAAGGAAAACATGAGATAAAAACAAAAT
This sequence comes from Homo sapiens, assembly GCF_000001405.40. Taxonomy (NCBI): domain Eukaryota; kingdom Metazoa; phylum Chordata; class Mammalia; order Primates; family Hominidae; genus Homo; species Homo sapiens. The sequence continues at coordinate 27,354,063 of NC_000011.10, forward strand.
AAAGGAAAAGGCAGTGAAAGAATGTGAATACCACAAGAGCTCAACATGAGCTTACAACAAGCTGAGTAGTTGGCCTATATGTTAGGATATCCCTGGCATAACTGATATGTAAGAGTCATGCTAAAACTGAATCACTTCAGAGTTGAGTAATAAAGTAGCCATAAGAAATGTCAAACTACTAAATATATAAAAAGGTTTTAATCTTTGAACCAAATTACAAATAATTATACCCTGCTACATGCTTATCATTGTGATAGGGTTTATATTTATTATTTTAATCTGTTCTCAAAACAAATCTTCATAGCAGTTATTATGATCTCCTTTCACATATAATAACTTTGAGTGCTTTGTACATATTAGTCCATATCCTGATGTTCATTTAGTCCTCATAACAACACTATGAAGCAAATATTATCCTCCCCCTTTCACTGATAAGGAAATTGAGACACAGAAAGGTTAAGGATTTGCCCAAAGTCCAAATTTTGAATGCAGGAAGTATGGCTCAAGAATTTATGGTTTTAAACCAGGCACCGTGGCTCACACCTGTAACCCCAGCACTTTGGGAGGTGTCACTTGAGCCCAGGAGTTGGAGGCCAGCCTGGGCAACATGGCAACCCCCCCACCCCCACCCCAACAAACAACAATAAAAACAAAAATTAGCCAGGCGTGGTAGCGTGTGCCTACAGTCCCAGCTACTCAGGAAGCTGAAGTGGAAGAGGAGGGGAGGTCAAAGCTGCAGTGAGCTGTGATCACGCCACTACACTCCAGCAAGGGTGACAGAGTGAGACCCTGTCTCAAAAAACGAAAACAAAACCCAGAATTTACACTTTTAACTACTCCACTATTGTCTCTCTAACATCTGGCTTATAGATGAAGAAACTGAGGCTCAGAGAAGTTAATTAACTTTTCTAATGTCACAGAATTAGAATGGCAAGGCTAAAATTTCAGCCTTGTTCTGTGTGACTACCAAGCCCGGGCTTTACTAACTTTCTGAAATTCAATTAACTTCTCTCTGTACACTGACTAAAAATGACTGGAAGTGACCCTCCTTTTCTTAATATAACAAGTAACTTCTTGTGAGACTGTAGATAAAGCCCAATACCAGAAATTGAATTTTGTTCTACCATTAACTCACAGGATCAGTATTTTCCGAATTGTAAGTTTAAAACCAATTTAATGAATTATGACCAGCCTTTTGAAAAAAGAATAGAATACCAGGTTTTGCACAAAATTAAGATGCTATTTCACATACATATGTATAAATACATATATATAGAGAGATATATGTAGGTATGTGTTTTTATAACATAAAAAAATAGAGTGCTCACTATGAACAAATATTCTTAAAAGCTACTAACTAAATAATGGACTTAGTCATTGAGGTAAGAGAAGTAAGTCTGGGAATTCAAAAATACACCCCAATTCTGAAAATAAATGAAAAAGCTTTAAGAAGACTATGAATAGTAATGATATAAATAACAATACAAATAAAAACAAAGCCAGGCATCTTTATACTTTGTTACATTTAATCCTCACAAAACCCCTGTGACACAGGTATTATTTTATTCCTCTTAAGCAGACGAGAAAATAGAAACATAAAAGTTTCAATAACTTGCTTACACCCAGCAAATAAAAAGAACCAGGGTTTTTATTATTCTTGCCTAACATCAACCGTAAGGTCTTTCTCAAGCCCTGTGTACTGTCAAGAGGAAATAAGTGCCACTCTCACAGCGCACTTTTCCAGGAATAAATTTGTAATCTAGAATACAAAGTATCATACAATAGGAAAACAGCAGAATGTATTAGTTTTCATAATCATTTGAATTATGCCAAGCCTCTGGGACATGTGACTGCTTGCCTGGTTAGAAACTTATCAAATAATAACTGGTTTCAAAACTAACAGAAAAGTTATTCTAAGGAAGATCATGAAGCTTTTGTTCCCAGGATTTTTTTTTTTTTTTTTTTTTTTTTTTTAGACAGAGTTTTGCTCTTGTTGGCCAGGCTGGAGTACAATGGTGTGATCTCAGCTCACCACAACCTCCGCCTCCTGGGTTCAAGTGGTTCTCCTGCCTCAGCCTCCTGAGTAGCTGGGATTACAGGCATGCACCACCACGCCCAGATAATTTTGTATTTTTAGTACAGATGGTCTCTCCATGTTGGTCAGGCTGGTCTCAAACTCCCAACCTCAGGTGATCCACCTGCCTCGGCCTCCCAAAGTGCTGGCATTACAGGTGTGAGCCGCCATGCCCGGCCAATTCCCAGGATTTTTTTTTAGCAACAGTTACTAATAGACTGAAACATCCAACAAGAGTGAAACAGATAACTATATTTTAACAAATATGTAATACATTTTAAATATATTTAAATAATATTAGACAGCCATTTTTAAATGTTATAAAAATGTTTAATGATAGAGAAAAAGAGTTTTATCCTGTTTCATTAAAAAGAAGAAGTGTCCCTCATCATTCAAATCTATCTGGCTTCAGTGTTTGGATAGGAAGAATTCAGATAGTCTAGATAGTGGGTTTAGGGGATGCCAAATTATCCAAATCTATTTGGTTGCCATGTTCTGAAACAGTAAGAGTTCAAAAAATATGTGAATATTCTCATTAAAGAAGAGATGTGAAAATGCATCTACAACTATTTATTTTTTGAGTTCATATAGTAAAAGTTCAAAAGAGACTCACGCATGGAAATGTCCATAAGTGAGGGAGGCACAGAGAAACTGAAACACCCTGAAAGACTAGCAAGCAGTTTCCCACCGCCCAGCACATAGGGCACATGCTCACTGAGTGACACACGGTGGGGTGGGGTGGGGTTGGGGGTGGTGGGGTGGGGTGGGGTTGGGGGTGGTGGGGTGGGGTGGGGTTGGGGGTGGTGGGGGGGGGCAGGTAGATTCTTGCCTCTATTTTGTTTCAGTAAAGTTAAAAATTTTGCCGAGTGTATACAGTTGAATTTACTTTAGTTAAATGTACATATGTTGATGCTCCAGTGTATGTAGACATACAACTTATACATACATTTGTACGTATTTCAAAATAATTTACATAGAAGAAAATCTGGAAAGCTATGTCATAATACTAACAATGATTATCTTCAGACAGTGAAATTAGAAGAGATTTTAATTTTCTTAATTATGCTTAGCTGTATTTTCCAAATGCTCTAACAATGAACATATTTCTATTATTATAACTTATTAGTTATTAAATTTGATATAGTAAACTAACATAAATGCAAAGACTTTGTTTTCAGGAATAATAACATTAACATTTTAATTTACAACTGCAGCTCTACTTTGTGAGCTCACAGATTAAATAAAAAGAACACTGTCTAGTTTTACCTCTAGAGCTTTCAGTTGCAGCCGGTCACGTTCTTCTTTTTCTTTGCCAATAAACCACACCTCCCATGGTGTCAGGCGGCTTTCTGGTAAGCGCACCTGTTTCTGTTCTTCTTGGTTATTTTCTGATTCAACCTGAGTGCTACAAAAGAGAGGCTACTATAGTACTTGTACAAGAACCTCTTTTGCTTCCTAGTCCAAATCACTTAACTGTACAGTAAAAGCAAAACTTAATAGTGTATTTTCAATATTGTGATTTTTACAAATATACAGGAATTATACATAAGTATACATTTAAAAAATCATGAAAAGAAATTCTAATATTTGAATTAGTTTACCTATCAAACTGCCTTTGAATTCCTTCACCTTCTAAAACCACGTTATTTAAAACCCCATTGGGATAACCCACACCCTATACATTTGCCTCAATGCCAACACTTTTTTATTTCTAAAAATCTTACCTGGATAACTAATTACTCATTACAACATATAATCCTAATCAGATACTGAAGCAGACTCTTCCCTTTCCCGCCCTTAAGTAGTTCAGGAAAAAAAGATTATGTAGTGCACACAAAGAGAATAATAGAGCAAACATGTAACAATTAGGGACTGTGGGTGAAGGGTAAATGAAAGTTCTTTATATTATTTCACCTTTTTTATAAGTTTGAAATTGTTTTGAAATAAGAAGCCACAAAACATTCTTTAACATTTTGGTTGACACCCTTTTGCCAATCCTTAGACAGGGTGTGTATGACTCTCTAGTCTGGTTACCTCCTACCATAGTCTCCATCTCCACCATGCACCTCTGTCAGTCTGTCTCTTCTGAGGGTAAGGAAAAATAACAATTCAGGGTAAAGAGAAGAGGGGCAGGGAAATAAGTATATACATAAATAAAGAACACAGGGTCTTGGCCAGATACACAAGCCTCATGAAACTGAGAAAAAGCTTAACAATCAGCAGCCATAGAAAGCAAGGTTGTTCAGGACATAAGGTAGCTCTAAAGACTAGTTTATTACAGACTCAGTTCTTTGTCTCTTTCACATTCCTGCTTATAGCAACCAATTGCTTCACCCACTGCTTTGCACAACTTTTCTACTTCATAGATTCAGCTTACTCATTATTTTCTGCTACTATTATTTCTTCATTCATTCATGCCCTTATGAAATTTGCATTCTAGTGGGAAAGAGACACTGTTGATGTGTTATTTCTTATATGCGTCTTTCCTTCCCAGTCTTGCAGAAGGAACCCATCTGCCCCCACTGTAGTGCAGTTTCAACTACCACTACATGCTGATGATGTCTATATCAGTAATTCCAGGCCAGACCGTCATCTTGAGTTCCAGATCCTTATTTCCAACTATGTGATACATAACTCAACTTAAATATCAATCAGTTGAAAACAAATCTAATCATCCTCTACCATCCACCCACCACCCTTCCCACCAAGAAAGTATACTCCTCTTACAATCCTACGTCAGTGAATGTTATCACCCTCCAGCCAGTTACTCAAGCCAGAAGCCCTAGCTCTTTGACTCCACCTGCTCCTTGTCAACATGTGGACCCCCCCCCCCCACCGCCACCACCTCCCATACCCACATGATCACCTAGTCATGTTAATTCCTCTTTCCATTTTTGAAAGCCATTCTTGTTTCCTCCAACCTTACAACCACCATCTGGACAAAACTGGCCTCCCTTTCTCCCTTTCAAATCATTATCCACACCTCTTGCCAGATTCATCCCTCAAATGTTATCTTTCTATCATGTCACTCCTCATCTTAAAGTTCTTCAATGGCATCTTTACCCACAGGATAAAATCCAAACTCCTTAGCCTGACACCCATGAATCTGCCCTTTGCCTATCTTCCAGCCTCTTCTTTCACCAACGGCTGATCCAGACTCTACATTTCACTCACTAGGAACCCCTGCAGGTTGATGAATGTGCCACGCCCCATGCCCTGTAACTTTCACCTAAATCTGAAATTCCTTTCTTCCACCTCCGCATAAAGTCAGATTAAGAGCTTAGATTTGGGCGTAAAACAGCCTGGGGTGAAATCCTATCTGCTTCTTCCTAGCTATGTACATTTTTTTTCTTTTTTTTTTCTTTTTTTTGAGACGGTGTCTCCCTCTGTCGTCTAGGCTGGAGTGCAGTGGCGCGATCTCCGCTCACTGCAAGCTCCGCCTCCCTGGTTCACACCATTCTCCTGCCTCAGCCTCCCGAGTAGCTGAGATTAGAGACGCCCGCCACTACGCCCAGCTAAGCTATGTACATTTTTTAAAAAACTTCTTTAAGCTTCTGTTTTCTTGTCTATAAAATGGAGATGACAGTTGTGGCTGGCTACCTTACAGGCAGAATTGCATGAAACTATCCATGCTAAAGCACTTAATATAGTTCCAGGCACTCAGTAAGTACTTAGTAAGTCATTTATGACGAACTCCTACTGTCCCTTCAAAATTCAACTCCAGCACTGCCTGGAGCCACAACTCTTGGGCTTCCTGTCACTTGCTCATCTCTGCCACAGGTCATGAGTTCCTTAAAGAAAATATATCTCAACTCATTTTTTTATTTCAAGAGCCTGGCTTAGGGTCTAGAATATAGTAGGGTCCTAGGAAACAGTTGTTGAAAGACAATCAGATCAGTGGGCTTTTCTTTTAAGAAATGACACTTTGAATATTAAATTTCCTTCCTTAATATTTATAACAAATGTGTTCAAAATGTGTGGCGCACACACTACAGCTCTACTTATAATCAAGAAAGGCTTGACAAGTGGCCATTTGTGAACAAGATATTTATTACAGCATGGTTTTCCTAATGGATAGTGGTAGAAAAACCAGGATAAAGCTGAATAAACAGCAGGCCCAGAGCACATTGTAAAATATTCCAGGAAAACGCTTCTCATTATCTTGTCTGAAGCTAACTTTGAGCTTAATCTCAGTTCTGACCAATACCCTTGAAGGTCAATGCATCCTCTAAACATGGCACTATTTATACCAAAAATACCTTGAGGTAATATCCATTATGTGCAGCTGATGCCTGAGCCTAGCTCAAAGAAGCCTTACCCGATTCGTTTTGCCAGTCAGATCAATATGGCAGGTGAGGCATGGAGAAAAGGCATAAAATCCCACACAGCTCTAGGTTGCTCTCTGCTTCACACAGAATACTCAAAACCCAGAACAATGAAAGGGCTGACTCAGGTTGCCTGCTCTCTTCATCCTGTCACCCCCAAGCTGTCCAGGGCACCAAAGAGAGGTCAGCAGTTTGACCTCAAAAGCCAGATTGTGGACTCCAGAACTCTTATCCCAAACCTGAACACCAGAACGTGGTTTACTGCACCTTAGTAGTACCTGTGGTTGGTTATTCTGAAAACATACTGATTGCTAGTGAAGTAGGTTGTAGTAAACAGGTCACTTTTTATAACACAAAGTGCTGAAGCACAGAGATTAGCAATGTCAACCTCAGCATGTGGAGACATGGTTAGATAGGATCTGAGCATGCACAGAGGAATGGATGTCATTGTATCAAAGAATGTTAGGACCAATGGAGAGAAAGAATGAGGAAATTTTCTAAAAATCTACCTTTCCTGAAAGGAAGTGCTAAGTTTCTGAAGCATTTGACAATAATCACTGCATGTATCTGTTCTTTAGGAAGTGGGAAATGGACATGCAGTCAGCAAACGTTTATTGAGCACCTAATAAGCATCTGACACTTGCCACACACAATGCTTGACAACTTCAGCATTCTCTTTTCAAACCCACGTCCCAGCTACTCCTTTGATTCATAGGGACTGAAATGTGATAAGGAAGGCAGCCTTAGCCCTGTGGTGCTACCAGCTCATTCTGGCTTTGGATAAGTGAGACGTACATACGTTCACCTCCTCCCCTGGCAGGCTCCACTTAGTCAGGGCTTTGGCTCTTGGAAACTAATGCAAGGTTTCAGTAGCTGAGCTATAGTTCCGATGGTCATTTATTCCGCAGGTCACTAACTTGTGTCCAGATTGCTTAGTCCAGTTGATTATGCTCAGAAAGTATTTCCTAAAGCCTTCAAATTTACTTTAAATACCTTTGAGACCAACTCAGTCCTGAAGAATACCTACAAAGGCCCAGATGAAAACAATTTACTGAAACCCTAACTCTACCATTAAATTTTACTATCAGGTTGATCAGAGGAGGCCTGTTTCTTGTTGCTACAACCAGCCTGGATGAGTGGCTTGCTTGGTTACTCTTTCTGATCTCCATTCCCACCAATGTACTTACTTTTACTTCTCATTCGTAACTAATTCACTCCTGTAACCATGTATACGGGTTACTTCATATGGGTTCCATATTCCATTCACTCATGCTGGATATGAACACCCTGTACTGAAGGGGGAATCTTGCTATTTACACATAAAGCATGAGTTCTCTGGCCTGTATTTCTTAGAGCTCCTGTACTGTGCCTTACACAGCTTGACAATCATAAACTTGTAAATGATTTCCGAAGAAAACGTAATGAGTCTATCCCAGAATAGACCTGCATTACTGGGCCTGTCTCAGAAATATTCCTTCAGGGATTGGCCCTTTGCTCCTACTTCTGTATACCCAATACTAGGCATGCAGTTTAGGAAAGAGAACATGATCTGTCTATCTTCGTAGTAGACCCAGGTCTGCTAATAACTAGGTGCATGCCTTTGAGTCACTTTTTGCATTCTGAGCCATGGTTTTATTATCTGTAAAATAAGTGGATTGATTTAGGCTTCAATTCATGAGAGTAGAGACCAGTATCTTGTTTACGGTCCCCAGTACGTAGACTAATATGTGGCAAACAATGTTTGCTGAGTGAGTAACAGTAGAAATAAACAAATTAAGACAGTTTTAATAACCCCATTGGTCCTAACATTGATACAATGACATCCATTCCTCTGTGCATGCTCAGATCCTCTCTAACCACGTCTCCACATGCTGAGGTTGACATTGCTAATCTCTGTGCTTCAGCACTTTATGTTATAAAAAGTGACCTGTTTACTACAACCTACTTCACTAGCAATCAGTATGTTTTCAGAATAACCAACCACAGGTACTACTAAGGTGCAGTAAACCACGTTCTGGTGTTCAGGTTTGGGATAAGAGTTCTGCAGTGCACAATCTGGCTTTTGAGGATTCATAGAACGCCTGAAATGGTAGCAGAGTTTTGTGTGTTTGAGACTATGTACATTTTTCTGGGAAGTGAGACTGCAGCAATCATAATATCTCAGGAAAAAAGGATTAAGAGCCATAGGAAATCTATGGTCATTTGCAAGAATTTGCACAGGGCTCTTTATGTGCAAAAAAAACCACGGCACCTCAGTCTGCAAGTGCCTGCTCTGCCTTTGGGGCGGAGGGCAGGAGGATGTTAGAAGGGGGTACTTAAGAGGGTCTAAGGAATCTTGAAAAGGGCTGAATCGGCCGGGCGGCCTCGGGTTTACCTGGCGCACCCCTGTAACTCCATTCCTCTCAGGCTCGCCACTTTGGCCTCTGAATCATGGGCATCTTCATCCACGTCTTCCTCATCATCCACGTCTTCCTCATCCTCCCCGTCACCGTCGTCCTCGTCAAACTGGAAGCTCTGGTGGCCAAGGGGAGACAACAGCGACCTGGTGGAATTGCTGCAGCTCAGCGGCAGCGGCGGCGACGGCGAGCGCACCACCTCCAGCCCCTGCCCACGTGCGCCCGTCATAGGGACTGAGCAGGAGTCCGAGGAGGGCCGAGACCTGGGTCTGCAGTCAGCAGAGAAACCGGCGTAGGAAGAGGGAAAAGTAGGCCCCCAGCGCCCCGCCGCCCACATCTGGCCCGCCAAGTTCAAACTGGCGGAGCCGCGGCGGGGACGCGCTTTCCCAGCGGGCCCTGCGCGCGCCAGGCCGGCCAATCCCGGCCAGCACAGACCCCGCGTTGCCATGGCGACGCGTGGAGGCCGGGAGGACTTTGTCAGGGCCTGCAGAGCTTGGCTTCCTCCGCCCCGGCCTCCCTTAGCCAGCCCTTCCTCCTCAGTGGCAGGAAGGTGCCTGCTGTTTGCAAGCTTGTTTAGTACGGTGTCTCCCCACGCCACTGGCGGGGTCCTGGCTCCCTACCGACAACTTTGAGGGCCTGTCCCTTGTTTGCCGTGGTGTTGCAGTTCATTTTGTACATGAAATATGTTACCTGCCACTGAATCAGGGAAAGACGCAGAAACCAAAACCACCCCCTATATAATTACGAGGTCAGAATTGTGAGCATCGGTCGTGATTTCTTTCAGCACAAGTCGATATATTTTGAGGAGAGGGGAGGGAACTTGATCCAAGTTTACAGGTGTATCCCAGAACGCACTTTTAGGACAGTCATTGCGTGTTTTGGTAGCACTTCGTTTGCCTGGCATCTTAAGGGACCTAATTTGTCTACACATGTGAATTTTTGACCTCTTTGAAGCCTCTAGTGTATTGTAGGGTCTGCGTAAAGCACAAGGGATAGATGATTAAAAGTCTCGCCCTTAAGTTCCTCATCCTGTTGTCGTGAAAAATGATCTCAGTAAATATGCTGATATGCATTTTATGTGGGATCTGAGGGGCACTCTCGGGAATGGGGATAAAGGCAGTAAAGGAAAGGTAGATGCTTTATTCATGCTGACAAAACTGTACATTTGTAAATAAATAGGGCTTTTGTCCAGTTCATAATGTATATTACCGGTAGAAATACCATAAACGAAAATTGACCATGGCTAACACATCACACAAAACTTTTTAGTGACCAGAGTGATACAAAAACTTTGATGAAATCTAGATCTGCAAAATTTAACACAGGAGAATTAGCTATGGTAGAAGTAATAGCAACCAAAGGCAATTCAGAAGGCAGAGCTATAATTAATAAAATATGACATGATTAAATCTATTTAAATTGAATATTTTCTTTAAAATTTCGGTGAAAACAAAATGAAAGAAAATTGGAGCACTCCAAATGAGTAATAAAGTTGATCAAGGAATAAAACTGACCTAATGGAGTTTTCGTTCTCGACCCTAGTTATTCAATATTGGCATTTAAAAACCTTTTATCAGAACATCTCTAGAATCAGTAACATCGAAACGCACTGAGCTGCCTTAGGGCCTCATAAAGAGGTAAGCTTGAGAAGCTGTTTTCCAATAGATATAACCAAACATAACTGTAGTGGGAAAAACACTAGTATGAAAGGGACCTGGAATCAGTGGTTTTCTTGGTACTTGATAGGTTTTCCATTCCTAACACTCCTCTGAAAATAGGGGAAAAATTTACCTCACAGGGTCATATTATCTCATTAATTCTCAAAGTTTCTAAGCTCAGAATCAGAAAGATACAATGAAAAGTTGTGTGTAAACTTCAGAACTTTTTCACTTTAACCTCTACGCATGGGAATCTAAATGTCATATACTTCTTTGTCCCCTTAAAATGTTTTCCTAAACAAAGTATACCCTTTTCTTGATGCGCCAGGGTCATCATTATGACCAACTGTGACATTATGCACTAGCAATGCTGGACCCCCCCAAGGGTATGAGGCAGAGTCAGATGGTGCTGGTGCTGGTGTTTGAACATAATTAAGTCCAGCGGCCTCATTTCTTACAGTGCCTTTTCATTACTGGAGCTGAGAAGCCATAATCGAGATGGGTAGAATTATATATAAATGTACAAATGTATAAAAGAGTGTCTCTCCCTTTAAGTTTTAGGGTATTGACTTAGTGACATCTTTTCATACAATTAGTACTTTGGCCATGGTATATTTGAGGTAATTATGTTTTGCTGGCTCTGGAAACTTATATAAGAGTCACTTTTGCTTAAATAATTCCATCACCAGTTAGCCCTGTGGCATATATTATGCAACTTTAAAAATTTATCCCTAGACATTAGTATTTACAGATGAAACAATATAATGTCTTAAATTTGCTTCAAAATAATGCAAGGGGCAGAGGGATTGGAGGGGATTAGTGAATAGGATGAAGATGAAACAAGGTTCACTACATGCTGCAGATAATTGTCAAAGCAGTGACAGGTATGGGGTGAAGGGTAGGGAGGTGGGGTAATTATACTACTCTACTTTTTGTTATGGAAATTTCAAGCATATATGAAATTTAAAACAAACACACACACAAAATTATGTCCCAAATGAAGAGGCATTGGGTTCTGGTTTGGGGTCAAATTTGCTGTGACTCAGGGATTCACTTAAATTTCATTAAGCCTTTTGTTTTCTCATCTGTAAAATGAGGACTTAATGATTGTAAATACTGAAGTATTTCTAAGCATCTGGGCAACTGACTACATTTAATATCATGCAGATTTTTTAATCATTTGCTTTTTAGATAAAGATTGAATCAATGGTTTTTCTGAAATTTCATAATCTGTTTTCCATGAGTATAGTTCAGACTTAGGATAAAACCTTATTTCTAAGTTTCAGCAAAATGTTCTTATATGTTTACAAATAAATATCAAAATAGTGTTTTCTAATGGTTACTTCCAACATTTCTTCTAATACTGTCCACTTACAAATATTTAATTTGCTTACTTTAAAACTAAATTCATTAATATACCTAGTTTTAAATTAAGGCAAAATAGATTGCTTTCTAGAAACTTTAATAATTCAAAACACTGAGTACAATATTGTATTTCATACCATATAGCACAAAGATTAACACTTTTATATATCTGTTATTCTAGTTTTTAAATGAATAAAATGAAAAGTTTTCAATAACCTGAATTTTGGAAAAAACCTTTTAATTAGGAGTTTCTTACCAAGTTATGATTTAATATTTATCAGATGTGTAAATATACATGATAGCAATTTTTAAAACTTGTAAATAGTTGGCCTTACAAAATTACAACACACTGTAAATAAATCCTTCCCACATTTTATACAAACTACATGATTTTGATATACAAAGATTCTGTTTTTATTACACTGACAATGTACAACAAAGACTATTTACAATGCAAAAAGTATATAAACCACAATTTAACAGTCTGCTACTGGCAGCCACTATAGTTTAGGAGGTAGCTTTAATTAAACGAAATGAACAGAAGCCACATTTCCCAACTTGTGTTCTAAAAATAATTTACATAAGATAAAAATTCATTATATGCACAGTATGTACAGTTTAATTATTAAACTGCAATCTAGCTGGATTTTTTTAGTATATTCAGAATAACTAATATGGCAGTGGGTTTGCTATTGATTTAGCACACTGTTCAAAAAACATATTGAACAATTATAACTTTAAGACTCCACCCAGTAATAGGTCTAAAGCCCATAGATGGGAATCAAGTAAAATTTTTAATTTTTAAAGACACAGGACTAAGCTTTATTCTTTCTTCTTCTATTTTTATTAATAACATATTATCTTGTTTAACCAGAGTTCAACCTCTGAGCTATTGAATAGGCTCTTTTATAAAAAATAGTATGGGGAAGATGTATGGAAATTTCCATTTAATAGCACAGGTTCAAGATAATCCAGCTCACTAAGAAATAAACATAAGTACTTCGTGTCATAATTACTCCCCGTTTCGTCTAATTAAATGCAAGTATTGACCACAGTTTACTTTCTATATAATCCAAGCTATTGCTAGGTGACATCCCAGCAAATTGGAAAATATTAGTAGAGCCAACGATATTAGGAAGTATTCATTAATGAGAACATTACATGAAGCCACCAAATCCCTCAGATACTATTAAACCCCCACATTAGTTAGTAGTTTAGCCAAATCGACTAAACCCACACAGCAATTAGCCTTTTACTTTTTTTCTAGTAGTGTAATCACAAAACACTTAAGAAAAAATTACTGATTGGACCAAAGCAATGTATAATGACTGAAAACAAATGTCCAGCTATTTTTTTAACCTAACAGCTGTTAATATTGTTTTAAAAACATCTTCAGGTTTTAGATTTATAAATTGCTTAAACAAAATTTATAGTTCTCTTATGTCAAGGATGGCAAGTGAAAACATAATAAAGTAATGCCTATGTATACTCTCACAGTTCTAGCTGGGACAGTCCCTTTTTTGGCCCTGCAGTAAGTTGTCCTGAGATTAAGGATGAAACATTAGGTAAAATTAGCAAGATATTTTCTTCAGTTATAGAAAATCACATTTTAAAATAGATTTTTAAAAAATATTAACAGCTGTTCTTTATCTTGTGCTTAATACACAAATAGGTATAAATTTGCTTCTTATGGATCAGAAAAAACTAACATTATATTGCTCTACTACACCTAAGATCCTTTTCAAGTCATATATTTGTTTCAAACAGATCATACATTGCTTGGACATTGCATTTTTCACCAATTTATAATTTAGGCACCTGTTCTTTGAAAATGACTGGTTTGAGAAATAAACTGCCACCTCTCCTTCTTCTAAGTGACACCAGGCAGTGATTACAGAAGTGCTTCCCAGATGAAAGATGAGAATAGGGTTCACTCTATAAACACTGATTTTGGTTGACGGGGGAAACGGTTACACACACAGTAGTTCAGTCTTTAACTCTTGGTAGATTGTAAGCATAGCGCACCAAAGGGAATCCTCTACTCTGGTAGAAGCAGGCTCGTCCACAGGCCTGCACCTGGTCAGAACTGTCTGAGACAAAGGAATCTTCTTCATCTGCATAATCAGAGTGGGCCGACTGTGTGCCACAGTCGGACCAGTAGCCCTCAGGTCTTTGGCAAGAAGCCACTGCCAATGCAGGACAGCTGTGTGATTTTATCAAGTGTTTGCATGATACTGGCTTTGTTAAAAGAAACGATTCGCAGCAGTCGCAAACAGTCAGGTTGCCCTGCAAATGTGAGTACATGCCACAGTCGTAGTAGAAATCCTGTTCCAGACAACCACCTTGGCTACTGATGGAAACTGAAACTGATCCACTTTTCTTGGTAACACGTCGCTTCAGTAACTTCCAGTCTTCTTTAAACTTTGGGTTGAAGAAAACATACAGGACTGGATTCAGGCAAGCAGGCAATGGAAAAAATATCAGAGTAACAGACTTCATTATTTCGGGGCTGATAGAGATTGCAGTGATCAATGGTGCAAATGAAAAAAACGCCACAGGGCAGAAAAAGATGCAATTGGTGAAGATTAGCCAAGCGACATGCTTAATCATGCTAGATTGTGAGTTTTCTGAGAGGTCCTCTTTTTCCAAGTTGCAGTATAGTTTAGTGTAGATAACGGCCATTAATAAAAATGCTAGTGAGTTTAATAGCACTAACGTTACAGTGAATCCTAATGATGGCGTTTCACCTGTAGGAAATGGCAAACAAAGGGGTGATGCAGAATATTCCCCTCTATGGAAAAGGGGAAAACAGCCTGCTACTGTAGCACCTAGGAAAGCCAAAAGGGCAGCAACCCGGAACTGTTTGAGATGATTGCTCTTCCCATTTTTCATTATATCTTTTGCAGATAAGCTTCTTTCGACAGTTGCTAGCATTAATAAAAATATGGCACTTTCTGAGGAGAAAACTGCAAGAAACCCAGCTACTTTGCAGCCACTGCCAGTTTCCCACCAAATGCCAAATTCAGCGAATCTGCCCCAGGACACAGCATCAAGAAAAGTTAGGATGCCAGTATAGATTCCCATGAATAAGTTAGACACAGAAATCAAGCCTATAAACAATTTGGACGAAGGCAGTGATGTACAAGATGCAAATGTTGTTAAAATAACAAGCAGGTTGAAAAATAATGCAACCAAGAAAATGAACCACACAGTAAGACGAATCATCCAGCTTCCCAGTAAATATTCACAGGGCTTAAAAGCACCTAAAAAAAACACACACAGAGAGAGAGAAATAAAAGATAACTTAGAAAACAATTTAGAAAATGATATGGCTTGATAGAAAAACTAATGATATAGACTAATTAAATCTGCTCTCTACTTGAACAAAACTGAACTGATTACTAGTTCTAAGATATTTTGGTCATGGACCAGGCTATTTTAAAAATAAACTGACTTTAATTTATTTTATTAAATATTTGGTAAGGCTATAAATATTTCTTTTATTAAATATTTGATAAAGAGTGATATTTAGATGAAATTTTTCATTTTTTCTTGCATCTAAGCTAATTTACATAGCACAATATCTAGGGCATAAGAGGTATTTGATGACTGAGGGTCTGGAATGAGATGGTTCATAACTTGCTATTCTTACCTTAAGAAAGCAACTTAAAATTGTATAAATTTTAACCTGTATTCATTTTCTCACTTGTGGATAATAATGCCTGTTTCATACAGTTGTGCAGCTTAAGTAAAATTATACACATAAGGAACTAAGCAGGATGCTGGATATATAGTTAGACTTCAATAAATATTAGCTCCCTTTTCTTCTTCCTTTCTAGCCCCAATATACTTTATAATCATGTATGTATATGTATGTATCTACACATATTTTTTATATATTTTCTTATGACTTTCAAAAGCAACCTGATGAAGCAGGTTAAGACAGTATAATTATCCCCATTTTTCATCCAGAGAAACTGATATTTCAAAGAAACTGACAAAGGCCATTCAGTAAGATAATATAGCTAGGACTACACCTCGGTGATGTTAACTATTCATACAAAGCTATGTACAATAAAATCCTACATAATACAAACTAGCATTGCAAGAACTCATTCAGTCGCTGAACTCCATGTTCCAGTAACTGACTTTGACATGCTAGTTATGACACAAATTACAACTGTTTTACTGAAAAATTAGAAAAGAAAAACAAGATTTTGACTATGAAACACAAGAAAACTATGTATTACAACTGTCTAAAAAACATGTTTTATGAACTTTCATGAAAATGACATATCCAATAAAATGTTTTAAATTGTTAAGATATTCACAGACCTCAAAAGCCAGTTCTGCATCATTTATCAGGCTTCCAAATAATACAAGAAACTCTTATTTTAAATTTCCTTTCTATTCCCCCTTCAGGAAGTGCTAAGAGAAAGCTCGTTATCACCTTTATCTCTGTTATCTAAACTCATCCTTCATGGAAGGAGGGGTAGCTCATCTACCTGAGAGAATAGGATACCTTTTGAGAACCCTTTTATGGGTGAGAAAGGTTACTTTTCCAAAAAAGCCTGGGAAGCAGCCTCCACCGTCCCTGTCTTTGGAAGCCTGCTGCCTCCTCTGGTGCTAACAGAAGGATCCCAGCTCTCCTCCACTTCCTGCTTCTGCAGCAAGCACATCAGTGTCTGTGTGTTACTACAGCTGAGTAGGGGGAGGCAGGCCTGCATTTCATCCCCATGGCAGCCCAAGGAGATGAGCTCAGACCAGCTTTCCTCCTGGCCAATCTCCAAGTTTACATTTGGGGTGGAAGAAATGGAAACGCTGCATGTTGAAGTCCAGCCCCCCCTTTAATAAACCTGTTCCCTTCTCATTGGATCATCAGTTCTTTATGTACATTCTCTGGCACATGAACTCCAGTGAGACAAGTAAGCAAGCTGCACCCCAACCTTTAAAAATTAATATAGACACTAACACACAATAAAATAAATTACATACACTTAGATGATTCTTGCCAACTGCATTCACTTATCTAGTAACTTAGAGCTTATTCTCTACAAAAGAAAGTATTCATAAAATACATACGCAGCCCCTTAAGAAGCTCACAATTCAGCAGCAATCACTAGTGAATCCATAATACTTATAATTCTGAGTCATAAAATTAATGTCCAGATTATCCTGTGATATTATACCAACAAAGGAATCTACTTTGTAGCACACAATTTGACTAAAATATTTAAGCCTTCCTTTTACAGTAAAATTATAAATACATCTTCTCTAGTAGATTAGGCAGACTATGACAATCATGACCAAATATGTGGTATCAGTTTAATAACTTTCCCAAGACTACGAAGTTCAATGAAGTAAATGAGGGGAAATAAGGAAAGGCAAGGCTACATTAAGCACACACATACAATCTGCATAGACTACTAACTTACAGAATTAGTCCCAGAGTTAAAGGAGCATTAAGAAAGTGCCTCTGAAATTCTAACGTGTACAACCTTCACCTGGGGGAGCTTGTTAACATGCAGATTCTGATTCAGTAGGTCTGGGCCTGAGATTCTGCAAAAAATTCCTAAGCTGCTGGCTGGTACGCAAAGCACAAAATCAGAAGGCCTCACAGGATCCTCTAGTACCATCCCTATTACAGAAATCACATCTATACCCAGGACATTTAGATATATTTGCCTAATGTTTGTTTAACATGGGTAACTGTGAAAAAATAGGCCAGGCATACCTGTTGAAGGTGTACAATGGATAATTATTTGACTATGTTCTTCATTTTCAAGAGTGCTTGTGACATTTGCTGCATCAGCAGTACCTGAACATATAACACAAAGCATGTTTAATTAAAACCTTATGCAACTCAAAAGAACCATATTTTCCTGCAATTTTCTCTGTATATAAGTGTGAGTTCTCCTTATAGAAGGTTCAATAACATATTAAAGATGCTGGTAGCATAGTGAATGCCATTGTTTTTTTTGGTTTTGGTTTTTTTTAGAGACAAGGTCTTGCTCTGTTGCCCAGTCTGGAATGCATTGGCACAATCATAGCTCACTGCAACCTTGAACTCCTGGGCTCCGCTCAAAGGATTCTCCCACCTCAGTCTCCCAAGTAGTGGGGAATACAGGCACATGCCACTACACTCAGCTAGTTTTAAAATTTTTTATATAGAGAGAGTCTCACTTTGTTGCCCAGGCTGGTCTCGAACTCTTAGCCTCAAATGACCCTCCCGCCTTGGCCTCCCTAAGTGCTGAGATTACAGGCATGAGCCATCACACCTGGCCAGACAATGCCATTTTTCTCACAGATTTCCTATTGATCATTCACAAAGTAATTATAATAACAGGAACTTTAATCAATGCCTTAAAGGAGTGTTCTATTTTTTGAAACTCATGCACTTGCCTTTCTCCTGTGCCACACTGTGGTCCTGGAGGCTGTTATCTTCTGTGTTTAAATTTGCATAAGAGTCACAACCCCAAAATGCACAGCACTGATAAGCATATGGTACTGATAAAGACCTGGAAAAAAAAGTTGTAAAATCTACACTGAACAGCAACTCCGCAGTTATGGTTTTGTTTTGTAAAAGTATTTTAAACTTTGAAAACCTCAGCCTAGGAGTCAGAAAGATCTGTCATGTGCTTTAGGCTGGTCGTTCATCCTCTCTGGGCCTCAGTTTCCTCATCTGTGAAAACAGCTCTGGTATCAGATGACAACGAGACTTTCTCCCTTTCTATAAGATCTCTCTTAACAGTTGGATGTAAATCAAACTGTTTAAAATTTAACAGCAGTACTGTAATTTAAAGTAATATCTTATGACTCCTTTTATAAATGTATTAACTATGCACAATTTATCATACGAAACTGATAGTTTCACTTAAAATTAATGCCCCAGGTCATTTGTGACTTTATACCATTAAATATATTTACTTGGTTTAAATAAATGTAATGAAAATATTTATTCTCTTCTCCAACAATAATATTCTCTCTCTTTTTTTTAGAGACAGGGTCTTGCCCTGTCACCCAGGCTATAGTGTAATGGCGCAATCACAGCTCAGTGCAGCCTAGAACTCCCAGGCTGAAGTGATCCTCCCATTTCAGCCTCCCAAGTAGCTGGGACTACAGGCACGTGCCACCACATCCAGCTAACTTTTATATTTTTTGTAGAGACAGGGTCTCAGCATGTTGCCCAGGCTGGTCTTGAACTGCTGGTGTCAAGTGATCAGCCCACCTTGGCCTTCCCCAAAGTACTGGGATTACAGGTGCGAGCCACCACGCTCGGCCTCGTAACAATACTCTCTATTATATTTAATGCAGTCCCCCATAACTCTAAAACCTTCATGAAGTATTATAGCATTGTTTTCTGCAGGTTCACATTTACATGGTTTCTGCCATCTTATTGCTAATGAAAAGTCCACTGTATTAAAAAACCATTCTGGTGAATAGCTGTATTATCTCTTTGAGGCCATCAAGGGCTCCAGTTCACATTCTTAAAGACTGTGGAATAATGTTCATATTCTATTTTTCACCAAATTTGCAAAGACTGACGTAGAAAACACCCTTAAATTATAGCCTATCAGAAAATCTGAGAACCAGAGCAAAAAACCAGGACACTCTGTAATTTTGGAGCCTACCATAACTTCAACAAAAAAGAAAAATAAGCAAAAACACACCTGAGGTTAACAAAGTCTTTTGCTGCTAAGGCTTCTTTCAGCTTGAAGTTGCCCACAAGTTTCAGTTGATTTAGCCCATTCAGGCCTTCCGTAGGAAAGGAAGTTAATTCATTGAAACTTACATCTCTAAAATATGAATGAGACTTCAAGTTAATGCCCAATATATAAATCACATAAAAACATCTGTACACGTATTAACATCATAAATATTAGATCCCTAAGATGAAGTTCAAGTGGGGGTGCTAAAATTATAGTTCTAGCATGTATCTTGCCGTTTAAGAAGACTTTTACTATAAATACAGCTTAGCATTTATACAAGGGAATAACTAAACAGAAAAATATTTTGATTCGACAATGTTAAAACAGATGTTTCTATAGCACTAGTTACTACTTTCATGACATTACTGCATAATCATCCACTTACAGGTTAGTTATTGGCCCAAGTGTGGCAAAAGCTCTACTGTGAATTTCATGTATCAGGTTTCTACTCAGATCTCTGCAATTATAAGAGTAACATGTTAATCTTTCAAATAAACACTCAGAATGCCACTTACTTAGACTATACTTTAGAATTAGAGGTAGTAACACAATATCGCTGATAAGATAACAAAGATCTTCAATCTTGGCCAGCAATATTTTTTCATGTTTATGTTGAATGCCTCTCCTTCACAACAATCTATTTCTTGGAATATGTTCTGTACAGCAGTAATTCTAGCTGGCATCTGTTTCAAAACAGGTGTGAATTTTCCCACTTTATCATTCTGATACCAATTCAAACATATAAATGATATGATATAACCTTTGGTACTGCTAACTCAGTGAGGAAAAGCTCAGTTTCTGAAAAAGCTGAAAATAAAAACAGACTTCGTATTGTTTGCCTTCTCAAAGGTTAGTGATAAGGCCCCGAGAGAAGACAAACAATCAATATGCAAACAAGAGCATTCCAGGAGGGCTGCAGATACCCTTCTTTTCCTAAGCACGATATAAAAATTGCATCAACAGTACAGCCAGCTCCGTATTCAGGAACACACCCTGAGAAATTCTGATATTATAGAATTAATAAAACAGAAATAATCTACAAACACACTTACACTGAACCTTAAAGGAAATTTAAACATTGAGTAAATTCATTCTGAGACATATTTCCTAGATAACAAGGAAACTCAACACACTTGGTTCCAAATCACGAAAAGACCAGCTTCTTAGTGTCACTTATCAGTTTCTAAAAGTGATGGCAACTAGGAGCCAGTCTTCTTCCCTATGACTGCCCAGGCTTACACAAAGTTAGTCCACAACTTGAGATGATCCAGCAACCCAACTACCAATTAAATAGTTTCTAGTAGAGTACATGTCATATTTCTTAAAGGGGATATACTAAAAAACTGTATTCAATATATGTAATTTCATTCACTATCAATTTTTCAAACTTTTTCTATAATAGAAAAATGTTGTGCTGGGCAAGGTGGCTCACACCTGTAATCCAAACACTTTGGGAGGCCAAGGTGGGTGGATCACTTGAGCTCAGGTGTTTGAGACAAGCCTGGGCAACATAGGGAGACCCCATCTCTACCAAAAAAAAAAAAAAGAAAAAAATTAGCTGGAGATTGTGGTGTGCACCTGTAGTCCCTCAGCTATTCAGGAGGTTGAGGCAGGAGGATTGTTTGAGCTCAGGCGTTGGAGGATGCAGTGAGCTGTGATTACACCACTGCATTCTAGCCTGAGCGACAAGAGTGAGAGACCCTGTCTCAAAAAAAAAAAAAAAAGAAAAAGAAAAGAAAAATGTTCATTAATTTAGTGTACTATGTTTCTGTGCTAAAGTTCTAGGAAGATAGTGAGTGGCAAGGTTTGTCTCAGTCACCTCTATATTCCCAAGTGCTTATGAGAGTACCTGGAACAAATATGTAGTCAAATACAAATGATTTTTTAAGTAAGTGCTTCTGTGGCTTATGAACTCTATTTGTCATGATAGATACTCCAGTGCAGGGGTCAGCAAACTTCTTCTGTAGAAGGCCAGATAGTAAATATTTTCACCTTTGTGAGTCATATACTCTCCGCTGCAACTACTCAATTCTGCTATAGTGGGGTGAGAGCAGCTTTAGACGGCACTTTAATAATAAAGGCCTGGCAGTGTTCAATTAAACTTAATTGATAAACCAGGAAGCAGGCTGGATGTGGCCCATGGGCTGTAGTCTGCCTACCCTTGCCCTAATGAATTGGCAAACCTCACTATTATAACTTGAAAACAAACAAGCTACATCACTTCAGTTATACACATTACACATTTTTCTACTTGCCAATGTACAATTAGCTAAAGTAAAAAATATTGAAAGATTATTTATAAAGTTGCAAGTCTAAAAATCTTGCAATGTCTAAAATAATATTTTAGGTAAAGTCTAAAAATAATATTTATTGAACACAAATTATATCTTTTTTTTTTTTTTTTGAGACGGAGTTTCACTCTTCTTTTTCAGCCTGGAGTGCAATGGCACAATCTCAGCTCACTGCAATCTCCACCTCCAGGGTTCAAGCGATTCTCCTGCCTCAGCCTCCCGAGTAGCTGGGATTACAGGCATGCACCACTATGCCCGGCTAATTTTTTGTATTTAGTAGAGATGGGGTTTCACCACGTTGTTCAGGCTGAAATTAAAATTATATCTTTAAGTATATCTAGTAACATGGAAATCATAACAACATATTAACATAGTTTGGAAAAAATTTATTGTCTTTAATAATCATAGACAAACTTACAGAATCCTTAGAGATATCAGGCCTTGAAAGGTGCCTTCCTTTATTTGGTAGATTTGATTACGCTGTAAAGAACTAAATAAAAAAAGAAGAAGAAAGAAGACGAAGACAAAGACAAAGAAGAGAACAGGAGGAGGAGGAAAGAGAAAGGGATAGAGAAAAAGAAAAAAGTTACTTTCTATTTTGAAAAATAACATTATAACATTTCTTAGTTGAGTTTTTTCTAAATTTAAATAACTATTCTTATGTAACAGTGATCTTGTTGAAAGAGAATTGCCCTTTTCTCATCTATAAAATGAAAGAGACTAATTGGTATTTCATCCCATATTATACTGGGAATTAACTGGTATGCTATCTAAATTCCCCCATCAACCCCACTCAGGCATAAGAGAAGGAAGATGATGCAGGGAGAAAAGGAACCAAGACAACACAACTATGACAAATACCGTAGGAATAAAGTTACAGGACTACATAGAGTTAAAATGGGAGAATTAATGCCTCCCCCTTCCCATCTCCCAACCAGCTTCCACCAGAGCTGTGCAACACAGGACATGATGGGAACTGGCATTCATGTCTGGTTTCCCTCAATAGCTGGACAAGTTTTTGTCTTCTATTTCTTTTAAATATACACTAACTTCCAACTCCCCCCCGCATAGCGTTTCATGGGATGCCTGATAGCTAAGTGCCTAATACATGCTGGTTGCATGAACACATCTGGTTCAATTTGACATGTTATTTATGGGAACATCTGATTACAGGAATTTCTAATTTCTTACTATTAAAGCCATCTATTAAAAATACGAAATGCTCAACAAACTAACAATACACCACAACAAAAGGAATAAGTCAAAGACCAACTCACATTTCTTCCAGAGCATGGCAACCATTAAAACTTGGAAGGTCTCTTATATTATTGTAAGACAAGTCCCTTAAAACAATGGAAATTAACAAATTAATGCTATGTTATCAGAGTATTATATTAAAAGAGTGGTACTCAGAAGCGTTGAAAGCAGAGCTAAGATAAGTAATAAAGAGATATGCCTGAATAAGAAAAACAAGTCTTTTTTCCTAAGACTTGTCAGCTTCTCAAATACCTCAGTGATACAATAAGCCTAAGATTGATAAAGTTCAAGAATATATTGTTGAGCATAGACACTAATATATGTAAAAATACATTTCTATAAAGTATATATATAAAGTACATAACATAAATATATAAAATTAAATAGGCAAATATAGAAAAATATACAAAATATATAAAATTTAAGTGGTAAAGCTACATTTTTTTAAATTTGTATTTATACGGTTTAAAAATTTGTATTTTTTCAATATTGTTTATCCCATAAATAACTTATATGTTCTTTTGTTGAAAAGCTCTAAGAGAAATGGTATGCTTATCAACATTTTAAAAAACAGTTATATTACATCAAACACCAGAACTAGTTAACTTTCAGTCCCACTGCAGTTTTTCCTCAACAGTGATCATTATGTTTAAGTTTGATACACCACTACATCACTAAATTATAGTCATGACCCAAATAACAGTTTTGGTCAATGACAGACACCATATACAATGATATGGTCCCATAAGAGTATAATACCATATTTCTGCTCCAACTTTTCTATGTTTAGATATACAAATATTTACTATTATGTTACAACTGCCTACAGTATTCAGTACAGTATTATGCTGTACAGGTTTGTAGGCTAGGAGTAACAGATTATATCATATAGCCCAGGTGTGTAGAAGAAACCACCGAGGTTTGTGTAAGCATACTCTATGATTTTCACACAATGACAAAATTGCCCCATGACACATTTCTTAGAATGTATTCCTATTGTTAAGTGGATGTGTGACTTTACTTGCTTAATCAATCAGTCATTTATTTTGTTACTATCTCCTGCCACTGAGTACTTATTAACAACTTAATAACTTAATCGTTTATTCTGGAGACATTTTTACATCCTTTATTTACTTTTAGTTTCTAGGTCAGCCTAAAGTTTTTAGAAAGCGACAAGCTTTAGTTCATTCCAGACTGAATAAAGAGTTAGGCTCTGCTTAGGCTGCAGATGAAAGAAGGAGACTATGAGGAGAGATACCCCTGGAGAAACTAGAATAAAGACAAAGAGCAGGATGAGAAAAAATGAAGAAAGAACCTATCTTGGTTTTACTTTGTTCAAAATAAAGTCACAAGTATATGATATATTCAAAACCCTAAAACCTAATTCAAATGCACATTACCCACCCTGGAGATGACTCAAATATCTGCTCCTTTACAACAACTAAGAAGTAATTATACCTCAAAACCACCTTATGAAAGTAGATCCTTAAAATAAAATTGAACATGTGTGAATATATAAACAAAAGGTATGAGGGGAAGGGAAGAAGAATCCAACTTACAAAGTCCTAAGCATCTTTTGTTCTTGACACAAATTATTAGGTATGCTGCTTATCTTTGTACCTGTCAAAGTCCTGCGGAAAAACATTATTCATGTAAGAAATAATTCAACTCAAGATAGTAAGCAAAATTTATTCCCATATAGAATAAGTGCTCACATATTTACATATGGACTAGATTCTATACATCCCATGGCCTAATTATTCCATAAAGTTAGACATGCAAGAAGGTGAACTGAACCCCAATTCTGATATCATCTTCACAGTAACTCAAAAACACTTGTGACATTAGATGTTGATACTGGGCTTGATTTCCCACATGGACCAGGAGGAAAACACTAATCTACAGTCACACAGTCTGATCACAGTTAATTGCAAGTTGTCACCTTCTTACACCCAAGACCTTTGAAACCAACTTGCATTCTGCCCCCAAATCTTGTTTCTGTCTTTTCTTTCAGTCAAACTGGCTCAGCATTCGAAAATGTTCTCTTATTCCCCTCCCTTCTGTAGTCTATCACCAGTTCCTGTTATTTCTTCCTCTGTTGTGTTTCTAGCATCTAATTCTTTCAGAAAAAGAGTGAAGTGAGGCAGAGAGGGATAGAGGACTCTCAGACAGACCATGCTATTTGTCCTGGTGCAAATCCAGTGATGGATTAAAGACCTGGAGCTGTCATAATTCAATGTGTTCATCTGGTCAGGTAGACTATTCCCACAGCCGCCTCACTGTTCTCCCCATCTCTAGTCTCTTTCTCCTTACCCTCCTCACATTACCTGCTTAAACATTCTCAACACCTCCAACTGCCTTAAGAGTCAAGTTTAAACTCCTTACCTCAGTGCTTCCCAAATTCTTTTTTAAAAAATATCTTGTCACATGTGACCATTGTAACATTTAAATGGCACGCTGCAGTAAGACTCCTGTGGCTAGAGGTCCTAGCTGCCTCAGGCCCCAACTGACTGTCTGGAGGGCTGAGGTCATCAAGATCTTAAGTGCACCTGTAAACTCATGCACAGACCACTCACTGGGAAACTGCCACAACCAAATGTGCAACGTTCAAAGCTTGTCATTTCAAAGTCTAATACCAAACAATTCTCCGATTTCTCCATACCATCCCCATTCTATTATAAACATGCAATTCTAGCTATATTTGCTCATCTATATGCTATCTCTGAGAATACTTTTGGTATTTCCAGTTTTACTAATCCTGCCTTAAATTAAACACTCAGCTCTGGGAAACCTGACAGTATTCAAACCTTCTACCTCCTCCGTGAAGCCTTCTGTGATAGTCTACATCGAATGCCCCCACTTCTAAATTCTGAAAGCACTGCTTCTAATTTGGCACTTTGTTACTGCCTTGTATTTTCTGTGAACCTTTCAGATCTTATCCACATAATCGGCTCTACTCTGCCTAAGCTCACTGACCCCATACCCAATATATTCTTCTCCATGCATGATATATACAAAGGGAAACCGGAGGAATCAACATAAACCCATCATT
Source organism: Homo sapiens (assembly GCF_000001405.40). NCBI lineage: Eukaryota > Metazoa > Chordata > Mammalia > Primates > Hominidae > Homo > Homo sapiens. The sequence goes on from NC_000011.10 coordinate 27,380,190, forward strand.
GTCACTAAAAGACCCTGGCACCCTGCTAGCAGTCCAGTAGTGTTATCTTTATACAACCCCTCTTCAAAGGGCCTTACTTACAGACTTTCCAGGTGGACAGTTCCTGTAAGATTGGGGAACTGCTGCACCATGCTTGCACCACGAATGACTCTTTATGAAATTGAGAAAGACAAGGTAATTTTTAAATTTTTTTTCATATTTTATGTTTTAAACAGTTTAAAATTACAGTGCAACTATAACTAAAAATAAAACTAGTTTCATCTCTTGAATGTACTTGAAAGTATGATAATGTGGCAAAGTATTCACAAAAATAAGAACAATTATAAATTCTGCCCAAGGGAGAAAAAAATTTTAAAGATTTTGTTTTCTGGAGTTCCAGTAATAAATTCTTGTTTTCCACTAAAACAACTGTATAAATATCCAGGTTTGTTTTTAAATTCACATACTTACAGGGAATGAAGATCAGATAAATTGTGAAATGCTGAGTTCCCCACAAAAGACAGAGGATTATCATACAAATGTCTGTGAAAATATCCAAAAAAAGTAAAATTTTCATATGTTCACAAGCACTCTAATATTAACTCTATGTTCACAATGTACATATATCTAAAATCCTGACTTCTCATTCTTTATCAGGGTGTTTGGCATTGTACGGACACAGCTTCACATAATTATACATTAAAAGAAACTTTCAAAAATACTTACATAGTTCTTAAGAGTGGATTACCATCAAATGCTCCATCAGGGATAACAGAAATAGAATTACTATGAAATCCTCTAGAAAGATAGGAGAAAAGTATTTTGAAATGCATTATCCTCTTGCGAAATAAAACCCAAGTATCTACTGCTGTTCAGCATTATATAAAATACAACTGATAATGACTACATGAAAATTTTCAAAAGCATAGGAAATCTCAAATTTTAATTTTATTTTATCTTTTTCAGTATCATACCTAATTCTTTTTTAACCCACTGCTTAGCTTGGTATCTATCAGATCCCTCATATGCATTTATCTGTTGCTTCATCATAAAAAAAAGCTTTAGACCATGAGAAACAGGTGTTCTAACCTCAAAATCTCTCTCACTGTAGCCTGTATTTAGCCTCTTGGCAATGCATCTTAGAATGTTAACCATCAACTAGCTCATGACACACAGTCCCTGTTGTGCCATATACAGTCACTAACTCTACCCATGACAAACCCGACGTCCAGAATGTTCCCTCAGGCAGGGCACAGTGGCTCACGCCTGTAATCCCAGCATTCTGAGGGGATCACTTGAGCCCAGGAGTTTGAGACCAGCATGGGCAACATGATGAAACCCTATCTCTAGAAAAAATTTAACAATTAGCTGGGCGTGGTGGTGCATGCCTGCAGTCCCAGCTACCCAGGAAGCTAAGATGGGAGGATCACCTGAGCCTGGGAGGTCAAGGCTGCAGTGAGCTGTGATCATGCCACTGCACCGTGACACTCCAGCCTGGGCGACAGAGTGAGACTCCGTCTCAAAACATACAAACAATCAAAAAAAAAAATAAAAACAAAAATGCTCCCTCATTCCTGTGTTTAAATATTTTTGTTCTTTCAAGTCTGGTCAAACTCCTTCCTTTTGGTGATGTTTTCTGCAGTAACTCCAAACTTCAATTAGGTATTCTTCCAGAATGATTTATTTATCCTATTCATTCAGCATTTATTTCTACCTAGAAACAGCTGTCTGTCTTAACATGATCAGTTTCCCCAGTAAGACTAAGACTACAAGCTCCTTAAAGGCAGACGCTGTATATCAGGCCTTCTTGTTTTACCAGCATCTAACCCTATACATCAATCTATACTCAAAATTGTCTCTGTCATCGAACACAATCCAACTTTATGATTATTTGTGTGTTTGTGTGCATGTATTATGGATATACGTAATGGAACAAGATGTTCTAAAATCCCATTGTTGGAACATTAAATGGTGAGTTTCAGGGATATGAAGACATAAAGAGAATGAAGCAATACTCACAGCTCTTTAAGGCTAGGAAGGGCTTTAATAGCCTGAGGAAATTCCCCCAAGTTATTATAATTCAAGTCTCTAGAAAAAAATGGGTGAAAATATATCAAAATATTAAATAGTGGTCATAATTCATAAGGCATTTTGTTACAGACAAGTATTTTTTTAAATCATATCCTCTGTATGGTAATCTTTCTTTATCAACCATATCGTCATTCAAAACCATGTAGGAGTTTAACTGAATTTACACCTTTTCTTACAATAATGAATAGAGAGAAATCATTCTTCTTCCATGATGTTTTTAGGTCAAGAAACTTACAAGTTCAAATAATTTTCAGAATCATGTATTACTGATGCATTAAATACATAAATCATCTGAATGGTATTTCTCTGAAAATTCATTCTAGAATATAATTCATTGAATATCCATTTGTAAATGACAGCGTGAAACTGAGGTTTCCATTTGGAGTTCACAGTGGCTTCCTGAAATTCTGGTATAAGAGCAGCTGACCTCAGTTCCACCATCAGCGTGATGACCTGAGATAAAAATAATCAGAAGGAGGCCAGGCACAGTGGTTCATGCCTGTAATCCCAGCACTTTGGGAGGCTGAGGCGGGCAGATCATGAGGTCAAGAGATCGAGACCATCCTGGCCAACATAGTGAAAACCCATCTCTACTAAAAATACCAAAATTAGCAGGGCATGGTGGCACATGCCTGTAGTCCCAGCTACTAAGGAAGCTGAGACAGGAGAATCTCTTGAACCTGGGAGACGGAGGTTGCAGTGAGCCGAGATCATGCCACTGCACTCCAGCCTGGTGACAAAGCGAGACTCTGTCTCAAAAAAAATAAAAAATAAAAAAATAAAAAATAATCAGAAGGACCAGGGTAGATTCACACAACTGTTGTCCTCATACAAGTTATGAATTATTGGGAATTTTACATTAGTTAGGAGAAAGACAAGCCATAGTGATCTGTACTAAAAAGTCTTAGTTCTGAGAGTGTTTAAAGTTTAATTTCTTTTAACATAAAGAGCACACTGGCATACGATTTGCATGATTGATTTCAGAATGAAAGTAAAATAAAATTAAAAGCTCAGCTCCTTTGAGACCTATTTTGGTTTCCTTTTCCTTTTTGTAACAGAGAAGAAACAATGGCAAATAAAAATTTAACTGGGAAGAGGTTTAATTTTAACATAATTGAAATAGTGTACACAGCTTAGGATTAGGAAACCTATTCAATCTTTTATTTATAACACTAGAACTCACACACTTAGCAAAGGAGATCTGAGTTTGGAACTATCCTCTACAAGATTTTCAACTTTCATATATCCATTGATGTTTCCTATCCTCTAATTTAGATAGAAAAGTGAAATAATAGAGTCCTAAAAGATTTTAAGTCTTCTCATTAATTGACAGTTAACCAGAAAATTCAGTCAAATAAAATACTACATACCCTGAGCATTCTAATCAGGTTTTACTCACCCATGTAATTGGGACCTTCTCTGAATCATTTACTCATCACAACAGCAAAAATTACATTATCTTTGAATGAAGGCAATAAAGGCAACTAATATAGGCTAAAAGAACAAAAATAAATATCCTATTCTCAATTATACACAGCTACACAATGCCTTTTACTTATATAGTGGTGCAATGTACAGTTGAAACAGCCAGAGGTCTCAAACACTTTAGCTCGTGGAAACAACAACAAAAGTATCATAGCAGAATATAAAATCTTCATTTGTTACTTGTAAAAGCAGATATAGTATTCAAACCCAGTGTTAACAATTAGAAGGCAACTGAGATCATGGAAAAAATAACACTATCCAGAATTCATTTTAGAACTTTCTAACTTCCAAAACTGTCATACATTTAACAAAACCAACATTTCTGGAAAGGTATAAATCTTTGTAGATTGAGCTGTTTTGAATGTGTATTCTTTGGGGGAAAATATGCAATTCACACTTTGCCATTTTTAGCCATGGACTTAGATTAGTATTCATAATTAGGTTATTTGATAGCAAGAATTTAATCCAGTATCAAAGTGAATTAATAAGGAGCTGAACTTAAGGCCAATATTTTTTTCTTTTTCTGCAGTGAAGTATAAAATTATACTTTCAATATCACAATGCAGTTGCCCAAAATATGAATATACTTACAAGGTCTCCAGGTTATCTAGTCCATCAAAACAGTGTTGACTCAGGCTTCTAATTTTATTGTTATGAAGATGCCTAAGGGGGAAAAAAAGCATAAAATGACTTTTCCATCTCCCATTGGCAACTATTATCATTGTTTTATATGTCTGAGTTGGTGTGTAAAGGAATGATGTAGCTAAACATATCAACAGCTAAACAGCTAAACAGTTTTCTGTTGACCACAGAAAACAAGTGACATTGGATAGTTATCTCTTGCTATGTACACTGCACAGACTCACTAAACATAGACTACCTCATGGAAAGAGAAAGTATCTTTAGTGGAAATATGGTACATACATGGAAGATTAATATTTATTCATATCAAAATAAAGTTTTGATTAGCTCTTAAATATATGAAGAAAAATTTGATGAGCTCTCTTACTGAGGACATGAGGGTAATGGTGTGGAGGAAGTGTGTAGTTTACACCAGTGAGATCTCCAACAGATTTTAAAAGAAGCACTATTTTGTTATGTCTTGGAAGATTAAAAACACACTGCATCACATACTCTCTGAACAAGTGGAAAACACGAAATATCCCTGGGACTAACTTCTATGGACACCTCGAAATGACTTCCCTTCTTTTAACATTGAATACGCTGCTGGGACACACGTAAAAGCTGTATAAGTGTGTGCTGAATGACCCAATTTCTTCTCATGATTATAACTGGTCATTTGTCTTAGGGAGATTCAACAATTATCATCAGCTGGTAATGTTTTAAATTATCCTATTCTGTTTAATATTGTACAAAAGCAGCTCCCAAAGCACTAACTACTCAGGAGCATATTCAGCGAGATGCCTTGATAATAATCTGTCAGAAGAAATCTGTTTTTGTACCCCAATTAACACAAATATATGGAATTAAAAGGGATAGATACTTACAGAACTACCAGGCTTGAAAGGTTGGTAAATGCAAAGTCAGGGATGCTTGAGATCTTGTTGAGAGCCAGGGTCAGCGCCTGTAGGGTGGGCAGATTGCTGAGGGGGTGCACAGGCACCTCCGTCAAGCTGTTGTCATCCAGCCACAGATGCCGTAACTGAACAAGTCCTTCAAAACTGTCCTCGGGGACTGAGGTAATATGGTTGGCATCTAAACGCCTAACAGAAACAAAAACAACCATGTTCAGTAACAAATTCTAGTGAAATGAGTCAGTTCAAGTCTCACAACTCAAAGCTTTCAAAACAAAAAGGACTTATAAAAATTATCATCTTTAATTTTACTAGAAGTCCTCATAACATCTAATAACTTTTTCATGATCTGTATAGTGTATGAAAGTCAGTTCTTTCTCTTTCTTCATAAGAATGGCATGTATCCAAATCTATATTCTTCAACTATCTTTGGCTTTTGGCTAAGAAGTAACTTTATAGCAGAAAGATATATTTTTTAAAAACACTTGCAAAGTTCATATTGAAATTATGTTTTAGAGCATAATTATCAGGCATACAAAAAAAAAAAAGAAACTAAACTGACCAAATAGGCTACTTTGCTTCCAATGTTACATTATAACTAACATTAGACATTAAATTTAGTTGCTACTCTGATTCTGTACCAAAGAGAAATATTAGAAAATACTTAAAATTTTTGTATAGCAATAAAGAATCTAAATAGATTTTCAATCATCCTTATTACCTCTAGGCAAGTTAAAAATATAAGTGTCATGTACAGGCAAAGCAACTTTTTCTTCTTCTCTTAGCAGTTAAGTGCTTTTGAAAAATCAGTATACCAAAATTAACAGTTATTAAGGTCAAATTATCTGTTGGAAAAACCAAGCAGCTCCTGGAATCAATGTTACTGTGGCTTTAAAGGTTCTTCAATTTTTCCAAAAATTTTGGAATTAAGAACACCTTACTAATAGGATTACTTATATTTAAAATTAAGTCCCCATCTGAAAATCAGGAAACTAAGTCCTACGTATTATTGTTGGCACAACAAGATGTAATTGTTGGAATAATTGCTTTTCAACACAAAGACAATCTGGTATTAATATGATGAGGGACACTACGTGCCAGGCAAATCACAGCTTTCCTCACAAATCCCTTGTTGATGTATCTTCATTACTTACATTCATGCCTCACAGCCTTGGACTTCTTTGTGAAAATTACAGAACAGAAAAAAACTGGTTAAAAATTCAAAATGCCTGCATCTTTTTAAAGAAATAGTTTGACAACTTTCAGGTTCAGGAAATTCTGAGTTTTAGAGTGGTTTTTGTGCCTCCTGTTTCCTTGCGCTGTTCCAACTTCAGTTCCTGCCATAATTGTCCCTTTCCACCACAGTCAAGTTCTGGGCCCCTGGTCCCAATTAACTGCTCCCAGCCCCAGATGCATTTTCCCTTCCTAATGACAGATTAGCAGGGTTTAAAGATCATTGGTCCTGGTGAGTATCTGATGGAAGCTTTCTTTCTAATAGAGTCAAGATAACTGAAAGAACACTTAAAAAGGGAGAGCTTAGGATATTGAGCGGCTGCCTTAAGAATCTACCTAGAAACACACATTTTTAGACTTGTTTATTTTGGGGGCTTTTAGAACTTGCCCTGAGACAGGCAACTTTTACATAACAGACTGGCCAAGTACTGGCTACAGAGCGGCAAAGTACTGCCTACAGAGCTGTTTAGGAGATTTGCTTTAATGAGCAGATAGAACTGTGTTCAAACATGTGTGCACACACACATGCGCACACGCACACACACCCCTCATGGAACTTTTCCATTCTTAGGAAGAAAAAGACTTAAATACATAATCATACAATTAAGCATATTATATAAATAAATATTAATGTAGCTAAATTATACTTGTAGATAATTACCTGCAATTCACTCAACGCAGTTAAATTGAGCATCTTGTTAGGTACAAAGGATAAAATAGTTAACACAACAGGCATGAGGCCTGTCCTCAAGAGACTGACATTCCAGTGGCGGAGGTAACATACAACACAATAAACACGTTACAAAATGATAACAAATACTCTAAAAACTACCTCTGGAATAGATAAACAGGGCACTGAGGTTAAAGACTGAGGGACTCTGAGGAGGAGGGTAGTTACTCAAAACGCATTTGGTCAAGAAAAGTATTTCTAAGGTGACATTTAAAGTGAGACCTAAAGAAAATGCAAGAATGAGTCAAAGTAGGAGCTGGGCAAGGAGTGTTTTAGGCAAAGGAAAGAGCCACGTCAGAGACCCAGTAGCAGAAACCAACTTAGTATGATCCAGCAACTCCCAGAAGGTTAAGAGTGATTAAAACACAGGAGGAGGGGAGTAGAGGGACCAGGGACACACATGTGGCAGGGGATGCAAACAGGGTCCACATTCCTTAAGTCCCTATAGGCCAGGTAGGGGGTTTGGGTTGTATTTTCATTACAAATTGAAGTTCCTTAGTGTTACTGCAGCTGAAAAGTTTAAATTGTTTATTTTATCATGCTGATGATGTATATTCATATTCAATAAAATAGTATGTAATGCACCTCCAAATACCTACAATGCCTCCACTGATACAGAAAATAGTATAACAAGGAAAGTGGTCAGTGCCTTTTTAATATAAATTCAGTACTGTATACAACCGTTAAACTCTTGTGAATTCTGTGTCATCAAGGAAAAAAGATAGCCTTAACTTACTGCTAGAAAACTAGGTGAGTTTTGAGCTAAGACAGTAATAAAGCTATCTTCTATACAAAATAGCATAATACAACAATAAAAGCATGGATACAATTTCCTCCGTACTAAAAATTTCCAAAAAATTGTGAAGTCACATATAAGTAGGGATTAAAAAGAACTATGGAAAAATGAAACTCTTAAATAAGAGGTTAAATGAGAAAAACGATTTGTGATGACTCAAATGGTTAATCCTTATCTCTCAATTCACATGTGGGTGTGGTGAGGCACCCATAAGAGTAAAGAGTATGTACTTATACTGAGACCAGTGCTTCAGAGCACTGTCTCAGTGTGGCTTTGTAACAATGATCTATTCTATTAGTATTCACCCCAAATAACAGATGAAGAAAATACTATAATTCTTTAAGTAGATGCTGAAAAGCATCAGCTATCTCACAAAGTAGAAAGAATATGAGGGTTTATTCAAGGTATTTTTCTATTTAAACTCCATGTGGTAAGAGATTAAACTATTGCTTTGTTAATCGCAGTTTTCTTGTTAAACGGTGAATAACATATTTATTCACTCAATTTCTTTGTTATTTTTGTCTGGAAGACATGCTTCTATTTTCTATTCTCAAAAGCCTATTTTACAATTGACTGAAACTCATGTATTTTTAAATTTCTTGTTTAAACAAACTACAGTAACAAAATAATATTAAATGCAGATATTTAACTGTTGAAAGTCTTTGTTATCAATAAACACCTGTATAATCAAAAGATCTCCTTTCTCTCTGTTCTAACTTACCAATAATGTAAGTGTTATAAACATATTTTAAAACTGAGAAAAACCTAGGAAAGTTAATCTTTGAGATCTTTTAATAGTCAATAAAAATGTAATCTGATGTTAAAAAATTTCTAATGGAGATAATTATGACATGTCATTTTAATACCCTGCTGAGGTAATGTTTTAGTTATTTTAACTTTATGGGAGGCAATTATGCTACCTTTTTATTAGTATCAACAATTGGCTTTCAGATTTTATAGTCATTATCAAACATACACTTGCATCAAACCACTTCTGGTCAATTTCAATCCCTAATGAACTTTGCTTCTTTTAAGCACTATTCAAAACCACAATGAAATCTTTCATGTAATTCAGATCTGAAGAACAGATTTTCAAAATGACTCAAGTGCTGATAAGACTGTTTTACACCATGAGAGAACTTTAACTCTATCTAACTTCACCACTGCACCCACTCTACTAACAAACGTATGAACATTTCCTCCTTAAAGAAAACAGGCCTGACACAGAGCAGCTCTTTGTGTTTCTGATGTATATGAAAACATCCCAAAGCCTTTAAAAAAAAGTTTGTTTTACCTCCACTCCATACACTCATCCCAATTTTGGAGATAATTTAAACTAAGCAATTTGCTCCATGAATGATAAGCACAGTATGCTTTTCTAAAACATGAAAGAGAAACCTATGATTTCTGTGAAAAACATCACTTTAAATCATCTACATTACCAATAAATGTCTCGTACTTTAATGTACTTATTGACCACAAATTAGAGAGAATATTTGTATTTTTTTGGTAATTTTTCTGTTCTACAGTTGAAAATGAGATTTTAGTCTTCTCTTTATTACCCTTTAAACTAGACAAAATAATTGAGTATTTTGATTATTAAATCTTACAAAATGACAATTCAATATGAAGGTCTTGAAGTAAAATATATTCTTAAGAAGCAAAAGAAAACATGACTATTTAAAATGCCTGATGAATTCAGGTCCAAGAGAGGTCAGATGACTTGTCCTGTGTATATCCACCCGAGGTGAGAGAGTGTGTGAAGTCAGCCGAATAACATTTCTATAAGGGAACTCATTCCCATTGATTCATTTTAAGAGTCTACCTAGAACATACCCAATTAGCTGTGGTGAAAAACAAATCCTTATGTTCCATAACTTACCATTTTAGTGAAGGAAGCTACTTAATACAACCACCTTAAATTAAACTTTCATTTCAACTAAGAATTGAATGGCCAACACCGTGGATATTCCTTGTTTATGGGTTAGATACAGTTTAAAGTTTAACTTTACAGCATATATTTTTATTTTCACATTCATTGCTCATTAACTACTAGAATATCTAATCTAAAATCAAATGGTAACCTATAATTTATAATTTCCAGGGATGTCTCTTTGGTGCCGTTAAAAATGGCTTTATGTTAGCAAACTGATGGGACAAGCAGCTCAATCATTTTCACGCTGTATTTTCTAACTTGCGTGCATTTCCTACTATTTGCAGTTATTTCAAAGTATAATACAAAACCTAAGAGACAAATTGTATGCAAATATGTGATGTCGCTAAAACACAATTTTATACCAGCACACATAAGGGTGATAACTATTAACATTTTTTATTCAGAGTGCTTCTGGGGAGATTATTTGTTATTTAAAATTAGACTTCTGAATTCTACCTTTAAAAAGAAAACCAGCATTACTTCTAGGATATAGCCTAGGGTTCTGCATTTTAGCAGTCTCCCCCTAGTGAGTCTGTTGCAAAGTGTGGTCAAAGTACCACACTTAGAGAAACTATGCCCCAGAGTCCCATTGCATTTGGTATTTAGGACATGAAGTGAGGCAATGCAAATTTGTATTCATTATTCTAGTAGAAGCTAATGAAGTTCCTTGTTTTGAAGAATACTTTTTCATTTTTTCCGAGAAGTTCCCTTGACAAAATTGAGGAATTACAATCGATTTGTTCTGATTATCATTACCACACGAAACAGAAACCTCTTTGTGGCTGTTTCTTGACAGTCAAGGCACAAGACACTAAAACTTCTGTACACACATAACTGGTTCCAAAGGGATGCTGATCACCAGCAGTGCACAAGTTCATGGAAGTACACCCAGCAGTGAATACCCAGTAGCTTTCTCTCAGCCTCTAAGACAAGAGAAGAGGTAAACAGAACCACCTCCTTCTCCCTCACCAAAGGACGTTTTGATAACATTGACTAGCTATCTCTGTTTTTATCTCAGATGAAAGGATAAATCTCCTCTTTCCTTACAATTCTAGTTATTTACATCTTTAACAGCCAGAGTAGTCTCTTGGTGAGTCAAGAAACCAAGAAGTTACTTACAAAGACTGCAAAGCACTCAGCCCTCGAATGGCTTCACTGGGTACTGTTTTCAACTGATTATTCTGGAGCGTTCTGAAAGAAAATTTTTGGTTAGTGAGTAACAAGTGATAGTTACCATTTTTTCTTAGAAAAATTCAGAGCCTTTTTTTTTTTTTTTTCAAAAAATATTTCCAATGGGAAAATGGGGGGGAGGTGGAGGTGGAAAGCATCTAAGACAAGAGAATTGCAAAACTTCAAGAAGCACTTGTTGTAAAGCCAGAAAGGAAATCTATACTGCTATCCCAAGCCATGCCCTAATACAGACTTGCTGGGTAATCCATGTTTCCAAGGGTGGTTTTGTTTCTGGTAATTAAGGCACACTAGTTAATGTTCATCACCCTGGGTGCTATTAGTTAATGTTAATTAGGAGCTATAACAAGTTAACTGGGAGGTATAATAAGCAAATCCGTTGGAATTCCTAATGCCTTTTCAAATTGGAATAAAGCAGAGCCCGGAAACATGGACATTAGGTAAAGCCAATTTTTTCAAGCGGATGGCAGATCCCAAGCTCTTAAGGAACAGCAGGCATGTCCTCAATGCATGTGGGGCCAGAAGAGAAATAGAGCTTTGATCATCTACTAGTTAGGGCCTGCCAAATAGATGCATAGATCCATACTGAAAATGAAATTCTTTTGATTTTTTTGCCTGAAGCCATTCCTGTCACATTAATAAAATGACTGCCTGACGTGAGTCATAACCACAGAATAGAAGAGATAAAGGTCCCACCTAGCTCACTGAACCAGAGAGGTCTAATGACCTTCTGAAGGTCATCCAGCATGGTAGTGGCAGAAGTGGGGGCAGTCAGTTCACCTGTTTCCTAATCTGCCATACTCCAGGCTCCTGACCACTGCCAAGAATTTATTTCCTCACCATTCGCTGGCTATACAAATTGTAGGCATCTGAATTCCCTTGAGCTCTAAAATTATTTTAACATTTGGAGCACTTGTAAGCCTTTTTCCCTTTTAGAGTCAGGTAATTCAAAGTTCTTATAGCTATAAAATAAGTAGAAACAAAACCCTACCAGTAAAACTGAAGTAAGGGTTTGCTCCAATGCATTAGGCACCCAAAAAGCCTAACATTCAACCGTAATATACTGGAGGTCAGAATACGTATTATTTAGAGTTTTAACTTTTGTTAATCTAGATGCAGGGTTGCCTAAATCAAACTCTGGCCTCTCATACTACTCACTGGCCACTCCTTAAATCTTTTAATCCTGAACTAAAAGAAACTGTGCTTAACCTAGTTCCAAGCATGTTGACTACGCAGAAAGAAAATACACAGCCAGCTGTGAAACTCTAAAATTGCATTACTTACAGAACTTTGAGTTCTTTCAACCCAGACAAGGCCTTTGGGTGGATAAAAGAAAGGTCGTTGCCCGCCAATTGTCTAGAGAAAAAAAAAAAAAAAGTAGCAAGAAAAAAATAGTAATTCAGACTTAAAATTCAGAACTTACAAAAACCTAATCTGTGATTAAAACTCTATGTTAAACATTTCTCAAGTCTATCTGACATTAAACGTGGACTTAAACCCTTGCTAAAATGATCCTGTGAATCTTCCAATGAGATAAATGTCTCTAGAATTTTTTTTTAAGTCCCAATACAATAATTTAAGCAGGCACATTTTTATTCTGGTGAGGTCAAGCAAGCCAAAACACATTAAACCAAATTAAGTTTGCTATTCATGGTCACTCTGCAGCTTGCAGTGTTTTCTAAGGGCCTCATAAATACAAGACTACTGGTCAGCAGGCAAGAGTGTTTATACAGATTAGAGCAAACCAGTCTGTCAAGGAAGAATGCTTTTGGGAGGAAAGTCAGCCTGTTATCTCTGCATAACCAAGGGCAGCATATCCAGTGCAAAAGAGAGGCAAAAAGTGTGAGTCATTGAAAGCATAACTTTCCAAACAATGGCCTATATATTTTTTTCTGAAGTAAAGAGGTTTTCCTAAAGAAATTTTGACATGACAAATTCAAGTGGAGATAAAAGTAGAATAAGGAAAGGATAAGAATTCTTTGGATCCTTTTGTAAGAAATCTGAGCACCCAATTCATACTGAGCCCTACTTTTCCTCCTATTTCCCTGGGCATAGAGAAATAGAAGAAAAACTTGAACAGAGGATATTAGGGAGAAGAATCAGGATGCAGGGCAGTGATTCACATAAGTTAACTTGTAGACAGGTGAAGTGAAGGAAGGTTTTCAAATGTGTACTCAAAAATGATGATTGTGTGTTCATATGATCAAACACAGGACTCTCCTGGGTCCTGGTTCTGTCAGGGATACTCTCCTAAACAGCTAGATTCTGTAACTATGTATATATATATTTTAATGCTCTCTTCTACACATGTCTCAGGACCACATAGTCACCAAGTCCTCCTTTAAAATTCCTCTGTTAAAATTTATAATTAAATTTTTTAATTTAAAAAATATATAAAACTTAACATTTATAATCCCTCCTTTAAAAGGTATGTATTTCCACTATTCTTCCTATTCCCTCCCTAAAAACTCTGCATCCCTAAGCCTTATTCATTAATTCATTCATTAATTTAAAAATGAGTACCTACTAAGTGCCAGACACACAACATCTTTAGGTTCCCCCACTTCTAATCTGTTCTACTTGTATATCCTGATTTTAGGGATACAAGAAAGACACTTTACCAGCCTTAAAATGTGAAGTCACTGTGGCCTGAAGCTCTACTTTTAGATGCATTATTTTCTCTTGAAGTGGTGTTCCAGTTACTAATAAAATGCAAATTGCCCTGGGAAGTGTAATCCTTACCTAGCATTAACACAGAGGCGATTGCACTGAAGATTGGGGGGGGGGGGGGGCGCGGGAAGGGGACAGAAAAGCAAACAGCCAAAAGACCCAGAAACCAAAGGGGTAAGTATGAAGAATTATTTCTTCAATGGCAAGAATAACAATGCCGGATTCTCAGGCGATACCACCAAGTAGCACAGTTCATGCTCCTAAACTAAATTCTTCCTAAAAAGTCCTCCCACCATACACTTTGTTTCTTACAAGGCATCCAAGTACCTAAATTCTACACTGCATTGCCTTTCAAGGTTTCCCCATAACCCAGGCTCACAACAGCTTGCTTTGTGCTGTCAGCCTTGTAGCCTTCACCTCCCAGGGCTCACCAGAAGTAAAACAAGAGACCGAAGAAGATGGTTTTAAGGCCTCTTCAGTTGCTTCCATTTTAAAATATTTCTCTTTAGCAAATCCTCTTGGTTCTAGACTAGCCAGCTTTATCACTACATTTTTTACTTACTTATTTATTTTATTTATTTATTTTTTGAGACGGAGTCTCACTCTGTCGCCCAGGCTGGAGTGCAGTGGTGCAATCTCAGCTCACTGCAATCTCTGCCTCCTGGATTCAAGCAATTCTCCTACCTCAGCCTCCAGAGTAGCTGGGATTACAAACGCCCACCACCACGCCCAGCTAATTTTTGTATTTTTAGTAGAGACGGGGTTTCACCATGTTGGCCAGGCTGGTTTCGAATTCCTGACCTCAAATGATCCGCCTGCCTTGGCCTCCCAAAGCACTACATCTTTTAAATGTTTCACCTAGCAACCTCATTTGTACCCCCTTAAACACCCAACTGCAATGCTGCTCCTCTTGAAAGCTTCAGTTCTTATAAATGTGCCCTATGCTTGAACACTCGGAGCTCATAAACTTGGGTCACAAGCTACCGTCTACTGGTTGTTTCTTGTACATTAGTCTTGTGGGCCAAGTACAAATGCCTTCAAGAACAGGATGTGCATCTCAAACTTCTGTTACCACCCACCAACATGCCAATTCATGAAACAGAAACTGCTTTCTCAGAAGCTCCTCCTTGAAAATGCTCACCATTCCGATGCCATAGCATCCCAAAGTCTACCTTAGTGCAAGCTTGGTACAAGCAATCTCAAAGGGACCCCGGTCTCACCCATTAAATTCAACTGATAATGCTCACAGCTGTAATGCAAAGTGCTTAAAAGGTCACATTTTAAAAGATCAAATTGCACCATAAAAGCCATAAGAGGCAGTAGCCATCTTTCCCCAGGGCCTCAGATAGCCCTGTGACTGCTCTTCCAAGTGTTAAAAAGCTAGAGTCCTCCAAAAAAGAAACACTATAAACAGAGTAAGGCTGTTACAGGATTCTTATTATTCTTTTGTCTCTAATATTAGTTGTGAATGTCCTTGTATCTATGGGCTTTCCTTGAGTTCAGCCTATTGTGCTGGGCTCATAAAAAAAAAAAAGTATTTTATAAAGTAACAAAGTGGCAAAATGCAGAACACCTGATTATCTTAACTTGTCAACAGAAAAGAGTGTTTGACCACATTAGCCAAAATATTTGCTTCCTTTTCCCAAATCTCTGCCCGTTTTATAAACCATGAGAAAACTAAAGTCACCTAACTTCAAAAAGCATTCTCTTTCTCCTCTATTTATCTTTAATATAAATGACAAAATGAGCTCTGCATGAGGCTTATCCTGAAATACAAGCCAACGATCTGGAGAAATAAACACTACTAGTATGTGGTGGACAGTGATAATGCTGTCCAAGAGGACACTCTACTTTGATTACTTAGTTTGTTAGTAGAGTAAACATATCCTGTGGAGCCTTCAGGAATGTATCTACGTAAGTTTACGGAGCTGCTGTGTTAATGAGTAACAAGCACAGCAGCGTGGTAAAAGCTCTGCAGCTCCAGTAATTGCACCCGCCAGAAGCTCTTCACATGTTGCTTATTTTATGAGCTAGTATTTCTTATAGTAAACCTTGGGGATGCTTCATGTCTAAAAGCTCAGATTCAGAAAAGAGCAAAGTAAATAAATAGCAAGGTTAGGAAAAAAATCCCAAATTCTTTGGAAGAAAAAAACTATACGCCTACAGTAGTTGCAGACACTGTGATACTGATAGCTGGTACACAAACATTCTTTCATTTTAATCATCTCAAGACAACTGCCCTGCTTTTCTGAGTCCCTGAGTGGTTAGGTGACTTGGCATAAGTCACACTGCTTGTACATGAAGGAGCCAGCATTCCAGTTCTCTTGCCCGGCTGGCTGAAATACTTATCCACTTCTACCTGTATTGTGATGCCTCTGGTAGTCACCAAAAGATTAGGAAATAATTCACAGAAAAGGTGGGGCAGAGTGGACTTGAGCAAGTTAACAGCCTTGTCTGAGTATCAATAGATGTCACCTAGCAGAATAAAGCTAGTAAGGAGAGACTATGCATTAGGAGCCCAGAACTGCAGTTACGGAGAAGTTCCTAACAGACCTACAGTGCCATCCTTCCCATAGCCAAAGATGACCAGCAAGAGGGGCTGAGAATGGGATTCCCTGAGTGCCCAAAGGTAGGGCATGCCCTAAACTCAGTGAGACTTAGTTAAGGATACATACCATTCTCTGTTGTTTGTTTTTTATTATTATTTTTTTTATTTTTTTAGGCAACTCCGGAGGAAAAAGAGGTGGCTGATCCTGAGCAGGAATTTGGCCCTCTATTAGCAAAGACCAGCCACTTCCCATTCCATGCCTGGGTTTGCACTTCTGTGCTATAGCCAACAGTTTTCGTAGCTTCTCACTACTTCAGGACCTATTGGCTGCCCTCAGAAAACCTTTTTCATTGACTAAATCTTGTTATTTATATTTTTCTTTTTGTCCCACAAACAATATTCTTTTACTATTTTCCAGTGGCTGTGAAATACTAAAGGAAAAAGATAATTAGGGTGAAAAAATAAGAGTGAAAGTGGTATGGTTTTCTGTTTGTGAAGGTGGAGAGTCCCAGGCATCAGTTCTTTCCCCTCCGTGTTCTGTTTCCAAAGACCACGAGAGTGTCTCTCTGCAAGGTTTCAACCCATCCACTCTTTGACTCTTCCTGTTATCACCTGATTTTTTTTCCTCCTGGACTACTGCCATGAACTTCCACAGGATTCCTGTCTCAAACCACTTAATCTGAAAAAGCACAATTCTAAGCATTTTCCCAAAGGCTCTCTTTTCCCCTGGTGCAACTAAGCACCGTTATTACATCCAAACACACCATGCATTGCCACCTCTGACTCTTGGCTCACACCATCTCCTTCACTTGAAATACCCACAACTCTGCCCTCTACAAACTGAAGCCTTGTTCAAGTTGTCCAAGTAGGGTACGCTACCACCGGTATGAACTCATGATATCACCTTCCTTTGATTCCACGGGTACCTTAGACAAAGCTATCCCATTGGGTGCATCTTATTCTGCCTTTAGTTCCTTTGTACTGCTCTGATCTTCTTCAATGATCTTATATGTCCCTCATGAGCAGGGACTAGGTCATCTTTATTCTATATTCCCTTGTATGACCCCTTACAAAGACAAGACACTTGGTATTTGCTATAATGTCTCCGCTAAGCCCCATTGTAAGACTCTGGATTTGCAAAGCTAATATTACTACTAAAAGGGTGAGAAAGCTTCCTGATTATTTTCCCTTTTCTGCAACTTTTCTTATTTCATTTCTACTCCCTCACTCTCCTAACAGGAAAGAACTACGTGGCTAAAGTGTCGAATGCCAGGGCAAACATTTTATTTCTCGACATATGCTGGAAGCATATTTTCTTAAGGAAAGGTGGGGAGGAACTCTAAACATGGGAACATCAGTCCACTGGTCCACAGTAGTATCTCAACACACGCTGTGTTGTGCACATGATCACACAGAATTAAAACAAGTCTAGCAGGATTTCAAAGGGGACACCGTTTACCTCAAGGCAACTCCCACTTACTCTGTTTGCTACAACAGCCCCAGAAGCAAAGAGAGCAAAGACAGAGAATGGAGAGAAAGAGAAAGGGCAGAGGAGAAGCAAAAAGTAATCCTCTAGATTTCCGCTTTCCCACTGGATTTGGAACCATTCCAGGAAGCGGCATACAAGTGGCTCAGTGTGCAATGTCTCTATGAATCTCTTTTGTGTGCATTTATTATTCATAAAGACCATGGATTGACATTAGGGGCTCCTTCCAGGGAAAGCTTTTTGGAAAGCAAGAATTTTCAATAATATCCTTGACTCTTAATGCATATATGACCTGAAATTTCCTATCTGCTCTCCCTTCCAGCAGGGGGAAAATGCAGGAACTGCGCTGTCTTAAATATGGGGCACTGGTCAAGGGTGTGTGTGAAGGACTAGGCCACATGTCAGATGGTAATCTGGGCCAAAGTTAACTCCTTCATGAAATGCACTGAGCGACACTAGAGTTTCTTCACTTAGGAAGCAGCTTAAAAAACAAGAGAGGCAAGTGTGAAATAGAGAATTTACCAATTGGTGTTATTTCTCTGAGAAATGATGGGACTTAGGTTTCTTGTGGTCTATTACAGAAATTTCATTGTAGCCTTTTGGCTGGAATTCTAGCCAAGAATTAGTGGAGTAAGAAATACCATATATACACTGATTAGACATATGGACTGAGCAGCAGGGAGGGCACATGAGGATTCAGTGGCTTTCAGCAGCTGTTGCGAGGAGACGTCGGGCAGAAAAAGCAGAGGGAGACTACAGCAACTGTGCACACAAATAATAGAGTGCTTTCTTACTAATGGCAATTTCCCTTTCCCCTTATGGAGAGGTTGAAGACTAGATAATAAAGCCAGAAGACAGTGACCACAGCCTCCCATTCACTCATGTTCCTACCTTCCCTTTGCAGAGGTGGTTACCAGATGGCCTGGCATTGGGCTCCCGTCAAGTCCTGCCTGAAAAGTACTTCGAGCACCACCATTCCCTTCTGACCAACATTTATCTACCCCTCAGCAATGTTTTCTCCTCTTCCTCTTTCTCTCTCTCTCTCTTTCTCTTTTTTGAGACGGAGTTTCATTCTTGTTGCCCAGGCTGGAGTGCAATGGCAGGATCTTGGCTCACTGCAACTGCCGCCTCCCAGGTTCAAGCGATTTCTCCTCCTGCCTCAGCCTCCCAAGTAGCTGGGATTACAGCCATGTACCACCACACTCGGCTAATTCTGTATTTTCAGTAGAGACTGGGGTTTCACCAAGTTGGTCAGGCTGGTCTCAAACTCCTGACCTCAGGTGATCCACCCCCCTCAGCCTGCCAAAGTCCTGGGATTACAGGTGTGAGTCTGAGTCACCAGGCCTGGCCCTCCTTGTTTCTTTCTATACCTACTTTTGAAGACACACATAGGAAGTATCACAGGTGGTACCCAAACACAGCCAGGCTGCTTCTCCTGGGATGCCATTCTATTCCCTCAAATGGATGGATCACCACAGTGCCGCATATGTGTAAAGAACACTAGGCACAACCACCAGCCCATGATACTGCCTCCAGAGAAAGCATTTCTAGTTCAAAACTGAACTAAGGCATTTAACAGGATGTGAGTGACATTCTTTTATTAAATGTAATTTGAAATCAGCAAGCTCCAAAATTTTGGCAACTACTTTTTTTTTTTTTTCTTTTTGAGATGGAGTGGAGTCTCGCACTGTCTCCCAGGCTGGAGTGCAGTGGCGTGATCTCTGCTCACTGCAACCTCAGCCTCCTGGGTTCAAGCAATTCTCCTGCCTCAGCCTTTGGAGTAGCTGAGATTACAGGCGCCCACCACCATGCCCAGCTAATTTTTGTACTTTTAGTAGAGACAGGTTTCACCACGTTGGCCAGGCTGCTCTCAAACTCCTGACCTCAGGTGATCCACCTGCCTCGGCCTCCCAAAGTGCTGGGATTACAGGCATGAGCCACCGCACCCGGCTGGCAACTGTTTTAAAAAGCAAAATACATACTTCTTAAAGTCCTGAGCCATATATTTATTAATATGTCAAGGGCTGACTATGTGTTCAGAACTATGTTGGCTCCTGTGAGAAATAAAAACTGAAAGAGGTACACTGGTTCCCATGTAGGGGCATTTGGTATCAATATATGTAATAAAAAACTATCATTTGTGTAGTACTTCTCATTTTCGTCATCCTATTATTATACAGGTTGAGCATCCCTAATCTGAAAATGTGAAATCTGAAATGCTCCAAAATTTGAAGCTTTTTGAGTGTTGACATGCATGACACTCAAAGGAAATGTTCATTGGGTATTTTGAATTTCAGATATTCAGATTTAGGATGCTCAAGCGATGTAAATATTCTAAAATCTGAAAAAATCTGAAATACAAAACACTTATGGTCCCAAGTATTTCAAATAAGGGGTACTCAACCTACTGGCCCTCAAAACCACCCTGTGTCATGGGTCAAGCAAGCTTATCGCCCCCTACTCCTCCTGCTTTTTTTGTTTTTCTTTTTTAACAGATAAGGAATGTGAGCCTGTTTCCTACGTGCCTTCTCCAAAGACCTACAGCACCTAAATAATGTAAATCCCAGGAATAAAACAATGTAAATAAACTAATGTAAATCCTAGAAACAAAAAAGTGTTGTTTTGTGTTATTTTCTTTTCCTTTTTTTTTTTTTGAGAAGGAGTCTCACTCTGTCGCCCAGGCTGGAGTGCAGTGGTGCAATCTCGGCTGACTGCAACCTCTACCTCCCAGGTTCAAGCGATTCCCTTGCCTCAGCCTCTTGAGTAGCTGGGATTACAGGCGCCCGCCACTATGCCTAGCTAATTTTTGTATTTTTAGTAGAGACGGAGTTTCACCATGTTGGCCAGGCTGGTCTCCTGACCTCAAATGATCCACCCACCTTGGCCTCCCAAAGTGCTGGGATTACAGGTGTGAGCCACCGCGCCTGGCCTGTTTTGTGTTATTTTCTACCGTTGACTTCAAGAGGACCGGAGGATATGGTTACTTTCTTAGTGAATAAAGAGGGCTAACAACTAATAGCATCCTTTATAGTTCTGCTTCGACACTGTTGCTATCAGTATAAACCTCATCTAAGAAAGCACATCAGAACAGTCCTATATCAACTAATGATGTACTACCCCATTTCTTCACATACTAGGGAAGACTTTTGCATCTTCATATAACTCTTATGAAAGTATATGTAAAAATTTTATATGTTTTAAGAATATACATGAATTAAGAAACCCTTATTATGGAAATTCTCAAGGTTTTAGAATAGCTTTCATTTGCTGAGAAGGGAGAAGTTATTTCACACATATTTCATATTATATATTTCCATTTAAATGCACAACAATGAAAGCAGTAATGCTTAACAAAAAATAAGTACGTTTCTGCTAAAACTTGGTTTATAGGCCATCTAGAACTCTTCTACCTACTAAAGAGCTTTATATTCAATTCACGGAAACTTTAAGTTCCACCTGCACCGAATTGGCCTTTGCGTCTCCCACTTCTTACAGGAACCCATGGAATACTTTATTTTAGAGGTAAATCAGTAAAAACCCAGGCAACAGTTATACTTCCTGAGCAAAGTTATCCTGACAACCTAGTCATTTACCCTCTGGCAATAAACACATGCAATATCCACCCATGTGAGGAAATAATATGTTCCAGCTTTAAAAAAAAAATACAGCTAACGTCAACCAACAAATATTTATTGAGTTTTTACTACAGGCTAAGTACCCTAAGCATGGCAAAGGAGGTATTGAGTTTTCCCAGGACATTTCTCATTTCATTTCTTTTAAATAAGGACAGTTCATTAATCACAAACTTCAACAGAATTCCGTTTTTATATAGACTGATAAGGTTTCTTACATCAATCAATTCAAAATGAGAAGAAATCCTTTGTCTTAACCCCTCCCTCAATTTCAAGTTCAAGAATGTGGTAACTGTCACCAAGGTCATATAGAAGTGTGACAACAGGCCCTGCCCTTCCTTAGAGAAAAGTCAATAGAGTTGAGGGGATAAGTACACACTGACACACTTGAAGCACGAAATAACAAGGCATGCAATACGCTGCTAAGTGGTGAGAAGTAGAGAGTGCAAGAGGGGCTTGGAAAAGGAAGATCAGAGAAGGCTTCATATGGCAGAAAGGGCTCAAAATGGCTCTATAAAAATGGGTAAAATGTGAATATAGAGAGGTACTCTGGCAGACAGACCCTGTTGGTTGCCCACCTAACACCCATTCACGCCTTCCTGGCAGAGCCTATATTTGTTCAAATATCCTCCCGTCCACATGACTCAGCTCCATGAGTAAATACCAACTGGCCTTAACCCTTCCTGCTGGTCCCATTCCAGTAATTGGTTTAGGGATAGACCTGTGACCCCAGCTCTGGTTAATGAAGTGAGAGGAAGTTTACTAGGGATTTCTGAGAAAGACAGCTCTACTCCTAAATGAGAACGCATTAGAAGGATGACCCTTTTCTCCTTCTAGGTGCTTTCCTGTCTGAATATTCTATGTGGAGTGATAACAGGATGGTACAGACCCTCCTGGGGAAGAGCACACTAGAAAGTAAGGAGATACCCTGGGTTCTTGACGACGTGGCTGAGCAACTCCATAAATCAGCCCTGGAATAGTTCTACCACCTTGTCATGTAAGATAATATACTTCCTTACTGTTTAAAAGTTACTTTTAATTGAGTTTTGTCACTTGCTGCCAAAAGCACCTTAACTGCCTAAATGATAACTACTCTTCTTTTCTTACCTAGTAATAAAGTAAGAAAAGATTTTAGTCCAGGCAACAATATACCCAGCTCAAAGGTCCTGTTTCCCAGCATCCCCTGCCGTTTGGCCATGTGACTAAGTTCTAGCCAGTGAGATGTGAATAGAAGCATTGTGCGGTATGCTCAAGATGCCTTCTTAAAGAAAGCTGGCTACTGGGAACTATGCCCCTCTTTATTCCCTACTTCATCCTATCTACTGCTGAGGATAGGGTTTTGATGGCTGCAGCTCCAGTACACAGTCATCTAGTGATCTTGACGTAGAAGCAAATACACAAACAACTACAGAGCAGAATGTCAGGGCCTACGTCTCTGCTAACTTTGTGATGCATCATAGCAGCTCCAGGTCACCAGGCTGCAGATTTCATATTCAGGTAAATAAAATAAAGCCTGATGTGTTTAAAGACACTGTTACTTGGAGTTTTCCCTTATAAACAGCTAAATCTAATTGTAATGTAAGAATTTAGGAAAAGAGCTAAATTTGGCAAGCCACACTGTAATAAAAGCAGCACAATTAAAGACAGTACATCCAATAAACAAAGACTAGATAGGATAAGAATGTTCCACAGCTGGGTGCGATGGCTCATGCCTGTAGTCCCAATACTTTGGGAGGCCAAGGCAGGAGGATTGCTTGAACCCAGGAGTTAGAGACCAGCCAGGGCAACCCCATCTCTACAAAAAATACAAAAATTAGCTGGGCATGGTGGCATGTGCCAGCTACTCAGGAAGCTGAGGTGGGAGGATCTCTTGAGCCCGTGAGGTCAAGGTTGCAGTGAGCTGCACTGCATTCTAGCCTGGACAATAGAGTGAGACCCTGTCTCAAAAAAACAGAAAGTTTCTAAAACTGCTGTTCATAACACCACCACAAAGCAAGAGACTTGTTACATAAAATGTGAATCATCCAAATGATAAAGCACTATGCATTTATTAAATGATGGTAAAAACTAGATGTATTAATATGTAAAATTATAATAAGGCAGATATAGCATAAGTGGTAAATATAGTAGGAGTCTATTTTTTAAAGGAAATTGTATACATATACTCAGAGAAAAGTTTGGAAACATGTACAAAATATTAACCATAGTTATCTCTCCATAGTAGGATAATGGCTCCATATCTTTCAAATATGATACATCTTCAAGATTTAAAAAACAGTATCCACTTATTTTTGTAATTGTTTTTTAAAAGTCCAGTTTATATTAAGCATTTTTATAACTATGATTTTTTTAAAAAGCTGAATGTATCTGTGATACAAATATTCTAGCATCTCTAAAATGATCATCTTTGAAGTATGCATATAGTCCAAACTAACAGGTAGTGAACAGGGGAAAATGATGAACAAATTCTAAGTCAAAGGTCCTACTAAAGCACATATTTATTGTATTGAATAAGCATGGCTTGACTAAGAGTGGTCAATGTATGAAAGAATGACTTAGCCTATTTTCTTGCTGGAAAATTGAATCCTGCTAGTAGAAAATCAAATACATTTTCATTTACTTACAGTCAGTACTATATTTAGCCAAATAATAGTCAGTATTGATTAAAATAAATAAATGAGCCAGCAAACCATGGTTTCATTTGCCTCGCTACACTTTTGGAACCCCATGCCAAACACTATAATACTGAACCACTTGATTCTCCTGTTTGATTTCTACTAGTCTCCTATGAAGTCCTGATTTATCAAAT
This sequence comes from Homo sapiens, assembly GCF_000001405.40. Lineage (NCBI taxonomy): Eukaryota > Metazoa > Chordata > Mammalia > Primates > Hominidae > Homo > Homo sapiens. The sequence goes on from NC_000011.10 coordinate 27,404,308, forward strand.
CCAAATTTTGAGTCCATCACATCTTTCATCACCTTCGTTCCTGGGCTGCTAAGCACTATGGGACAAAATTAAAGATCTAGTTGGTTTCACTACAAATTTATACTATCTAAGCCCAACTGAGGGCTTACGATTCTTCAATAATACTTTGTTCATTTCAGACTGGCCCAATTAAACAAATGTTTCCCACAGTATGCCTAGTCCCTAGATCCTAGTGGCCAGTGAATAACTATGGTTTCTTTCTGCCCAGCAGGTCTTCCTTTCTCTTTTCTTCTGCTTCCTTTGGGGAATTCCCAACTCTAAGCAGTCCTATTAGGATGAGTCCAAAACCCAGGTTGCACCATACCATCTCAAACAGAGTGATGGTGCAAGGACAGGCATACGAGGTCAGTCTGGCCAATCAGGATCCCCCTAGGAGTTTTGCAGTGAGGAACACTTTTAGATATTTATTTTGGGTGCCTAGAAGCAACAATGTACTGAAAGGTGTATTTCCCCACTCTATGGAGACAGGCTATTTGCAACAGGAAAGAATGAAGCCAGAACACAAAAGTAGAGACAACTGAAGCTAAGAAATGGAAAGCATGAGAAAACTCTTGTAGCTTTTAAGCCTCGAGATCCAGTAACATATGAAGCCAACTCCACTTCTGGACTGTCTAGTTCTATCTACATGCAACAATAAATCCTCTATTATGCCTCAGCTGGGTTTCTGTCTCTTAAACCCAATAGACTCCAGTCAAATGCAGTACAACTTCTAAGCTTTAACCACTCTCCAAAAACCACCTATTAGCAGTCCCCAAATGTCTGTTTCCTGATGAGCTTCTTTACCCAAAGTCACTTTCAACAACTTACTGAAATGATTCCAAAAATACTTAAAGAAGTCAAGGCCCTTTCTCACTAGTCATGGGCATCTTTCTCCAGCATGTCAGTGTTGATCTCTCATTTCTTTGTGAAAAACCTCTCCTCCCACAGCTCCTGGGGCAGAGTTCTGCCCCAGTTCTCCTGCTCCTCCGGCACTTGGTCTTCTTCCCACACCCTGATTCAAGTGTTTCCCAAGGAGTTGTCTTTGGCCTTCTTCCCTTTTCTTCTACCCTCTCTCCCTTGGCAAGCTCTTTCAATCTAATGTTTCCAGTAATGACCTCAAAATAAAAGACTCCTAAATCTATACCCACGATACACTATTCTATAATCTATGCCCTTCGATCTCTATCCTGGACTCCACTCCTGAATTTCCAGATGCCTCCACCCATATCCCACCTGAACTCCACATGTATGTTAAAAACAGCATTTAATTATCTTCTCTTCTAAAAAAATTTCTCTTTCTGCATTATTGCTAATTTTCGTCAAAGCACCACCAGACTCCTGGTAATCTTAAAATTCATTGTTAATGATGTTACCCCTATCATCCCAGCCAAGACATTCTCTTGATTCTATTTCCATAACATCTTTTGAATAGGTGCCCTCCTCCCTATCCCTGCCTCCCATCTGCCCTAATTTGGATTCTCATAATTCTCACCTAGACGATTGCCAGTGGCATTTTCATTTCTCCCTGAACTCTCTCAATTTCAAACTCTCTGCTATGAGACTACATTTATTGAAGGTCATATCTGAACAAATCATTCCCTAGCTCAAAAAAACTTCAAGAGTCACTCAAGAGTTTAAAGTCTGTTTCAGTCTGCCAAAATGTCCTTAGTCTAGCCCTAAGCTCTGCGTATCTTTTCCATAACTTCCTTTCAATAATTCAAAATTGCAACCAAACCAACCATTTTTACCACCTATCCCAGTCTGTGTCCCCATCTTTGCTCATGCTCCTCTGCAGGTCTTTGTACATGTCCTCTTGAATAACTCCCCCTATCCCCTCTAGGCTCTCCAGAAATGCCATCGTTCCTTCTTGCTAGAAGTAATTTTCCTTCCAATTTGAATTCCCATAGCGAGTATACTATCCCTCTCCCTTGAAAGCAAGAATCTCATTTGATCCAGCACTGAACATAGTGGTTCAGCCAACAAAAGTTTGTTGAATTTACTATACATTGTCTAGCAAGTCCTTCCTCACCCTCTCCACATCTACAGGGGCATAGGCAGATCTGGGATTGACACCCAGCTTATAATGAGCTATGTAAACTTGGGTCAGTTACTTAACCTCTCTGATGAAAAGCTTCGGCTCCCAATCAGCAAAATGGGAATAATGATAGCTCACAGAGTTTTATGAGTTAAAATAAAACAAAACAATGTTTTCTAGAAGGGCCTATACGGCATATTAGCACAAACTCCCTTATGATTTATCTGTTTTCACCCTTAATCTCTACTCTGAGAGCTCCCCAAATGACACACTATAGGCAATGTCTTGAGTAAGATAAGTAACACTCCTCTATGACTTCTGTATGTGCTTCCCAACAGTAAGGGTCGTGATCTTTGCTACCAAGTCATCCTACCAGAGGGCTGCAAAGTGGAACAAGAGAATGCTTCCAAAGAAGTTAATATTTTTAACTGTGAAACATCACCAGAGCAACTGAGGAACTATTTTGCTTTTTCTGGGAAATTACTGCAGTCAAGAGAGCTTATCTGAGAAAGCTGCATCAAGGGAGTAAACGTTAAGTGAGTCAAACTTTAGTTTGGAAGCAAAGGGAATTCCTTGTATTAGAAGAGAACAATAGCTACTTTCTACAGCTCTGAACAACCCAGGAAGACTATTTGAGACTATGCATCTCAGAGATATAAAAATTGGTAAGATATAGAAGAGATGACATTGAACTCTGTAAGGTCTAATTCTGGCTTAGTTACATACTAACTGTGTTACTTTGGACAAGCCACTTATCTACTATTGGGTCTTGATATTCCCATCTGTAAAATGGTATGGCTAGATAAGGAAATTTTATTCTAGGAAGAACTCCTTGTTCACAAATTTGGTCAGCAAACTTACTACAGGAAATACTGGGCAGCTGATCCCCTTTGACAGTTAGATGTTGACCTACTTAGAGTTGCAGGTAATAGTGACTGGATGGTCCCTTTAGCTCCCCTCCAATTCTGTGCCTTTTGAGGCAACATTATAGCTTAGAAACTAAGAGCAATGACTTGAATCAGATGAACATAGATCCAATTCCTGGCTGTGCTTTTACTCTATGAGCACAGTTAGGTTTTCCACCTCTCTAAAGCCTCCGTGTCATCACCTGTAAATAAGTAATAATAAACTCCTCATAGGGGTCTCATGAGTATTAAATGCAATAGAATATATTTTTAGCACATAATTAAGTTTTTAGCATTAACTTAGGTAAAGACTATGAAAAAATACTTTTAGAAATTTAAAATGAATTATTGAAACACAGGAACCAGATATAGTTTATTATTCTGGATAATATCCTGGACCAGAATATTTTTTTCTTTTTCGCTAAAGGATATCAGTGGGACAGCTGTTGAAATTTGAATAAGAATTGTAGATCAGGTGATAACATATATCAAAGCTAGTTTTCTGAGTTTGACAATCATCTTGTGGTTATTCAAGAGAATATCCTTGTGTTTCTGGACTACACACTGCAATATTTAAAGATTTATCTAAAACTTACTCTCAAATGGTTCAGAAAAAAATGTACATATATTTTGTATGTGTGTGGAAAGAAAGAGAGAGAGAAAGTTAACATTTGGGAAATTGGAGTGAAGGGTATATGAAAAATTATGCTTGCAATATTTTGAAAGTCTGAAATTACCTTGATACAGAATATTATATAGATCTGTGTGCAGAATGTTTTAAATATGTTTGTATATGTTATTATCATGGATTGAATTACATATATGAATTGAATAGCTGTATTTGACATATGTTATGTGTGTGTGTATAAATATGTAATTCAATTATTTAAAACTATTTAATTTGACCCACCCCTGTTTTTATTTGATTTTAAACCTTTCTGTTTAAATTATTTACTAGCCCCGTTTGGTAAAGTAGTAATTCCATTTAGAATTAACTGTCCTACAGATGAAACAAAATGACAGGTAATCTTCAATTAGTATTCAGAGACCTAAGTTTCACTTTAGCATTGTGAAGTCTTCCAAAGTCAAATCATGTTTTGAAACAACTGGAATTATCCTAGTCATATAGTGTGCATTAAACAATAACTGTCCAAGTGCCAAAGCTGGCAATGGCTTCTACTGCTGTTGCCACATCAAAGTAACAGCCACAGCAATTTTTTCAGTGACAGCTTATGGAAAATTAGCTGGATATTCCTTTCTGCTGTTCCTAACTCCAACATTTTCACAGCTCCAAATTTCAGCCATCCCCCAAATGACTACCAATACCCAACAAGCCTAAAGGAGAGCCAAAAACATGTCTGACAACGTCACATCAGGCAGCAGAGCCTGTCAACGCTAAGTGAATGTTTTCTTAAAATTCTGGCTTTCCTTTTACATTGTGAACAGAAACTCCAACTTCTACCCCCAAGCAAAACCATCTCTCTTCCAAATGATATCAAGGAAGACTGCAATGTTTAAGATGATTAGTAAAATTTCTCACGGCGACATAGCATTTTATGGTTACAAATCACTTTTACATAAATTATCCCATATTTCCTTTACGGTAGTTCTGTGAGAAGTTCCATTGTAAAGAATAGGAAAGTAAAGTGCAAAGATTTCAGAACCTTTCATGTACTGAATTTGGGGCCACAATCTATGTTTCTATATTCCCAACAGGTGTTGGGGGAGAGCAGGAATCACTAGGTAACACTATTTATGAACTATAAAACTTTCAAAAAGTAGGTTAAATATACAGAAGAAGCAGGATTGGAAAAAGAAGGAGGAAAAAAAGTAGGTTAAATGTGAAAACAAAACAAATGGCAACAATAGTATCTAAAGTACATTTCACTGAAAAAGTTGGATGGAATATTTTCCTGAGAACAAATACATATCACTCACAGTGTTCCAGAAAGCACTGGGCTCTAGGGGCCTGACTTCAAGTCCCAGCACATCACTCACAGTGTTCCAGAAAGAACTGGGCTCTATGGGCCTGACTTCAAGTCCCAGCAAAACAGCATACCAGGCTCATGAACTCCAATAAGGCCCTTAACCTTGTCAGTTCAGCTTCAACTTTTGTGAAACTGACTTTCCTTACAGAGTTATGGGAATGGACTTCTGTTCATTGTAAAGCTCTAAACACATACTATTTACACTCTTATCTTTATCAAATGGAATTCTTTGGGTCCCAAATAGATCAGCTCTCTGTGTTCCCGGTCTCAGCAAATGGCACCCAGTTATTCAGGGCAAAAACCCTAGTCTCATTCCTATCACTCCCCAAATATCAAATTAAACTCCTTCAGAACAAGTCTAAATTTCTTATCTTAAAATGACCCTTCATTATCTGGCCTCGTCTCCTGACATTTTTCCATATGTACCCTTTAGTCTTGTCATAACAAGACACAACTTTATGCGTCCTAAAACTTCTGAAATTTTCTATGTCCATGCCTTCCACATACTATGAAGTTCTTCCTACAACACCCTTACTACTACCCTCATTTGGTTAATTCCTACATGTCCTTCAACACTCAGCAGAAGCTACTGTGGAAGACTATCCCAAATCCTACAGTCTTAAGAAAATACACTGTTTTAGGCCTTTCCTCCCTGCACACACGTCTTCACTATGATGCAACAAGTGTTAGTTTCATTTCTCCCCCTAGATCAATGTTGTCCAATAGAACTTTCTGCAATGATGGAAATGATCCACATCTGCACTGTCTAATATAGTAGCAACCACAGGCAGCTATATGAGCACGTGAAATGTGGCTAGTTCAACTAAGGGAACTGAATTTTTCATTTTATTTAATTTTATTCATTTTAAATCTAAACATAATAGCCACCTGTGGCTAGTGGCTACGGTGCTGGACAGCACAACTCTAGAGGGTCTGTCAACTTTGAAGATGGGTCATGCTTGTATCTGTATTCCCAGCACCTGCCACCTGGCATAGAGTAGGATTCAGAGTTTATTGAAAGAATAAGGAAATGTGTAAGTATCTATACATACTTCTTCTGTATTCTTGGGAAGTGATTTCTCCCAATACCCCAAGCATTCTATCACATTTAAACATTCATCACATCAAATTTTGCCAAACCCAGTCACATCTTGTAAAGCACACCTCATTAACTAACATGGAAAAACCCTCAGCAAATAATTTCTACTCAGGGCATTTGGCTTCATGATCACTCTTAAATGACTTCCAGATGACTCCTAGACAAACAGTTATGCTGTTTATGAAATATTACAATAGTCATGGCGGCATCATTTTGGAATGTCAAAATCAACTACACTGTTTAATAAGGAAAAAGCATAGGCTTTTTATATTTATTTTAGTATTTATATTAATGTGGAAAATAAATTCTCTTGAGTGCCTACAGTACTGTAAAAGTTATTAAAGACTATTTTGAAGTATTCTTTAAAAATAACATTCTGCTCTCCTAACTGAATTCATTTTTGAAACACCATACAACATTTAGAGAGAGTATACGGACTTGATTTCATGGGTTTCATTACTATGATAGGAGAATATGGAGAGAATATGACCTTGCTACAAAGAATCAGCAGTCAAATTCAATTTGGTTCCAATTAAAAGTCCTGGTTGGCAGAATTCATGAGGTTGGCATATGGTTGGTCATTTGAGATTTTAAGAAATCCAAGATGTGAACTTCGCTAAGCAGATTAACCAGGTTTGACTCCACATCCAGGTCTTCACTTCGAAATTCCTTAAAGTATAACTGGCAATCGAAGGCATCAACGAAGATGGTGTGCACACAGTGGCCCCACCCAGAATGAGGGGAGCTTCTCCATTGCTGGCCTGGTACATTACCCATCCCATAGTGATTATATTATACAATGGCTGAACAACCATTTGTTAATGTCCTTCCATCACATAATTACTTCTGTAAAGAGAGACTAACCCTATAGTCTAAAATTGTATGTGAAATAAAAAGGAAGAGGTAAAGCATCTTAAGGCTTCATAAAGGGGGTGGAGGTGGAAACTTCAAATGGATGGTTTGCTTCTTTTAAACTCAATTGAAAAATCTTAATTAAAAATAACTTTATTACAAAATAATTAATGTTCACTATAAGAAAAAAAAAAACAACAACACAGGAGGCAAAAATAAAACATATACTTCTACCCAAGGATAACATTTGGTATATACTCTTCTGCTTTTTTTCTTATGCACTTTGAAAATAGTAAAATAAACATTAGTCAGCATTTATATAACATTCATTCTGTTTCATGTACTGTCCTAAGCATTTAACATAAATGAATTCACTCTGTCTTCTCTAGAATACTATGAGGGAGGGACTATTATTAGCTGCACCTTTTTCAAAGAAATTGAGCAGAGAGAATAATTTGACCTAGCTCATAAACTTGTAAGTGGCAAATAATCTCTGTTCAACTTTTGCAGTGGGAGCATTATGTTTGACTAAGTAGTGTGGGAAGAAACATTTCTCTTTAACTACTATTTCAATATTCTATCAGAGTACATAACCTGGATATCTTATTAGACTCCTGTTCCCCATTCTCTAGGGGAGTGGCCGAGCTAAAAGATGGAAGACATTCGCTGACTTGGATCTAATACTCAACAGCTGGGCTGTATGACACAATCTGTAATATGAATTTAGATTCCTTCAGGGCTATATCTCTTTGATGTTCTTAGTATCAAACCATCACCTTCCTACCTCTATATATTATATAATCCATTAGCTTGGCCTGTAGAAGCCTATATTAACTTAATTCAAGTCGATTTTATTTTTTCACTGGGATTCTCAAAATATAATATATAGTTCCCAATTCTTTTAAAACCCGAAAGTGCCTATTTTGATTATGGACTTCAAAAAAGTGTGGAGAGCACAACAAAAAGGAGGTTGAAACAAGGAGAAAATATTTCCACAGTGCAAACTGTTAAATTGGAAATGTGAGATGCAACTGACAAGTTCAGAAACATTCTTAAAGTTAAAGGTGCTCTTAGAGACCTAGACAGTGTTTCATGCCTTCACCCCATTTCCAAAGGTCATCTGCAATTGTCCAAGGGGACCTACCCTCAGTTTTCTGCTGGCTCACTGTTGAAATTGTTGCTCATGGCCCTGAAACACCTTGTGTTATTTTTTGTGGTTCTGTTACCCATATAGCAACTCCTTGGTAACAATGGTAATTATACAGCAGCCTTGTTATCTCAGAATAACACTGTAATTAACTGGTGTCACTGCAGCATTTGTAGTTATAATAATTGCAGCAAAAAAGAAGTCCTATGGAAGTAGCATTTTTTTAGTTATGGCTTTCAAAAATAGCTTCAGCAACTATGCTGCTTAGAAAACCAAGTTTACTTCCCCCAAGAAACATGATTTCCTCCTCACAAAGCCCACTGAAATTAAGCTATCAGAATGTCTAACAGAAAACATCAGACTTTCTCTGTAGCAAAAGCTTCCAAAATGAATTGGGGAAAAAGACATACACACACATTTCTCAAAGTAATACTTACAGCTCTTCTAGAAAAGGAAAGTTCTTAAATGCATCTTCTGGCAACTGAGTAATGTTGTTCATACTGATATCCCTGGAAAACGTAAAGTTAAGAATATTGTTAATTAAGTGGTATGAAGCTTAAAGTATTTAATCCAACAGAAAACTAACTAGGTGTTACAATTTTGTGAAAGAGCATAGAAGACACATAGAAACAGTCACAATTTGGCTTCAGAATGCAATATTCAGAAAACACAGAAAAGTTAAATGTTCTGTTATAAATTATGTCCCATAATTTAGAAATGTACTCAGATCCTGTATTTTCCCCTCTTAAGTATCCTTGGAAAAAAGTCTCAAACCACCTAAAATAAGTGGGCCAGGGTGGCTTCCCAGTGCTCTGGTATTCACAGTACTACCTATACCTGATCAAAATAAACAAATGAATACCCTAGGAACGATATGTAGAATTTATAGGTGAGGGTGGCTTCTGGAGTCACTCAAGGACAATAAAAGCATGTCCTAGCTCTACCCTAGTCATATTTTCTTCAAAACCTATAAAAGTCCTCCAGGTAACAGTTGTCAGTGGATTTCATGTTCCGCCTATGAACAGATGCAGGCTAAGGACAAGTGCGTACATGATAGGTATGTGGTCCATTTCCAGTTTTCCCTTAAGAGCGTCCGCAGAAAGAAAACTCACCCAGCAATATAACTCAACAATTCACTAATTCAAACAGCTAAAAAATACTTTATTAACCATTTCCCTCCTCCCTGGCAGCTGCCTTTTGAACTGGCTTTCTCTGCCACACTCCACTTGACATCAGCACCATGAAAGACAGGTTAAAACAGCCCCATAAGGGAAAGTCCCAGCATGCGCTGGGGCAGTGGAGTTGCCTCCTTCTGTTCCATGGTGTTTAATTCTGTGGCTGAGCCCTTGGGTCTCCCCTCTCTAGAACCTGGCATGAAACTTCACATGTAGGACATGTCCATTAGTATAGTACATATATTGGTATGAGGAAGGAGAAGAGAAATGAAGCATACCGAAGTCAGCTTACAACAATAATACTGTGTTATTCCATCCATTCCATCAGGTAAAATTTTCTTTTAAAGGAGGCGACACCTTCAGTATCATGCTAGGTACGTCCTTTCTCCCCATCTTTCCTCTCACTAAAATTTAGAAATGGAATCTACATCCTTTCTTACTAGCCTTTCCCAAAGCAGGTTTGGAAAAGTTTTTGGCTTGGGAATAACAGTAACAGTAGCAGCAACAAAAACAGCAGGAGCAGCAGCTAAGATGCAGTGCATGCTTTTAACATGGTAAGACTACATAGAAAATCTTACTTTACAAATGGGGAAACTGAGGCTTACTGAGGTTAAAAAAGCTTCCCCAAGACCATTCAATAAGCAGTGTAACAGAAAACACCAGAGCCCATGACCTTAAGTGCAAACGATGAGTCTTCTTAAGTATTATTTGAATCCTGTTATTAATACTTCTCTCCAGTGGTAGCCAAGATGTAAAACAAATACTTGAGTCCCATCAAGCTTAAAAACTGGGAGGAATAATGCCCCTAACACCTTGACATAATTATCCATGAATCTCTGGAAGAGCACTTTTGCTTGACAACCGGGGTTTAAAAAAAAAAAGAAAAAAGAAAAAGAGGACCAGGAATAGCTTTAGCAATTAAGGAACCAACATTAACCAACATTAATATACATTTCTTAGCACAAGAAATTTCCCTTTAGATGAGTCTTATGACCATAGAGACATACATGCACTCTAAAATGTTATATCATTGAAAACAACTCAAATCCTACTAAAGGAGCTTAAAAGAAAAGCCAAATTACTATGCTTCTCTAGGAATTACTATTTTAAAACCCAGGCCCCAATACTACTTTAGTCAGTGATCATTATCCCTGGGGGAAGGGGCGAGGAAATGTTTTGTTTTTCATAAACACTCTAGCAAGATACTGGAGAAATGGCACCAAAACAGGGGTCAGAAAAGGCAGGCGCAACTCCCACACTGCCACATAGCCATTGTACGATAGTGGGCCTCCATCTGCTCATCAGTAAATTGAAGCTGATTGCTTGGGTGGCTTCCTGGCCTGACATGATATACTGTCACCTTTATACTGACATTATATACTGATTCACCCTTTTCTGTAGTTTATTCATGGAGGAGTCTACCTTTTCAGATAAAAACAGATGAGATTCATTTTATAGAATGTTTCTGAAAAGTTTATCATAATGCAAAGTTTAAAGACTATCCCTCTGTCATTATTAAATTACTAAGTCACTCTCACGGGAGATACATTTGGCCTTAACCAATAAAATCATTCTCAAGAATACAACAAAACATTTAATCATATCGAAAGCAAAATAATGATCCAAAATGAGTAAACAATGATTCTGTAAAATATCAGACAGTTTTGGTGCTTTTCAGTCATTCTAATAAAAAGAGGAAGGACAACAAGAATTGATTGCTTTACAAAATGAGGCATTCTGTACAGTTTCCTCTAAGCTTGGCACACCTGAATTCAGGTGAGTTATCACTGTAACAGAAAAACTGATTAATTTCCTCATCAGAAAAAGGTCTGGAGAGAACCAATTAATTGCCTCACCAGAAAAAGACACATAATTAGAGACAATTTACACCACACTATTCTCTGCATTCCAGTTTTTTAAAACATGCACACACACACGCACAGCTCTGATTTTTTTCCTTATAGTAACAAGACGTAACAGGTAGTTTTGCTGTGAGCTGTAAATGCAATTAGTGAGACTCCATATTTACAAACTAACATATGTAAAACACACGGTGAGTTTTTATTTCAAAGCTTCAGATTCAGGAGTAATACTTATTTCTAAATTTTTCTTAATTTCACACACCCGGAGAAGTTCCCTCTTTACAGATGTTTTCTCTCATACTTTCTGGGATTCAGTTACAACATTTATGAAGTAAAAAGTTGGGTGTGGGGGCAGTGGTGAGCTACAAGATGTTATCTCCGGAGAAGCTCTGGAAACCTGTAGTTACAGAGTATAGTTGCGTGGGTATCCATTTAAAATAATGAGGGCTGATGGTGATAAACAATCTATAGATAGTCTTAAGAGTAGATTCTAGATCTGACATTACCAACACCATAAAGAGAATCTGAAGTACACAGACTTTATAAATAAGAGGTTAGAAAGGATGACCTATGACAATAATTACAAATATATGAGGCTCAAAAGCCATATAAATTATTATGATACATAAATATAAGGAAGTTGTTTAAAGAATTTTCAGCCAGAAGATGCTCCTACAGATTAGTACCTTCAAATTCACATGAGTTGTACAATCTTACCAGTGGCATCAGTAATAAATCGCAGGATTTCACCTTCTGGGATAGAAAACCAAATGTAAATATATATCATATGAGGTCAAAGCACCACCAACTCCCAAATGTCTCAGAAGGGCAATTTCCAGAGAGCTGATGGCCTTACTGGGAGTACGGGCTTTGGCGCCAGACAGACCAAGGTTTACATATGGACTTACTACCACCAGCTGTGTGATCTTTGGCAAATTGATATTTTCTCTGCCCTGGCTTCTTCGTTTGTAAAACGGAGGCAGTAATAACTGAACCTTATAGATTGATGTGAAGATCAGAAAATGTCAGGTCATGTATAATAAGTTCAACAAGAAAGAGCTGTTATCTTATCATCATCCATGTTTTCGCTGCTCCTGGAAGCCATCTGAATCCAGTGGACCAAGACCAGACTAAAAGGAGACACCACACTGCCTTTGTTGGCCTTCTCAGAAAGAAACCACTTTTACAGAAGACACTAAATGTTGCAGAAGACCTAAAACTTGGAGCAGTTGTTCCTAAACACAAAACTAAACTCCAGAACCCCAGGAGACAAAGATTTTAAGCTGGGAGAACCCTTCAAGATCAAATACTTCATTTAAACAAAAGATTAGAAATACAAAAGCACATCACCTTCCTAGAAAAATAAACATGAACTCCCAAATACCAGCAGTCATTGATTTCAAAATTAAAATTTAAAGGGTGCAACTGTTTAATTGAAACTGCCAAATCTCTCCAGTGGTTAAACTCTCATCGTCTTTTCCCCCATAAAATTCACTAATGCTAAAGTATCTACAGAGTAAAGAATATCATGTTTCAACAAGGTACCTTTTAAGATCCCTGTAAAATGATCCCTAAGCAAGCCTAACCTGTTTGCTGATGGCTAAGCATGTACCACTGTGGACTCTAACACTGCATCCTTACTGGGTCTGGGCCTTCTGCCACAGAATTATTTAATTTTAAATATACCGTGATTGACCCAATGTTATCTAAATTTGAACAAGCCCTCCTATTTGTATTAGATAAAACTGTACTGCTACTACTATATTGTTAATTTTATCTCAAATATTATCTGGCAGTTTAAAAAGTCACTAAATTATATACAGGTTCAAGAGAACACAGGGTTCTCTAAAATGTTCTCTAGGAAAAGAAAAAAAAAATGATGGTGATGTCCATAAACTCAAAAAACACATGTTGATAATGACCAAGAATGTCACCTTCAAATCTTAGAAATAAATAAAAAAAACTCTCCCAATGACTTTTCCAGGGTCTTTGGTAATCAACCAGAAATTTCAGGCCAATCTCCAGTTAACGGATGTCTACAATATGACCAAAAACTGAAAACTAAAAATGAACTTTGCAAAATGCCTCCAGTGGAACAAATTTGAAGGGAAGGTCTCTCTCAACCACAAGTAGTAAAGACACACATAACACCAAAGTTCTAATCAAAGTTCATTAAGAATTTGATTTCTGACACTATTCCATATTTTGGGGCAAGTAATCTCATTTTCTCCCCACCTTTTTATGATAACAAAAGTAACCACTGTTGTTTTTAAAAAATTGAAATACAGAGAAAACCATCCACAATATCAACACCCACTGGTAACCACAGCCATATTTCATGGATTTCATTACAGATTTTTTTCTATGTATGGTATATATTTTTACAAATCTGAAATCGTATAGTTCTGAACATGTTCATCTCCTGACACCTAAAAGATTCTTCATTTGCAAAATGAAAAAAATCTTCCTTGAAAATACCTTTGAATGAAAGTGTAAACACTGAAGTCTAATATATATCAATGCTATTTTTAGCAGCCCATACATCATGGGATTGGAACATCTTTGCTATTGAAAGCCACCATGCCAAAAGGAATAGAGGTTAATTAAGGGCTTCCTTTACAAGAGGGAAAGGAGATATCCTGTCATCCATTGAACAAATATTTACAAAATATCCATTATGCACATATGTGCAAGGTACTGTACGTGGATAGTAAGGCTTTTATGTCAAAAGATGTTATTATCAATAGGTTTTTTTTTGTATTAAACTCCATTAGTCCACTCTATTCTTAACTTGCTATTACTGTTTAAGACACTGTTGCAACATTCAATTAAATTTAACTGTTTTCAAATTGCATTATTTCATTTTGAAAACAACAAGAACAGCTACATGAAGATACGGCTATTTATACGGCCGCAGAAATGCGGCCAAAACAGTATATGTGCCATGTTAGATTTTGCTCCAAAGATATTTTTTTGACCCTACATGTTTTAGCACGACTAGAATCCAACCAAGTGTCACAATAGACACCCTTCTAATGTCTGTGTTCCATTTCTACTACAAACAGTTTTGAGCAGTAGGATAAACTGGCTCCATGCTGTCTGACATCTTCTGTTTTTTTCAGGTACCAAGGCTGAGTACTTCCCAGCAAGAGGAATCCAAAACATGCTTCTCTACAGCCTTGGAATCCTTAAGAGGACAGATGCCACAACACCCATATTGACACTTAAAAATAAACATTAATTATGGCAGAGACAAGTTATCAACTTGTAAAGTCATTATCTATTTAAGGTACTTCAACACCCTAAGTATAATCTTTCTTAACAACTTGGAAAGGCTAGAGAAAATGTCACCTTCAAATCTTAGAAATGAATTTAAAAAAACTTGTTTCTATCAGAAAAATGTTTAATTCATTTTATGATCATCTACTTTCGTGGATTGAAATCTTTTTTTTTTTTTTTTTTGAGACTGGAGTCTCACTTTGTTGCCCCAGGCTAGAATGCAGTGGCACAATCATGGCTCACTGCAGCCTCAACTGCCCAGGCTCAAGCAATTCTCCCACCTCAGCTTCCCAAGTGGCTGGGACTACAGGCAAGCACCACCTTACTTGGCTAATTATTTTATTATTATTTGTAGAGACCAGGTTTCACTGTGTTGCCCAGGCTGGTAAAACCTCTACTTTAGTACCTTTTAGGATATTCCCTTCAAAGACTTTCAAAGCTGTGCTGTCATTGTTAAGAAAATGAAACAACACAAAAAAGATTGGGAAGAAATATTTGCAAAACATATAAAGAATTTATATTACAATGTAGAAAGAACTCTTATAATCAATAATAAGAAAAGTCTGATTTTAAAATGGGCTTTTAAGATTTGAACAGATACTTCACCAAATAAGATACACAAATGGCAAATAAGCACATGAAAAGATGTTCATAGTAGTTACGAAGGAAATGCAAATCAGACCACAATGAGACATGATACAACTTTTAGAATGGCTAAATTTTTTTTAAATAGCAGCTGACAATACCAAGTACTGATAAAGATGTGGAACAACTGGAACTCTCATATGCTGTTGGCAACAAGCAAGATGGTACAACCACTTTGGAAAACAGTTTGGTAATTTCTTATAAAATTAAACATATACTTATGACTATATGACCCAGCAATCCTAGACATAAATTATATATACATAATTATATGTTTTAATATATATGTATTATATATAAATATAATATATAATAATATATATAATTATATATATACACATATATATGTGTATATATATCCCCAAACTGGAAACAACCTAAATTAGTGAATGGATAAAGAAATTTTGGTATGTCTATACAATGGAATGTTATCCAGCACAAAAAGGAGCAGACTACTGATACAAGCAACAATATGGATGATTTCAAACACCTTATGCTAAGTAAAAGAGGCTAGATGCAACAGGCTACATATTGCACGATTCCATTTATACAGCATTCTGGAAAAGGTGAACCTATAGACACAGAAAATTGATCAGTGGTGGCAACAGTTGGGGGGTGGAGAAAAGGCTGGCTACGAAGAGGCATTAAAAAAATTTATGTGGTGATAGAAATGATCTATATCTTGATTTTGATAGCAGTTACACAATTGTAGTTTTTCAAAACAATTGTATATTAAAAAGTGTGAATTTGGCTGTATGTAATTAAGTCTCAATACCTGTATTTTGTGGGTTTTTTCTTTTATAACTAAGAGTATATATGATAGTGTCTTCTCACATTTCCCCCTCAGAAAAAAAATAATTCATCCTATGTCTAGCCATTCTCCAAGTCCTACTCTAAATGAAAAATTCTGATGCATAGCTCTGTCTTGAGAATCGAGAAATATGGGGCTCTTTTCTGTCTTTGCGATTTTGGCTATCAATTTGTAGCAGAACACTGGGTCCAGTTTCTTCATTATCTCTTTACTGAGCACCTATTAGGTCTGTGCCTGTGTGCTAGGACAAGTGAGACACAGTCTCTACCCTCAAGAGCTGTCTGAGGCAGTGAGAGGAACAAAACAAGTAAATACTATGACGTGTGACTCAGCAAGTGAAGATGATCGAATCAGACCTGGAGCTCAAAAAAGGCTTCCAACACCAAAGCTGTTGTGCACAGGTACAAAGGGCAGATATTACTAATATCAAAGTTAAGTATATCACATATAAAAATAAGTATGTTCATAACAATTATTTAGATTTTTATATAAAATATATATTACGTATAATATACATACACACATGTACATTCATACACACACACCTATATATGTATATGGTCATAATGTAATTGCAATCCACACTGGGTTCATACTAAAAGAAAAAATTTGTTGAAAGCCTCTGAACTAGATAATGTGTGTCTTGGGGGAAGGTGGAGGGCGCCTTCTTGTCAGAAAGAATATCATGTGTGAAAGCATGGTCAAATGAGATAAAACCAGAGTGGTCAAAGAGATAAAACCATCAAGGAATTAGAGAATTACAAGCAGTATGGTCCAAAAAGATAAGACCACCAAGGAATTTGATCATTATAGGCAGTATGTGTACAAGTGGTGAGAAAAGCTACCAAGACAAGCAAAAACTACATCCCAAAAGGCCTTCATATGTGACCTTTAGAAATCAGAACTTTATTCTAAAAGTGTGGAAAGCTGCCAGCAAAGTTTATGCACATCAAATTTGCTGTAGAAACGTCATCCTGACAGCCATATATTACAATGGGACGAAGGGAGGGGAAGCTAGGAAGAAGAAACCCAGACCTGCTTAATTCCAGCTTCCTTCACTGTAAAATATTTTGTACCAACTAACCTCTAAGGCCCTTTCTAAATCTATCATGATTACTCCTACTTTGACATTCCTGCTCCTGCACATTCCATGCATAATTATGGAACCCTAAGAAACCCTTAGATTCATGCTTTTCCTAGCTGTATGTGTAGGCCCATTTGCTTGTGTTAGCAAGTATGGGAGTAAGTACAGGCTAAAATAGACCCCCTTCAGAATTACAAGAGTTCAGCAATTAAGAAAGACGCATGACTTCATTTCCAAAGGTACCATTTTATGCTGTAATTGTTTACACTCTTGATGAAGCAATACAGCCTAGGAGACATTTAAGGGTGTGTTCTTCAAGGGGAAGCTAACACTAGAAGGTAGAAAAGAGTGAGGATAAAACACTGGTGTGTAAATATCACAACACAACAAAAGGTATGTGTGGCTTAAATTACAAATTCTTAAAAGGGTAACTAAAAAATAAAACTATTAGATGGTGCCCACCTACAAAGAAAGAAAGAAAATAAATAAAACTAGTTAGACTAATTCAATATTTTCTAGCTTTAAAACAAGTTCAGCTTCTTTTGGTTTTGTTTATTTGTTTGTTTTTCTTTTGGTCTTTTTAAACAGGCTAGTTTTCACAAGTGTGGGATATGTTCTAAAGAGAAAAATATAAAATGCTCTAATTCTGGAGTAATGTCTATTAAATGGCAAAGAAAAATAAATGCCAAAGACAAAAAAAATTACTTTCCTGTCTCTAATTTGATCAAGAACCCTACCATCTGGCAACACAGGGAATAGATAAGGGTTAAAACTATAATATTCCTTGTTTTCTTCCTACCTAACTGGTGTTCCCAGGCATCTCTGGGTGTCAACAGCTGTTCTGGTAACCCTACGATGACAAAACAGTGTTTATTACCAGCCAAAACACACAGACAAAATACTATTTCAATAGTCCATTTAACATCAACAAGAAGTATTATAAAGATTATCGTCTGGGCAAATTGGAAACACTCAATTACTTCATCCTAGCAGACAAAATGCACTATTCATAAAGAAAACAATCCAACAGCATTTACTATGGTAAATATTCTAATTAACTAAATGGGTTATGTTTTATTATGGCTACACTTATTAACGCGACTGATAGGAAAACATTACTTCACCGTCCTTGCCTTCAAACATGCACGCCCACGAAAACTTCTGTTTAGACGCGTATTTTTTAAACTTCAGCTCACAACCAATTAATAGATTGTGAAATCATTTCAATGGGTCATAGCCAACTTTTTTAAAAAATTGAAAGAGGAAAGAATAGAACAGAAAAATGCCAGAATGCATCAAATGTTGTAAAGGTAAGTATCAATTCAGGAAAATGTTTCAGCATGTACCTGCTTCTCTCTTCCTGACTGCAAACTCTGAATGCCCTGATTTAGCCTCAAGTTCGAATATATTGTCCATGAAACAGACTCAAAACCATGAGTTCAAGGAATTGCCTACTCAAGTCAAATATTTCTTATTCCTCCATTTAAACTGAATCAAAATTACAGCTGCCTTCCTAGTACCACAAGCTTGGCCCAGTGATTTTAAAAACCTTTAAAGTTTCCCTTTTCTTTGTCCATACCCTAATCTTTAATATTTTAGTGACATGGGCCCCCTAAAACTGACAGTAACAGTATGAGAGAATGCCACTGAGATCCCATGGGGTATTTACAAGAATTTCTTACACTTCTATTTTCAACTGTTTCTATAGAACTGGTGATAAACTGAGTTAGCTGTATTTTCACTCTGCTACTCCTGGGTTCTATTGAGTTTTTAGAAGTATACATTAACATCGTGACATTTTTTTCACTTACTGTGCATAAAATGTTTATACATAACCTGATAAAACCATCCCTAGATAACATATTGATTTTAAGATTAAAAAAACAAAACAAAGGGAAAAAAACACAAAAAACCTACACTCCAGTAAATCCCTCCTAATGCCCCCAGTCTGAAAGGGGCCTTCCAATAAGCACTGTTTGTACATCCAATAAGTGACCTAGGCAAGAACAGCTCCAGTTTCTAAGACACTAAGGCACTGACCTCATTATGTTGAGGCAAGAGGAGAATTCTAAATGATGAGGCAATCCATATACCCTGAAGACCAGCTGCCAACCGTCAGAGCCTGAACCCAAAGGCAAGCTTCCTGGGATTTCACCATCCCCATAATGCAGGCTTGTGGAGCAATCACTTCGCCTCAGGCGATGAGGCGTGCAGACTCCCCTCCCAAACACATACCCCACACACACTCTCTCTCCTTCTCCCCTCTGCTCTGATGGCCATTTTTTAAAGGCTTATAAAAATGTATTCTATCCTTAAAGAAATGACTCAAAATTATAACTGGGATGATTCAATTGTTTCTATTAACTGTAAGACAATAGACATTGATAATGATGGTTTATAAAATGTCACTAGAAATATTCCCTTGGGAATGACTTATAACTCATTAAAATCACTAATGATTTATTCAGCAGAGAAGAGGCTATGCCATCAGAGCATGACAATGTCCTGAATCTTGGGGAGCAAATATTCTTAAACCTGGTTTGTAATACTCTTGGACAGCTCCACTTGTGACAAGTCTTTAAGTTCTAAAAAGTCCCAGAAACAAACAAAAAGGTTAAATTCTTTTTAATTTTTGCAATCAGAATGAATCATATGGTCCCTTGTTTCTTTCTCCAGGGAGAAAACAACGTGCTACCATGAAATTTGCTTAATAAGAAAAAACAGAGAAAAAGCATACACACACCCAGACACAAACATAAATTTCACGGCAGAACATAGTTTTCTGTCCAGAGAAAGATGACTGAGAGTTACTGCTTTATGACATTTACCTGAGAAAATTTCTCAATTCTGCAGTTGATCTGGTGTTTTATTGAAGCAGTTTCTGTTACTAAATTAGTAAGCAGAGAAACAAATGTCTTAGAAAATAAGCTCCTACAAGGAAGAGAATATCTAATTCCTCTAACCTCCAGCAAAACCAGCCACACACCTCTAATTCACTTACATACACACACACATACACATTATAAAGACCATAATCTTAAAGAATATAAGGCCAAGCACAGTGGCTCACCCCTGCAATTCCAGTACTTTGGGAGGCCGAGGAAGGAAGATTGCTTGAGCCCAGGAGTTTGAGACAAGCCTCAGCAACATAGTGAGGCTGCTCGGGAGCCTGAGGGAGGCTACTCAGAGGCTGAGGTGGGATGACTGCTTAAGCCTGGGAGGTTGAGGCTGCAGTGAGCCAAGATGGCACCACTGCACTCCAGCCTAGGCAATAAAGTGAGACCCCACGCTTACTAATTCTCCCAGGCCCAGATGCACACTTTCTCCAGGTAGTCCCTCTGCTGTCACCTAAAACCAGAATGCAATGGGAGCTGATCACACCATTGCAGGAGAAACCCCACGGAGCTCACGGAGCTCATCACAGAAAGAAGGCCACATCACAGAGGGAGCCCATGACAGTAGAAGCCCCATCGCCGTGGATGCTCAGCTAAACTAGCAACCCGACCTGATCATGTTTGTAATATTAAGATTAGGTTTTTTGTCTGTTTGTTTGTTTTTGAGACGGAGTTTCACTCTTGTCACCCAGGCTGGAGTGCAATGGCGCGATCTCAGCTCCCTGCAGCCTCTGCCTCCCGGTTCAGGCAATTCTCCTCCTTCAGCCTCCCAAGTAGTTGGGATTATAGGCACGTGCCACCACACCTGGCTAATCTTTGTATTTGTAGTAGAGACGGGGTTTCACCATGTTGGCCAGGCTGGTCTAAACTCTTGACCTCAGGCAATCCACCCGCCTCAGGCTCCCAAAGTTGCTGGGATTATAGGCGTGAGACACCTGCCTGGCGATAATATTAAGATTAGTAGCCATCCAGTATATCGATCCCCTCTGCTTAACTTTATCAGTCTATTTGCATAATGTGGAGTCGGCTTTTGAACTTCGATATGTTGACAATCAGAAATAAAGTAATGGATCTTCACATGGTTGAAGAGATACATAGCAATAAAATAAAAAATAAAGAATGTAAGATTGGAGGGTCAACTCAGATACCATGAATTAGGTGACAACAATAATATATTCTGGTTGGCCTGGTACAATCGCAGTTTATAGTTATTGTCTCAGCACAGTTTTTTTTTTTGTTTTTTTTTTTGAAACAGTCTCACTCTGTCACTCAGGCTGGAGTACATGTGGCACAATCAGAGCTCACTGCAGCCTCGACCTCCTGGTCTCAATAGATTCTCCCACCTCAGTCTCCTCAGTAGCTAGGACTACAGGCATGCAGGGGCTGATTTTTAAAATTTTTTTGTAGAG
The DNA here is from genome assembly GCF_000001405.40 of Homo sapiens. NCBI lineage: Eukaryota > Metazoa > Chordata > Mammalia > Primates > Hominidae > Homo > Homo sapiens. The sequence continues at coordinate 27,425,511 of NC_000011.10, forward strand.
ACAGGGTCTTGCTTTGTTGCCCAGGCTGGTCTGGAACTCTTGGCCTCAGCGAAGATCCCACCTCAGCCTCCCAAAGTGCTGGGATTATAGGAAGGAGCCACCATAACCAGCTCCATCATAAATATTAATAGTACACCCTTTCACTCTCAAAGGTATCCTACTATGGACAGTAAATGAACTGACCATCCCACTAATAGCAGTAGATATGGCTGAATGAAGTTGGGTGGGTTGTGATGGGAAGAGGTGGAATTTTTGGTTTGGACTGCCTTGGAAAAAGGGCTTGAATAAAAGGCTAATTCCTCATCTGTACAATATTATGATAATATGAAAAACTTAAACTTATGGATAATCTGTAAAGTTTATAAATATCTCTTTGATGGATTCCCTGCTCTTCTCCCTGGACCCCTATGCTCCTCTGTTAGGGTAGGGTCTGTGTTTTGCTCACTATTATATGCCAAGCCTCTAGTGCCATGTGTGGTCATAGCATCTGTTGAGTGAATGATGTGCCAGACATTGCATTAAATGCTTTACATAGTAATAGTAGTAAGTACTTACTTGGCACTTCCAAAGAAAAAACAGGCTTAACAATTTTCCAACCATCTAAATCAAAGAGCTGGTTGCAGGCGGAAAGAAAGGGAAGACATATAAAATATCTTCTTTACATGGGACACCTAATAAGTTTCCGGGAAAGACCAACATTTCCTATGGACAGTAAAGAGCGTTAACGACAGATTTCCTCCCTGTCTATTGCTACAACCAAATAATAACTTTACATGCAAACACATTGGGGGAAAAGCAGGAAAGAGAGTAAGGTTTTCATTTAAATACAAGTTACTGCATTAAAAATAGCTTGGGAGGAATGATGTAAAATTGGATTTCAGTAAAACTAATTTTTCTTCCTCAAAATTTCAAAATACAGGCTTTATCCTATAAATAGTATCTCACAGAACCACTGAACTAGAAAGCACAGTGGTTAACAATTTCCCCAAGCCAGCCCAAGAGCCTGCTGTATAACTCTTACTAGTTGTATAACCCTGGGCAAGTCCCTTAATCTCTGTGCCTCAGTTTCTGCAAGTGTAAACGGAGATAACAATTCTGACTTTAGAACACTGCTATAAAGATTAGATGACATGACCTCTGGTGAGTCCCCAGCTCATAGCAAAAAGTCAGTTATTATTATTTTTCTGTTAACCACCAACATGCAATCACCATCTAATCTCACCATCTCATTTTAATAATGAGGGAACTGAGACCCAGAGGGGTTAAATAATTCATTAAAGTATCAAGATCAGACTCCAAATGATAAATCCTGGTCCATGATTCTTTCCACTACCTTAAGCTGGATTGTGTTGCAGTGATGTTTTAAAAATATGCTTTGGAATTTGGGAAAATAATTTCCCCAGAAACAATGGTCAAATGGTGCTTAGACTATGAGGTTAATGGGTCACAGTGGGGTGAGTCCCTCCCTGTAGCTAAAGTAATGACCTAATGTTACAACAAAACATCAAAACAAAGAGAAAAACAGTACTACCTGTACCTAACCAAAGAAATGCAGGAAAAGTCTCTTCTTGCTTATTAATAATAGTGGTGCTTGGAGAAGTTTAATAAATTTAAAATGAGGCAAAATTTATAACATGGAATTCTGGGTACCTTTAAAAGGAGTGGATGTATTATTGATGGTAGTATGTTCAGTTTTACTTAAAAAACTCACAGCTTTTCTGGTTGTTGATCAACATATCTTTATTGGCATGATGAGCAAAACATTCCCTCTGATCTTAAGGGGAAAAAGAGCAGCTGTATGCAAGTAGGGAAAACAGCCAAGTAAAGGAGTACAGGGAAGGGCCTCCGAAACGAAAGAACAGCTGGCATGAAGGTAGAGTCTAGAGGACAGAGCCATTCAGGAAACTGCAAGTAGACAAGTATGGCTGGGTTATGGGGCAGCACATTGGCAGGTACAGGCTGCAGTCTCGGAACAACCTAGAAAGATAACCCAGGCTCATATTACAGTTGCCAGGGAAGCTCCATATAATACAGAGTTTGAGAATGGAGCAAGAAGGTATGAAATATTTTTTAAGAAACATAAACAAGGTTGCTTTACAAAGAAATTCTGGTGGGTAGGCACAATTTTTACAATTCCTACACCTTTGCAACTACCTTTATTGAAACAGCACATTGGCACTCTTCTCCTGGCCCACAATGAGTGATGTTAGAAGTAGCAGCTTCAAGAAACTGATTGCTATGACTATTCCAAGAATGCCAATGAAGTTACTATTCAGGAAGTTACACCGAATTCCCTTATTAGAGCCCTTGGGAAAAAAGTTCTCTCTGACCTCCATTCCAAGAATAGCTGCGTTTCTCCTTCACAACTTGTCTTTTTTATCTTATGGACAACGTGGAATCACAGAAATGGACCCTCTTTCCCTATCAGCTAAAGATTCTGTCAGCCAAAATTGTAACCCGATGTTTACAAATGCATACATTAGGTGAGTAGCTTCAGTAATTCCTGTCCTGGATTCATATTTTCTTGCCCTGTTTGGCAAGAGTCGGGGGGTGGAAGTAGTTCCTGGTCATCTCATCGACTTATTTTGCATTTTATCTTACGCATTTTTTGGTAAGCTATCTTGCATTCTTTTTTTTTTTTCTTTTTCTTTTTTTGAGATGCAGTCACCCAGGCAGGAGAGCAGTGGCACGTTCTCAGCTCACTGCAACCTCTGCCTCTCAGGTTCAAGTGATTCTCCTTCTCCAGCCTCCCGAGAGCTGGGATTACAGGCATCCACCACCACGTCTGGCTAATTTTTTTGTATTTTTAGTAGAGACGATGTTTCACCATGTTGGCCAGGCTGGTCTCAAATTCCTGACCTTGAGTGATCTGCCTGCCTCGGCCTCCCAAAGTACTGGGATTACAGGCGTGAGCCACCACGCCCGGCCTATCTTGCGCTCTTTTTGGAATAAAATGGATTATGTTAGTATCTTGTGAGCACGCTCTACGTGCCTGGCATGCATACACCAACAAATGCACAAACATGTCTTGCTTGGAAGTATAAAAAAGTGATTGCAGAGTCAAGAAGGAAAGATCAACCATGAGGGATAAATGAGATCCTGAACCAATACAGCAGCACAAGGGACAGAAAGGTATAGATAGATAAGAGCCCCCTGAGGGGCAGAACCAGTAGAACTTTGTTACTGAATGTTACTGATTAGAGGTTGGAAAAAAAGGTGAACTTTTCTTTCTTTCTTTTTTTTGTTTTTTTACGACATAGGCTCTTGCTATGTTGCCCAGGCTGGACTCAAACTCCTGGACTCAAGGGATCCTCCTGCTTTGGCCTCCCAAGTAGCTGGAACTACAGGCATGTACCACTGTGTGCAGCTTAAAGGCAAACTCTGAAGATGACATGGTGGTTTTTTTGTCCATGTAGCCGGTAGAGTGATGCTGCTGTCACCTGGAGACACAACAGGAGGAAAAAGTGTGTTGGATCTGTTGGGTCATGTGATGTTATCCAGCAGGGAGTTGTAACTTCAAGCCTAGAATTGAGAAGAAATGCCAAAGAGGAGGTAAAGGTGAGGGAGTGGGCAACACGGAGCATTAAAACTGCAGAAGTGGATGGCATCACTTAGAGATAAAGAGGAGAAAAATAAAGAAAATGGCTGAGAAAAACATTTCTAGATATAACCAGAGTTGAGGAATAGAAACAGGCCAGGCACGGTGGTTCACGCCTGTAATCCCAGCACTTTGGGAGGCTGAGGTGGGCAGATCACTTGAGGTCAGGAGTTCAAGATCAGCCTGGCCAACATGGTGAAACCTCATCTTTAGTAAAAATACAAAAATTAGCTGGGCATGGTGGCAGGTACCTGTAGTCCCAGCTACTCAAGAGGCTGAGGCAGCAGAATCACGAACCCTGGAGGCGGAGGTTGCAGTGGGCTGAGATCGCGCTACTGCACCCTAGCTTGGGTGACAGAACGAGATTCCATCTCAAAAAAAAAAAAGGGAATAGAAACAGGAAGGGGAGGTGGGGAGGTGGGAAACAGGAGTGATCAGGAAGTGGAGGAGGAACCTAAAAGAAAAGCTTCCAGGATAGAAAGTGTTCTGCTGTCCAAACAACCTGCAAATAGAGGAGCCACAGGATTTGGTAATTAGATCATTTGTCAATATGTTTATCATAGCATGAATCTCACGCATATTAACCATGACTAAAAAGTTTTTTCCCTTATTTTGGCTCTGGAATAGAACAAAGAAAAGGAGAGAATTTCCTGAGGTGACTGGGCAAGATTTAAAAGAGCAAAGGAAAAGAAACACAAGGTTTGAAGAGGATGTGTGTAAACATGTGAGAAAGAGACTGCCTGAGGTGGAATTGCCTGGGCTGGGATCCTGAGAGACAGGAAGAGGGGGGACCTCCATGTGACTGTTCCCCCTGCAGCCCTGCAGGGCAGGGGGAAGTTCCCCCATCAGTGAGCAGGTGGGGCTACCAGCTGACCACACCTCAGCAGGGTGCAGTGGTGTAGATGGGGCCCCAGACATCTGTGAGTACTTGGCATCTATTCCTTTATTCTCTAACTCCGGTATGGTTCATTCTAGGCTCACTCTCACATCGAACGTACTCCTCTCACTCCTACATCACAACTATGCATTTTTTCCCTAGTGTGTTTTCCCAGCTCTTCCCCAGCTATAGTAATTAATTCAAAGACACCATCACTTAAGTGCCACTCAAAGCTCCATCGAGATCCAAGAAGAACAATAGTATGCTTATATGCAGTCTTTTAATTTAAATTACCAGTTGAGTCACTACATGCCAACAATTAAGCAATGACACACACAGATTATACTCCACGTTAACAGGGCTAAATCAGAGATCTCAGAGAACAAGTTGCCCTGGACAGCCAAGCTTTCCAGATAGCTGAGGTTTACCTTCAGGGGAATGGAGGAGGTGGAGGCACAGACACTTAAATAACTTGATAATGACTATTTTTCTAAAATGTTATCTGTGCTTCTCTGTTTTCTAAAACAGCACATAGGAAATATAATTTAAGCTTTTCATGGGCCTCCATTATGAGCATCCCCAGGCGGTGATAAGCCAGTAGAAACAAAAACAGTGCATTCCTCCAGCTCACTTCTATCTTGTTTCTCCACCCCTCGACCCCTTGCCTCAATCCAAGCCATCACCATCTCTCCCGGGACCACGACAGTAGCCTTCTGTTTGGTCTCCCTCTTTCCATGCTTGCCCCTCTGAATTTGACCTACACATGGCAGTCAAAGCAATCTTTTTAAAACAAGAAGACAATTCATGCCAATCCAGTGCTTAGCAGTCTCTTTGTTCTATATCAAGGCCCTACCTGAACTTGCTCCTGCATCCTCTCCAACATCATCTCAAATCATCCCCACCCCACTCCCAGCTCCCCCAACCCCCACAAGCACGCAAACCTCTCCTCCTTCCACCTTTGCACTTGTTCTCTGCCTGGTCTATTCTTCCCTAGCTCTTCCCATAGCACCTCCTTCTTACCTCCTGGTTTTCTCTCAAATGTCACCCCTTCAGACAGTCTCTTCTTAGCCCCCCTAAAATGGCCCCCAGTAAACTCTATATTACCAACCAGTTTATTTCCTCTGTCTAGTTATCATTGGATTTATCTTCTTTCCTTTTACTTTATTAGAAAACAAACTTTCTTCAGCATTAACCACTGAGCGAGGGGTTCTCAGAAAGTGGTCCAATGTCACCTGGGAATGAGAATTTGATAGAAAGGCACTTTCTTGTGCCCTACTCCAGACCAACTAATCAAACACTCTAGGGGTATTAACAAACTTTCCATGTGATTTTGATGCACATTCACATGTGAGAACCACTGCAGTATATTACAATGGCCCCTTATGCGTTCATGGTCTTCCCCACTAGAAAAGAACATTTATGAGGACAAAGAGCTAGTCTACCTTGTTCACTATCAATTTTCTAACCCCTAGCCCAACACCTAACATACTATAAACATTCACGGGGAGGAGATATCCTATTCCATAACCAATATTTGTGCTACTAAACTAAAGCTATGTAAACACCATGGACGTTTAAATGGTCTGCTGTTTTTCATCGTCCCCCAAAGACACTGCCTAGCCTGGGTTTGCTCTTCCTTCTGTTTTTCTTCTTCCATGACTCTTGGGTCACTATCTTTTTCTTCCATATTTCTTGGCACTCAGGACAAAAGGATTGTCCATCCAAAGAACTTACTAATCCGTGTAAGATGACCAATCTTCAAGAGCACTCCATCCATATAATATTATTTCAGTCTCAGGCAGTAGAACATGACTTTCAGCAAGGCTGCCTGAGTTCAAATCCAAGTTCTACCATGTATTAGCTGCGTGATCTTCCACAGATGGATTAAATTCTGTGTTTAGCTTCCTCATCTATAAATAATGAATCATGGCATCCACCTCACAAGGTTGCTGTGAGAATAAAGTAATTCATCATGTAAAGTGTTTGGATCATGCTGACATAAGGAAGGTACTCTATGCACATTGATTGTAATATGTCACATCCTGCCGGTTATTATCCCCAGCAGGATGGCAAATTCTTGGCCCTGGTGGTTCAGGACTGAAATACTGATCTACATAGCAGAGCATTGCCACTCACTCCTAGGCAAGGAATAAAAAGGCATTCCACATACCAGGAGCACTAACCCTACTTAAGATGGGCTAGTCTTTACAATTCCCTAAATCCTCCTTCCCACAGTTTCCTACTGTACGCTAGCAGCCTTTTCCACTTGAACACCTTCTCTCCCCAGCCACCATCTTTGACCTTGCTTTCAAAATGCTCAGAAATAAAACAAGTATTTGTTTAACAAATTAGACATTTCCTGGAAGATGTCTGCAATTGAATGAAATTGCCCAGAGGTGGTCAAGCCACAGGATAAGGAGTACAGGAGACTGGCTCACCTACTTCATATAAAGTGTTTGTCCCAGAGAAGACCCAATGGCAAAATTCAAAGAGGTGGACATGGAAAAAAGCAGCCTATTTCTGCCCTTCAAATAACAGAGGAAAATAAAGAGAAAAGAAATCATGGAAGAACAATTGACATATAACGAAGAAGTTCTGGATATACCTAGAACTTACAGACAGCAGCAAATATTTTAGAATTACTAGGACATCCGAGAGTGTCTAAAGCAAAGCGCTGACAAGCCTAAGATCTTACAGAGGACCCCCCATTGCTTCTGGAGGCAAATTTAAACTCCTCTCCACCCACTGGAAGAAATTGAGATTCTCCATCAGTTATACTACCTTAATCTTTTTCTTTGCATGCTTCACCTATATTCTTCCGCTCTGGCTAGGTCCTCTTCCCTTAGATCTCCTTACCCGTATATCCTCCCCACCACAACAGCTGGTTTCTTCCCACTTTTTTTCCCACTACACCATTGCTACTCAAAACCTGAGTAGTCTGTAAACTGTTAACATTCCACAATGAGACAAGCAGAGCTACTGAAAGTTCACATCATGGCAACATGACAAATTTTATGATTTTGAATCAATAATAAGAACTTTGGGTTTGTATTATGTAGGCTTTCTTTGCTCCATTTTATTTTCCTGAAAATTAATGTTTATATTTTATAAAAACACGAACCATATTGGATTGGAAATTAAAAACTAAAACAAAAAACTGACACATCAGAAAAGGAATGTTAAGGAACACTACCCTAGATCAGTCACAGGGAACACTCGTCTATTCTTTCTTTTTTTATTTTTTTGAGACGGAGTCTCGCTCTGTCATCCAGGCTGGAGTGCAGTGGCGCCATCTCGGCTCACTACAAGCTCCGCCTCCCGGGTTCTCGCCATTCTCCTGCCTCAGACTCCCCAGTAGTTGGGACCACAGGCGCCTGCCACCATGCACGCCCGGCTAATTTATTTTTATTTCTTTTTTTTTTTTTTTAGTAGAGATGGGATTTCACCGTGTTAGCCAGGATGGTCTCCATCTCCTGACCTTGTAATCTGCCCACCTCAGCCTCCCAAAGTGCTGGGATTACAGGTGTGAGCCACCATGCCCGGCCCACTCTTCTATTCTTTTCTCCCACAACCTAATGTTCTTCAGAGTGTGCTCTAAACTATCCTCCCTGTGAATGTTTCTCCTATAGTTTATACCCTATTATCATGTAAGCGGCTGGAATTTTTTAAATGAACTAAACAGAAAGGCAAAACAAATCATTCATTCTATTCCTGTGCAAGTTCTTTGCACTAAGGAGCCCGTTATTTGCTTTATGCTTCTCTCATCCTTTGCACAACACAGACGCAGCACAGTGTGGTGGTTCAACTTCTGGGTTAAAAAGGGACTTAAAAATGGAGTCCAATTCCCATGGGCCACAGCCAAACTTTGGCCATGTGACCTGAAGCAAGTCCCTTAACTCTTCTGAGCTTCTAGTTTCTCTTCTGTGATGTGAGGTCGGCATGGCATGCAAAGCCTTCCCAACTCTAAAATTAAATGATGTCTGTTTGTTCTTAGAAAGGCTCTCAGGTTCCTCACAGTCAAATGGGAAAATATCTCCCCTACCTCAGGGCTGGGAAGATTGGAAAGCACCATTAAAACCACAGAGCCTTCTGGGAACTTAAGGCATTTTTATTACTATCCTACATATACTAGGTGCCCATGCAGAATTCATGAACCAAACATAGAAACTTCACATATTCAGCCTCCAAAACTGAAGGCCAGGACAGTGAGGGATCTGGAACCTGACGAGGCAGCCACTGAAAAGAGAGGCTATTTGTTCTGGAGAAGATGAGATTGAGGAAGAAACCTGAAGAGCTCTCATGTAAATAAGAGAAGAATATCTCCATTGCTCTAGATGCATGAATTAAGTACAATCAATAGATGCTTTCAATGGGAAAGGAAGGAAGAAAGGAACTAATAATTCCAAAATGTTTAATATAGCTTAGTGTTTACATCTCATTTCCCCTTTTAATATTCACAACTCTGGCCTTACATACCCAAAGTAAAATAATTTTTGGTGAAGTAGAGGCCTGTGGTCTGTCCACTACACTGAACTGGGAAGCTAACTGTATCACAAAAAATAACAAAAAAGATTACTGTTAATGTCTTGAGCTGTTCAGTAAGAGAAGCCCCTGCCTTGCCAGAGATACTAAACGCAGTGGCTAAAGACAATCTGTCAAGGACACTAGAGAAGAGCTTCCTACCATGAATGTGACTCCTAGAATTCTGGTACCTTAAATCAATACAATGCCTATTCATAGCCCCTGAAATACCACACAACTGGAGAGACCAATTCAAGGTTGTCAACTTTTTTATTTTGACTTATAAGCACATTTATAAAACAACTCCATCAATCTAAAGAGGGGAGAGGGGAGGAACATTAAATTTAATATTCTCCCCCAAAAGCCAAACGGTATGATCTTACAATAAAAGATGGCCCCTTAAAGTGACTAATAATAGAGTCACTTAAAAATCATGACAATACCCCTAGTTTTCATATTTCACCATGCAACGTGTCAAACAGGCAGCTGGAAACCCACAACACTACACCAGATGACCTTCCTGACGAGCTACTTATAGATAAAACTTGGCCAGGTGCAGAGGCTCATGGCTGTAATCCTAGCACTTTGGGAGGCCAAGTCGGGAGATCACTTGAGATCAGGCGTTCGAGACCAGCCTGGCCAATATGGTGAAAACCCATGTCTACTAAAAATACAAATTAGCTGGGCATGGTGACGCACGCCTGTAATCCCAGTTGCTTGGGAGGCTGAGGAAGGAGAATAGCTTGAACCCAGGAAGCAGAGGCTGCAGTGAGCTGAGATTACACCACTATACTCCAGCCTGGGCAACAGAGTGAGACTCTGTCTCAAAAAACAAACAAACAAACAACAACAACAACAACAAAAACTCAGAGATAACAATGCTACTAGACAGAGTCTCTTAAATGATCAAATTCTAATGATGGTATTATCCTTTCTAGATAACACTTATTTGACCAAGTGCCTCTTCTGTTCTGTTCATCAGCTACTTTTTTTTTTTTTGAGATGAAGTCTCACTCTGTTGCCCAGGCTGGAGTGCAGTGGTGCAATCTCGGTTCACTGCAACCTCCGCCTCCTGGGTTCAAGCTATTCTCCTGCCTCAGCCTCCCAAGTAGCTGGGATTACAGATGCCTGCCACCACACCCAGCTAATTTTTGTATTTTTAGTAGAGATGGGGTTTCATCATGTTAGCCAGGCTGGTCTTGAACTCCTGACCTCAAGTGATCCTCCCACCTCAGCCTCCCAAAGTGCTGTGATTACAGGTATAAGCAACTGTGCCCAGCTCATCAACTACTTTGAATGCATCTAGTGCCAGGCTGGAGGCAAATGGTTCACATATCTTAACCTCACAATAATCCTAAGAGGTAGGTTCTATCGCTATTCTCATTTTACAGAACTGGAAATGGAACTTCTTTTTTTTTTTTTGAGACGGAGTCTCGCTCTGTCACCCAGGCTGGAGTGCAGTGGCGCGATCTGGGGCTCACTGCAAGCTCCGCCTCCTGGGTTTTTGCCATTCTCCTGCCTCAGCCTCCTGAGTTGCTGGGAGTACAGGCGCCCACTACCACGCCCGGCTAATTTTTTGTATTTTTAGTAGAGATGGGGTTTCACCGTGTTAGCCAGGATGGTCTCGATCTCCTGACCTCGTGATCCACCCACCTTGGCCTCCCAAAGTGCTGGGATTACAGGTGTGAGCCACTGCTCCTGGCCAAATGGAACTTCTTAAAGTCACCTCGAAATGATGTCAAGCCAGGATCTGAATACCCAGACAATCTTCAAAATCCTGTCTCCCGAATCACTACACCATAATGCAAAGAAAGAAAGAAATAAAAGACAGAGAGAGAGAGAGAAAGAAAGAAAGAAAGAAAGAAAGAGAGAGAGAGAGGATGGGAGGGGAGGGGAGGGGAGGGGAGGAAGGAAGGAAAGAAACTGTCAGGCACTAATGAATGATTTTAAGAAATATTCTAAAACTACTTATTTATCCAGGAAATTTATCCTGGATGGATAAATTATAAGGATGGATGTTTCACTTGGCTTGGTGAAAAGTGAAGACAACACTTATATAACTAACAATATATATGTAATAGTGTTTTCACCATATTTTTTTATCATGTATATGGAGAGGAAAAAGAACAAAATCCCAGGAAAATAAATCATGATAGCAGTAAAGATATTTTCTATAAGCCCTACAATTTTTGTCATTATAGTTTACAACATGGCAATAAAAATAGCTATTGGACCACTCACTCACCACAGGTGTTAATATCGTTTGTTCATATGTTATTACGTACCTATCACACAGCTGCAGGTAACTCTAACCCTACATGTCTTACGCTTGCAAATCTTGAATCTGTTTGATAGATAGGCCCTTAGCTATACCAGTCTTTGCACTGCATTGCGGGGATAGGAGGGGGTGTTGAAGGGAGATGGAGGGATTTGAGGGGGTGGGAATGGCACTAAAAAATCTGGCATATATCTGTCTGTTTGGTTACTAACTAGTTTTAATTTCAAAAAATCCCCCCTTCCATTTTACTTTGGTTCTTCTGCTGTTTCCACCCAATATTTAGATAGAAACATGAGCCAAAAAAGTTGGGATGGGTCTTAAATTTGGGGGCCAGCAGGCTAAAAAGCTTGGCCCAGAATGCAAACTGCCACTTATGTGGCTGACTCAGGACAACCAATGTAAACATGTAAGTTAGTCCAAATATACACACACTTGTTTATATTTTAAAACTTATTTTGCATCTTAGTAATTTCTTCCCTAAAAATAGCCAAGGAACCCTACTGTTTTGGCCAATTTTTTTTTTTATAAATTGCTGTTTTGAAAAGAAATTATAATTATCCATGTGTATTGAACAGACCAAAGACATGCTACTATTTTCTAGTGTTGAGAAAAGTTTCAAAGTGCTACCTAGAAGCAATCATTAAAACCAACGTACCTCCATAAAATGCATTTTTTATCAAATGCTTTATAAATAAATAGTGAGTTAAAATTGAGAAGGAGTGACTATTTTTATTGCATGTCACCTGGTCAGGTATTTCCTGCAAGAACAGGGACTAGATCCGTCCTTCCAATCCTTGTAATGCTAGGCATGAAAAGAAGGTGGTCCTATTTTTAAAGTCTTTATGGATTTTTACTTGAATCTCTTTTAAAGGACTAGTGTGTGTGTGTGTGTGTGTGTGTGTGTGTGTGTGTGTTTATGCTAAAAGAAATCATAAAGCTAGGCACAATGGCTCAAGCTTATAATTCCAGCACTTTGGGAGGTACAGGCAGGAGGACCTCCTGAGCCCAGGAGTCTGAGATCAGCCTGGGTAACATAGTGAGATTCTGTCTCTACAAAAAAGATTAAAAAATACAGCCAGGAGGGGTGGCGTGCCCTGTAGTCCCAGATACTCAGGACAGGGGTGAGGTGGCTGAGATGGAAGGACAACTTGAGCTTGCGAGGTTAAGATTGCAGTGAGCTATGATCGCTCCAGTGCACTCCAGCCTGAGCAACACAGCAAGACTCTCCACCCGCCCCAGGAAAAAAAAGACATAGAAACCATAGAGATGACCTAGTTCAAGTCATTCTCACCCCCACCTTTGGAACTTGTACTGATGAGTAAATCAAAGGCCATTTCTTTATTCAAAGCCACACAACCAGAATCAAGACCCAAATCTTGGTCTGTGCATTTTCCACATTTCTCCCAATACAAACTGATAACTAGTATGTATTACATAAAAACATCATTATCTAAAAATTGCAAGAGATGGCAAAACAAATGCAAGTCTAGAATGAACATCTATTTTCCTTACCTAAGACATTTATACTCTTCTGAAAAATGTATAGCAATAGTTCTCAACCAGGGGTGATCTGGCATTGGAGACAGTTGGCAATGTCTGAGGATATTTTTGGTTGCCACCACTTGGCAGGCAGAAGCTGGGAGGTTACTGGTATCTAGTGAGTAGGGGCCAGGGATGGTGTTAAGCCTCCTACAATGCCTAAGACAGACCCTATGATGGTTAATTTTATGTGTCAACTTACTAAGCCATGGAGTTCCCACATATTTGGTTAAACGTTATTCTTGGTATATATATAAGGGTGTTTCTGGATGAGATGATCATTGTAATCAGTAAACTGAGTAAACCAGATTGCACTCCTTAATATGGGTGGGCCTCATCCAATCTGTTGAAGGTTAGAAAACAATTAAAAGGTGAAGTAAAGGAGAATTTGCTCTCTCTGCCTAACTGTCTTTGAGCTGAGACTTTGGCCTTCTGACTCATGCTCGAACTAGAACTTACACCATTGACTCTCTTGGCTCTCAGGCCTTCAGACTCTAACTGAAACTTACCCCATCAGCTCTCCCGGGTCCCAGGCCTTCAGTCGTGGACTGGAACTATACCTCCAATAACCACCTGAGCCAATTCCTTTTAATCAATCTCAGTAAACATATATACATATATCCTATATATATTCTACTGGTCCTATTTCTTTGGAAAACCCAGGCTAATACCGGCCCCTACAACAAGAATTATCCAGCACAAAATGTCAATGCCAAGGTTAAAAAACCCTGATGTATAAGAATATTGACATTTTCATAATGGAGATGTCGTGATGGTAAATGGAGATTTACCATTTTAAATGTACAGTTCAGTAGCATCCATCACTACCATCCATCCACATAGAACTTTTTTCATCTTGCAAAACTGAAACTCTACCCATTAATCAGTAACTCCCTATTCCCCACTCCCCCTAGCCCTTGGCATCCACCATGCTACTTTCTGTCTCTATGAATTTTGACTACTCTAAGTACCTATATGAATGGAATTATACAGTGTTTCTCCTTTTGTGACTGGCTTATTTCACTTAGCATGTCTTCAAAGTTCATCCATTTTGTAGCATGTGTCAGGATGGATTTCCTTCCTTTTTAAGGCTAAATAATATTCTATTGTATGTGTGTATATGCCATATTTTGTTTATCCAATTACCCATCAATGGACATGTGGGGTGCTTCTACATTTTGGCTATTGTGAATAATGCTGCTATGAGCACAGGTGTGCAAATATTTCTTTTAAAATCCTGCTTTCAATTTGCGGGGAATACATATACCCAGGAGTGAAATTGCTGGGCCATATGGCAACTCTATTTTTAATTTTTTGAGGAACCACCACAGTTTTCCACAGAAACTATGTCATTTAACATTCCCTTGGGTGCATTTTTACTCGGCAATGCTCTCAATAGCAGAAGTTTTCTTTTGTCTACCTCTCTCTGCTCCACTTCCCTCCCTGTACCCTGGCCATTTTATGAAGCAGGTAGTGAGCGAATACTTTAAAAACTGGGACACTCTTAAAGACACCCTAGGGAGTGATTTTTTAAATATGAATTGTCACTCTCTGGTTTTCCTTGAGGTAGGATTTCTCTTTTTTTTTTTTTTTTTTTTTTGAGACGGAGTCTCGCTCTGTTGCTCAGGCAGGAGTGCAGTGGCACGATCTCAGCTCACTGCAACCTCCGCCTCTCAGGTTCAAGCGATTCTCCCACCTCAGCCTCCCAAGTAGCTGAGATTATAGGCACCCACCACCACGCCCAGCTAATTTTTATATTTTTAGTAGAGACGTGGTTTCACCATGTTGGCCAGGATGGTCTTGAACTCCTGACCTCAGGTGATCTGCCCGCCTCGGCCTCCTAAAGTACTGGGATTACAGGCGTGAGCCACTGCACCCAGCCTTGAGGTAGGATTTCTACAATGCATCTTGACCACAGTGGAGGGGTGTGGAGAGGCACGGAGCACATGGGAAGGAATACACCTGCCCACCCAGCAGATGGACCCTTCTCCAAACCAATCCTGAAAGCCAACCCAGACCGCAGTCTGTGAAACCTGAGAAAAATAATCCCCATGTCATCTCGAGTTTTCTATGTGACACCTGTTTGTATTCTTTGAGAAAGAGAGTCTTTCTATTTTTGAGATCTCTTATTTACATGCATCTTGTGGGAAAAGATTCCAGTTTTACAGAGCACAATACCACTGTTAAGGTGACTTTCAATACAAGTTCAATGGTTCTCATGAGTTAATTCTTGGCAAAATGTAGTTTTGCATACTTACATGTGGGACAGTAGTAGGTCCAAGCTGCTTAGGAAGAGTATGGATTTCAATTAATTTGTAACTTTGTTCCCACAAAGACCCGGAGGCTTCTCTTTATTTTTCACTAAGAAGTATGGTTAACATACTCACATGGAACTGTCTGAAAGGGTAAGGTAGTATCTCACATATCTAGAACTCCTTAAAGTAGGGGTTCTCAAATTGTGCTCTCAGAACTAGCAGCACCAATATCACCTGGAAATTTGCCAGAAATTCAAGTAACTGGGCCCCCACCCAGGTCGATGGAATCAAAAATCCTAGAGGTGGGTCTCAGCAATGTGTTTTACACAGCCCTCCTGGTGATTCGAATACACATTATAGTGGCACAACGGGGAACCACTGCCCGGCTCTCACAAAGCACTTTTATGCTCGTGAAAGTATTTGGACTTCACAGCAACTTTACAAGGCAGGTAGGGTTGGGAGAGTGTCCCCTTTTACAAATGGGGAAATTGAGGCCCAGAGGAGTCTTACCTAAAGTGACACTGACTTACCTGAAGTGACACAGTTAAGCAAACAGAATAAGAAATTCATAGAACTAGAGAAATATTGGGGATCATGTAGCCAAGTATCCTCAATGCATAGGTGAGGCAACTAGAACCCAGAGGCTAAATGATGTGAACAAGATCACACAGTGCCATAATGGAAAGCCTTTTCTCCTGTCAAAGTTCCATTCTCATTCTCCATTAAACCATTACATCTAAGCAGTCAGCCTCTACTAGTTAACTACCTCCTCAAATGATGAGTTAAGTCATGTATGATAAGTACTTAGTTTGGGACTTACTAGGTATTTCACACACAAAAAAAGTGGCATGGGTGACTAAATAAGATTGATTTCATCATTACATAAAAAATCGCCTTTAATAAGACAACAGGGTAAGAGGGTTAAGGACACTGAGGCTAAAGGAATGGACAGATCTTAATCTAACCAGAGAAAGAAATGAATGATAGAGAGAAAGTAAAAAGTTCAAGGGACATGAGGGCTTAATGAGGCTGAAAAATTTGTATACACTGAGCTAAAAATTTTCTTAAAAAGAGAGAGAGAGGGGCTGTAGTCAGAGGGATTTAGCAGTTCTGTGGTCACAAGGTCCAAGATTTGGTCATGGGAGGAAAAGGCTGAAGTGGAGTTGAGACAGGGCTCACCAATGTGATGGAGATAAATGAAATGAGAGGCAAAAGTGTCAAAAGGATTGTCCATGTTGGGTGAATGACAGAACTTACGGCAGGGGAGAGGATGGCAGAAATCATAAGATCATGAACTTGGCACCCAATCCTCCTTTAAAGGGGACCAACAGACAAGCCAGTAGATGACAGTATTTGCGAAGGATCAGAACTAAAGGTCAGGGACCACAGATGGAACAGAGATTGTGAGTTAAGATGAAAGCCCAGTGACCTATGGGCAACAATGAGGAGCGGTGAGAATCAATCCTATTCTCTTAACAGTGTAGGAAGATGAGCAGCCTCTAACCAAAAGTCTGCAGGGGAAGCAGTTCTTCAGAGAAGAGCTAGTGAAGAGGCTGAGATGGAGAAAAGCATATCAACCATGGAAGAGGGTTAGACAGAATGGGGCAAGCAAGGGCTTGGGATTAAGAAGAGGAGTGGGAAATCAAACCAGAGAAGAAGAGACTAGCAACCCAGCTCCAATACCACATTTTGTGGGAGGTCTACAAATAGAACTACTCACTCTTTTGTAGGGGTGAAAATGCCATCCAAAGAGCCTGATAGGCCACAAGATGAACCTCAATATTAAACACCTTGTTCAACTAATAACTTAGTCCCATGCAGCTACACAACTACGTTACCTACCTTGCCGCAAAACTTTATTTTGTTTTGTTTTACAATTTTAGGGGCCTCATTCTTCCATTTTAATGTAGTGATACCTACAGAGGGCTTATAAACCACTTATAATCATCTTCAAACACATCTGAGGGGTAGTGAGTTAAATGTTATTACCACTATGTTGTCAACAACAACGACAACAAAAAAACACAGGTGATTTTCAAAAGATTACAGAGCAAAACAGCACCAGACCTGAGAAGACTCTAAAATGAATTATGACAATCATTCACAAAGAAAGAGTCAATATTCCATGTTCTTCACATTATACACAAGAGCTGTGTTGGTTCTATTCTAGACAAATGAAGAAGAGAGGGCCGTAGAGAGAAGACAGTTATTTTCATTAAATTATCCCTGAAAACTGAATCCTCTGCTACTTGAAAATCTGGAAGGAAGAAGACTAATTGGGTAAGAAGCAGAGTTTGGTTTCAGATTTTGGTATAAGGAGCTGTTCACAGCAAAAGAGAAATAAAGGAAGTTAGTATTCATCAAATATTTCCTATATAACAGGGACTGTACTAGACACATATCGTGCTCAACTCATTTAATTCTCACAACCATTCTGAGAGACAGGTATTATTAACTCCAACTGGAGGATGAAACTGAGGCTCAGAAAGGTTAAGAAACTTGCCCAAGGAAACACTGGACAGGGCACTTTATCCACAACACAAGGATGCCTCAAAAATGGAAGGCCTAGAGTCTTACTGAAAGAAATCCTGGCTGATCTCTGGTCTCCAAACCCCATCTCCCACTCCATTGTCTAAGGGCATATCAGAGTTGGGTGGATCCTGACAGCTGAACCATGTGCCCCTCTCCCAGGTACACCTGTTATTACACACTCAAGTAATACCACTGCACGATGGGAAATTCCTCCCCAAGCTCATTCCTACCACTGAACACCAGAGAGGTTAGAAGTCTGAACTAATGGGTAGGTGGTCTCTGAGACTCATGCGTCCCACCTAAGTAGCCTGTATATCAAAACAGCTTCAGCAAGACGACTCTGTTTTCCCCTAATTACTTGGCCACTTTAACAAGCTTTGGGGGATTTTACTAAAATGAAAATGGGGAAAGGCTGAAGCAGCTTACAAATGTACAAATTAAAAAATATCTTTACATAACTTTAAGGCTGAATCCATACGCAAGGAGCTGTTAAAAATATGTACATAGGTATTTATATACATATACATTGTTTTTTAAAGAGAACTCTGGGACAGCTAGAACATTAAAATGACCCTTTCATGAAAATTCCAGGGCATATTCATAACAGGAGTCAGACAGATTTTGTTTTCTACCAGAGTTCTATAAAAATAAACTGTCATCACAACATCCTTGTGGTAGTAAAAGGCCATATTTGCCTGCAGTTAAATCCAACAGCAGCTGCTCTATGGAAAAAGACGGCCCAATAATTGGCTTCTTTCACCTCTGTTAATCACGAACAAAAGTGTCATTCAGTTTCAAAATGGACAAAATGCTCCAATGGATGGTCAGCTAGCTGAGCCAATGGGGTGGAATAACAATAACCCTGTAGCATTTTCCTTTTTCCTTTTGTTTGGTCTTTCAAAGCCCTTAATTAAGACCTGCACAAAGCACCCCTACAGGCTTTTTTCAATGAGGCATTACACGCCTGTTTTCTTGTATTTAAAGAAAAAAAAAATAGCAGGGATTTTCTGAAACACATTAAACAGAATACACAATTTCCATTTATTTGCAACTGAAACACTGTTAAAATTTTAGAGCTTAAATATTATCATCAGTAACAAAGCAAGTTCTTTCCATTTCAGGCTTGGGGAGTGGAGGGTGAAAGAGGGACTACTGAGAAGGAGGCGGGAAAGTTAGAGCTGAGACAGGCAGAAGAGTGCCAACTCAAAGAAGTGCTGTTAAACCATTTCTCCAGGAATAAAACTGCAAGCAGCCATAATTTAGAAAGACCTAGATTAGTCTCTAAACCTTTCAATAGCTTAGCACCTACAAACTGAAAGAAACAGCAAAACATGAAATATTCTTAGAGCAAACAACTAGTCAACCGAGACAAAGGGTCATACAAGTTGGAATTGAATCTACTTCTGAAACACTCCTTAAAAATCACACACAAGAAAGATATTTTTACAATTAAACAATCTCTATAAGAACTTTGTGTAGGTCTATAATTGATTTCTTTTTCTATCTTGGCCTTTAAAAAGCTTCATATAATTAGGGTGGATAAGAATCAGAATGTCCAGCTTTAAAAATATCCATAGCCTAATTAAGTTTTCATTATTCAATTTTCTTTTTGCACAACTTAAATAAAGGCTGTTGTGTTCACTTTTAAATGCTCTGAAATATAATCTTTCCGGGTTTTAGACTGTTCTGAAAATACCTAGTTCTGCCCATAATTTGTTCTTCCCTCCCCCTCTCACAAGTATCCTGAGTGACAGCTTAATGTGACAGCTTTCTTGCCACAATTCACCAAAGGGGAGTGGCAGGTAGGGTTCTCAGAGAACAAATACCTAACAAAGCCATCATTCTGGGGAGTTACTTTCAATCTGTCAATCCAATCCATCAAGTGGAATGTGCTCCACTATTCTCTTGTAAATGTGCTTATTTCAAACAAGGCAGAACTCGGGCAGCTGCCCTACAGAAGACTAAATGACCCAGCTCAAATGTCACCTCTGCTGTGAAGCCTTCCAATCCCCAAGGCAGAGTAAATTCCCCTCCTCTTTGCTCCCACAGCCCTTTGTTCATCCCTCCTTTAGGGTACTCTCATACTGTATTTGATTCGTGCATGTCTGTCTTTTCCACCAAACCCTATCACCTATGGACACGTGCGGGCCAGTGTGAGAGACTGGAGGGCACGAACTCTGGAGTCAGACTATGTGGGTTCAAATTCTGGTTACAGATTATAAATCATGACCCTGGATATATATTTTCAATATATTTGACTAACGCTTATTTAAACATTTTGTACTTCAGTTTTCTGAGCTTAAAATGGAGATAAAGAATACCTCTTATACAGCTGTTATGACGATCAAGTAAACTCACACATATAAAGCTCTTAGCATGATATCTGGTACACATGAAGGGCTTCATAAATGTTAAAACAGGAAGCACAGTTCATATTGTCCCTCCTCCCCCAACGAATACAGCAGCACACTTAGAAGTACAATAGAGGCTGGTTTCAGTGGCTCACACCTGTAATCCAAGCATTTTGGGAGGCCGAGTAGAAGGATGGTATAAGGTAAAGAGTTTGAGACCAGCTAGGCAAGACAGTAAGACCTCGTCTCCACAGAAAAATTTAAAAATTTTTCAAGCCTGGTGGTGCATGCCTGCAGTCCCAGCTACTCTGAAGGCAGAGGCCAGTAGATCACTTGAGCCCACAGGTGAAGGTTGCAGTGAGCTGAGATGGCGCCACTGTACTACAGGCTGGGCAACAGAGTGAGACCCTGTCTCAAAAAATAAAAAAAAAAAGTGCAGTAGCCACATATTTGATGTTCATGGTATAAACTTTGGCTAAGCAAGTTAATTAATAAAATGTCACCAGTAAAATATAATAGAATATCGAAAGACAATCTGTCTATGTCCTTCAAATTATTCAACATTTAAGAGTATGTTACATGCAAGGCACAAATATAACCAAGGGAAGAACTAAAAAGATGCTGAGTGAGAGTTGATTCCTGCCTATAGAGAGCTTAAAAATGGGGTTGTTTGATTTTTTCTTGTAAATTTGTTTAAGTTCTTTGCAGATTCTGGTTATTAGCCCTTTGTCAGATGGGTAGATTGTAAAAATTTTCTCCCATTCTGTAGGTTACCTGTTCACTCTGATGGTAGTTTCTTTTGCTGTGCAGAAGCTCTTTAGTTTAATTAGATCCCATTTGTCAACTTTGGCTTTTGCTGCCATTGCTTTTGGTGTTTTAGTCATGCAACAACCCCATCAAAAAGTGGGCGAAGGATATGAACAGACACTTCTCAAAAGAAGACATTTATGCAGCCAAAAGACACATGAAAAAATTCTCATCATCACTGGCCATCAGAGAAATGCAAATCAAAACCACAATGAGATACCATCTCACACCAGTTAGAATGGCGATCATTAAAAAGTCAGGAAACAACAGGTGCTGGAGAGGATGTGGAGAAATAGGAACACTTTTACACTGTTGGTGGGACTGTAAACTAGTTCAACCATTGTGGAGGACAATGTGGTGATTCCTCAAGGATCTAGAACTAGAAATACCATTTGACCCAGCCATCCCATTACTGGGTATATACCCAAAGGATTATAAATCATGTTGCTATAAAGACACATGCACACGTATGTTTATTGTGGCACTATTCACAATAGCAAAGACTTGGAACCAACCCAAATGTCCATCAATGATAGACTGGATTAAGAAAATGTGGCACATATACACCATGGAATACTATGCAGCCATAAAAAATGATGAGTTCATGTCCTTTGTAGGGACATGGATGAAGCTGGAAACCATCATTCTGAGCAAACTATCGCAAGGACAGAAAACCAAACACCGCATGTTCTCACTCATAGGTGGGAACTGAATAATGAGAACACTTGGACACAGGGTGGGGAACATCACACACCGGGGCCTGTCATGGGGTCAGGGGAGGGGGGAGGGATAGCATTAGGAGATATACCTAATGTAAACGACAAGTTAACGGGTGCAGCACACCAACATGGCACATGTATACATATGTAACAAACCTGCATGTTGTACACATGTACCCTAGAACTTAAAGTATAATAATAATAATAAAAAAAAGCGCTTACAAACGATTCTGAGCATGAAGCTGATAGGAGGTCAGCAGGAGTGGTTGCACAAGATACAGGTGGTAAAGACCACTCTGATAAAACAGGATGCAATAAAGAAGCTGGCCAAAACCTGCCAAAACCAAGGTGGTGTAAGCGTCCTCTGGACATCCTCACTGCTCATTATATGCTAATTATAATATATTAGCTTACTAAAGGAACCTCCCACCAGTGCCATGACAGTTTACAAATGTCATGGCGATGTCCAGAAGTTACCCTATATGGTCTGAAAGGGGGAAGAACCCTCAGTTCTGGGGAACTCCCTGCCCCTTTCCTGGAAAACGCATAAATAATCCACACTTTGTTTAGCATATGATAAAGAAATAACCATAAAAATAGCTAACCAGCAACCCTTGGGGTTGCTCTGCCAATTTATTCCTTTACATTCTTAATAAACTTGTTTTCACTTAACTTTGTCACTCTTATTGAATTCCTTCCTGTGCAAAGCCAAGAATTCCTGTGGTCTCCGAGGCTGAACCCCAATTTTGGGGTTCATCCTATGACAAAGCATCTAGAAATGTATGTCTATTGTATTCATGGCTGACACTATGCTTTCACAATATGTTTGACTAATGTGCATTTTGTCAACAGTGTGTTAAGTCTTTAAATTTTTAAAAATATATGTACAACCAAAGTATCGCATTTCACTAAAGGAATAGAAAGTAATAGGGTTTATGCATGTTATATTTAATATACTTCAATGAACCTTATAATTCTCACTAATGCTCCATGTTAACATAGCACCATGTATGCATTCCAGGTCTATATCCTGTGGTTCTATGATTACAGTTATTGCTCTCTGTAGCACTGTAAGAGTCAAAACTACTTATGTATGAAATTAAAGAATTTGGATCATGAACAAATGTGTGGTAAAATCATTTTGTTTCCATAATGCTCTTTTCAAAGACCTTACCATTAAATACAGGATCACTGGCTTAAATGTGGCAATCTAGTAAGACCTAGTTTAATAAAATCATCAGTAAGTTAGAATCATGTTTAAATTAGAATAAATCATCCAGAGTTTCAGTTGTTCTTTTTTTTCTTTTCTTTTTTTTTTTTTGAGACAGAGTTTTTGCTCTTGTTGCCCAGGCTGGAGTGCAATGGTGTGATCTCAGCTCACCACAAGCTCCGCCTCCTGGCTTCAGGCAATTCTCCTGCCTCAGCCTCCTGAGTAGCTGGGATTACAGGCATGTGCTTCCATGCCTGGCTAATTTTGTATTTTTAGTAGACATGGGGTTTCTCCATGTTGGTCAGGCTGGTCTCGAACTCCCGACCTCAGGTGATCCGCTCGCCTCAGCCTCCCAAAGTGCTAGGATTACAGGCGTGAGCCACCGCGCCCTGCCTCAGTTGTTCTTTAGCTGAAAAGAATGTATGGAAACAAAATGATTTTGCTGTACATTTGTTCACAATCCAAATTATTTTGTCATGAAACACTAATTTCATGAGTCTGAATAAAACATTAAAGCTACAGATATGTATTTGCATTTGAAAATATCAGGTAGGTTTACTGTATTCCATTTTTCTAGAAGAGAGTAATGAGACTAACAAAAATGAGCTCCTTAAATCAACCATTGGAGCAAGCCCCCTGAGGACAGAAGTATTGCCTTTCACTTCTACTCTCACTAGATTAAGACTACCAACAAATGCCTTTCTCATTCACTCACTGATACTTAATAAAAACTAAATAAAACATAATAAACACATACTATAATAAATTTTTACATCTTTTCTGATTTTTCTATGGAAGTATGCAAATGGGAGGTAAAACTCACCTAGTTGACAATATCTAACTATCATAAGTTAGCTAACTTATAATAATAAAACTATCAGAAGTCAAGACTATTATTTGCATTATCTTCATCCAAGAGAACATGCTGCCCATCATCAACACTGTCCAGTATTTATCAGCTGCTGTAAAATAATAAATACCTACTTAAGTATAATGAGTGAATCCTCAAGACATGCCTAAGAGTTTATTTTTTAATATTGAATGTATAGTATCATAATAATTAAAGTTTAACAAAAATCTATTCAATCATTTTGTCAAATGTCAGCCAGGCGAGATGGCTCATGCCTGTAATCCCAGCACTTCAGGAGGCCGAGGTAAGATGATCATTTGAGCTCCGGAGTTCAAGACCAGCCTGGGCAACACAGCGAGACACTGTCTCTACAAAAAATAAAAAATTAGCCAGGTATGGTGGCCTGTGCCTGTGGTCCTAGCTACTCAAAAGGCTGAGGCAGGAGGGTGACTTGAGCCTAAGAGCTTGAGCCTGCAGTGACCCATGATCACGCCATTGCACACCAGCCTGGGCGACAAAGTGAGATGCTGTCTCTTAAAAAAATCAAAAACTTGCTTGGTTATTTACTATTATTAAAAAAAGAAAAAAAAAAGAAGAAGACCAATAAATAAAAAGTAAATAAAATAAAAATAAAGTTTAAAATGTTGACAATTATATCATTTCTGAGAAAAATTCTGTAGGAGATACCACTTCCAGAATTCAAAGGACGTATGTCTATAATTAGCTGAATATTCTAAACTCTTTAAAAACACTCCAGAAAATATAACAGGATGACCTTCAATTGTTTCTGCTATGCTTCCTGATCAATATTTTAACAATTAGAATTGCTTTATTAACAATATCTCTTCAGTGAGTGTTCCTTTGACTTATTTCTAGGTTAGCTAAAAGTTGGTTCCCCTAGAAGCTGATGATTTGAGGCAAAAATGCCTTGTTCAACATGGAAACTGAAAGGCAGAACTTGGCTACATCTCCCTGAAAAACGCTTTCGTTAAGTCTGATGAATGTGATATTCTGCTTTCCAAAAGACTGGCATACTAGTATTTTTATTGTATAATATCCAATTCCCTATATGCTATTGTTATTCTAGATCCTCTGAGCAAAATGAAGCTGTTAATATTAAGGACAACGGAAGGGACAGAATTTTGAAGATGGGCAATAGGGCCTTAAGACTAAAGCTTAAAACTATGCTACCAAAAAAATTTAAAAAGCAACATTCAACAAGCCTTATAAATTGTCAGTAGAGACATGGGTATATTCCTCTACTTGAAACATGGTACAATTAATACTTTTCAACTCCTCCTGGCAGAATACTTTCCTTCCGGCAGAATATCTTCAATTTCTCCTGGTAGAAAATAGACACTTTCAATTCCACAAACTTCCACTTGGAAATGAAACGGAACTTCCCATAATGTTGTTGCTGTATAATAAAAAATACTCAACACAGAAAATTGTGCTCTCAGGCCAGGCACGGTGGCTCACGTCTGTAATCCCAGTACTTTGAGAAGCCGAGGTGGGTGGATCACCTGAGGTCGGGAGTTTGAGACCAGCCTGACCAACATGGAGAAACCTCATCTCTAATAAAAATACAAAATTAGCTGGGGGTGGTGGCACACACCTGTAATCCCACCTACTCGGGAGGCTGAGGCAGGAGAATCCCTTGAACCCGGGAGGCAGAGGTTACGGTGAGCTGAGATCGCGCCATTGCACTCCAGCCTGGGCAACAAGAGCAAAACTGCGTCTCAAGAAAAAAAGAAAGAAAATTGTGCTCTCACATCCATTCCTTGCTTTGGGATGCTAGATGCAATGCACCTATATTTAGAAACAAAACAACCATTTCTTTGCCAACTCTTCATAAACCTTTCAATTTCTCCAACAAGTCTGATACCCTGGGACAAAATAATGTCCAGTGGCAGGTTATGTAATGATCTATATACTACTTCCAGGATTACTATTTCTAGGTTATGTAAGGATCTATACTATTTCTAGGACTCCTTACAAAAACACTTCTTAAAAACACTACAGTTTTTAGTATTCACAACTAAATGAACGGTACTTTTCAATACTTAAAACTAAAGTTTAAAGAGTCAACTTTTATTTCCAAAGTTAGCACAATTTTTCACTTAAAATAAGGAAATGTTAAATTTAAAGAGACCACCAGAGAACTGTTTAGAACCATTTAGTTTGGAACCATAACTTCAGACAAATGCTTCACACCACTATTTTAATGAAGAGTACCCACCAGACATCACTTAAGAACTGAGGCCTAAGTCACTATATCAAAGGTATAAATTATGGTCCAAAGACAGCGCCAGGCACTGCTGAGCTTGGAATTGCTTACTGAGCAACCAAGTTGTTTCAAACAAACTAAATGTTTTAAGGAGGCTAAAGGGCAGTGGAGGCAATTATTGGAAGGAAATTTCTCACTAGGCCAGAAAGGAATAATTAAGTCTTTGCATGCTAAATCACATCACTGGGGTTAACAATGAAGTAATCAAGTGTAAATGGTGACAAAGCCCATCTACAAGACTCATGAAAGGAAATTAAGGTTGTGGGTAATCTAGACTATTGTTGCTTAAATACCACAAAAATTAGTCCCTAAAACTTCATTCATTCATCCCCTGTTTAGATAAATGTGTGTGCTTTTAGTGGGAGGCAAGAAATTGGTTAATCCAGTAATTAAGGCAAATATACTGAATCATCAGAAGTAAAACACCATTCAGCTACTAATTCACAGGCAGAGATCCAAGGTCATTCCTCATACTAAGACTGTACCAAGCACTCAGTAATAAAATACTTTCATAATAGGAGAGCCATGTCCATTCCATTCAAAAATATGATTCAAACCATTTAAATTATAAACCTAATGCATAATTTGCATATTGTACTTTCTCTGCTTTAGAACATAAAAGAGAATTCACATACACACATACATAGCTGGGGGGAATGTGGGCATGAAGCTGGGGGAAAAAATGGACACCCACGTAATCTTCCAACAATTGCTCAATAGCAAATTAAAACTGGTTATGCTCTCAGGGAGCAAAATAATGTTGATGTGAAAGTTAAAAGATCTAGATTGAGACTCTGGCTCTGCAACCTCAGGCTGTCATCTTACCTCAGAGACTCAGTTTCCTCATCTTCTTTAAGGGGTAAGGCCATGGCTAAGACTTCTCAGGACTCTCAACAGATCTGGTATGTTTGTTGTTGTTATTTTAAAAAATGGTTTAAGACTCACTAGAAGTTGCAAAACTAGTGCAGACAGTTCCTGCATACCCTTCACCCAGCTTTTCCCAATGGCAACATCTTACATAACCATAATATATCAGCTAAACCGGGAAATTTACTTTGATGCAACACTATTTACTAAAGCTACAGACCCTACTCAGATGGATTCATGTAACTACCACTACAATCATGGTAAGGAACTGCTCCACCACTGCAAAGAAATGCCCTCCTGCGACACTTTTCTGTCGCATCATTTTCCTATCTCCAACCCTAGCAACCACTGGTCTGTTCGCCAACACTATAATTTTGTCATTTATAGTAAACCTGGAATCATACAGTATACAACTTTTTGAGTTTTTTTTTTTTTTTTTTTTTTGAGACAGAGTCTCTGTCGCCCCGGCTGGAGTGCAGTGGCGCGATCTCGGCTCACTGCAAGCTCCGCCTCCCGGGTTCACACCATTCTCCTGCCTCAGCCTCCCGAGTAGCTGGGACTACAGGTGCCCGCCACCACGTCCGGCTAATTTTTTTTTTTTTTTTGTATTTTTAGTAGAGACGGTGTTTCACTGTTGAACTTGGTTTTAATCACTCAGCCTTAATACCGTTGAAAACTATCCATAGTCATGTGTATCAATAGTTTGTATACTTCTGTGTAATAGCCTGTTGTATTGACATACCAATTTATTCTGCCACATTGACTTCAAACCTTTTTATGTTTTTTCTTTTATCTTTTATTTTCTTTTTTAATGTTCCTACATGCACAGTGACTTTTATGTTTAATTAAGTTGTCACTATGGGGTAGGGAGAAACCTTTTTTTTTGAGACAGGGTCTAGCTCTGTCGCCCAGGCTGGAGTGCAGTGGTGCGATCTCAGCTCACCACAACCTCCACCTCCCAGGTTCAAGCAAATCTCCTGCCTCAGCCTCCCGAGTAGCTGGGATTACAGGCGCCTGCCACCATGCCCAGCTAATTTTTGTACTTTTAGTAAAGACAGGGTTTCACTGTGTTGGCCAGGCTGGTCTCGAACTCCCAACCTCATGATGTGCCCACCTCGGCCTCCCAAAGTGCTGGGATTACAGGCGTGAGCCACCACGCCCGGCCAAGAGGAACTTTTTAAATTTTGTTTTGCCATTGCTTAAGATGGATTCATATTCCTATAGATATTGACTAATTATCTTAATATCTAAATTTCATTCCAGCCTTCCCTGGCTACCCTACTTTAACAGCAAACCACCTTCATCTTGCTTTATTTTCCTTGATGGTATGTAACATTACCTGACCTTTTATATTCATTGTGCTTATTTACTGTCTACCACTAATCCCCCACCCCCCTGCCAGGTAAGTTATAGGAATGCAAGGATGGCATCAGATACTGTTCAATTCTGTGTCCCCAGCACCAAAAACAGTCCCTAACACATCAGACACTTAATAAACAAATGTTGAACAAATTAATTTTTAAAGTTCTGACTTATTATCTCAGTAAGTAATTATTATTTTAAAGTTGAAAGAGTACTGATTCTGTAAACCAAAAATAAAATTCTAAGGGCCCCAGCCTTCTGAATGGAACCCTCCTCTTGGCCAAAGGCATTCCAAAGTTAACCTGAAAAACTAGTTCAGACCATGATGGGAAGGGGAAGTTGGACATGCCTCATTATATCCTACACCCTTTTGGAATTTAGTAAGAGCCAACCAGCATTAGCATCAACACAGACCTGAAGACTTATAAGAAACATTTATAATACAATCTATTCTCTTTGAAGCCTGCTACCTGGAGGCTTCATCTGCATGATAAAACTTTGGTCTCCACAATCCCTTATCATTGGAACTCGGACATTCCTTTCTATTTATTCCAGGCTTTTAGATAAAAACTAAACTCTTTCAGCCAATTGCCAATCCGAAAATTTTTAAATCTACCTATAACCTGGAAGCTCCCTGGCTTCAACTTGTCCCTCCTTTCCAGATCAAACCCATGTCATCTCACAGGTATTGATTGATATATTATGTCTCCCTAAAAAGTATAAAAGTAAGCTGTACTCCAACCACGTCTTCAAGACTGTCTGTGGCTGTGTCACAGGCAAGTCCTTAGCCTTGGCAAAATAAACTTTCTAAATTGATTGAGATCTGTCACAGATACTTTTGGGTTGACAATTCCATGAACCATTATACAAATATTTGTAGCTCTCAAAGAATAGTTTGAATAAATAAAATTATTGGCCGGGCACAGTGGCTCATGCCTGTAATCCCAGCACTTTGGGAGGCCAAGGCAGATAGATTGCCTGAGGTCAGGAGTTCGAGACCAGTCTGGCCAAGATGGTGAAACCCTGTCTCTACTAAAAATACTAAAACTTAGCCAGATGTGGTGGCATGCACCTGTAATCCCAGCTACATCAGGGGCTGAGGCAGGGGAATTGCTTGAACCAGGGCGGTGGTGGTTGCAGTGAGCCGAGATCATGCCACCTGCTCTCTAGCCTGGAAGACAGAGCAAGACTCTGTCTCAAAAAAAAAAAAAAAAGCAAAATTATTTGCATTAAACATTTTTATTCACCTCCACAAATTATCTCCTACAATTTCAACAAAGTACTGAGCCCATGGAAAACTGGGAAGACAAGGAAGAAGCACAGGAAATTTTATCTTGTCATCCAACAGACACAAGCCACAGCAACACAAGTCAAAAGTCTTAC
Source organism: Homo sapiens (assembly GCF_000001405.40). Classification (NCBI taxonomy): domain Eukaryota; kingdom Metazoa; phylum Chordata; class Mammalia; order Primates; family Hominidae; genus Homo; species Homo sapiens. The sequence goes on from NC_000011.10 coordinate 27,454,947, forward strand.
TAAATGTTAATATTAAATTAAATGTTAAAGATTAACACAGTCAAAGAAAGGACCATCTCTTCTGATAATGCTCTTCCACTTGCCTTCTCTGTCTGTCTTTCTTTCTTTTTTCCAGGTCTCACTTTGTCACCCATGCTGGAGTGCAGTGGCACCATCATAGTTCCCTGCAGCCTCAAATTCCTGGTCTCTAAGTGATCCTCCTGTCTCAGCCTTCTGAGTAGCTGAGACTACAAGTGTGTGCCACCACGCCAGGCTAATTTATTTTTTGTACAGATGGGGTGTTTCATTTTTAACATACCCTGGAGCACTATAAATGATTCTGGTCAAGTCATACAACTAAATGTAACTGGATTTCTCCCCCATTAAATGGGGAATTTGAGCCAGATCAACTGCCAGCTCTTAATAGAGAAGTACACAAAGAAGGGAGGAAAAGTCTAAAAAAAAACAACAACAAGAATTTGGTGTTATGATTTATGTGACTGAAAAGTTTAACAAATAATAACTACCATGTCTATAAACAGGTTAATATAATATACACCATTGGGAGAAACTGACTTTTTGCTTTCCCCATGGAACGACATAGCCTTTTTGATGGGTGGGCCATAATAAACAAGAGTTTTAGATCCACTGCATTAGATGACCTTTAAGATCCTTTCCAAATCTACATTCTAAGGAGCTGAGAACACTTCAAGCACAGAACAAAACAAAACCTCTCCAGAATTAATTCCCCATCTACATAATGAGAAGTTTCCGATACCTAAGACATGTACAATGGATGAACGCCTACATTTAGGAAGAGCACTGAAAGATACTGTTATACAGCCCACTCAACCAAATAACCCTAGTCTATAAAAGCAAGATCCAACACCCTACCTGCAAAACCTCTCATTACTAGTGGTAATAAGTCCTCACTTGCCATGGTTTCTCCATCTCTAAAATGGGGAGAATAATAGCATTGCTTTGGAGGCCTATTGGGAGGATTAAATAGATAACACGTGTTACGCACTTCATTTAGTGCCTGGCATTCAATAACATTATTATGAGCATCTAAGTTAATAACAAGAGGATGGTGATGATATTATCTGAATGGCAGGACAGACCAGAGAGCTCTTCATGACTAAGAATGCAACATAAGTGAAATGAGAAAGCAAAATGCTTCCAGGGGAAGAAGACAACCTTTAGAATCACCAAGCAAATGACTGTTTAGCATGAGGCTGGCTATCACCAGTACATTCAAAATTAAAACTGTGGCCACAGATTCAATCATGAATAATAGCCCTGCTGCTAAAGGAAAGAGCACACAGATCCAAATGGGAACCCATCAAGTCTGTAAAACATTAACAGCTTAATAAACATCAGCTCACACCATCAACACACAGTGTTCGAGTCAACTAAAGAGTACCAACTAAATTAATACCAAGTTGACTAAATGAAATGCCTTGGGGGAGAAAAAGGCTCATGGGTGATTCACTTTTATGCTGACTTCCCTATAAAAACATCTTCAACAGGAGAGGCAGGAAATTCCAGTGAGTGAAAGGGGGCAGCTATATGGAAACCATCATACTGCACATTTTGCTTTTTAATCTACTGCAAAGTTTTGGTTTAAAGGAGCACATTCAGAAATTTGCTCCTTTAGAAACAGAAAAGTGAGTCTGCTAACAGATCTGATCCTCATATACCATGTAAGTGAAGTCCACGGAAGAAAGAAAAAGCCAGTCAAAAAGCATATGACTGATACTTTCCAGACACACACAAAAAAACACTATTAACATGGGAAATGATGTGAAAGCTTTTAAACAAGTATGTATAAAAAGCAAAAAGACCAAGTTAGAGATACTTTTTAAAAGTTCTGCTATGAATAACAGACAACTTCATTTTACACAACAGATTTTGAATCTATTGTGTAGATTTTTGACTCTAAATCAAGTCATAGTCTCCCAGTGTATGCAGACATATAGATGTATGTGTGCTTTTTGGGTACACATTTTTTTCTGTTCTGATTTTTTTTTCCTGTAATAACCTGTAGCTTCTCACCATTTTGTTTCTCATTTCACCTGTTCCTCTTCTGATAAATTGTCAAATATCTAAGCAAACTACAGGGATGAGCAAACTTAAATATGGAACACCTGAGCTTCACAAACTACCACCCACTAACTGTGGGATATTTGAACAAGTTACCTAATCCTTTTAAATCCCAGTTTGCTCAGTGATAAAATGGGAATCCTGCCATGGACCAAGATGGTTACTGTGGAAATTCTAGTTAGCACATGTAAAATGCATAATGTATAGGTAGGCCCAGCAATTCTTCACTAAATATCCATTTTTTAAAAAAATCAGACATTCCAAATATGAATACATTAATAATTCAAACTTTTTTCACTGTAAGCAAAATGCTTCACATTAGGGTAATTTCTACAGGAGTCTCTGGCGGGGATTACAGCAACTGCTAGGTATCATAAAGGGAGCTAAGAATTCTTCTCTTTTAAAAGCAGACATTCTCAGCATAGAGGAGTTTAAAGAACTTAAAGAAAGCAGACATTTAAACAAAATCAGTTTTTAACAGCTTTTGCTAATACTACATACCATGCTAACAATATATTGTGACTATAAGTAATTGGTGATAACAAACCTCACCACAGTCTAAGACATTAAAATTGAGACCAACATTTTCTTATAAACATACATTTACCATATGACCCAGGATCTCACTCTAGGTATTTATGCAAGTGAAATAAATACCTATGTTCATACAAAAACTCTGTGTGAATATTTATGGTGGCTTTATTTATAATAGCCAAAAAGCTAGAAATAGGGCAAATGTCCCTTGACTGGTGAATGGAGAAACAAATTATAGTATACGTACACAATGGAACACTCCTTAGCAATGAAAATGAGTACTGGCCAGGCACAGTGGCTCACACCTGTAACCCCAGCACTTTGGGAGCCAGGGCAGGAGGATCATTTGAGGCCAGAAGTTCAAGACTAGCCTGGGAAACACAGCAAGACCCCATCTCTGCAAAAATTAAAAAAAAAATTAGCCAGGCATGGTGGCACATGCCTGTAGTCCCATCTATTTGGAGGGCTAAGGTAGGAGGACTGCTTGAGCCCAGGAGTTAGAGGCTGCAGTGAACTGTGATCATGCCACTGTGGTCCGGCTTGGGCAACAAAGCAAGTCCCCATCTCAAAAAGAAAAAGAAAAGAAAGTGAGTATTACATATTAATATACGCAACATGTTAGAATCTCAAATGCAGTATGGTGAGAAAAATAGGCCAGACGCAAAAGGTTACATTGTTTTATTACATTTATATGGCATCCTAATAAAGGCAAAACTACATAAAGTGAGGAAACCAAGGTAGAAAATAGTTCAGCAGTTGTCAGAGGTTGGAGGTGAAGAGAGGAGATAACTACAGAGAGGCATGGAAATTCATCAAGTGAAGAAATGCTCTATATCTTCACAGTGATGGTGGTCACATGACTGTATACATTGTGAAACTCATAGAACTGAACATTAAAAAGGATGACTTTTAAAATTGAGGAGCTTGGGGGAGTTTTCTCTATAAATTCATAGTTTTTTTGTTTTCTTAATTTTTTTAAGTATTTTTTTTTTTGAGATGGAATTTCGCTCTTTTCACCCAGGCTGGAATGCAATGGCACGATCTCAGCTTACTACAACCTTTGCCTCCCGGGTTCAAGCAATTCTACTCTCTCAGCCTCCCGAGTAGCTAGGATTACAGCCACCCACCACCATGCCCAGCTAATTTTTGTATTTTTAGTAGAGACGGGGTTTCACCATGTTGGCCAGGCTGGTCTCGAACTCCTGACCTCAGGTGATCCGCCCACCTTGGCCTCCCAAAGTGCTGGGACTACAGGCATGAGTTACCATGCCGGGCCTTGAATTCACAGTTTTGAAAGTCAGGGAAGCAGTCAAAGTAAGGAAGATGGAACATCTAAGATTAAACCATTTATTTTAGGATAAAAATATGGAGGCAATAAATAAAAAGGGAACCACAAATAGATTCATTTATGAAGAACCATAAAACAGAAACTTTTAAAAATTTAACCTTAAATGAGCCAATAAATTTAAAGGAAATCTATTATAATCAAGAACTACAAAAGGAATCAGTTTTATGAGAAAATGTGAAAGGCAATAATTTCTTTTAGCATGTTGTTATTCAGCTTATGTTCAGTAATGATACCAAGAACCATCAGAAATAACTTCTAGAAGAGATGTCTATATAAATTTAAATATGTGGCTATATCTGAGATAAAATAATCAACAGGAGCTTGCTTCCTTTTAGATAAATCATCAACTTCTGTCTGTCAAAACCAGTCTACATGTCTGAAAAACAATGAAACTAGAAACTCAGGCTCGAGTAACTTGAGGGTTGGGAAGGACCCTGATGAAATGGATGTCATTACTTCCTCTGCCAACGTCATAAATCTTCTTATCCTTGGATGTCACAGCGGGGGGTTTTTCCTCCTTCTGGAATTCTGGAATGCCACCTCAGCCAGGATGGTGTGAAGGGCAAATTCTTTTTTTTTTTTTTGAGACAGAGTCTTGCTCCGTCACCCAGGCTAGAGTGCAGTGGTGCGATCTCGGTTCACTGCAACCTCCACCTCCTGGGTTCAAGTGATTCTCCTGCCTCATCCTCCCAAATAGCTGGGATTACAGGTGCCCACCACTGCACCTGCCTAATTTTTGTATTTTCAGTAGAGACGGGGTTTCACCATCTTGGCCAGGCTGGTCTCGAACTCCTGACCTCATGATCCACCCACCTCGGCCTCCCAAAGTGCTGCAATTACAGGCATGAGCCACAGCACCTGGCTAGCAAATTCTTTTAACACAGAATAAGCACTGAGAGTCTGGGTGCAATGGCTCATTCCTGTAATCCCAGTACTTTGAGAGGCCAAGGCAGGTGGATCACCTGAGGTCAGGAGTTCGAGACCAGCGGGGCCAACATAGTGAAACCCCATCTCTACTAAAAATACAAAAATCAGCCAAGTGTGATGACATGTGCCTGTGGTCCCAGCTACTCGGGAGGCTGAAGCATGAGAATCACTTGAACCGGGAAGCGGAGGCTACAGTGAGCCGAGATGGCACCACTATGCTTAAGCCTGGGCAACTGAACAAGACTCCGTCTCAAAAAAAAGAATAAGAGCTGAGAAAGGAATTAACTTACCCTTCTATTTCATGTTCTTGACCATCTCCTGTCACACCTGCTGATGAGCCTCAATACTATAGCTTCAGATGCCACAGACCAAAGCCCTCAATGCTAGCTGACCTGAAACCGAGCTCCCAAGAAGAAGGCTAATACTATATGCAACGGAAACCTTTAAAGGTCATTGCAGCAGTGTTTGGCTAGCAGGACAATGATCAATTGATCTCTTTCTGTGGGCTGACAAGAAGATAAACATAAAGGCAGGCAGTTTTCAAGGCCTATCCTACTGGGAATTCAAGCATCTGTGATCCCAACACACACCACATATCAAATCTGGCAGAGCAATACCCAAATCCCCTGTGCTCACGCATACACAAATGTCCTTTGGTGAAATACATGATTAGGTGGAAAACCCATCATGGAAGCCAGCCATCCTAAGTTAATTCAAACTGATATTAGAAATTGATTTATCCAAAACAAGGGATTTTCTTTCTACAGAATGTAATGAGGCTCTGGAAAACACAGTTTGATTACTAACAGCAGAGCCTGTGGTTTGTGCACAGATTTGCCAACCTACCATGAAGAATGAAGCGTTCTGCTGCATGCCCTCACAGCCCCAGACTCTGTGTGTGAAGGGTAGGAATGAAATATTCCATATGTTTTCTTTGTCAGTGACATGGCTATTGAAAGCAAGGCCATGGTAGTCTCCCTGCTGAGGGACTGGGTCAAGCTATTCATGTGTAACCAGGCAGATGTCAAGATGGTAATGGGAAAAACATCTCAAACTTTTTTTTTTTTTTAAAGAAGGAGACCCAGGGTAGAAAACGCACAACTGTATTTGAAACACTCAGCCAATCTAAATAGGTTGTGAGGGCTACTGCATACGTTAGCTACTATTCTGTCTTTGTAATTCATGTTTAAATCAGGTCTGAATCAAAACTCAGAGAAGTTTTTAGTTTCTGAGAAAGATTTAACCGTGCTTAAGAATGTCATATAAACTTTTTAAAATATGTAATACTTTAAAGAAAGGATTTTAGTTCTAAATTTACTTTTAAGATAATAAGCTTTTCTTTAGCTACAAAACCAAGCATTAATCTCAAATGTAAAAAAAAACATAGGAGCACCGTGGCTCACACCTGTAATCCCAGCACTTTCAGAGGCTGAGGCAGGAGGATTGCTTGAGGCCAGGAGTTCGAGACCAGCCTGGACAACAAAATGAGATCCTATCTCCATAAATTAAAAAAAAAAAAATAACACATAGGTACCCCATAACCAGTAAAATCATAAAATAAATACTTTCAAAATACTTAAAAAGTTCATGTGTAATCTGCATATTTCTAGAACCAAAGTGATGTGAAAAATAAGAATGCAGCCAAATTGTCCATGATAAGTAAATCTTACCCATCTTCTACATCAAGCTTGTCCAACCCACAGCCCACAGGCCCCATGCAGCCTAGGATGGCTTTGAATGCAGCCCAACACAAATTCATAAACTTTCTAAAAACATTATGGGATTTTTCTGCACATTTTTTTTTTTTTAGCTCATCAACTATTGTTACCGTTAGTATATTTTATGTGTGGCCAAAGACAATTCTTCTTCCAGTGTGGTCCAGGGAAGCCAAAAGATTGGACACCCCTGCTCCTTATGTCCACATGGAAAGAAAGAAAGTGATCCAAGAAACTACAGTGGGCTCTCATTGGCATGAAGGTTCCCAAAGATTGAGTTAGGATTTTTTTTTTTTTTTTTTTTTTTTTGAGGTGGAGTCTCACTCTGTCGTCCAGGCTGGATCTTGGCTCACTGCAACCTCCCCCTCCCGGATTCAGGCAATTCTCCTGCCTCAGTCTCCCAAGTAGCTGGATTACAGGTGCCCGTCGCCATGCCAGCCTAATTTCTTTTTTGTATTTTTAGTAGAGAAGGGTTTCACCACATTGGCCTGGCTGGTCTCGAACTCCTGATCTCAGGTAATCTACCCGCCTCGGCCTCCCAAAGTGCTGGGATTACAAGCGTGAGCCACAGCCCCCAGCCACTGAGTTAGGACTTTTAATGAAAGTCCTCAGTGTCACAAAGTCTGGAAGTAGAAAGTCAGTATCTACAGATCACATTGACACTGTCTTTAAAGGATGGGCTATCACACGCCCATTTGCTCTGAAGAGAAACCCTGCGTTCCCATGTTAGGACAGCACCTTTCTACTTGACCAGCCATCTCAGGAAGGCAGCAACAAGTCACAGAGACCCAGGCAAAAATGTAAGATTTCCCTTGAGCTCCCTCCTCCAGATAAACTGTACCTCTCCTCCATAAGGCTTTCTTGTTAGAGGGAAGTAGCACCATCTACAAGAAGGTATCTTTATAAAATCAGATGTACTACTGTTTCTCTACCAGGGTCTTCATGGATTTTTATATGAAGAATCTACCAGATGAGTAGCCTTTTTCCATTAGCACAGTGGCTCACCTGTGAAGTCTATGGGCTTTGAACCTGATATACATTCAAAGAACCAAAGAAACAGGGTTAGAATTTTAATTCACTGTTATAACACACAGACAACGGCTTAGTCACTCCCACAAGAAATGACAAATTGCATTCTCACTCGGCGTCACTCAAAAAAGTCATGCTGAAGCGTTTCCTTGGTGCAACCCTGAAGATAATGCAAGCTGCCTCTTCTTGCACATGGGAAATGCTAAGTCCAAAGTGGTTAAGTGACCTGCCCAAGCTCTACAATGCCCTCCTGAACTCGGATGTCTTCATTTCCTGTGCCAGACTCTTAAAAAAAAGAAAAAGAAAGGAAAAAAACAAACCATTTTTGAAAATCTATTCATAAAAATATGCCTACAAAAGAAGTCTGAGGGCCTGGCGCAGTGGCTCATACCTGTAATCCCAGCATTTTGGGAGGCCAAGGCAGTCAGATCACTTGAGCCCAGGAGTTCAAGACCAACCTGGGCAACATGGTGAGACCCTGTCTCCAAAAAAAAAAAAAAAAAAAAAAAAAAATACAAAAATTAGCCAGGCATGGTGGCACTCACCTGTAGTCCTAGCTACTTCGGAGACTGAGGTACGAGGATGCCCTTAGCCTGGGAGGTTGAGGCTGCAGTGAGCCATGATTGTGCCACTGCACTTCAGCCTGGGTGACACAGTGAGATCCTGTCTCAAAAATAAAAAGACTGGGGAGTTGATAGTAACATAAAAAGCTAGATGACATGACCATGGACTCAAAATGAACTTGGAGAACGGAAGGCCAACAAGAAAATTTTTCCTTGTAGAAAAAATTAAGATGTTTAAAAACTAATCAAATGAGATAAATAGCAGAAATAGCAGAGAAGGGATGAAAACTGAGATTATGATAAACTGCTAAATATCAGTTAATAAACCCATAATGTGTAATATTTAAAACATGACACTTGGCTGGGCGTGGTGGCTCACACCTGTAATCCCAGCACTTTGGGAGGCTGAGGCGGGCGGATCACCTGAGCTCAGGAGTTCGAGAGCAGCCTGGCCAACATGGTGAAACCCCGTCTCTACTAAAAATACAAAAATCAGCCGGGTGCGGTAGCAGGTGCCTGTAATCCCAGCTACTCGGGAGGCTGAGGCTGAAGAATCACTTGAACCCAGGAGGCGGAGGTTGCAGTGAACCGAGATCGTGCCACTGCACTCTAGCCTGGGCAACAAGAGTGAAACTCCATCTCAAAAAAACAAAACAAAACAAAAAAAATGACAGAAACATATTTGAAATGTATTAAATTCATTTAATGTTCCCTTCTTATGAACTCTGATTAAATTAAGTAAGAATTCCGCGTACACTTCAACTTGTGTGAGAGAAGGAGATCCTGAAGGGCAACTGAAGAGCAATTATCACATTTAAAATACGCAAAATCTGAATTAATTTAGTACCTAAAACAGAAGGCTGAAGAGCACATGAACAGTTTCCACGAACTGAAATCTGAAGGTCCACAGTTAACATATCTGCTTTCTCTTCCCTACTACAGAAAAGAGTTGATAGGCTGGCCTAAGAGTTCCTGTTAAGTTACTCAAGAGAGAGTGTTCTCTCATTTTCTGGAGAATTATTCTGCAAAAATGCAGTTCTCTGAGACGGTTTGCACACAGGAGAAGGCTGGCAATCTAGAATGGAGTGGCAACCATGAGTTTCCTCCCTCCTGAAAATATCTGGTCTGCCAAGCCCTTCATATGTGACCCTTATGGTTTCTTCAAGGGCTTCTAGGCATACAGCTGATCCCTTAGGGAAATGGGAGAAACCAGGAAGTTAGCCATAGCCCACTCCTTACTCCCTAGTTTCAGAGAAGAGATTGCCAGTTTGCAAACACACCTCCCATTCAGCAACTTCAAAACCAGACACTTGAAGAGAGTGCGAATTATAAAATTCATCTCCCCTCACATGAAAACAGCTCTAATAAAACTCTTTAGGGGAGTTTCGATGTCACCACTTGTACTAAATGACTCTGCTGTTTACACTAAGAGCTACATAAGGAACCTCAAAGCCTGAGGGGAGTGGAGAAGTGTGACCTGAAGCAATCCCAGGCACATTCCTTAGCTATGCCTAGTACAGCTCCAAGGTAAGGAGCTATCTCCCTGCCAAATTTATGTCACTCTTCTTAGGAAGAAAAATTTCCCCAAATAGAACTTTAAAAATATAAGGGGATAGAGAGAATGTAACTTGTTATTTTTTCTGGATATCGGGTTCTACACTCTGATTCAAATACCAAAAGTACTTTGCTGCCAGGGTACAATGAGATTTTCACTCTTTCAAGGGTCAATTTTGTTTTTAAAACTTTGAAAAAAAAAACCTGCATTCTCCTAGTGTCAATCTAGAAAACACAACCAGCTAAAGGGGTTTACGCAGCCTTTTAAAAAGGCTTATCTTGATTCAGATTACTTAATTACAAATTAAATATAAGGAATAAAGAACCACTAAATGTCTTGTAACATATTAAATATGCTTCCTCTGCACATTTTCTCACTAGCACAAACAGCAGGCCAGCCTGGGATCTAAACGTATACCCAATCTTGGCCCAGCTGCCTCCCAAAATATCTATGGTTTACATTTCCTTACAAGGATATGCTTATATTCTTATGAACCAACATGTTGCCACAGGAGGGTGGTTCAATGTCTTACCCATAAGATCTTTCATGACAGAAAGCTAAGAAGGATATATATTTTAAATATTCATTTCAGGGACCTGGACTATTAGAAAGGCATTGCTGAACCCAGATGCATAACGCCAAATCTTGTGGTTGGGGGAAGACCAGGCTAGTGAGCTTTTCTGACAATTAAAATACGTAATGGTATGAAAAACATGTTTTAGAGATTAAAACCAACCAACCCAATCATTCAGAGTTTTAATTGCCTGGACACGACACAGAATATTTTAGTATGCTTTAAAGATCTTGCTAAAAATAGCTCAGCCATACACAAAGTTTAATAACGAATATTTGTCTATGTGTGAGTGAACTCAGAGTATACTAGCACACAATTACATCTTGCAATTTAAAAGAGGTGTTTGAATACTAACTTGTTAGTCTTCGGAAAGTTGAGAAGTTATCAACTGTACATGAGCTAAAAAATCACGATCTGTCTCATGCTAAGACTGATTTCTAAACTCAATTTTTAACTCACACAATTTTAGACAATAGAGTTGACACCTAGCATACAGTGTGACCATCAGGTGCTGAAAGGCACAAAAGAAATGTCAAGAGAGGCAGACAAATTAGCCATTGTGTAAGAGTACTGATTTGCTAAATGTCCTAGATTTTTTTCTTCACTGACAGGATTTACAATTACAGCATTTTATCATCTTCAATCAAGCTTTTAAAAAACCACACTTCACCGAACAAAGTTGGGGGAAAAAAGAAAAAAAGTCATCCATATTCTTTTATGTATAGGAAAACAAGCTTTAACATTGCCAACAACTTGAAGGCCGCACGGGACGGTTAAATAGCAAGCTGGGTAACATATTTCTCACTCCAAAACCTTGAGATCAAGTTTAAAAAATTAAAAGAGCAAAGGTGTCTTATAAAGAATACTCTAAGTTACATTACTTTTATTTTTCAGAGTTAAAGGCACATTTGGCAGGGTTTTAACTTTTAACTCAAGTATACCAACAAATACTGTACTTTTATAGATATTTATCTTTTTTTAATAGAGAAAAGGCAGGAGACAGTCTTAAAAATATTTCCATAAATTACTAAATGATTCTTGCAACTTTACTTAATATTCTACTCAGATTCACAGAAATTCAAAGCAAAGAGAGAGGCATTAGCCATCATCTAGTCAAATGTCCATTATTTATTGATTAGAAGAATGAGAATAAAAGGCACAATCAAGGAGACCAGAAACCAAAATCCAAACTTGCAGGCTGCCAGTACTTTCCATTATTATAAAGATGACTAAAATAAGAAGCTGAGAGATAGACCTGACAGAGACAGAGGCCAAGAATATGCCTAAACTTGCCTGGATCTACCTACTAATACAGAACTTTGATCTTTCCTAAGAGATTAAGTTGTCAAATGTTACCTTACAATCCTAATGTTAAGAGCCAAGGGCCTGGACATTAAACACTTATGATACCATAACCGGCAGAGCATTTAGTTTGACTGGAAATTATAAAACATTATTGGTTACTGCAAGTGTTAAGGAACCCTAAGTGAGAGAATTACTGGTTCATGTCTTTTTTATTTTTTTTTCTTGAGAGGAGTCTCGCTCTGTTGCCCAGGCTGGAGTGCAGTGGCACAATCTCGGTTCACTGCAACCTCTACCTCTGGGGTTCAAGAGATTCTCCTCCCTCAGCCTCCCAAGTAGCTGGGACTACAGGCGTGCACCACCACGCCCGGCTAATTTTTTTTTATTTTAAGTAGAGACGGGGTTTCACCATGTTAGCCAGGCTGGTCTTGAATTCCTGACTTCAAGGGATCTACACACTTTGGCCTCCCAAAGTGTTGGGATTACAGGTGTGAGCCACCACACCTGGCCTCAAGTCTTAAGAATTGCTCAGATCATATCCAGTACACTTTTGCCTGTGAGGCATGAGTTCCCCATGCAATGGAAATATTCCAGGTGAACTGGACAACTGGAAGAGTCTCCTGGGTTGGTGAGAGATTCTACAGTTTAGACACCTATACTTCATTTAACACAATAGAGAGGACCCAAGGAATGTATAAAAATCAAAATAAGGCGGGGCACGATGGCTTGTACCTGTAATCCCAGCACTTTGGGAGGCCGAGGCAGGAGGACCACGAGGTCAGGAATTCAAGACCAGCCTGGCCAAGATGGTAAAACCCCGACTCTACTAAAGATACAAAAAAATTAGCCAGGCATGGTGGCGGGTGCCTGTAATCCCAGCCACTCGGGAGGCTGAGACAGAGAATTGCTTGAACCTGGGAGGTGGAGGTTGCAGTGAGCCGAGGTCGTGCCACTGCACTCCAGCCTGGGCAACAGCGCAAGAGTCCGTCTCAAAAAAAAAAAAAAAATCAAATTAAATAGAGAACAACAATAAAAAACACTTTTGGCAGTTAAGAGTTGTTGACTTGTTTTACAGATTTACAGATGAGGAAAATAAGGTCCTGAAGGGTTAAGAATATGACTCATTCAAGGTCACTCCTGTGAATTATTGACAGATCTGGAACCCAGCACTCCCTATGCCTGGCAGAATATTTTTTCCTCGCTTATATTTAAAGAGAACACATGGTTCACTAGTTTGGAAAATAAAGGACCTATACTTAAAGATATTCATACATCGTTCTTGTTTTGAACAAAGTTCACTTGTATATAAAACTAATGCATCTCTAGAAAGACACACAACACAAACTAAGCCAACAATTGATTTCTGTAATTCAGAAATCAAAAGATAACAAAACTCTACCATCAATAAATACAAACATGTAGCCACTGACTACTGACCTGACCTGCCAGGAAATACACAGTAGATATCAGAGAATACGTTAAAAAGTACTTTCAAATGGTATTAGTAAAAGAAGAAAGGTGCTTGGAGTAGTGGGGGAAAAAAAATACACCTTAGGGAAGAATCTGAGATGATCTTTCCAAAAGGAGATTCTTTAAAAACACTTTAAAGTCCTTCAGGTAACTCAATTCTAAATAAAAAGCTCAACAACCTGCTCATGTACAGGATACATACACTGTGAAGGTTTGAGAGATTATGACTAATTATATGGAAGTGAGGATGTTGAGTAACTTTTTGTACAGTATCCAAATTACTGAAACAGAGTGATTTTATTTTCCAAGTGTTAAGCCATACCCACAGGAAACAACCAGGGCTATTCTACCCTAGCAAAGTGCCTTAGCTAGTCATGCATTCTGCAACAAGTCTCCATGGCAAATTTCCTAACACACACTTCTAAACACAAAGAACTCCTCCAAGTAATAAAGAGGGTGGTGTGAGCTCAACTAAAAGGATATTCTGCTACTCCTGGGATATTTTTATGAGAGGATCATAACCTTATTGTCACCTTGCCATCCTAAAATGGTGTAAAAAATATAAAATCATAGAACTTCTGGAAGTAAGCAGCAGCCTTAGAGGTGATCAAGTGAATCCAGTTGCTTCACTTTTCAGATGAGGAAATTGTCACGAGAAAAAAAAAAAAAAAGTGAATGACTTGCCCAAGGCCATTCAATTACTCAGTGGCATAGTAAAGCTATGATCAAGGACTCAGGTCCACCACTTTCTTCACGAAGTCACAGAAATAGCCTTGCTAATCTTAAAACTATGTGCCAAACATAACCTAGGACATGCAAATTTGTGCTCGAGGTCTACGTTTCTCAAACACCGTAGCAATAACACACAAACCAGAGGACTCACATACACATTCCCCTCCCCATGACTTCATCTCTTCTCCCAATCTTGGAATGTAGGTGATTGAGTTATTAGCACAAATACAGTAATAACCTTGAATCCTTCTGATTAAACTTCGGAATTTTAATATTAGTAAGATTACTGCCTTGAACACTCCTCGGGGTGAATTGTGACAGGCCAGTGCATTGTGACACAAGATTGAATACTGTTGTTCAAAAACATAAATAGTTGCTACAGGTGCAGCAAATGGTGTGAATACAGGAATCCCATTCACAGTACTGAGGATCACATCTGACGCTGTCCCCAGACTCCGGTAAAGCGGCTTTCACCAGGAAATAGACACTGTTAGACTGAACAAGTTTCAACCAGCCTCAAGGAGAAGAAGCAGGTATTCTCTCTCTGGGACCTTCTCAAATCTGGACAAAAGGCTAAGTGCTGAGAATGAATCTGAAAATCCCCTGTGGGAATGGTGTCTGAATTCCATGCCACGGTTCTGCTCCTCGGTGTGGCCTTGCATCCTTATTTATTCACTCCAGCATTTTTAAGTGCCTCCTATGTACCGGGCTCTGGGGATCCCAAGTTGAGTAAAATAAAATCACTGCCCTGTCAGTCCCAGGATCTTTAAAGTGAAATGCACCCCCCACCCCTGTCCCCAGGGAAGGTGAAAGCACTACTCCAGGACAAGCCATTGAGCAATGAGAAGAAAATGAAGAACTCTGATTAGTAATTATAGTTTCATCTTTTTAACTTCTACTTTCATGATTGTAATTTTCTGTATAACTACAGAGGTTTTTGGTTCACATGCTCCAGCAATTAAGAATAGGTGAACAAACGCTTAGAGACCACGGAACTAGTCTCCTGATGTGTAACTGTATCTCAGTAAAGCTGCGATGGGAGAGCAGACTGGAAGTACTTGGAAAAAGACCCTAGGTGATCGCAACATGTCCCATATATGATCGACTGGAGTGTGCAAACCTGCAGCACTGGCCTTGCTTCATACATTGCTTTTGAGAATCACTGAATGAGCTAGTTTCCCCATGAGTAAAATGCAAATATGCTGTCCTTGAAAACCCTTTTAGAGAGGGTGGTTATATATATTTTTGAGGGTGAAATGAGTACTAAGGAGAAATAAGGAGTCACCAGAATGTACGATCACTCTACCTACAGGTCACAAATCTAAGAAAATAAAACACATTTGCACACCACCAAAGCTCAGAAAGTGCTAAGATAATGCTAGTTTAGGCACTCTAATTGAGACTGGTACCAATTATTTTTCTGTTTCCTAAGCCATGAACACTAACTTATTCTAAGGCCCAAAGTTGAAGATACAGCATTTCACCACCTTCAGTGAGTTCTACCAGAAGATGCTTTGGAGAGAGGAGTATGCTCTCATAAAAGTGTGATTATTTCTCTGTGGTTTTAGATACTAATGTAAAACAGCCCGTTTCCTTATAGGACAAGTCTACTCACTAAAATGTGAGGAATCTGCTAAACAAGGTCTTTACTACTGGTCAAAATAGTAAAATTGTGCTTTTCTATTCTATGCAGAGCCTTGCAAGAGGTTCAGGTAAAGGGACCTTTCTTTCTGCATTTCTTTCTGCACGAATTCCCTAAACGTTTCTAGAGAACTTGGGGAAAAATTAGTCCCATTTCCTCTCCACAGGTCTTCTTTCTCTTGATTCAATCAATTCCTGCTCAAACTTTCCCACTTAATGTAACTTTATGAACAAAATGCTCTTCACTGCAAAGTTAACTTTTTTTTTTAATGACAAGTTAAACTTCACTATACTGAAAAAAAAAAAAAACCTCAAATACATAACTAAAACTAACCTGAGACAGGAAAAATAACAAATGGGGAGGGGAAGGCTGAAGGTAGAAGAATGAAACAGGTTCCAAGACAACAGGCCTCGATGCTCACTAAAAGTCCATCCTGAGAGGGCAAGCGGAACACCTTTGCCACCACCCACCTGGAAATACAGCAATGCTCCTGCCTGCATAAAGATTTCTTCACAGGGTCCTTTAAAACTGTCTATTTCTAAGAGGTCCCTTCCACTACAGGTAAAAGGAAATTCCCTCTACCCTAGGGCCCCTCAGGATCCCTTCCTCTCTCACACGTTTCTTCGACTGCTCCTGATTTAAGCATTCAGCTGGCCACGCAACGCAAGAAGCAATAAGAACACAAAAACCCTACCCTGTTCCTCCTCTATCCGTGGCCTTTGCCACCACCTCCACAACCTAGTTCAGATTCCTCTTCTTTTCTCAAGGGAACGTCTAAAGCTCTCAAGTCCGTTTTGGCAGGGCGATTTTGTAAGTCTGAAACATTTCAGTGTGTCTCTCGATCTCAGGCAGCTCAAAAGAAAAGATCTGCTGGCTGCGTGAAGGTGCATTAGAAACCTGCTGCTACCTTGCAGCCTGGGCTGAGCATATGCTCCGGAACTTGCTTCTCTTCCAACATCCTGCACCTCAGGTCAGCATTCCTTCTTTAAAAGGCCTTGTTGGGTAAGAGCATGTCCACCAACAGAACCCTGTAATTCTCCCTTGTTTTCTCGGACTCCCCTGCGTGCTGCAGAAGCCTGGGCGTTAGTGGGGTAGTCCCGAGTGGAACTGGGCCGAGGTAGGTGCCGGGACGCACTACCTGGATGGGGCCAAATTGGAAGGAGATTCGCCCTGACTGAGGTACAGGTGTTTCTTCTCCCCACATGCTGGAACCCAGGAGGCTCCAGGTGCTTCCCCACGAGACATGCCTCGGTATGCAGACTGAGGCCAAGTTCTCGGCGCCCTCAGCCCCGCCAGTAGCGGAACTCCTGCCCGCTGAGCGAGGGCCCTCATGAGAAGGGAAGGTCGCGTGGACAGGCTGCCAGGGGCAAGCGTTTTTAGATTACTTCCTCCTTCTTGGCCCCAGATGCACTTGTGAGTTGGGGGTGTGCGCGGTGGGGTGGGAGGGTGCTTGTGCCCAAAAAGTCTGGGAACGAAAGCTACTGCTGGCTCGAACCCGGACTAGCAAAGTGCGGAAAGCCCGTGGCACAGGAGTGGGTGCCAGGCAGCCCGCACGCAGGTGACCGGCGGACCCCCTCCCCAGGCCCGGGCGGCGGCGGGGCGGGGTGGGGTGGGACTGACCCCTGGCTCCGCCCCGCGGCGCCCCCCGCTGGGCCCCGTTTCCTCCCCCCCCCTCGCGTCCCCGCCGCCCGCACTCACAGCGCTTGGGTGAAGGCGCTGAGCCCCTCGGGCACGGCCGTCAGCCCCTTCCCGGAGCAGTCCACCCGACGGTCGCCGTCGCAGCTGCAGGGCGCCGCGCAGAGAGGCGGCGCCGCGCCGCTGGGCCCGGCCGAGCCGAGCAGCCCCAGGGCGAGGAAGCAGAGCAGCCCTAGCGGGCCCGGCATTGCTGCGGCCGCCTCCCGCGCCGGCCTCTCCCGCGGCGCTGCTCGCTCCGCTGCCCTCCGATGTCCCCCGCCGCCCCCGGGCAGCCGGCCTGCGGGCTGGAGCGGGGGTCTCTTCCTCGGCGGTCCGCGCGGGCTCGGCCCCTTCAGCAGTCCGCCGCAGCGGCGCAGGGACGCGGCGCTCCGGAGTTTCGCCCTTCCCGCTGCTCCATGGACGCGCAGAGGCAGCCCCGCTCCTCCGGCGGCTCACGCCAGCCGGGCCGGCCCGGCGCAGCGGCGGGGGCCGCGCTCTGCCATCGCACCGGTCTCCCTGTCCCTGGCCTCTCAATGCAGCGGCTCTTCAAGGTTGCAGAGCGCAGCCTTCAGCCATGCCGGCCACTCGCCCCAGCCCCCGCCGTGGCTCTCGCACAAACACCCAGACTCTGGCTCGCTGTCTCCCAGCCGCGGCTCAATCTCTTCCCGTCCTTTTCCCTTCTAGGGTTGCACGCTCTGGTTCCCAAACCCCCGGCCGCTGGCTTATGCAAATCACTTAGGTACATGCAAAAGTATCCCTTCTCCCGGAGCGCCATTGGCCCGGGGAGGTCTCGAGCTCATTACTATGCAGAGAGGAGAGCCGCCATTGGCCAAGAGGAGGACCAGAGGGGCGTGTTTCTCGGGCGTGAGTGACAAGGTGGTGGTGGTTGTGGTGGTGGCGGCGGTGGTGGTGGTGGTGGTGGCGGCGGTGGTGGTGGTGGTGGTGGTGGTGGTTCAAGGCAAAATCTTGACTTGGCTGGATTTGTCTGGCAGGTTGTGGATTGAAGGTAGAAGGATAGTAGGACAAGGGGTCTAGTTTTTCCCTCCCCCACCCGTCTTTTTGTTCCCTCCGCAGAAATTGGATCTCCTAAATTGGATGACCTGGTAAGTAGAACTTCCCTCCAGCGTTCAGTTAAGTTTTAAATGACTCTCCGCTGTTCCAAAGGGCGAGGACGTCTGGAGCTCTGCAAACGGAAAAAAGATTTTGAAGAGGAGGAAAAAAGTTTCCCTCGATCTGACACACATCTTTGGGTTTTAGCTATACACTAAGTTAAAAGTGTACCCTCTCCAGTGCCTCACTTCACCTGGGATCTTTACACCTATCTTGATACACATTTGGTAGCTAAGTCTTAGCAATTCATTCTCCCCAGTCCTCTCTCTGTATTTGGTGTTTTTGGTGACTGCAAATTAGACTCCTTTCTCACGCACTTTAAAATCCTGAAACACAGGAATTTTGTAAAAGGTCAGAGAAAGTGATGTTTCTGAACACTGGACAATTTCCAAAACATCTGAGTGGGAGGTGACTACGGCTGAGAAGCCAGCAGCAACGTTGGTGTTAGGTAATTATCAGCATTCCCTCCTCTTCTGGATTTTGAGTCCCTGTGGCCTAATAGACCCCACGGAATCATTACCTGTACCAACTACGGCTTTAAGGGTACTTCGTTTCTTGCTCTCTGCCATGGCGTTGAGTCGTTTTACTCTATAATGGAGACATTTTTAATGAATACATTAAAACAAGCAGGATTCGGCCGGGCGCGGTGGCTCACGCCTGTAATCCCAACACTTTGGGAGGCTGCGGCGGGCGGATCACCTGAGGTTGGGAGTTCTAGACCACCCTGACCAACATGAAGAAACCCCGTCTCTACTAAAAATACAAAATTAGCCGGGTGTGGTGGCAGATGCCTGTAATCCCAGCTACTCGGGAGGCTGAGGCAGGCGAATTGCTTGAGCCCGGGAGGCGGAGGTTGCGGTGAGCTGGAGATCGCGCCATTGCATTCCAGCCTGGGCAACAAGAGCAAAACTCTGTCTCAAAAAAAAAAAAAAAAAAAAAAAAAAAAAGCAGGATTTAAAGATAATTATCATATAAAGTTGACTAGCCATCGTATGTAAATAAAACTTAGGACAATGGAAACAGGTTGATGCAGACCTATAAGTTTAAAATGAAAAAATTTTATCATCTTTGTATTTGGGAGTTTATCTAAAAGATAATGTCAGGTTGGGCACATAAGTCACATACAGTAAATCTGTCTAGAAGCTAGAGAGTTAATAAATAAACATATGCCTTCATTTCAAGTTTTAGGAATGACATATCTCCTCTCACTGCAGGGCTGAAAGACAACTTAAAGACCCCCAGAAAACTCTGGTTTTATAGATAAGAAATCTGAGGCTCGAGAGAGAGTGTGTTCTGCCCAACATCATCACGGAACAGCTCCTGGGCTCCTGGCTCCTAATCTGGTACTCTTAGAGCCTTCCCTAAATAGGCTTTCATCGTCTAAATCATTTCCATTATTTTCTAGCAACTGTCATGAACAAATAAGGAAGAAATTGTAAAGTTAGTTTCTGTAATCGTTTCTTTAAGATCTCTTCTTTTTTTTTTTTTTTTTTGAAACGGACTCTCACTCACTGTGTCCAGTGGCGTGATCTTGGCTCACTGCAACCTCCACCTCCCGGGTTCAAGTGATTCTCCTGCCTCAGCCTCCCCAGTAGCTGGTATTACAGGTGCCCACCACCATGTTTAGCTACTTTTTTTTTTTTTTTTTTTTTTTTTTTTTTAGTAGAGATGGGGTTTCTCATGTTGGCCAGGCTGGCCTCAAACTCCTCACCTCAAGTGATCCACCTGCCTTGGCCTCCCAAAGTGCTGGGATTACAGTCATGAGCCACGGAGTCCGGCTTATATGCAAATCTTGATTAAAAATGCAGAATGATTTAGTAGGCCTAAGTGGGGCCCAGAAACCAGCATTTTGTTGCACAGCAAGTGAAAGTGACACAGGTGATTCATGAACCACACTTGGAGAACTTTATTCTTTGTCTTCAAATAATAAAATCTTATGGCTGAAAACTTAGGTGAAAGGAGAGATTTATATTTTGAAAAAAGGGGAGATGCAGATTTTACTAAAAAATAAATTCCTATTGTCTATTAGATGACAAATGTAAGAAAGGAAGATTCAAATTTGCAGCTTAGCCAAGAAGATAAAAGATCAGGAACAAAAGACTTGGGTAGGGAACAGAAAAGATAAGATATATTGAAGTGTTTGTATTTCTTATTTGGTACATTTTGTATGCTTTGCATTAGAGATACATTGGTCAATTAGTCTCCATCTCTTGGATAAGATGTCCCAAGAAAGTATAAAGACAAAAAACAAAAAACCAGTGATTAAGGTAATATCTCAGATAACTAGAGAAAAATGATCAGCTCTTAAATAAATCATAAGGACTGGAAAGATACTGAGATAAACCAAATAAAAATTGACGGCAAGCAAAAAATAATAGGGTCTCTGTCTACAGATCGGTTCCTCTTAAAGTTTTCATTGGTTGTGTGTAAGTAAATTTGCGGCATCCACAGGCTAGATAAAAAATAGAACTGGGCTGCAACCCCTCTGCATATGTGGCATGGAGCTTATGGGCCATGAAGAAAGTACCCTATCGTAGTGATACTTGCCTTGGTGTCTTTGTGCAGAGCACACAGGACTTGTTGACTGATGGATAAGCTGGACTTCGGTTCTACCACCCCTTTACCCAAGAACTCTTGTAAACATAGAACCTGAACAAGTATATGCAGAGGCCCTACCTGTTGGGTGAACGGTTCAAGGTGCCCTGTTACAACAACAGCTCAGATACAGTGGGGGCTCTGAGTGCTGTAATGATTGACTGGATAAAAGTCCTCAAACATGTAGAATTTCACTTTTTATGAACTATTTCGACTTAGAAAAAGAGTTAACAGCAATCAGCTTAAGAAATATTACGAATGTAGTTGAAGCTCCCTTTGTACCACTCCCCAATCATATTCCTTTTCTTCCTCTCCCTGAGAAGTAAGCAGTTTCCTAAACTTTGTAGTTAATTCCCATGCATATTTTCATGCTTTTCGTATGCATGTATCCCTAAACAATAAACAGCATTGTTTTTCATATATAAATCAACATCATTGCGTACTGTTCTGCAACCTGCTTTTTCACTCAACCTGTGAGTGTAATCGACATTCACGAACTATGAGGCTTGTAACTTCATTTTTATTACTATATAATATTCCACTTAATGAAATGCCCAGTGTGTTAGGGTTCTCCAGAGAACAGAACCAATAGGATATATATAGAAATACAGAAAGAGATTTATTGTGAGGCACTGACTTATACAATTATGGAGACTAAGTGACAATCTTCCATCTACATGCTGAAGGCCCAGGAAAGCTAGTGGATTTGTTTTAGTCCAAACTTGAAGGCCTGAGACCCAGGGGAGTCAATGATGTTTTGGTCGAAGTCTGAAGGCCTGAGAACCAGGAGCAGTGAAGTCTGAGGGGAAGAGAAGACAGATGTCCCAGCTCAAGCAGAAAGCAAATTTATCTTTTCACTCTTCCACCGTTTTTTGTTTGTTTGTTTTTTTAAATGGTGTTTTGTTTTGTTTTGTTTTTGAGATGGAGTCTCTCTCTGCGGCCCAGGATGGAGTGTAGTGGTGTGATCTCAGCTCACTGCAGCCTCCACCTCCTGGGTTCAAGCGATTCTCCTGCCTCAGCCTCTCAAGTAGCTGGGACTACAGGCATGCACCACCACACCCAGCTAATTTTTGTATTTTTAGTAGACAAGGGGTTTCACTGTGTTGGCCAGGCTGGTCTTGAACTCCTGACCTCAAGTGATCCACCCACCTCAGCCTCCCAAAATGCTGGGATTACAGATGTGACCCACTGCACCCGGCCTTCCATTGTCTTTTTGTTCTATTCAGGCCCTCAATGGGATGCACAAGGGCATCTTCCTACTCAGTCTACTGAATCTCTTCCAGAAATACCCTCACAGACACATCCAAGATGTAATGTTTTACCAGCTATCTGGCTATCCTTTGCCCAGTCAAGTTGACACATAAAATTCATCATTATACTCAGTATTTATTTATCCATCCTCTTGGTTAAGATTATTTTTATTTTTTCTAATGACAATTCAACTATGAATATTTTTGTATATATTTGCTTGTTCATACATGTAAGAGTTTCTCTAAAATGTGTGTATTTTCTTTAAATATTCATGTGTATATGTGTGTATTGTGTGTGTCTGGAAGTGGAATTGCTGCTGGGCACAGTGGCTCATGCATGTAATCCCAATACTTTGAAAGGCCAAGGTGGGAGGATCATTTGAGCCCAGGAGTTTGAGACCAGCCTGGGCAACATAGCAAGACCCCATCTCTACAAAAAATTTTAAAAATTGGCCAAGCTTGGTGGTCCACACTTGTAGTCCCACCTACTTAGGAGGCTGAGGTGGGAGGACAGCTTGAGCTCAGGAGGTCAAAGTTGCACCACTGCACTCTAGCTTGGGAGTGCATGATTGGACCATTGCCCTCCAGCCTGGGACAAGAGCAAGACCCTGTCTTAAAAAAAAAAAAAAAAAAAAGCAGAATTATTAGGTTGCAGATTATGTGCATTTACCATTATTAGATGTTGTTGCTAAATTGCTCTCAAAAGTGACTGCAGTTAGCTGTGCTTCCCTCAGAAGGGAATAACAACCCCTGTTACTCAACATCTTACCAATACCTGATATTGTAAGGCTTAAATGTTTACGAATCTAATGCATAGGAAATGAAATCTGTGTGGTTTAAATTTGAGTTTCCCTGATTCCAACGGCATATTTTCATGTATTTATTGGACATTCTTGTGTGCTGTTCTATGCATTGCCCATTCATTTCCTTGGCCTGTTTGTTTTCCATTGGGTTGTTTATATTTGCTTTTATTGTTTTATAGTGGGGATCAGCAAAGGTTTTCTGTTAAGGGCCCAGTAGTAAATATTTTGGACTTTGTGGGCCATATGGTCTCTGTCACAACTATTCAACTCTGCCATGCAGCACAAAAGCAACCATAATACAAAATAGATGTCATTGTATTCCAATAAGATTTTTTTGACAAAAACAGGTGTTGGACTAGTTCTGGCCCATAGGCCATAGTTTGCTAACCCTGTTTTATAGGATGTTAATCCTTTATTAAAATATACTCATTATTTCTGTTTGTTTTTGTTTGCTTGCTTGTTTTTAAAGGACAGGATCTTCCTGTGTCACCCAGTTGCATGCAATGATCTTAGCTCATTGCAGCCTCAAACGCCTGGGCTCAAGGGATCCATCCTCCTCAGCCTCCAGAGTAGCTATGACTGTAGGTTCACACCACCATGCCAGCTAATTATTATTATTTTTTTGTTGAGACCTAGTATTGCTATGTTGCCCAGACTGGTCTCAAATTCCTGGCTTCAAGGGAGCCTCCCACCTCAGCCTCCCAAAGTGCTAGGGTTATAGGCATGAGCCATCGTGCCCAGCCTACTGATTGTTTTGGAAACAATTTACGTGATTATGTAAAATTCAGAGAGACATACCTCAAAGGGTAACCATCTTTTCTTGCAAGTTAAGATCACGCACTTTCTTTTCTTTCTTTTTTTTTGAGACGGAGTTTCGCTCTTGTTGCCCCGGCTGGAGTGCAATGGCGCGATCTCGGCTCACCACAACCTCCACCTCCTGGGTTCAAGCGATTCTCCTGCCTCAGCCTCCCAAGTAGCTGGGATTACAGGCATGCGCCACCACCCCAGCTAATTTTGTATTTTTAGTAGAGATGGGGTTTCTCCGTGTTCGTCAGGCTGGTCTTGAACTCCCAACCTCAGGTGATCCGCCCACCTCGGCCTCCCAAAGTGCTGGGATTACAGGCATGAGCCACCGCGCCCGGCCAAGATCAAGCACTTTCAAAATTCCAGTCTCCATGATGACCTCATGCTGAAGATTATGTTGCAGAATGAGCCAAGCAGAGTGCAAGCTTAAAAATGCCCTGCTTTCTGGAATGAAGGACACAGAGGGAGTCCTGGGCACTTAGAGTTTACCTCACCCTTTGTGTAAAAGGCACCCTAAATATTTTTGACCCAAATAATAACATAACCTGTGAGAAATAGTTATCGAGCTTAAATAAAAGCATAGGTGCCAAAAAGCTACCTGAAGTGAGAAGCTGGCTATACATTAAAAATATACATGTATCAGCCGGGCGCCGTGGCTCATGCCTGTAATCCCAGCACTTTGGGAGGCCGAGATGGGTGGATCACGAGGTCAGGAGTCCAAAACCAGACCAGCCTGACCAACATGGTGAAACCCTGTCTCTATTAAAAATACAAAAATTAGCCCGGTGGGGCAACGTGCACCTGTAGTCCAAGCTACGCAGAAGGCTGAGGCAAAAGAATCGCTTGAACCCAGGAGGCGGAGGTTGCAGTGAGCGGAGATCGCGCCACTGCACTCCAGCCTGGGTGACAGAGTGAAACTGCATCTCAAAAAAAAAAAAAAAAAAATATATATATATATATATATGTGTGTGTGTGTGTGTGTGTGCGCGTGTGTGCGTATATATATATACACACACACACGTACATACATACATACATACATACATGTACCTATGCTGGGTGCAGTAGCTCATGTCTGTAATCCCAACCTTGGGAGGCCCAGGCTGGCTGATCACTTGAGGTCAGAAATTCGAGTCCAGCCTGGCTAACGTGGTGAAACCCCATCTCTACTAAAAATACAAAATTGGTGGGTACCTGTAATCCCAGCTACTGGGGAGGCTGAGGCAGGAGAATCGCTTGAACCTGGGAGGCAGAGGCTGCAGTGAGCCAAGATCATGCCACTGCTCTCCAGCCTGGGCAATAGAGTAAGACTCTGTCTAAAAAAAAAAAAAGAAACTATGTGTGTATGTGTATTTATATGCATATAAATTTATATACATATACATATAAATACACACACAAAGATTTGTATACATAAATGCGTAAATATACATACATAAATATTTCAAGACATGATAGGGTTAGGGAATAAAGAAAAGAATATCAAGTCTAATCCCTACTGATCAGATATCTTACATGCACCTACTCTAGTGAATGAATCTTCAAGGTAGTGCATAGTTTCTAGGCTTTGATGCCTCCATATTTGCATGGGAAGCTTTGGGATGGAAGAGCTTTCACATTAAGCCCCAGAGGCTTGCAGTCATTCTATCATGGTCTCAAATAAGATACTTTTACACACCTTATCAACATCTCTAGTGTGGTCCTATTGGACACAGGAAACAGCATCTAATTTTTTAGGGCTAATTGAAAACAATGATTTATTTTGAACAAAAAATAACAATGTAAAATTGTCGACAAATTTTAAACATCCTTTTAAGCTACACAAGTGACCAAATTTGGGCTCTGGGCCCTCTTTACTGTACCTAGAGCTCGAGCAAGGGTGAAGGATGGCTGGGAGCAGCACATGCCACTTGTGTAGAACTGATGGGACCTCTGGGATGCGAGGGCTCGTAGTGAGGCTTCTGGCACGACTGGTTGAAGGCCATTCTTGAAGACAGCCCTTTTTCAAAACATCACCAAAAAGCATCTTACTCTTTTGAGCTGGTTGGATACTACGGGGTTAGATAGCCTTTCAATACTTCTGAAGACCCATATTGACCCAAAATTTGAAAACATTTGGATAAATATCAGAAATATGGAAATGCCTAATCTTTTCATTTTCTTTTTTCTTGTTTGTTTTTTTCGAGAGAGTTTCGCTCTTGTTGCCCAGGCTTCAGTGCCATGGCACAATCTTGGCTTACCACAACCTCCGCCTCCTGGGTTCAAGTGATTTTCCTGCCTCAGCCTCCCGAGTAGCTGGGATTACAGGCATGTGCCACCGTACCTGGCTAATTTTGTATTTTTAGTAGAGACAGGGTTTCTTCCTGTTGGTTAGTCTGGTCTCGAACTCCTGACCTCAGGTGATCTGCCCGCCTCGGCCTGCCAAAGTGCTGGGATTACAGGCGTGAGCCACCGTGCCCGGCAATGCCTAATCTTTTCTAAATCTGATTTTCTTTTCCTGATCTTTCCCTTTCAATTCTAACACAAGAGGAAAATGAGACTCAAGGGAGCAACTTCTGAATTACAGAACCACATGTGGGTTCGTTCCAAAGTCTGAGTGCATAAACTACTGGTGAGAAATAGAAGTAGGCAAAAATTAAATGATTCTTAAAGAAACTAGATGTTATAAGAAAAGAGATAGAAAAGTAAAGGTAGAAAAATCAGAATAGAAAAGCAGGAAGATTACCACCTGGTCAAGCTGATAATTTGTTAAGACCAAAATACCAACACGAAGTTCAGCCATGGAATTGGGTAGTTTTCACTTCCTCAGAATCCCAAATAAAAGTGAACATTTTAGAAAGATCTTAGCATGACACAATTATTTCAAGAAACTACATGCAAAATCTGCGCATGCCCTGATGATGTGTAATCAGAAAACCAGCACTTAGGGTGGAGTAGGGGGCTGTGGTGGTGGTGGTGGTGCTGAAATGTTCTGAAAAGCTCTTCTTTGTCTACATCAAATATTTTGAAAGAAATCTGAAATGGAAAGAGGAAATTAAATGTAGACCCAAGGAGAAATATTGGGTAGGATGTGGAGGGAAGACTCCATATTCTGTAAATTGTCTTTTTCCTAACTAGACACCAAATACTGTCTCAAAAAAAAAAAAAAAAAAAAAAAAAAGACACTCTTAAATACCTGTTTGCTAATTCCCAAGCTGTTAAGTTATTTTTGTCTAGTGACAGCTACCATGGCTATCTTCAAATAAGAAAAGCGGCAGCCAGAATGAAAAGGTTAACAATCCAAAAGTTTTTGAAAATGTCTTTTAATTTTCAAAATAAAACACCCTGAAGCAGTGCTTTTAAAAACACAGGCAAACTGCCAGTCATTTGTAATTTCCAAGATTACTTTGGAAAGGGGCAAAGCAAAGAAAGCTTCAAGGCTGGGTTAGTGGTGCTGGGTGTCAGGATGATGCTGAAGATGGTATTTTCTAGGACTGGTTGGCAAAATCTGGTAATATCTGCTAATACCTCTCTCTCTCTCTCTCTCTCTCTCTCGTTCTCCCTCTGCCTCAGGCTAATGTTAAAACATACTTCGTGATCTGTAGAACGTAAGAGAAAATTTAGAAAATGTTTGATATGAAAGAGAAAATGAAGGATGTTGCGATAATAGGGAAAAACTTTATAGTAATTCTACCAATTTGCCCCTTTTATTCTAAAATAACACAAACTTGTCAAGCTTTTCAACATTTTTTGAATTTTTTTTTTTTTTTTTTGAGATGGAGTTTCACTCTGTTGCCCAGGCTGGAGTGCAGTGACATGATCTTGGCTCACTGCAACCTCCACCTCCTGGGTTCAAGCAATTCTCCTGTCTCAGCCTCCCAAGTAGCTGGGATTACAGGCCTGCACTACCATGCCTGGCTAATTTTGTATTTTTGGTAGAGACGGGGTTTCACCATGTTGGCCAGACTGGTCTCGAACTCCTGACCTCAGGTGATCCACCCCGCCTCGGCCTCCCAAAGTGCTGGAATTACAGGCATGAGCCACTGCACCCAGCTGGATTTTGTTTTTCAAGGACTATTTACCACATACCTACTTTTCAAAATGTACTCCGCTAGGTACTGAAGAGTTTTGACTGATGCAGGGCTGTCTGCATGTAAATCACCCTGGGAAGGTTTGTAATACAGAAGTTCCAAGATTCCATCTCCATTGATTCTATTATAGAAGGTCTCTGTGGGTCCCTGAATTCCCAGTGTTTAAAAAGTTCCTGATTCTGATGTAGGCCTCCACCACTAACCAAGACGTATGACTTTTTGCTACAAGATAAGGCAAGTGTGGGTCCTCTGAGAAGCAGACATCAATATGGGATTACTCATGCAAGAGATTTGTTAGGGGAAGTGATTGTGAAGGGAAAATGGGGAGGGAGCTAAGGGCGTCTGAGAAACCATCAGATTGAGATGTGGGTCTGGCCCCAGGTGAGGAGGTGAAGGAAGGAAAAGAGTCTTAGATTTCAGTGCAGTTCTATAAAATTTCAGCAAAGCCACAAAAATTATCTGCCAGAGTCTCACGTCTCCCAGGAACAGGACTGCCTTAGTATCTCAGCCATGCTCAGTCATGGGCTGGGACCAGCCCATAGGAAGTGTGGCCTTGGCACAAACAGGGTGAAGGATTTTACCTTAGGACTGTTAGTCAATTAGTGTCCCCACAGTGAGAGGTCTGACAGGTGCCTTTCACTGCAGCCCCAGGATATAAGGTACGACATGGAGCTCTCCTACAAGCAGTTTACAATTCAACTTTCAGAATGTAGAAACACAGGGTTAGAAAAGACATTAACGCTAGTTTAATTACCTTCCTAAGGCTTAAGAAGGCTGAACAGCATCCCTGCTATTCTTGGATACCTTAGAGTTGGCATATTCATACCTCCATGGGGAGTAGTCCATCTTTGGGCACTTCTGGCTGTTAGAAAGTTGTATTACGTTGTGACAAACTGTTTCTTCTTGATGCTTTAAAAATTAGAAATAAGGCTGGGTGTGGTGGCTTACGCCTGTAATCCCAGCACTTTGAGAAGCTGAGGCGGGAGGATTGCTTGAGCTCAGGAGTTCAAGACCAGCTTGGGCAACAGCGAGACCTCATCTCTACTTAAAAAAACAAACAAACAAACAAACAAACAAACAAAAAAACACATAGCTCTCTGGGCTTAGACTTAGTTTGCGGTGACATGGCCAAATGCACCAAGAAAGTCAGAATCATCAGTAAATATGGGACCCGCTATGGGGCCTCCCTCCGGAAAATGGTGAAGAAGAATTGAAATCACCCAGCACACCAAGTACATTTGCTCTTTCTGTGGCAAAACCAAGATGAAGAGATGAGCTACGGGGATCTGGCACTGTGGTTTCTGCATGAAGACAGTGGCTGGCAGTGCCTGGACCTACAATACCACTTCTGCTGTCACGGTAAAGTCGCCATCAGAAGACTGAAGGAATTCAAAGACCGGTAGACGCTCTTCTACTCTTTGAGACATCATTGGCCTATAATAAATGGGTTAATGTATGTAACAAAATTGCCTTGGCTTGTTAACTTTATTGGACATTCTGATGTTTGCATTGTGTTAATACTATCGTTTTGGAGAAGCATGCTGTGATGGATTATTTTAATTCAGTTTCTTTTTTTAGTAGTCAAATGATAAAATATGGCATAAGGATACAAGTCTTCCAAGTTAGATATATCTATTAGCTTTTTATAAGTCTGTTCCTACCAGTTTGATTTTGAGATACACTGGAGCAAACTGCAAACTTTAGTGTTTGTTAGTTTGTTTTTTGAGACGGAGTCTTGCTCTGTTGCCCAGTCTAGAGTGCAGTGGGGCGATCTCTGTTCACCACAACCTCCACCTCCTGGGTTCAGGCAATTCTCTGCCTCAGCCTCCCGAGTAGCTGGGATTACAGGTGCCCGCCACCATGCCCGGCTAATTTTTGTATTTTTAGTAGCGACAGGGTTTCACCATGTTGGCCAGGCTGCTCTTGAACTCCTGACCTCGTGATCTACCTGCCTCGGCCTCCCAAAGTGCAGGGATTACAGGTGTGAGCCACTGCACCTGGCAGTTTAGTTTTAAAATTACAGTTAATATTTAAAAAAAATGTTTTTAGGCTGGGCATGGTGACTCAGGCCTGTAATCCCAGCACTTTGGGCAGCCGAGGCAGGTGGATTACTTGAGGCCAGGAGTTTGAGACCAGCCTGGCCAACACAGCGAAACCCTGTCACTACTAAAAATACAAAAAATAGCTGGGTATGGTGGTGCATGCCTGTAATCTCAGCTATTTGGGAAGCTCAGGCACCAGAATCACTTGAACCCAGGAGGCAGAGGTTACAGTGAGCTGAGATCATGCCACTGCACTCCAGCCTGGGTGACGGAGACTCTTGTCTCCAAAAAAGTTTCTAAAGGTTTAGGATATACTAAATAATATACGTATACTGCCTCTTCTATTATACTTTTGGTGTTTTCTTTGACCTACACTGTATCAGCATTTTCAGGAAACAATATGAAACAATTATAATTTCCCATTAAATGTCTCTCTATATATGTATACATATGCATATATATATATAAAATGATAATTAGCAGGGTGTGGTGGCCTGCACCTATAGTCCCAGCTACTCAGGAGGCTGAGG
Organism: Homo sapiens; assembly: GCF_000001405.40. NCBI lineage: Eukaryota > Metazoa > Chordata > Mammalia > Primates > Hominidae > Homo > Homo sapiens. Next base: position 27,485,298 of record NC_000011.10, read on the forward strand.
TGGGAGGTCACGTGAGCCCGGGAGGTTGAGGTTACAGTGAGCCATGATGACACCATTGCACTCCAGCCTGGACGACAAAAAAAGACACTGTTTCCAAAAAAAAAAAAAAAATCCTCAGAAATAGAAGAAACTTTGGGGATATGTGCTAAATCCTCTCATTTAATAGTGTGAAATCAGACCCACAGAGGATAACCAAATTACCCAAGGCCACAACATACCTAGTTATAGACAGAACTGGAGCTAATATCTAGGTCAACTGCTCTTTCTACTCTGTACTCGGTTTAATTTTTATTTTAAATTTTCACGGAAAAGAACATTTTTGACAAGTTTATTGTCACACACAACAAGTTAATCGCAATGATTCCGATGGTCTCCAGTTTATTTAAAAGAAGCTGCCACATCCCCTATGAAATTACTTTTCTCAAACATCCTGTGAGGGGTGAAGACACGTAAGAGAAGCAAAGCCAAAGATAATTTCCAGTCATCTAAAGTTGTTTATATTTAGTAGAAGGACCGAAAAAGCAGTATTAAATACACCACCCCACCACCTTCCCAAACCTTTATACTAAGTGGTAGATGACTATTCATGTAGTTTGGTATTTTACATGTTTGTTTTATTTAGGGTTTATTTGGGAGGAGTTGTTTCTCCACATTTACAAAGCTTTGAATTTTATAAAATACATTTCAATTTAAATTTTGAATTAAAAAGAAAAGATGGAGTACATTTTAAATCTTTGGTCTGAGCTTCAGTTAGCAAGAACTGCTAGAAAATTCTAAAATAGAAACAATAGCACTTTGGCGTCACCTTGTGGTCAAATGTGAAAAGGTAGGAGAAAAGGATTATGCATATAGCATAATAAATTTGTGAGGAGTTATTTGTATTTACAGAAGGCAATGGGGGGAAAAGTGTGTGTGTGTGTGTATGTGTGTGTGTCTGTGTGATTAAGTCCTTCCCTCCTTAGCTTTAAAAGAAAAATATCATATTATAAATTCCAATACTGCCAATATTTGCAACAAAGGTTTAATTTTGTTTGCAGCCATTCTATTTTATAATTATGGATAGGTTCATGTGTTTGCCTGGATGCAGGGATACCATCCTTTCTAGCTTTTATCATGTGAGTGATCACTCCTACCCGCTTCCACCCTTGGTAAAATTGACTCCATGGGAGTGGAGTGGCATCTGACTGGTAATCTGAGAGGCAACAGGCCCTTATCCTAGCCACTCCTAGAGAGGGGGCAACCTCTGCCCCTGCGGGATGGGCACCATCAGAGTTCAGTCCCGACCATGCCCATTCCATGCCTGAAAATTGGCCAGACTGAGCCCCCCAGCCACAGGCTTCTCTGAGAAGTTTTCTCTGGCCAGTTTTCAGAATGCCCATTTTCTTCTCAGGCCTCAGGTACATGCCCCTGCCCAGCCTTGAGCAGAGTGTCAGCTCTGTGAGAGCAAGAGCTTTGTTTTGTTCTCCACAGAATTCCCAGCCCCTAACTGTGGCTGGCAAATAGTGGACATCCGACAAACATTTGTGGTCAGTATAAATTAATAAATAATAAAGCTCATATTCTGGCCCTCATCTGCCACTCATTTATTTCCTACTGTACCTAGAACCCAAGTGGGGAAGGGAGATACTCTTTATTGGTCCCTGTCAAAAACCCCGATTTCCCAGATAGTCCGAGAGTGGCTTCTTCAGTTCACGCCATTCAGGTCTCTTTAAATGTCATCTCAGATGTCCTTTCCTGTCCTATCAAAAATAACACCACAGTCTTCTTTCAAATTGTTTCTTCTGTGAACAAATATTGTTTACTATGTGGTAGGTGCTGTTCTCCGCTCTAAATACACAACAGAAAACTAAACAGGGGCCTGCCTGCCCTCAACAAGTTTATAATCTTGAGGAGGGAGTAGCCAAAATTGACAAATATATAGCAATAGAGGGCAAAGGAGGTTCCAGGTAGAGAGAACCGCAAGTGTGAAGGCCTGTCCTGTTGGAGACACTTGGAGACAGAGAGGGAAAAAGTGTATGAGTGAAGGCTGGGGAGGGAAGCAGAAGCTGGATTATGCAGGGCTTGGTGGGTCATAGAGAGGGGCTTGGGTTTCTATTCTAACTGGGCTGGGCAGCCAATGGATGTGTTAAGGATAACTGGTGGAAAGGGCTCACCAGCACACAGCAGGTGCTTTCAAGATAATGAGTGCTGGTTAGGTGCAGTGGCTCATGCCTGTAATCCCAGCACTTTGGGAGGCCAAGGCAGGCGGATCACCTGAGGTCAGGAGTTCAAGTCTAGCCTGGCCAACATGGCGAAACCCTGTGTCTACTAAAAATACAAAAATTAGTCAGGCATGGTGGTGCCTGTAATCCCAACTACTTGGGAGGCTGAGGGAGGGAGAATCACTTGAACCTGGGAGGCGGAGGTTGCACTGAGCTGAGATTGCGCCATTGCACCCCAGCCTGGGCGACAGAGGTCCAGAAATATGAGCTCAAAACTCTGTTTCAAAAAAAAAAAAAAAAAGGTAATGTGAGTGCTTAGTGATGACAAGCATAATGGGAAGTGCAGTTGGTGCTGTATGGAGGTTTTGACAAAAGCCACAATAAGCTGCTTAGACATGTTGAGCCCATGTCCCTGAGTCCACTCCAGACATACCCCAGTGTGAGAAGGGACTGTGGGATTTAGCTGGCACCTTGACAAGTGATTGAATTTCCGTGAGTCTAATTTTTTTTATTGCTCTCTAGCGCTCGTAGCCTGCTGGACTTTATAATACTTGTCACTACCTAAAATTACGTTATTTGTTCTCTTGTTCTTCTGCTTCTCCCACTAGAATATGTGTTCCTTATCAGGATTTTATCTTGTAGACTGCTATATCTTAACTACACTGTCCAGTACATAATAGATGCTCAATAAATACTGTTGAGTGAATGAATAAATGAATTAATTTTATGGTATGTACCCAGTAAAACAAGACTCAAAATCATGCTCATTTTATTGAAATGTATAAAACCATAGCTGATCACTTTCTTCTTCCAATTTTTCCCATTGTCATTTCTTCAGTTAGTTCCTTCCACCATCATTAACAGTTAATAGAATGCTATTTCATTATTTTTTAATGAAAAATTTATGTAGAAATGGGGTCTATGTTGCCCGGGCTGGTCTCCAAATCCTGGCCTCAAGCAATCCTCCCACCTCGGCCTCTGAAACTGTTGGGATTACAGGCGTGAGCCACTACACCCAACCTATTTTTTTTAAATTTTTTTTCCCCCTATGGAAATAATTCACTTAAATTGCTGCCATTTTCCGTAGAATTCATCTCTTAAAAATTTTTAATTGCTACAACATACGTATCATTTATAATTTTGTGATACAAAGTAACAATAGGTAGAAAATAATAGGTGGTATTTTCAATGTGCTAATGCTATTTAATGAAATAATACCTATATACTGGGGAAGAGATGCCAACTTAAAAATATCCAATTGAATATTGACATAATATACGAGTTAGATTCATACTCTGCTTTTTTTGTTGTTGTTCTTACAGGGCTCTAGATTAAAAAAAAAAAACCACAACAAATCCAACAAGAAACCTAAAAAAATAAAATAAAATGAATGAGAGAGAAAATCTTGCTAAAAGTGCAGTGTGGTATTGGGGGAAAATTATGGGTTTTGAAAATAAACTTGGGATTAGAATCTGGTCCATGAGTCAGTGTAAGTGTGTAATTATGAATAAACTATTTGGTGTTCCTGATTCTGTGAAACAGAATAACACCCATCTTATTGGGGGGTTATAAGGATTAGATGCAGTGCTTAGTAGATGCTTTATGAAAGGCAGCCATGCATGATTATCAATATTTCTGATATTTTAGAAAATACCCCCTTTGTGCATAAACTAGCTTATATGTCATTACATGATACAAAATAGTTCACATCAAACCAATTGCGTGTTAATGTTATTGCACTTTTAGAACAGGAATGGACTTTAAACTGGTCCCTGACCTTTTTGGCACCAGGGAATGGTTTTGTGGAAGATAATATTTTCCACCGGGGTTGCGGGGGAAGGCTGTGGTTCACAGGGAGATAGGGATGGTTTCAGGATGAAACTGTTCCACCTCAGATCATCAGGCATTAGATTCTCACAACAAGTGGGCAACCTAGGTCCCTTGCATACATGCGCAGTTCACAAGAAGGTTCACGCTCCTGTGAGAATCTAACGCCATCATTGCTGATCTGACAGGAGGCGGAGCTCAGGCGATAATGCTTGCTCTCCCGACACTCACCTCCTGGTGTGCAGCCTGCTTCCTAACAGATTTACCAGATCCTAGCAGATCTGCGGCATGGAGCTGGGGACCCCAGCTCTAGGACAAAGGTTTTCAAACTGTGCTCAGAGGAACTCCTGTCTGCAGCATGGGAAGGGGGGTTGAAGGGGACAGCCTTCTTGAACCAGCGTAGTTCTATATATTAGGCTTTGGCTGAAGAGAGGACTTTTCTAAGGAATAAAGAAATGAAACCAGATTGGAAACTACCAACCTCCCTTATTATACAATCAAGAAAATGAAGACTTAAGGATCATATGTTAATGGCATAATTGGAATGTAAGTCCAGTGTTTCTTCCACTACACTATGTCATTGCTGTTATTTTTTGAGACAGGGTCTCATTCTGTCACCCAGGATGGAGGGCAGTAGCACGATCAGGGCTCACTGCAGCCTCGAACTCCCAGGCTCAACTGATTCTCTGCCTCAGCCTCTCCAGTAGCTGGGACTACAGGTGTGCACCACCATGCCTGGCTAACTTTTGTATTTTTTGTAGAGACAGGGTTTCACCATGTTGCCCAGGCTGGTCCTCAACTTCTGGGCTCAAACGGTCTGCCTGCCTTGGCCTCTCAAAGTAGTGGGATTACAGGTGTGAGCCACTGTGTCCAGCCTTGTTATTTTTTATTTAAAATTACACAATAGACATTTTAAAAATTAGGTCTTGGTTAGCAGTACACAATTTTTCATTTAATTTTGGTTGTGGCAATACCCAAAGAAAATCTTTGTTCTATTTTTAAAAATTAGGTGTTACTGTACAAATTTTATCTACTATTAACATTAGTTGGAACAGTTTTACATAAAAGATGAAAGTAACCTTCATTGTTGTCCTCCACAAATGGTACTTGGCATGTTAATGGAGCAAGGTAATAAAAGATTGACAAGGGTATTGTCCCTATAGTATTTTGATCCTTTCTAGGACATCTAACATCAAGATCAGTTGATAAATACTGTGTCTACCTGATACACACATCATTGTGTTTATACAGTGCCAATATAAGTTATTGATCTACCTGTGGAATTATGGAAAGCCAGTCAATTCAACAAGGTATAACAAGACATCATACCGTTTTAGGCACTGTGTTAAGTAATGGGGGTACAGTCGTGTCCTTCTTGCTGTCATGCAACTTAAATTTTAATGGAAAAGACACAAGCATGTTAATATAAACAAGGTGTTGGTTGGGCACGGTGGCTGATGCCTGTAATCTCAGCACTTTGGCAGGCCGAGGTGGGTGGATCACCTGAGGTCAGGAGTTCGAGACCAGCCTGTCCAACATTGTGAAACCCCATCTCTACTAAAAATACAAAATTAGCTGGGCATCGTGGCATGTCTGTAATCTCAGCTACTTGAGAGGCTGAGGCAGGAAAATCTCTTGAACCCGGGAGGCGGAGGTTGCAGTGAGCTGGGATCATGCCATTGCACTCCAGCCTGGGAAACGAGCGAAACTGTCTCTCAAAAAAACAAAAACACCCCAAAAAACAAAAACGACAAGGTGTTGCCATGTTAAAGGATGAGGAATCAGCCTTTAGATGGTGAACTTAACAGGCAACGCAACTTTGGCTGACACCTGAATGAGGGGCAGCCAGTTAGTGGAAGAACCAGAGGGAAGCCTTCCAGCAAGGGAATAGGCTGTGGAGCAGAACAAGTAGGGCAGTGGACTGAGATGAGGCCTGAGAGGAAGTAGGGCAGGGATTATGCAGAACCTTTGAGGTCATGGCAAGGTATTTGGATTTTATCCTAAGTACAATGCAGAGTTTTAAAAAGGGAGCAACACAATTGGTTCTGGCTTAATTAATGCTTGGTACCAGGCCCATGGATCATAAGGAACCTGTACAAACCTTTACAGGCTGAATGTCCCATGTCAAAGACAAATCCTCATCTCACCCAGCTGGAGCAAGGACTGCTGCATAAACTACTCTCAGTGCTGAAGGAGACAATGCCCTGACGATACCAACTCCTGACGAGTCCTGGAGTTAAGACGCATCCATGCAGTAACTGACAACCTAAAGTGAAGAAACGGCTAGGTGCTTAGGTGCTCATGAGTCCAGGGGGCCAACGTGGAGGCACAAGCTCAGTTACACAGCTGCACAGGTATCCAAGGAAGCATTTCAACCACAGAAAGCAAAGAAACCAGCATTCTCCTCATCCCCAAGGGCCAGGAATCTCATCCTTTCTTAGCCAAAGCCACTTCTACTGGAATGTTTTTATCACACACTGGAGAACCCACATTTAATTTTGCTTCTGTACCCAGTTTTGGTAGTGATGCCGCTGAAAGGTGGATTCTCTCACATATTAATTTTCTAGGGCTGGCATAACAAAGTACCACAAACTGGGTGGCTTAAGTGAAAGTTAATTGTTTCACAGTTCTGGAGGCTGTTAAGTCCAAGATCAAAGTGTCAGGAGACTTGGTTCCTTCTAAGTGTGAGGGAGAATTTGGTCTATGCCTTTCTTCTTGCTTCTGGTAGTTTGTTGGTAATCTTCAATATTTCTTGATTTGTAGAAGCATCACCCCAATCTTTGCCTTCATCTACCCATGGTGTTCTCCCTGGGTGTGCGTCTGTGTTCAAATCTCTCCCAACTTTTCAAAAAATATGGACACTAGCCATACTGAATTAGGGCCCACCCTAATGACCTCATTTTAATTGGATTACCTCTGTAAAGATCTTATCTCCAAATGAGGTCACATTCTGAGGTACTGGGGGTTAGGACTCCAACCTATCTTAGGGGAACACAGTTCAACCCATAACACTGTAAAACACAAAGGTTAGATATCATTTAAAGTCTGGGCTCAAAATTATGTCATTTAAGAGATACCAGTAATAACTTCCTACTTCATGGTTTTATTGCATTTCTTTGCCAAATAAAAAACAAACACAAAATTAGTTTTGGGTTTTTAATACCCTCTGATGAAATGAATTACTTTCAGTAACTGCCATATACAGGAAACTTACCTGCTGCAGGGGCTAAAATTTCTATCCCTATTGGTTAGAATGAGAAATCATCCACACTTTCTTACCTAGAGACAAACTTTAAAAACACCAAATCTTTTTTTTTTTTTTTTTTTTTGAGATGGGGGTCTCACTCTGTTGCACAGGCTGGAGTGTAGTGATGCTATCTCGGTTCAGTGCAATCTCTGCCTCCGGGGCTCAAGCAATTCTCATGAAAGCCTCAGCTTCCCCAGTAGCTAGGACTACAGGGACGTGCCACCACACCCAGCTAATTTTTGTACTTTTATTTATTGACTGATTGATTGAGACAAGAGTCTCATTCTGTCACCTAGGCTGGAGTGCAGTGGTGAAATCTTAGCTCACTGCAACCTCTGGCTCCTGGGTTCAAGCAATTCTCCTGCCTCAGCCTCCCAAGTAGCTGGGATTACAGGAACATGCCACCATGCACCGCTAATTTTTGTATTTTTAGTAGAGATGAGGTTTCGCCATGTTGGCCAGGCTGGTCTTGAACTCCTGCCCTCAAGCGATCCACCCTCCTCGGCCTCCCAAAGTGCTGGGATTTATAGGTGTGCGCCACTATGCTGGGCCTCAATTTTTGTATTTTTAGTAGAGACGGGGTTTTGCCATGTTGCCCAGGCTGGTCTCAAACTCCTGGGCTCAAGCGATCCACCTGCCTCGGCCTCCCAGAGTGCTGGGATTACAGGCCTCCCAGAGTGCTGGGATTACAGGTGTGAGCCACTGCACCTGGCCCCAAAACACCAAATCTTGATGTTTGGTGATTTTAAATATACATACTGTGGTGTCCAAATAGACCCTGTCTCAAAAAAAAAAAAAAAGATTTGGTGTTTTTAAAGTTGTCTCTAGGTAAGAAAGTGTGGATGATTTCTCATTCTAACCAATAGGTATTGTTCATGAGAATTAGGAGAGGCCTTACATATACCTTGTTAAAATGAAGTATTTGTCCCTTTAAAATTTAAAATTCAAAAAATAAAATTGACAAATGGGTTCTGTATGAATTTACCTTTTGCCCTGTATATAAAGTAAATCTTCAAGATTCCATCAGGGAGATTATCTGCCACTAATAAGTAAACGTACAAAATATGGGTCAGCAATTCATTATAGTAAAATCAGAATAATCAAAATAGTGAATATAACAAAACCCGAATAGAAAAATTTAGTGAATGGATACTCTGGTCTACTAAAGTTTTGAAAAAAACTGAGTCCTAACACTAAATGCTTTTTGTTGTTCCTCGGCTGTGTGGCACATTTCCACACTTTTTTAAAGTTAATGGTGGTGATGCCTTGGACTGTCTAACACCTAGTCCAGTAGTCTCCTGTCTCTATGCCTAGGTCATCACCTTAAAGGTTAATTTAACAAATCCTTACTTGGACTTATTTTCCAATGATTTTCATTAGAATATGGCTTCAATCCTCAAAGCTCCAATTTAAAAATTCCGAGTTTCTTTGATCAAAATATAAATTTGATAATTTCTTATGAATCTTATTCTTCTAAAGTTTTTAAGCATAAAGGTTGTTTTCTAAATACCAAAAATAAAAACTTGCTAATTTTAATTTTTTGACCAGAATTATTTCCTTTAGCTCATAAGGTTCTGAAGCTATTTTACATGAACAAAAGCAAACACAAACAGTATTTACTATGCCAGGCACCTTTTTAAGGGCCTTACAGAAAATGGCATGACACTTACAGGCATTCTTATTAACAAATGACAGGTGAGGGAACTAAGGCACAAAGAAATCAAGCAACCTGTCTAAGGTGACACACGGTAATGGTGGAACTGGGATTGAAACCAGAGTTGTTTGGCTTCAGAATCTGTGCTCTCAATCACGTCATACTGCCGCTCTTGAAATAACACAAGAAAATGTTTTCTTTAAATTTTATGAAAGACAAAGCAAAATATAGAAATTCAAAGTTTCATTTCAGCAGCCACCAGGAATTATGTTTTTTTATACATACCTTTCATAAACGTTATCTATTGTGTAGTTATATCAACTTTTTTCAAATCCAAAGAACGAGGACATAACTCATACAAATTTATTTTAAATAAGCCTTAAAATCAGAATTAAATTGATAAATGAAGTAATCTATTGAAAAATGTTATTTTACATCCATTCTGGGTATTACCACAAATTTTAAAAGTAGAAGCATAGCATTTGCCAGTTATTTTAAAAAACCGAGTCAATACAAATTAGTCTCAAAGTTCTTGAAAATTAATAAGTGATTTTTCTCACTACTTAACCATACCTGGAATAACCTTTGAAGAAACACTACTAGCAAACTTTAGACAACAATTATAAAACCAGATTGTTGGCAGAGGACACAACAAAATGTAAGTTAGAAAATTCATAAACATACATTTATTCAGGAAATACAATTACTAGAATCCTTGATATTTCAATGATCATTCCACATTATAAAATATTCACAAACATGTAGTTTTTTAAGTCTACACCAGGTCATGCTGACATTCTTTTTGGATAAGCCATAACCATTTCTTCTATTAAATGCTATAATATCCATTTTAATTGTAAACAAAGTACTTGAGCCAGACTACTTAAGTACTTGAGCAAAATAACTTAAAAAAATCTTAAGAGGAGGAGGACAATGATATTTTTTAAAAACATATTTGAGGCTGGGCATGGTGGCTCACGCCAGTAATTCCAGCACTTTGGGAGGCCGAGGCGGGCGAATCACGAGGTCAGGAGATCGAGATCATCCTGGCTAACACGGTGAAACCCCGTCTCTACTAAAAATACAAAAAAATTAGCCGGGAGAGGTGGCACACGCCTGTAGTCCTAGCTACTCGGGAGGCTGAGGCAGGAGAATTGCTTGAACTGCCTTGAGGTGGCGGAGGCTGAAGTGAGCCGAGATCACACCACTGCACGCCAGCCTGGGCAACAGAGCAAGACTCTGTCTCAAAAAAAAACAAAAACAAAAAACAAAAAAAAAATTTGAATCGTCAAATCCTAAAGAACTAGGCTGCTATTATCTAGTATTATACTAACAAATGAAGTGCCCACATTAAGACAGTACATAATTATTAACGACAATATTTCTCATCTGCAATTTTTAAACATGCTTTCTCAAATAACAAACACGTATTTTTGTAAGTTTTAAAGGCAAAGGGGGCAGAATGATGACAGACATAAAAAGCTCACATTTAAATTACTGGTAGATTTTATTAAAAAAAAGAAAAAAGAAAAAAAAAGATAAGACTGTAATTACTTCCCAAATAAGGAATGCCAAGTACCTTTTATTCCTAAAAGAAATTACTTGGCCAGGTGCAGTGGCTCACGCCTATAATCCTAATGCTTTGGGAGGCTGAGGTGGAAGCCAAGGAGTTTCAGGCTGCAGTGAGCTATGATCACACCACTGTGTTCCAGCCTGGGAGACAAAGCAAGATCCTGTCTCTTTTAAAACAAAAAACAAACAAACCAAAAAAAAAACAAAAAAAAAACCTAAGAAATGTAATTAATCATTAAGTAGCTGCAAATTGAACTGTTCTATTTTGATACTTCCTAAGAGTGTCCAGTGTAATCAGATCATTTTATAATGGGTTATTGACCCTAGGTGTCCTTTAGAACCACCTGGAAAGCTTTACAAAAAAAAAAAAAAGGGTGATTTTGATTTAGTTGTTATGGAATAGGACCCAGGTATCAATTTTTTAAAGCTCTGCCAGGCTAATATGTAGCTAAGATTGAGAATCACTAAGTCAACACATTTTGATATATCAAGAAAATAAATGGAAATGGGGGTGATAATTTATATTTGTAATTTACAAATCAAACATCTATCATACACTTACTATGTACCTAGTTTTATTCACGAATCATCCATTTCTAAGATAAAAATTCCCATCATTTCCTCACTGCACTAAACCACCACTGTACATCTTTGCCAATGAATGACTGTATTTTTCTATGGTCAAGATTTAAAATTCTGGGATACATTATGAAAACTGCATTAATGAAAACAACCTACTGCTATTCATGCTCAACAGTAGCAAGCTAAACTACTGTACTTGGCTCCTTTGAGCTACCCTTATTTTAAGAATTATAAATAGGTGTCAACCCACACAAAGAACAGATTGTGGATTACCGTAGGGAAAAAAATAGCTTACTCAACTTACTAAAAGTTTCAACACCAAAAAAGATTTAACTTGGCTGAAAGTTCTGAAACAGCTGAGACACAGAACCAGGAAGCTATAATTTATAATGAAATGTTGATACATACTTAAAAGCTACTGCAGCTGTAGCTATACTAAAATAAGATTTCTTCAGGGTTTACTTACCCTGAAATGCAAGAATACAAGCATAACAATAATATTACTGTTTTTATATGCACCAATACCTCTCTTTAATATATAAAGCTCTACAACAAATACCTCTAATAATTTTACAATTAAATTAAGTCCATACTTCTATACTACTTTGGTCTCAACATTTTTAAAACATCAATTAATTTTGAAAATTTACAATTTAACAACATGATCCTATCAATAACAAGCACATTTTGTAGTGGATTAAAGACACATTCAACCATGCAATCCAGTGTTCAATACCTTAATGATAAATAACAATGCTGATTGACTTTTATTTTGAAAAATCATTGAAAACTGGAATAATCATCTGAGACTCACAGTGATCACAAACATGCAGAAAAAAGCATACAATTCTATTCTTCCTGAAGGAATGTTACAAAATGCCCACTTTTTTATATAGGGTCAATATGCCAAATTACTTATATTTTTCAATCCATCATCTTCTAACATTTGTCACTTAAATTTTTCTTAAAGTACAAATGTTCCTGTAAGTTGTAACAGAAAATGAACCCCAACTCTTTCAGTCTTTAAGACCTCAGTCACAGTCCCACACTAATAGCTGCCTTTTAGTAAAATAGTGACATCCAGTGGACAAATGAAATATTTCTCAAATTCCCATATTTGAATCATAAACAAAAGTTGCCTCTTTAAATCCAACAATTTTAGTATGAGTTCCTACTTATTTTGATGGAATCTACAGATTCTCATGAATACTTCACATCATAATTTCTATGTATCTTAAATATATCCTCTTTTCTTCCTATTTAAAATCAATTATTTAAATTGAGCTAGTAAGAATGTCTACTCTTGAAGCTAGTGAGGTTAAAGGTATTACTTTTCCTTCTTTGCTTCAGCTACTTCCCACCACCAAATAACTGGTTTGTCTCTAGGAATGGAAGGACTAAAATATAGGGGAAATACTGTGCATTTAAATAAAAATGAATAGTATTTAAAAGAAATCACAAAAGATGAAATCTGAACCTGTTTTGCATTTATAATTTGATGTACGGTTGAACATAAATAGGGATGTAATAAGTAATGCTATCAATTACATCCTCTTGCCTCAATGCTCAAATATTAAGAATATGTATTTTAGCAATGATTGTTTCAGTGTTTAAAAACTTACTTTCATAAATCAGTATAAATGAATATCCATTATATATTATGTTTAAGTAAAAGTGAAAAAACTTGCACTGTACTGAGTCATGATTTACCACTGGTTATATATATTATGTGTGTGTTCAAAGTACAAAATGCAGCAATGATGTTAACATTGACAGTGTAATGAACTGCCGTAGATGAGACTGTTATGCTTAATTTCTTGGAAAACTGTAAAGAAATTTCACAGGTTAAAAAAAATAGAGTAAGCAAAAAAAAAGAATTGGAGAACTTTACTTTTAAATCAGCAGCTAAATGAAGAAAACTTTTCCTTTCTAAAAAAAGATTAAGAATGTAAAAGTACATTTTAATATTAAAAAAGCATTTTAAAAAATCTATAACAACTTTATGACAAAATCTGCATTTGAAAAAGGCCTGTAAAAACAGTAGGACAGAATTGCCCTCATCACCTTTTACTTTTTCTTGTCAGAAAAAAGTGTATGCATCTCTGGAACCATAAATGATGTTAAAATAGGCATTTATAAAATGACAAGGAGAATTTCATGATAAATTTGTTTGTTTTCTTACAATCATTGGCATTGCAGCCATTAGTAAGTCACAAGGAAAACTTCTCTAGCTAAAACGCAAAATGAAATATCAAGTTTTGAAATGTATTAGGTCTGTTGCCTGCGTTTTGCTGATCTCATTTTTTCAAAGCGCGACTCCATTTCTTCTAAGACTTTGGGTGTGTATCGTACCACTAATTTAACCTTTCCTTGTGCGGCTTTCAGCAGTTCTACAGCTTTTTCATGATGTTCTCCTTCAACACTCTAGGGGAAAAAAAAACAACCAACCATACACTAATATCTAAGTTTTGAAAGTAACTCAAAATGCAAAAATGTTTACAATATATATAATGAAGAAAAGTTTTAATGTTATATTATTCCAACATTACAAAACTAAGAAATAATCCTGCCTTACCATTTTAATCTATATGAAATCCTCTCTTACATCATATTCTGTTTATAGTCTAAAAGCTGGCTTTTAAGTTCCAAATAATTAGCATATTAATCTATATGCCTTATTATTTCAGTAGATCAAGCAATTGGCATTTTATAAGAGTAAAATGAGGGTAGACTTCTAATTTAATGTATTGCCTTTAATAAAGAGCTTATGTCATAAAAATGACATTAAGCACTGCTAATTTACACTGCAAAATACACTTATAGTGCTTAAAAAAAAGGATCACTGTATTAATAGTACTGCCTAGGATTCCCTCAAGGCATTTCTAAACCACAAGTTTCTTAGGTTTCTCCTATTACTCAAATACGCCCCCAGGTGGTCACAACAGATCACTACAAATAGAAATAAAATTCATCCTTACCACTCCATTAACAGAGAGGAGTTGATCTCCACGTTTGAGGCCCCCATGTCTATCAGCAATTCCACCTGGAATTATTCGGGATATATAGATTGGAGAGTTTTGTTCTTTGCCTCCCATAATATTGAATCCAAGGCCCTCTTCTGTTTTTGGTAGCTCAACAACTCGAGGATGAGAATGTCCTTCACTGGCAGCAAATGCAGCAACAGTAGCCTGAAAGAAAGTTTTACATATTAAAAATATGACTTTTATTTACTTCAGTTCTTTCATCTTTTGTTTCCCCCCGAGATGGAGTCTCGCTCTGTCGCACAGGCTGGAGTGCAGTGGCGTGATCTTGGCTCACTGCAAGCTCCACCTCCTGGCTTCACGCCATTCTCCTGCCTCAGCCTCCTGAGTAGCTGAGACTACAGGCGCCTGCCACCACGCCCGGCTAATTTTTTTGTATTTTTTTTTAGTAGAGATGGGGTTTCACCACATTAGCCAGGATGGTCTCGATCTCCTGACCTCGTGATCCGCCCGCCTTGGCCTCCCAAAGTGCTGGGATTACAGGCGTGAGCCACTGCGCCTGGCCTCTTTTGTCTCTTTTTAAAAACTACTTTTGAGCACGTATTTTTGACGTCTGAATGCTCACAAATTCACTGGTGATTCTGAGAAGGTAAGCTAAACAGAAGGTATTTTAGAGACGACAAATGAATAATTTCGAGTTATGCAGGAAATGTTACGATTTTTTGTTATGATTTTTTAGGTCATTCCTAGCCCATTCAGTGCCCACTCTTTTGTGCAGTCCTGTATGCGCAGGGCTTGGCAAGCAGACTTACTGGGCAGACTGATATTGTACATGGTAAGGAGGAAAACCCCTTCCCCAGCATGCTAGCAGCCCTGGGCTTTAGATCTGGATCTCCCAACTCCTTCAGGAGCCTTTGTGCAGGACACAACCTACCTATATAATCAACATGGAGTTGCCCTTATATGTAATCATTTTGGCTTCTGTACTATTTGTACTATATACTAAATATCTAAGATGTCAAGAAATAACTCAATATTGAGAAAAAGAGAGGTACATATAGCCAATCTGAATGTTTTGTTGCTTTAGTTAACTAGACACAACTAAAAATCCCCACAGAAGATGAAACAGAGCCGTATCTTCTTTAAAGCTCAACTTTAGACTAATCCAAACTAATTATAAAGTTGAGATTTTGTTTCACTTTGCTTTAAAGGGTAATTATCTAGTACCATTTTTTTGTGATGGATCACAAAAATGGGGAGGAGGAAAGAAATCAAGATTTACTGAACACCCGTTATCTTTGAAGAAATCAAGATTTACTGAATACCCGTTATCTTCGAAGCTCTGAAAAAGGCCTCATTTTTCAGATAATGGAATTAAGGCTCAGAAATTCAGTAGGCTATCAAACTCACACAACTCAGCAATTAAAACCATGTTTCTCTGGTCTTTTCTACACTGATAAACTATATCCACATGTTTAAGTATTTGTATTCAACAAAGAATCCACCATTTCCTTTTGTGAGCCAGTAACTATCCATAAAAAACTATCTGCTGATGATTAATTTAAGTCACCGACTGCTGATATTACCCTGTTCAAACCCCCTATCATGAATAGTGAGGTCAATACCTAAATTATTTGAGGAAAACAATGGCACAGAAATGCAGATAATGTAAAGAAGAAAGCAAAAATCAACTCGGGGAAGTACCCCAGCTCTATCATATGCTATTTGTGTGGTTTGCGGCAAATCACCTCATGCTTCCTCATCAATAAGATGAGGATAGTAATTCATATCTTAAAATTCTGATTAGATTTTGTATAATGAATATTATATAGTATCATATATATAACATATACAACACAATTATATATTGCATGATACATATTGTATGCAAGTACATTTCTATTGCATTATCTAAACTGCATGATAAAATAGCTTATGTAAGCTATTTATCATGCAGCATTTATGTAAAGGCAATAGAAACAAATGTCTTATTTCTTAGTACTTGAGAAATTTGGTGTAGCTTGAAAGATACATGTTAGTCTTCAAAGTAAGTTTATTATGAATTTAATAACTCCATATTTTAAACTTCTAATTTATGAAGAATTCTTACTTTTGGAAAACAAAAAAATTTACCTTTGCAGTAGCGTTCGCTCTCACTTCAGGACTGCTACTGATGTCCACAGTCTCATAGACATGTTCATATACCTGTAAAAGCCAAAGTTATATCTCAGAATATACCATGCTTGAGTTCTCTGTGAAGTTAAAATTTCAGGCAAAGTTATGCATCTTTATAAAATGGTTTTATCAGAAATTCCAAAAATGAGAGGGACTGGTTTTAATGTTTTCTAAAGTTTTTCTTAAGAAATGTTGAACCCAAATTTAGAGTATTATCTGACCTAATTAACTCAAATTTTTGTAAATTTTAATGATGTTTACTCACCTCTCTCACAGCATTGCAGAATTCACTTTGAAGGACTCTTTGCAAAGCCTGAAGTTTCTGTGGTGGTACTTCTCCACTCCTTTGTAGTTTTTCCAATAATTCAATTGCTCTACAAATATCTAGAGTTAAACACACACACAGATAATTTTCTCCAAGGGTTTTCTCAATGCCTATGTAACAGTGGGGCAGTTAGGATTCATTCCTCAAGGGCAAATAATATACAGACAATCGAGGGGAAAAAAAGCATTGAATTTGCACATTTGGTGGGAAGGAGACTGTGTGTGTGTACACACATGGAGGGTGAGAATGTAAAATGTAAGAACACTAAATTTTACAGTAGATAGGAAAAACTACTGAGATTACAGAAGCATAAAATAAGACCTTGGAGAAACACAGGCAAATTGAACACAAAATACCAAATGTCATCGGAAAGGACTGTGACTCAAATGTGACCGATACATGAACATTGTACTGCTTCAGAAAAGCTAGCAATATTGTCAGAAACTAGTCAATAAAAATTTACCTAATTATTATTAGTAACCAAAGCACTGAACAGTACAAGGCACTATAAGCTAGTAAAATCACTGGTCATTCCTCGAAAGAAACATGATACATAGGTAGATAACCACTCGAGAGCAGATGCAGTTAGTGGCAGGGACACATTTAAAACAACCATAAAAATGCAAAAAACAAGCAGTACAAATGAAATAAACTGATTTTTTTTCAACTTAATTAACACTGTTAATTCAAACAAGCTCCAACACTTATGTTTACAAAAAAGAAAAATAAAAACAATTAGCTTTATCAATCTGGTCTCAATACCACCTGTGTGACCTTGGGCAAGTTACATGATGTCCTTATGTCTCAGTTTCTTTCACTGTACAATGGAAATAACAGTACCTTCCATATAAGGGTTATGAGGAAGAGTTATGAGTTCAGTTAACAACTGAACCACAAAATACATAAAAAAGGGCTTAGCAAGCAAAAGTGTTATGTTACATTGGTACCAATTAATCATAAGAAATATTGGCTGGGAATAGTGGCTTATGCCTGTAATCCCAGCACTTTGGGAGGCCGAGGCGGGTGGATCACCTGAGGTCAAGAGTTCAAGACCAGCCTGGCCAACATGGTGAAACCCCAACTCTACTAAAAAAAATACAAAAATTAGCCAGGCATGGTGGCGGGTGCCTGTAATCCCAGCTACTTGGGAGGCCGAGGCAGGAGAAGCGCTTGATCCCAGGAGGTGGAGGTTGCAGTGAGCTGAGATTGTGCCACTGCACTCCAGCCTGGGTGACAAGAGTGAAACTCCATCTACAAAAAACCAAACAAAACAAAAACAAACAAACAAACAAAAAAAACCCTAAGAGGTTGTATACATTTATACAAATGTATGAAGCACATTAGGGAATTCTCACTGAGAAGTGTGAGGATAAGTGTTTTATGAATTGAGACATTTTAGAAGATTCAGGAAGTCAGCTATAACACTGTTAACTATCTCTACTTTTATTTTTCCAAAAACTGTTTTGGTATACTGTTTTTGTACCCCTGGTACTACAATGCCCAGTATTCTATTATTGCTTTGCTTCCTTTTGACTTAAGTAGAAGTTCCTGATTTCGTTACACTCAAGGACTGGAAATTTTTCTTTATAGAGTTAGTATGGCCTTCTTCGTGTTTGCAGATAGAAAACTATGAATAAATGTAGTAAAGAAAGATATTTATTTATTTATTTGAGATGGAGTCTCACTCTGTTGCCCAGGCTGGAGTGCAGTGGCGCAATCTCCACTCACTGCAACCTCTGCCTCCCAGGTTCAAGCAAGTCTCCTGCCTCAGCCTCCTGAGTAGCTGGGATTACAGGAGTCCACCACCATGCTCGGCTAATTTTTGTATTTTTAGTAGAGACAGGGTTTCACCCTGTTGGTCAGGCTGGCCTCAAACTCCTGACTTCATGATCCACCCACCTCAGCTTCCCAAGGTGCTGGGATTACAGGCTTGGGCCATCACACCTGGCAGAAAGATTATTTATTTATTTATTTGAGATGGAGTCTCCCTCTGTTGCTGAGGCTGGGGTGCAGTGGTACGATCTTGGCTCACTGCAACCTCTGCCTCCAGGGTTCAAGTGATTCTCGTGCCTCAGTCTCCCGAGTAGCTGGGACTACAGGTACCTGCCACCAGGCCCAGCTAATTTTTGTATTTTTAGTAGAGACAGGGTTTCACCATGTTGGCCAGGCTAGTCTCAAACTCCTGACCTCAAGTGATCTGCTTGCCTCGGCCTCCCAAAGTGCTGGGATTACAGGCGTGAGCCACTGCGCCTGGCCAGAAAGCAGATTTTTAAATTTGAGGTAAAGAAAGCTTAAACTTAAAAAGTTAATCAAATGCAATGGAAGCAAATAGACCTTCACCATTCTGATTTCCCATCACCAGAATGACCGATACATGGGGACTGTTGGTTCATCAATTATTTTGATTTATAAAGTTATAATATATAAGCCATATAAAAATTTCCAGTGAAGAAAAAAATGGAAAAAAGTAAAATGCTTTTGACTAAATCTAAAATGTACCTACTATGTGCTCAAATTTGTGTTTCATTAAATCATAGTTTGATGATTTAGAAGGCACTCTAAATCATCATATGTGATCAGGCACTGTATTGTAATTGTACTGTAGGATTTTCTACTTTAGGATCGTTGGGAGTGTTTGTTAATAGAGTCTGTTAGAATTCTAAACAAGAATCAGAGGTGATGTAATCTGACTTTCTTACCCTGCTAAATGGCAACCACTAGTACAGCTGTCTTGGTAACAGTGGGGGATTCATTAGGACCTTCTTCAGATACCACAGATATCAAGATCTGCAGATGCTCAAGTCTCTGATATAAAATGATATAGTATTGGCATAAAACCTATGCATATCCCCCCTCTATACTTTAAATAATCTCTAGATTACTTACAATATCTGACGCTACGTAAACAGTTGTTATATCACATTGTTTAGGGAATAAGGACAAGAAAAAAATGTCTGTACATGTTCTATACAGACACGATTTTTTTCTGAGTATTTTCAATCTGCAGTTGGTTGAAATATGGAACCCATGGATATGGAGGGCTGACTGTAATTCATCCTACTAAGAGGTGGAGTCTTCTACTGAAGAACAGAAAAGAAATCTGTAACAGCAAAAAACAAAGCCAAGACTATCAAAACTAAATGCCACAGAAGTTCCACATTTTGTGTTGCATTTAAAAATACAAAGACCGGCCGGGTGCAGTGGCTCACGCCTGTAATCCTAGCACTTTGGGAAGCCGAGGCGGGCGGACTTCCTAAGCTCAAGAGTTCGAGACCAGCCTGGGCAACACGGTGAAACCCCGTCTCTACTAAAATACAAAAAACAGCCGGGTTTGGCGGCGTTCGCCTGCAGTCCCAGCTACTCGGGAGGCTGAGGCAGGAGAATTGCTTGAACCCGGGAGGCAGAGGTTGCAGTGAGCCGAGATCGCGCCACTGCACTCCAGCCTGGGCGACAGAGCAAGACTACGTCTCCAAACAGCAACAACAAAAACACAAAAGACCAATACGTTAGAATCTTAACTAGCTTTCAAAGAAAAAACTTACTCCTGTTAACACCAAACAGATTTGCTCCCATCTATAAAACACAGTGCCACTGTGCTCAAGAGGAAGATGTCAGAGACTTAGGCCTAACTCGGCAAGTCTTCCCAGAGTAGCTAGTCCTCTAAAATGATGCTTTAATAGGCTTAACGGAAACAATCTCATTTACAGTGAGGCTTCCAAATGGTGAACACGGTAAAGAGCAAATCAGCAACATTAAGTGCACATTTGTTTGTGGGAAGGCATTAGGAAAGAGGTTTTTCTAAGTACAGTAATTCTAAAAATGTGTTTTCTTAGGGAACAATAGTAATATTTAGACTAATTGCAAATGTTAATATGTGCAATATAATTTCAGTCTCCATCCTACATATACATTTTTTTTTACCACCAGTACTCAAAATGTTTATTTGTACTTCTCAATTCCTATCAATGATTTCTAATGCTGGTGTATGAAAAGCATGCTTGAAATTGTTTGAAATAAAGGACTTAGGGACAGAGTGGAATGCTGGAAATCTGTAAAAGGACTGGAAACGCTGGAATGCTGGAAATCATGGTAGGCGCATAGCCAGTTATTTTCGTAGGCTTCTCTATCTCTAATTACTCAGCAGAGGTGGTTTTATTTTCCTTGACAGTCTGCTCTAGGAAGCAATCAGCCAACCAGTTTGCAATTGTAGGGTTTGTAAGAAATGAAAAACACTGCACCTGCAAGTGTTTTAGCATCTACCACTATTCGGCTTACTTACGTAACCTCCTTCCCAAGACCAAGTCAGTAGGATTGTTTTTAAAGCAACCTCTCCATTTCTAGGAGGGGCACAAAAGCTAGCAAATACCCCAACCCGAATACAAGCGAGGTTGTGGAGAAAGTAATGAAGGAGTTTGTGTGCAAACAGCGGGGAAAGGAGGTTCTGTTGAATTGTACCGTGTGTCCGTTCTCGTGCTGTACAGGCAATGAGTGTAGTCTGTGCGAACCGGGTGTGTGACGTTTGCTTTTCGGGTGTACGGGTCTCCGAATGCTGCTTCTGCTGTGCTCACCAAGGGAGCGCGTGTGCGGCGTGTGTCTGCGAAGCGGGCAGGTTGTGTTTAGTTGTGCTGTGCCTTGGAACAGTCCGTGTGAACAGAGGAGGGCTTACGGTTAACAGACAAAATACCGTAAGCGCCCTTCCTAGAGCCAGGCACAGAGACAACGGCGGCCTCTGGCGCCGGCACAAGGGACAGCGTGGCCCGGATCTCAGAGCCTGGGTCACTCCTCCTCCCCTCCAGCGACACAGCACTCCCCCAACCCTTCCGCCCACCTCCGCCGAGCCTCGGCTGCACTCACCTCTCTCCAGCCGCACGGGTTCCCCTAGCGCCGCCATCTTCTCCCTTAACCTACAGACCCACAGGAAATGACGACAGAAGGGCTGAGGTGGGGGGGCGGGGCCTAGGGGAAGCCGGAAAAGTGAGTACCGGCTAGTATCGCGAGATCAGGAAGGTGGCCGAGTGTGTCGCCGCGGCCATCAGGGTAAGGGTACCTGGACTTGCGGCTTTTTAGGTCGGCCTGGCTCCGCTCCTTCCGCGGTGACGAGGTCCCCCGGCCTCCTAGGGTTGGGAAGAGCTGCTTTCCTGACTCTCGTTCCCTGCCTCAGGCTTCCCTTATCCCAATCGCTTCGAACCCTTGGCTCAGCGTAGAGGAGTCAAGCCTGGATTCTAGTCCCACCTTGCCCATTAGCAGCTCTGTGACCTGGGACTGTTCACTTACCCTCTCTCAGCCTCAGTTTCCGCATCTGTACAACGAGAGGTCCTATCTCTTAGGTCCTTACAATTTTTAAACTCTGGGATTCGGTGGCAATTAAATGTGTAATGACATGTTGTCAGTTCTCAATTTGTGACAGCATTGCTTTAAATTTAAAAATCCACGGCTTGAATCTTCCCTCCAAATCTGTTAAGGGGTGGAAAGTACAAAGAGCATGAAACATATCTGGGTGAGGGAGAGAACAAGGTGCTTTGGTGCACCACAAAGTAACAATTTTATAAGCAGCTGATTCTTATAAAATCTTAAGTAAATGAAATATTGTGAAGCAAATAATATTCTTAATGCATTACAGATTTTTGAGCCACTTCTGAAATTTTCGCGAACCAAGAAGAATTTTAGTACTTGGATTTGACTAACATTTATCCAAGCCCTTAGTCTGTACTGATACTGTGGTAGGTGTGTTTACATCCAGCATTTCAACACTTCATGATGGGACTGTTTTAATAACCTGTTTGCCCCTGGTCCACCCTTTCCATTCACCTTTAGTATTTTCTTCTCCAAATCCATCATGGATGCCACCACTATGCTCCTTTTTCTCCCCTTGAATTCTGATTTCATCATCACAAGTTCTGTTCAGAAACTTTCAATGGTTTCTCTCCTGTTTCCTATTTCTAAAGCCTTGCATACTCTGACCCTAACTCATCCAACTAACTTCATTTCTCATTACCACTAAGTGCAACCACCACTTCAGTCCAGATAGTATAGTTTCAACCATATTTATTCCTGATTCCAAGTCTTTTTGTTTGTTTTAGAGACAGAGTTTCTCTCTGTTGTCCAGACTGGAGTGCAGTGGTGCAATCACAGCTCAAGAGAGCCTCCTGTCTCAGTCTTGCCAGTAGCGAGGACTACAGGCAAGCACCACCATGCCTGGCAAATTTTTAAATTTTTAGTAGAGATGGGGGTCTTGCTATGTTGCCCAGGCTGGTCTCAAACTCCTGAGCTCAAGCAGTCCTCCTGCTTTGGCCTCCCGAAGTGCTGGGATTACAGGCGTGGGCCACTGTGCCAGGCTCCAAATCTTCATTTGTGTTGTTCTTGTGTGGAATGCCCTTCTTCATCCCTTCCTAGTCTCCAAACTTTGTACACACTCAGTTGAACCCATTTCGTGGGTCCCTGCTGAAGGCATGCCACTTCTACCAAGCCTTTTCTCCATATTATTCCCCTTTTTTGTCCTCTGATGGCCTAAATACGTTGCAGTAACACTCAGGTGCTTATCTCTTACTCGTTGTCATTTTTTTTTGCTGCAAATGTGTTCAAGAAATGTTTATTAAACACCTAATATATACCAGGTGCCTTGATAGGAATACCAGGTAGAGCAAGACAAATGCAAACATTGCCCTTATTTCTTCAAATATTTTTTCTTTCCATTCTCTTGCTCCTCTCCTTTGGTGTGACTATTGGAGTCATGTGCATGTACATAATATACATGTATATTGAACTAACTGGCATTGTCTCACAGCTCAGTGACGCTCTGTTCATTTTTTTTTCAAGATTTTCTTTATGTTTCCTTTTGGATAATTGCTATGTTTTCATATTCATTAATCTTTTTTCAATATCTAATATTGAAATCCTGTCCAGTTCATTCTTCATATAAAACATTGTAGTTGTTGCCTCTACCAGTTTGATTTGGGTGTGGGTGTGTGTCTTACATCTTTTATGTCTTAACATGCTCAACTTTTCTGCAGCTTCTTAAACACATAGACTACAATTATAATGACAGTTTTAATATCCTTGTCTACTAATTCTATGATCTATGCTATTTCTGGCATAGTTTCTATTGATTGATTTTTCTCTTCATTACAGTTCATAATTTCCTGCTTCTTGCATGCCTGGAAATTTTTTTTTTTTTAACAAGATGCTAGACTTTGTAAAATTTACTTACTTGAAAAACAATTTTGTTCTTTTGGGTTTTGATTTTTTTTAGGTGGAACCAATTCAGTCATTTATGTAGGGTTAATTGTATCCCACTACTAAGACAGTACCCTTCAAAGTTCCTTACCCCATACCCAAAGTGAATTATGTGGTTTTTCTACTTTGGTAGGAACGGGAACTATTCTTAGGAACTGAGTTTGTGGACTTTTTTTTTGCTCTTTTCCTTTCCCTGTCTGGTAATTTATTTCTTCTTCTTTCTTCCTTCTCCTTCTTCTTCTTCTTTCTTCTTCTTCTTCAGATGGAGTCTTGCTCTGTCACCCAGGCTGGAATGCAGTGACGCAGTCTCGGCTCACTGCAGCCTCTGCCTCCTGGGTTCAAGTGATTCTCATGCGTCAGCCACCCGAGTAGCTAGGTTTACAGGCACCTGCCACCGCACCCTGCTAATTTTTGTATTTTTCGTAGAGATGGGATTTCACCATGTTTGGCTAGCTGGCCTCAAACTCTTGTCCTCAAGTGATTCACCCACCTTGATTTCCCAAAGTGCTGGATTACAGGCGTGAGCCGCCACACCCGGGTGGATGTTTAACACATGTAATCATCATAAAATTTCAGAATCCTAGGAATAGATAGAAGATCCTAGAAGT
This sequence comes from Homo sapiens, assembly GCF_000001405.40. Taxonomy (NCBI): domain Eukaryota; kingdom Metazoa; phylum Chordata; class Mammalia; order Primates; family Hominidae; genus Homo; species Homo sapiens. The sequence continues at coordinate 27,509,703 of NC_000011.10, forward strand.
TTCCAGAGAGGATAAAAAATTATATTCTAAGGATTGGAAATCAGAACAAGATTGTACTTCTCCTCAGCAGCACTGGAAGCTAAGACACAGAGAGCAACTAAATTTTTAGAAAAAATTATTTGCAAACTAGAATTCTATATCCAACTGTATTAGGTTTCTAGGGCTGCCATAACAAGATACAACAAACTGGGTGACTTAAAACAATAGATAGTCACTGTCTCACACTTCTGGAGGCGAGAAATCAGAAGCCAAGATGTCATGTGCTCTCTGAAAGTGTAGAGGATTCCTTCCTTGTCTCTTCCTAGCTTTCTGGTAGTTTGCTGGCAGGCTTTGGTGTTCCTTGGTCTGCAACTGTATTACTTCAATCTCTGTTGTCATTATCACATGGCGTCTTCCCTTGTGTTATCTGTTGTCAGCTGGAAATCATCTTACAAGAACTTCCTATTTCGGTGTGACCTTACCCTAAATTAGTTGCATCATCAGTGACCTCATTTCCATATAAAGTCACATTTTGGGGTTCTGGGAGTTAGAACTTTAATTTTTTTTTTGAAGGGAAGAGATACAGTTCACCCCGTAACACCAACCAGAGTATCAATCAGGTGTGAAGGAATAATGAAAAATATTTTACACATGTAAGTTCTAAAAATTGTTAACCTTCCATACATACTTTCTCAAGAGCTACTAGAAAATGTGCTCCATCAATAGTAGGAAGTGAGCCAAGCCAAGTACAGTAGCTCATACCTGTAGTTCAAACAACTCAGAAGGCTGAGGTGGGAGAATCACTTGAGCCCAGGAGTTTGAGGCTGCAGTGAGCTATGATTGTGCCACTGCACTCCAGCCTGGGTGACAGAGTGAGATCCCATCTTTAAGAAAAAAAGTTAGCTGGCCAGGGCTGGTGGCTCATGCCTGTAATCCCAGCACTTCGGGAGGCTGAGACATGTTTATCACTTGAGGTCAGGAGTTTGAACCCAGCCTGGCCAACATTGCGAAACTCCATCTCTACTAAAAATACAAAAATTAGCCAGGGGTGGTAATCCCAGCCCCTCGGGAGGCTGAGGCAGGAGAATCACTTGAACCCGGGAGGTGCAGTGAGCCAAGATTGCGCCACTGCACTCCAGCCTGGGCAACAGTGCAAGAATCTGTCTCAAAAAAAAAAAAAAAAAAAGTTAGCCAGTAAAGGTATGTGTAATCCAAGAAAAAGAGGATCCAATATAGAGGAGATTAAGGTGATTTCAAAATGATTAGTGTATCAGGGTGCCTCACAGAAACAGAACCAATAGAATATATTTAGATATATAGAAAGGATTTATTATGATGGATTGGCTCAGGAGACTACAGAAGCCAAGAAATCCCATAATTTGCTGTCTTCAAGTGGGAGACCCAGAAAAGATGCTTTAGTTCCAGTCCAAGCATGAAGAACCAAGGCCTGAGAACCAGAAGAGCCTCTGGTGTAAGTACTAGTCTGAGTCCGAAGGCCTGAGAACTGAGAACACTGGAGTCCAAGGGCAGGAGAAAGATATCTGAGCTCAAACAGAAAGGGCAAATATGCCCTCCCTCTGTCTTTTTGCTCTATTTGGGCCCTCAGTGGATTGGATGATGTCTGTTCACATTAGTGAGAGTGATCTTTACTCAGTTTGCTGATTAAAATGCTAATCTCTTCTAGAAACTTCCTGACACACTCAGAAATATTGTTTTACCAGCTATCTGAGCATCACTTAGCCCAGTCAAATTGACACATAAAATTAATCCACCACAATTGTGAAGGGAAGCCTAGGGTAGCAGACATGCAGCTGGCAAAGAGAGCAATCCATTCACACTGAAGCAGGGCAGAAGTGGAGGTGAGGTGTTGCCAAGAAAAAAATGAAATATGTAGTTCACCAGTGTGGGTGAGCATACTGATAACACATTTATGCATTTTAGTGGAGAGTTTGGGAATAAATTGGTGATAGGCACATAGAAAACTAAGCAAACGGGAGGAAATAAAGCAATTATTAACTCCAAAAAAACCTGAAAAGCCATGTAATAAAGGAAATGTTTATGAGTATAAGGTGGATCAGCTGCATACAACATATTCAGCAACTTTTAATTTTTTTGAGTATAAACCCTGTAATGCTGTTTGCATTTTTAAAGACATTTTAATAAAAATGAAAATTAATAAATAGGAATCACAATACTAAAGATAATATTTGATATATTTTATTTTGAAATATTTAATTTGTATTGGCCTCATCTTTTCAATTTGAAATCTTTGCTCTTGGGAAGGGGAATAAGAAAACTTAATTATAAGCACAATTTGCTGAAAAAGCACAGACTTACTAGGTTTAAAGTAGTGTTTAATGATTAGACAATTTTCATTTAATAGATTTGTACATCTGCTTTGTTTGGTATTTGAATCTCATTGTGCTGTAGTCTATGGATTTGCTACCCTTGATCAGATACTCACCCTTGGTTCAATCAATTCTATCTGGTACAGTGGAAGTAATGGTTCACCCAGGTCCCTGATAAGTCTGGGGGTAGAATATCTTCCCTTAGAAAAGGCTAGAGTACAGCAGGCAATGTATTTGGCCTGTCTAATATAGTACATTACATATACATTTGGGAAAAATGTTGCAAATTCCATAAGAGTAGCAGCCTGACATTATGGGAAGAGCACAGGACTAAGTGTCAGGAGCTCTGGTTACTAATCATAGATGAGCCACCTTGTGATAGTGTGATCTTGACAATGTCACATTCTCACTCTGGACCTGTTTCCTTATTTGGCACGACCACTGAATAAGATCTGTCTGAGCCAGCTGCAGTGACATCCACCTGTATGTAGTCCCAGTTCTTGGAAGACTGAGGCAGGAGGATGGAGGCCGGGAGTTTGAGGCTGTATGATTGCGCCTGTAAATAGCCACTTTTCTTCAGCCTGAGCATCACAGCAACACCCCAAATCTTTAAAAAAAATCTGTCAGCACATTAAAAATTACTTTACTCTATGTCAATAAAGTAATTAATATAAATACAGATTCCCTTGAACTTCATGGACTTATCAAATCAGAATCCTTAGGAGAAGGCTCTGGGAATCTATATTTTAAAAAATCCCTAGTGATTCTGACACAGCTAGCCTGACACAGGGACCTGTGTTCAGGATTTAAAAGATTATTTCTAGGGCCTTTTTCTACTAAAATTCAGTTTCCCTATAAAACTGCAGAGAAAAATTATTGAGAAAATGATTTTCATTATAAAAGAATATGTAGCTCTTGCATAAAGGGCAGCATTTCTAGCTAATTTTAAAATTTATTTTATATTATTTTAGGCATAGATAAGGAAGAAAAAAGTTTTGGAAACTACTTCTGAGAGGGAAAAATATGCCTGAAATTAACCAACAGCCAGCTTGTACTTAACATACAAAATAAACAAAAGAATCAACTATTGTGTAAGGAGAGAACCCCGAAATGTTCCTCGTTAATCGAAATTCAAGAGTATTAGCGTCGGGAAAGATCTAGAGAGTCAACTCCCTCATATTAAAGAAGAGAAGATGGATTGCTGTCCTACATTCAAAGGAGGCCATTAGGAGCATGAACCAAGGGAAGCTGGTTTTCCTTCTATGCCTCTGCCAGGTTATTAAATCACCAGGCCTCCTAATCAAGAATTGCTCTTCGTGTGGAAGAACTCCTCTTCACCTGTTGCTTCCTCATATTATTTCCTGCCTCAGAGATGTAGAGGAACTGTAAAATTAGAATAGGATGTTTGGGTCTAGACAAATCCCAGTGAAAGCTAAATTATGGAAATTTAGTCTTTGTATAACAAATGAAAACCCTAAGTAGGCTGCCAAGGTACAAAAGCTTTCTTAACCCGAGACATTGCAAATACAACGTACTAAGTGAAAAAAGGAGTGGGTGGGGAACAGTGGGAGTAGAAGGCTGTCTAAAGGGAAGCTAGGAAAATGGAAAGTAATATGGAGAAGCAACATGCTCCAAGTGGAGTGTTTTACTATTTCATTGCCTGTTGAACTGTACACAAATAGGCACTACTACATAAAATAGCTATTTGAAACAGTTATGCCATTGCAGGGTAGAACATTACTCTCAAGTAAAGGCTTCTAACTGTACAATTAAAGTCTCAATCTTCTTTTTTTAACAGAATTTCTCTGATGTACTCAGCAAAGTAAAATTTTGAATAGATTATTTTATTTGAAGTGAATGATATTGTCAAATGTTAAAGAGTCTGCATTTTAAAATAATTTAAACAATATATAAAAACACTTGGCCTAATTAAGTAATCATAACAGTATGGAAAAATCTCTTCAAGAGCACCTTTGAAGGGAAATTTTATCACAGATCTCAGATCAGAACATAGAAACCCATCTGTGAGTTCCAGAGATCTAACATAAACCCTACTTTTCCTTGTAGGATGAGTTGCAGATTCTATTAAAGTGTAAGGGTTGACTTTTTTAATGTCACTTGTTTCATCATCACTCTGTAGTACATGTAAAGGCACAGATTGATGTATTTTTCTGGCATCTTCCTGACGCACCCTTGCCCTATATAAATCGGTTTGCCAGGATCTTGTTGCTTAAATTAGCGATTGCAAACTCTTGGTCCTGCCAACACAGCCGATTGTGCCAAGGTTCTCAGCATCTACTGGCACATGAACTGTTGCCTTTTCTTTGGCTTTCTGCATGTACCTGGGGCCATCATCCTTCCTTCACAAAGCAGCAGTCTGGCTTAGTTGTCCCTGAGAAAGACTTCAGGATTGGTTGGACTCAACTCTGGCCCTCTTCAGGTTGTGCATCCTGCACAATGTATTTTCAGCCACACAATGTATTGTTCAGGATTTGTCGTGCACATACTTGCAGATTGGCAGAGCCAACTGCCAGAGATGAGAACCTTTTAAGTTGTTGTCAAACGTCATAAAATGTGTTCCGTGATTAATTTTGTGGGCACAGATTGGTTTTTGCACAGAGTCCAAAATTTAGGATATGTCACAGTGACTAAATGGCACCGGCATGCTGAATGAATTTGGAATTTGTTTTGTCAAGTGTGGGAGCAGGCACACAGATGGGCTTTGATCCAGTGGTGCTGCTTGGAATTCTCATTATAGCAATGATGTCACTTGTCACGTGGAGTAAGTGATAATGCTGCCAAATTGTGGAAAAAGCAAGGCAAATAGGAAAGTACACAGACCAAGAGAAAGGACTTAGGTAGCACAGTAAGCTTTCACTATCAGATGAATGGACATAAACATTGCTTTTGGGCTGCCAAAAATATGCATAGTAAAAATACAGGCAGAAAGGAAAACTTCCAACTGAAAGGGCCCTTAAAGTAGGGCCCCTGTAATCCAAGAAGTCTTCACTTCTTAGAGAAAATCAAGTAAAGCAAACATGTCCTTGATTTTTATATTAGGCTATGAAAGAAATTTCTGAGCTGCAATCAAGAGTCTTTCTGCAATATCTAACCAAACCAAAGCCAAAGTATTTTGCTTTATAAAAAAAACCTTTGTCTATGAAGAAGATCAGCAGTCATGCTGGGAAATTGAAAAAAACAAAAACCTTATAGTGGCAAAGAAGTACAGTATACTCTCACCAAGCATGCACATCAGAATTCTCTGTAGGGCTTTAAAAATATATTCTTGATGCAGCTACAGCAGTGCTTAGAGGGAAATTTATAGCTATAAGTGCCTATATTAAAAAAAAGAAAAATATCAAATTAACAACCTAAACTTCTATCTTAAGACACTTAAAGCAAAACAAACTAAACTCAAACTAAGTAGCAGAAAGGAAACAACAAAAGTTAGGGCAGAACTAGAATAAAATAACGATACAGAATAGGAAAACATAGAATATAAATAAAAACAATTGAGAAAGATGATGAAACCAAAATCTGGTTCCTTGAAAAGATCAACAAAATTGACAATGCTTTAACTAGACTGACCAGGAAAAAAAGAGGAATTACTAAAATCAGGAATGAAACGGGACATTTCTACTAACCTTACAAGAATAAAAAAGAATATTAGGAAATACTATAAAAATCTCTCTCTCTTGCCACACACGCAGTATATACTATATATAACTGAATGTATGTCATGTAACTTATCTAATTTGTTGAAAAATATATTTGTCACACAATTCACGTCAGAGGGTCACCATGTAAATTTTGATTCAAAAACTCGAGTATGGCATGAACATTTGTATTTTCTGAAAATATAAAGGTTTTTGTGAGTGACATGTACTTTTTGTTGAGAACCATTGATCTACCACATGGAAGGCATAAAAATTGTGGAATTACAATTAAATATGCATCAATTAGAATTAGGTATAGCTGCATATAAACACAAAAATCCAGGCTGGGCATGTTGGCTCATGCCTATAATCCCAACTTTGGCATGATCTCAGCTCACTGCAACCTCCGCCTCCCGGGTTCAAGCAATTCTCCTGCCTCAGCCTCCCCATTAGCTGGCATTACAGGCGCCTGCCACGACGCTCAGCTAATTTTTTGTGTTTTTAGTAGAGATTGGATTTCATCATGTTGACCAGGCTGGTCTCGAACTCCTGACCTCAAGTGACCCACCCACCTTGACCTTCCAGAGTGCTGGGATTACAGGTGTGAGCCACCGCGCCCAGCTATTCCCAGTATTCTGGGAGGCTAAGGCAGGAGGATCACTTGAGGCCAGGAGTTTGAGATCAGCTTGGGCAACATAGCAAGACCCTGTCTCTACAAAAATAAAAAATAAAAAAAATTAGCTAGTCATAATAGTGTGTGCTTGTAGTCCTAACTACTTAGGAGGCTGGGGCGGGAAGATTGCTCAGGCCCAGAAGTTCAAGGTTGTAGTGTACCACTACACTCCAGCTTCGGTGGCAGAGCAAGACCCTGTTTTGGAAAACAAACAAAAAACTATTTTGAAAAAAAAAAAAAAACTCACAAAAGTCCAAAATAATAGTGCATTTAAAGTGAATGAAAGAAATCCATAGATAGGTAACTTGGTGCAAGTATGACAGCCCCATGGTATCACCAGGATCCCAGCTTTTTTCATTTTGCATCACCATCCTAGGACATGGCTTCCATAGTCAAGTTCACTCATAATCTGAGATGGCTGCAGGAATTTCAGTCATTACATGTGAGTTGCATGCCAGAAAAAAAGAATAAGGAATTGCAGAAGGGTAAAAATCACCCTTTCCAGTTGAATAAGCATCTTTAAAGCACCCTTTTCAGATGTCCAACATAATATTTTGACCTATATCTTCTTAGCCAGACTCAGTTACATGTCTCCATCTTACTGCAAAAGAACTAGGAAGTAAAATCTTTTATTTTGAGTGACAAAGAGCCCAGCTACAAAATCTCAACTCTGTCCCCAAGGAAGAAAGGTAAAATAAATATGGGGATAAGCCTTCAGCAAGCTTTGCCATACTACACCACAACTTCTGGAAATTACCTTTAAACCTAGTTCCTGCAGCATTCCCGGTCAATAGATTTATTTCCCTTCATTGGAAAGTTTTCAACTTAACTCAAAAACGTTTACTAGCAGGTGCTACAGGAGAGAGGAGAAATGTCAGATGTGTTCATGTCCTTGAGGAACTTTCAGGCAATTTCAGCAAACGGAAACTACACCAATGAGACAGTAGGAATGTTATCTACCTGTATGTACTGCAATGCTATGTTTTATGGTTTGGACCACTACTTTATATTTTAAACCTAAAAACCCATTGTCTGCAAACTGACTCAAACTAAATTGAAATAAGCCACATTACTGTTTTAACCCAAACTGATTCTGAAAGCTAGTATTTACTCAACTACAAACCATTCAGTAGTGTGAAGATTAAACAAACAAGCAAACAAAAAAACCCTCTCCAGATCCTCCAGATCCATGTTTCCCCTTCCTTCCTTTCCTGTCTGTCTCTCTCTTTCTTTCTTTCTTTCTTTCCTTCTTTCTTTCTTTCTTTCTTTTCTTTCTTTCCTTCCTTCCTTCCTTTCTTTCTTTCTTTTTCTCTTTCCTTCTTTCATTCTCTTTCTTTCCTTCTTCCTTCCTTCTTTCCTTCTCTTTCTTTCCTTCTTCCTTCCTTCCTTCTTTCCTTCTCTTTCTTTCCTTCTTCCTTCCTTCCTTCTTTCCTTCTTTCTTTCTTCCTTTCTTCCTTTCTCGCCCAGGCTGAAGTGCAGTGGTCCAATCTTGGCTCACTGCAACCTCTGCCTTGATTCTCCTGCCTCAGCCTCCCGAGTAGCTAGGATTACAGGCACCTGTGACCATGCCAGGGTAATTTATTTTTTATTTTTAGTAGAGACGGGATATCACCTTGTTGGCTAGGCTGGTCTCAAGCTCCTGATCTCAAGTGATTTGCCTGCCTCAGCCTCCCAAAATGCTAGGATTACAGGCATGAACCACCATTCCCTGTTCTTAGTGTTTCTTATAACTTCCCAGATATGAACAAAACCTTGCAAAAGAGCATTTCAATAATCTTTAGCTTCTCGATCTTCCAACTGATGTGGCCATCAAATGGCTAGTCAGAAGACAAATAGATGAAGACAATAGCTTTATTAAAGTCAATTCAAATTATGACCTACTATGGTAAGACACTGTGCTGGGGTCTAGAGGCACCAGGACTTCACCCTTCTCTCAACAGCTCACAAACCCAGTGGAAAGGGTCAGACATATAAGCAACCAACAGAAACAAAGGAGATGGCATTAAATATTATTCTGCTCTTGTTGCTTTAGTTGTTGCTGCTTATTGTTGGTCTTGTTGTTGCTTTAGTTATAGGGGTTTTTAACAGAGTTGCAAAGTGTTGTGGAGTAATGAGTGGGGAGAAATGATTTCTCACTGGAGGTAACCAGAAAACAGATTAGAGAGCAGTGATTCTCAACCAGGGGCAATTTTCAAACCCATAGGACATTTGGCAATATTTGGAGATATTTTTAATGGTTATGACAATGGATAGATGGATAGTCAGGGTGAGGGTTGGTACTGGCACGTAGTGAGTAGAGGTCAGAGATGCTGCTAAGCATTTTTCAATGCATAAGACAACTCCCTACAACAAAGACTTACTCAGCATAAAATGTCAGTAGTACCTAGGTTGAGAAACCCTGCTTGAATAAGATGGATACGTTGTACAAGAAGGATCAGAATTTTCACAAGTGGATGAATGGGGACAAGAATCCCAGAGAGAGTACTAAATGAGCAAAGCCCCATTGGAAAAAAAATATAGGCCCTGTTCAGGAAGTAGGAGGGAGGGCTTCAGTGGGGTATAGGTTACACAACGGAACCTGAGGAAGCTGTAAAAGGAAAGGGGGCTTAGCATTTAGATTGAGGCTGAGTGCAAGCTGCTAAAGTTTGGATTTTATTCTTTTGGCCAGAGTGAGCTATTGAAGGATTTAAAAAATGGAAGCAATAGGATTAAAAGTGTGTTTTAGAAATAAAATCAGAGGGAAAAGCTTTGATTCTCATAGCAGATTGTAAGAAAATTCCTTTAAGGGAGTCACCCTTATTTTGGGTGTTGTCTGATGTTTATTAACCTCTGGTTGTTGGAAAATAGCAAAACTGCAGAGAAGGGAGAAATTCTGCATATTTGGGCCTGGGTTGGATGGGCAGTGAGGGGTGAGGAAGGCCAAGGGAATGAGAGAGTGGTGCAATGCTGATGTTTGTGCTGTGAGACCCTTCTTCATGGCTTCCAGAGCTTTGGTAATCTTTACAAAAATTATAATATGCTTGTGCTTGGATTTCTTGTGCAAAATGACTATATTTGGGTTGATTGTGAAGATTGGGAGAGGAGGTTGGTGACAATGGTGCAATGGTAGCATAGAAGTAATAATTTGGATGCTTCTATAATGGGCAGTTTCTTCTCCTACTTCTTCCTTTCAGATCCTGTAGTCCTGTCCCACAGAACTGCTCATGCTTCTCCAGTACGCCAGTCTGCATCATACTTACATGCTCTTCTTTCTGCTTGGCACGCTTTCCTTTTCTAACAAACTTCTGCTCATCCTTCAAGACCCACTTCAAATGTTCCATTCTCTGCTCTGCCCTGTATACAAAATATCAATATTGTATTGTGTTTGCTAAAGTGTTTATTTTCCCCAACCAGAGAGTGAGCCCCTTCACGGCTAAGAATGGCATTGTAATCATCACTGACTCTCCAGCAGGTAGCAAAGCATATTACCGAAGCTCCTTGATCATTTGCTGAATGAACCATGGGTAATAAAATCAGTGAGTGGCAGAAAGATTGTGGCTCTGGGCCTACATAGCCTTTGCCTGGTTGCTGTTAGAACTACATTTTCTTCTCTTTATTAATTTTATATTTTAAACTTCATCCCCAAGCTTAAACATTTCCTTCCAATAGATGATATTCTATCAGGAAGAGAAAAAAAAAAAAACCCAAAGTACAACTTTAATCCTTGAGTGAATGGGCTAAAATCAGGTTTCAATATGCTTTTTAGAATACTTCCATGTAATTAATTTAACATTGACCTGCTTATTAAGAGTCCATTATTAAGGAAACAATTGTAAAAGTCATTAAGGGCATTTCCACAGATCTTAGCTACTGACTCATCTTGCTAGTTCTCAATAAACGTGACCTGAAAATCTCTCATTCGCAGTATCAGGTAAAATGTTATTTTTCTAACCATTAGGAAACATTTACTCTTGGGCTGATTTTTATGTGTTTTTATTGTTGTTGTTAATGTGAAGAAAGTCCTATACAGGAACAGCTGCGCATATGGGTAAATGCCTGGGAATGGTTTAAAGATGCCTTTTCAAAACATCTTCCCCACACTGGTATTATGCAATGCCTCTGTCTCAACAATTAATAAGTATTTCCTTTTGAGTTAAACCATGAAGTATATAGTCACACTAGCTCATTTTGAGATAGGGCAAGACTCTTCTGGCATCAGAAACCCATATTTGGAATGTGGATATTTTGTCTTTTCTGTTTGTTATTTCATCTTATGTTTTCCTTCAGGATTTAGTAAAATTCTTTATGAAAGTATAAGCTGGCTTAGGTTAGGGGTTTTCAACTCTGCTAGGGGGCAAGTTTAATGAGGGAGCCATTCATCCTGGATCTGAGGAAGTCGTAAAGATGACACCAAAGTTTCAAAGGGCCCCAGAACCCTGGCAAGGTTCTGGCATGACCCTCATCCCTCGTCCCCCAACACTGACAGCCTCTCCACCACAATCTGCCTAAGAGACAATCCAGGACAATCTCGCCACTCCCTTCATCCCATATACCAAACTATAAGGTCATTCCTAATAGTCTAGATCTACATCCTGTTTGTTTATTCCCTATTCTGACCCCATTGCCCATTTCCCACTTCCACCCCTTTTCTGTGCTCTGTGGCCCATTATCGGCTAAAGCCCTCATATTCTCAACCTTTTCTCTTAGTGTCTCCTACACATTATTTTTTTAACTGAAACCTGGACCTCTGAGTCCTGCTTTCTTGTAGCCTGGTTGAGTGGTGCTTATTTTCTTTTCCACACCCCTTTGAGTTAAGGCAGGAAGCCTGTAATTATTCCAGGTTCCTTTAGGATAGAGTATGACTCTTGTGAGACCAGAAACATATAGCCTATATTTGGAATGTGAATTTGAATAGAATTCCGGACTTAGAGATGGGGAGATGTCTCCCTGGTTTTTATTGCTCCTATTAGACCAAGTTCTCTTCTCCCTTGGTGTGAAATTTAGACATCATTACCAGCTACCCTTTCTTATTGCAGTTATCTGCTGACTGGGTTACTTTCCACGTTCTTTGAAGATGTAAACTCCCAGCTTATCCGCACTTGTTTGTGACAACAATTTTTCTGTCACAATTCCTAGATGATCATTTCAATACTCTCTGGCATCTGAGTCCCTTGACCTCTTCTCCTATAATGATTTCATTCTCTTCCAACCTCAGCCACTCATGCTCATGGAATGAGCCATTCATAGCCTCCCCTCAACTTTGTCCTTATCAATAACTCCTCATCTTCCATAATCTCCATCTCCCATCCAAGAACTAACCAGGTCCGACCATGCTTAGCTTCTGAGCTCAGACAAGATCAAGCATGTTCAGGGTGGTATAGCCATAGATCAAAATCTCAATCTCAAGCATTCTACCCTAGGCCCACCACCTCATATCTTTCCAGCTCACTGTCCCTCACATTCTGACTTAAAAATCCGTTGACCTAACAATGAATTTGTCCTACCATCTTTTCACTGTCCTTTACATCCTGTGTATCCTTACCTCCTTATCCATCCTAGATCTTATAGTCTATCATAATCATCACTCACTTTATACAACTGTAACTCCCTGGAGCCTCTTTCATGTTTTTTTTCCTTCTTTGGAAAACCCCCAATCCTAGTTATTTGCAGCCCTTTTCTTACTCTGTACCTGTTTTCTGGTTGCTGAACTTGGCTGGAGGAAAGTACCCAATCTACTGCTTGGTATCACTTTAAACTCATGAGCCCCCAAATTTAAGTGGGCCCAGCAATTCTAATTCATTCAAAGAGTTTGTGAACTCTTGCTTCACAAACATGATCTCAAACCTTCTGCTCTCTCCTCAAACTTTTGCGACTTCTTGGTTCTTTATTCTCAGCTGATGGCCTTGATTTCTTTTACACGGCGAAAATGGAAACAATCAGAGGAGACCTTCCACATGTGGTTCCCATCACTTCTTCCAAACCTGCTTGCATCTTCGCCTGTGTCCCCTCATCCATTCTGTCCTCTGAGGAACTGTCCATGGGTCTGTCCAAGGCACAGCCCTCCTGTTCTACACTAGGTCCCAGGATCTCACATCTACTCAAGGAGATCACTCTAGCAATTTTACTCTAGCCATTTTGGAGAGGCTCTCTCTTCCTGTTTGTTTTTTTTTTTAATTTTTTTAATTTTTATTTATTTATTTATTTATTTTAGATGGAATCTTGCTCTGTCACCCAGGCTGGAGTGCAGTGGCATGATCGTGGCTCACTGCAACCTCCACCTCCCGGGTTCAAGAGGTTTTCCTGCCTTAGCCTCCCGAGTAGCTGAGATTACAGGTGTGCACCACCACTCCTGGCTAATTTTTGTATTTTTAGTAGAGACGGGGTTTCACCATGTTGGCCAGGCTGGTCTCAAACTCCTGACCTCAAATGATCCACGTGCCTCGGCCTCCCAAAATGCTGGGATTACAGGCATACGTGATGACGCCCAGCCAAGGCTCTCTCTTCTTCCTCCTGATCAATTTATGTCCATCAGTATATAAATATGCTTTATTTCTATATTAAAATACTTTCCCTTGATCTCAAGCTTCCCTGCAGCTACCTTTGCATTTTTCTTATCTTCTTTATAACAAAACTTCTTCAAAGTATTGTTCATACTTGTAGTATCCATTTCTGCTCTCTTACTCTCTCTTCAATAACTCTAAGTAGACTTTTATCTACACCACTCCACCAAAACAACCCCGTCAGCATCTCCAGTGACTTCCACGTTGTCAAAGCGAATTGTCAGTTTTCAGTCCTTATCTCACTCGAAACAATTGATCACTGCCTCCTTGATACATTTTCTTCATTTGATTTCTTGGATATCATCCTTTCAAGTCTGAGCACTTACAGTGTGGCCATCTCAAATAGAGATGTCTGAGTCTTCTATCAAAATCTTCGCTGACCTTATTGGGTACTTTCTCAATCTTTCTAATGGTTTCTCTTACTTGGCTTCTTAATTTTGGAGGACCCTGAGAATTCTATCCTTAGACCTGTTCTTTGTCTACACTCACTCACTAGATGACCTCATTTGGTCTAATAACTACATACTATCTAATAACTATATACTATCAGTGCTATCCCATACAAATATAATGCAAGCCACATTGTAGATAGGTGAGTCACAGATATAATTTTGAATTTTCTAATGGCCACATTAAAAAATGAAAAGGAAACAGGTTAGATTAATTTGGTAACATATTTTATTCAGCCCAACATATTAAAAAATTAACATTTCAACATGTAATCAATGTAAAATGAGTAATGAGATGTTTTTCATTTTTTAAAAATATTATTTGAATTTCAGTGTGCATTGGCATTTATAGCACATCTCAATTTGAACTAGCCACGTTTTAAGTGCTCAGTAGCTGCATGTGGCTAGTGGCTACTATATTAGATAGCACAGACCTATATGCTGGACATTGGCTTTTACTGAGTGAGATAGCCAATGGAAAGGTTTTTTATATACAAAGTTTTAAATTTAAAAATATATATACAGATAGGGTCTTACTATGTTGACCAGGCTGGTCTCAAACTCCTGGCCTCATGTGATCCTCCCATCTCAGCTTCCCAAAGTGCTGGGATTTACAGGCATGAGCCACTGTGCCCAGCCCAAATGGAAAGTGTTGGGGAGGGAAATGACATGACTACTCTTTTTTTTTTTTTTTTTTTGAGATGGAGTTTCACTTTTGTTGCCCAGGCTGGAGTGCAATGGCACGATCTCGGCTCACTGCAACCTCTGCCTCCTGGGTTCAAGCGATTCTTCTGCCCAGCCTCCCAAGTAGCTGGGATTACAGGCGTGTGCCACCATGCCTGGCTAATTTTGTATTTTTTTTTTTTTTTAGTAAAGACGGGGTTTCACCATGTTGGGCAGGCTGGTCTTGAACTCCTGACCTCAAGCGAGTCACCCGCCTCTGCCTCCCAGAATTCTGGCATTACAGGCATGAGCCAGCATGCCCAGCCATACTACTCATTTTTAAAAGGCCATCCTGGCTGCTCCGTTGAAAATAAACAATGTGGGAGTAAGGGGGCAGCAGAGAGACCAGCTAGAAGGTTAGTATAGGTCAAAGATGAAGGAGAGAGTGGGATAGACTGGAAGAAAAGTGGTATGTTGAAGGTAGAACATGTTGAAGAATAGGATTTCCAGATGAATTGTACAGAAAGAAAGCAGTCCAGGGTGATCCCTGGATTTTTAATCTGAACCACTGGAGGAATTGGAAGAATAGAGTTGCCTTTAGGTGAGATGGGGAGGACTGAGATCAATAAATTTTGGAGAAGCAGAGATCAGTAGTTTGAATTTTGGATTTGTTAAGTTTGAGTTTTCCATTAAACGAACAGACGAAAACCACAAACAACAACAAAAAAATGAAGATAGCTTCTGATAGCAACATGTGTCATGAAGAAAAGAAAATAGCCATAGAGTGACTGAGGAGGAGTTTCTTAGACAAGCTTGTCAGTGAAAGCGTCTCTGAAGAAGGGGCATTTGAACTGAGTCCTGAATGATGAAATGAGGCCAGCCAAACAAAAATCTGGAAGAAAATCATTTTTAGTTAGAGGGTACTACAAAGATAAAAGCTTGGAGGCAGGAATATCTGAGAGACAGAAAAGCGGCCAATGTGTCTGAAGTGGGTAAGATGGAGAAGCAGATAGGGACCAGTCATACAGTGCCTTGTCAGTCACAGTGAAGGAGTTTGGATGCTATTTTATGCACTGAAGGAAGCCTTTGGGAGGTTTTAAGCTAGACGTAGCATGATCTGATTTATGTATTACAAAGAAAACTCTGGCTCCTGGATGGCGCATGGATTTGTATTATACTAATTATTATTGCTATTATTATTACAGGAGACAAAAGTAGAAGCAAGGAGAGCAATTAGAAGCTTTTACACTAACTGGGCAATACATTATGGTTCTTTCCACTACACAGCTCTTCTTCTCTTGCCTCTAAGTCTTTTCTTGATTTCAACGAATTCCTGGAGTGAGAGAATGTGTATTCTTAGTCTCTGTGCCCTCTGACATGCCCAGCACTATGTCCTGCCCACAGCAGAAGGCTCAGTACTTATTTTTGAGTGAATTATATGGCTCTTCTCATCAAGGCTGAGGAGCACATTTTTAAAAAATATATATTTGTATTTTTTGTACATAGCATATTGTCTGTCCCATAGTTAAGACTCAATGAATGTCTGTTGGAGTGGGGCAAGACCTCACTTCAGATAACCAGTTTACTGAGAGAGATCCTTGGATAGGCAGAGGCAGCAAAGAGGGTTTGGGCCTTGCTAGCATGGAGGGTAGGAGGAAGGCAGGGAAGGTGGAGCATGTTGAGAGAAGAGAGGTGGATAAAGTCACCCAGCTCTGAGCAGGCCAAGGGTAGATTTGGTCTATATTTTAATTTAAGGCTGGCCTGGTTTCATTGATGGTGATATGATCCCTATGTGTGGGAATAGGTGAAATGGTTTGATCACAATGGGACCATAATCCATTACCCAAAGCCTTCATTAAGGAGATAATTCTGTTCAGCCTCACACATAGCCAGGCCTACAGGAATTTGCCATCCAGCACCAATACTGATGCTACAAGTCCCAGCAAACACAGGATGGCAGGCCAAATTCAAGCTTTCTGGCACTCCTCCTCTTCTGGCTGAGCCCGATGTCCTCAGGCCTAATCTCAGGCTGGCAGAGAGTTAAGTGCTGGGCTGAGTCTGTGCTTTGCTGCATGTGCTGGACTTGCATTTGATTCTGTCCAAAAGAGGTCTGTGGACCAGAGGGATGACATTTGGCACCAAGAAAGTAACCCAGGTGTCTGTCTCTTTTTCAGTCCCAAAGCCTTATTCTTTTCCCTCAAGTCTATGCAATCGTTTGGAATCCATCACTCATCACCTAGAGGTTTCAGTGCCTTTAGATTAGGGTTCTGCACCCATAGCTGATGATCCACTGGACTACCACACTTGGCACCTGAACAGAGCCAACAGGACTGGTTACAAATTCGTTGTTAATTACTGTGTGTAATTACACTAGACCCAAGGTTGGAGGGAGACACCCTACTCTGTTGTTGTCTTATATACGAATTCTGTATAATTTTTTAAAAGCCCACCATTTTTACTTTCTAATTAGGATATGGGGATTTGGGGCAGCAACCTTTGTTATTTAATCATGCTTTTTCTGGGGAGGGGAGGAGAGGAAAATATTTTCCTTTTTCTATCAACAATTGCTCTCTTTTCCGCATTAAGAGGGTGGAAACTTGGTTCCTCCCTCATCCCCTTTAGGCAAAGAGTCCATGGCTCAGATTCATAAAGGTTGTTGATTTTGACTTTGGGTTGCCCTACTCTGTTTTTCCCCACCTTTCATGCTAACTAACACAATACATAAGTCTTCCTAGCCAGCACTCCCTAAGGGTGGGGTAGAAACACAGCCCATTAAAAAAATTTTTTTTAAAGCTTTGAGTAATCTCCTTTTTATATTCACCCAAATGAACCAGGTTGGTGGCATATTCTCCTTTGTTTTTACATCTGAGACGTACTTAAAGTTTAAATAGTGCCAGAATGAATCACATTGCTTGTGTTCTTATACCCAGCTGCAAATCATGCCAGGCTCAAGCCCAGGAACACAAGATTGCATGCACGCAGAGAGGGTCACTGCTGTCTTATCTACTCCTGCTCTGCTAAAAAATTGCATTTATTTATTTATTTGTTTTTGAGATGGAGTCTTGCTCTGTTGCCCAGGCTGGAGTGGCAGTGGCATGATTTCAGCTCACTGCAACCTCTGCCTCCTGGGTTCAAGCAATTCTCCTGCCTCAGTCTCCCAAGTAGCTGGGACTACAGGGGGCCTGCCACCATGCCTGGCTAATTTTTTTGTATTTTTAGTAAAGACGGGTTTTCACCATGTTGGCCGGGCTGGTCTGGAACTCCTGACCTCAAGTGATCCACCTGCCCCGGCCTCCCAAAGTGCTGGGATTACAGGCGTGAGCCACCACAGCTGACCAGAAAATTGCATTTATTATATACTGCCCCGTCCCCATCTTGGCATTCTGATATCATTGTTGCCCATCCTTTCCTTCCCATTGAGAGAGTCA
The DNA here is from genome assembly GCF_000001405.40 of Homo sapiens. Lineage (NCBI taxonomy): Eukaryota > Metazoa > Chordata > Mammalia > Primates > Hominidae > Homo > Homo sapiens. The sequence continues at coordinate 27,527,438 of NC_000011.10, forward strand.
ACATTTCCCCTTTCCCATCCTATTCTCATTCCTACTTCTAGCTTTACTATCTACTGTATAACCTGCTGAGCCTCAGTTTCCTCAGGAGTAAAATGGAGATAATAAGAAACACCTGCCTTGCCAGTGTCACACAGCTATTGAGGATCAAATGAGATAATGGGATAGGAAAGTGCTTTATTTCTACAAATGCAAGCTATTGTCAGTATCATTTACTTAACTATTCTTCGTTAGCTAGCTACGTAGTCTAGCTTACCTTGTCGTGTTCCAAATGTGGAAGGCTTGCTGTTTCTGGTAAGTTGAGGACCATTTCAAAGCCTCAAGAAAATGATTAGAAATGAACCAATGTGAGAACATTTTCTTTGTTGGGTAGTTCATCCGATTATTATGTATGTTGTTTGTCTTCTTTTAATTTGGATATAGGTTGCCTTCAGCTGCCAGTACTGTGAAATAAGAGACGATATTATAAATCCTTTGGAGATTAAGCATTTCCATCCTAATAGCTGCTGCTCAAAATTTGATTTCCCCTTGATTTTCAATAAAAGGAGGATAACAGAATGTTATTCATTCTAATTATAAAGCAACGGGAATTCTAGGCATTACTTTACAAATAGCTGCTTTCATGTCAGAATAATGAGTGTTGAGAGGAAGAGCTCTGAGCCCTTTACTATATTCTTTGTTTTCATTATTTTTGTACCTGTAAGGAAGATGGACACATTGAGGGACAGAGACTCCACAGAAGTTGTCTGAGTTGTGACAGCTTCTCATCTTCTTTTTCATTTCCGCATTTAACATATTTTCTACAGGCTTTGTAAAGAAAATAACTCAGTCTATGTTTACAATTTTCACACTGGCTTTAACTTATTTTAACTTATTTTATTTTTGGTTGGTGTTCACCCTGGGTTTCTGAGGGTTTTAAGCTGTCTGCAAAAAGCTGCTATCTTTGTCTCCAAAGAATGGTTAAGCCACTTTTGTAGAATCAGAATGTTAGGTGAAGCCCATCTTTACATAGGAAAAAGCAAAAGGAACTAATATTAATTGAATGTTCACTACATGCTGGGTCTCATGCGAGGCTCTTTACACATATCATTTTACATAATCCTCATAGCAGCTCTATATTATATAATATGATCTACATTTTTTTCACAAGTAAAAAAATATTTAAAGGGAGCAAGTTACATCATCAGAGCTTAAAGATACCTGTGCTATACCCCTATAAAAAATCTAATTCACTATGTGTTTTGGTCTATGGCATTTACATTTTTGAAACATTTTATCTTTCCTAAATTGTAGTTACTTCCCCCTACCTTGACAGATAGATATTGTATTGTAAAAATACAATAGAACAAGTATCTTTTAAAAAATATGAAAACAAAACATTTCTAGTCAATTGTTGAACTTCTTTCAAAGTTCTGGGTTAATATCAGGTAGGCCTTTTACTAATGCATTTTATTTCCTTCTGTCTGCCACCAGCTGGAGCTACTGTATAAAAGCCAACCATTTTGAGTTCAAAATATAACTCTGCAATATGAAGGTAGACTACTTTTGCTCCTAAACAATTTGAGAATAAATTGCAAGGAATTAAAGATTGAGAAATGCAATGTCATAGATGGTTAAGTAATTGCTATTGATCACTTACTAGTTATGCAATTTGGGCAAATTATTTTGACTGTGACTCCCAGTTTAGTTAGTTATGAAATGGTTATAACTACCAATCTTGTGGGGATCACTGTAGGGAAAATTAAATGTTAAGAAATTAGTAAGGAGCCTACCACATAGTATGTACTCCACATGTGTTCATTAGTATCATTGGCAGTTATTATTATTCATTTTGTTATCAGTATCACAGCCCCAGGGATGCTCAATTCATTGTAATTACAATTCATATTATTACTCATTATCGTGTGCCTGGCAAATGGCAAGTGCCACTTGACCTCCCATTGCTCAGTGTGTGATTTTTGGGTTTCAGTGTGGTGGACTGTAGGATGGCACCCACACAAAGAGGCATTCTGCTTGGATGTCAAAGGAAAGGAACCTGTGAGAGGCATTTTTGAGGTTGATCGGGTCATTTTGGGTCAGAGCAGTATTTCCCAATATATGTTCTGTAGGATTCTTGTCTCAATGGATCAAATAAGAATGAGAAATATACCATATATATCCCTTTTCCACTTCACGGAGCCACAGTGCATGTAAGTATATTTAAGGCTCTGAAAAATACTGTGAGAATCAACCCTTCTTCTATTTATACCTAATCATAAGTGATTTCTCCATTTTCTCCATGAAATTTTAAAAAGTTGATATGTAATATATAAATTTAGATGAATATAGGTATTCATGATTTCATATTATAGAAAAATATGTTTAGAAATATGGCTTTTAACTCAAATTTTATGTCTTTTTTCCACTTAAATTTTATGAGAAAGACATCAGTGTTTTCCTCCTTATTAGCACCACCTTTGGAGTCATGTAATTTTCTGGAGCACTTACTGGCTCACTGGTTTGAGTCACAGCGGTTTTTAAATGTGTATGATTTGCCACAGTAGATTTTATTTCTAGTTATAAGTATCCGTTTGTATAATACCTGAATTAAAAAATTCATCCTAGTGTATTTTTATAATTGTTATAATAAATGATCTTTAAAAGGTTTTTTTTTTAAAAAAAAAAGCAAGTAAAATTGTGAGGTTGTAATTTCAGAAATAATTGTGAATTTTAGTTAAATTTACTGGCCTTCCATTTAATACTTTTTGTCAGGTAACCTCTACTAATTTGACACCAAAACTAGCATTTATTTGGTTAATATGTTCGCCCTAAATAATACGTGGTTGATAAAGCAATTATAAGAGAGCCCAGTAATACAGGAGCTGCTATAAGAACTGGAATATATGACAATTCTTTCTTTTCTGAGGGATAATTTGAGGAAAAACCTTGTCTCATATCTATATTTACATAACCCAGTGTTGTTTGTGTGTGAATGTGTATATGTGTGCTGAAATACCTGTTTACGTGCTAGAAACACCCTCGTGGTAATGGTGGCATAGTGGGTAATTGTTTTCATCAGGATTTTTCTTGAGAATAGGCTGCTAGCAAGTGCTGTATGTGACAGAAACTTTGGCCAAAAATCTGTATTTATAACTATATCAATTTCTTGTATTTTCTTGTTCATTTTAACTTGCTTTTCCCTCAGAATTTAATCAAGTCTTCAAAAAAAATTATGGCAGAGTCACTCCCATCCCTGAGACACTTGGTCAGGAGCTTTACAGAAGGTTAGATACTCCATTAAGGTTAGAATGGTGGTGGATTGGTGGTTAGACCACAGAAGAACCCCCAGGGGAAGGTAAAGGCCTGGGGATAAAGACATGGCCCTTTTTATTCTGTCATCCTTCTCTCCTTGTAATCTCAGCACTGATGAACCATTAGAATCTCCATGGAAGGTTTTAAAAAAACACATGCTGTCACCTGAGAACATTTAAGTCAGAATGTCTGGGAGTGGACCCCAAGCATTAGTGTCTCTCAAAGTCTTCTTCAGGCTTAAAAGGGTTAAACCTTCTAGACAATCATCAGTCCTTTTGTGTCTTCCTCCTAAAAATTTGAACAGTAGTGACCTATTAGAAGTCAAGAGTTGGATCTAAACTGAGAAAGCATCTGTGCATTGTGCTCTATTTCTTCGTGTAGCTTCTCCCCACTCCCAAGTCACTCCTAATATTTCCATTATAGATTTAGACACAGAAAACCCAGATGAAGAAGCTGCATGCTCCCGATGGGATGGGATGATATTGGTAATGGGAAGTCTCATTTCTGAATTGAATTTGAGTGCTGGGAAAGCATATTGGCTAATGTTTCAGTCCTTTGGTTGAATTTGTGTCTTTGACAACAAATGCTTGTGGTTGAAGTTATACAATTCTCATCTCTTTCCATTTCCCCTCACTGGGGCAGGCTTCCTCTGTGTATTTTTTTCCTCTGATGGGAAAGAGCATCTGCAGCTACTTTTCTTCTCAGCCAATAGACTACCTTCTTGTGAGTTATAAAGAGGATAATATGTGAATCAGAAGCCAAGACTAGAACCCTTCTCCTATGGACATGGTCTATTCAGGAGGCAATTTTAGAGATAAAAATCAGGAACACCAGTTCAATAATAATAATAATACCTTAGAAGTTAACATACCTTTTAAAACACTTTCATATTTGTCCCTTTTCTCTTGAACATTCCAAAGAGATTGACAGGACAAATACCAATCGCCTCATTTTAAGATTAAGAAACGCAGATGCTGTGAAGATAACTCAGTTCCCCATGATAACATGGACAGGGACAGAGGTCGGACTAATAACTGGTTCTTCAGTAATTACTCACCTTGAGCAGCTCTGAAGGTCATAGAGTAGACCAGTGAGTGGTTCCCAAACTTGGCTGCTTACTAGAATGGCATGGGAGGATTATAAAATAACACAATTATGCCAACTTGCCTCTGGGGCTCTAATTCAATACACCTGGGATGGGGCTCAGGGAATCTGTCATTTAAAATAATTTCTTCATAGTTGTTCTCAATTTTGACTAAATATTAGAATTACCTGGCAGGGAGGGGCTTTAGAAAATCCCACTGGAGAATCACTTGAGCCCAGGAGGTTGAGGCTGCAGTGAGCTGTGATCATGCTGCTGCACTTCAGCCTGGGTGACAGAGTGAGACTCTGTTTAAAAAACAAACAACAGCAACAACAAAAAACATTTCCCAGATTGTATTCCAGACAAATTAAGTTAGAATTTCTAGTGCTGGGACCCAGGCATCAGAGGGTTTGTAAGTATCTCCAGGTGATTCCAATGTGGAACTAAGGTTGAGAAACACTGCTATAGACTAGAGCTTTACAAACTCTGTTTTTCAGAATTTCAGCACAGCAAGAAGGAAAAGACAAGTGTAGAATTGTCACATGTCTGGAGTAAGAAGACCAGGATTCAAGTCCTGGCTCTGCCTCTTGGGAATGTCACTTCATCTCTCTGAGCCTCAGTTTTTTATTTCATAAAATGAGGAAAATGAGCAGTACATACCTCTCAGGGAGGCCATGAGGGTTAGATGGGATATTGCAGGTGGAATAACCAAGCACCAGCTATTCCTGCTGTTTTCCAAAGAACTCCATTAAGATTGTGTGTGTGTGTGTGTGTGCGTGTGTGTGTGTTTCCCCCTAGATGTTCCCTTTGTGTTCAAAGTTTCCACCCTCAACCTTACACAGAGTTAGACTTGTAGGGCATGAAACAGAGCTCCAAAAGTTTCCACTAATGAAATAAGGTTTGGAAATTAAAGGAATGTCGTTAAGGCTTCTTTTTGCTGTTGCTATTGGCATGTTCAGCCCTCTGAACCTTGGAGTTATGAATCTGCCAGTTTGCTAAATGCATACTCAGAAGGGCAATTTCGTTTTCAGAATACAAGGACACTTTAGCTATTACTACTCACCCTCCCCATTGCTCCTTTCTAGCTCTTTGAGCTCCCCTGAATGTGCCCCCAAGCACCTCTTGTTTATTCCCATTCAGCAAATTAAGGAAGGTTCTAGTATGCGTTTCTTATGCAGCAAATGCTGAGTTCACTGGAACTCAGGCCTGCTGGAGAACAAATTAACCCATACTATAAACACCCACTCTCTTGCCTGACAATTTGCACTGGTTAGAACAGAACCTTCTAATATTAGGAATGGTGGTGTGAGGATCATTTCATAACCACAAACACAGCAAAAGCAATCATGAAATTATGGATGACTCATTGTCAAAGGAACACTTGGATCATTTTGAGCAACCCCCTAGGTTGATCAAATGAGGAAACTTCTGCACCAAACTCACACCGTGCCATTAGTCTTCTCTGTAATTGATTGTTATTGCCAGATTTGTCTCAACCACATCAGACCTATTTTTAAACCTCTCATAATTGCCTTCTCACTAAGTAAAATATTGTTTTTTGAGCACCTTTCTTTTATTTCATATGTGTCTATTTGTTTCTTTCTTAAACTGGACAGTGCATTGAGAACAGAGATTATTTCTTATTTATCCTAAATAAAATAGTACCTGGTGCACAGTAGGTTCTAGTACATAAATGTTAAATGTACCATAAATTGTACATTCTTTCCCAATGAAAGAGGTTGTTTCTAACAAGCTAAGGAAACTAAGATTTGCTTTGTATACCACTTTCTCTAGGGTTCCATGAACAAATAAATTTTGCCATGATATATACACATATATATTTTAGAGAAAGAAAGGAGCGGGGAGGAAAAGGGAATGGAGAGGAGGGGAAGGGAGGAGAGAGGAACAAAAGGAAGGGTGAGAGAGAGATAATACTAAGTTCTTGATACTATTTAAGGTGTTGGGATACAAAAATGAACAAAACTGCCCAAAATACTTGCTCTCAGAGTTTCCACTCTTGCGTGTTTATGTGTGTGTGTGTGTGTGTGCATGCATGTAATGAGGAAACAGACAAAAAACAAAAAAGTAAGTACAATATAATAGTGTTAGATCATGATCAATGCTGTAGAGAAAAATAAGTTAGAGTAAGGGAATAGAGAGTGCTGGATGGAGTGGGCTATTGGATTTTAAAATGGAGTAGACAGGGAAGGCCTCGCTGTGAAGATGAAACTTGAGCAAAGACTTGGAGGTGAGGCTGAGAGTCTTGAAGCTATTTGGGTGAAGAATATTCCAGGTGGGAGGAATAGGAAGTGTAAAGTCTCTGAGGTGAGACAGAAATTCAGGAGTTTCCAGGATGACGCAGGCAGTTGGCCTGGAGTGGAGCAGTGCAGGTTAGAGTGTAGGATAAGAGATCACGGGAGTGGCTGGACAGCTGAGTGGCAGTGTTGGGAGAGCTTTGGAGGGACCTGTCATTGTAAAGACCAGCCTTTACTCTGACTGAGATGGGAAACCATTGAAGAATTTGATTTGATTTAAGGTTGAAAGGGTTATTTTTGCTGCCAGGATAAAAATGGTGGGTGGGAAGGTAAAGAGGGAAACAAGAAAATCAGTTAGGAAATTATGGTAATAAGACAGGTGTCTCAGACCATGATGATAGAAGAGGAAGTAGTGTATGTTAAAGAATCTGAATAGATGTTGAAGATAGAACTAATAGAATTAACCCTCAGATTGATCATGAATCATGGGAAAGAGTGAAAAATTATCCCAAGTTGTTTGATCTGAATAGCTCAGTGGATGGATGGAGTTGCCAGTAATTGAGAAAGGGATTCCTAAAGAAGAGGTTTTGAGGTAAAGGGGAAGATGATCTATCTGTCTCTTTCTCTTTCTCTAGCTATTTATCTACTTATCTATCTATGTATCTGTCTAGCTGTCTACATACTTACCTGTCTGTGTCTATCTATCTATCTATCTATCTATCTAATCAGATGTTTTATATATGAGGTATTAAAACTCAAGATGTTAGGTATCTGGCTGAAGATCTCATAGCTAACATGGGTGATGCTGAGTTTGAAGTGAAGTATTCCTGTATAGACTTCAAAATCCCTAGTTTCCCTACCCTACCAGACCTTTTTCATATATCATTGCTTTTAATCTTCACAACAGCTTTTATCCACACTTTAAAATTATAAAACCTAAAGTTTAGAGAGTTTACACAACTGGCCTAAGTCATGCAGCTAGTGAGACAGCAGAGATTCAAACTTGGTCTCTGACTCCAAAATTCATATTCTTTTTTTTTCACTTTTATTTTAGGTTCAGGGGTACATGTGCAGGTTTGTTATATAGGTAAATTGCATGTCACAGGGATTTGGCGTGCAGATTATTTTGTCATCAAGCATAGCACCAAATAGGTAGTTTTTTATTCTTACCCGCTTCCCACTCTCTACCCTCAAGTAGGCCCCAGTGTCTGTTGTTGCCTTTTTTGTGTCTATATATACTCAAGTGTTCAGCTCCCACTTAGAAGTGAGAACATGCTATTTGATTTTCTGTTCTTGTGTTAGTTTGCTTATGATAAAGGCCTCCAGCTCCATCCATATTACACTATAAAAGACAAGATATTGTTCTTTTTATGGCTACATAGTATTCCATGGTATATATGTACCATATTTTCTTTATCCATTCTACTATTGCTGGGCATTTAGGTTTATTCCATGTCTTTGCTATTGTGAATAGTGCCACAATGAACATATACATGCATGTGTCTTTATGGTAGAACAATTTACATTCCTTCAGGTATATAATTAATAATGGGATTTGCTGGGTCAAGTGGTAATTTTGTTTTAAGTTCTTTGAGAAATTGCCAAACTGCTTTCCATATGGCTGAACTAATTTACATTCCCACCGGCAGTGTATAAGCATTCCCTTCTCTTTACAACCTCGTCAGCATCTGTTATTTTTTGACTTTTTAATCATAGCCATTCTGACTGGGTGAGATGGTATCTCACTGTGGTTTTGAATTGCATTTCTCTAATGATTAGTGATGTTGAGCCTTTTTTCACGTGCTTGTTGACTGCATTTATGTCTTCTTTTGAAAAGTGTCTATTCGTGTTCTTTGCCCACTCTGTGGGCTTTTTGTTTGTGGGGTTGTTTTTTGCTTGTAAATTTGTTTGAGTTCCTTATAGATTCTGGACTTTATTGTCAGATGCATAGTTTGTAAATATTTTCTCCCATTCTGTAGGTTGTCTGTTTACTCTGTTGATAGTTTCTTTTGCTGTGCAGAAAGTTTTTAGTTTAATTAGGTTCCATTTGTCAATTTTTGCTTTCATTGTTATTGCTTTTGGCATTTTCATCATGAAATCTTTGTCTGCTCCTATGTCCAGAATAGTGTTGCCTAGGTTATCTTCCAGGGTTTTTATAGTTTTGAGTTTTACATTTAAGTCTTTAATCCGTCTTGAGTTTTTGTGTATGGTGTAAGGAAGGGGTCTAATTTCAAACTTCTGCATGTGACTAGCCAGTTATCACAGCACCATTTACTGAATAGGGAGTCCTTTCCTCATTACTTGTTTTTGTTGATTTTGTCAAAGATCAGATAGTTCTAGGTGTGTGGCATAGTTTATGGGTTCTCTATTCCGTTCCATTTGTCTATATGTCTGTTTTTGTACCAGTACCATGCTATTTTGGTTACTGTAGGCTTGTAGTATAATTTGAAGTTACGTAGTGTGATGCTTGTTGTTTTGTTCTTTTTGCTTAGGATTGCTTTGGTTATTTGGGCTCCTTTTTGGTTCCGTATGGATTTTAGAATAGTTTTTCTCATTCTGTGAAGAATGTCATTGGTAGTTTATAGGAATAGCATTGAATCTATAAATTGCTTCGGGCAGCATGGCCATTTTTATGATATTGATTCTTCCTATCCATAAGCATGGAATGTTTTTCCATTTATTTGAATAAGCTCTCATTTCTTTGAGCAGTGTTTTGTAGTTCTCCTTGTAGAGATCTTTCACCTCCCTGGTTAGCTGTATTCCTAGGTGTTTATTCTTTTTATGCCTGTTGTGAATGGAACTGCATTCTTCATTTGGCTTTCAGTTTAGATTTTCTTGGTGTATAGGAATGCTACTGATTTTTGTACATTGATTTTGTATCCTGAAACTTTGCTGAAGTTGTTTATCAGATCTAGGAGCTTTTGGGCAGAGACTATGAGGTTTTCTAGGTATAGAATCATATTGTCTGCAAACAGAAATAGTTTGACTTCCTCTCTTTCTATTTGGATGCCTTCTTTCTTTCTTTCTTTTTTTTTTTTTTTAAAAGAGTTTCACTCTTGTTGCCCAGGCTGAAGTGCAGTGGTGCAATCTCAGCTCACTGTAACCCCCACCTCCCAGCTACAAGCGATTCTCCTGCCTCAGCCTCCCAAGTAGCTGAGATTACAGGCATGTACCACCAGGCCCAGCTAATTTTGTAAATTTTTAGTAGGGATTGGGTTTCACCATGTTGGTCAGGCTGGTCTCGAGCTCCTGACCTCAAGTGATCCACCCATCTCGGCCTCCCAAAGTGTTGGGATTACATTTGTGAGCCACTGCGCCTGACCTGGATTCCTTTTATTTCTTTCTGTTGCCTGATTGTTCTGGTTAGGACTTCCACTACTATGTTGAATAGGAGTAATGAGAGAGGGCATCCTTGTCTTGTTCAAATTTTCAGGGGGTTTGCTTCCAGCTTTTGCCTATTCAGTATGATATTGGCTTGGATTTTTCATAGCTGACTCTTACTATTTTTATGTATGTTCCTCCAATGCTTAATTTGTTGAGGGATTATAACATGAAGAGATGTTGAATTTTATTGAAAGCCTTTTCTGTATTTATTGAGACGATCATGTGGTTTCTGTTTTTAGTTCTGTTTATATAGTGGATCACATTTATTGATTTGCATATGTTGAACCAACCTTGCATCCCAGAGATAAGGCCTACTTGATTGTGGTGGATTAGCTTTTTGATGTGTTGCTGGGTTTGCTTTGCCAGTATTTTGTTGAGGATTTTTGCATCTATTTCCATTAAGGATATTGGCCTGAAGTTTTCCTTTTTAGTTGTGTCTCTGCCAGGTTTGGGTATCAGGATGATACTGACTTCACTTAGAGAGGAGTCCCTCCTCCTCAATTTTTTGGAATAGTTTCAGTAGGAATGGTACCAGTTCTTCTTCATACATCTGGTAGAATTTGGCTGTGAATCTGGTCCTGGGCTTTTTCTGGTTGGTTGGCTTTCTTTCTACGAAACTATCCTCCCTATTATTTATGCCTTGCAAAAAGGTGGTAAAGATTAAATGTATGTAACATACCCAGCATATACAACGTCTGGTGCATAGTATATTTAAATTAAAGGATAGCTATTAGAGATTAATATAGATTTCATTTGTGTATATTGTGCTTCTACCTAAGGGAACTATAAATTCATTAAAATACGGGACTTAAAATAATTATTTAGTGGCCTCAAGGACATCATAAATATTTATTATTTATTGAGTATGTACAACTACTATATTTCCATAATAATTAGAAATAATAACTTTTTAAAAAACAAAGATGATAGCAACCACAAAAAACATTTATTGAGTGAATCACGTTGGGTACAAATGAGTATATTGTAAAAAGTATACCATCAACACACTGACAATCTTTATCAGTATTTCCTAGTAGAAGAAACATGAAAGTCGGAGCAGGTAGGACTAAAGAATGCTAGTGTACACAGGACCATCAGATGCCTTTTAGTAGAAGAGGTCTAGAGCCTTGCGGAAGAGCTTCCCACCCTGTACAGAGAATGTGTTGCCTGTTCTTTGCTTTCTGAAAACTCTTGCCTATTATCACTCTGTGATTAATTCTGCACTAGGCTGTCTAGAGCTTTCACATTTGGGATCATTTTATCCCCGTCTCTCAAATAAGTTCATGGGTTCATTATGTCGCACATATCTTATCTTACATGCAAATGTAAATCTGTTGCACCCTTAACTCACAGGTCTGAGTATTTTTTCTACCACACAAAGTTTTTTGCAAAAATTAAAAAAATTGATAACATTAAATGGTTACCTGAGAAAAGAAGAAAGTCCTCAAACCCTTCACTTTAAACAACTAGAAAAATAAAACTAAAATAAACCCAAACAAGCAGATGGAAGAATATAACAAAGACAAGAGCAGAGAGCAATTAAATTAAAACCAGAAAAACAATAGAAAAAAATAAATAAAAACAAAAGCTGATTTTTTGACATTAATGACATTAGCAAAACTGACCAAAAAAAGAGATAAGCCATAAATTATTAATATCAAGAATGAAAGAGGGGGTATCATTACAGATCCCATAAACACTAAACAGATAATAAAGGAATACTAAGAACAACTCTATAGACATAGATTTGAAAACCTAGATGAAATTAAATTAAAATTATATTAGTGAACTGAACTTTCAGTTAAAAGTTTCCAAAAAAGCAACCTTCTAGCTCAGATGGTTACACTGGCAAATTCTACCAATTATTTGTGGAAAATTAATACCAATTCCATACAATCTCTTCCAGAAATAAGAAGAGAACACTCTCAATTTATGAGGCCAGCATTACCCTGATGCAAAAGACAGCGTAAGAAAAAAATCTTTTAAACACAACCAAATATACCTAATTAACATAAATGTAAAAATCTTCAGTAAAATATTAACCAGCTGAATTCTTAAACATATAAAAACAATAATAATACACCATGACCAAGTAGAGATTGTAGGGGGAATATAAGACTGGCTCAATACTGGAAAATTTTTCATTGTAGTACACCATATTAACAGTCTAAAGAAGAAAAATCACATGATCATATCAATTGTTGCAGGAAAAGTATTTGACAAAATTCAACATTCATTCGTGATAAAGACTCTCTGCAAACTAGAAATAAAAACTTTCTCAACCTAATAAAAGGCATACAGAAAAGCTAACATTATACTTAATGGTGAAAGATGAATGCTTTTTCCCTCAATTTAGGAATAAGGCAAGGATATTGATACTTTTTGTCTCTGTGTCCCCACCTAAATCTCACCTTGAATTGTAGTTCCCATAATCCCCATGTATCATGGGAGGGACCCAGTGGGAGGTAATTTAATCATGGAGGTGTTTACCCTCATGTTGTTCTTGTGATAGGGAGTGAGTTCTCATGAGATCTGATGGTTTTATATGGCGATTTTTTCCCTTTTGCTCAGCACTTCTCCTTCCTGCCCTTGTATGAAGAAGGATGTGTTTGCTTCCCCTTGTGCCATGATTGTAAATTTCCTGAGGCCTCCTCAGCCCTGCAGAACTGTGAGTCAATTAAACTTCTTTCCTTTATAAATTACCCAGTCTTGGGTATGTTTTTATTAGCAGCATGAGAACAGACTAATACAGATATCTACTCCCATCATTCAACAAACATTTTACTGGGTGCCCTATCCAGTTAATAAAGTTAGGAAATTAAATAAAAGGCATGCAGATTTTCAGATGATATGATTGTCTATGCCAAAAATTTCAAGGAATTCATAAGCAAATTCCAAGTACTAAAAAGTGAGTTTAATGAGATTACAGGGTACAGGGTTCAACACACAAGAATCAAATGTATTTCTTTATACTAGCAATGAATAATTGGCAACTAAACATTTTTAAAAAATTTACATTAGCTCCAAAAAATGAAACACATAGGTGTAAGTGAAACAAAGCATGAACAGGGTCTGTATGCTGAAAATTACAAAAACTTAGTGAAATAAAGCAAAAAAGACCTAAATAAATGGAGAGATACACAGTTTTATGGATTGAAAGAATTAACATAGAAAAAATGTAACTCAGCTGGGCGCAGTGGCTCATGCCTGTAATCCCAGCACTTTGGGAGGCTGAGGCGGATGGATCACCTGAGCTCGGGAGTTCGAGACCACCCTGACCAACATAGAGAAACCCTGTCTCTACTAAAAATACAAAATTAGCCAGGCATGGTGGCTCATGCCTGTAATCCCAGCTACGGAGGCTGAGGCAGGAGAATCACTTGAACCCGGGAGGCAGAGGTTGCAGTGAGCTGAGACTGTGCCATTTCACTCCAGCCTGGACAACAAGAGCGAAACTCAGTCTCAAAAAAAAAAAAAGAAAGAAAAGAAAATATGTAACTCTGCACAAATTGATCTATAGATTTAATGCAATTCCAAGCAAACCTCAGGAGTATTTTTACAGATCCAGACAAGCTGATTCTAAAATTTATATGGAAAGTCAAGGGAACTGTAATAACCAAAACAATTTTGAAGCAGACTAGTAAAGTTGGAGAAATCACACTATCAGATTTTAAGATTTAATATAAAGCTGTAGCAATCAATTCAGTGTGATATTGGCAAAAGGATAGACATAGATCAGTGGAACAGAGAAGCCAGAAGCAGACCCACACAAATATATTCTAGTTATTTTTCAGAAAGTTGCAAAAGCAATTTCATAAAGGAATGATAGCCATTCAACAAATGGTGTTGGAACAGCCAGACAATCATGGGCAAAAAAATGAACCTTCATCTTAATTTCAAATCTTACATAAGAATTAACTAAAAGATTTACATGTAAAATACAAAATTATACAAATTTAAAGGAAAAAATTTAGGAGAAAAACTGGCCCAGAGTTAGACAAAGAGTTATTAGACATGATACCAAGAGCACAATCATGAAAGAAAAGATTTATGTATTGGATTTCAACAAAATGAAAACTTTTGCTCTATCAAAGACACTGTATAAGAATGAAAAGACAGGCTACAGACTGGGATAAAATATTTGCAAATCACATATCCAATAAAGGACTTGTATCTGGAACACAAAAAAACTCTCATAACCCAACCATAAGAAAATAAACTACCCACATTAAAGAAAGTACTGCGTTCATCAACTAGAAGTCTCAATATAGTAAAGATTTAGTTCTCCTCAAATTGATTCATAGATTCAACTCAATTCAAATCAAAATCCCAACAGGACTTTTTGTAGGTATATAAAGCTGATTCTGGAATTTATATGAAAAGACCGTATAGCATAGGGACAATAGTTAAAAATACTGTATTGTATACTTGCAATCTGCTAAGAAGATAGATCTTAAATCTCCTCACTATACACATACACAAATAGTAACTGTAGAGGTAATAGATGTGTTCATTATGGGGAATGTGGTCATTATTTCGCAATGTATACATATATCAGAACATCAAGTTGTATACCTTAAATATATGCTATTTTTTCATGTCAGTGATAGTTCAATAAAACTGTTGAAAAGTAGAAAATAAAAATAGGTTATGTGAAAGACAAAGGAACTAAAATATGACAAACAATTTGGGCAAAAGGAATGCAAATAAGCAAATTAACAAATGTTAATTTGCTATTCAGAAAATGAAAGTTAAAACCACCATGAGGTACCATGGCACATCTATTAGAATAGCTGAAATAAAAAAATATTGACAAGGGCTGGTAGGGATGTGGAGCAACTGGAACTTGTATACATTGCTGGTAGCAAAATGAAAAACAGCCACTCTGGATAACAGTTTGGCAGTCTCTTGTAAAACTAAACAAACACTTTCCATATGACCCAGCAGTCCCATTTCTAGGTACTTGCCTTAAATAAATGAAAACATGTTCACACAAAAACCTGTACATGAATGTTTATAGCAGCTCTATTCATAATCACCCAAAATGGAAATACCTAAATGTCTTTCAACAAGTGAATGTATAAACAATCTCTGTTACATTTATCCAACGGAATACTACTCAGCAATAAAAGGAACAAACTATTTGTTTACAAAACAACTTGGATGATTCTGAAAGGTATTATAGTAGTTGGAAGAAGCCAGTTTCATGAGGCTGCATACGTATAATTAGTTCCATTCATATGCCATTTTCTAAAAGACAGAACTGTAATGATAGGGAAAAGATCAGTCATTTCCAGGGATTAGGAATAGAGAGAGGATATGACTACAAAAGGGATAACAAGAGAATTTATCTTTTGGTTATATGGAACTCTTCTGTATCATTATTGTGGAGGTAGTTACAGAAACCTATATATGTGTTAAACTCTAAAACTGGACACAAAAACATCAGTTACATTGTATGGTAATCTAAAAATAAAATATTTACTTGAACTTTTGGTGCTGAAGAACTTGATTTGTGTCTTAAAATCAGACTTTCCAAATTTTGGTTTCATTTGCTCCCTGGGTTGTCTGTATTCATCTATCACCAGCAGAGAGACAGAGAGAGAAAGAGGGAGAAAGAAAGTTGATTAGTTTATATACTTATACACACTAATGAAGTTGGAAAAACTTTGGGTGAAATATAATGATTTTGTGGGATGATTTATGCATTAAGGTATATGTGGAATATTTCTGGTAGAGATATTTGTTATAGATGTATCTAAAATTCAAGTAAGGGTGGGGAATTTTATTTAGAAAGTAAGAGATGTAGATGTAGATGAAAGAGAATACATAGGGCGAGAAAAAAAACTGAGAATAGAACTCAAGGATACTAATATTTGAGGGAAAATGAGAAAAGGAACTCATAAAGGAACTCATGAGTGTAGGAGGAGAAACAGGGCATTGAAGAAAAGAAAAAGGCCATGGAGGCTATAATAGTTCATTCTCACACTGCTATGAAGAACTACCCGAGACTGGGTAAATTATAAAGGAAAGAGGTTTAATTGACTCACAGTTCCACAGGGCTGGGGAGGCCTGTGGAAACTTACAATCATAGCAGAAAAGGAAGCAAACACATCCTTCTTCACATGGTAGCAGGAAGGAGAAGAATGAGAGCCAAGCAATGGGGGATACCCTTATAAAACCATCAGATCTCCTGAGAACTTACTTTCAGGAGAATACCATGGAGAAGCTGCCCCTATGACTAAATTACCTCCAACCGGGCCCCTCCCACCAGACGTGGGGATTATAGGAACTATAATTCAAGATGAGATTTGGATGGGGACACATATCAGAGGCCAAGAAAGTTGAGAAAGAAGAGGCAGCACTCTCCAATGGCATGGAGAAGTTGAGTAAGATGAGGTTTGAAAAGTCTCAGTGTGTTTGTCCAATAGAACAGCAGTTCTCAACCTTTTTGGCACCAAGGACCGGTTTTGTGGAATATAATTTTTTCATGGAGGTGAGGGGATGGGATGGTTTGGGGATGAAACTGTTCTGCCTCAGATCATCAGGCATTATTTAGATTCTCAGAAGGAATGGACAACCTAGATCTCCCACATGCACATTTCACAATAGAGTTCACACTCCTATGAGAATCTAATGCCCAGCTGATCTGACAGGAGGCAGAGCTCAGGCAGTAATGCTCGCTGGCCCACTGCTCACCTCATGCTGTGCATCTCAATTTTTAACAGGCCATGGACCAGTATCTGTCAGTGTCCCAGTGGTTGGGGACCCCTGCTCTAGAAGGTCATCGGTAATGTTGCAAAAGCACTTTTAGGGTTGATGTGGGGGCAAGAATCTTAGGGACATAGCTTTAGAAATACATGAGAGGTAAGGAAGTGCCCTCATAAAGCTTTGGCTTACCTGTATTTGGATTCTTGAATAAAGTTTTGGTGGGAAGATTACTCTTATGTCAAATCATTAGGCCAAGCTAAGTAAGAATTTTAGTGAAATTTTGCATTTCTGGCAAAACTTAAAGCCAAGTAATAGTGGCCTGGACTTAAGCTTTAGACATAATCTTTTTTTTTTTTTGGTAGTACTCAAAATTAATAAGTCAGTTCAACACTAGCTGAGTACCTACAGTGTTGCAGATGGTGAAAGGTATACAAACATGTACAAGAAATAAGAACTGAATTTATTTAACCCAACCTTCTCATTTTAAAGATAAAGAAGCTGAGACTTAGGAAGGAAATAACTTGGCCCAAGGACATGCTTAATCTGCCTCCCTCCTCTCCCATTGCCATATTTTGCTAGTTCCCCAATTTTTCCCTTTACATAAGCTACTCTCCACCACAAATATAGTACACATGCAGAAGATACTCATAACTACATGGCTAGTCCATTTCTAAATGTATTCATGTAGTTTGTTGAATCAGATTTTTTTTTTTTTTTTTTTGAGACAGAGTCTTGCTCTGTCACCCAGGCTGGAGTGCAGTGGTAAGATCTCAGCTCACTGAAACCTCTGCTTCCCGGGTTCAAGTGATCCTTGTGCCTCAGCCTCCTGAGTAGCTGGGATTACAGGCATGCGCCACCATGCCCAGCTAGTTTTTGTATTTATAGTAGAGACTGAGTTTCACCATGTTGGCGAGGCTGGTCTCGAACTCCTGACCTCAAGTGATCTGCCCACCTCAGCTTCCCAAAGTGTTGGGATTACAGGCATGAGCCACCGCACCTGGCCTTGAATCAGATATTTATGAGAAAAGAGAAAGTACCTACCTAGGCAGTAGCTGGCAACAAATTCAGTGTGCAGAGGGTATGATTGCAAATGGTTGTGTAAAGGAAGAAGAGGTATTAGGAAATAGATTGCCTTTTGAAAACAAAACAAGACCTTTGGCAGAAAAATATTGGGGTAGATAGGTACATATTAACAGATATTTGACTCTCTCCCTACCTGGGGATTATTCTTCTAGAATTCTTTGCTAAAACTCTAAAGGATTCTTGGTTTGCTCTAATGAGACAGGCAGTTTCTTTACCATACTTCCAGTTAGTGTTTTGAGGGAACATGGAATAGGACAATATGGCTGGAGTTTGCCTCCAAGATGAATTGGAGAGGAAGAGTGGATGGCCTTTAAAGCAAGACTAAGTTTAGAAGCACAGTGAATAAGCATGTTCATGCTCAGGTTCGGTGGGTGGATGTCTGCTTGAGTTCATTCAGTTACTTATGGGGTGTGTAACCTTAAAAAAGTATCTTGACCTCTTTAAGACTCAGTTTCCCCCTCTGTAAAATGGGTTCCTTGTGAGTACAAAAGATATACAATATACCTAGTGCAGTGCCAGACTTATTAAACAAAATACTTCATATTAGATTTTAATTTTATGATTAATTAGAAATGTGGTTCTATTCTTTAGGAAATGGCCAAGGACACGGCAAGCCAACATTTTCAGACAGAAATAGTTCCTGTCTTTTGTAAATTGATCTTTGTGTGGCTTCAGCTGGCATGACTAGGCCCCTCGATGGGAATTGCAGAGATATTTAGAGTTGAATGCAAAGCCTGAGCTCAAATGGGATAAATGATGAAGCACTACTAAAGATATAAATGGATAGGCACACTACACCAGGGGGCTGGTGGGTGGGAGTGGAGGCATTATTTGTCAAGTGGCATCAATGTACACAGCTGACTGTGTCTGTGTGAGGAGAGGAGATGGCAGTTGCTGTTGCAAAAGGGACCTGGAAACAGAGAGCAGCATGAGCAAACTGCTGATCAGGTTTCTTTAGGAGGATGAGGGGATTATAATGTTCTGAGAGATTACTGAAGCTTAGAAAGAGGAAGTAGTAGAATCACATCTTCCTGCCCCTGGGAATTTATGCTGCTGGATACCATGTTTCCAATGCTTCTTATTTTATCCATTCCTTTACAAAGTTATTTTAAAATAAAGATGAAAACATAGGTGAAAAAATGTCTAACTTGTTTGTTTATTGTAGATTTACTCTTGGATTCCAAAGTAAAGAGGCAATGGCACAGGGGGTGCTGTTTATATTCCTTTCATCAATCATTGCTGCAACTTAGATATTTAGTATATTTATGCCTATACACAGATACATATGGGCAAAAGATATTCTATAAAATTCATTTATGAGGACTCACAGTTGCACCTCTCAGAAAAATTTCTCCTCCAGTCATTAAAAAAATTTTTTTATGGGCTTGTAATTCAGTTACCTCTTCCCTGGAAGTAAAATTCCAGGGTAGACCAGAAAACTCACTAACAAGGCCCAGTGGTCTTAAACCCCGGCTGCATGCAAAATCAGCAGTAAACTTAAAACAAACAAACAAAAACAAAAACAAAAACAAAAAAAGTATGTGCCTGGCCTGGGTCTCATTCCAGAGCATTTAAGTTAGACTCTCTAGAAGTAATTGTCTTCAGTTTACGCTATAAAAATTTAAGATTTTAAAAAACCAGGCCGGGCATGGTGGCTCATGCCTGTAATCCCAGCACTTTGGGAGGCCGAGGTGGGCAGATCACTTTAGGTCAGGAGTTCGAGACCAGCCTGGCCAACATGGTAAAACACCATCTCTACTAAAAATACAAAAATCAGCCAGGCTTGGTGACGCATGCCTGTAATCCCAGCTACTTCGGAGACTGAGGCATGGGAATCACCTGAACCTGGGAAGCAGAGGTTGCAGTGAGCTGAGATCCTACCACTGCACTCCAGCCTGGGTGACAGAGTGAGACTCCATCTCAAAAAATAATAATAAAAATAAAATTCAAGTTGGCACAACATTTTTAGCTCTTATAACAAAATTCTTGACTTAATGAATCTTCTGTGAATAACTTTGGGAGTATTAAAACTTTGTAAACTCTGACCCAGCATATCCATCCTGGGTAATAGAGCAGGAGGAAATGGTCATGGATGCATGCAAAAATGTATCAATCTTGAGTCATTACAATAATACTTTTAATAATAAAAATCAGACGCATTATAAATGTGCAATAAGAAGAGATTTTTCTTTCAAGCATGGTACATCCATTTAGAGGTCTACTTTCTAGCCATTAAAAATAATGTAAGAGAAGAATTTAATGCATATAACATGCATGCAATTCATAAAGAGAAAAGAAAGATATTATTCAAGTATGGGGAGATATACTTCTTTGAAAAAAATCCATTTGAATAGAAAAAAGACCAAATGAATATATTCCAAAATAGTAATATGCATTATAAAGAAATAGCATGAGAAATGTGATGATTTTTATACTCTTCCTTAGGCCTCATATTATTTTTCAGATTTTCTATACTAAGCATGAATTATTTTTATAAAGAGAAAAATGCTATTAAATTAAAAGCAGTTATAGAACTCTAAAGATTTATATTAAAATACTACTCTGTGGAGCTGCCCACTTCATATGTTTAAAGTAACTGACACCATTTTGCATATGCTACCTGTGTGAATAGATTCCATAAATAAAATAGGCTTATAAAAACACTGTTGATTTTTGTGTGAAAGTAACCATAGGTAAGTCCTTCTTCAATGTATGACTTTGATTTAGGAAGTGGAGTCTGGAACAACTGGCTTAATTTGACAAAGGTAGAGGAAGATGAAATTTTATGCTCTGTGATTGGTTTTTGCAGTTGTTCTGAACTAATAGGTTGCTTTCTTCTTTAATGTGTTATAATGAGGAACAGCTGCTATGAGCTGTGCAGTTCGTTTTTTTCCCTCCTTTCAAACCTCCATCTCCTGAAGTTAAATCAATCTCTGTAATTAAAGAATTGGTGAAATAGGCAAGGAGGTGGGCTGGCAAATTTATATATTCTGTTTTAAAATGTTTAATTTAAGTATCATGTGGAAGAACTGGACTGTTGTGACATGGTGGAATAACATTTACATTTTCCAAAAAAGTGTCTTTCAACATGTGTTGTTAGACCTGGAGAACACAATAATATTAATTAATTGGGCATTCGATGTAAACCACAAAAGTGAGCAGACTCACTTCTCCTTCAAGTTGATGGGAGTTCAGATCAACCAAGAAGCTAAAGATGAGATGAATTCAAGACTACACTGTTTGAAGATATATCATTATCCCTTGTGAAAGAGTAGGTGAGGTGTGGTTGATCCTAGTAACTTCATGGACTAAAAGGAAAAAAAAAAGTCTCATTCCTTGAGTATATTTCCTAGTTGTTTTGGTGTTTTGATAGGTTTGTTCCCAAACTGAACTGAACCAGAAAGCCCCTATGACACCTCTTTCCAAGGGAAAGATGCACCTAGAAGGAGCTGGGCCTCTGGTGACAGCTGGAGGAGTCATTCTGAAGCCTCACCTCCCACATCACTGTCATCTCTAATAGTGGAGACTGGTTGAACTTCGGAAAGGGAAAAATCGATGGCTGAAGATGAGCCTTGGTGATTGTATTAGTCAGGATTCTCCAGAGAACCAGAACTAATTGGAGGCCCAGAAGATCCATGATTGTTTCTTTGCAAACTGGAGAACCAGAAACGCCAGTGGTGCAGTTTGGTCCATGTCCAAAGGCCTGAGAACCAGGATGAGGTGGCTGATGCTAGTCCTGGAGTCTGAAGACCTGAGAACCAGGCGCTCTGATGTCGAAGGGCAGGAGAAAATGGATATCCCAGCTCAAGAAGAGGGCAAATTCTTCCTTTCTCCACCTTTTAGTTCTATGTGTGCCCTCAACAGATTGGGAACCTTAATGGGGGTGATTATTCTTATCCTGTGAGGTAAGAATTAGTGAAAGTGATTATTCTTACCCTATCAATTCAAATGCTAATCTCTTCTGGAAACACTCTCACAGACACACCCAGAAATAATGTTTTACCAACTATCTTGGCATCCTTTAGCCCAATCAAGTTAACACATAAAATTAATCATCACAAGTTCACTAACCCCTTGTCAAGTCCGCACTTATGCATATCTCTTTAAACCATACTTAATCTCCAAGTAAATACAATAACAAGGTCAAAATCCCATGTAACATCATACAACTAACCTGTGTACAACCAAAAACACACTAATCCCTTCCCTCAAAGAGGAGGTAAAATTCTTGAGTGATGTTTTCTCTTCTCCTGGAATCCTGTAACTTAAATACTATGATGTAAAATTAACACCATTTAAATATGGATGTAAAGTCAATATATCTTTTGTTACTATGATAAGGGAATAGGAAAGAATACAAAGATATTTTCTTTACACATACACACATGCACAAATATATTTATAACAGAAGGAGAATATATGCAGGACAATTACAGTTCTCATTTCTGTAACTGGTTACATGGTTGTAAGCTGATATTTATAAGGACCTTCTTCTACTACCATTCTGTATTCTCACTGCTTTCAGCAAGCACCTCAGCTGGTTGTGGTTCTTTACCACAGGATAAAGGTGACCCAAACCTTTATTCTTGAAGGGTCTGGGCCATTCATAGTTTTGCCTGGACTGGGTTGTTGTAGTTCCTATTGACCTTAATCACAGGACATGGCAATACTCAGAAACTCTTTAAGAAATCTGTATTCCACACATACTCTTCTTTACCTCCATTGTTTAGGAGTAGTTCAATTTTGGTGGTTTGGATCAATCACTCCAGCCAACACTGTAACTCCCTTCTTTGCTTATTGACATAGAGGCATTAGGAGCCCAACATGGTTGGGTGGCAGTCTTAACTTCCAGTTCAATGGAGTCATTGTTGTATCTCCTGGTGGAAGCAGTCTTCCCTCTAGAACTATGACCTCTAGGCCAGTAGAGCATAAAGTCATGGAAACAAGAAGCAAAAATTTTGCCAGTGTGTCTCCAGGGATAATAGTGAATGTTGCCACAACCATGTTCACCCCTTGATTCCTGGACCTGTGATTCTGGCTATGGGAGAAACAGCACCATATATTGGTTGCTGATTCAAAGTATATGGAGCCTTATGGAGGACCATGCCCAAGCACTGCACCTAGCTGGAGCTGTAACGTGAGTCTCAAAAGGCCATTCCACCATTTTATCAAGACAGCTGCTTCAGGATGGTAGGGAACAAGGTAACACCAGTGAATTCCCTGAGTGTGGGCCCATTGCTGCAATTCTTTTGCTGTGATCAGAAGTAATGCCTGGTAGAATACCATGATGGTGGATAAGGCATTTTGTAAATCCATGGACAGTAGTTTTGTGTGCAGGGAAGGAAAATCCATATGCACTGTTGTCTATTCCAGTAAGGACAAAATGCTGCTCCTTCCATGGTAGAAGTGGTCAGTGTAATGAATCTGCCACCAGGTAGCTGGCTAATTACCCTGGAGAATGGTGCCATACTGGAGGCTCTGTGTTGGTCCCTGCTGCTGACACATTAGGCACTTAGCACTGGCCATAACAAGGTCAGCCTAGGTGAGCGGAAGTCCATGTTGCTAAGTTCATTCATGACCTCCATCCCTGCCACCATGGCCACTTTGTTCATGAGCCCACTGCGTGATGACAGGAGTAGCAAGGGAAAGAGGCTGATTAGTATCCACAGAACAGGTCATCCTATTCACTTGACTATTAAAATACCCTTTGGCCGAAGTCACCTTTTGGTGAGCATTCTTGTGGGCTACAAATATCTTCATATTTTTTGCTCAAAGAGATCTATCCATATATCTCTTCCCCAAATTTCTTGTCACCAATTTTCTAATTATGTACCTTCCAAGTTCCTGACCATCCAGCCAAACCATTGACTATAGTTCTTCAATCAGTATATAATCACATGTCTGGACATTTTTCCTTTTAAGCAAAGTGCACAACCAAGTGCACTGCCTGAAATTCTGCCCACTGGGAGAATATCCCTTCAACACTGCCTTTCAGAGATGTCCCAGAGAGATGTTATAGTGCTACAGCTGTCCACTCTTGGGTAGTGCCTGTATATCACACAGAACCATCTGTAAACCATAGCCAAGTCTTCACTTCCTCTGTCAACTGACTGTGGGGAACTCCCCATGGAGCCATGGGTGCAGCTGGAAGAAGAGAAGGCAGTAGCAGGAATGAGGACCATGGATCACTTGATGTGACTTCTTTGTGTCTTCAGGGCTTGCTTGGGCCCAATTACATATATACCACTTCCACTTGATGATAGAGTGTTGCTGTGCATGCCCAATTTTATGATTTGATGGGTCAGATAATACCCAGTTCATGATAGGCAGCTCAGGTTGCGTAGTAACTTGTTGACTCCTGGTCAAGTATTCAGTTTCCACTAAAGCCCAGTAGCAGGCCCAGAGCTGTCTCTCAAAAGAAGAATCATTACCTGCAGATGATGGCATAGCTTTGCTCTAAAATCCTGAAGGCTTAAACTGCAATTCACCTATGGGAGCTTGCCAAAGGATCTAAACAGCATCCCTGTCTGCCATTGACACCTCAAGTACCATTGGATCTGCTGGATCATATGGCCTAAGTGGCAGAGCAGCTTACGTAGTCTCCTGGATCTGTTGCAGAGCCTTTTCCTGTTCTGGGACCTACTCAAAACTAGTAGTTTTTTTTGAGTCAGTTGGTAAATGGGCCAGAATAACATGCTTAAATAAGAAATGCATTGCCTCCAAAATCCACATAGGCCCGCTAGCCATTGTGCCTTTTTTTTTTTTGGTTAGAGGCCAGGTGCAACAACTTAGCCTTCTCCTTGGAAGGGCTATTTCAACATGCCCACACCATAGACCCCTAGAAATTTAACTGAGGTAGATAGATCACACCTAAACTTTAATTGGATTTATATCCCACCCTGTAACACGTAAATGATTACCAATCAAATCTAAAGCGGTTGCTACTTTTTGCTCACTAGGTCCAATCAGCATAATGTCATCAACGTAATGAACCAGTATGATGTCTTGTGGAAGGGGAAGGTGATCAAGATCCCTGTGTGCTTGACATTGTCTAAATTATGACATATAACTGGAGAGTTAATATAACCCTGAGGTAGGAAAATGAAGGTGTATTGCTGGCCTTGCCAGCTGAAAGAAAACTGCTTCTGGTGGGCCTTATTGACAGAGATGGAGAAGGGGGCATCTGCCAGATGATAGCTACATACCAGGTACCAAGGGGTGTGTTACTTTGCTCAAGCAGTGAAACTAAATCTAGTACAGCAGCTGCAATTGTAGTCACCACTTGGTTAAGCTTACCATAATCCACTGTTATTCTCCAAGCTCCATCTGTCTTCTGCATAGACCAAATAGGAGTGTTGAATGGGAATGTGATGGGAATCGCCACCCCTGCATCTTTCAAGTCCTTAACGGTAGCACTAATCTCTGCAGTCCCTCCAGGAATGCAGTATTGCTTTTTATTTACTATTTTTTGAGGTGGAAGCAATTCTAGGAACTGCTTCTCCTTGGCCCTCTTCATCATAGCCCCCAGTCCACAAGTCAAGGAACCAATGTGGAGATTCTGCCAGTGGCTAAGTATGTCATTCCAATTATTTCTTCTGGAACTGGGAAATAACTACAGGATGGATTCTGACACCTATTGTGAGATGAACTTGAGCTAAAACTTCCATTGATCACCTGACCTATATAAGCCCCTCCTCTGAATGAGAGGCTACAGTGACATTTTGGGTTTCCTGGAATCAGTGTCAGTTCAAATCTAGTGTTCAGTAGTCCCCCAAAGGTCTGATTATATGTTTTACCCTGGTGCACAGTTACCCTGCTAAAATTCTGTAGGTCCTTTCGGAGAAAGCTGGGAGAAAGATTCACAGTATAAATTTTCATTTGAGGGCTTCTGGGTCTGTAAACTGGCTCAAGTCTGAAAATTGATTGAGGGGCTCTGACTCTCTAATTTTATGATTCAATTTAAACTTTGGTTCATTTGACCTGGAACTTTTCTGTTTATACAGATCAAGTAAAAATTTAATAGGCTTTCTATCTATTTCACTTCTAGGAACACCATGATTAACTAGCCCACGCCACAGATCTGTGTGAGTCAGACTATTCTAATTGCTGCTTTGACTCTGCCACCCAACACAGTAACTACGCCCACCTCGCCTTTGGCAGTGGAATGCTGCCACTTGGCCTCACCACTCTGGATCCAATTACTCCCATTGCATTTAGATTTTCCAATTAAGTGGCTGTGGTTCCCACTATAAGGTCTGGCCTACAAAGAGTAATCACAGAGTTCTTCAAGAATACTGGGGCTTCCTTTAGTAATTTATTTCTTAAAGTATTGATAAAAGTGTGTCTTCTAGATCTTCTCAGTGTTGGGGAATATATCATAAATTATAAATCCACTCTTTCTAATCTCCCTAAGCCTGTGAATCCCTTCCTCTACATTAAACCTAGGGAGAGCCGACATTTCCAATTTGCTTACAATGGGCCATCTTTTGATTGTGTTTCAGCCAACCAATCAACCACATTATTAGAGCCTTAACTCCCAAGCTGTAATATTAAATGCAGAATCTCTGCTTAGTGGGCCCACATCAATAAATTTGACCTGATCCAACATTATGTTCCTTCCTTCATTATCCCACACCCTTAATATCAATTCCCAGACATGTTTCCTAGATTTCTGCTTGTATAAATTAGAAAGGTTAGGTAGTTCTTTTGGAATATAGCATGCCTCCTCATGGGCCACACTTTGTACTTCCCCTTTAAGGGCCTGCTAGGGTCTTGAGTCTAGTTATTTGTCTAGAAGAAAAGAGGAGTGTTGGAGGTAGCTCTTGTGGAGAATCAGCAGTGTCTTGCATGGCAGCTGCCTCAGAGGAGGCCATTCCTCAGGCAATGCAGGGCTAATCCCTTCAGATGGAGGTAAATGACTCAGACCAATGTGAATGAGGAGATGGCTCCTACTGGAGGTGGGGATGCTGTTGACACTGGGAGTAGGGGGTCATTTCTGCTGGTATTAGGGATGCCACTTTTGCTGGGATTAGGGAGACCAACTACTCTGGGGGTGGGACCTAAGCTCTACTGAGGGTGGGGAGACTTCTTTCACTGCCAAAATAGATAATCACAGTTTAGGGACTCAGTGTCCCCAGCTTCTTTAGAGTCTTCCCACATACCCCCATCCCAACTTGCAAGATCCCATTTTTTCACAGTGTCCTCACTTTACAGTATATACCTTGTGAGGCTGAGAGTTTCACTTGTGTTGTAATTCAGCCAATTACAGGATGAGATCCTACATTTGATTTTCAGCAATTTTAGCCCTGCACTGCAGGAGATAATGCTGTCCCTCAGGGCACACCTATAAGCTCTTAGGTCATTTATGTAGCACTTGAGGTGGGAATTTGAATCCCTTAGCTCATTTTTTTTTTTGTAAACTACTTTTTCCAGTGATTCAGTGTCATATTCCTTAGTTTTCCAAAAGTGTTCAAAGCTAATATATACAGAGTTACTAAGCTCCTTGCATCTTAGAAGTGTTTGATTAGGAATATCCATATTTTGTATATATCTACAGTTTGTGCCACGAACTGTTTGCCTCTTTACTACTGGAAAAGGAATCATTATCATCTTTAAACTGTGTCAGATTAGAAAGCCAATTTCAGAAACTGCAGAATGATTTTTTTTTTAAAAAACCCTCACTTTTGAAAATCTGTTTCTCCAGAGCCAATCTCAATACCAAAATCTGTATTAGCCAACGTTCTCCAGAGAAACAGAACCAATATGTACTATGTGGTGGTGGTGTGTGTGTGTGTGTGTGTGTGTGTATGTATGTGTGTGTAGTCATCCCTTGGTATCTGTGGGGTATTGGTTTCAGGACCCTCTAGTGGATACCAAAATCTGAAGATGCTCAAGTCCTTTATGTGAAATTATGTAGAATCTGCATATAACCCACATAATCCTCCCATATACTTTAAGTCATCTCTAGATTACTGACTATCTAATATTGTATTGCTTAGGGAATAATGATGTGACAAAAGTCTGTATATGTTCAGTACAGATGCAACCATCCATTTTTTTCTGAATATTTTTGGTTTGCAATTGGTTGAATCTACAGATTTGGAACCCACAGATACAGAGGGCTGACTAGAGAACCAATAAAAGCCAGTGGTATAATTCAGTTTTAAGTACAGAGGCCTAAGAACCAAAGAACCGATGATGTAACTCCCAGTCTAAGTCCAAAGGCCTGAGAACTAGGGTGGTTGGTTGGGGTGGTGGCTGATGTTAGTCAGTCCTAGAGTCTGAAGGCCTGAGAACAAGGAGCTGTCCAAGGGCAGGAGAAGATGGATGTCCCAGCTAAAGAAAGAGATAATTTGTCCTGATTCTGCCTTTTTGTTTTATGTGGGCCCTCAATGGAATGGATAATGCCCACCCACATAGGTGAGTGTGATCTTCTTTACCTAGTCTACCAATTCAGATGCTAATCTCTTCTGGAAACACCCTCAGAGATACACCCATAAATAATGTGTTGCCAGCTATCTGGGCGTCTCTTACCCCAGTTAAGTTGACATATAAAGTTAAGAGGTCATCTGCTTACCTGTGCCATTTCCCAGTTGATGAAGCTTGCCACAGTTTATCCAAGAATACACGGAGTGGGAAAGGTAGAATTTAGTTTGCCCAGGTAATGTTCTCGCAGTGATTTCCCTCTGGGCCTCCCACCAACGCTGTCTCTTGTGATGAAACTGGGGAGAACTGTAGGGAGGAAGATAATTTCTGCCTCTCAAAACTCACAGGCTGATGGAAGGAGATCCCATAAAGCATTTATTGTAGAAAAGGAAGAAGTGGCAGAGGAAAATGCTGGAGAAAAGAAGATAGAAGAACAAAGCAATTGCCAAGCCCAGGTGTAAGGTGACCAGGTCTGCCTGGGATGATGGCAGCTTGAATGGTGAGGAAAGACAAAATGTGAGAAGAACATGTAAGAAGATTTGACCATGTTTGTATAGAGACTATCTTCCTTGGTTCATCCTTAAATGAAATGAAAATCCTGTAGCACCATTTCTAGCATTTGGTAAGTACTCAAGAAACGTGAGCTTTTACTGACCATAGACTGAACATATAGGCTACTAATGAGAAAATTCCTATACTTGAAGAAGCCTAACTTGCTAGGCCAATTTTATATTTTTGCTGGGCTGCCATAGGGTTAGAATTAAAGGCACATTAAAATATGTATTAAAAGGCCAATAGTGGTGGCTCATGCCTGTAGTCCTAGCACTTTAGGAGGGTGAGACAGGTGGAACACTTGAGGAGTTTAAGACCAGTCTGGGCAACATGGTGAAACCCTGTCTCTACAAAAAATACAAAAATTAGCCTGGCATAGTGGTGCATGCCTATAGTCCCAGCTATTTGGAGGTGAGATGATTGCTTGAGCCTGGAAGTCGAGGCTACAGTGAGCTATGATCATGCCACTGCACTCCAGCCTAGGCAACAGAGTGAGACCCTGTCCCCCCCAAAAAATTGTATTAAAGATACATTATAATGTGAATGTGTCTGTAGTATACATTAAGTCTTTATGTCTGTAAAGACATGCCACATTCTTTCTTTTTCTCTCTCAGCATATGTACACACATACATACACACTTAAATCTCTGTGTGTGTACGTGTGTGTACATATGTACACAAATGGCACATTAGCTTTATCTAGAAATGGATACATATGCATTAAGCTACTGTAAAGTTTATGCACACTTAAAGGCACATTAATTCTATCCAGGCATATTTCTCTATAATGTACTGTATATCTGTATGTATACTAATACATTATTCTATCATCCATCATAAATTTCTGGCCCCCCCACAGGAAATGACCTTGTATTTTATGATCAATGCAAGGACAAAAGATTTTGCATCCTTAAATTATATTCAATACATACTCTGTGAATAAAAATGCCATAACTTAAAATATTGCCCTTGGTATTTGCATAGTGCCTTTCATTACTGTTGAACAAAAACTAATCTATGCATTCATTCTGTGGAGATAAGTTGTATAAATGTGATAAGTGAGATATTTTCTTCCTTAGTCCTTAAAATGATAGTGTAAGGAAATGGAATTCTTTTGCCTGGAGATGAGATTACCCAAGGGTATAATATTTCCAGAATGGATACTATGAAGTTGTAGGAAGTTGCTGTATCTCATTTTCAGTGAGGCCACAAGAGAAAATTGTTGTAGCAAGAAGTTGTGGTTTAGGCTTTAAAATGCCTTTGCTGTGAGGTTAACATAGAAGGAATGGGCCATTAAAGAAGTTTGTATATTCTTCCTTTTTTCGATGTTTCAATAAAGTAACCAGTTCTTTGAGGTTAAGTCAGTCTGTTCGACAGCCTATTCTAAGAAGAAATGGCGCCTTCCTACCCACAGTGGGTGAGTCTAGGGAAGTAGTTTTATATCACCACAACCCTGATACACCTTTCTTTCCCCCACAACATGTGCTGATTGGACCAGGGATGGGAATTGTAATGACGGGAAACCAATTAGAAAACTGGTCAGAGACACCATGTAGCCTGACATTAAAGAATGAACTGCACCTATCCTGTTTACTTTTTCAGTAAATTACTCTAAGAGAAAATGTATTTTAACAATGGGAGCTGAAGTTGAAGGGAAGCCATGAAATAGAGGGGAGTTGTCTCTAGCCATTTGCTTAGAAAAGTAGCAGGGACACACACACACACACACACAAAATAAAAACAATAAGACATAAGACCTACTTACTATTTGATAACACAACAGGGTGACTATAGTCAATAATTTAATTGTACATTTATAAATAACTAAAAGAGTATAACTGATTGTTTGTAACACAATGGATAAATAGTTGAGGGGATGGGTACTCCATTTTCCACGATGTGATTATTACGCATTGCATGCCCGTATCAAAGTATCTCATGCACCCCATAAATATATGCATTATATACCCCATAAACCTAATATGTACCCACAAAAATTAAAAATAAAAATGAAAAAAGTAGCAGGTAATATTAACAAGCAGAGGAAATTATGACTAGAAAGCGGAGGTTGGATAGACGCAGGAGAGAGAAAAATGAGCAAGAATGCTCATGTGACTAATGAGAGACCTGCTTTAATTCGTGTCTTCCCAGACCTCATGCCATGCACCCTATTCCCATTTTTTCTTAAAGAACTTGAGAGTCTGTATCAGTTAGATGATTTGGGCTGCAAGAAATAAAAATAGTCATCTGAAAGCAGTGTAAACTAGGGACATTTATTATCTCACATAACATGAAGTGTGGAGACCAGCACGGTTTTAGGCTGTCTCAGTGATGTCATCAGGGATACAGTTCCGTTCTATCTTTCCTATGTGCTGTACTCATCATTTTGGCTGACTTTGGTGCATTCTTGTGAAATTGAGTTGCTTCTCAGCTTTCTCCACGGAGGGCTTACATTCAGCTCATTCAGCTTTCTTGGGTCTGCAAGTCAGTTCTACTTGTCTGTATGCTTCCTACTTTGTAAAATTTTCTTGGTCTTCTCTCCCCTCCTATTTTCCTCATTATTACAAATTTATGCCTTAAAGGAAATAATACTATTATTTTAGTGGTGTTTTGAGAGGAACCAGTGGTAAATACATGTATTTAATCATTTAATCTGATCTGCCAACTTTATTGTGAAGTCCCTTGCGTCTCTCTTTTAAGATGAAAGACATTTACTTGAGAAGTTTTCTCACTAGACTTCCCCTCCCATATCATTGGCCAAGATGGAGCTATATGCTGTATGCAGAAGACAGAGTCATAAGCCAATCACTGGCAAGGGGAATGAGGTCACTTTGGCTTGGACAAATTGCCATTCACTTTTGGCAATGAGAAGGAGCACCTTCCTTTGAGCACATAGCTGTATGGAGGATGAACAACTAGAGAATGATCTTCAAAATACTGAACAATGGATGGAGCATGGACCAACCAGTCAAAATGGGCATGCTACCCAAATAGAGCAAAGAAAACCCTATAAATACCCAAATGAAATCTGGTTCAACCAACAAGGAAGAAGATGGAAACAAAAGTCTTGGTTTCTAGCACCTAAATAACAATTGCAGAAAATAAAGTACACAACTGCTTCAGAGGAAGGACCAAATCACCTCATAAGGACCATTCCAGCCTGTAAATTTTTACGCAGAAGAGAATTGTTCCATTTAATGAATATTTTATTAAAGGAGTCTACAACCTGAACTGAGTATCACTGCAGGGAGCCAGAGTACATGTAAATTACAGGGTTGTGGGCACTTTCCAATTCTGGCACAACCTTTATGTAAAAGGTTACCCTAGTCCTTTAAGAGTGAACTTTTAGAGAAAGGTTCTACCTCAATGGTATTTGCAACTAATTGGCTTTATCTTACTTGCCAGCTCTTGATTGATGAAGCTGGCTGAAGGGTTGGATTGAATAGAACTCGGAGGTTGAGTTGGAATCAGCTGGAAAGAGCACTATGTTCATTTGGCAGTGTGTGTGTGTGTGTGTGTGTGTGTGTGTGTGTGTGTGTTTATTGGCATGGGGAATGGCAGCACTTGGGCCATGTATTTTCTCTCTTCTTTCAGGTCAGTTTTGTATGGGCTGAGACTCCATGGAGTCACCTAAGCTGGAGGCTTCCAAATTACAAACTGTACCTAAGACAAGGAGACGACCTTTCTTAGTGGGTGACATTCTTAGTCTAGGAAGAGGAGCATTCCTGTGGAAGAGTTCTCAGGGATTTGGGTAACATCAGAGTCAGAAGGAAAAGGAAGT